>NC_000018.10:5010000-6260000 GCF_000001405.40 Homo sapiens
GGGGAGGGGGGAGGGATAGCATTGGGAGATATACCTAATGCTAGATGACGAGTTAGTGGGTGCAGTGCACCAGCATGGCACATGTATACATATGTAACTAACCTGCACAATGTGCACATGTACCCTAAAACTTAAAGTATAAAAAAAAAAAAGAAGAACTAATACCAATCCTACTCAAATTGCTCCAGAAAAATAGAGGAGGAGGGACTACTTCCAAACTGATTCTACAATGCCACTATAACCTTGATACCAAAACCAAAGACCTATCAAGAAAAGAAAAATATGGACCAACATCTCTAATGAACATTGATGCAAAAATCCTCACAAAATACTAGCAAACCAAATTCAACAACACATTAAAAACACTTTTTTTTAAAAAAAGGTCATTCATCATGACCAAGTGAGATTTATCCCTGGAATGCAACGATGGTTCAACATATGCAAACCAAACAATATAACACATCATATCAAAAGAATGAAGAACCAAAACCTCATGATCATTTCAATTGATGCCAAAAAGCATCTGATGAAGTTCAGCATTCCTTCATAATAAAAAAACTCTAAAAAAACTGGGGATAGAAAGAACATACCTCAACATAATAAAAGCTATATGTTACAGACCCACAGCTAGTATCATACTGAATGAGAAATAACTGAAATCCTTTCCTCTAAGATCTGAAACATGACAAAGATAGCCACTTTCACCACTGTTACATAACATAGTACTGGAAGTCCTACTTAGAGCAATCAGATAAGAGAAGGAAATAAAGTGCACTCAAATTGGAAAGGAAATGATCAAATTATTATTGTTTGCAGGTGATGCAATCTGATATTTAGAAAAATCTAGACTCCATCAAAAATCTACTAGAATGAATGAACAAATTCAGTAAAGTCGCAGGATACAAATTCAACATACAAAATTCAGTAGCATTTCTATATGCCAACAGTGAACAATCTAAAAAAAGAAATTAAAAAGTGATCCCAATTAAAATAGCACACATAAAATTAAGTACTTAGGAATTAACTTAACCAAAGAATTGAAAGATCTCTACAATTAAAGCAATAAATCACTGATGAAAGAAATTGAACAAGACACAAAATTGGAAAGATATTTCATGTTCACAGATTGGAAGAATCAATACTGTTAAAATGCTCACACTATTCAAAGCAGTCTGCAGATTCAATGCAATTCATACTAAAATACAAATGACATTCTTCACAGAAATGGAAAAACAATCCCAAAATTTACACGGAATCACAAAAGACCCAGAATAGCCAAACCATCTCAAGAAAAAAAAAATTGGAGGAATCACATTACCTGACTTCGAATTTTACTACAGAACTGCAGTAATCAAAACAGCATTGTACTGGCATAAAAACAGACACACAGACAAAGTGAAGAGACAACCCACAGAATGGGAGAAATTATTTGCAAACTACCCATCTGACAAGGGATTAATAACCAGAATATACAAGAAGCTCCACCAACTCTATAGGAAAAAAGAAACTAATAATCCAATTAAAAAATGGGCAAAAGATTTGAAAGACATTTCTCAAAAGAAGACATACAAATGACAAACAGGCATATGGAAAGGTGCTCACCATCACTGATCATCAGAGAAATGCAAATCAAAACTATAAGGAGATATCAACTCACCCCAGTTAAAACAGCTTATATGCAAAAGACGAATGGGGGCAAGGATGTGGAGAAAAGTGAACCCTTGTACACTGTTGATGGGAATGTAAATTAGCACAGCCGCTATGGAGGACAGTTTGGAAGTTCCTTAAAAAACTAAAGACAGAACTACCAAAGAATCCAGCAATCCCACTGCTTCCCAAAAGAAAGGAAATCAGTATATTGAAGAGATACCTGCATTTCCATCTTTGTTGCCACACTGTTCACAATAGCCAAGATTTTGAAGCAATCTAAGTACCCATCAACAGATGCATGAATGAATAAAATATCTTTTTGTACATATACACAGTGGTGTACCAGTCAGCCATAAAAAAGAAATAGATCCTGTCATTTGCAGCAACATGGATGGAACTGAAGATCATTACGTTAAGTGAAATAAGCCAAGCAGGGAAAGTGAACATCACATGTTCTCACTTATTTGTGGGATTTAAAATTCAAAACAATTGAACTCATAGAGATAGAGAATAAAAGGATGGGGTTACCAGAGGCTAGGAAGGGTAGTTGGGGGTGGTGGTGGGGTAGTTGAGCATGGTTAATGGATACCAAAAAAAGTAGCTAGAAACAATGAATAATACCTAGTATTTGATAGCAAAACAAGATAACTATAGTCAATAATACTTTAATTTTACATTTTAAAATAACTAAAGGAGTATAACTGGATTGTTTGTAACACAAAGACTAAATGCTTAGGCGGATGGATACCCAATTTTCCATGATGTGACTATTACACATTTCGTGCCTGTGCCAAAATGTCTCATGTAACCTATAAATTCATATACCTGCTATGTACCACAAAAATTATAAATAAACAAATTTAAAAAGAGAGACACCTGCTCCAAGTCATGGAATCAACATAGGTGCCATGGTGAATGGGATAAAGAAAATGTGATATATATATGTATACATATATATATCCTGGAATACTATGCAGCCATAAAAAAGATTGAGACATTTCCTTTGCAGCGACATAGCTAGAGGCCATTATCCTAAATTAAATAGCACAGAAACAGCAATTCAAATACCACATGTTCTCATTTATAAGTGGAAGGTAAACAATGGTACACAAGCATATAAAAGTGGAAACAATAGATGCTGGGGACATCAAAAGCAGGGAGGGAGTAATAGAGGCAAGGGTTGAAGAACTGTCTATTGGGTACTATGTTCACTACTTGAGTGATGGGTTCACTAGAAGCCCAAACCCAGCATTACACAATACACTCATGTAACAAATCTGCACATGTACCCCCTGAATTTATAATAACGAATAAATAAATATACATTTTTGAGACATACCCCGTCCGCACAATGAAAACTGCAGCTGATATTAGCTCCTGTTCATTTTCTCCATGTTACTTTTTGTTGTATGCTTACTCTGTTATTTTGCGAGGGTTGAAAAGAAAAGGAGAAAAACAATTAGATTCTTCTCTTACTTAAAACTAACTGATCGAATTAAAACACTGTGTAAATAGAAACAAAGTTTGATTACATTAACAAATTTTAATGTTTGACAAACCCAATCATTTCCCCTGCAGAAATGCCACAAATGTTTAACAAATATTTGATACTTAACACATGAAAGGCATCCTAGGGTGTATATGAAGAACTGATCTTTGGAATTTCACAGTTTAGTTTAGCAGAAGCTGAGAAGTCAGGTGAATCTGAATTCAAATCCCCTATCTGCCTTTTAACTATCTGTATGAACCTGGAGGAGATACGGTGACTCCTTTGTTTCCTCATCTGGGAAGTGGGTATAGTAACACCTACTTCACATGTCCTTAGGAAAATAAATGAGGTTGTGCACATAAAGCACCACACAGTACCCAGACATACTAGGCAGCTAGATATTAGTTGCTTTTCCCATTTCCTTCACAGATTAAGAAGTCAGCTGTAAAGAACTAAGTAAGGGGTTGCCAAGAATACCATACACCCACCTTCAGAAGTACACATGGTCTTTATCCTTCTGACCTGTAAACATAGAAAGTTACTGATCACCCAGTGTTGATTGTGCAGAGCATCCTCATTGCACTCAGAACAAGAGACTCTTGATTGCAGAAACAGCAACTAGCAAAAGCTCTGCTGAAGACACTGTGCCTTCCTAGATGTAAAGATATCATAGAACTTCCCCTTTCAAAAATTATTTTCCAGTTTGTCTGCCCACATTCATGGAAGTGTTTAATCTCACTTTCGTTATGAACTTGGATAAATAATTGATTGGGATAATGAGTGAGTGCTACGCTCACATTCCTCAAAGCAGATTTCATCATGCATACCAGGGTCCTGAGAGACACAGATAGAAGCAAACATCAATTTCTTGTCATACCCTGCACACTTTAATGCATACCTGCACACTTTAATGCATACCTGCACAGAATTTCTCTAATTCACAAGTCAAGGAATACACCACATATTGAACTACAGCAATGCATAATGCCTATTACACAATTAATATAGTAGTGCCTACCCCAAAGAACCTTTTGATGTTGCTGACATGTCCACAGTGATTACATTCGTTCCTCCTCCATGTCAGAGGTTACAGCTGTAATTTCCTGCTTTTAGAAGATTATAAATTTTCTTATCTCATACTATGGCAAGATAGTATCTTTTTGTATCCTCCCCAAGCCTTGCCTTTATTTCTCAACACTCCAATATTAATATAAGGATTACTGAGGCATGTGCACATACCCTCATGCTGGTGTACAGACCCTTTAGAATCTCTCCATATCAATCTTAACTGCTAAAAGAAACCCACACCACCTAATTTACCACAATCAGTTTAAATATTCTAATGGCTGCATGAAGAATCAGTTGTACCGATCTGTAAAAACGTATTTTAAATTTTTGGAATAGCTCAAGCAATTTTTTTTATAGAAGCCAGGTTCCAAAATTAAGGACTCATCGGAATGGTTAATGTATAAATATCAGTGATCTGATAAAAATTCATTTTAAATAAAGGTCAGCTTCTAAGGGCTTGGATCTGGAGAGGGAAAATGAATCCTAAGAAAAAAATATTAATTGGAAAATAACATCAAATTTTATGAAATCTGGAAACTTCAGACAATTGCATAGTAAATTGACCAAAAACAGAGCTTCTATTTTTTCACTAACTAGCTAGGTGACCTGAGTACATTATTTTATCTCTCCAAGTCCTAGTTACCCTGACAACAAAAGAGAAATTATGACATTATTTACTTCATAAACTTGCCATGAAGATTGAATGAGCTAATGTGTGTTGAACTACTTAAGTGACAAGGGCAAATGCATTCTTCGATGAGTTATCCCATGTTTCTCCTTCCCAATCCTTTAAAGGAAAAGGGATTTTTCTTTTTTCTTTTCTTTCTTTCACTTTGCTTTCTTTTCATTGCATTTCTTTAATTTACCCTTTAAAGAATTCTAGCATTGCTTACTCCATTCTCAGGCTTTTGTGATATAGATTCAGAATAGTGGTGGGGGCCATGGGGTGGAGAGTAACAATGCCAGAGAGAAATAAAAGAGAAATAAAGAAACAAACCCTGAAAAACCTCAGGGAGAGTGAGAAGCAGTTGTCTGAGAGACATCAAAGCAATCATGTATTGCATATTTTAGGAGAAGAAAAGGCTTTTGAGTTGTATTGAGATCTATGTTGCTGTGGGTTAACGATTGAAAACCCTTTAATGCTCTTCAAGAAATGCAAATAAATATTGGCATTTCCTTTTAACCACTTTCACTTGATGGACAGTGCTTCTTCGACTGTGACTCTGTGCAGATTCTGAGTCACATGGGACTTCAGCTTAAGTTACTACCATAGTGACAACAGTGATGATGATGAAAACGATGATGATGATGATGATGATGTATGATCTTCCTGTACACAAGTGTGTCGGGGAGCCATCATTACTAATTTTCCATAGAAACAGGCTACTGGTTTTGGTTAAAGTATACTCAAAGGAGACAGCATTAAAAAAAAATTCTGCATTCCAAATGGCAAATTGATACTATCTCTCTGAGGAATTATAAGCAAAATTGTAAAATTTGTAATTTAAGCAATATTTGACATAATAGCTTCTCTAAAGTCCCCAAACTGGACAACAAAAGTCAGCCAGAAATTCCTCAAACTTTTTTTTTCTTTTTTCTTTTTCTTTTTTTTTGAGACAGAGTCTTGCTTTGTCGCCCAGGCTGGAGTGCAGTGGCGTGATCTCGGCTCACTGCAAGCTCTGCCTCCCGGTTTCATGCCATCCTCCTGCCTCAGCCTCCCGAGTAGCTGGGACTGCAGGCGCCCGCCACCATGCCCGGCTAATTTTTTGTGTTTTTAGTAGAGACGGGGTTTCACCGTGTTAGCCAGGATGGTCTCCATCTCCTAACCTCGAGATCCACCTGCCTTGGCCTCCCTAAGTGCTGGGATTACAGGCGTGAGTCACCGTGCCCGGCCTCCTCAAACATTTTGATATAAAAGAAACCACACCAGAAATAGAAAATAGGTAAAACCAAAATCAGATTAAGAACAGCTTGTGGTAATTAACATTTAACAAGAAAAAAACCTTTGATTTTCCATTTCTACCTGCATAAAATAAAGAAAGGAGTTAAGGATCATCTGTTCCAAAAAGCACTAACATCCCTGAAAGTTGTCTTTGAGATAGAAATGGTGAAGTAAAAAACAGAGCTGAGTAGTCAGAGCTCTGAAGGCTTCACCTGAGCTCCAATTAAAGAGACGTATTCTCAGGCCAGGGGTGGTGGCTCATGCCTGTAATGCCAGCACTTTGGGAGGCCAGGGGGGGCAGATCACCTGAGGTCAGGAGTTCGAGACCAGCCTGGCCAATATGGCAAAACCCTGTCTCCACTAAAAATACAAAAATTAGCTGGGCATGGTGGCAGGCACCTGTAATCCCAGCTACTTGGGAGGCTGAGGCAGGAGAATTGCTTGAACCCATGAGGCGGAGGTTGCAGTGAGCCCAGATCGCACCATTGCACTCCAGCCTGGGCAACAAAGCGAGACTCTGTCCCACCCCACCACAAAACAAAAAAAAGAGACCTATTCTCAAAACCTTTATTGATTGAGTATAAAATTACATATGAAATTTTTTAAAAGGAATTCTTCAGTTGAAAATTGTTTTATATTAAATGAGCAGGTCTACTTCTTGCTAACTCCTAAGTGCCTCCAGATGTAATATTTTAAATATTTTAAATATTGCTCAAAACAATATTTTCCATTTAAAATCTGTACAATTGTGTTCAACCAGTAATTCATTCTTAATGTTTTCATGATGTAATTTTACTAAACAATAGCATTTTATTAGAAAGGCCATTTTTAATAAATTAAGTATTCAACTCTAGAATTTAAAAAAGAAAAAGCAAAACAAACTCAATGAAATCAATAGATTAAAAAAATGAATTACTGTGACAAAGGTAAAATCTTAAGCACAGTGCCCAATACAGAATAAGCAATCATATACTTTAGCTGGAGAAAAAATAAAAGGTTGATTAATAATTTAGAAAGCAGAAAAAATTATAATAATTAATAAACCAAGAACTTAATAATTGGAGTGTATGAGGTGAAGAGAGGTGGAGCAGGAGACAGTAAAACAGACCAAACAGGCCTGCCAGGTGTGGTGCCACACACCTTCGATCCCAGCACTTTGAGAGGCAAAGGTGGAAGGATCACTTAAGCCCAGGTGCCCAGGAGGCTGCAGTGAGCTATGTTCATGCCAATGTACTCCAGCCTGAGTGAAAGAGCGAGACTTTGTCTCTGGAAAGAAAAAACAAAAACAAGACAGACCAAACATTATCAAATCTGATTAAGGAAGAATAAAATCACAACCCAAACAAATATACTAGAAATAAAAGAATACACAAGTGATATAAAAGATAAATCAAAAAAGTAATCCAGAGATAGTGGCACTTGCCTACACTCCCAGCTACTGAGGAGGCTGAGGTGAGAGGATTGCTTGAACCCCGGAGTTTAAGTTCAGCCTGGGCAACGTAGCAAGATGCCGTCTATTGAAAAAAGAAAAAGAAAAAATATATTGTGTACATGTTTTCAAGTGAAGCTAGATTTTATTCTAACCAGCAAACTTTCCCAATTTCTATCCCACTAGATTTATTGTTTTCTTTTTTCACATATTAAATTATTCTCTATGATAGGGATAGTTTTCAAGTGATTCATTCTGTTTAGAATATATACCAAACTTTTTCTAAAAAAAAAATTCTTGTCCCACACTGGTTTACTTGTATGTTCTTTCAAGATTTCAGAAGAAAGATAATTTCCAAACTGTAAAAGCTACTCAAAGGATATTTAAAATAATGTCATGCCAACACAACCAGCAGCTAGAAGAAAAAAATGTATCAGTAATTAAGGAGTATTTGGGCAGATCATTTTCTTTCTTTCCTTGAACTCCTTGGATTTACAATTTTAAAAGTCATACGCATCCACTAGCATTTTCTCAGTTCTGCCATTAAGAAAATTACCCATTTTAACCAAATAGAAATTAATGTTCACTCTGGCCCTGCTCATGCCAGATCTCAGTGGTATCACTTCCATCAAACAATATATTGCTGCTGAGGCTGCCTGGCCTTATGATTTGGTGGTTCTGACAGCCCACAGGTCATGATGGGGAGCTCTGGGTCTATGGTCACTAGTCCCAAAGTCAGGCACTCCTTATTCACATCTAAGATGGTCAAATAGTACTCCTATTTGAACTATTTTGTAAGTGTAACTCTCTGATGCAAATGACATGGATTGCTGTAGAACTATAGGTGTCTTCATCATTATTCTCCTATTTGGCATTTTCTATGAACTCCATACAATGTCTTTTTCCCACCAAAGACACCTCTAACGCTGGATCATATTGTGTCTGGAATTGTTTTTTTCTGGTGGGTTCTTGGTCTCGCTGACTTCAAGAATGAAGCTGCGGACCCTCGCGGTATTACAGCTCTTAAAGATGGCGTGTCCGGAGTTTGTTCCTTCAGATGTTCAGATGTGTCCAGAGTTTCTTCCTTCCAGTGGGTTCGTGGTCTTGCAGACTTCAGGAATGAAGCTGCAGACCTTCGCAGTGAGTGTTGCATCTCTCAAAGGTGGCACCGCCAGAGTTGTTTGTTCCTCCCAGTGGGTTCGTGGCCTCGATGACTGAAGCCACAGACCCTCATCTGCAGACCGTTGCAGTGAATGTTACAGCTCTTAAAGATAGTGCAGACCCAGAGTGAGCGACAGCAAGATTTATTGTGAAGAGTGAAAGAACAAAACAACCACAGTGTGGAAGGGGACCCTAGTGGGTTGCCACAGCAGGCTCTATGGCCAAATTTTATTCCCTTATTTGGCCCCACCCACATCCTGCTGATTGGTCCATTTTACAGAGTGCTGATTGGTCCATTTTACAGAGTGCTGATTGGTCCATTTTACAGAGTGCTGACTGGTGCCTTCACAATCCTTTAGCTAGGCACAGAGTGCTGATTGGTGCGTTTTTACAGAGTGCTGATTGGTGCATTTACCATCCTTTAGCTAGCCACAGAGCACTGATTAGTGCGTTTTTACAGAGTGCTGACTGGTGCATTTACAATCCTCTACCTAGACAGAAATGTTCTCCAAGTACCCACTCCACCCAGAAGCTCAGCTGGCTTCACCTCTCAATGTCATCCAAGTAGTAGCATTACTGGTGTTGCAGCCTGGACCTGACACAGACTTCTTTTCTGCTGTAGACATTACTAAAGCAGGAAGCCGTCCTTTTAACTTACTACATGACTTAAAGGTGTATTTCCAAGTATGGAATAATAAGCTACCCCCAGAATGGAAAACAAAAAAAAAAACAAAACAAAAACTCCATCAGGGCCAGGCACAGTGGCTCACGCCCGTAATCCCAGCACTTTGGGAGGCCGAGGAGGGTGGATCACGAGGGCAGGAGATCCAGACCATCCTGGCTAACACGGTGAAACCCTGTCTCTACTAAAAATACAAAAACAAAATTAGCAGGGCGTGGTGGTGGGTGCCTGTAGTCCCAGCTACTCGGGAGGCTGAGGTGGGAGAATAGCGTGAACCCGGGAGGCAGAGTTTGCAGTGAGCCGAGATCGTGCCACTGCACGCCAGCCTGGGCGACAGAGGGAAACACCGTCTCAAAACAAACAAAAACTCCATCGGTCCATTTTAGTGGTGGAAAGTACAAAATGCAATAATTTGTCTTTTATTCTGTAAGAGTATTTCTTGCTATGCTTCAGACCACTGGACTCCTAACAACTTCAGTGATGTATTGAGCCCCTAAATCTTTATTAGGCTTATTCCCCACTCTATGGAAAGTATGTACATATAATTAAGAAAAGGAAGAAAAATAAAAATAAAAAGCCTGATGAAATAAGTTATATGATCACTTTTCTTCTATGTCCATATGATATTCCAGAATTAATACATGAATAAATGAATGAAGGAATCACTGCTTCTTATTTATCTGTGCCTGAAGAAAACTTAACTGATCAACCATCCTACACTGCTTCATAAAAATGAATTTCTTAAAAAACCAATCAGGACTAATTTAGCAAATCCAAATGTATAAGGTGCTAGAAAATTTTGCTGTTTAATTTTTCAATATACACCACTCTTCTAAACCTCAAGTATGTAATTAGAAAACCAACTCCTGGTTAATTTGGATATGCCAAATCAACATAAGGAGAGAAATCACTGTGCAATTATATTAAAATACAGATTAAAACATTCGGAATGAATCCATCTTTCTGTTATTATTGTTTTCAACATCTTTTAGAGCAGGCTCTGCTAATAGTCCTTGCTTTTTGTCTTCCTTTCTTTTACCTTCAGATTGAAAGTATGTTCTTTTTGTGAAAATTATTTGATGTTCAGAAGAATCAAAACACCTTGTGATGTGACTTTGAAACCCTCTTGAGATCCTCTATGCCACTTTAAGGCAATTCTTCCCATCAACAGGCATTTGAAATCTCTTCCATGCAAATTATTATTTTTCTTAGTTCACAAATCCAACCTGCAAGTTTAAAAATGGGTTGCACATGTGAAAAATTCCAAGTAAAATCCCCTGATAGAAAGTAATGTGATCAAATAGAAAGACTGAAGATTCTAGTCATTTTTGATACCCTCATAGACCATGATCTGGAGCAGCATAGTTAACTCTTTGACTACTTTATTGTACGAAGAAAAGAGAAATAATTACTTGAATCTACCAACTTGGCATGATAAATAAGATTGTCAGAAGAAATGTTTGTCAAATGCATAACTCAAAAGATGTCCTAAAAATTCATAATTTCTAGTGTTCTTTTTGTCAAGCCAAGCATGATAGTATCATAGCATCATTTATTTGCTCATGTAACTACTAAGGATCATAGTATCATTTATTTGCTCATGTAACTACTAAGGGCTTTAGTGGCATGCAGCTCCAAGCTAATTACCAATAATTTTCATGGATTTGTTTTTTTCCCTCAGAAATCCAGCCTGGGTATGATGAAGAAGGAGGAGATGTTTTTTGCTCAACCTAAATGTTGAGCTTCTATTCATAGTCTAGTCTAAATGTTGTGCTTCTAGCAAAAAACATCACCAGGTCGCTTCTCAACAGTATATTCCTACTACTGTCTCCCTTACCAAATTCCACCAATTAAGATTAATTTGGGTGAAAACCTCCACTTTGAGGGTATTAAGTATAGGCTCTATTCACTCATTAATGTTAAAAAGCACTACGCTAATTCAAGCTCAATACTTGGGAGTTTTTATTGATGTGAAAAGAAGTAGGAAAATTCATCATGGAGAATAAATTACTTCAAGAGGGATGAGTAGACCAGAATGGTGTTGAAAGATTTGAGCACCCGGAAGACACTGAGTGCTTAGAGGATGTGGTGGGGTATGGAAATGGAAGGGAAAAAAGAGAAGACTGGCTTGCCAATTAAGTGCCCCCATATTCATTTTTAGGCAATCTCACTGGGGGTTTATCTTACCAACCTTGTTAGAGTAGGTAGACAGACAAACATGAGCAGGAAAGGCAGTCTCAGAGGAAGCAAGCTCTGGAAACCTTGCCCCACTAGCAATCAGAAGAAAACAATGTCCACATCTGAACTTGGGGTTAAGCTCATCCAGCCCTAGCAGGAAATGACTTCAGTAGGGACTTTTCCCAGTAGCAAGCATGTGCACTTTGATTTGGCTCACCCTAAAAGTAACCTTTTGCTCATTAAAATAGTAAAAAACACACCCCTGGGTGAAGATTTAAAATGCTAATGAGACAACTGACATATGTACTGGCATGTACAGCCACAGCACAAGCACATCTCAGGGACCACTCAAAACATGCTTGCTAGTAACATCCCTTCATGCCCCTTTCATGAATAATCATGTAAAACTCCCATAAGGGAGCTTCCACAGTGATAATTTGGGCTGTCTTATTCTCAAGCAGCCCACTCTGACCCAGATTTCAGGGGGTCCTGTCATTTTAAATAAACTTTACTAATGCTTAACTATCACTGCATGTCTCTTGGTTGAGTTCTTTCCTCTCAGAAGATAAGAACCTAGGACCCCACACTTCCGGGTCACAATTTCTGATTGGAGTAATTCGAATTTGCGTAAAAAACAGCAATATTCTGCTTGCCATAATTAATTCTATCCCCCCAGTCCCATGCAGTCTAATTCCAATCCTGTAGTATTCTTTCAGTTCCTTCCTACTCGCGATAAAAACGAGAAAGGAGAAAATAGAGAAAAGAAAGACAAAAGCTGGTGCCAGTTGCCTGCTGACAAAGGAAAAGTCAGATTCCTGCCTTTGAGATCCACTATTTCTTGCTCTATTCCATGAAGAATTCTCCTACTCAAGTCAGCAGCTTGAAACTATTCTCCATAAATGAGTTGGATCTCCAGGATCTACATAATTCAGAATAAAGTCACTTATTCTTTTTCAGGTATGGAGAGCTCATTATAAAGTAAAATCAATCTTATACAGAAAAACAGAATGGCCACTGACAGAGGATGATAAAAGATGAGTGAGGTTGCAAGGTCAGTGCCTCTGTTTGTCACTTAGGGTCCGGGTAGCAGACAGAAACCACACAGTAATCTGAGCAAGAAAAGTTTAACGTAGAATTATTAGCATGGAATTGGAATAATGGAAAATTGGCTAGTGAGAGTTAAAGAGGATTCTTAAGAACACAACAGCAACAGATATAAGGGAAAACCAATGTCCTTAAGACTAGGGAACTCACAGAAGGGCTCCTCCAAGCCTGAAATGCATACCTCTCTGAATACTGGGAAGTCCTTAAGGACCTCACCAGTGGTTCTTGCTGAAAATCTGCCCTCTAAGGTGCCAAGAGGTTCTGTTGGCCACTGAACACTTCTGGAATCATGCCCTTAGGAGCCCAGTGCAAGAAAAATCCCTTACTCTGGTAACTCCTCAGGAAGCCAGAGCTGGAGAAAGCTGTGCTATTGCAAAATTTATGTACCCTGAAGGATCCCAGGGTTAGAGAAAACTACGCTGCTACGACAGCTGATCTCTGGAGAAAGCATCTGCAGGAGACCAGCACTAGAGAAACTGCACAGAGGTTAAGGCTGGCAGGTGAATGTACGAAGGGTGTGTCAGGGAGTGAAAAGCCCAGTCACCAGCAAGGCATCATTGGGAGGTCTTGGGTGCATGGTGTTCATGTAAGGTGGTCACCAGGCTAGAGTCAAGTTGGGACTTTTCAAAATGATTGTGCAGTCTGGACACACAGCAAGAGTAGAGCATCACTGAATGCACCCCCATCCCAGTATATACACACATACTGCTGATAAATCCATGGAAAAGCAGCACACCACCAGCCGCAGCAGCAGCTGTGGAACTAGGAAGCTCTCTCTTTCTCCAATCTCCCTCCAGCTCCCTCTACTGGCAAAGCTTGATATTGTACTTGCTGCAAAGAAATGCTTCATTACAGTGGAGAAGGTAATTGAAGGGTGAATGTGGAGCAGAAGCCATAAATTGGCAACTGTCATATGGCTAGTAAAGTATCATAAATTTCGGCCATGCGAGGTGGCTCACGCCTGTAATCCCAGCACTTTGGGAGGCAGAGGCGGGTGGATTACCTGAGGTCAGGAGTTCGAGACCAGTCTGGCCAACATGGTGAAACCCCATCTCGGCTAAAAATACAAAAATTAGCCAGGCATGGTGGCACACGCCTGTAATCCCAGCTACTTGGGAGGCTGAGGCAGGAGAATTGCTTGAGCCTGGGATACAGAGGTTGCAGTGAGCTGAGATCCTGCCACTGCACTCCAGCCTGGCTGACAGAGTAAGACTCTGTCTCAAAAAAAAAAAAAAAATCATAAATTTCAATCAATGCATAAATAATAAATAAATCACAGAGTCCTGAGCTGACTTGGAAATCCCAAATTAAAATATAATGTTGCATAGGTAGTAACTAATATTAGCTTCAGTTTCATTACTTGCAAAATATGTGTTACTCACCTCAATTCACCAATTTAATTTAGCGAATAAAAATGGAAATATTAAAACCTCTCATCGTTGGTCACTATCCCCAAAAGCTTTCTTTCTCAGCTATTCAATCCTTATAGTCTAAAGACTGAAGCATTTGATTCTTCTCACTCTGTAACTCTCTTACTCTTTGCATTCAAGGAATCACCATAATTATCTTAATTTCTGCTGCCAAAAATTTAAAACCTTTGAATCTAACATCATGAATTTTATCACCTGGTGCCTGTTTCTTTCTATTGTTACTACTCTAATACATTGTATAATATTGTCACAGTTTAATCTACCTAAAACACTTCTTGTTACATCAAGTTTTATTTTAAAAAATAAGTAACCATCTTATGTTTGATCAAATTAAACTTTCTTAGACTTGCATAAAATGTCCCACATTCAGCTGCCTCAAATGACTTTTTTCAAGCTATTCTGTTAGACAGCCTTTTGGGTTTGTATGCCCAAGAGGCATCTGTCTATAGGGCAGTGCTTTTTTTACTCCTCCTGGCATTGCCACCTTGTCTCCTAAAGCAAGAAACTGATGCCTCCCCACTCGCCACCATCCAAGAAAAGAATAGTCTCTATCAACTGTCTCATTTATCTTTTTGGTGCTGTTTTTTAAAAGGGCCTGAAGACACTTGGTTCAGTACCTTCTAGTTGCTCTTTTGTGGAAAGTGTGCCCTCAGGATGCATACATTCTCTGCTCCTCCAGGCAGTAAGTTTATAGAGGGGTAAAATATCTTTTCTGGTGGGTATATTAATGTACCAAGCAGAAAAGCAGTAAAATGAAGTACATTTGGCTGTAGATCTAAATCATATTCTCCAATCCAGCTTTCATGAAATTGAAATTTGGTTTCCATCTGTTTTACTCACATGTTTTATGTTTCATATGATTCCACACTCTGCAGGAAAAGAATAGTGTAACTTAATTTTCTCCCTAAGCCCCAACCCTGTGCATGCCATGGGACGATGGTAACTTAGAGCTCACACTGGGTCATAAGTGAAAACACGGGTGCCTGAGAGGTTAAAGGGAATAGTTCAATTTAAAGAATGACTTAGTAGTTCAGATTTCAGAAGTCTTAATGTGATGCTATTGGTAGTAAACCATGGCTCTTTCTACTGGGGAGTCATTGGAGTCCCTCTGAGAATCCAGTGAAAACAAAGAAAAATCTCTTCTGAAAAATTCATGGTATTACATTAACACATATATTTGAACAATTTCAGGAGATTCACAGACTTCCTAAACCCTAAAAACTGACCCTCACCTATTTCATGGATGCTAGGGTAAGGACTTCAAAGTCACTCTTATTATGTTTATTCCTTTTTAATTTAAACTTATATTATTCCTCCTCCTCTGATTTTATCTTCCTGCAGATTTCATTTTCTTCCCTATAACGTCCACTGGTTTGGGTTATTTTATCTAAAATTTAAAATTATTTATTAATATATTTCTTGCTTCTCAGGTCCATGTTCTAAGTTTATATGGTATTTATCCATAGAAATAACTAATATCCATGCCATGACAGCATGATACAGCTATTACAATATGCACAAAATATTACCTCTGAACATGGACTCCTGAAACTAGCATTTGATGTGGTTGAGCTGAGTTGAATGTCGAAAGTGGAAATGATGCCTTTAAAGCACATACAAATGCAATCAGATATAAATATGAGTAGGTATAATAAATTTGGAGCACTTAGGCTTGGTCAGTATTATCAATATGCCTAAAATAGAACTGTTGAGGGTTTTAGGTTGAATTCACACATAAAATTGATTAATAGGGAACAGTTGGCATAATTCTAATATTCATTGACTTTCAGATTATGCCAATTTTTGTATGGAATTAAACATGCAAATTAAAATTGTTCATATTATGCAACATGAACATAATAGCATCTGTAGTCCTTTTCATATAACAGCCTTTTAAATGTGAGTTTCATCCGAAGACCTAGGGGATAAGAGATAACACCTTCCAAAGGAAGTGCTAGACCACATGCAGCCTTCATCAAGGAGACCTCTGAAAACAGTTGACAAGCCTCATACCCCACCCACATTAATTTTTTTTTTTAATCAGATGTTGGGTGTTGAAATATTTTGTTTTTTTGTTTTTGTGGGGCTTTTTTTGTTTTTTCTGAGATAGAGGACCTTTGGAAAGATTCTTCCCCTGAAGTTTTTTTTGTGTGAGAACCTCAGTAGTGTTCGGTGGTGTGCTGGTAAATGCTAACAATCGGCTCTCTGGGAAAGAAGAAAACAGCCTGGGTTTGTTGTGTTTGCCGATTTCCATGGTGTAAATAGTCCCACCATGGCTTGTTTCAGGCTACCAATGTGAAGTTCCTGAGTGCATAATTGAAAAGAGGTGTGTAGGTTCTCACCCCGTGTTTCCACCTTACAGGCAAAGGAGTAAATTAGCTCAAGGACATAGATAGTAGTAAATAGAGTAAAATCATTAGGAAGCCATGATTTTTTTTAGCATTTATTGCCTTTGTTTTTAATATTTAATTATACGTTTATATAGCTTGATTTTAATGATGGCTGTGGTTAGCAACTAGTGTAAAATTTCTGAAATTTTGACAACAAACTCTGTGAGTCAATTTTGGCCAGCTCTAGCACGCCCCTGAATTAAGAGGTGTTGCTCCTCCTGCTGACTCTGGATAAAGCTAGTGCATGAAAAACAAACCCCAAAGTTTTAGCAAAAAATCCAAATGCTTGACAATGTGCCCTGTACGTTAAGCCATAAAGAAACTGACACTCTTATCAATTGTCAGTGAGAATGCAAAATGCTGTGACTTTTATGTATGTTTGGCAATACATAATAATACATGCATTTGCCCTTTCTTCGACAGTCACACTTACAGGTATCTTCCCTGAAAAGGCAACTCCACAAGTATGAAACATGTGTACAAAGTTATTTACTGAGGCCTTAGATATAATAGCAAAATATTGGAAACAACTCAAATGTCAATCAGTAGAGTAGTGGTTAGATAGTCTATGGGACACCCACACAATGAAGTACTATACAGTCATGAAAAATGTCTCTTTTTACTGATTTAACTGATCTCCAAGACGGACAGCTCATTTTTTTAAGGTGCAGAATGGTGTATATAGTATGCTAGCCTTCGTGTAAGAAAAGGAAGAAAATAAGAATATGAATGTGTGTGTTTTCTAACAAGAAATGCTGAAAGAAATAAATAAAAAATTAGGGGCCTTGGTTGAGGGGGATACAATGGGGGAAATCAGAACGGAAATGGAACCTTTCTGAGGAACTCTTTTAGAAATATTTTTACTTTGAATCATGTAAATGTTTTATATATTCCAAATACCAAATTTAAAGAATTTCAAAAGTAAACTCTAAAACTGGAAATGTATTAAAACAAATGGACCTAACAGATAATATTTTGAACCCCATACTCTGAAAATATATCATTTATGGGTATAAGAACGAAACAAAACAAATTGCAAAGAAATCCTAACTTTCGCTCAGTAGTTATATTGTTAAAAGTAATATTACAATTGTAGTTTTCACATGTTTAAAGGTATGTTTCTGCTATAGTTTGAATGTTTGCACTCTGTCCAAAATTCATGCTAAAATTTAATACAGTTACAATAGTGTTAAGAGGTGGGTTCTTTAGGAAATGATTAGTCCATGAAATCTCCATCTTCATGAATGGATCAGTGCCCTTATAAACGAGCTGGAGGGAGCTAGCTAGGCCCTTTTGCACTTCTACCCCTCCACCATGTGAGAACACACCCTTGGTCCCCTCCAGGGAGGACACGGCAACAAGGCGCCATCTTGAAAGCAGAGACCAGGTCCTTACCAGACACCAAATCCGCCAGTGCCCTTGATCTTAGGCTTCCCAGCCTCCAGAACTGTAAGAAATAAATTTCTCTTCTTCATAAATTACCCAGCCTAAGGCATTTTGCTATAGTAGCCCGAATGGACTAAGATAGTGGCAAAGTAAGGAAAATAAGAAAACCACTGAATATCACATTTGAATTGGAAATGTCAATACCAATATAAACTTGAGGCTTTTAAAAATATATTTCCTGGCTGGGCGCGGTGGCTCACGCCTCAAATCCCAGCACTTTGGGAGGCCGAGGTGGGCGGATCACGAGGTCAGGAGATCGAGACCAGCCTGGCTAACACGGTGAAACCCCCTCTCTACTAAAAATACAAAAAATTAGCAGGGCATGGTGGCGGCCGCCTGTAGTCCCAGCTACTAGGGAGGCTGAGGCAGGAGAATGGCGTGAACCCGGGAGGCAGAGCTTGCAGTGAGCAGAGATCGCCCCACTGCACTCCAGCCTGGGCAACAAAGCAAGACACCGTCTCAAAAAAGAAAAAAAAATTTCCTGATTCAACATAAGAACTTGAGGGTGAAGAGAAGAATTAAATTTTTTTTCAGCGTGTGATTGAGATAACAAATCCTTCTGAATTCAGATACTCTGGCCTAAAGGTCATATTTGGAGCAATGTCTGGGTATATGCGTGTAAACAAATGAGCTCTAAAATTGGAGGCACATCAAGGGTACCCCACCTAGCTATGTAGGTCCCTTCTCAGAAAAGACATTCCAGAAATGATCAACAAGCATCTGCCAGGATGCGACACCCAAGCAGTTCTCATCTGCTGGTTTCTTTCTCCAATTGTGTTTAGAAGGACTGAAGTACACAAGCTTTCTATGTCTTAAACAACAAGTTTTCGGTGGAGGGGGATCTTAAAAATGCCAGACTTCTTCCTAATAAGGACAGACAGGTGCTCAGGCAATCCTTTTTCACAATAGGAAGGAAATGTATGTTCTGCCTACCCAACTTCTCATCCCTGATGTGTGTTTACAATGTAGACCACAGCACATACAATAGCACTAAATCCTAATGTTTACTTGAGCATACATAAGCAACAACCACCATTCGGCTTAATTTTTCTGTTATAAGTTGGAATGTCTCTGTGTGTATGTGTGTGTGAATGTGCCACCAAACCAAACATGCACCGGCACATACTTGCTTGTGATATACTCTGATTAAGCAGGAATCGGTGCACTATCAAGAACAGTTTCAATCTTAAACTGGGAGAAACAGCAGATTCCAAGGAGCAAATTGATGTTCCCATAGCAATCTTAATTATTAGCTAAGCTTTGAAAGAAAAAGCAAACGTTGATATCTAGTAAAGTAGAATTTGGAGGGCTGAGTGGTGCAGTCAAATGAATTATTTAATCTCCCACTCTCAGCCTAATCCTCTTGTTTTCTATCTTCTTATCTCATGTGTTAAAGAATAATAAATTCCCCAGAGTAAATGAAGTTGCCCAAAATATAAATTTCTCATGCAAAAATTATTAATCTGTTTGGGGACTCTTCTGTAATTTTTCAGCTACACAAAATATTAATAGAATTTGGCTTTCCTTGACATAAATTTGAGCAGCTGACATCAAACTGACTGACAGTGGATAAAGTGCACAAACAGCCGGGCAAAATTCATCAATCTCCTGTTTAAATCTGCATCTCCACAGAAACTCTTGGTAATATGTCTTTAGTCACAGAAATAAGATGCTCAGAATGGTACCTTCCAGCATGTAAGAGGTTGACTATCCCAGGAAATTCTTCCCAATTCATTTAGTCTGCAGCCTCTGACAATGTTAGTGACAGGCATGTCATGGGGTGTTAGCCACAACTGTGAGAACTGCCACCACGTTCTTTGTTTCATCTCTCATCTGCTCCTTCAGGCTGTGGAGTCACCGGCTCAGCTGAGCAGGCCCCAGTCATGCATTTCAGAATAGGACCGACTACAATTCAAGGTGACAAAACTTCTTCATCATCACCAATCTCCCCAAAACTGTCCCTTTGGCCCAGCCTATCGGTCTTTTTAAAATTTCCGGCAAAGGGATCTCTTTACAGTGTTTGTATATGTGGCTTTGAAGGTATCAGTATGTTTCTTTGTATGTTTTATTGGATCAGGACTGATATTACAGAGAAATGCAGATACATAGAAATCAAAAGTCCTGTCCTGGCACGGTGGCTCATGCCTGTAATCCCAGCACTGTGGGAGGCCCAGGCAGGCTGATCGCTTGAGCCCAGGAGTTTGAGACCAGCTTGGGTCATGTAGCGAGACCCCATCTCTAAAAAAAAGAAAAATAAATAAATAAAAAATTTTTACTGTTGGAACATACTTTAGAGATGATATCATCACTCTTCACCATGCTGTGTCTCCCCAAGAGTGAATTCTGAAAGGGAGAATTGCATGTTGGGAGTGAGTGAGGGTATAAAGTTTTTTATTTAACTTTATTTGAAAAAAGTTCAAACTTACAAGACAGTTGCAAGTACTACTATATATCTTTTGCTTAAACTCACCAATTGCTACTATCTTGCTACGTTTACTTTATTTCTCATAGATATAGAATAATTATTATTACTAAACTACCTGAGAGCAAATTGCAGTTACCATAATCCTTTACCCCTAACACTCCCTAAATATTTCAGCATGTATCTGCTAAACACAAAAGAATTACTATATCTTACATAGCCATGTTAAAATGATGAAATTCAGAAATTTTAACATTGACATATTACTATAATCAGTCACGTTCAGATTTTACCAAGACTGTCTGTATCAGTCAGGGTTCTCCAGAGAAACAGAACCAATGGAAAAATACACACACACATACACACACACACACACACACACACACACACACACAGAGATTTATTTTGGGAATTAGCTCACATGATTATGGAGGCTGAAAAGTCCCACCATCTGCCATCTGCAAGCTGGAGAACCAGGAAAGCTGGTGGCGTAATTCAGTCCAAAGAGTGGAAAGGACTGGGAGTGGTAGTGGAAATGGGGGAAGTGCTGGTGTACGTCCTAGTTCAAAGAGGAAGGCCCCAAAACCAGGAGCACCAATGTCCAAAGGCAGGAGAAGATGGATGTCCTAGCTCAAACACAGAGAAAGAATTTGCTCTTCCTCTGCTAGTTTGTTCTATTTCCACCTTCAATGGATAGGATGATCCCTGCCCACATTGGTGAGGGCAATCTTCTTTACTGTCTGCAATTCAAATGCCAATCTAATCTTGAAACACCCTCCCTGACATGCCCAGAAATGTTTTACTAAGTCTGTGGGCATCTCTTGGCCCACTCAAGTTGACAAATGTAATGAACCATCAAATGTCCTTTATAGCATTTCTCCTTCAAGATCTAATTAAGGTTCACACATTGCATTTGGTCAGCATGTCTCTTTCTCTGGCTTTCTTTGTCTTTCATTACATTGACGTGTTTGGAGACCAGAATGCTCCCCAGTTTGGGTTTGTCTCATGTTTCCATGTGGTTAGGCTTGTGTCATGCTTTTTTGATATGTCCTTATTAGTGCTTTACATTAGGAGATGGCACTTGATGTCACTTCATCCCACAATTGATGGCATTAACTCTGTTCTCTTGTTGAAATGTTGACCACCCGTTTGCTCCAGTGTAAAATTGTCATTTTTCTTTGAAATTAATAATTAATCTGTGGGGAGATACTTGAGGACTGTGTAAATATTCTATTCTCTATTAAACTTTTACCCAATAGTTTTGGCATCCTTTGATGAATAACTACAGTGGTTGAAAGTGGTGGTTTCCTTAATCCATTATTCTTTCTGCACTTACTCGTTGGTATTCTACTCTAAGCGAGTATTTTACCTGATCCTTCAGTTATATGCTTGTTTGTTTTTAAACTTATTTAAAATATTTTGCTCATTATCAATATGGACTATGTGTGCCTATCGAGATTTATTTTGATGTTCTAACTATTCCGGATTTGGCTAGTTGGAGCCTCTTCAAACCAGCTTCTGTGTCCTTTTGAAATACTCATATCACTTTTTGAGCACTTTCTTATTTTCTGAAACAAACAGATGTTCCAAGTTCATTTTTTCACTTTCCCTGACCCAGCCCTGGAATAAGACATTTCTCCAAGAAGTGTCTCTGGTTCAACTTAGAAACGGTATTTGAAACCAAGATCTGGTGTTTGTCTAAATCTTGATGGCACAACAGAAAGTCCTTGTTATACACTGAAACATGCTATTCACATGAAAACAGTCTCCCTGCACCCTGCTCCCCACCCTGTCAAAAAGGAATGGGTATTAGAAGAGATGGATGGTTTCTTCTTAGGCATTTTTTGTACTTCTTCTGCCCACACTGTACTTGCCAATCCCTTGCCTTTAAATTCATACAAAAGCAGAGCTTTCGTGAATATGGCTGCAATAAACATGGCAGTGCAGATATTTCATTGACATACAGATTTCAATTCCTTTGATGTATAACCAGAAGTGGGATAGCTAGGTCATATGGTATTTCTTTTTTAGTGTTTTGAAGAACCCCTATATTGCTTTCCATACTGACTTTACTAATTTACATTCCCACCAACGGTGTATAAAAGTTCCCTTTTCTCTGCATCCTTACCAACACTTGTTATTGTTCATCTTTCAATAATAGCCCTTATAACAGGTATGAGGTGATAACTCATTTTGGTTTTAGTTTCCATTTCCCTAATGATTAGTGAGGTTGAGCTTTTTTTCATGAACCTGTTGTTCATTTGTATGTGTTCTTTTGAGAAATATCTTTTCAGGTCATTTGCCCATTTTTTAATTGGGTTATTTGTTTTTTTGCTATTGAGTTGCTTGGGTTACTTATATATTTTGGATATTAATCCCTTATCAGATATATGATTTACAAGTATTTTCTCTCACTCTGTAGATTGTCTCTTTATTTTGTTAATCATTTCGTTTGCTGTGCAGAAGCTTTTTGGTTTGGTTTGGTCCCATTTGTCTATTTTTCTTTTGTTGCCTGTGCTTTCAAAGTCATATCCAAAAAAACCATTGCCAGACCAAAGTTGTGGAGCTTTCTTCTATGTTTTCTTCTAGTAGTTTTAAAGTTTCAGGTCTTATATTTAAGTATTTTTTTGAGTTAATTTTTGTATATGGTGTGAGATAAGAATCCAACTTTATTCTACTGCATGGACAATGGAATACTATTCAGCCCTAAAAAAGAAGGAAATTCTATTATTTGTGACAATGTGGATGAACCTGGAGGACATTATGCTAAGTTAAATAAACCAGGCATGAAAAGACAAATACTACATAATCTCATTTATATGTGGAATCTAAAAAAGTCAAACTTATAAGAGCAGAATGACAGTTACCAGAGGCTGGGGAGAGGGGAAAATGGGGAGTTGTTGGTCAAAAGTACAAAGTTTCAGTTAGATATGTGGAATCAGTCAGGATCTACTGCACAGGAGGGTGACTATAGTCAGTAATAATATACTGTATATTTCAAAATAACTTAGAGAGTAAATTTCAAATGTCTCACCACAAAAAAAAAATGGTAAGCAACTGATGGATATTAATTTAGTTTAATAATTCCACATTGCATACAGATAGCATACAGATATCAAAACACCCAAAACATCACATTGTATCCCATAAATGTATAAATTTATGATTTGTCAATTATAAATAATATTAATTTTATAAGCAGGCATGGTGGCATCCACCTGTGGCCCCAGCCACTTGGGAGGTGGAGGCAAGAGTATCACTTAAGCTCAGGAGTTTGTATAATTCAGTAGCATTAAGTATGATTACGATGCCGAACAACATCACCACTACCTAGTTCTAGAACATTTCATCATCCCAAACAGAATCCCTGTGTCCAAGAAGTAGTCATCATTCATACCTCCCTCCTCCCAGCCCCTGGAAACTACTAATCTGCTTGTTGTCTCTATGGATTTCACTATTCTGAATATTTCAAATAAATGGAATCATACAATTTGTGGCCTTTTGCATCTGACTTCTTTCATTTAGCATAATGTTTCAAGCTTCATCCATGATGTAACATGTGTTAATACTTCATTCATTTTATGGCTAAATAGTGTTCCGTTGTACAGATCTACCACATTTTGTTTATCCATTCAACAATTGATAGATATTTGAATTGTTTTCACCTTTTAGCTACTATGAATAAGGTTGCTATAAACATTCTTGTACAATTTTTTTTGAACAATGGTTTTCAATTCTATGAGATACATATCTAAGAATGCCATTGCTGGGTCATATGTTAATTCTGTGTTTAGGTTTCCGAGGAATCTTCAAATTGTTTTCCACAGCTGCTGCACACTTTACACTCCCATCCTAAAGTACTGTCAGAAGGTTCCAGTTTCTCCACATCTTCACCAACACTAATTTTTCTTTTTTGTTGTTATAATCATCTTAATACCAATGAACTGCTATCTCACCTCTCATCACAGTTTTTATTTGCATTTCCCTAATGATTAGTGATGTATAGCACCTTTCCCTGTACTTATTGGTCATTTGCATGCTTTCTTTGGAGAAATGTCTATTCACATCTGTTGCCCGTCTTTTAATTGAATTGTCTTTTCATTGTTGCGTTAAAAATTTGTTTTATATATTCTGAATATTAAAACTTTATCAGATAAAGTTTTTTATTAGCTTTTTCATTACACGCATGTATCTTGCAGATCTGTGGATCGTCTTTTTATTCTTTAATACTCAAAGTATTTTTTGATACAAAAACGTTCTTAATTTTGCTGAAGTCTAGTTTAGCCATTTTTCTTGTTGTTGTTTATGTTTGGTGTCTCAGCTAAAAAACCACTCCAAGCCAAATCCAAGGTATGAAGATTTACCTATTTTCTTCTTTGAGTATAAATTTTTAGCTTTTCAGTTTGGAGATTTCTCAAACAACTAAAAATAGAACTACCATTAAACCCAGCAATCCAATTACTGGACATATACCTAAAGAAAAATAAATCATTCTATGAAAAAAATACTTGCACTCATATGTTTATCACAGCACTACTCACAATAGCAAAGTCATGGAGTCAACCTAGGTGTTCATCCACAGTGGACTGGATAACGAAAGTATGGTACATATACACCATGGAACACTATACATCCATAAAGAAGAATGAAATCATGTCCTTTGCAATAATATGGATGAAGCTGGAGAGCATTATCTTAAGTGAATTAACACAGAAACAAAAAGTCAAATAGCGCACATTCTCACTTATAAGTGGGAGCTAAAAGTTGGGTACACACAGACATAAAGATGGCAACAATAGACACTGGGGAATCTAAAAGAAGAGGAGGGAGGGAGGGAGGAGGTCAAAGGCAGAAAAATGTTCTACTGAGTTCTGTGTTCACTAGCTGGATGACAGAATCAATAGAAGTCCAAACCTTAGAATCATACAATATACCCTTGTAACAAACCTGTACATGTACCCCTGAACCTAAAATAAATTTTTAAAAAATAATAATAGTAAAATAAAGTTTTAGCTTTTATATTTAGATTTTTTGAATCATTTTGAGTTAATTTTTATATATGGTGTATAGTACAAGTACAACTTTTTTCTTCTGCATGTGAAAATTCAGTTTTCCAAGCATCATTTGTTGAATAAACTAGTTTTTCACCCATTAAATGGCACCCTTATTGAAAATCGATTGAGCATAGGTGTATAAGTTTATTTCCTGGACTCTCAATCCTATTGTGTTGATCCATATATCTATCTATATGCCAGTACCATACTGTTTTGATTATTATAGTTTTATAGTAACTTTTAAAATCAGAAAATTTAAGTCCTCCAACTTTGTTCTTTTTCTAGATTGTATTGGCTATTTGGGGCTCCTTGAAATTTTTTATGAATTTTAGAATTGGCTCTTTCATTTCTGAAAAATAAAGGCCACTGGAATTTTAATAGTGATTACATTGAATCTGTTGACCACTTTGGGAAGTATTACTATCTTAACAATATTAAGTTTTCCAATCCATGAACACGGGATGTCTTTGTCTTTACATTTATTTAGCTCTTCTTTCACTTATTTCAGCAATATTTTGTAATTTTCAGTGCACTGGTCATGTACTTTTTTTGTTAGATTTATTTCTAAGTACTTTATTCCTTTTGATGCTATTGTAAATGAAATTATTTTTTAAACTTCTTTTCAGATTGTGAATTGCTAGTGTATGAAAATACAAGAATAAACATTTTTAGATCTCCTACTTTGTGTCAGACAACATCTATAAATTATTACAGTTAGTCTCAGAGCAGCCCTGTGAGTTAAATATTATTATCTCTATTTACAAATGAAGAAAGTAGAACCCAAACATGTTGAAACACAACAATGGGATAGTAAGAGAAAGAGACAGAGAACTGAACTGATACATACAGATTCCAATTTTTTTCAAGCCTACTTTCATGTTTTTGCTTGTCATCTCATCTCCAGCCTCTATATGTCTTTTGGTTTAATCAGCTCTAGGCCTGAGCACATGCTCCTCCCTGAACATGGACTCCCCACCCCATGCCCCTCACTAGGCTTACTCCTACTCATCCATCTGTCTCCAGCTGAAATGTGACTCTTTTGGGACAGACTTCCCTGACCCCATCCCCAGTGGAGACCTCATAACATTTCCAGCTTATGCAGTCATCCCAGCATAATTTGCAAGAAAGTTCTTTTTCATCTTCAGAATTGCTTCAGTTTGCTCAATAAATGATCACCCTCTCCATAGCCTTTTATGTACCCATGGCCCCTTATCCACCTCTCCTTTTCTATTCTTCTGGTTGCTGGTTTGAATGTCCTCTGAGAGACCTTGAGCTCCCTCAACAGGCCTGTGTCTGTGTTGTGCACTGCCCATATCCCTAGCAACTAGCATGGCACAGAGTAGGCACTCAGCAAACTGTCAGTAAATGAGCAGGTTTTAACAAAAAACAAAAAGCCTATCAGACATGAATTCCCACCTAAACTGTCACCAAGAAAGACTGGACTTGTGTTTCTACAATGCCACCACTCCTTTCCCACATTCCTTTGCGTTTTCACTTCAGAATCAATTCTACATAAGGATGCAATCTTATACCTTGTTCCTCTGGGCCTTTCTTTCTAAAGTATGTATTGATTATTTATGACACAGCTACAACTAAAAGGAATAACAAATGGTTTACATAAACATCTCTGATGCCATGGAAATTTATTTTCTGAAAATGAAAGTAACCCTATAGTCTATTAATTAAGCAGTACCTATAAAATCAAATGGCCCAAGTATAATGAAAACAATGCATCCACATTTTGAATCATTTAAGATGTTTAACCAAAAAATTAGCCTATTATTTTTCTCAACCTAGTAATAATGGTCAACCTTGCTGTGTAAACAGAATTAATTAAATCATAAACCATTCCATGAGAAAAGTAAGGTTTATTTTAGGATTAATTCAGAAGGGAAAAATGTTCCTGAATATTCTAAGACATGGATTAGTTTATACTGAACATTTGGAATAAATACTTTCTTGCATCATTTGAAACCTTGGTGGCTGCATTCTAACAAAATAAAGCTTGACTTTTAACAAATCGAATAATCTCTATACCTTCATGTATGAGGGGAGGGGAATTCACAGGGAGTAAAGGGTTATATCCCCGCACCCCCACCTCGGTGTTAATTTAACCTCATGTCTTATAGCAAGTTGCACTGGGAATCTTTCCTAGCATGGTGCTTAAGAACTTGGTTAGGGAGTCACACAGACATGGGTTGAAAGTAGTAGCTTAGTAGCTACAATTCCTCTTGAAGATTACTTAATCTCTCCAAGTGTATTTTCTTAACATGAAATTTAAATAACAGAAGCTGCCTCCCAAGTTTGTGGTTAGGATTAAATGAGATACTGGGCTGGGCGCGGTGGCTCATGCCTATAATCCCAACACTTTGGGAGGCTGAGGCGGGCAGATCACCTGAGGTCAGGAGTTTGAGACCAGCCTGCCCAACTTGGCAAAACCCTGTCTCTACTAAAAATACAAAAATTAGCCAGGCGTGGTGATGGGCACCTGTAGTCTCAGCTACTCAGGAGGCTGAGGCAGGAGAATCACTTGAACCCAAGAGGCAAAGGTTGCAGTGAGCTGTTGTCACGCCACTGCACTCCAGCCTGGGCAACAGAGTAAGACTCTGTCTCAAAAAAAAAAAAAAAAAAAAAAACAAAAATAAATAAATAAACAAGATACTGTCATAAGGTTCTCAGTAAATGCTGTCACCCAGTCACCTCCTAGTGACTGAGAGCTATTGCTCTGTAAAGGTTTAATCCCACAGACAAGACCTCAGAAGGCACAAGCTTAAATTATCTCATCACTTTTTACAGCTTTTCCCCAGCCCTGCTTCTGCAAAACAAAGGCAGTTATAACTATGGCTCAAGAGGTTGAGTGGGACTTCTGATCTTACCCCTGCTGAGAGGGAAAGCAAGAGACAAAGAAGCAATCAACGCTAGATTTTTTAAAGAGATGCAAACGATTTGGACCCAGACACCCTTCCAAGGCTTAGCAAGAGTTTTGTAAATGAAACTGAGCCTCACATCCTCTTTCCAGCTTTGAAAAGGAGGCCAGAAAGCAAGGTAAGGGAATCAGAGCAGGGATGGCTTAGGTAGCACTGTCAACAAAAAGAATCAAACTCTGTAAAATATTTGAAGAGATTTATTCTGAGCCAAATGTGAGTGACCGTGGCCTATGACACTGCCTCAGGAGATCCTGAGAACATATGCCCAAGGTGGCTGGGCTACTGCTTCGTTTTATATATTTTAGGGAAACATAAGATATCAGCGCACATGTAAGATGTACATTGGTTCAGTCCAGCAGGACAACTCGAAGGTGATGGAGATTGTTGGGGGAGGGGGCTTCTAGGTCATAGGTAGGGGGATTTAAGGATTTCCTGATTGGTAATTGCTTGAAAGAGTTTACCTAAAGACCTGGAATCAATAGGAAGGAGTGTCTGGGTTAGGATAAGGGGTTGTGGACACCAAGGTCCCTATTATGCAGATGAAGCCTCCAGGTGGCAGGCTTCAGAGAAAATAGATAGTAAATGTTTGTAATCAGACGTAAAAAGGTACTGGACTCAGTTAATTATCTCTTGGATCAACAAAAAGACCTGGAAAGGGAAGAGGATTCTCTATAGAATGTAGATTTTCCCCACAAGAGACAGCTTTGCAAGGCCATTTCAAAATATGTCAAAGAAATATATCTCAGGGTAAAATACTTCAGTTTCTTGCAGGGCCTGCTATCTCTCATGTTGGTATTTTATCGCTACAAAAAGTCTGTTTGGTCAGTCTTAAGGTCTGGTTTAATGTTAATGCTGATCAGCTGTGCCTGAATTCCAAAGGGAGGAAGGTATTATGAGGTATGTCCAACCCCTCCTTCCCATGATGGCCTAAACCGGTGTTTCAGGTTAACTTCAGAATGCCCTTGGCCAAGAGAAGGGGTGCATTCAGTTAGTTGTAAAGTTTAGAATTTTATTTTTGGTTTATAGCATTTATAAATGGAGCTCTCCCTGGAAAGTAGGGTTGAGGATTTTTCATCCCTACTGGAAACCAGTGAAGGGAGACACTCCAAGAGATGACTTGTTGAGATTGAGAGCAGCTGCAAGAAGGTGAGGCTGGCATCCACTGTATTGCCACACCAGTCCTTAGCCAGGACTACTCTACATGTAGCCAAGCAGCAAAAGAAAAACAAAAAAAGGAAAGGGGAAAAGGCAGACCAAAGAAAGGAGGAAGCACATTGCTATTATAGCAAGGACCCATGTCACAGTAGTGCAGGAGGGCTTGAGTAGTCTTGCTTGTACCCACCCAAGAGCTTTCTGCCAAGCAAGGCGACCCTCAAATATAGGCAGCTGCAGGGTGCAACACAGGGAGACTAGTGGTCCAAAAAACCAGTGATAACTTTTGAGTTCTTCGTAGGGTCTCTAAGTCACCAAAACATGCAATCTGATGTTAAATAATATATCCTGTGTCAAAGAATTGAACAATGGGGAGACTCTGAAAGTCCCTACAAAGAAACTCACACGTGTGCCAATAGAGACCTAACTTTTAGAAGCCTGCCACATGCAGAGCTTTGATAGCTGTTCAGAGATGCAGGAATAACAGACACAATCAAAGGAAGAAACACTTGCCCCCTTCTATCTCCCTCTTTCCTGTGGCTGTTCCCAAAGGAAAAGGGGGTCCCAAAGAGGGAAGAGACCTGGGAAAGCAGAGAACACTGTCCTGGCCTGGACTCTTTACACCTGAAGGTTACTGGCTGGCTCAGATGTGAGTAAAGTACAGAAGAGGGGGATTTGACTGAGCAAGTTTGAAGGTAGTGGTATAGACTCATATATCATAAAATCTTGCTACTCGAAGTACAGCAAGCAATGCGCATACAGCACTGACGTGGGCTGGGAGCTTGTTAGAAATGTAGAATCTCAGGGCCCATCCCCAGAAGTCCTGAATCAGAATCTTCATTGTAATACAAACTGGTGGTTTGTATACACATTAAAGTTTGAGAGGCACTATCCTAAAGGCTCAAAGAGGATTCTACCTTGGAGGTTTAAAATGTATCCAGGAGTTTGTTTTCTCTCTCATTTCTATTCTCTGTCTCTCTCTCCCTCAAATAAATATTTTTAACTTGAAATCAATAGGGAAGCATTGGAGAGACAAGGGCAAAAAGGGAGAACACTGAAAGAAAATTTAACCACCATGTGGGAAGCCATCTGCAGCCGACACGTTGCTGGCACGCCTCTGGCCCATATATCCACAGAGCAGAAGCTGACCAGGCAAGAACTCTTAGCAGGTTTTGAGGTCATGAGGTGCTGAGAGATGTACAGTCAGGACTCCCAGTACTGTGAGAGTCCAAGCATCAGATCACATCTGAAAAAGGAAGTGCCTTCATAATAACTTCAATCAAAATTAGCAGCAGGTGCCATCAGTGTCCTTTAGGACAAGCAGGTTCTCATTGCATAAAGACATACACACTTGGGGAGGAATCCAAACAGATTCTGGGGCCATGGCTTTTGATAAACATCAGTTGAGGCTGATCAGCAAAAACCAAGCCACCTGAGGTCATTGTAACACCCTCACCTTCATTTTGAGTTCTGAAGCTTACTCTTTTTTTGAAGCAACCATGATTTTGCATGATTGTAACAGAACACTAGGCAATAATTTTTTTAAAAAATTCTGTATTTCTTGTTACCTCCACCACCACGTAACACCAGGGAAGTCACAGTTTCTATGTACTTTGACAAATCTACTATAGCTTATTATCAAGATGAAGAGCATCAAATTTGGAGTTAGAGAAAACGGGGTTTGAGTCCCAGTTCTGCTGCTTAATAGCAAGTGATCTGGAATAGGTTTCTCTGAGAGACCTGCAAGAAATAGTTTCTGGCTGTTCTTCCACTTCCAGTACTTAATGTATTGAGAAGAATTATATAAATGGGACTGTGGAAAGAAAATGCCTATCAGAGAGGTGAGTTGCCCCAAGAAGTGATGCACACTAAAGCAATTAAGCAGCTGTAGCAAAGAACACTGGGTCACTGGCCACTGTGGGGACGCATTCTTCCCAGGCAGATCACGCATCCCAGAGGAAGCCCTGGGCATCTGGCAAGCAATTGTGTGCAGGCAGCTCCCAAGGAAGGCTGAGGAGCTTGCAGTATTAGTGAGTCCTGTATTCTTTATCACCAGTTGCTATGGTTCAAATGTGTCCCCCAGAAATTCATGTGTTGGAAACTTGATCCCCAGTGCAACAGTGTCGGAAGGTGGAGCCTGATGGGAGATGTTTAGGCCAGGAGGGCTCTGTCCTCAGGAATGGTTTAAAAAGAATTGTCAGGATCAAATGAGAAAAAGCATGTGGAGCTATTTTATAATACGGATATGGCTTGGCTGTGTCCCTACCCAAATCTCAACTTGAATTGTATCTCCCAGAATTCCCGTGTGTTGGGGAGGGACCCAGGGGGAGGTAATTGAATCATGAGGGCCGGTCTTTCCCATGCTATTCTCGTAATAGTGAATAAGTTTCACGAGATCTGATGGGTTTATCAGGGGTTTCTGCTTTTGCTTCTTCCTCATTTTCTCTTGCCCCAACCATGTAAGAAGTGCCTGTCACCTCCCTCCATGATTCCGAGGCCTCCGTTTTAATTGTAAGTCCAACAACACCTCTTTTTTTTTTCCCAGTCTCCGGTATGTCTTTATCAGCAGCATGAAAACAGACTAATACAAATATATAAAGGGCTATTTAGTACAGTAAAGTTTATGTAGGAAAACCATTTTATTTACATAGAAAGCATGAGAAAAAAACACAAATATGTTAGCAAAAGCTATGATATCTAAAAATCATTACAGGGCCAGGCAGAGTGGCTAACACCTGTAATCCCAGCCCTTTGGGAGGCTGATGTGGGTAGATCACTTGAGGTTAGGAGTTCAAGACCAGCCTGGCCAACATGGTGAAACCTCTTCTCTACTGAAAATACAAAAATTAGCTAGGCGTGGTGGCATGTGCCTGTAATCCCAGCTATTCAGGAGGCTGAAGCAGGAGAATGACTTGGACCCAGGAGGAGGAGGCTGCAGTGAGCTGAGATCATGCCACTGCACTCCAGCCTGGGCGACAGAGTAAGATTCCATCTCAAAAAAAAAATTGTTACATTACGTGTTATTCTTAATAAATTGTCCAAAAACCATAAGGGCTTCAAGGCAGCCTATGAGAATTTGTTTGACAAAAATATTAAGTAACAAGAATACCAGGAACATGAAAGCCATCTCTAGCCACTGCCTCTTCCTAAATAGTCTCTGTGTGCCCCACAGGAGCCAATAATAATTGGACATTTTCTATTCCCCATTCCTCAGGAATTCCCAATTTCACTCTACTTAACTTTAGGTCAGTTTCTATCAATCACTCAAGAACTATATTCTATTATTTTGGAATGAAATATATTTTGTTTTCCAAATATATTTTCCTTCTCATTTTCATTCAGAAGTTGGAGGCAATATGGCTTCCACTTTGATGGCAAGCTTCCTGGTTTGATCAAATTTGGCAAAAAACAAGAACAAATATTTCTGACCCAGAGCTAATGGCTCCAGGCTTCATATAACATTTGAAATAAAAGTCAGCTTTGAAATTCTTCCCTAATAAAATGTTTAAAGGTAATGGAATAAGTTATTTCAAATTTATATAATTTTTTTCAGAAATAAGCATAAACTCACTAATTTTTGTTAGACTTTATATTTGTAAACATTATTCAATTTTTAAACCTATATTACAGAAACGCTCAGACTGAGATCCTTGTACAAAAACTTGTGCACAAAAATGCTTATTCTCTTTGCCTAGAATGCTCTTTGACAAATATACACATGGCTTGCTTCCTCACTTTATCCAGATCTCTACTCAAATGTTGTTTCAGAGAAACAACATCCTGTCTAAATATAACAAACATCACTCTCTATTCCTCAACATTACTCTCTTAGTTTGTTTTCTGTTGCTGCAACAGAATACCACAGACTGAGTAATTTATAAAGAATAGAAGTCTATTTGGCTCATGACTCTGGAGGCTGGAAAATCCAAGAGCAGAGCAATAGCAGCTGGCTAGGGTCATCTTATGCCAGGAGGGTGGAAGGCAAAAATGAGTATACAAGACAGAGGGGAAAAGGAGGCTGAATTCCTGTGATAACTCATCCATCCCCATGATCAGGGCATTAATCCATTCTTACTCCCAAGGGGAAAATTAATTTATTGCTGACTTTTACCACATAGAATATTTACTGTTTCTTCACGAAAAAGAATAATGAACAGACTCACCATACCTTTGAGGCTTTCCCCTTTAAATCTAAATTGTCCTTTAAGCTGGGAGCCAGTACTGTAAGTAATGGTTTCTGTTGCAAGCAGGCAAGTTCAGGGCTCTGCTCTTATGAGCTAATCACCTCTTAAAGGTGCCACCTCTCTACACTGTTGGATTGGGGATTATCAACACATGAACTTTTAGGGGTCACATTTAACCCATAATAATTACTTTATTTTTAATTAGAGTATTCCTATCTAACATTGTATTATGTGTTTATTGTGTATTTACTTGTTTGCCTTCTGCATTTACATGAAAGCTTCATAAAATCAGCAATTTTATTAATTTTGTTTACTCTGTATCCTCAACTCCCAAAGAGTATATAGCCATACTAATTGCAGAACGAATAGATTCTTTTTATGCTTAAACTCATTACCCCTTCCAAGGATTGATATTCTTCTATATTTTCTTCTAGTGGGAAGATAAGTTAGAGATCATAAGGAAACTGAGGGCCAAAGTATAGCATGACTTTTTCAAGGTTACATACTTAATTTGTGGCCAGCCCAAGCCTAAAATCTGACTCCTAGATTCCATTATACCACACTGACTTTGACTTTCTAATCATATGATGATACTTCCACTTGAATAGAGTACAGCAGTTAAAAGCACAGGCTCTGACCTCAGACTGTCTGTTTTCAAATTCCATTTCTGATGCTTATCAGCTATATTTAGGTAAATTATGAGGTCTTCATGGCTCAGATTCCTTTTTTACACTGTAAGGGTAATAATAACCATGTCATGGAATTATTGTGAGCATGGATATTTCCTAGAACAGTAATTGGAACATAGTAATCATTCAATAAGTGCTTATTCACGTACTATTTCTATTATTCTCCTATTGCCTAGCACTGAATTTTTTACAGTGTATAAAGTTCTAAAATGTTCTTCTGTGAAATATTATTGAAAATTGTTGTTCGTTCCACCAAAATTCTGATTATTTTATTCTCAGAAAAAAATGCCTATAGCTATTTACTATGTCCACCATTATAACTATACAAGCATATCGATGGCATATACTGAAAGATTTGGATTTCAAAAATAAAAAACTACAAAAAAAGGAGTGTTTTGCTTTGTTTTGTTTTGTTTTGAATTGACCATATTTCTGCTTTATCATATTCCCTGAGACACAAGACAACTTCGGTCCATTTCATGTAAGTTTCTTACTCCCAAGGGGAAAATTAATTTATTACTGACTTTTACCCAAAGTCAGTAATAAACCACTTTTTACCACTTTTACTACTGTTTTTTCAATAAACAAGATGATGTACAGACTTACCATATCTTTGTGGGTTTTGCCCTTAAACCCAATCTGTCCTTTAAGTTGAGAGCCAGTTCTGTAAGAAATGATTCTGTTGCAAGCAGGCAAGTCAAAATTTGACTGCATTCTCAAGTTTGATTCTGTGTTTCATTTATAGTTTATTTTTCTAATATATCTTCTTGGTTCCAACAGTTAAAATATTAAGAGGATCCCCTCATATTCCTAACAATGAGCAACATCAACATTCCATGAGGATTTCCAGTGCCACTGACAACTAAAATCCAGGACTGAAAAAGCTTCAGCATTAGGCCTTAGAAAATTAACTAATGGCAGACAGATTGAAGAAAGTAGTCGAAACTTGAAGAGGCGGTCCATACACAGATGAGTTTAGCAGTATTTGTTTTTCTGTCTCTCCTCCATGCTTTGAAAACAGGGTGGCCCCAGTCATGGAACTGCATAGCAAGGGCAGCAGCGAAACTATCAACCCATTTTTTTCTGACCTGAGGAGCAAGGAAAAGGAGACCTTGTGTTCCAAAGAATAGAACAGAAATTTTTTTCCTCTTGCCACTTTGCACCAAGGGTGACTCCAGTTGCCAGAATGAGGAGAGCTGGAGAAGCACATCCCCTAATTCCATGTAGAAACTGGCACAATGCCTAGACTCCCTCTTGAGAGACACATGTGGAAAAGACACAAAGTAGCATAGCAAAGACTTTAAGATCAAAACTACAATATAAACCACCATCCAAGTCTAGGCCAACTGCTCAGTGGACCAAGCCTTTATAGCAAAGGCTTTGAAATTCAAATGACATTATAACTACCATCCACAGAAAGATAGATAGAACATACAGTCTGAGCCTAATTGGTTTGATTGTCTGCTAAAATAAATACAAAAACTCAACATTTTTCAGAGAATTTTAATAGGACTCAGAGTTTTACAATGCAATATTGAAAATATCTAAGATGTAATCTAAAATCACTCAATATATAAAGGCCCAAGGAAACATGAAAAATTCATAAGTGCAAAAACAATTAATTGATGAAAACCCCAAATAGCCTAGATTTCAAAATCACCAAAGACATTAAAGGAGATATCATAACTGTACTTCATGAGGTAAAGTGTCTTGAATGCCAGACATTCTCATAGAGAAATAGGAACTATAATGATATGGTTTGGCTTTGTGTCCCCACCCAAATCTCATCCTGAATTCTAATCTCCAGGCGTTAAGGGAGGGGCCTGGTGGGAGGTGATTGGATTGTAGGGGCTGTTTCCCCCATCTTGTTCTCATGATAGTAAGTGAATTCTCATGAGAGCTGATGGTTTTATAAGGGGCTCTTCCTGCTTCACTTTCTCTCTCTCACCTGCTGCCATGTAAGATGTGCCTACTTCTACTTCTGCCACAATTGTTAAGTTTCCTGAGGCCTCCCCAGCCATGTGGAATTGTGGTTCAATTAAACGTCTTTTGTTTATAAATTATCCAGTCTTAGGTATTATCTTTATGGCAGTGTAAAGATGGACTAATACATATAAGAAGAAGCAAATGGAAAATTTTAAAACGATAAATTTTAAAAATAATGCCTGAAATAAGAAGTTTGCTAAATGAGCTCAGTAACAGAATGGAGATAGCAGAAGAAAGAATCAGTGAATTTAAATATTGATCAATTGAAATTTTTCCATCATAAGAACAGAGAGGAACATGATTGGGATAAAAATGAACAGAGTTTCATAGATCTGTAAAACTGTATCAAAATGTGGAGCATTCATACCATTGAAGCCCCAGAAAAGAAAAAATGCGAGTGATACAGAAAGAATATTTGAAGAAGTATGTGTTATATTTTTTCAGATGCCCACTTAATTCCAGAAATGATTTACATTCTTACACAAATACATGTAACATATATTATCATCATCATTATTATTCCTATTATTGTTTAATGAGTAGGTGAAGATATTAAGATAAGGAAATAATGAAGACTAGAAAGAGAAGATGAAGCCAGTAGTGAAGTCTATAAACTAAACAAATCTCCTGAGGTCTTATATATTTTCTAGAGGTGTACCACCAATTTGGATTTCGGCTTTTCTAGTAGCCAACCAGAAGGAGGAAAGAGGGTCAGGTATTAAGAGTTACAGTGGCTGTACAGTGAAAATAACCAAGCGCTTAGAAGCAACTATTATTCCTGAAAATAAGATCACAAAGAAATTTCTCTCATCCATTCCCAGAAAGAAAACACTATACAACATCTTCTACATCTTTCCTATAGTGAAACAGCAATGAATTTCAAAAGGCTACTTCCCATAACATCTATCTTAGTCTGCTCAGGGGCTATAACAAATATACCATAGACTGGGCAGCTTAAACAACAAACATTTATTTCTCACAATTCTGGAGGCTGGGAGCCTGAGATTAGGGTGCCAGCATGGGTGAGTTCTGGTGAAGGCTCCCTTCCTCTGTACACAGATGGCTACCTTCTCACTGTATTCTCACATGGCAGCAAAAGAAAGGAGCAAGCTCTCTCATATCCCTTCTCATAAGGGCACTAATGCCACCACGAGTCAGAGGTGAAGCTGGCTGGTCTTCTGGGTCGGGTGGAGACTTGGAGAACTTTTCTGTCTAGCTAAAGGATTGTAAACACACCAATCAGTGCTCTGTGTCTAGCTAAAGGTTTGTAAATGCACCAATCAGCACTCTGTAAAAACAGACCAATCAGTACTCTGTGTCTAGCTAGAAGTTTGTAAACGCACCAATCAGCACTCTGTAAAAATGGACCAATCAGCACTCTGTAAAATGGCCCAATCAGCAGGATGTGGGCAGGGCCAAATAAGGGAATAAAAGCTGGCCACCCCAGCAAACCACCCTAGTGAGCAGCAGCAACTGGTTCGGGTGCCATTCCACGTTGTGGAATCTTTGTTCTTTTGCTCTTTACAATAAATCTTGCTGCTGCTCACTCTTTGGGTCCACACTACCTTTATGAGCTGTAACACTCATTGCCAAGGTCTGCAGCTTCACTCCTGAAGTCGGCAAGACCACGAACCCACCAGGAGGAACGAACAACTCCGGACCCACCACCTCTAAAAGCTGTAACACTCACTGCGAAGGTCCGTGGCTTCATTCTTGAAGTCTGCGAGACCAAGAACCCACCAGAAGGAACCAATTCTGATCACATAAGGACTCCACCCGCATGACCTAATTACCTCCTGAAGGCACCATATCCAAATGCCATCACAGTGGGGGTTAGGGTTTCATTATGTGAATTTTGGAGTGACACAAACATTCACTCATAGGAACAGCCTTCCACTGTGTTCAGTATCACCTTTAGGTATAAGCAGGCGAGGGGCCCCTGCTGTGGGACTATGTGCTTGTGTCCTTCAAGATTCAAATGTTGAAAGCCTAATCCCCAGTGTGATGGCATTTGGAAGGTGGGGTTTGCAGGAGGTAGTTAGCATTAGATGAGGTCATGAGGGTACACTCTTCATGATGGAATTAGTGCCCTCATAAGAAGCAGAAGGGACCAGAGCTCTCTCTTTCCACCATGTGAGAATACAATAAAAAGATGGCCATTTACAAGCCAGTAAGAGGGCCCTCACCAGAGCCCTACCATGCTACACCTTGATCTCAGACATCCAGCCTCCAGAACTATGAGGAAACACATGTTTGTTCTTTAATCTCTCAAGTCTATGGTATTTTGTTATGGCAGCTGGAATAGAATAAGACAGCCCACTCTTGAGAAAGCCTGCTCCAGCTCTTCCCCAACTGTCCTCTTTCCTGAGACAAAAAGTCTGGGCTGAAGCTTCAGTGCCCAGCTAGAATCTCTACTACTCCTTCTGGTCTCATGACAGGTGCTCGGTACTTTAGAAACACCTGTGGGCGGATGCTGTGTGCCCCACCCAGATGCCCTGAGGACTAAGGACTGGCTATCCCAACAGCTGTGTGCTGCAGCAGACTGCCGTTAGTGCTCATTGCCCTCAAAATTACTTCCACCAAGAAAATCACCTCACCCAAGGTCACACTCCTTCCTGGAGCAGCCCACAACCAGTGGCTGAAGTACTAAGGCCCACCCCCAGCTTAGGACAACCCTGAAGGACCATCCAAGCTCCAGAGCTTCCCTTGGGATCAGCAGAGGCTTCTACTGACACTGCATCACAACCCTCCTCTCTGTGCCCAAACTTCCTTCCCCCTAGCCCTTCATTTCCACAGAGGCTGATCCCAAAAGAAGTCCAAAATAAATCTCATGGACAGTGATCACAATTTCTGAGTTTGCCTGTGGAGAACCCAACCTTGATACCTGCCCTAACAACCCTGACGGCAGTTGCTAGGGCTAAGATGCACTACCCAGCTACGAGGGGTGGTCACGTGATAGCTGGTCTTGACAGGTTATGGCTGGGGCCTGGGTGCCCATACTTATGCAAGAACTTTGTAGTTGAGAGATGGAACCAGGGGTAGAAGAGGAGGGGCCAGGTGACAGGACAGCCCTCACTGTCATCTGCCTCCAGAACATCACAGAGTCCACTTTGAAGGTCTATTTGGCAAGATAGAAGGAGCATATACAAATATTTTATTTAAAAGTTTGTTAGCTCAGCTTATAACTTTTAAATATTCGGACATACGGTATGTGGGCCTCACAAATATTAGGGATAGAACTAAGTAGTATTAGATGCAATTCTGTCTTATCACTCTCTCAAACATATGCCTATCTGATTTCTGAAATGTTTAAGTGCTTCCAAGGACACTTCTGGTCCCTACATTAAGACTATTCCCCTTGAGGATTATGATCCGATTGGATTCGTCTAAGAACAAAATCCTTAGGGTCTATGCTACCAGCAGGATTTTGAGTGACTTAAATCACCAACTTGCTATGACATTTACAGTGTATTATCCTCTTGGGTGATGACAGATAACGCCCACCTTGAACAAATATCTTAGTTAAGTTTAGTAGATAATGGTTGTTCCTGAGGATTAGAGGTGGGTGAGGGTTAGCGCCTCTACAACTCTGCTACTAAGTCGTAATGAACGCAAGCCTCAGAACACACAGCCCAACATTTATGAAACAAACGTTTATAAAGAAGCATGTTTATGACATGTATTGTAAGCTCAATGAGTATCGCTTTAGGTGATCCAACCACATAGATTCATCCAAGGCAAGTGCCACACATTCTATACAAAATATTCTATTAAGCTCAGTCTGCATCAGGCCACCGGATTGCTCCCAACGTCTGGACCCAGGTCTGTAAAAGGAGAGAAACGTTAGTGAGTCCTCATTAGATTCATGAATCCAATCAGTACAAAAGGAAAGGAGAGTCTTTATATAATTTGATTAAGCCACATGATCTAGAATAGTAAGGGGTGTCTATTTTTAACACATTTGCATAACCCATTATGTGAATTAACAAATCACATAATTTAGCAATGAAAATGTATTTCTAGCATTATTGTACCATTGAGAAAAGCCTCCAGTGTTGATGTAGATAAAAGCGCTCAAGATCTTTAATAATCACCTCTGGAGTGTGGCTCTAATAAAATGATGGGATTACTGGAATGGTCAGTTAAAATGAACTAATACACTCATTTATGTCATACTCTCTCTGCTGAAGCATTTTGAAATAAATTACAGTCATCCTACCACCATTTTGTGTGGCATATGAGTCACATATGCTATGGCTTTTCCAATAGCCCATAGCTGAGCTCCCATGTTTGAATATGACTCGATGTAGTCTTTGTGGCCAATCTTTATCACTGATCTATTTGTGATGTTCAGGAAACCAACACTTGAAAGATGACCTTGCCTATAAAACAAATGTAATTGGCACCTACCAAATATAATAATATTCAAATAGTGGATGTGAAACCTTCGGAAGACCCAGGACTCTCAACTCCGAATAAACCACTGTAGATCCGATGTTTAATTTGAACTACAGTGTCAGTATTCTGTGTTCTGACAAACGTTTTGCTATTAGGTTAGAACCGCGATCACTTTTGCACCAACCTAATATTTAAAATGAGACATTTTGTTGAGTAATATGTATCTTCTGTCAAATCATTACATTGGGACTAGCCATCAATGTCACCACCATATAATAGGGCAAATTAATACCATATATACAGGCGCTCCTTGACTTGCAATGAGTCCTGATAAACAACACTGTAAGGTGAAAATGCATTTAATACACCTGATCTACTGAACATCATAGCTTAGCCTGTCCTTCCTTAAACGTGCTCAGCACACTTACATTAGCCTACAGTTGGCAAAATCATCTCATACAAAGCTTGCTTTAAAATAAAGTGTTGAATATCTCATGTAATTTATTGAATACTATGCTAAAAGTGAAAAACATAATGATTGTATGGATACTCAAAATATTGTTTCTACTGACCGCAGGTCACTTTAGCACCACTATAAAGGTGAAAAATTCTAAGTGAAACCAGTGTATGTGGTGTGTGTGGTGAACAGAGGATTCAAAGTCAAATCAGAACATAAATAGCACCAAGGGGACTGCAATTAATAGACATTTATGAAACTTAACTTTAAAAGCAATATGTTCAATAGTTCATTTGATGAATGCTTGTACACATCCTTACTCAGTCCTTCCAAACCAAGCACCCTAAAAGTAGAAACGATGGTGGTGATTTCATCAATAATTTGACAAATGAAAAGTATTCTCGGAAAGCACTTCTTTGGACAGCTGGCAGCCAAATAACAGAATTAAGTGTTAGCTTTCAGCTGCATGGCTGTATTTAGCGTTGCTGGTTATCAATAGTCCATTACAGCACAGCACCCCTCCCAGAACACTCACATGTGTTTGAGTGAGATCAATTCAATTTTATGTAAACTTAGTATAACTTCTAAATGACTATCTCTAAGTAACTATTAAAGCAGAAGCAATGCCATAAATGCCAAACTAACCAAGCCACACAAACTCTATTTACTTCCTTGAGTAAAATTTCAGGGAGAAATGCACTTATTTGAAAATCAGTCCCATTACTCAATTATTTGAAATTTTATCTCAGTAGATTCAAGTAATATTTCTTTATCCCAGACCTGTCTGTCTTCATCACACGTGACTCAGCATCTGCTGGGCAAGCTGTTGATGGCACATCATGAATGCATCTCATCCTAACTGCATAGTCAGAAGACAAATAGTTGAAGTCCCATCCAGGACAATAGCCACTACCTTCTTGATGTTAACCTTGTTCTGCCACCACCTACCTCAGAGTGGCTGGCAGAGATTATAAACTTCTCCTGATGCAATCAGGCAGATTAAAGGTCACAGGGACCACAACAGAAATGTTTCAACAGCAGACTTGTGATGGTTAATTTTTGTGTCAATTTGGCTAAGCCATGGGTCCCGGATATATGGTCAGACATTATTCTGGATGTTTCTGTGAGGATGTTTTTTGGATGAGATTAAAGTTTAAATTAGTGGGCTTTGAGTAAAGCATCCTCCATGATATGGGTGGGCCACATCTGGTCAGTGGAAGTCCTGAATAGAACAAAGACTGACCTCTCACAGCAAGAAGGAAATCATTCACCTGCACACGGCCTTCAGGCTTCAGTGGCAATGTCAGTTCTTTCCTGGGACCCCAGCCTTCTGAACTGCTCTGATGATTTTGATTTTGGACATGCATCTCCATAATCATGTGAGTCAATGCCTTAAGATAACGATCACTGGGCAGGCACCCACACACATCCTACTGATTCTGTTTCTCTGGAGAACCATGACTAATGCAATACTCTAGCGCATAAGTGCTTATCTCATGGGGCAGCACAGCTGTGCCCTCAGGACTCAGTGTGATTTCACCTGCATAAATCCTGTAGTTCCTGGGACATTTGAACAAGGGTGAGGTGAGAAAGATAGCCTTTCTTGGTCTACCCACTCTGCTTGCTAAAACATATTTACAAATGCCGTGAATTTGATCATTCTGTAAATATATTCATGGCTTATGTGAATGTAGCCACAGGTATCAATTTCTTTCAGAAAAGCAGGAAAAGTCTACATTCAAGACATCAATCTTATCTCTCAACGGGGCATAATGGATGTCTATGCTACTTTTAAAATCATTTTGGTCACATTGTTCATAGCACACAACAAATACAAATACAGTCATGCACTAAATAATGATGTTTTAGTCAATGAGAGATCACATATACAACAGTGGTCCCATAAGATTAGAATACCCTATTTTCACTGTTCCCTTTCTTTGTTTAAATATGTTTAAACACATAAATACTTACCATTGTGTTCCAGTTGCCTACAGTATTCAATACAGTCCCATGCTGTACAGGGTTGCAGCCCAGGGGCAATAGGCTACACCATCTAGCCTAGATGTGCAGTAGGCTCTGCCATCTAGGTTTCTGAAGTGCACCCTATGAGGTTCACACAACAAAATCATCTAGCAATGCATTTCTCAGAATGCATCTTTTTTGTTAAAGGACACATTACTATGTATTTTTTTAAATTATTCATCTGAAAACAATAACAAAGGTCAGTAAGTAGCAATAATTTCTAGTTACTGAAGACTAGATACACCCAGGACACGAGATATACACTTCCCGGTCTAGTAGAACTCAGAGCAGGCCAGGAAGACTGTTTCACTTGACCACCCACAAGCTGTGATGTCTCCAGCAAGACAGTTCCAGGAGCCTCAGTGCCTCACTATGGTCAACCTGGGCATAAGAGATTTTTCCAGGTGCTATTTTGGAAATGCAAATGGATAATTTTGCTGACAGTTTCAATTTCTAATGTCCTACAAACAAGCTGAAAATAGTAGAAGTTAGATGAGAAATACACCATTATATCATCCAATTTAGCTGCCAAAGGCCAATGCCAATGTATTCACAATTATGTAACATTTTACAATTCAGAAAAAAAATTTTTACAAAAATTATTTCTTTTTGAGACAGGGTTTTGCTCTGTCCCCCAGGCTGGAGTGCAGTGGGACCGTCATGGATCACCACAACCTCAAACTCCTGGGCTCAAGTAATCCTCCCACCTCAGCCTCCCAAGTAACTGTGACTACAGGCACATGCCACCATGCCTGGATAATTTTTTATTTATTTATTTATTTATTTATTTTTGTAGAGATGGGATCTTGCTATGTTGTGCAGGCTGGCCTCAAACTCCTGGGCTCAGGCAGTCCTCCCACCTCAGTCTCCAAAAGTGCTGGGATTATAGGCATGAGCTATCATGCAAGGCCAAATTATTTCTTTTTATCCTTGCCAAAATCCTAAGATGGCAAGCAGGTAGATAACATCCTCATTTTACAACTAAGCAAACTAAGGAAGAGGCTACTTAGGTGACTTGCCCACCGTCACCCAACTAATAAGTTGTGCATTCAGTACAAAAACCCAGGTAACGTTATTTTTAATACCCTACAGCGAATTTACCTAGTGACTTACATTCGCCTAAACTCGGTAAATTTTATAATATTTTGCTAATTAGAAAACTCTAAATTAATAAATTTACTTGTAAGTAGTCAAATGTTTATTTGATGAAATAATAAATAAACAAAATATCTTGAAGGAAAAGCAGCTGCTATTCTCAAATACACACAGCAACTGGATCTGAACTAGCAAAAGTCTGCTGGCAAAGATCTTTAGAAAATCTCCTACAACAAACAGACACATAGTCCTTTATGATTAGTGTTTGTCAATTATGTATATAAAGGACCCTGCTAGTAAACAACCCTGAACCTTTGTCAACCATGAATGGGTTTGCTTAAGCAAATTGTTGATGTAAAAACAATTCAGTCAAATCCTACGGGAATTATCACAAAATTAAAATCAGTAGATCCTGAGCCTAGAGTTTTACGGTCTTAGGTGTGCTTCCTTCTCAGCTTTCCTGTAGCTAAATTATTAGCATACTTTCCCAAGGTTTAACCTTTGCTTTTCTTTCTTGATAACATAAAAAAATCCCCATGGAAATTAATTAGGATTATAAAAATAAATGACCAATGACAGTTTTATAATACTGAGCGTTGTTGCTATTCATACTCTTCCTTTGTGACATTATGCAAGATGATCATTTCTGCCCTAATTTCCCTCTCTACTACATGTATCCGAAAAGGAAAGTTTAGCATCAAGAAGGTCAAAGCAGAAGAAAGTAGGAATTTTGCAACCACTACAAAGATTAAAAGCAGAAACTGCTTTGGTAAAATGTAGCTCCCTTGAGCTAATCCAAAACTGGGTTTCCATCTAAGTGTTTCTAGTTATTTCTATTTTCTTGATTTTATAACAGACTTGTTATGATATATCTATACTCTTCCAGTAATTGGATCTGAAGGAAAGGATCCCTTATGTTAAAAGGAGAAAAAATGCAAATATAATCCACGGCATTGAATATCAAGTGAGATATGAAAAGCCTCAGAGAAGAGGAAGGTAGGAGTGAATTGCAGGCCACGGCCCAGTGGAAAGTGGACTGAAGGGAGCAGTCAGAGGCTAACAGTGTGGCAAGAGTGTGAGAGATGTCTTAAGAGCCAAAAAGAAAACCTCAAAGAGAAGCAGTGGTGATAAAAAGGATGGAGCAGAGACTTGGAAGCAAGAATATGAAGCTCAATTTCTGGAAGAATACAGATATTCCACTGATAGAAAACTTGGTTTCCATCCTAATTTTAAAACCTCAAAATGTTCAGCAGTGGATATTTCAAACTCCTACCCACAGTATGATGAAGTGGCAAATCACCCTGGCCAACATGTCAGAACACCTGTGTTTTTCCGTATGTTCATTTCCAAAGAACAGTGCTCTTTATGGACCATGTGTATTGTGTCAAGATGGCTATCAAAACCAGACTTCCACCAATCCCACTCACCCCTAATAGATAAGTGCTCTTGGGGAAGCCAACGCTATTCAGACAGAACTAGACTATACTAGAGTACTTCAAAGATTCCTTAGAGATTTAATGTCATACAGATTCTAGATGTACTTCTAAAACTATATCCCCATGGCTTTTTATAACTTTAGAAATGACTGTGACTAGCCTAACTCACCCCTTATCAACACTGGTAATCATTTAATAGAGAAACATGAGTGTACTTCTGATTAGGAAACAAACTAATGCTGTCAGTAGTTACTGAACACAATCTTTTTTCATCAATTTAACTAATGTCCAATTGTGTTTCTTTGACACTGCCCAGTGCATTTGTTTTAGCACATTCTTTAAAGTGGTCAGAAGAGGACTGGCAGGGTGGTTCACACTCTGGGTTGAAGCAGGGCTCCATTTGTACTGGGGGTAAGTAGGTATCTAAGATGTCTGGGGGATTCTAATGAATGCAAACACCTCTAAACTACATTGAAATCCTGAAGTAAGCCAAGGCCATGTATACATAACTGGAGGTTGATTACAAAATAAAATGTTTGGGGCTGGGCATGATGGCTCATACCTGAAATCCCAGCACTTTCAGAAGCTAAAGCAGGAAAATCACTTGAGGCCAGGAGTTGAAGACCGACTTGGGCAACATAGTTTAAAATTATTTTTTAAATTTTTTTTTAAAAATTATTTTTAAAATAGCTGGTCACAGTAGTGTATGCCTATAGTCCCAGCGACTCAAGAGGCTGAGGCAAGAAGATCACTTAAGCCCAGGAGATCGATGTGGCAGTGTAGTGAGCTATAATTTCACACTGCATTCCACCCTGAATGACAGAGCAAGACCTTGGATCTTAAAAATAAAAAAAAGTAAAACATTTGGAGTGAGATAGTTATATCTGTGCATCAGAGAAAAACAGTGGTAGAGGGAACTCTTACACACTGTTGGTGGGAATGTAAATTAGTACAACCTCTAGGCAAAACAGTATGGAGATTTCTCAAAGAACCAAAACTAGAACTACCGTTCAACCCAGGAATCTCACTACTGGGTATCTACTAAAGGAAAATAAACAGTTCTGTCAAAAAGACATCTGCACTCTTACGTTTATGACAGCACTATTCACAAAAAAAAGTCATGGAATCAACCTAAGTGCCCATCAATGGTGCGTTGAATAAAGAAAATTCCATATACACCATGGAATACTATACGGCCATAAAAAGAAGAAAATCATGTCCTTTGTAGCAACATGGATGCAGCTTGAGGCATTATCCTAAGTGAATTAACACAGAAACAGAAAATCAAATATCACATGTTCTCACTTATAAGTGGGAGCTAAACAATGGATACACATGAACATAAACATGGAAAAAATAGACACTGGGGACTCCAAAAATGGGGACAGAGAGAGAGGGGAAAGCGATGAAAAACTACTTACTGGGCACTATGTTCACTGTTTGCGTGATGGGTTCTGTAGAAGTCCAAATCCCAGCATTATGCAGTATAGTACAAACCTGTGCATGTGGCTCTTGAATCTAAATTTTTTAAAAATGAAGTGTTTGCCATTCTCTGAATTGGCTGTGGATTTGGCTTATTCTGTGCCTTCTATTTCCTGCTCCTCCTCCAAGATCCAATAAGTCAGAATCCATCCTAGCAGTCAACCCTCCTTGACATACCAAGGGATGTGGACAGGAGGGCAGGAATAGCACTGTAAGCTCAGACCTCTTCTGGCTGTCCTGACACGCCCCTCTCCTCTTCCCTACTTCCTCCATTCTGCTGCCTGGTTTATCTCTTAGCCTTTCACTTTCCAACCCGGCGTTCTGGCTCCTCCGACCTTCCGCCTGTCCCTGTGATTTTTTCGCCATGCAACAACTCTTTATTAAAATGACCCTACTTCCTCTATCCAGATTTTGCTTGATTTTGCTTTAATTTGCTTACCTCCTTTCTCAGGTCCTCATGACTTCTCCTAGCTACTTTATTGTCCTCTGATCTGATGCTTTTTCCCACATAGGAAAAGCTACTAATTGAATCCCAGCTTCTAAGCCATTGCCCACTAACCTCTCTTGAGACTCAAGAGACCTCACCAGCTGGCTGAGCCTGGAGACCTTGAAATCCAGAGGTGGCTACTGCAGGCTCTTCCCGGGTCGTGCCTGCCATCTTGTGGATATAAATGGTAACTACACCGAGGCTGGGCTCAAAACCCCCTTAAGGATCAAAGGACTTTGTTCCCTTAGTTAAAAACAAAAGTCCATGTTCTCACTCTTAGGTGGGAATTGAACACTGAGAACACACGGACACAGGAAGGGGAACATCACACACCGGGGACTGTTGTGGGGTGGGGGGAGGGGGGAGGGATAGCATTAGGAGAAATACCTAATGCTAAATGACGAGTTAATGGGTGCAGCACACCAGCATGGCACATGTATACATATGTAACAAACCTGCACGTTGTGCACATGTACCCTAAAACTTAAAGTATAATAATAATAAAATTTTTTTAAAGAGTACCTTAAATGCTGCCTTTTGCATCATGTCTTTGACTGGTCATTCCTGTCAAAAGGAATTGATCTTGCTTCTGCAGTCCTGAGGGTCTGCTCCATACTGATCCTGACGAAGGCATTAGGGTACCAGTCTCACATCTTCTATAAACCCCTCTATCCTTCAGAGCTCTTAGCTTTTTCACAAGCGCTTACTAAATGTTCTGGAAAGTTGAGAATCTAAGCTATTCAAACCATGGACCTATGATTAACTTGGAGGTGACACCTTAATTGTAAGTCAAATGCTGCAATCCTTTGCTTACCAATAAATTAGATTCCAAAAGGCTATTTTTAGATGTATGTGTTTGTGAGAAAGTTAAGCTTGCAGTCTCTTGATGTATTTCCACTAAATAAGAGTGTGAATCAGTCCTTTGAGGTTTTAAAACAAGGCATATTCTCATTTTCCTCATGGACAGTTCTATAAGCAACTTTTTTTCTCTTCAGCTACATTTTCTACACTTCTCCCTTGTCTTGATTGCTCTCTGTTTGCCTCCCTGCCCTTCCCCACCTCCCATCTATAGTACAGCTTTCTCTTCCCCACTCTGTGGTCAGAGGCTGCTCTACGTAGACAGCATCATCTCGGCTCCCCACCCTCTGGCTTCCTGTCGGGTTGGGCCATGAGAGGGGGAGACACCGTCAGGAGATGAGAGGTAAAGAGGTGATATGGACTAAACACGTGTCCCCTCAAAACTCCTATCTTGAAGCTCTCACCCCTTGTATGGCTGTATTTGGAGTCAGGAAGTAACTTAGGTTAAATGAGGTTATAAGGGCGGGTTCCTAATGCTACGAGATTGGTGGCTTTAGGAGAAGAGGAAGAGATCTGTCTCTCTCCTTCTCCCTCTTTCTCTTTCTCCCTCACTCTCTCCCTCCCTCCTTCCCTGCCTCACCACACACAGCTCAGAGGAGAGGTCATGTAAGGACAAAGCAACTATCTGCAAGCCTGGAAGAGAAAGCTCCCCAGAGGCTGAGCCCTGCTGGACCTTGATTTTGGACTTCCAGCCTCCGGAAATGTGAACAAATAAATTTCTGTTGTTGAAGTCACCCAGTCTGGGGTTTTTTATTGCAGCAGCCCGAGCCGCCTAAGACAAGAGGCTGGGTTGTATATTCTTCTCTTCCCTCCCAGGCCCTTCTTTCATGCCTGCAGCTCTGCCCAGTTCCGGTACACAGCTTCCTCCCAGCCTGGAAGGCCTGGAAGAGGAAATTGCTCCCTGCTATCGTTAGTCCCAGTGTACCCCAGTCTTTCACGGTTCCCGTAAACCCGTCCACACCTCTGTAAATAGTTCCGTCACTGAATAATTTTTATTAAACCCTCTGGAGTGTGCCTTCTGTTTCCTTCTGGAACAGGGTCAGCGAATGTTTTCTGTAGAGGGCCAGGGAGTAACTATTTTAGGTTTTGCCTGCCATATGGTCTCTGCTACAATTACTCAACTGCCGTTGTACCAAAAAAAAAAAAAAAAAAAAAAAAAAAAACCAGCCACAGACAATACGTAAATGAATGAGTGTGGCCATGTTCCAATAAAACTTTATTTACAAAAGCAGGTGGCCTGCTGGATTGGATTCAAGGACCCTGGCTGATACACCCACTGACCACTCACTGTGATGCACAATAGAAGTAGAAGGTGCTTTAAACCAGCAAAATCATCTCAGTTTTGCTAGTTTGCAGCAAAAATGAAATCAAATGTTCTTTCTGTATGCTTAAAATTCAGAAATAAACTCCTAACCTCGTTTTGTGCTAACACTGGGTAAATTACCATTCAACATTAGTAATGATACTCTGGCTTAATCAAGCCAAGATTGCAAAAGCATTTTGTTTTGCCAATCACCTCTTTTCATTTCTTGCTATTTTCAATTGATTACATAAGCACAACAGTTTTTATCTTTTGCGTGATTTGCTCTTTGTATAAAGGGCTTAAAAGGGGTGTTGACTTTCATAAAATTTATTTCTAAAATAGCTCCCTGAATAGTAAACCCAATATGTGATATTATCAGAAAACATATCTTCCTCTTGAGTGAAAAGAATATACATTTTCTACCTAGTTCTGCAAATACGCATATGTAGCTTGCATATGGTTAATTTGATATATGGATATATGTGTGTGTGTGACTTATGGAATCTAATAGATGTAATGTGATTCCATTCAAAGCAAGTAAAAGAGGGAAATGAAGAGCTTTAATGTGCCATAGAACATACTTTACATGTGCCATGTAACACACTTTACGTGTATTATCTAAACACCTTATATGTGCCATATAACATGCTTTACACGTGCCATGTAACAGGCTTTATATGTGCTATCAAAACACATTTTACATGTACCATATAGCACACTTTGCATATGCCATGTAACAGGCTTTACATATGTCATATAACACACTTTACAGGTGCCATATAGAACTTCCAATTTCCTCTATGTGAAAGGAAATTTGCTAAGCTAAGCTTTTTTTATGACAAAAGAAAAGTCTAAGGTTTTTGGTGTAAAAAAATTTACTATCAAGGGCCAGGCACTGTGGCTCAAGCCTGTAATCCCAGCACTTTGGGAGGCCAAGGTGGGTGGATCACGAGGTCAGGAGTTCGAGACCAGCCCAGCCAACAGGTGAAACCCCATCTCTACTAAAAATACAAAAATTAGCCAGGCGTGGTGGTGGGTGCCTGTAATCCCAGCTACTCAGGAGGCTGAGGCAGGAGAATCACTTGAACCCAGGAGGCGCAGATTGCAGTGAGCTGAGATAGCACCATTGGACTCCAGCCTGGGTGACAGAGCAAGAGTTTGTCTCAAAAAACAAACAAAAAAACAATCAAATAGAGATCACACAATTGCCTGGGCTGTCTCTGGAAGTGTGTGTCAGAAGGTGAGTGGTGAGTAAATCTATATAGCTACAGTCATATGGTCTTATGAATGGTTGAGAAAAACTAATCATGGGGATGATAAAGGTAAAGGATGAAAAAATTAAAGAAAGGCTTAGGAGAGCACTTTAGTGACTACATTAGTTTGCTATGGCTGCTGTCATGAATTGCCACCAACTTAGTGACTTAAAGTGACGCAAATTTATTGTCATTCAGATCTAGGGGTCAGAGGTTCTCAAGTCAAGGTGTCGACAGGGCTGTGTTTCTTCTGGGGCCTCTGCAGGAGAATTTGTCCCTCATCTTTCCCAGCTGCTAGAGCCCCCCTACATTGTTTGGCTTGTGGCCTCTTCTTCCATTTTCAAAGCCAGTGGCAAAGCATCTTCAGATCTCTCTCTCTCTCATTCATACAAACACACACACACACACACACACTTCTACTTCTACCATTGCATTTCTTTCTCTGCCTCTGAACCTCCCTCCTGTCTCCCTCTTATATGGACCCATGTGATTACATTCAGCCCACCTAGTTGATCTAGAATAATCCCCACATATTAAGATACTTCATCACAACTACACAGTCGTGTAAGGTATCATAGTCACAGATTCTGGGGATTAGAACTTGCATCTTTGGGGGCCCATTACTCTGCCTACTACAGAGGTTGTTGTAGTAACTCCGTTAACAACAGAGACTGACCAATTACAGTAGAAACAAGGATGGTGTCTCTGTTGGATAAGGTTTCCATGCCAAAGAGCCACAGACCAAGTGGCTTAAACAACAGAAATTTATTGTCTGACAGTTCTGGAGCTAGAAGTCTAAAATCAATGTGTCAGCAGAATTGGTTTCTTCCACGGGCTGTTAGGGCAGGATCTGTTCCAGGCCTCTCTTCCTGGCTTATAGATGGCTGTCTTCTCCCTGGATCTCCTTACATCTTCTTCCCTCTATGTGTGTCTGTCTCTGTGTCCAAGTTTCCCCCTTTTTTAAAAACATGGTCATACTGGATTGAAACCCACCATAACAACCTGATTTTAACTGGATTACCTCTGTAAAGAACCTATTTCCAAATAAGGGCATATTCTGAGGTATTTGAGGTTAGGATTTCAACATATGAATTTGTGGGGGGACATAATTCAACCCACAACATGAGGAGAGAAAGAAAGAGGTTTAAAAATTACTTGAAAAATATAATCCGTGGGTCTTATGATGGTAGAAGCTGTAAGGGCAAAGGAAGGTTGAATGACAGGAGTGATGGTTATGGCATTAAAGGGTAAGAAATGCAGTAAAGTCCGGGGAATTAAGAGGTAGAGATTATGAGATTCAGTTATGAATCTGAGCAAAATGAATGTGTGTGTTTACCCCAAATTCACATATGATGGTACTTGGAGTTAAGGCCTTTGGAAGGTAATTAGGGTAAGATTAGCTCATTAGGGTGAGGCCTTCATGATAGGATTAGTAACTTTATAAGAAAAGGAAGAAAGATATCTCTCTCACACTCTCTCTCTTCATGAGCACACACCAAGGGAAGGCCATGTGAGGACACTATGAGAAGGTGGCTATCCTCAAGCCAAGAAGAAAGCCCTCACCGGAGCCTGAATCCTGACAGAACCTTGATCTTGGACTTCCCAGCCTATAGAACTGTGGGAAACAAGTGTCTGTTTCAGCCATGCAGACTGTGGTGCTGTGTTACAGCCTGAGTTGACTAAGACATATGTATTAAACATTTCGAGTTTGAGATTGCTATGGAAAGTCCAATAGAAGAGTAGATGTTTGTATAAGGGAATTTCAAGTTAAAGAAAGAGATTTATGCAAGAGATGATAATTTGAAAATTATAAGTTTATCAGGGATTGAATAAATCAACCAAAGATATTGTGTGACCACTGAGCAAAAAGCCCAAGGACTTAAGGAGTGAGCCATGGGAGAAGCACCCACAGAGTCTGAAGAGGACAGTTGGGGTGGGCAAAAGGACTCAAGAGATGGCAGGGGCACTGAAGGCACAGGGAAGAAATGACCTGGAGAAGTGGAGGGAAGTAAGATCTGCAAAAGGCTTTTGGATTTGGCCACGAGGTCCCTGTAGTCTCTACCCCAGCACTTTCAATGGAGGTTTGTGTCCATCTTAGTCCTGGAAAAAGCATATCCCGAGAAGGAATTAGAAGAGCAAGAAATTTGGGGTGGGATGAAGGATGGGATGACGGGGTGAAGGATGAACCTGACTTGGGGGAAAGCCTCTGCCTGTGACATGGGTGGGTCACTTGTGAAGGGAGAGGGAGTGGGAAGGAGGACTGGGCAGGAAGTGCTTCAGTCTGCCCTGCAGCTCTAAGAAAGTCTGAGTGAGGCCATTGGGAATCCTTGGAATAAGAGTGCCCACCGCAGGAGTCCCACACCAGGCAGAAATGGCCAGAGTTTAGTGTTCCATGTGGCCCAGCCCTGGACTGTGGTATGAGCCCAGGTGTGGCCTCAGTGAGGCAGGTCTTATGGGTGCATCCACAGGAGGTTATCAACTCACTACATTCCTCACAGAAGGTTCTATCTTGAAAGGAGGTCTGAGCAGGCTGTTGTGAGACAAAGTAGCCAGCATATGTAAGAAGCCATGTTTGCTCATTTCTGCTTGCCAGCATAGTTTCACAAAGCCCCTGACTCTGTGACGATGTGCAGCTCTAAAATGATTTGAGGACAAAACAGGATGGAGCCCATGGCCCCCACCATGTATCTTGCCTGAATCACTAAATTCCTTAAAAGATAAATGACTCTAATTCTTTCCTTTTCCTACACATACGATAATGTCTGGCAGGATTGGTGATTATACCTCTGTAATCTATAAAAAACTGTACTCTCACACTCAGACTTTGCTGTGATTCCTCATCAATGTAACTTCTGAAAAGGGTTGATAGGATTTTGCACATACTAAACCTCACAACCTGTGTATAAACAGTAAGCTGAAACACTTTTTGGACTAGTCTGATACAAGCTCTCTAAATGGCTGCTCCCAGGATATAGTCCTCAGTAAGACTTCTGAATAAAACTAACTTTAATTATTTAAAAGCTTGTTTTTTTCTTTAGTTGGCAGTAGTGTCATGGCTGACAAAATTGGGTTTGGGGTGATACGGGAAAGGATGAAATGGCAACTGTGAATCCAGATGACTCTAGATGCTTGCACAACTAACCTATTGAAAAGATGAGGACCAAGACAGTTGTGAGAAGTCTTCTAAGTGCAAACCTCCCCAGAACCAGCTGATGCTACTAAATTCTACAGTTAACAGAGGCCAGCAAGCCACACCTCTTTATGTCTGAACAGGGCAAAAGCAAGTCTAATACTGCTGTACTCTGGGGATTAATCTGTTCCAAGCGAGGCTGACAGACTTGTTTCTGCATTCTCAGATGACAGTGTCTACTGTTGCTGGCTTCAAGATCATAAAGTCCCAGCACTTTGGGAGGCCGAGGTGGGCAGATCACAAGGTCAGGAGATCGAGACCATCCTGACTAACATGGTGAAACCCCGTCTCTACCAAAAATATAAAAAATTAGCTGGGCGTGGTGGTGGGCGCCTGTAGTCCCAGCTACTCCGGAGGCTGAGGCAGGAGAATGGCATGAACCTGGGAGGCAGAGCTTGCAGTGAGCCGAGATCATGCCACTGCACTCCAGCCTGGGCGACAGAGCGAGACTCCTTCTCAAAAAAAAAAAAAAAAAAAAAGATAGATCATAAAGTCTAAGATTCTGCTCAACCAGATTGGGAAAAAAAACTCTCTTGCAAGACACCATAATTCCCGGGTGCTTCTGAAGCCTTAAATAGGAAGGAATATTCAGGTGGTGCCATAAGAACATCGCTATGCAGGCTGTGAGAATAAAAACATGATGTTTCGCAATGTGCTGGTGGTTAAAGAGGATTAGATTTAGTTGAGGAATTTAGCTTTCATCTTTATGTAGTTTGGATATTTGTCCCCACCCCCAAATCTCATGTTGAAATGTAATCCCCAGTGTTGGAGGTGGGGCCTGGTGGGAGGTGATTGGATCATGGGGGTGGATTTCTCAGGAATGGTTTGGCACCATCCAACTGGGGCTGTCCTTGTAATAGTGAGTGAGTTCTCATGACAACTGGATGTTTAAAGTATGTGGCACTTCCCTTTGCGCTCTCTCTCTTGCTCCTGCTTTCACCGTGTGAGATGCCTGTTCCCTCTTCATCTTTTGCCATAAGTAAAAGCTTCCTCAGGCCTCCTCAGAAGCCGAGCAGATGATGGCACCATGCATCCTGTACAGCCTGCAGAACCAGGAGCCAAGTAAATTTATTTTCTTTATAAATCACTGAGTATCAGGTATTCCTTTATAGCAACTCAAGAACAGACTAACACACATTCTGTGGTAGATAATAGAACCACACTATAAAGTTCTTACTTTGCATATTGGTCACAACTCATAGCTAATTCTGGTCTGACATAGAGATAGGCACATCTCTCTGGTCTAAATGAATCCCTCAGAGGATTCCGGGAACAAGGACTGCTCAGTCTACAGCTGATCCTTAAGTCCAGGGAATGCATTTACTTCTTTATTGAGATGCTATGATTTACGGGGCACTAAAAGTTGTGACTGTAAAGGAATAGCTTCTGGGCAGAGATAGAAAGACTATCCCTTTAGAGATACTAGGAATATTCTCTCTGTGGACATCAATTACTTTCTAAGTGCTGGTATTGCATCATGGCTAAGAGCTCAGACTCTGGACACCAGGAGGGCTCACATTTTGTCTCCCTAATTTACTTGCTCTATGACCTTGGGAAAATTATGTAACTCTCTTGTGTTTAGTTTCCTTACCTATAAAATCAATCTAATATATGTAAAATGAGTGCTTGGTATATAGTTAATAATAAAATGTCACTTGCTTTTACTACTACTTTTACCAATTTTAAACATCTCTTGGGGGATAAAATTTAAAATATACATTCATATTGGCTTGCATTTGCATAAAGAAACTCTAGAGACATAAATAAGGGACTCATAAAAGTGGTCACCTCTGGGAGTGAGAAGTGGAGGATGCAAACTGATTGAAAGCAAGAATTCTCCATGAATATGTTTCTAGGCTGGGGAAAAAAAAACACTTAAAAAAATGTAAACTTCTTTAGAATACCTCATAAATGTGGAGTTAAAATTGCCCCTCCCTAAAAGAAAATCAGAATAGACTTTTCTTAGCACATTCCAGTCTATGAGTGTTTAAGCACCTCTCTTCTCCTTTCCTCTTCCTCCACTTTCCTTCCATTTTCTATTCCTCTGCCTCCTTTTCTTCTCTCACTGTTCCAAAAAATAGGTTCAAATCAAGACTTACTGATCCTGGAACTAGAGACTTGTACTAACTCTAGATTTCCCTCTTTAAATTGCTTCTTTCTTGTCTTCCTTAATGAGGTCCAGTAAGATGGCCCTGAGGCTGCCCCCTGTTGGTGACAGGCAGCTTGCACAAGAATGGCTCCCCTTACAGACACCTGTTAAGTTCTCACCTCCTGCAATCTTCACACCAGTCCTGAGGTAGTTAGTGATGAGAAAACCAACTCACAGGCAGTTAAACACTTTAAAGCCACTTAGTTACTGAGCCAGGATCAGAACCAGCCTAGCTCCCGGGCCCTAACCAATGGCTCTGTGTTGCCTTGCTTTCCGCATTGGGTATGGGGCTCTTTCCTCACTTACTTGCCTTGGCCACCTTTCCTCACTATCAGAGGTATAAGATCTATGGTTCAGTGTGGAGGCTAAAGCAACTGCATCTTGGATGCTAACCCACCATGTTGCCTTCTAATTAATTCCTGTTCTGGGAATGTCTGTAAGATATCCACTTTATCTACAGTTACCATAAATCCTGCCCTTAGGTCAAAACAACCTTGACCATAAATCTCGCCTTAGGCAGAGTCACATAGCATTCTTGCCTTTCCCGGAGGGGTCGACTTAATTGTCCTACACATTTCTTCCCTCTGGTGTATACACTCTGGATCTGAGGAATGATAGCACAGGGATCTGCCATCTTGTCTTACTTCTGTGAGACATGATTTATGTTAGTAAGACCCTATGAAATGTTTCTGTCTGAGAAACTGAATGTACCAAGTTCTTTCTTTGGCCTATAAGTTTCCTTGGCCTTTGGGAGCAGGTTTGCATAGACCTGCTCACTGCAGAACACTCAGCATTAGGGAGTAGGTCCTGGAGGCCCATGGTTTATTTTTAGTGAGAACCTTGTGTCAACCTTTCATCTGGATGTCTTCCCTCTCCACATGGTCCCTCTTGGGTCTTCAGGAGATGGCATGGGGTATGGGACAACAGCTTTGTATAATAAAAACAAATATTGCCTGGAAATTCCCTCTGCTCCTTTCCCTCGGGGACCTGTGGTCCAGGCTCCTGAGCTTCCAGGTTCCAGGCCATTATCTCTTGTCCTCTGACATGACACGACTGACACAAGGATGTCGTCTAGGTGACATATTAGACTTGCTTACTGGACTAAGGTAAAGACACCAAGTAGAAACATTGATCTTGAATCTTCCCCCACCACCTGATTCAATCAAATTTAGATTTCCAGACCGAAAGTGTTAAGGAACCCCGAAAGGATGTGGCTCTGGTCTTCCTCCTGTGTGGGCATGGACTATTGCAGCCCTAACCACCTTGCCCAAGCGCTTACATTTCCACGTGTGCTCAATTGCCTTTGAAATGCAATCTCTGCCTGAGGGCAAAATTGAGGGACTCTTCATCCCTGGGAGCAGCCACCATGGAATAGTCTGATAGATGATGAGATCTTTCTGAGGCACACAATCTGTTTCCCAGAGGTCCCAGCAGAATTAAGCTCCATTTGCTCACAGTTGGAGCTGTTTGATTGAAGCTTTTATCAGCTTTCTTCTCTTCCCTGTCTACATTCTCCACTGCCCTACTGTTGTTTACTGAAATCACCTCCAAAATAAAAAAACATGCAATCAAATCCTTACGTCATGGGCTCCTTCTGGGGAAACACAAACTAAGACACTCTTTCTATGTCAAGCAGACTCAAAATAGCTGTTACCAGCTGTAGCATCTGCCCTATCCAATCCCCAGGTAATGGATGTGATGCAACCAGCCCATGTCTAACATGTAGCAGGTGCTCAATAAATGTAGTTGGATCTGAATTGGCATGCACACTGCATTCCTCTGCAAAATTGAATTACATAGGCAATTCTTAAAGAGTGAAACAGTTTTCATTTTCAGCCATTAGAAGTAACCACAAAAAGGAACACAGGTTATTTTAAAAACTGAAATTAAATAAGTCCTGGAATGTTCCATGGTGCCTTGACAAGTAGAAAAGTGATCAAACACATTAGATCACCTGCCTGGCCAGTCTTTGAAACAATGAGACAAAAAAGGAAACTCATTACATGTCAAGCTTGGGTGATTAGATTAGATTTTCTATATCGTACCTGTCTGGGCTACATTTGCATAAGCTCACAAAATGCAGGGGAGGCTTAAAGCAGGTTGTCATGCCATGCCTGGTTGGACTTGTTCATGCTAACAAGGCTGAAGGAGCTACTAACTTCAGCATCAGGGGCGGTAACTCTCTCTCAGCACTTCAAGATCCAAATAAAATAATTCACAGAGATTTCAGTTTAGAGAACAGTGAACAGTTAACTAACAGACACCTTAGCTAGTCTGAACGGTTGAGTCTCCTTAAGAAATTCTGCAAAACACGGATTCAGAACTTAAGAGAGACAGAATAAAGCAACACAATGAATCAAGAGCAATCTGGTGTCTTTTTGAAAGAGGAGAAGACAATGGGGAAATAGCATTTTTTTAATTCTACATCATTGGATTTCAACTGACCATGAATCATTTCATCCCATATTTATGCAGTTCTGTAGACTTTCAAGGCAGTCTTGAGTCCACTATCACATTTATTCTGACGTCTGTTCTCTGCCGGTCACATCTGAATCATGCATTTGCGGGCTGAGAACACTCAGCCTCTGTGCAGTTGAATGACTCCTTCATTCACATGGAGCATAAATAGTAAGCCCAATTCTCCACCCCAACTTGTGTTTTCATTTGCCTTTTGTATGTGGATTAAAAAGGTGATGTTAAGGCACATTTAGTAGAAAGAAGGCTTTTTATCCAAATTTTAGATGGGAGGGAAAGGAAGGATAGTGGCAAGAAGATGGTGTAGTTTCTTAACAGTATAGACTTCAGCTTCTGCTCCATACCAAGCATGCTCGGCATGAGCTAGTAGCTTCCTCCTCCATCCTCTGTTCCCAGCCTCTACCGGCCTGATCTGGCTCTTGATGCTCCAATCTCCTTCACCACTCTCACTCCCAGGAGCCACATTATGACCTTTTGACCTCCCTGATCAGCCTCTTTGACATGACCAAGGTGGCCTCGATTGCCTGGTCCCACCCCCAGGCCCTTGCTTGTATCAGTCCCCAGCCTAGATCTCTTCTATCAGCCATTCCTGCTCTGGGGACACTGTTTCTCCCACTCCACTCTTGCTGCCACTTGGGATCTTATTTCTCACCTGGATGACTCCAGTGGACTCCAGCTTCCAGGTTCTCCCCACGTACTACTGCCATAGAATGCTCACCAAAGGGAAATGTGTTGACTGAATGGCTGCTCTACCCCAGGAACTTTAATATGTTTCACTTTTGCAAGGACACTATAAGTTCATTTTTGTATTACTATTTGTTGAAACTTTTTATTGACAGAAAAGTGCGTATATTATATTCTAGTGGTAAAGCTTGGCAAAATTTCACAGATTAAACACAACATATTCCGCAGTCACATAAAAGCAAAACAAAACAAATAGACAAATAAACAAGAAACAGAGAAACCCTGAAAGCATGACTGTTGGGTCATACGTTATGCATGTACCTGGCTTTAGTGGATATTGTCAGTTTTCCAAAGTGGCTATACCAACTTACACTACCATCAGCTGTGTGTGATGGTTCAAGCTGTTCTACACTTACCACTTGGTATTTTCTATTTAACCATTCTGGTGAGTGGGTAGTGATTAACACCACCTTAAAATAAGAAAAATTAAATTCAGGGGGATAGACTGTCTTGTCCCCAGATGCCAGCAAAGGAAGCACTTGAATGAGTTCTGTCTACTCAGAACACCCACAGCTCCTTTGCAGTAGTAGTATTCTGCTTTTTTGTTCTCTAACGTTTTTATCAACACTCTCTCTATTTTTTCCATAGATAATTATACCTTTGCTTTTAAGAGCTGTCATAAATAATTAAAATATTTGAGCTGAATTAAATACCATAGCTCAGTTAATAACATGGGCTTTATTTAGGACCAGACAAGTCTGAGTTCAAGCCCTAACTTCAATCTTACTAGCTATAGTTCTCTAGGCTTCAATTTCTTCACCTCTAAAGATGAGAATGAGGGTAGAAACTAGCTCCTGAAGAGGTGATGAGGACTAAATGAGATGATACATGTAAAGTGCTCAGCACAGAGCCTTCACACAATGATCATTCAACAAATTAGTAGCAAAAGAGAGATCTCGTGTGTAAATACTTTTAAATATTGAAGTTTTATATATTCAGACAAATACAGTGAGTTGAGTGCAATTAGAATAATTTTGATTCTAAATAAGCTGCTAAGAGTCTTCATTTTCATGAACATAAAAATTAGGGTTCAAGTCTGGGCAACATAGCGAGACTCTGCCTCTACAAAAATAAAAATAAGCCCAGCGTAGTGGGGCAAATTGGCAGACCCAGCTACTCAAGAGGCTGAGGCAAGAGGATCACTTTACCTCAGGAGGTCAAAGCTGCAGTGAACTAGGATCACACCACGCACTACAGTCTGGGTGACAGAGCAAGACTCTGTCTCTAAAATAAAAATAAAACAAAAAAAAATTGGTGTTCATTAGTGACAACTGTGTAACTTAGCAACAGACTCCACTTGCTATGTTATCAATCCCTCCTCTGGTATAGTGGTGGATTTTCACTCACCACTTGTCAAAATGATCAAACATCGTGACTTCTTAGAATCTATTTTAACAAGGGGAGGGGATTTTATCAGGATTTGCTGGACATTTCAGGGAAAGCCCCCTTTGTGTGAGTCTTGGTAAGAGGCTTCCTCTGCCAAAGAAGGACCACTTTCTCCTTCCCTGCCATTGGGTGGCATGTGAGCTAGGCTAGTCCAATCACAGGTTTCGTCCAGGCCTTGCTTCTGGAGAGGGTGATAAAAAGTGTGAATTCACGGCATCTCTGAAAGTCTACTGGGGTGGGGCTGGGAGCGCACACAGCTTTGGAGATGGCAGTAAAAGATTCCCTGGCCCGACTCCAGGCCCCTGCCATCCAGACCCCTTGTGCCTGCCCATTCAGAACTGCTTCACCATCCCTTTTGTTGATGTAAAGAAGACATTTTTCACCTGCTTAAATTGACCATATTTGGCTTATCTTGCATTCAACCAAGAACCCAAGGGACACAACAAGTTTCACTATATTTTATTGCTCTAACTTAGGTCTAAATCTTTCTCTGGTGGTTTGAGAACTCCACAAGATTCTGAATTTCTGTTTCTATGAAAGGCTGTTTGAGGAAAATAAGTTCATAACAGCCTGGGAATGGGAAGCCATAAAGAGGAGATGCTCTAGAAACATTACTCTGCTACCCTGACTTTGAAAGTCTTAGATTTGCAGGGTTATACAGAGATTTTTCTAGTTTACTTTTTGTTCTTATTTATCACTTTAGTAACTTGAGTGCAAGAGTGTAGAATGAAGTTGTAACATATATCTCAGGGGTTAAAGAGCTGTTCCATTTTCAGATATCCTATCCTAAAAGAACCCATATATGTGTCAATGTTTTTGGTTCAGAAAATACAGGCAGAGTATAAAGCCATCCAAGAACATCCACAGGTGATAATACGTCATGGGCAATGTGAGCTTCATGAGTATCACGAATAATTACTTGACTAGAGCCATACTGAGCACTGCCCAGAGACTGATACAAATGCTAGATTCAGCACTCAGTTTTTTATATATGTATATGTGATTATTTTATATATAATTATACACACACACATACACACACATACATGTATATATTGAGAGCCAACATTTTTTCAGTATGTATTGTGTGTAAGGCACTGTTCTATGTACTATACATGGACTCATCGCATTTTCTCCTCCTTACGTTCCAAGAAGGTAAGCAATATTATAATTTTATCCTATTTTACAAATGAGGAAACCAAATCTTAAAGAAGTTAGTAACTTGCCCAGATCACCACACAGCCAATCCATATGTGATAGAGGATTTATTTCAAGAACCTGCACTTTTAACCAATGACCACTTTCTCCTGCCTTTCACCTGACTCTCTCTGTCTCTCTCTTCCTCCTCCACCTCCTCTTCCTCCCCTATCCCCACAGCCAGCCCTGCTACAGGGCCAAGGACTCTGAGGAAAACATAACACTGCCATGAGGGTAACCCCTGAAGGCCATGGAGCGCCTGCCCCAGCCTAATGGAGTGAAAATCAGAAAAACTATGATTCCTGGGCCCCTGTGGCCTAGTGGATTCTTCACTCCATGCAGGAAGCAATGGCCCCCTAGTTTGGGGGGTACCTTTGAAGGAGACTCAGGGAATAGCAGCACCCAGAGATACCTTAAACTCATGTGTATTCTCCGCATCCTCGTGTGCCAGAGGCTTAATCAGGACCCTCCAGAGAAAACAGTCTTAACTGAAATCCTAAGTGTCATCTCCCCTCAGCCTGGGCCAGATTCTGTGTTCCAGCTAAGCTTCCACTGGTTTGGCTCTCTGCCTCTATGCAATGACCACTCACATGTGTCCCCTGAAAGCAATTGGATTTATAGAAATGATGCTCTGGAAGCCAAGAGGTGCCAGTAAACAAAACTAATGATAGCAGCAACAACAACAGTTATAGCAACAATAATAACAACCAATAACTTATCAGACAAATTTCACAGATTATGTCATCCAGTCTTCCGAATAACCCATTATTCTAATGGAATTCTCATTTTACGTGTGAGGAAACTGAGGTTCAGCAAGGTTCCACAGTTTGCCCATAATCTCACAGCTAGTAAATTGCAGAGCTGCCATTTAAATCTGACTTGACTGGCTCCAAGTACCTTCTTTCACCACTAATGCCACCATTAACTAGGCATAGGCCAGGGCCGTTTCGCTTTAATCACTTAAGGTCTCCATTTCTCATCTGTAAACTGGAGAAGCTGAATGAAATTTGTTCTCATATTTCTCTATCTCTAAAATTCCATGATATCATCTAAAGTTGGGGAGGAGCGAGTGGGAAAGGGAGGGTAGCAGACTTCAAGGATGATATTGTGTCATTTCAGAACACGGTCACCAGGTGACAGCATTGCACTTCATTTTGATATTGTTTCCAAGGACCGATTTTGCCATGCTGTAACTCCACCCATGTGCTTGTTACAAAAATAAGTTTCTTTCTCCTAGAGGCTTTTAGCTTAGCACTCAATTACCCAAAACACAGATCTTACATATCTTGGGACAAAGCCATACATCCTTGCACTCTTCTCCCAATTATTTTAAAATAATTTGATTATTCAAATTAAAAATATATATGTTGAAAATGGCCATTCTGGGGAAAAAAAGTCAGAACCTCTTTGACTGGCCCACACTTATTTTATCATTTAATAATCATCCTAAATTGCATGCCTTGGAGTTGGGTGTAGAAATGCATTGACTGCTTATGGCCTCTAGAGGCTCCAGTCCGGCTGTGCTGCTGAGGTCAATCAAAGGATTGATAAACGTGTGCATTTGCATCTTTTCTGATCTTCATGATTAGTCATTTTAGAAACATACCACTTTTCTAATAAAAATTGTTGGCTTATTACCTCCAGTTGGGAGTGTTCTCAGCTTGATACAGACACAATGGTGAAAGCAACTTTTACTCTGACTAGAAAGAGCCTACACTTTCTACCCACTAGAAAACTTTTCTGAACACAGAGAAGTGATCAATTATTTATTCAAACACCAGACTTATTCTTCTGTTTTCAATAAGTCTAGAACCTAACACCCCTAGATCTGGGCAATTACCACATCAGAAACAAGGATTTCAGGGACCCTGTCACTTGGGTTTGTCATTAACCCGCAGCCAGTAGCACCGAACCCCAAGATTCGCTGAGTTTCTGCAGCGCCCACCTGATTCCCGCTAAGGTTAACAGGCGCTACCATGCACAGTGACCCAGGAGAAATTGGACGCAAGATTAATGCTGCATAAAAAGTCCCACTGTGAATGTCTTCCCTCAGCTGCAAGATTTCTGTAATTAGAAGGGAAATAAAACCTCAGAGGCATTTTCTCTCACTGTAAAATGTTAATTGACAATGCACCAAAGACAAAGAACACACCTCTAATAACACAAGGAGTGTTATTAAACACAGAAATTTTTACTCTATCTATAAAAAGCCATGAAAACTCTGGAAGCCCTGAGGAAAAGGAATATAATACATCCAAAAAAAATGGATAAAATGTGGCCGAGCACAGAGACTCAGGCCTGTAATCCTGGCACTTTGGGAGGCTGAGGCGGGCGGACCACGAGGTCAGGAGATCGAGACCATCCTGGCCAACACGGTGAAACCCCGTCTCTACTAAAAATACAAAAAATTAGCCTGGCGTGGTGGTGGGTGCCTGCAGTCCCAGCTACTGGGGAGGCTGAGGCAGGAGCATAGCTTGAACCTGGGAGGCAGAGATTGCAGTGAGCTGAGATTGTGCCACTGCACTCCAGCCTGGGTGAAAGAGTGATACTTAGTCTTAATATAAAATAAAATAAAATTAAATTAAAATAAAATAAAATAAAATAAAATGTATAGGGAAGCTATTTAAAAAAGAAATGGTCATAAAAACAAAAATGACAGTGGCAACTTACTCCTAACATCCCTGAGGTCCCCTTTTGGATCCCAAATATGCACACTCACACTAGAAAAATTCATGTATTTATTTGCCACGAGGAATGAAGGACACCTGACTTTTGCATTTCAAAATTTTCTCCAAGCTCCTCTTCACAGGATTGAGAAAGGTGGAAGACAAATGAAATCTCAAATCTCCATGACCTCCACAGACCCCCTTGATTGTGTCTTCAACTTGACTGCACCTGCAGGATGTATTTTGATGATTCTAGCATAACCATGCTTAATTTATTGTTACCTCTTTTCCTGGTTTAAAGATTACCCAGCTGTTATGTTATTACCTCATTGTCTAGTTTTCAAAATAAATACCAATTGTTGCTCTCCTCTTCTTTGCGAGAAAATATTATATACCCACCACCTTGACAGAACAGTCATTTCAAGTCAACACCATTTGTTTCAGAAAACTTGAACTCTGACAACCTTAACCGAAGAGTGTACACTGCATCTATAAAGTAGGTGATTCAGGCACATAAAACAATTCCTAGAGAATTGCCTGCAACCTCGACAGGCACTGCCTAGTATAAATTGTTGGTAATGTTTAATTCCACCTGATATACTAGGGTTTACTAATTCAGAACTCTGGATCATTCAAACTAGGTAAAGTTTTCATTCATTCATTCATCAGATTTTTATTCAGTATCCATTACTTGCCTGGCACTCTGCTGGGGATTAAGAAAAAGTAGGGAGAAAAGAAGATCCAGTGTCCACTCTCAGGGAGGGTAGAGGCTACTGCAAGTCTATGAAGGAAACCTACAGGGTGCTGTCTGAGCCTGGCTCCACAGAAAAGAAGAGAGGTGGAAAGATGAGTATTTAGGAATTTGAATTGACAGGATGTGGCAATTGCAGTTAATTTAAACAATGTGTCAAGGACAAGTTCTGAGTTTCAGTTTAAGTTTACCTAATTAAATTGATACCATTTTAGAGATGGTGACAAAGTGGTTTTTAAATCTACTGATAACCATAGAATTATTGTAGATAATTTACCCTTAACTTCAGAGTACTGATTGCATCCAGGTAAATAATATTTCTGAAGTTTAGAAGTCTTAATTTCAAAATAACACAAAATTTTTAAAAAATGTAGCCCATAGTGCAATGCTACAAAAAAAAATGAGATATAAAATATAGTAAGGATGAAATAAAATTTAGAGTCTTTTGATTAGCACAAATCAATTGGGAGATATATTATCTGTAATCAATTCATATCAGTTAAAACTACTTAGTTTTATTTGAAAATGAAACCAAATAATATAATATTCCAGATATTTGATACCATAAACACAATGAATACCTTTAACATAATTTGGCATAAAAATCAAAAATTGCTGGCCAGGCACAGTGCTCACGCCTGTAATCCCAACACTTTGAGAGGCCGAGGTGGGCAGATAAACTGAGGTCCAGAGTTCAAGACCAGCCTGGCCAACATGGCGAAGGTGGTGGCACGCGTCTGTAATCCCCACTACTTAGGAGGCTGAGGCAGGAGAATCGGTTGAACCTGGGAGGCAGAGGTTGCAGTGAGCTGAGATCATGCCACTGCACCCCAGCCAGGGCAACAGAGAGAGACTCTGTCTCAAAAAAAAAAAATGCATTACATATCCATTTCCTTTTAAAATGGTAAAGAGAACTGTAAAGTATGTATGGAAATTTGTTTTCCTGGAAATCTTTATTGACCTGTGGATAGGAGTACGACAAAACCCACTCACCATCAGAAAGGATCTTTGGAAAGATCCATCAACATCCTCTGCTGTCTCTAGCTACATCTTCCTTTACAAATTGTGCTTGTCTATACTTCTGAAATATCTCTTGCTCTGGAGTGAATGACCTTTGTTCCATGTAGTTTATCAGATTTTCATAATATCAAACAGCTTCTGACAGAGTCATTTTTCATATGTCTATTTCAAACCCCACCACGCTATCTGGATCATGTAGCTTGGGCCACTAGGACACATCCCCCGTTTCCCCAGCCTGGCTTATTACATTATTGTCATGCCCTAAAGGAGACTGTCATTTTGTTATTGTGGCAACATGATTACAAAATGGATGAACATGGTAGCGAAATTCTTTCATAACTATCCCAAGTGTTTGGATGCCTCGGGTATTTGTACTCTGAAATAAACAAACATCTACTGTATACCAGCACCTACTTTATTGAGAACCTACGTGAACTCGGCACTGAGAAATGGTTCCTGTCCTGAAGAGCTAATGATATGTCTGGAAAGCCAAGACTAATGCATATAAAACAGCAGTAAACATTCCGGCTCTGCTAAATGAAGCAGCAGCCCCTTTAAGTTACATAGGCTTTCAGGGAAACACCCTGGGATCCTGTCACAGGTACTTTGATAAGGGCTAGTTGTGAATAAAAGGGCAGAAAAATCCGTCAAGACTAAAATAAGTGGAAAAAAAACTAGTTCTAGTACTCTCTCCCCAAATCTAAAGAAATCCAAGCCACTAAAGAATTGTTAAAATAGGCTGGGGGCAGTGGCTCATGCTTGTAATTCCAGCACTTTGGGAGGCTAAGACAGTAGGATCACTTGAGCCCAAGAGTTCGAGACCAGCCTGGGGAAAATAGCATGACAGCATCTCTACAAAAAAATATATAAAAAAAATAAATAAATAATAAAAATAAAAAACAAAATAGCCAGGCATCGTGGCACGTACTTGTAGCCCCAGCTACTGAGTAAGCTGAATTGGGAGGATCCCTTGAGCCCAAGAGGTGAAGGCTGCAGTGAGCCGTGTTTATGCCACTTCACTCCAGCCTGTCCAAAGGGTGAGGCTCTGTCTCTGAAAATAGTAAAAGAATTGTTAAAAGTGCCCATTTTTAAAAAAGAATTAGGGTGATTATGATGTGTTCATGTAAGCTCTTCAGTGATAACAAGTGCACCACTCTGCTAGGGGATGTTAATGATGACAGAGGCTGGGGGAGGGGCAGGAGGCATATGAGAAATCTCTGTACCTTCTGCCCATTTTCCTGTGACCCTAATACTACTCTACAACAATAAAGTTTTTTTTTTTTTTTTTTTTTGTTTTTTTTTTTTTTTGTTTTTGTTTTTTGAGACGGAGTCTCGCTCTGTCGCCCAGGCCGGACTGCGGACTGCAGTGGCGCAATCTCGGCTCACTGCAAGCTCCGCCTCCCAGGTTCACGCCATTCTCCTGCCTCAGCCTCCCGAGTAGCTGGGACTACAGGCGCCCGCCACCGCGCCCGGCTAATTTTTTGTATTTTTAGTAGAGACGGGGTTTCACCTTGTTAGCCAGGATGGTCTCGATCTCCTGACCTCATGATCCACCCACCTCGGCCTCCCAAAGTGCTGGGATTACAGGCGTGAGCCACCGCGCCCGGCCTAAAGTTTTTTTTTAATATTCCTTTCAAAGTTGTTTCTCTCCAGGCCCTGGTCCCTCGGACAGTTTGGATTGCTCTGTGCTGCTGCATGGTTGGCTTTCTGGCTGGAGGCTGTATCTGAATCATCTTCTGCTCCATTTCCCTGAACATCACCTTGATGACTCTGTGTGTTCTACTTAGAGGAACTTAGCCTGCATTTCCCAGTCTTGCCCTGTGTCTCTCTCCTGATGAGCAGTGGGTGGATTTGTGAGGACAGCAGTCTGTTTCACTTGCACTGTGTGTAAATGTGCTTCCAGCCAGACTAAGACAAGCAGCCCTAACTGTTCCGAGTGGGTTCACACAGCAGGTAAGCAGGGGTTGCTCAAGAGCATGAGGACTCTGTCAGCTCAAGGGCAAGCCCTCTGCTTGTCAATGCCTCAGTGCATCTACCAGCGTGACCCGTGCCACAGGGTGTGTGTGACATAGAAGAGGTCAAGCTGCCAGTTAGCAGGGATGCGTTTGCATGTCAGGCTTCTAAAGGAGACAATCCTTTGGTCAAAGGAGCATATCATGCTCTGAAGCTGGAATCACATCATCAGCTATGGCTGTTTTGTCAATTTATCCCAATACACACTGCTGTATTACTCCCTGCTTAGCATAACTGATGGAGAAACAATTCATTTTGGCCCTTGTCCCAAATAAATAGGACATTCAGCATCACATTTCTAGAAGTTTGGAGAGAGTAAGAGGAAAAATGTGCTGCCAGTGTAAAGACAATGTTGAAATTTTCAATCCCAACTCGAGAAAGACTTACTGGCTCCTAAAGAGCAGAAATTAATGGATATGACTGTTTAGCCACACTCTGTTCAGGTCACAGCCTACAGGTTCCAGCAGCAAAGGTCCACAAGCATAAAAATCTGTGTCTACAGAAGAAAAGTCAGCTAATCATTTGTGTAGTCCATTTGATTTTGCCTGCTGTGAGGTGCTACTTTCTACCAGTTTCCATAGCACTGCAGAGGATTAGGGTTCAAGACAAGGGAGCTCATGGGCTGTTAGGGATTCAGAGCTTGGCAGATGCCCAGGCCACCCAGTAGGTCCCCGGATCCTCGGTGGCTGCCCCTCTACCTCCTCCATAATGGGGATGGGGAAGGAAAGTAGAATATTTCAGGGGGTGAAAGAATCCTTGATATGTCAGAAGTCCACAATTAATCTCTAAGAGACACAGATACAGGAATGCTTTAGAGGAGAAATAAGAAAAGCATGGCAAAAACAGTGTCATTTCTCCAAAAAACCATCTTTCCTGGTGGCAGTCCACCTGGACACTTTTTCTCCCTGTACACCATCATTGGCCAGATACAAGATTCAATCTGTTGGGTTTTATATCTGATATCTCTTTTATATCAGCCAGATAAAATTCCACTCAATTGGCCAGACATGGTGGCTCACTCTTGTAATCCCAGCACTTTGGGAGGCCGAGGCAGGTGGATCACCTGAGGTCAGGAGTTCGAGACCAGCCTGGCCAACATGGTGAAATCCTGTCTCTACTAAAAATACAAAAAAAAAAAAAAATTAGCCACGTGGTGGTGGGTGCCTGTAATGACAGCTATTCAGGAGGCTGAGACAGGAGAATTGCTTAAACCCAAGAGGCAGAGGTTGCAGTAAGCTGAGATCATGCCATTGCACTCCAGCCTGGGCAACAAGAGCGAAACTGCATCTAAAAAAATATAAAAAATCCACTCAGTCAGACAGATCAAGGAAGGGAGATCTGGGCAGAACAGTCTTCAGTAATTAGAGAGTCTCAGAGAGGTACTTGTCATTATGAGGCCTGTGAGTATTTGATAACAAATATTTTATCCATTCAAATAACAGAATGAACAATGTGAGCATGGATAGGACCCTATGTCATTTCTTGGGGAATGCAAAGTGTAGAGATGTTGTCTATCATCAAGTAGCATTTAAAAATGTATATGCCAGCATTTAACCTGACAATAACTAAGGCATATATCTGTCTTTAGTGGGTAAAGCACTGAAAGCAGAGGAAGACACAAACAGCTAAGTGAGGACATCATTTGCTCCATGAAATGACAGAGGCTTATGACATAATGAGAGCATAAAGTGGGGCATCCGACCCAACGAGTAGCTATGGGTGGTATTTTGGAAGAAGTGGCCCCTGAGCTATACCTTCCATAAACACAGGAGAAAGGTGGCTTTGGAAGTGAACAGAATATGGTGCCAACCTGGCTCCATCACTCCCACATACCCTAAGCCATGATTTAACCTTTCTAAGCCTTAGTTTTCTATGTAAAATAAGTCGAATAATATCCACTTTTCAGAATTATTGTAACGAATATATATTGTGCAATTCGTTCATACCTTAAGTAATTAATAAATGGTAGTTTTTATTATTGAAAGAGTTTAGCAATATAAAGTGTAATATAGAAGAAATGTATAAATTGAAATGGTAAAAGTATAAAATGCAACATCAAAATCTAATAAGACTTTAAATTGTGCAATTTGAATTTGGAAATAAAAAAAGTCTTTAGATACCGTAGTGAGAGTGGCTTTAGTCAAGTATTGTTTCTTGAAAACAAATGCAGAAAATTAGAAATGAATGAGAATGAAGGACATGGAAACAAGGAATTTTGAAATGTTAATTGCAAAGGGAGAGGAGGATGCAGGATCGAGAAAACTGAAGTGTTTTAGATAGGGAAAAATCTTGAGCATTCTTATAGGCTATGAGGAAGAAATCAGGAGAGGAGTGGAAAAAGGACACAGGAGGAATAATTGATAAAGCAACATTCTGGAATGAGTAGGTCAGAATCAGTTCTAGAATCCTGGTGAAGAAGTTGGCCTTAGCCAGAATGGAGATACCTGATCATCAGAGGCTGGAGGAAAGCAGGTAAAGATTGATGAGAGTATATTTGTCTATTTGTATTGGACTGGGTAGAGAGAATAAAAGAAGGTCATGCTTGATGGACTCTGTGTTTTCTATGGAGTCAGAAGCAAGCTCATCTTTCTAGAGTCAGGGCTTGAAGCAGAGAAGGATACAAGAGAATAATGCAAATTTGGAAATGGATCTGATATATGCGGGGCAGGAAGGTGACCAAAAGCAACAAAAGGTTTATCAGATGGTGCTAAGTTTCCTGCCACATTTGAAGACATACATATGTAGCTGAACCAATCTCCATGGTTGCAGATTTCTCTCCAACAGTGCTCAGCTGTCTGGGGCTGGGTGTAAAAAAGAAAGTAGATTCAGAGTTTAAATTTTGCTAGGAAGATGGAAAGAAAAGTATGCAAGAAATTTGGAATACCGTTGAGAGTGTTGTTTAGATGATAAAGTGTAGGTCCAGGCTGAGGAATGAAAAGGGGATCATAGGTGGGAAGATGATAGAGACATGGAGAAACAGACATGGAAGCGATTCAATGCCTAATAAGTAAGGCAAGTGCAGGAAAATCAAAATGTTCACCAGCCAACTCAGCAACATGCAGCAATAACCACTTGTGTTTAGAGAAGGGAAGATAATTATGGGTTAGGGTCTTCAAGAAACACTTCTCAGTGGGGTCAGGATTTGATAATCAGATTTAGATTTGGGGAAGAGGAGAGGGAGTAGAGTAGTGTGGTGGTAGCAGAGGATTCATGCAGAAAGGTGGTGAGAAAGAAGGTAGGTGACGTATAATGCAGCTAGGTTGTCCAGCTTCTCAGAGAAATAGGTGAAGGAATTTAGACTTCATCCCATAAGGCATGACAAGGCACTGAAGTTTTTGAGAAGGGAAGTGGCAAAATAAAGAATGCTTTCATAAGTGTGAGAAATGGATTAAAAGGGAGACCAACTATAGAGAAGGAGAGCAGGTGCAATACTTTAAGTATATGGTATAGAAAGATTTTATAGTGAGGAAATGGAGGAGCGTCAGCTGTGTGGATAATTTTCCCAAATCTATTTAAACATCTACCAACACAAAAGAAAAGTAAAATATTGGCTTAAAAAAGACAACTCACAAAACACTTGTAAGACTTAATAACAGGTCATGAAACTAGATAGGGATTACACCAAACACTTTGCATTCCATTTTTTGTTTATCATTTTTAATCCCAGCAAAATCAAAATATTCTCATTTTTGAGAAAGCCTCTAAATGATTAAGCAACTTGTCCAAAGTTACGCAGCTGGAAAATGGCATGGCAAGAAGTGAAATCCAGGGCTCTTCTTGTCAGAGCCATGTGACTCAGAGCAACTCCATTTTAAATAGGAGCTGGATAAAATGAGGCTGAAACCTACTGGGCTGCATTCCCAGATGGTTAAGGCATTTGAAGTCACAGGATGAGACAAGAAGACAACACAAAACAGAGGTCATCACCAACATGGCACATGTATACATATGTAACAAACCTGCACGTTGTGCTCATGTACCCTAGAACTTAAAGTATAATAAGAAAAATACAGGTCATAAAGACCTTGCTAATAAAACAGGTTGCAGTAAAGGAGCCAGCCAAAACCCACAAAAACCAAAATGGCAAGAGTGACCTCCGGTGATCCTCAGTGCTACACTCTCACCAGCACCATAACAGTTAATAAATGCTATGGCAATGTCAGGAAGTTACCCTATATGGTCTAAAAATAATCCACTCCTTGTTTAACAAGAAATAACTGTAACAACAAAGCATCATCAAGAAATAACCATAAGAATGGGCAACCAGCAGCCCTCAGGGCTGCTCTGTCTATGGAGTAGCCATTCTTTTATTTCTTTACTTTATTAATAAACTTGCTTTCACTTTGCCCTGGGGACTGGCCCTAAATTTTTCCTGTGTGAGATCCAAGAACCCTCTCTTAGGGTCTGGATCGGGACCCCTTTCCTGTAACATTCTGACTCCAAAAGTCCAGACTCCAGTACAAATACAGGACCCAAAAAAATGATTAGGTTACAACAAATATTACACTAATATTGTATATAATAATGTTTTTATCTATTAAAAAGTATAAAGCTATGGACAGAGTGCTATTACATATATTAATCCTTTTCATCTCTATTAATACCCTTAGGCATACAGAGAAAATATCATTGCTCCTGTAGAGGGGTAATTTTTATCGGAAACAGAATCTATTACACTGAAAATAGGAAAGGGAAGTTAGTAGAAATATAATGAATTAGTTGGTCAATTTATTTTAAAAATTACATAGATCAAGGAGAACTCATGAAGAAACACAATGAAGAGAGGGAGAGGGCAGAACCCAGGAGAGTCTGCATTCGTGAGATAATAAAATTGAGGCAAGTCAAGATTATAATCGAACTGTGAGCAATGGATATCAGGTTTTTACAAGGACACACTACTCTCATCACTCTAGAATAAGCCCTATTGTATGAAGATAGCATTATAAGGAGGAAGGGCTAATATAAATGAAGTAGAGATGTGTAAAGGCAAAGCAACACAATGTGCATTCTAGCTCCACTCTGGGGAAAGTTCTGAGAAGGAGCTTGGGAGATGGTTATGCCATTGACATGGCACAATATTATAAGGGGGAAACATTAGTAATATGGGCATACCACAAAACTTAAGCTGGGCCTCAAATCTCAGGAATTTTGGAGGCAATAGACTAATATCTGAGCTGTCTTTACTCATGGTCAGGGCAAATAATAACCTTAATTTCTTGTCAGTGTCAATAGCATCACTGACAAGAAATTAAGCCTTTCGATGCAGAGAATGAAACCATAGAAAAAACTTCTCCCTATGACCATAGATCAAGAAACTGAGGCACAAGATTCCATGATTTATCTATAAACATACAGTTAGAAAACCTAGCATTAGAGTTCTCATGATTGGTAATCCATGATTTGCTTCTTTCTAGCTATGAAAGAAAGCTTGAAAATCGTTTGTAGTGGTCCAAGGCATTCAGTTCATTAGCTTTTACCAACAGAAAAGGAAAAGCCTGGGCATGGTGGCTCACACCTGTAATCCCAGTACTCTGGGAGGCTGAGGTGGGAGGACCACTTGAGCCCAGGGATTTGAGAACAGCCTGGGCAACATAGCAAGACCCCCATCTCTACAATAAATTAAAAAAAGATAGCTAGACATGGTGGCACCTACCTGTGGTTCCAGCTACTTGGGAAGCTGAACAGGAGGATTGCTTGAGTGTATGAGGCTGAGGCTGCAGTGGGTTGTAATTATGTCACTGCACTCCAGGCTAGGTAATGGAGCAAGATCTTGTCTCAAAAAAGAAAGGAAAGAAAAAAAGACACTTTCAAGGTTGCTTTAAAGAAAGATAATCTGGTGCAGAAAATGTGCCCTGAAATGCCTTATGTGCACATCATCTATTCTGGAACCGACTTGGGGTTGGATTAGAACTGCAGGTAGAAATCAGTGTGACAATTGGGGAGAACAGTGTGCCTAAGACATGCAGAATTCAGAATATCAAAGAACTGGGGGCTTCAGCAAGTGCATAATGGAAAGCACAAAGCCTAATGGAGCAAAAGATTCATTACATTGAACAGAAAAAGGGTAAGAAATCATTGAACGAATCAGTTGGAGTTGCTTCACCTAAGTGGTAGGGAAGTGTCAAAGCTAAAAGCAGACTAAAGAGATACAAGTGTAGACCCTGTTTTCAGCTATTCAATTTTTCTATTTCCCAAACCCATTTGACATGTAACTCTTCAAATCACCAGGTTCCTCAAAAAACAAACAACAACAAAAAAACAACAAAACATGAAGAAGCCAAATCTGGAGGATGAGTTTTCCAAATTAAACACTGAATATTGTTGTAGAGTAAAATGATACTGTTTGTAAAGAGATGTTTTTACTAGACATCCTCTTCCTAGCCACCTATTAAGGAATAACTAGAATATATATTAACAGCAAGACATCGGAAATTATCTTTGCACCTGACAAAATGTTAAGGTGAGAGGGGAAGCCAGCTGGGCTTCTGGGTTGGGTGGGGACTTGGAGAACTTTTCTGTCTAGCTAAAGGATTATAAATGCAGCAATCAGCACTGTGTAAAAATGCACCAAACAGCACTCTGTAAAATGGACCAATTGGCTCTCTGTAAAATGAACCAATCAGCAGGATGTGGGCTGGGCCAAATAAGGAATAAAAGCTGGCCACCCCAGCCAACAGCGGCAACCCACTTGGGTCCCCTTCCCCACTGTGGAAGCTTTGTTCTTTCACTCTTCACGATAAATCTTGCTGCTGCTCACTCTTTGGGTCTGCATTACCTTTATGAGCTGTAACACTCACTGTGAGGGTCTGTGGCTTCATTCCTGAAGTCCGCCAGACCATGAACCCACTGGGAGGAATAAACAACTCTGGACACACCACCTTTAAGAGCTGTAACACTCACTGCAAGGGTCTGTGGCTTCACTCCTGAAGTCAGCGAGACCATGAACCCACCAGAAGGAAGGAACTCTGGACACATCTGAACATCTGAAGGAACAAACTTCAGACACACCATCTTTAAGAACTGTAGCACTCACCGTGAAGGCCTGCAGCTTCATTCTTGAAGTCAGTGAGACCAAGAACCTGCCAGAGGAATACATTCCAGACACATTTTGGTGACCCAGATGGGACACATTTTGATGACCCAGATGGGACACATTTTGGTGACCCAGATGGGACTATTGCCTATCGCCAAGCAGTGAGTACCATTGGGCCCCTTTCATTACTATTCTGTCCTATTTTTCCTTAGAATTTGGGGGCTAAATACTGGGCACCTGTCGGCCAGTTAAAAGTGACTAGTGCAGCCATGGGACTAAAGACACGGGTGTCAGGCTTTCTCGGAAAGGGCTCTCTAACAACCCCCAATTCTTCAGAGTTGGGAGCGTTGGTTTTCCTGGAACCAGCTTCCGCTTTTCCTGTACTTCTGGGCTGAGCCGAGGGTTGACAGAGAGGAAAGCCATTCAGCTCCGGGGTCCTGACAACAAGTTGGTTGACCTGAGGCCATGAGCAGTACTCTCAAAGTCACGTTGCCCAAGCAAGACTCGCCCATCTATCCTATCTATCCTGACCCATGCCCCCTGGGTCCTAATGCCTGTCAGACAAACTTCCTCTCGCCTCTCTTCTCTGAGGCTAGTTCTGCTTCTAAAAACCACTCCCTGTCTCTGGTGCTTTTCTAGTTTTTCCTATAAGAATGATTTCTAGTATAAACTCCAGGACTCTATTCCCTTCTTTAGGCACCCAGGCTCACCAATCAGAAAGACATAATTTTTGCCCAAAGCCCAATCAGGTGGGGAGACCAACTATCCTTTTAGGATCCCTCCTCAGACTAGCAGACCTAACAAAAGCTATTCCTGAAGCTAGGATATGGGGAGCTTCAGAAATGATATCCTTCCTATTCAAGTGAGGACAAAAGGCATCACTCCTCCAACCCTAGAGATCCCTTCCTTCCCTCAGGGTATGGCAATCCACTTCATTTTCGGGGCATAACATCTTTATAGGATGGAGTAAAGTCCCAATACTAACAGGAGAATGCTTAGAACTCTAACAGGATTTTTATAATGTGTCGGTAAGGGCCACTAAATCCAATTTTTCTTGGTCCTCTTTGTGGTCTAGGAGGACAGGCAAGGGTGCAGGTTTTCGAGAATGCATCAGTAAGCGGCCACTAAATCTGACCTTCCTCAGTCCTCCTTGTGGTCTAGGAGGAAAACTAGTGTTTCTGCTGCTGCGTCGGTGAGCGCAACTATTCCGATCAACAGGGTCCGGGGACTGTTGCAGGTTCTTGGGCAAGAAGTGTTTCTACTGCTGCATCAGTGAGCACAACTATTCCAATCAGCAGGGTCCAGGGACCATTTGCAGGTTCTTGGGCAGGGGTAGAAACAAATCAAAACCATAGGCAGTTTTGTCTTTCAGATGGGAAACACTCAGGCACCAACAGGCTCACCCTTGAAATGCATCCTAAGCCATTGGGACCAATTTGGCCCAAAAACCCTGAAAAAGAGATGGCTCATTTTTTTCTGCACTGTGGCCTGGCCCCAATATTCTCTCTCTGATGGGGAAAAATGGCCACCTGAGGGAAGTATAAATTACAATACTATCCTGCAGCTTGACCTTTTCTGTAAGGCGGAAGGCAAATGGAGCGAAGTACTTTATGTCTAAGCTTTCTTTTCATTCAAGGAGAATCCACAACTATGCAAAGCTTGCAATTTACTTCCCACAGGAGGACCTCTCTGCTTACCTCCATATCCTAGACTCGCCATAGCTCCCCTTCCTATTAATGATAAGCCTCTCCTAATCTCCCCCACCCAGAAGGAAACAAGCAAAGAAATCTCCAAAGGATCACAAAAACTCCCGGGCTATCAGTTATGTCCCCTTCAAGCTGTAGGGGGAGGGGAATTTGGCCCAACCCAGGTACATGCCCCTTTCTCCCTCTCTGATTTAAAGCAGATCAAGGCAGACCTGGGGAAGTTTTCAGATGATCCTGATAGGTACATAGATGTCCTACAGGGTCTAGGGCAAACCTTCAATCTCACTTGGAGAGATGCCATGCTATTGTTAGATCAAACCCTGGCCTTTAATGAAAAAAATGTGGCTTTAGCTGCAGCCCGAGAGTTTGGAGATACCTGGTATCTTAGTTAAGTAAGTGATAGAATGACTACCGAAGAAAGGGACAAATTCCTTGCCGGTCAGCAAGCTGTCCCCAGTATGGATCCCCACTGGTACCTTGACTCAGATCATGGGGACTGGAGTTGCAAACATCTGTTGACCTGTGTTCTAGAAGGACTAAGGAGAATTAGGAAAAAGTCCATGAATTATTCAATGATGTCCACCATAACTCAGGGAAAGGAAGAAAATCCTTCTGCCTTCCTCGAACAGCTATGGGATGCCTTAAGAAAATATACTCCCCTGTCACCTGACTCACACGAGGGTTAATTGATTCTAAAAGATAAGTTTATTACCCAATCAGCCACAGCTATCAGGAGAAAGCTCCAAAAGTGAGCTCTGGGCCCTGAACAAAATCTGGAGGCATTATTAAAACCTGGCAACCTCAGTGTTCTATAATAGGGACCAAGACAAACAGGTCCAAAAGGAAAGCAAGATCAGAGAAAGGCCACAGCCTTAGTCATGGCCCTCAGACAAACAAACCTTGGTGGTTCAGAGAGGACAGAAAATGGAGCGGGCCAATCAACCAGTAGGGCTTGTTATCAGTGTGGTTTACAAGGACACTTTAAAAAAGATTGTCCAATGAGAAACAAGCTGCCCCCTCGTCCATGTCCACTATGCCAAAGCAATCACTGGAAGGCACACTGCCCCAGAGGGCAAAGGTTCTCTGGGCCAAAAGCCCCCAACCAAATGATCCAAAAACAGTATTGAGGGTGTCCGGGGCAAGCGCCAGCACATGTCATCACCCTCACTGAGCCCCATGTACTTTTGACCATTGAGGGCCAGGAAATTGACTTCCTCCTGGACACTTGCCCAGCTTTCTCAGGGTTAATCTCCTGTCCTGGACAGCTGTCCTCAAGGTCCGTTACCATCCAAAGAATCCTGGGACAGCCTGTAAGCAGGTATTTCTCCCACCTCCTCAGTTGTAATTGGGAGACTTTGCTACATATAGTAAGTATGTGTATCTAATCCTATATGCCCATGCTGCAATATGGAAAGAAAGGGAGTTCCTAACCTCTGAGAGAACCCCCATTAAATATCACAAGGAAACCATGGAGTTATTGCACACAGTGCGAAAACCCAAGGAGGTGGCAGTCTTATGCTGCTGAAGCCATCAAAAGGGGAAGGAGAGGGGAGAACAGCAACATAAGCAGCTGGCAGAGACAGGGAAAGACCAACAGAAAGGAAAGAGAAAGAGACAGAAAGAGAGAAAGAAGGAGTCAAAGAGAGAGACAAAGTCAAAGAGAGAGAGGAAGAGACAAAGAGGGAGTCAGAAAGAGAGAGACAAAGAAGAAGTCAAAGAAAAAGAAAGAGAGATGGAAGTAGTAAAGAAAAAAACAGTGTACCCTATTCCTTTAAAAGCCAGGGTAATTAAAACCTATAATTGATAATTGAAGGTCTTCTCCATGACCCCATAACACTCCAATACCACCTTGTTGTCAGTGTAAACAAGGGCATAGCCTGAAAGCACTGAGGCCACTGACAACCCATAGCCTTCCTATTAAAAACCTTAATCCAGCAGGTGTCCTAACAGGGGATCTAAATCTTAATTAATTACCATACAAAGGTCTGACCAGACCAAGGAGGAACTCCCTTCAGGACAGGAGGACAGATGTTTCCTCCAAGGAGATTAAGGGGAAAAAACGCAGTGAGTATTCAGTAAATGGTAAGGAAACTCTTGTAGAAGCAGAGTTAGGAAAATAACCTAATAATTGGTCTGCTCAAATGTGCGAGCTCTTTGCACTCAGCCAAACCTTAAAGTACTTACAGAATCAGGAAGAAGCCATCTATATGAATTCTAAGTTAATATGGACTGAATGAGGTCTTATTAATAGCAACGAATAATTGAAATCCCAAACTTACAAGGTTTCCAACAAAAGTAAAGTTTGCTAAAAGTTAACAGTGTAACATGTATTATCCTACTACCACACATTCTCAAAGGATTTCTCAGACAGTTTGCAAGAAATAACAAAATCTATCCTTCCTCTACAATCCCAAATAGACTCTTTGGCAGCAGTGACTCTCCAAAACTGCTGAGGCCTAGACGTCCTCACTGCTGAGAAAGGAGGATTCTGTACCTTCTTAGGGGAAGAATGTTGTTTTTACACTAACCAGTCAGGGATAGTACAAGATGCCACCCGGCATTTACAGGAAAAGGCTTCTGAAATCAGACAACACCTTTCAAACTCTTATACCAACCTCTGGAGTTGGGTGACATGGCTTCTCCCCTTTCTAGGTCCTGTGACAGCCATCTTGCTATTACCCCTTTGGGCCCTGTATTTTTAACCTCCTTGTCAAATTTGTTTCCTCTAGCATCAAGGCCATCAAGCTACAGATGGTCTTACAAATGGAACCCAAAATGAGTTCAACTAACAACCTATACCAAGGACCCCTGGACTGACCAGCTGGCCCTTTCACTGGCCTAAAGAGTTCCCCTCTGGAGGACACTACAACTGCAGGGCCCCTTCTTCACCCCTATGCAGCAGGAAGTAGCTAGAACGGTCATCACCCAATTCCCAACAGCAGTTGGGGTGTCCTGTCTAGAGGAGGAATTGAGAGGTGAAGCCAGCTGGGCTTCTGGGTCGGGTGGGAACTTGGAGAACTTTTCTGTCTAGCTAAAGAATTGTAAATGCACCAATCTGCACTCTGTAAAAACACACCAATCAGCACTCTGTGTCTAGCTAAAGGATTGTAAACACACCAATCAGCACTCTGTAAAAACGCATCAATCAGCACTCTGTAAAATGGACCAATCAGCTCTCTGTAAAATGGACCAATCAGCTCTCTGTAAAATGGAACAACCAGCAGGATGTGGGTGGGGCCAAAAGGAATAAAAGATGGCCACTCCAGCCAGCAGCTGCAACCCGCTTGGCTCCCCTTCCATGCTGTGGAAGCTTTGTTCTTTTGTTCTTCACAATAAATCTTGCTGCTGCTCACTCTTTGGGTCCACACTACCTTTATGAGCTGTAACACTCACTGTGAGGGTCTGTGGCTTCATTCCTGAAGTCAGCGAGACCACAAACCCACTGGGAGGAACAAACAACTCTGGACATGCCACCTTTAAGAGCTGTAACACTCACTGCGAAGGTCTGAGTCTTCATTCCTGAGGTCAGCGAGACCATGAACCCACCAGAAGGAAGAAACTCCGGACACATCTGAACATCTGAAAGAACAAACTCCAGACACACCATCTTTAAGAATTGTAACACTGCAAAGGTCTGTGTCTTCATTCTTGAAGTCAGCGAGACCAAGAACCCACCGGAAGGAATAAATTCCAGACACAAGGGGATTCTGAAAGTATCTGGATTCTATTTTTTTTTAATTTTTATTTATTTATTTATTTATTTATTTATTCATTGAGACAAGGTTTTGCTCTGTCACCCAGGTTGGCTTGCAGTAGCACAATCATGCTCACTGCAGCCTCAACCTCCCAAACTCCAGCAGTCCTCCCACGTCAGCCTCCCAAGTAGCTGAGATCACAGGCACATGATACCATGCCTGGCTAATTTTGTATTTTTGGTAGAGACAGGGTTTCACCATGTTGCCCAGGCTGGTCTTGAACTCCTGAACTCAAGTTATCCACCCACCTCAGCCTGTCAAAGTGCTGGGGTTACAGAAAAACAAGAGCCACTGTGCCCAGCCTCTAAAAGTATCTGGTGCTATTCAGATTTTTGCTTATTCTAACTTGTGAGTTCTTCGCGTCTTATCAAGATAGGAAGCTTTCTCCTGAAGGTTACAATATAGTGAGGCAATATTACCAAGTAAACAAGTGGTAATGCTATGTTGTTTCTAGGCAAAATTTTCTTGGAACTCCCCATGGGGGATTTGGAATGCTCCCCACAGGAACATCTTTCTAGAAGATATTTATGTTTATACCACAAAATGTACTTGAATGTTTTTCTATATCAGTTTGAATTATTTTGGATGCAAGTTATGGAATCCAGACTGAAAGTGACCTAAACAATGGTGACATTTATCTTACATACAAAGAAATTCAGTAGTGGGAATTTCCACCGTTGGCTAGCTCAGCAGCTCGTGATGTCAGGGTTCTGAGTATGCTTCTCTGAAATTCTCTTTACTTTCTCCTCATGGTCACAAAATAAATCCTGTAGCTTCAAGCATCACATCCTCACAGAAGGAGGTCTAAAGGCAAGGAGGAAAAAGGATTTCTCCTCATCTGCTTGACTTTTTTTTTTTCTTTTGAGAAAAGGTCTTGCTATGTTTCACAGTCAGGTCTTAAACTCCTAGGCTCAAGCAATTCTCCCACCTCAACTTCCTGAGTAGCTAGGATTCTAGACATGTACCACCATATCTGGCTTGCTTCACTTTTTGAAAAAAAGAAAGAGCTTTCCAGAAATTCCAGCTGTGTTTCCATCATGTTTCATTGGCTTAGGACTGGGCCACATGCCACTCTTAAACCAGTCACTGGTAAAGAAGAAAGAGATCACCAATACTGGTTTAAACCAATCATAATGTATCCCCAGAGATGAACCTATCTTTCCTGAGCCTATTACTGTCCTACTCTTAAAATAACTGTAGTGTTGTCAGAAAGGAAAATGAGAGGGATGGTTGTTGAAAAGACAGTTAACAAGTTCAACTTATCATTTATAGATATTTTCCTTCTACTTGAAGGTCTATTTCAAAATTTGTATTTAGTATTTATTAAGAAAACAACAGGCTGGGCACAGTGGCTCATGCCTGTAATCCCACCTCTTTGGGAGGCCAAGGCAGATGGATTACCTGAGGTCGTGAGTTTGAGACCAGCCTGGTCAACATGGTGAAACCCCGTCTCTACTAAAAATACAAAAATTAGCCAGGCATGGTGACATATACCTGTAATCCAAGCTACTCAGGAGGCAGCTGTAGGAGAATTGCTTGAACCCGGGAGGTGGAGGTTTCAGTGAGCCCAGGTTGTGCCATTGCACTCCGGCCTGGGCAACAGAGCAGGACTCCATCTCAAAAAACTAAAAAAAAAAAAAAAAAAGGAAAAAGAAAAACAACAACAACCTATAAACTGTTTTGAATGAAACAAATACATTTCAATCCTATCCTCAAAGGGACTTGTATCTGGAATGAAACGAGAGGCATGTATAGGAAACAGGACAAGAGAATGAACAAAAAGTTAAGGGGGCAAGAAAAAGTAAAATGTAGAATGAATGTGGACTTCCCAGATTCCAGGTTCCAAACTGAATGAACTTTGGTGTGCTATCAAAGAAGAATTTATTTTAAATCCTATCCTAGGGGTATAGTTAATTTTATTTAAAAATATTTTACTGAGATCTGTATCTCCTTGGGTCATAGTCTAAATGAAAACCTGGAGGTATAAGAATGGCTTAGGTAAAAGTATTTTACCTCTCTTTGTTCATTATATTTTATTTTCTTAAAAGAGCTGTGTGCTTATTCAAGGAGAGAAGACGATTTTGAAAATGAGATGTTGGCAAGAGGTGCAGTCCCTCAGTGCTTCACTGTGGACCCTAGAGGTTCCATCCCTGCTGCCTGGGCCCATCTGTCATAGCACCTGTCCACATTTTGGGTGCCACCACTAATGACATCTTGTTGGGTGAATCTTTCTTTCCTAATATCCTATAAATCCATAATCTCATTTCAGGAATATACTGAGGACGGGAGGTGTGGGATAAACAAAAGGACTTCAAAAAATTCACAGAAAAATAAAATTAAAAGATAGAAATACAATACATAAACTTTTTCAATGTAAGTTTCATCAATGCCAAGATGTTTTTGTAAGCAATGATACCAACCATGTAGTCCATCCGTGAAAGAATTGAGGGCCCTGGGAATTTAACCTTGTCAATGCAGTGTTTTGTTTTTTTACATTATTAACCTAAGAAAAATGGATGCCCTTTAAATTTTTTTTAAGATTAGAAAACAAAAAGAATTCATAAGGAAGCAAATTAGGACTGTAAAGTGGATGCCTAATGATTTTTTCACTGAAACTCTCACAAAAGTGCCCTTGTTTGATGGGAGGAATGAGCAGGAACATTGTGGTGGTGGAGAAAGACTGTCTGGTGAAACTTTCCTGGGGGTTTTTCAGCTAAAGCTTTGGCTGACTTTCTCAAAACACTCTCGTAATAAGATGTTATCACTCTTTGGTCCTCCAGAAAGTGAACAAGCAAAATGCCTTCATCATCCCCAAATAATGTTACCATGACCTTTGCTTTTGACTGGTCCACTTTCGTTTTGACTAAGACCACTTTCACCTCTTGGTAGCCATTATTTTGATTGTGTTTTGTCTTCAGGATTGTACTAGTAAAGCTGTGTTCCATCATCTATTACAACTTTTCAAATAAATCCTTCAGGATGTTGATCCATTTGTTTAAAATTTCCATTGAAACCTCTGCCCTTGTTTCCCAGCTGATCTGGGCTACACAGTTTTGGCACCCATCAAGAGGAAACTTTGCCCAACTTTAATTTTTTAGTCAGCATTGTGTAAGATGAACCAGTTGAGATGTCTATAGATTGCCTCCAAATTTAAGTCCATCCTTTTTATGTATACTTCTGAAGAAAAAATTACTTCTTCACTAATATGTTCTAGCATTTCTTCTTTCCATGGAAGACCACAATTTATATGAAAGGAGTTAATTAAAACGTGCACTTGAGACTGCTAATTTTATGACAGCCTGGGTATTGCTTGGCAAAACAATAAGGATAATATCTGACTGAAATAAATAAACTTATACTTGAGAGAACTTTATGGTAGGCAACCTGCTGAGGAAAGAGATACCAGCAGGACATTGTGTTGACCAATTTCATGTGTCAACTTGGCTAGGGCATGGTGCTCAGTTGTTCGGTCAAATAGCAGTCTAGATGTTGCTGTGGAGGCATCTTGTAGATATGATTAACATCTATAATCAATCGAATTTAAGTAAAGGAGTTTATCCTTAATAATGTGGTTGGGCCTCATCTAATCAGCTAAAGGCCTTAAGAGCAGAGACCAAGGTTTCCTGGAGAAGAAAGAATTCTACCTCAAGACTGTAACATGGAATTCTGCCTGAGGGCCAGGTGTGGTGGCTCATGGCTGCAGTCTCAGCACTTGGGAGGCCAAGGTGTTTGGATCGCTTGATGCCAGAAACTCGAGATCAGCCTGGGCAACATAGGAAGTTTCCATCTAAAACTAAATAAGTTAAATAAATTAAATAAATCCTGCCTGACTTTCTAGCCTGCTCTACAGACTTTGGAGAATCACATTAGCAAATTGCTTAAAACAAATCTCTCTTTCTGTCATGTTGGTCCTGTGTTTCCTCTGGACAAACTTGATTGATAAAGAGATTAATTCAATAAAAAGAAAAATGACTAGAAGGGCTTTAAAATGGTATAATTTCATAAAACTAAAAGATTAAGAAAAAAAGCCTTCACAGAATTAACCTGGGCAGGGCAGAATTAGGAGCATCAACAGGGGGTTTTCTTTACAGAATGTAAGGCCTCATTCACTCCTCCTGTGGCCAAGCTCTAAGGGTATATTTTGCAATAGAACGGAGATGTGTTGCTGCCCAAAATGAGGAAGAAATGAGGAAGTCCAAGGTCTAGAATTCAGCACTGGGTAGTTCTTTTAAAACCTGGTATCTACAAAAACAGATCCTACATTTTAATTCTTATCAATCTAGATTCAGAATTTGGCTGGATGCTCCTAAAGAGCTACTGAAATAGACTCAATGGCAGCTACGATGCCCAACAGAAGCAGCGATGCCTGGTGCACATAGCAGGTTGCTAGCAGGAGTCATCTGGGGTGATTCACCTGTCTTGTTGGTGAGGATATGGACATCATCTGGGGACTCTCAGAAATCCCTGAAGTGATATAGAGTCCCACATGAGCTTGCCTGTGGTGTTTTACAAACCAATAACGTAGTGTTCATAAACCAAAGTCACTTGGAGGTAAGTAGCTGCTACAGTAGATTGTAAGCATCAGAACTGTTTTATATATCATATAATTCCCATGTGCTTATCACTATTCAAAACATTAATATCCACAGCAGCTATACCCAGCCTAGTAGCTCACAGATCAGCCTATAATGAAATTTTCAGTATTGCAAAGTAATAATATTAATACAAGAGTACCCAAGTAAAAATTATCTTTTTGTGCAAGCAGAAATTCAACTCTTGAGAATTAGTTCCTTGCCTTAAAGTTTAAACAATTTTAAAATCGTCACAAGCTTAAACACAAACAACCACACAGGGCTCCAAAAGAAGAGTCTTTTTTTTTTTAAATGGTGACTCAGCCTGACTTTTGTGACTAATTAAGCACAAATTTCACCAAGCAGAACACACTTATGCTTTTAAGTCTGGGCTGGAGAGGGACCATTTTTTTGCAAACAATTGCTCCTGTCACAACAATAAGAATTTCAATATAGAGTGAATTTTGTAGTCACTATTATTTTAAGTATTCTCCCATCCCCACCGAAAGTGGGTCATTGAAATAATGACCAGATGAAAATTATAGGAATAACTATTCCTATACCATTTGACCACATTTCTACTGACATACAAATAAGCTAATACCTACATCTATAATGCACAAGATTTCTCTTTTCCTTCCTTGTTCCCCTGATTTTTTCCTTCAGTCTTCCCTCCCTTCATCTCCTGTACCCCAACCAATAGCCTCTCTCACCTTAACTCTTAAATCTTCTCCTGCTCACAAACACCACCAAAAAAAAAAAAAAAGAAAAAAAAAAGATGCACTAGCAGAGGATCCATTACTAAGTCCAGAGCAGAAGTTCCCAGATTATCAACCCACTCACAGAGGTTAAACTCCAGCAGCTGGGAGGGGGAGAAAATGACACTTGGCTTTCTGTTTCTGTAGCATCCTTGCCCCTAGTGCTCTCTGTACAGGAAAGGCCAAGATCTCACAAGGTAGGAAGTTGTTTCCTTGCTGAAACAGCATGAATGTTTATGGGTCATTAATCTTTGAGAAATGGTTGACATTTCCTATCCTCCAGCAGTAGGTATCCAGCAAGAATTATTTAAATTCATTCAATTTTTTAAACTGCACCTACAACATTCCAGGCATTGTCAAGTTCTACGTAAAGACATTGATGAACAAGACATAGAGATCCCGGTCCTGAAGAAACTTACAGCCTGACCATGACAAAAGGGCCTACTCTCAAATATCTATAATGTTGACTGGCACAATCTAGTATTTTCCTTCACTTGTTCATGTCAATAAAGGAAAATAAAAAGTCTCAGGACCCCCGAAATCCTCATGCAAAAGGGAAGGTTAAGCCTGGAAGCTGTCAGGCAACATCTTCTTCCAAATGCACGGCTGTTAGGAGCATTATGCATTAGCCAGGTTCCCGGGAAATGTTGAAAGGCAACAGGCATGTAGGAAGGGCTGTCCCATGACTCATTCATAGCAGTTGTAACTGTAGCTCTGCAAATGTAAGTCTAGCCCCTAAAACTAAAGTCTGTTGGGTTCCACACTGATAATGTCGATTACAAGCTTATCTTCTCAAGTGCAGAATAAAGGCAAGAGGTGATCAGTCATTCCTCCATCTACCAGAGAAGTCTGCATAATTGACTCTTCCTTTACTCTCTTTTTCTCTTCAAACACACACCTTATGTTATGTAAAATGCAGAGGTACTGGTCAGGAACTAAAGTCTCACAGGAATGTAACAATTTGCCTTGCAATCTACCTGCCCCTCTTCCTACATGCCTTTCCCTTCTTTAAGGAAATGTATAAATACTAAACCTCCCTAAAACTTCTTCAGAAAAATGGCCATAGATGCATCTGTGGAATGTGTTTTGCCCAGACAAGCCCTAAAGCTGGCTTAATAAAACTTGATTGATTGAGATTGTTTTTCCTCAGTTAATGATACTTCGATATCTTTTGTCTAGACCCAGTTATAGTCTGCAATTTAGGCTTAAGGTTTTTCAAAATCCAGAACTTTTAGTTTTTCTTTCCTAAAATCAGAGTATTGGTCTTTTAGAGGTAAGGAAGATTAATGATTGGGAGGTAGAAAGAAGAGCACACATTTGTTGGTGACCCCATCCCTGTTTCCAATAAGTGTGTCTGAGACCTAAGGGTCAAAGGCAACCACTCGCACCAGCTTCCTTATTCACGTGTTCCAGGTGCACATGTAAAATACTGTGTTCTCATGTTCAGATGTCTGTTCTTCAGCAAGCTCCTTTCTTCACCACCTACAGAACTTGCCCAAGAAACCAGTATTTCTAGACTCATCCTTTTTCTTTCCCATTAGCTTCAGAATTGTAAAATATTCTCAAGAAGGTTTTCAGGCCGGCTTATACCTGGAAAAACTTACAGATCTACTTGAAGCCTCTCTAAGCTCCCGGACTAGTAAATTTCCAAAAAATCAGCTTTCAAGATGATTTTCCGTTGGGTCTGATGAAGATTCTACCCTTCACTAGACTCTACCCAGGCTCCTCTGAGCCCTCTTCTCAACTAGATCTCAACTGTGGTCTATAAAGGCTTAACACTAACATAGTTTCCAACAGCTCAACCCCACATCCCAAAGGTGTTCTTCACTAGCCTTAAAGTGCTGGCCTGAGAAAACTCAAGACTGCCAAATGAATCTGCGTTTTTTCCAGGCATCACCTGAAGATAAGGCCCCTGTCTCCTAGTCTCTGTGGGAAGGCGAGAACCTAGCTTGGATAAGCGCCAGTCAAAAAACCCACATGGTTTCCCATGGACCAACTCCACTTTACCACTTTTGGGAATTTTTCACTTTCCTAACTGAGCCCCTACTTTCCCCTCTCCCTAATTCCTTCTTTTATCCTTAAAATGCCCAGTCACTTCTGTACAACTCGAAGTTGAATTTTGTTCACACTGGACTCTTTTCCCTATTGAAATAGTTATCACTGATTAAAATCTGTCCTTACCACTTTAACTAGTGTCCAGCTTTGCTTATCTTTGTGAAGATCAAGAACTGATATAATTCAAGGTGATACCATCAAGGGGAGTGAATTCGTTCAGGATAGAATAGACTGCTGTGATGAAAATAACTCTCCAAATCTTAGTGATTTAACCTGTTAAAGGTGTATTTCTCACACATGTAAAATCTGAAGCTGTCCTCCAGACTACACCACTTTTGTGACTTTGTTCTTTCAACAGAACTTTTTTTTCCCTATTCGGGAAGAGATTGGAGGATTGTGCAGGAACTTACACTGCCTTATCCCAGAAGTGACAGCCACAACATCCAACCATATTTCCATGGCCAAAACATGTCCTATGGCTTCACCTAACCACAAATTAGCTGAAAGGTGGAATCTACAATATGTCCAAGAATGAAAATAGAGACGTCATTCAAGGACCTATAAAATGGGTGAGGATGGGCAGGATAGGGGGGGGATGGCTCAAATCTAAAGAATCATTTCCTCCCTATTTCCCGTTTTATGACCTGTGACCAAGACAGGTCCTAGGCCTTTGAAGTCAAGGCACTCTCTGCCTTTGCAAAAATGTTACTACCTCATCTCAGACCCTTTCCACTCCACCCAGAAACAACTGATCTTTTCTACAATTGAGATTAAGATAAACCATTAATATAGTTTGGATTTGTGTCCCCGCCCAAATCTCATGTCAGATTGTAATCCCCAGTGTTGGAGGAGGGGCCTGGTGGGAGGCGACTGGATCATGGGGGCAGATTTCCCTCTTGCTGTTCTTGTGATAGTGAGTGAGTTCTCATGAGATATGGCTGATTAAAAGTGTGCAGCACCTCCCCCTTATCTTTCTTCCTCCTGCTCCAGCCATGTAAGATGTGCCTCCTTCTTCTCCACCTTCTGCCATGATTGTAAGTTTTCTGAGGCCTCCCCAGCCATGCATCCTGTAGAGCCTGTGGAACCATGAGCCAATTGAACTTCTTTTCTTTATAAGTTACCCAGTCTCATGTAGTTCTTTATAGAAATGTGACAATGGACTAACACATCCCTATCACAGAAAACAACCATGTCGGCAGATGGCGGTCATAAAGGCAGGGTTATAAGAATCAGGGAGAATTAAAAATGAGGACGTAGGTATTAATATATATTTATTAACATGAAAAGGTGTTTACTACACATTCATAAGGGAGAAAATTGTGTATTGGTACATATGGCATATGTATAGTATAATCCTGTGTGTGTGTTTATGTATATGTATACGTATATACATATTCTATGTAAATAGGGAAAAGTCTGAAAGAGTATTCCAACATGTGAACTGCATGGGTGAAGGAGATTTTCCTTCACCCTAGGAAGGTTCACTGAAAAATCAACTCACAAAAAGACAGATTAATACGAGAAAAGGGTTTACAAATTTATTCCTACCCTGCACATGAGGGGAATAACAGAGTGACTGCCTAATATCCCAATGGGGTTCAGAAGCTTATATACCATCTTGAGGTTACAGAAAGACTGGGGGCTTGGATTCTGGCAAAACAGATTAAGGGAGGGGGAGAAGAGGAATTCTGTTGAAGGGCAATAAATGGAAAATGGTTTGATGGAGGAACAGAGATTAGCTTGTAAATAGTTCTATTTGCAAGTTGAATGATCCTTGTAGACAAACATAATCTTGTGAAAGGATCTGTTCATGTATGATTACATTCTTTGTCTTCTTTTCTGCAGTGAATAATGACATGGGAAGGGAATGGAACAATTGTCCTCCTTGGTAGGTCCTTCCTATCCTTACGTAGATGGGAGAAAGTCTCTTCCAGGGCCTGTTGATCTCTAAGGGTCTTTAATTCAAAATATCCATTATACCAGGGAGCCATATTTTGGGGTGAAATTTCCTGTGCTCCTTCAGAAATAAAAGTTCCTGCACTCCTTCTGACTTATTAGACATGGTGATTTTTGATAGTAGAATTGATACTGGTGGGTTGGAGGAGGTCCTCAAATGCCTGTGGGACCTTGACTCCAGATCCCCAAATGCTAGTGGGACCATGACATCATTGTGAGAGTCAATTCAAGGATGAGCCAGAAAATAGTGAAAGTACAGAGATTTATTGCAAAGGGAAAAGCACACACTCAAGGAAGGGGAGTACAGGCATACTGGAGAGAGTCACTTAGTGGAGCTTGGGGTTTCTACCTTTATGGGTTTCTTTAATCAGGGGGTGTAATATTCATAAAAAATTCCTGAAAAAATGTGGAGATTTCTCAGAACTGTGGTGTCACCTATTTCTATACCAAATATGGGTGGTCACGGAACTGCCACAGCTCTGGTGGGTGTGTGATTCAGTGTGTTAATGAGCATATAATGAGGCCCTAGGTGAAACCTAGATCAAATCCAGTGCCATGTTGGGTCCAGTCAGTCTTAGCCAGCTTGGCCCATATCCTGGTTTTCAGGGTCTTACCAGCCGATAGACTCTAGTCATATGAAACTACTGCCTGGAATTTGTATTCTCCTGGGACCACCCTGTATTATTCCTGTCTCAGAATCAAATGTGAGTTTCTTTTACATTTTTTCTTTGTATTTTCTAATTATGATATCATAAACAGGGATTATGTGCACAAAAATTAATCATGGGTGTCCTAGGAGACCCCCTTCCCTCAGTTTAGTCAACAAAGGAGAGGAACCTCCACACTGCAATACTTAGGTATGGGGAGGATGGATTTGGTGGTGCCTTGGCAGCAATGATGATCAAGATCAGCTTTGTGCTGAGCCATATTGGATGCAAAAGGCAAATCAGTAATACTGATCCTGAACACAGTGAGACCCCGTCCTTAAATAAAATAAAATTTTGCTATTTTATTTATGTTAAAGAAAAAATTATTTAATGATCACTTGCTAAAGAATGTAAGGCAGACTTTATCCAAGGGGGTCATGGTGATAGGTGTAGGAACCATTGCAGTGAGGTCTTACAGTCGGGGACAGAGACTGGGCTCCGTTCAACTCCAACAAAGATAAGTGGGGATTTATAACAAAGGAGCAGGGTGGGGAGATAAAAAATTACTAAGAGGAAACATCAAGAATCACAGAGTTTCTGGCTAAACTGGCTTGGCAGCATTATTACTGAAGGTATGCTAGTGGGAAAAGCCATCTAAGGTGGTCATTACCAAGGGTGGGGGCTTTTCACAAAACTGGCTTAGCAAGACTCTTGCTCAAACTGGATTCTACAAGGATAGAAATGGAAGCCGAAGGTTGAACATAGTCAAAAAGGACTCAGAGGAGCCTGACTTAAGTTTTGGTCAAAGGAGAGAGTCTTGAAAATTCATCATGAATTTTTATTTTGCATTCATTTGGATTTTTTTTTTTTGAGGCAGAGTCTCACTCTGTACCAGGCTGGAGTGCAGTGACACGATCTCAGCTCACGGCAACCTCCGCCTCCCCGCTTCAAGCGATTCTCCTGCCTCAGCCTCCCAAGTAGCTGGAACTACAGGTGTATGCCACCACACCCAGCTAATTTTTGTATTATTGGTAGAGACAGGGTTTCACCATGTTGGCCAGGATGGTCTCGATCTCCCGACCTTGTGATCCACCCGCCTCGGCCTCCCAAAGTGCTGGGATTACAGGTGTGAGTCACCACACCTGGCCATTAGTTTGGATTTTTAAACTATTTCATTAAAATATTCTTTTGACTACTGAGGTTTTTTGGCATCCCTTTTACATTTGGTGGCCAAGACAAGAACCTCTCTAACCTCACCCCAGTCCTGCCCTGGACCTCATCTGAGAGGGAGAGGGAGGTGTCTGGGACGGGTCAAGAAACCAGAGAGTTCTGAGAAATGACCCCACCAATGAACACACGAGGCAGATGATTATAACGTAGTGCAGAGAAAACAGGAGACGATGTTGGAGAACTCTGATTTAAACAGGTGTGGGAAAGATAAGTTTTGAAGCCCAGAACAGATAGCTATATTGAGTATTAAAATTTGGACGGGATAAAACGACATCTTCACTTTAAGATGTAAAATGTATTCTTGGATGAATTAGCTGGTGTCAACAGCATTTGAAAGGTACAAGTACATGATGCTAACAAAGTTGATAATAAGTTGTTAAAAAGAAAACATAGGGAACCATCACATACAATAAAGGATGAGCTTAATTTTTTTTAAGGTATTTATTTTAGGATTCGAAGGTTACACCTAAAAATGTGACTGGTGATTATCTCTGAGCAGTATCATTCTAGGAGATTTTCTTTTCTTCTGTAGATAAATGAAGTAACTATTGTTCTCTCTACTCAGAGCACAATCCTTTTTCTACTTTTCTGTGTAACACAGCACCTTTTCTTTATGGGTAACCCACTCTGAGCTTTGGATAGTTGGACGCCTCTCAACACTGAGTGATGAGAAGGGCATGTGACCTAGGCCCAGCCAGAAGGCTCTGGTAAACTTCTGGCCACAGTAATTCGTTCAGGACTGGAGCTTGGCCCATTAGCATATGCCCTGGAAACAGCAAAAATAAGGTCTAAGGATTAAGGATAGCAGAATATGCCATTCCAAAATATGCCAGTTTGACGTATTGATTATTTTGAGCTGAAGCCAGTTGAGAAGAAACAGATACAATAAAACTTTCTGCTCCCCCCCATTTGCCTATAAGCAGGAAATAAATTTGGAAAGATGTCCCCTGCCCCAACAGAAAGTACCTCAGTTAATCATCAGAGACAACTGTAAACATTTACCAGCCTGGAGATGGCACCAGAGGCATCTGTATAACAAACCTTACTAACTAACCCTTATCTTCCATTTGTTCCTCCATATATTTCCACAACTTGCTGTCCTAGAAACTCAAAGTCTTTTTCCTTTGTCTTGTGACTTCTCTCAAAATGTATTGTTCTTTTGCTTAGATGCTATAAAGGCCAAAGCCACTACTTTGAATTACTTATCACTGAGCACTTACATCTGTATGTATTATGTATATGTTAATAGAATTCTGTTTGTGTTTCTTGCACTAATAACTTTGTCAGTCTATAAATTAGGGCCCCAGCTAGAGAACCTAGAAAGATACAGGGAAAAAAGTTTTTTCACTCCCCTGCATGGATCATATCAGCTGATAAGCCATTCTTAACTTGGGGCTTCCAGCGTGACTCATTATTGTTGTTTTGCCACCTCATTGAGACAGCCCTTTGACACAAAGCCAAGAGACAAGAAAGCAGAAATAAAATGGAGGCGGAAGGAGAGATTTTCTCAATCAATATTCTCTCTAGAGATAAGATTATCATTAGACATAGCATTGCCATGTTGGGGCAAAGAAAATGATACTCTTCAAAATGACAATTTGGCATGCTGAGTGCTTTGAATTAAAGAAAGTTGAAAAGTCTCAGAAATCAACCTCAGCACGAAGTTATTTCTCTGACCTTCCCCATCCCTCTGTCTCTCTAATCCTCTCTCCTGCCCCCCTTCCCCCAGCGCCCAAAGCATCTGATGAACTGTCTTTGGAATCCCCTTCTCTAAGAAAACTTTCGAAGAGAAATGTAATTTTCTTAAGACCTCCTCCCTAAGAATCTCATCAAGTAACCCCAAAAGATGAACCACCAGAGAAGAGAAGAGACTGGAAGTCATCACCACACCCAGACACAGTTTTCATTTATTCTTCTGAGGGCCGCTCTGAGAGATTACCTAAGAGGCTTTATCTGCATAACAAGACAACTTTTGTTCACAGCGAAGTTCCTCCCCTCACCTTCCTACCACCTTCCCCAGAGCTTACAGGAATTTTGTCCCAGGCCATTGTTCTTTGGGCTCAGTCTTTTCCCCTGAATTATTTACTCCCACAACCCCATCTTTTCTTCTCCTTTGAAGAAGGATATATAAACATCTGAACCTCACTGGTTATTAGGTAATCATTCTTCTACAATTCTCTTGAATTTTGTATGCCATTTTTTCCTACCAATATGATTTTGTCAATTCATTTTCATCAAACCTTCAGAGGACAGAGGAGAAGGGTTTCCCTCTCTAACCCTACAACCATTAGATCCAGATTTGCCTAGAACTTCACTAATCTCTTGACTTTCTATTTAGGTAAGCAAACAAATTATTCCTTGGTTCATGTTAGTTGGGATGGGTTTTAATCACCTGATAACAAAAGATTCCTGACTAATACACCTTTTTGTACTTTTTTCATTTTCCAACATTTTATTATAAATATATATTGTTTCAGTAATTGAATAAGAATAGCTATTCTTAAAATAATTATATAGGCAGATCTAAGTTCTGGTTAGAGTAGCACTGTTAAAGTATTCTAGGCTGGGCACGGTGGCTCATGACTGTAATTCCAGCACTCTGGGAGGCTGAGGCAGGCGGATCACCTGAGGTTAGGAGTTCAAAGCTAGCCTGGCCAACATGGTGAAACCCCGTCTCTACTAAAAATACGAAAATTAGACGGACGTGATGGCAGCTCTCTGTCATCCCAGCTACTCAGGAGGCTGAGACAGGAGAATTGTGAATGTTGTAGTGAGCCAAGATTACACCATTGCACTCTACCCTGGGTGATGTGAGTGAAACTTCGTCTCACTAAATAAATAAATAAATATTCTAACTAGCCTGCTGCATCTTTTCTTATTTTCAGTATGTAGCATCCTGTTAGGATATTCTTTAGAAATGCTTCAAAAGCATCAAAAGAATAACCCAGATTTTTTATTAGGTATCATAGATGCCAACTTCAGAGCTCATCCAGAAAGATTATTGGAAAACCAAGAATAATGTCTGACTCTCAACTTCTTCTCAAATTAAATAAGAAATAGAAACAGACTAAATCAATTTAGAGAGCTGATCTCAATATTATTCCAAGTCTGCTATTTAACTCATAGGAGGCAACATTAGGAAAATACTTGCAAAAATTCTTCATGGATGTTTGCAAAATATCATACAACTTTAAAATCAGTGGGTCCATGTGGCATATATCCCAAGAGAGCAAGAAAACTAGCAACTGGGGCTAGCAAATCCTTGTAATTTATTTCCAACAGTCACATTAAAAGTTACAAGTTGCACAAAGTAAAGAGGTTTAATTTTCTTTGAAAGAAAGGAGTCTATCTCATAAATCAGTATTAAAAGAGAAAACTCTTCAAGCATCTCTAAAATGGTGATGTTGTGAGTAACTAAAACATAATTAAAGTAAGAATTTATCATGGGAGAACAAATTTGTGGCCCTTCCATATTAACAGCCTGTTGACCTGTTTCAAAATCAATTTGGTGATATGTACTAATATCTTTTAAAATGTGCATGCCTTTTGAGCTGGTAATTTCATTTATGGGGCTTTATCCTTGGGAAATATGCTGAATTTGAAAAAATAATAAAACTAAGTACAAAGACACTCATTTTCCTAAAAAAATAGAATTAATTTAGTTGTGTTAACAAGAGAAGCAAGCAGCCTGTTTGGGGAATTGTTGTGTCTATCAAAGTCAAAATTAACCTATTAATGCATGGGTGAACTCCCAATAATCTGCTCTTTTGAAAAGAAAACTCAACATCATAATTCTAATCATCTAATAATTCAAGAAATTAATCGCTTATGGCAATCAAATGAATTTAATGTAGGATGTGCCTTTTTATTGTGTTCCTCAAATAAGCTTTCTTCTTTGTATATGCAAACATATTCTGGGAGTATGGCACTTAACAAGATGGCAGAAAAAAATTTAGCCAGGATTCAACACTTTCCCACACATCATCAGCACTTGAGTAAGTTATAAGCATGGTTTTTGAAAGTTCATGTTCAATTATTTCATGAAAAACTAAAAATTTTATTTATTTATGCTGGGGGCTATATCTGAATTGAGACTCCTCAAAGTTAAGATTCTATCGCACTTTTAATCCAGATTGTTTGTTTGGTTAGTTAGTTGGTTAGTTTCCATTTGTTTATTTTGGGTTTTGGTTTTGCATTTTACTTCAGACTGACCAGTAGGAGGGAGAGGAAAACTAATATTTTGAAGGTTTAAAAGTGGACAAAATGAAACCTGCCAAATGGTACTGCAAAAGGGTAATCATACAGGAGAAACATTTTAAAAAGCAGAAAGAACCTAAGTAATTATCACTGGAAAGGTTAGGCAGAAATCAAGCCTAAATAACTTCCATTTCTAAAGATTACCTGACATTTCTTTTCAACAGCTAAAGTGCCACCTAGTGCCAAGCAAGAGAAGCAAGTCAGGTCTCAGGTTTAGAGTCACATGAATCATTTCTTCATTTACTTTGCATCCTTCTGTCAAGGGTTAGTTAAAATGGATCTTCTTCGGTGTCTCTCATCTCAGAAACATTAACAGGAAGTTGTAAGTGGCTCTGTTCAAGTCATCAGCACTGACAACATTAAGAATCATGGAGAAACTTAACTCATTCTTAACAATCAGAAAATGAACACTGGGTATTTCCTTGTAAATTTCAATTTAAAAGTAAATAAAAATTATTAATATAAAGGTCAATAAATGCTCTTCAATGGAAATTTAATTAAATAAATTATGACAGATCCTTTCAACAAAGTCTATGTAAGTCAAAAATTAATATGCTTAATGATACAAAAAACATTTATGACATACTGCTAAGTGGAAAAAAATAAGTTACAAATAGCATATATAGAATGTCTCATTTTGGGAAAAAATGTAGAAATGAGTATACTTGTACATAAAACCCCAGAAGTTAACAGGAACAGTGTTTCCCTGTAGCAATAGGATTAAGGGTAATTTTTTTCCTTTTCTTATTTTGTAAGTATGAAACACTTTTTCAATAAAGATATGATTACAAACTTTTTAGCCAAAAGCAAATATATAAATAAGACACTATACTATCACATGGTCATAATTTAAATAAATAAAAGAAAGAATGACTGGGTTTTGCTAAAACAGGGAGGAAAATTATACTTAATTAGGTAGAAAGAAAATATTTCTAAATACCAAATTTATAAATGATGTTACTTTTTTTTTTATTTATGTACTCATCACCTCACTAAAAGTGCAACTACTTGAACACTGCCCCCTCTCTCCCCTGTGCAACAAATTCTGAACTAAAGTTATCAACTGAAATGTCTTAAGGGTCCAGAACATATTGAAAATGGGTGAATCAACTAACAGTAGGAAGCAGTGAAGGCTGTGGGGATCTGAGAAGTACACACCTGGCAGCAAGCATTCAAATTCCAGTGCTTCATGTCCTCTCTGCAGCTGTCAAAATGCTTTGGAAGGACTTGTCTTAAACACACTAGACTGAGACCTCCCTAAAACAAGGATTATATTTAATTCATTACAGCCATGGTTCTTCACACCAAACCTTAAAGGTCAGAACGTGGGGCTGAGTAAGTGTTCTCCCAAATGTTTATTCTGATGTACTAATTTTCTATTCAGATATCCTGGACATCAGCATCAACTGCTTGCCTGGACACTTCTATTGGTAGACAGTATAGCCAGGACCTGGCCAAGGTCCTGAACTCATAACTCAACAGACTCAGACGTAAAGTCTGGCCCTGACACTTTCCAGGAACTTCAACAAATTTCTTAACTCCTTAAGCCTTAGTTTTCACATTTATACAAGACAGTAATTATAATATTGATTGTGGCTGTACTGATGATCAAACTGAATTCTAATTGAAAATACCTGGACATAGCAGAATCTCAGGAAATGTTATTTATCAGTGTAGTTATGCTACCTGGAGTTGGTGTCGTGCCTTCCATCATACCTCAGAGTCCATAGATCTCAAGCAATTGCTAGTTGAAAGCTGAGTCTACATCCTACACCAATTGTCTTCCCCACTCTTTCACCAGCTTCTTTTGTGGGTTTACCAGTCTCCCTCACTTTCTTGCCTCATCACTTCACACAGAATGGAGCCCTCCATGATGTCAAGCTCTTAACTTTTCTGTAGGAAAAGTTTGCCCATTGATTAACCATCAATCAATAAATAGTATAGTAACTGTTCCTATGCTATTCCCAACACAGGGGGAACATTCTGAATCTGTTATACATACTGTGCCCCATCAAAGCTGCAGAATTTTACATTGTATTTCCCTCCATTGAATTTCCCTCCCTTCATAAATTCACCCTAATAAATGTCATTTGAGGCTGTTTCCTTCAAACTCTCTTATTTTATATTGCCAGGCCTGTAGATTACACTCTGGTGTGCCTTTAGGGAAGTTTTATCTTAAGAATTTCATGAGTATCATGGATATGGACCAACTACTGCTTATATAAAAGATAGTTCCCGTTTTTAAACCAGGTGGTGACATTCAGTATTATATCAGTTTTCCTCTTTGTCGGTGGGTACAGGCAGTAATGTTTGAATTAATCAGAAATTAATCCAAATACATGAGTTAATTTTCAGAGAAATTCTAGAAATACTCCAGGATTAAATTTAAATTATGGGCATATCATGAGCAAAATTTCCTAAAGTTTTCCTAGATTTAATGTTTTAAATCTAAAGCTCCAAAAGCCAATATATAAGTATTACATATTGGATTAAATTACATACCACTAATGTTGTTGTATAGAGCTGGCCATAAGCAAAAATTAAAGTAATATTCCATTTATTTTACTTTAAGAAGGAGAAGAATTGAAAAGTCAAAATAATGGTTAAAGGGAAAAGTAAACTTAAGATATATGAGGTAATTGTAAGAGAATAACTTGTTGCTTTCAAGAATTTCAAATAACCAAATCAGAACAATTATATCATATGAAACTTGAATACATGTTTATAAAACCATTATCAATATATTTGGGAAACCAAGACAAATTTTTTTAAATCAAAGAATTAAAGATTGGCAAATGTCTTCAGTTTCAAAAAGTAGTAACTACACTAGATGTCATAGTGGATCAGAAATATTAATAAAATCTGATTTAGAAGAGGAAAAAAAAAGTAGTAACTACAGATTGAAGAACTTGATATTAATAACCAGCAACATTTAGAACAGGTTATTAAACAGATGATTATGAACATTTTTAAAACAATCACTAGTAGTAAGCATGTGTTCTCTGAAAATCGGCTATAATAATGATATATATTTTTTCTTTGGGGTGAGAACATTAGCTAGCTGTAGAATCAGGATTTTTGCGTTTGTGTATCCCTGGGCAAGTCACTTGACCTGGGACTAAATATTACAAAGTCACTAATAGCTGTTTGTCCAGAAGGGCTCTGTGGTGAAGTATATTGGAACAACAGTTGAACAAAAACTGATAGGTTTTTGTTGTTGAAAACTTACCAGAGTCTTTAATAAGTTCATGCCCATTGCAAGTTTCTGAGAGTGGGTCACTGTGTGCAGTATTTTTCAACTTGATTACCTGAAGAATAATTTTGATTTTCAGTGCATCTTACAAGACTAGGCTTCTGAAGAACTCTCAGAAATACTATGCTGAAAGCTCCCTCAGCTCTAGCATTTTATACCTATAGATGGTTAATTATAAACTATTAAAATCAATACAGGTATTGTTACAATCAAATTATATAGTTTAGAAATGTGTCAAATTTTAACACAAAGAACATAAAAACAATCAGAACCAAAATACATCATGCTTCAGAACTCTGGAATTTATATATTAAGTAATTCAAAATCCAATTTCAAACTACATTTTAAGGCAACTTTAACTTCAGTTAAGCTTATTTCCCTACTGGTTTTTGTTCCAGGAGCTATTAAATTATATCTTCTGATAGGCTATAATTCATTCAATTTAAATTGCATGTTAATTCACTTATAAAAGAAGCAGGAGGATGGGGTGGGGAATGGAGAGAGATCAGCCCCTTTATAATTCAGTTAGCTAATCTTTCATCCTTAATTAGATGATTAAAAAAACCTTTTAACTTTATCTTATATTTGAAAGGAACACTGAGATATATTCAAGAGACAGGGCAAAAGGAATAGCAAACAGAAAATATTGTTCTGTAACTATAAACATCCTCCAATAAGTATTTAAATTACTAATATGTACTTTAAAGCTTATTAGAAAAATACAAAATAGCATTGATCAAATGCTCCTAAGGCCAATTAACATTTATGATCTCTATGTACATATATACATTTTGCAAATGCCATTCTGTTTTTTTTAATTGCTCTTCCTCCCACATCTTACTTCCAGTTCCCCTGACTCTGACCAAGATTTCCAGAGAAATCTGAAGCTCCCTGAAGCCCTTGGTTTCCTCAGTTCTATTTACTCTGAGAGAAGGTAACCTCTCCATCCCAAACCTCTGCATCTGCATTTACCCAGCATTTCAAAAATACTTTCTTCTTGGCCAATTTATAATCGCCTTCCTCTAAATACTAATTTCACATATGTTTTGCATAGAACTTTAGAGATTTCTATTTGACTTTTAAATCCAATCCTCACTATAACCCAGCAAATAGGGAGAATGTTGTCCACATGGACAAGTGAGGACAATAAGGTAGGGAAAGGTCAGAGGCCCTGTAAAGGAAAGAATTAGGACTTTGCTTTCTAGCCATCCTCCTGGTGCCTCCTACTCTCCTATCCAGGCTCCCCCAACCCCCACAGTCCCACAATAAAACTGTGGTCACAGATTGCAAGCTGCAGAATGCTTTCCTTATATTCTGATCTCACTGTTTGTTAGAGGGATGACTTTGGACAAGTTACTTAACTTCTGTACATCTCAATTTTCAAAACTGTAAAATAGGCACACTGTAGTACACGCTTTATAAAGAAATAAGAATTAAATTGGTTAGTGCATCTAACCATGGGTTTTGGAGATTAATTTAATGTGAATAAATAAATGAATTAAAGATTGTATTAGTTAACTCATTTACTCATCCAATAAATATATGTTTTTATTGATACATAATGATTGTACATATTATTTCTGGATTTCATGTGACATTTTGATACATGCATAAAATAATTATCAAATCAGAATAATTGGGGTATCCATCACCTCAAACATTGAAATTACTTTGTCTTGGGAATATTCCAACTCTTCTAGCTACTTTGAAATATACAATAAATTATTGTTAACTATAGTCACTCTACTATGCTATTGAACACTAGAAATGACTTCGAACTGACTGTTTTTATACCCATTAACCAACTTTTCTTCACCCCTGCACTCCTCCTAACTTTCCCAGCCACTGGTAACCATCATTCTACTCTCTACCTCCATGAGATCAACTTTTTTTCAACTTTTCAACTTTTTTTACTCTTATGTGGGAGCTAAAAAAGCTAAAAAACCTCCCACATATGAGTAAAAACATGTAATATATGTCTTTCTGTGACTGGCTAATTTCATTTAACATAATACCTTCCAGTTCCATCAGTCTTGCTTTAAATAGCAAAATTTCATTATTTTTTCTTATCACTGAATAACATTTCATTGCATACATACACCACATTTTCTTTATTCATTTATCCACTGATGGACACTTAGGTTGATTCTATGTCTTGACTATTGTGAATAATGCTGCAATAAACATGAGAGTGTATATATTGCTTCAAATATGCTGATTTCCTTTCTTTTGGATATATATCAAGCAGTTAGACTGCTGGATCATATGGTAGTTCTGTTTTTAGTTTTTTGAGGAACCTCTATACTTCAACTAACAATAGTTGTACCAATTTACATTCCCTCCAACAGTGTATAAGATTTCCCCTTTCGCCATATCCTTGCTGATTTTGACTTGCATTTCCCTGATTAGTGACCATTCTTTCATATACCTACGGGTAATTTTTTTGTTTGGTTTGTTTTTGTTTGTTTCTTTTGTTTTGTTTTGTTTTGAGACAGGGTCTTGCTCTTCGGGTTGAAGTGCAGTGGCACAATCATAGCTCACTGCAGTCTCCATCTCCTAAGTTCAGGGGATATTCCTGTCTCAGCCTCCTGAGAAGCTAGGACTACAGGTGCATGCCACCACATCCAGCTAATGTTTTAAATTTTTTTGTAGAGATGAGGTCTTGCTATGTTGCCCAGGCTACTCTCAAACTCCTGGCTTCATGCTATCCTTCTGCCTCAGCCTCCCAAAGTGCTGGGATTACAGGTGTGAGTCACCACAGCCAGCCTTTAATGGCCATTTGTATGTTTTCTCTTGAGAAATTTCTATTCAGATTATTTCTAGCTTTTAATCAGGTTATTTAATTTTTGGTGTTCAGTTGTTTGAGTTACCTGTGTATCCTGATTATTAATCCCTTGGCAGATGAATGGTTTGCAAATATTTTCTTCCATGCTGTTAGTTGTCTTCAGTCTATTGACTGTTTCCTTTGCTGTGCAGAAGCTTTTTTGCTTGATGTAATCTCATTTCTCTATTTTTGTTTTTGTTCCAGTGCTTTAGAGGTCTTACTCCAAAAATATTTGTCCAGACTAACATCCTGAAGCATTTCCCCAGTGTTTTTTCTAGTGGTTTTATAGTTTTAGATCTTAGATTTAAGTCTTTAACCCACATTAATTTGACTTGACTTTTGAATATGGTGAGAGATCTAGTTTAGGGGTCTAGTTTCATTCTCCTGCATATGGTTATCCAGCTTTTCTAACGCTATTCAAATGACTGAAGAAAAGACTGTTTTCCCCCAATGCATTTTCTTGGTGCCTTTGTCAAAAATGAGTTGGTGGTAAATGTGTGGATTTATTTTTAAGTTCTCTATTCTTTTCTATTGGTCTATATATCTGTTTTTAAGCCAGCACTACGAAGTATTGGTCATTATGGCTTCAGGGTATATTTTGAAGGCATGTAGTACAGTGCTTCCAGTTTAATTCCTTTTGCTCAGGATTGCTTTGGCTATTTGGGGCTTTTGTAGCTCCATGCAATTTTTAGGATTGTTTTTTCTATTTCTGTAAAGAATGTCATTTGTACTTTCACGGAGATTGCATTGAATCTATAGATTGCCTTGGGTAGTATAGATATGTTAATAATATTAATTCTTCTAGTCCATGAGCATAGGACCTTTTTTAATGTCTTACTTGACTTTTTTCATGAGTGTTTTATAATTTTATTTGTAGAGATTGTTCACTCCTGTGGTTAAATTAATTCCTACATATTTAAATATTTGTAGCTATTGTAAATGTGATTGCCTTTTTGAGTTTTTCTATTGTTAGCTGTTGGCATATACAAATCACACTGATTTTTGTATTTTCATTTTGCATCCTTCAACTTTACTGAATTTGTTTATCGGTTATAACAATTTTTAGTGGAGGCTTTAGGTTTTTTAAAATATAAAATTATGTTGTCTGCAAACAAGAATAATTTGACTCCTTCCTTTTCAATTTGGATGCTCTTTATTTCTTTCTGGTGCTTAATTGTTCTGACTAGGACTTCCAGTACTATGTCGAATACAAATGGTGAAAGTGGGCATCCTTGTCTTATTCTTGATCTTAGAGAAAAGGTTTTAAATTTTTCCTCATTCAGTATATTATTAGTTGTGGGCTTGTCATATATGGTCTTTATCATGTTGATGTATGTTCCTTCTATACCTGATTTGTTCAGAGTTTTTATCATGAAAGAATATTGAACTTTATTGGATGTTTTTTCAGCATCTATTAAATTGGTTTTATGGTTTTGTCCTTGATTATGTTAATGTGATGTATCACATTAACTGAATTTGCATATTTTCCACCATCATTGCATTCCTGGGATGAATCCCACTTGGTCATGATGAATGATATTTTTAATGTGTTGTTGAATTCTGTTTGCTAGTATTTTGTTGAGGATTTCTGTATCTATGTTTGTCAAGGATTTTGGCCTGTAGTTTTCTTTTTTGTGTTTTCTTTTTTCTTTTTTGTGTTTGTCCTTGCCTGGCTTTGGTATCAGCGTAATGCTGGTGTCATAGAACAATTTTGCAACTATTTTCTTCTCTTCAATTTTTTGAAATAGTTTGAGTAGGATTGGCATTAATTCTCTAAATGTTTGATAAAATTCAGCAGTGGAATTGCTTCTTAGCCTTTTGGCTAAGGTAGAATTCAGCTGTGGAGCCATTTGGTTCTGGACTTTCCATTGATGGGAGACCTTTTTTTATCACTACTTTGATATTTTTACTTGTTGTTAGTCTGTTCAGGCTTTCTATTTCTTCATAGTTCAATCTTTGAAGGTTATATGCTTCCAATAACTTATACATTTCTTCTAGGTGTTCCAATTTGTTTCTATGTAATTGTTCATAATCATCTCTGGTAATACTTTCTATTTCTGTAGTGTCAGTTGTAATGTCTCCTTTTTGTTCCTGCTTTTGTTTGAGTCTTCTCTTTTTCCTTAGTCTAGTTACAGGTTTGTCAATTTTGTTTATCTTTTCAAAACATCAACTTTTCATTTTTTTTTCTATTGTGTTGCTTTGTAGTCTCAATTTTATTTATTTCTGCTCTGATTTTTATTATTTCTTTCCTTCTACTAATTTTGGGTTTTATTTGTTCTTGCTTTTCTAGCTCCTTTGGGTGCATCGTTAGGTTGTTTATTTGAAGTCTTTCTACTTTTTTAATGTAGGTGTTTATGGCCATAAACTTCCCTCTTAGTACTGTTTCTTCTGTATCCCAAAAGTTTTCATATGTTGTGTTTTCATTTTTATATTAACACATTTTAAAATTTTTTCATTGACACAATGATCATTAGGAGCATGTGGCTTAATTTCCATGTACAGTTTCCAAACTAACTCTGGTTGATTTCTAGTTTTATTCCATTGTAGTCAAGAAAGATACTTACATATAATTTTAAATTTTTTGAAATTGCTCAGACTTGTTTTGTGACCTAATATATGATCTGTCCTAGCACATTTCATGTGCTGATGAGAAAAATGTATATTGTAGAGATGTTGAATAACATGTGTTTAAATGTGATTTAGATCCATTTGGTCTATGACATAGTTTAACTCTAATGTTTCTTTGTTAATTTTCTGTATGGATGCCCTGTCCATTACTGAAAGTGGTATGTTGAAATCTACTATTATTATTGTATTGTAGTCAATCTCTTCCTTTAGGTCTATTAATATTTTCTTTATATATTTTGTTTGCACTAGTAATGGGGGTACATTTATTTATAATTGTTATATCCTCTTGCTGAATTTATCTCTTTATCATTATATAATGACATTCTTTGTCTCTTTTTACAGTTTTGGACTTGAAATCTGTTTTATCTGATGTAAATATAGCTAATCCTGCTCTTTTTTGGTTTCCATTTGCATGAAACATCTTTTTCATTTTTTCACTTAGTCTATGCATGTCTTTGCAGGTGAAGTGAGTTTCTTGTAGACCACATATAGTTGGGTCTTGTTTTTTCTTATCCATTTACCTACTCCATTATGCAACTATGTGATTTTCTCTGGTAGTATATTTTTATTCCTTGCTTTTTATTTTAATGTATCTATTACAAGTTTTTGCTCTGTGGTTGCAATGAGGCTTAAAAAAGTCTTACAGGTATAACGAGTTACTTGGAATGAAAGACAACTTAACTTTGATCACAAAAAATGAATACAAAAAAAGAAGAAAGAAAAAGCTAAAAATATTTACACTTTAACTACATGCCCTTACATTTTCACTCTTTCTTGTCTCAATTTACCTCTTCTAATATTGTGTATTTCATAACAAATTGTTGTGGTTATTGTTGTGGTATATTTGTTTATATGGTTTGGCTCCATGTCCCCACCCTAATCTCATGTTGAATTGTAATCCTCAATGCTGGGGAAGAGGCTTGGTGGTAGGTAATCGAGTCATGGGGACAAATTTCCCCCTTGCTGTGTTCTCATGATAATGAGTGAGTTTTCATGAGATCTGGTTGTTTGAAAGTGTGTAGCACTTCCCCATTTTTTCTCTCTCTCTCTCTCTCCTTCCAGGCATGTGAAGATGTGCCTGCTTCCCCTTCACCTTCTGACATGACTGTAAGTTTCCTAAGACCTCCCCAGCCATGTTACCTGTACAGCCTGTGGAACTGTGAGTCAATTAAATCTCTTTTCTTCATAAATTACCCAGTCTGATTTATATCTTTATAGCAGTGTGAAAATAGGCTAATACAGAAAATTAGCACCAGGAGTTGGGGCATTGCTATAAAGACACATGAAAATGTGGAAGCAGCATTGGAACTGGGTAATAGGCAGAAGAGTTTGGAGGGCTCAGAAGAAGACAGGAAGATGAGGAAAAGTTTGAAAATTTCTAGAGACTTGTTAAATGATTGTGACCAAAATGCTAATAGTGATATGGAAAATGAAGTGCAGGCTGAGGTGGTCTCAGACGGAGATGAAAAACTTATTGGGACCTGAACTAAAGGTCACTATTGCTATGCTTTAGCAAACAGACTGGTGGCATTGTGCCCATGGGCTAGAGATCTATAGAACTTTGAACTTGAGAAAGATAATTTAGGGTACCTGGCAGAAGAAGTTTCTAAGCAGCAAAGCATTCAAGAGGTGGCCTGGCTGTTTCTAACTGCCTATACTCATAGGCATGAAAAAAGAGTTATCTGAAACTGGAACTTATATTTAAAAGGAAAGCAGTGCATAGAAATTCATAAAATTCACAGCCTGGCCATGTGGTAGGAAATAAAAACTCATTTTCTGGGGAGGAATTCCAGCCTGCTGCAGACGTTTGCATAAGTAAAGAGGAGCCTAATGTTAGTAGTCAAGACAATGGGGAAAATGCCTCCTAGGCATTTCAGAGACCTTTGTAGTAGCCCTTCCCGTCACAGCCCTGGGAGCATAGGAGGAAAAAATGGTTTCATGGTCCAAGCCCAGGGACCTGCTGCTCTGTGCAGCCTTTAGGACATGGTGCCCTTTGTCATAGCTGTTCCAGCTCCAACCACAAGTAAAAGGGCCCCATATACATCTCAGGCCACTGCTTCAGAGAGTGCAAGTCCCAAGCCTTGATGGCTTCCATGTGGTGTTAAGCCTGTGGATGTGCAGAGGGCAAGAGTTAGGGCCTAGGAGAGTCCACCTAGGTTTCAGAGGATGTATGAAAATGCCTGGATGTCCAGACACAAGTCTACTGCAGGGGGAGAGCTGTTGTAGAGAACCTATACTAGAACAGTGCGAAAGGGAAATGTGAGGTTGGAGCCCCCACAGAGAGTCTCCACTGTGGCACTGCCTAGTGGAGCTGTGAGAAGAGGGCCACCATCCTCCAGATCCCAGAACAGTAGATCCACTGACAGCTTGCACCGTGCACCTGTAAAACCTGCAGGTACTCACTGCCAGCTCATGGAGGCAGCTGTGTGGACTGTACCCTGCAAAGCCACATGATGATGCTGCCCAAGGCCATGGGAGCCCACCACTTGCATCAGTGTGACCTAGATGTGAGATGTGCAGTCAAAAAAGATTATTCTGGAGCTTTGAGATTTAATGACTGCACTACTGAATTCTGGACTTGCATGGGGCCTGTAGCCCCTTTGTTTTGCCCAATTTCTCCCTTTTTGAATGGGAACATTTACCCAGTGCCTGACCCCATTGTATCTTGGAAGTAACCAACTTGTTTTTTATTTTACAGGATCATAGGAGGCAACTTGCCTTGTCTCTGATGAGGCTTTGGACTTGGACTTTTGAGTTCATGCTGGAATGAGTTAAGACTTTGAGGGACTGTTGGGAAGGCATTATTGTGTTTTGTAAAGTGAGAAGGACATGAGATTTGAGAAAGGCCAGGGGAGGAATAATATGTTTTGTCCCCAAACAAATATCATGTTGAACTGCAATCTCCATTGTTGGAGGAGGCACTTGGTGGGAAGTGATCGAATCATGGGGGCACACTTCCCCCTTGCTGTTCTTGTAATAGAGTTCTCACAAGATCTTGTTATTTGAAAGTGTGTAGCACTTATCCCTTTTCACACTCTCTCTCCTGCTGTCCATGTGAAGATGTGCCTGCTTCCCTTTCACCTTCCACCATTATTGCAAGTTTACTGAGGCCTCCCCAGACATGCAGGACTGTGAGTGAAGTAAACTCATTTTCTTCATAAATTACCCAGTCCCAGGTAGTTCTTTATAGTCACATGAGAACAGACTAATAGATTTGTCTATTATCTTCATATGAGAGATATGAGTGGCTTACACAGCACAATTACGGTTTTTGAGTATTCTGAATTTATCTGTGAATTTACTATTACCAGTAAATTTTATACCTTCAGATTATTTTCTTGTTACACTTTAATGTCTTTCTTTCAGATTGACAAAATCCTTTAGCATTTCTTGTAAGACAGTTCTGGTGATGAATAATTCCCTCAGATTTTCTGTGTCTGGAAAAATCTTTCTCTCTCCTTTATGTTTGAGGGAAAGTTTTGCTGGGTACAGTATTCTCAGTTAACAGGGTTTCCCTTTTTATTCAGTACTTTAAATATGTTATTGCACTTCCTCCTGGTCTGTACAGTTTCCTCAGAGATGTTTGCTGGGTTAATCAATCCTTCTTCACATGTGATGTGCTTCTTTCCTCTTGCTGCTTTTAGAGTCATCTCTTTGTCCTTGAATTTTGAGACTTCAATCATTCTCTGCCTTGGGATAGTTTTATTTGGGTCAAATCTGTTTGGTGAACTTTGACCTTTCTGTACCTGGATATTCATATCTTTCTCTAGGTTTCAAATGTTTTTTGTTATTAATACTTTGAGTAAGCTTTCTATGTCTTGCTTTTTCTCAACTCTTTCTTGCAGGCCAGTGACTCTTATATTTCCTCTTTTGAGGTTATTTTCTAGATCTCATAGAACTCTTATTTCCTTTTCATTCTTTTAACTTTTTTCTTCTCTGGCTATGTATTTTCAAATAGCCTGTCTTCAAGCTCACTATTTTTTTTCTGCTTGATCAATTCTATTATTGAGAACCTCTGATGCATTTTTTTTTTAGTTCAGCTAATGTATTTCTCAGTTCCAGGATATCTGTTGGATTTTTTAAAAATCACCATCTCTTTGTTAAATTCCTCTGTCAATTTTCTGAATTGCTTTTTTGTGTTATCTTGCAGTTCAATGGGTTTTGTAAAAAGAAATACAATTTTGAACTCTAGATCTTAGAGCTCACATAGCTCCATTTCATTTAAGTCAGTCACTGGCTTCTTGCTTTGTGCATTCAGAGAGTTCATGGTTTCTCGATTGCTGTTGTTTCTTACAGATGTACTTCTATGTCTTCACAATGAAATATTATTTATTCCAGCCTTTGCTGTCTAGGTTGGGTTGGTCTTCCGAGCACAAGTGTGCTTAGACTTCCTATACAGTTTGCCTCTTCATTCCCTTAGCCCTAGATCACTATATCTTTTTCAGCACTAGATGACACCCTAAGCTAAGGTTTTCTGAAGCTCCTGCAAAAGTTCCAAGTACTGCCCACCTGAATGGTGAGTAGATTCCCTGGTTCTGTGGGGATGCTGGGTAGGAGTCCATGCCTAGATGGATTAGCCCACCCAACCCATCAACAGCTACCAACAATAGCAAGAAAGACTGCTTGGGTCCCAGTGAGTTGCTCCACCATTGCTACTGTCAACATCCATACCAGAGCCTGAGAACTCTCCCACACACCTGTCCCACTGCTCCCACAAGACACTTCTAGGCTAACCATGTGGGGACCTCAAAATAGGCCTTTCAGGACCCACTAACACCAGAGTCGGTGTAAGCTGCTCTGGGGCTTAAGAACAGGTCCACTCAGCCCACTTCTGCCACCAAGATGGCCCAAAGACAAGCTCAGTTGGCATCCAAGTCCCCAACAAAACTTCACCAGAACCCAAACTAACTGTACACTATGTCACACACACACAAAGAAATCACAGATACCACTGGTTCGGTGGGCTGCCAAAGAAGTCATAAAAAGATCAGACTACTATAGGCACCTAAAATTAAAGACACATTATCTTACACAAAAAACAACACATACATATCTTCAGGAAAAATTCTCCCCTACAAAGGCAATTTCCAAAAAATGGTACAAGTGACTGCTACACAAGATGCATAGATATCAATGGAAGGACACAGGAAACAGGAAAGAGCAAGAAAACATGACATCACTAAAAAACTACAAAAATTGTCCAGCCACAATTTTTTGAAATATTATTTATTCCAGCCTTTGCCGTCTAGGTTGGGTTGGTCTTTCTAGAACATGTGTGCTTAGACTTTTAATCAAAAAGAGTTCCTTGAAATGCCAGAAAATGAATACAAAGTATAGATTATAAAGAAGTTCAATGAGATGCAAGAGAAATCTGAAAACCAATACAAAGAAGTAAGAAAATCAATTCACAATGTGAATGAGAAAATTACCAAAAAGATAATAGCTTAGAAAATAGAAGAAGTAGTTCTGGAACTAAAAATTTTATTAAAAGACATACAACATATATTTGAAAACTTCAATAATAAACTAGACCAAACAGAAGAAAGAATCTCAGGAATTGAAGAGAGGGCTTCTGAAACACTCCAGTCAGATAAAAATAAGGAAAAAATAATAGAAAAGAATGAACAAAGTCTTTGAAATATCTGCAACTATATAAAGCAACCAAACTACAAATTTGTGGTATTCTCAAGGGAGAAGAGAGACCAGAAAGTTTAGAGAAACTATTTAAGGAAATTATCAATGAAAGCTTCCCAAGTCTATCATGAGAACTAGATGTCCAAATACAGCAGTCCCAGCAATCCTCAGCAAAATACACTGCAAAAAGGACTTCATCACAAGTCAAAGTTTAAAAAAGAATTTCAAAATTAGCAAGAGATAAGCACCTATTTACTATAAAGAAAACCCTATTAGACTAATGGTGGAATTTTCAGCAGAAACATTATAATCTAGAAGAAAATGGAATGCATTTTTAAAGCTCTGAAAAAAAAGCATTAGCCAAAAATTTTGTATCCTGCAAGAATAGTCTTTATAAATGGAGGAGAAATAAAGTATTTCCAAGACAAGAGAATACAGAGGGAATTTGTCAACACTAGACCAGACCTACAGGTTATGTTCAAAGGGGTCTTAAACAGAAATAAATGGTCAATATTCACTAGCATGTAAATATAAAACTAATAGGTCTTATAAATCAATCACACAAAGGAGAAAGAGATAGAAATCAAATGGTAACACGAAAGACCTTCAAACAATGACAAAAAGAGATAAAGGAACAAGGAATTTATAAAATAATTTGAAATCAGTTAACAATATGACAGAAAAAAAGCCTCCCATATAAATATTAACCTTGAATATAAATGGATTAAATGTTCCCCTTATAGATTGGCAGGATGGATTTTAAAAAGCATGATCTAACTATATGTTGCTTATAAGAAACTCACTTTACTCATAAAGACACATATAGACTGGAAGTAAAGGGGTGAAAAAGATATGCCATGAAACAGAAACCAAAGCATAGAGGAATAGCTATACTTATATAAGATAAAACAGACTTCAGGGAGGAGGCTTCTGAGATGGTCGAATAGGAACAGCTCCTGTCTGCAGCTCCCAGTGAGATTGATGCAGAAGGCAGGTGATTTCTGCATTTCAAACTGAGGTACTTGGTTCATCTCATTGGGACTGGTTGGAGAGTGAGTGCAGCCCACAGAGGGCAAGCTGAAGCAGGGTAGGGCATTGTCTCACCCAGGAAGCGCAAGGGGTTGGGGGATTTCCCTTGCCTAGCCAAGGGAAGCCATGACAGACTGTACCTGGAGAAACAGTACACCCCTGACCAAATACTGTGCTATTCCCACAGTCTTAGCAACTGGCAGACCAAGAGATATCCTCCTGTGCCTGGCTTAGCAGGTATCATGCCCATGGAGCCTTGCTCACTGCTAGCACAGCAGTCTGAGATCAACCTGCAACGCTGCAGCTTGACGTGAGGGAGGGGCACCTGCCATTGCTAGACTTGAGTAGCTTACAGTGTAAACAAAGCAGCTAGGAAGCATGAACTGGGTGGAGTCCACCACAGCTCAGCAAGACCTACTACCTCCATAGATTTCACATCTGGGGGCAGGGTATAGAAGAACAAAAGGCAGCAGACTGCTTCTGCAGACTTAAATGTCCCTGTCTGACAGCTCTGAAGAGAGCAGTGGTTCTCTCAGAACAGCATTCAAGCTCTGAGAACAGACAGACTGCCTCCTTAAGTGGGTCCCTGACCCCCATGTAGCCTGACTGGGAGACACCTCCCAGTAGGGGCTGACAGACACCTCAAACAGTCAGGTGCCCCTCTGGGACGAAGCTTCCAGAGGAAGGATCAGGAAGCAATATTTGCTGTTCTGCAGCCTCTGCTGGTGATACCCAGGCAAACAGGGTCAGGAGTGGACCTCCAGCAAAGTCCAACAGACCTGAAGCTGAGAGGCCTGACTGTTAGAAGGAAAACTAACAAACAGAAAGGAATACCATCAACATCAACAAAAAGGACATCCGCACCAAAACCTCATCTGTAGGTCACCAACATCAAAGACCGTAGGTAAATAAAACCACAAAGATGGGGAAAAACCGGAGCAGAAAAGCTGAAAATTCCAAAAAACAGAGTGCCTCTTCTCCTCCAAAGGATCACAGCTGCTCGCCAGCAAGGGAACAAAACTGGATGGAGAATGAGTTTGACGAGTTGACAGAAGTAGGCTTCAGAAGGTCGGTAATAACAAACTTCTCCGAGCTAAAGAAGCATGTTCTAACCCATTGCAAGAATGCTAAAACCCTTAAAAAAAGGTTAGACGAATGGCTAACTAGAATAAACAGTGTAGAGAAAAGCTTAAATGACCTAATGGAACTGAAAACCATGGCACGAGAGCTTTGTGATGCATGCACAAGCTTCAATAGCTGATTCGATCAAGTGGAAGAAAGGATGTCAGTGATTGAAGATCAAACTAATGAAATAAAGTGAGAAGACAAGATCAGAGAAAAAAAGTGAAAAGAAACGAACAAAGCCTCCAAGAAATATAGGACTATGTGAAAAGACCAAATATACATTTGACTGGTGTACCAGAAAGTGACAGGGAGAATGGAGCCAAGTTAGAAAACACTCTTCAGTATATATAGGAGAACTTCCCTAACCTAGCAAGGCAGGCCAACATTCAAATTCAGGAAATACAGAGAATACCACAAAGATACTCCTCGAGAAGAGCAACCTCCCGACACATAATTGTCAGATTCACCAAGGTTGAAATGAGGGAAAAAATGTTAAGGACAGCCAGAGAGAAAGGTCGGGTTACCCACAAAGGGAAGCCCATCAGACTAACAGCTGATCTCTCGGCAGAAACTCTACAAGCCAGAAGAGAGTTTGGGCCAATATTCAACATTCTTAAAGAAAAGAACTTTCAACCTAGAATCTCATATCCAGCCAAACAAAGCTTCATAAGTGAAGGAGAAATAAAAACCTTTACAGACAAGCAAATGCTGAGAGATTTTGACACCGCCAGGTCTGCCTCACAAGAGCTCCTGAAGGAAGCTCTAAACATGGAAAGGAACAACTGGTACTAGCCACTGCAAAAACATGCCAAATGGTAAGGACCATCGATGCTATGAAGAAACTGCATCAATTAATGGGCAAAATAACCAGCTAGCATCATAATGACAGGATCAAATTCAAACATAACAATATTAATCTTAAATGTAAATGGACTAAATGCCCCAATTAAAAGACACAGATTGGCAAATTGGATAAAGAGTCAAGACCCATCAGTGTGCTATATTCAGGAGACCCACCTCACGTGCAAAGATACACATAGGCTCAAAATAAAGGGATGGAGGAAGGGCTACCAAGCAAACGGAAACCAAAAAAAGCAGGGGTTACAATCCTAGTCTCTGATAAAACAGACTTTAAACCAACAAATTTCAAAAGAGACAAACAAGGCCACTACACAATGGTAAAGGAATCAATTCAACAAGAAGAGCTGACTGTCCTAAATATATATGCACCCAATACAGGAGCACTCAGATTCATAAATCAAGTCCTTAGAGACCTACAAAGAGACAGACTCCCATACAATAATAATGGGAGACTTTAACACCTAACTGTCAATATCAGACAGATCAACAAGACAGAAGGTTAACAAGGATTTCCAGGAATTGAACTCAGCTCTAGACCGAGCAGACCTAATAGACATCTACAGAACTCTACACCCCAAATCAACAGAATATACATTCTTCTCAGCACCACATCACACTTATTCTAAAATTGACCACATAATTGGTAGTAAGACACTCCTCAGCAAACGTGAAAGAACAGAAATCACAACAAACTGTCTCTCAGACCACAGTGCAATCAAGCTAGAACTCAGAGTTAATAAACTCACCTAAAACCACACAACTACATGGACACTGAACAACCTGATCCTGAATGACTACTGGGTAAATAACAAAATGAAGGCAGAAATAAAGATACTCTTTGAAACCAATGAGAACAAAGACACAATGTACCAGAATCTCTGGGATACATTTAAAGGAGTGTGTAGAGGGAAATTTATAGCACTAAATGCTCACAGGAGAAAGCAGGAAAGATCTAAAATCGACACCCTAACTTCACAATTAAAAGAACCAGAGAAGCAAGAGCAAACACATTCAAAAGCTAGCAGAAGGCAAGAAATAACTAAGATCAGAGCAGAACTGAAGGAGATAGAGACAAAAAAAAACCCTCCAAAAAAATCAATGAATCCAGGAGCTGGTTTTTGGAAAAGATCAACAAAATAGATAGACCACTAGCAAGACTAATAAAGAAGAAAAGAGAGAAGAATCAAATAGATGCAATAAAAAATGATAAAGGGTATGTCACTACCGATCCCACAAATACAAACTACCATCAGAGAATACTATAAACACCTCTACACAAATAAAATAGAAAATCTAAAAGAAATAGATATATTCCTGGACAAATACACCCTCCCAAGACTTAACCAGGAAGAGGTTGAATCGCTGAATAAACCAAAAACATGTTCTGAAATTGAAACAATAATTAATAGCCTACCAACCAAAAAAAGTCCAGGACCAGTTGGATTCACAGTCAAATTCTACCAGAAGTACAAAGAGGAGCTGGTACCATTCTTTCTGAAAAGATTCCAATCAATAGAAAAAGAGGGAATCCTCCCTAACCCATTTTATGAGGCTAGCATCATCCTGTTAACAAAGCCTGGTAGAGACACAACAAAAAAAAGAGAATTTTAGGCCAATATCCCTGATGAACATCGATGCGAAAATCCTCAATAAAATACTGGCAAACCAAATCCAGCAGCACGTCAAAAAGCTTATCTACCACAATCAAGTTGGCTTCATCCCTGGGATGCAAGGCTGATTCAACATACTCAAATCAATAAATGTAATCCATCACATAAACAGAACCAACAACAAAAACCACATGATTATCTCAATAGATGCAGAAAAGGCCTTCCACAAAATTCAACACCAGTTCATGCTAAAAACTCTCAATAAGCTAGGTATTGATGGAACGTATCTCAAAATAATAAGAGCTATTTATGACAAACCCACAGCCAATATCATACTGAATGGGCAAAAACTGGAAGCATTCCCTTTGAAAACTGGCACGAGACAAGGATGCCCTCTCTCAACACTCCTATTCAACATAGTGTTGGAAGCTCTGGCTAGGGCAATCAGGCAAGAGAAAGAAATAAAGGGTATTCAATTAGGAAAAGAGGAAGTCAAATTGTCCCTGTTTGCAGATGACATGATCGTATATTTAGAAAACCCTATCATCTCAGCCCAAAATCTCCTTAAGCTGATAAGCAACTTCAGCAAAGACTCGGGATACAAAATCAATGTGCAAAAATCACAAGCATTCCTATACACCAATAATAGACAACCAGAGCCAAATCATGAGTGAACTCCCACTCACAATTACTACAAATAGAATAAAATACCTAGGAACCCAACTTACAAGGGATGTGAAAGACCTCTTCAAGGAGAACTACAAACCACTGCTCAACAAAATAAAAGAGGACACAAACAAATGGAAGAACATTCCGTGCTCATGGATAGAAAGAATCAATATTGTGAAAATGGCCATACTGCCCAAGGTAATTTATAGATTCAATGCTATCCCCATCAAGCTACCAATGACTTTCTCCACAGAATTGGAAAAAACTACTTTAAACTTCATATGGAACCAAAACAGAGCCCTCATAGCCAAGACAATCCTAAGCCAAAAGAACAAAGCTGAAGGTATCACATTACCTGACTTCAAACTATACTACAAGGCTACAGTAACCAAAACAGCATGGTACTGGTATGAAAACAGATATATGGACCAATGGAACAGAACAGAGTCCTCAGAAATAACACCACACATCTACAACCATCTGATCTTTGACAAACCTGACAAAAACAAGAAATGAGGAAAGGATTCCCTATTTAATAAATGATTCTGGGAAAACTGGCTAGCCATATGTAGAAAGCTGAAACTGGATCCCTTCCTTACACTGTATACAAAAATTAACTCAAGATGGATTAAAGACTTGAATATAAGACCTAACACCATAAAAACCCTAGAATAAATCCTAGGCAATACCATTCAGGACATAGGCATTGGCAAAGACTTCATGACTAAAACACCAAAAGCAATGGCAACAAAAGCCAAAATAGACAAATGGGATCTAATTAAACTAAAGAGCTTCTGCACAGCAAAAGAAACTATCATCAGCATGAACAAGCAATCTATAGAATGGGAGAAAATCTTTGCAATCTTCCCGTCTGACAAAGGGCTAATATCCAGAATCTACAAATAACTTAAACAATTTTACAAGAAAAAAACAAACAATCCCACCAAAAATTGGGCAAAGGATATGAACAGACACTTCTCAAAAGAAGACATTTATGCAGCCAACAGACACATGAAAAAATGCTCATTATCACTGGTCATCAGAGAAATGCAAATCAAAACCACAATGAGATACCATCTCATAGAATGGCGATTATTAAAAAGTCAGGAAACAACAGATGCTGGAGAGGATGTGGAGAAATAGGAACGCTTTTACAGTGTTGGTGAGAGTGTAAATTAGTTCAACCATTGTGGAAGTCAGTGTGGCAATTCCTCAAGAATCTAAAACTAGAAATACCATTTGACCCGGCGATCCCATTACTGGTTATATACCCAAAGGATTATAAATCATGCAACTATAAAGACACATGCACACGTTTGTTTATTGTGGCAGTATTCACAGTAGCAAAGACTTGGAACCAACCCAAATGTCCATCAATGATAGACTGGATTAAGAAAATGTGGCACATAATGCACCATGGTATACTATGCAGCCATAAAAAAAGATGAGCTCATGTCCTTTGTAAGGACATAGATGAAGCTGGAAACCATCATTCTAAGCAAACTATCACAAGGACAGAAAACCAAACATCGCATGTTCTCACTCATAGGTGGGATTTGGACAACGAGAACACATGGACACAGGGCAGGGAACATCACATACTGGGACCTGTTGGGAGGTGGGGAGCTGGGGGAGGGATAGCATTAGGAGAAATACCTAATGTAAATGACGAGTTAACGAGTGAAGCAAACCAACACGGCACATGTATACCTATGTAACAAACCTGCACATTGTGCACATGTACCCTAGAACTTAAAGTATAACAATAATAAGATAAAACAGACTTTAAATTAAAAGTATTAAAATTAAAATGGTAAAGGGATCAATTTAGCAAGGAGAGGCAATAACAATCCTGAATACATATGCATCTAACATTAGAGCACCCAAATTTACAAAATAATTATTACTAGACCTAAATATGTAGATAAACAGAAATGCAGTAATAGTTGGGCATTCAACACCTCACTCATAGCAGCAGACAAATCATCAAGACAGAAAATTAACAAAAAATGTTGGACTTAAATCTGACAGTAGACCAAATAGGCTTAACAGACATTTACAGAACATTCTGTGCAACAGCTGAAGAATATACATTTTTTCTTCAGTAGATGGAACATTCTTCAAGATAGACTACGTTTGGCCACAAAATAAGTCTTAACAAATTTTTAAAAATCATACCAAGTATCTTCTCATGACACAGTAGAATAAAGCCAGACATCAATACCAAGGGAAACTTTGGAATCTGTACAAATACATGGAAATAAGCTGCATGCTCCTGAATGATCATTGGGTCAACAAAGAAATTCAAACAGAAATTTAAATTGTTTGGAAATAAATAAAAATGAAAATATGACATACCAAAACCTGTGGGATACAGCAAACGCAGTGCTAAGAGGGAAGTTTATACCATGAAATGCCTAATCAGAAAAGTAGAAAGAGCACAAATTAACAACCTAACATCACACTTCAAGGAAATAGAAAAGCAAGATCAATCCAAACCCCAGGTTAGCAAAAGAAAGGGAATAACACAGATCAGAACAGAACTAAATGGAATAGAGACAAAAAAAAGAATCAACAAAATGAAAAGTTGGTTCCTCAAAAAGATAAACAAAATTGATAAACCACTAGCAGACTCACCAAGAAGATAGAACATCCAAATAAAAATGTTCAGAAATGAAAAAAGGAAACATTTCAACTAATACTACATAAATGTGAGATCATCAGAGACTATTATGCACAGCTATATGCTCACAAACTAGAAAACCTGAAATGGATAAATTTCTGGAAACATACAACCTCCCTAGACTGAACCAGAAAGAAATAGAACTTGTGAACAAACCAATAACAAATATTGAGATTGAATCAGTAATAACAATTTCCCACTCCGAAAAAAGCCCAGGACCAGATGGATTCACAGATATATGTATGAATTCTATTAAACATACAATGAAGAACTAATACCAATCTTCCTGAAACTATTCTGAAAAATCAAGGAGGAGTGAATTCTCCCTAACTCATTCTGTGAGGCCACCCTGATACCAAAACCAGAAAAAAATACAACAAAAATAAAACTACAGACCAACATACCTGATGAACATAGACACAAAATCCTCAAGAAAATACTAGCAAATCCAATCCAACAGCACATCAAAAGGATAATACACCATATCAGATGGAATTTATCCTAGGGATGTGAGGATGCTTCAACATATGCAAATCAATAAATGTGATACACTGCATAAACAAAATTAAGGACAAAAACCATATGATTATCTCAATAGACACAGAAAAATCATCTGATAAAATTTAACATCCATTCATGATAAAAATCTTCAACAAATTAGGCAGAGAAATAACAAACCTTAACATAATAATGCCCATTAATGACAACCCAACAGGCAACATCATATTGAATGGGGAATATGTGAAAGCATTCCCTCTAAGAAGTGAAACAAGACAAGGATGCCCACTTTCACTACTCTTATTCAACATAGTACTGGAAGTCCTTGTCAGAGCAATTGGGCAAGAAATACAAATAAAACGCATCAAAATTGGAAAAGAGAATGGTGTGTTTTCCCTGTTTGCTGATGATAAGACCTTCTATCTAGAAAAGTCTAAAGACTCCATCAGAAACTCTTCGATTTGATAAATGAACTCAGTAAAGTTTCTGGATACAAATCAATGTACAGAAATCAGTAGTGTTTCTATACAACAATAATGATCTTGCCGAGGACTGAATCAATAAAGCAATCCCACTTACAATAACTACAAAAAAAATCTAGAAAGATATTTAACCAAGGAGGTAAAAGATCTTTATAAGGAAAATTATAAAACACTGGTGAAATTGTAGGTGACACAAAGAAATGAAAAAAAAATCCCATGCTCATAGATTGGAAGAATTAATATTGCTGTAATGGCCATACTGCCCAAAGCAATCTACAAGTTCAATTCAATCTCTATCAAAATACCAGTGTCATTTTTCACAGAATGATTAAAAAAATTATAAAGTTCATTAGAAATCAAAAAGAACTCAAATAGCCAGAGCAAACCTAAGCAAGAAGAACAAAGCCGAAGGCATCACATTGCCTGACTTCAAATTATACTACAAAGCCATAGTAACCAAAAGAGCATGGGACTGTTTTTTTTTAAAAAAAGACATACATACATAGATTAATGGAACAGAATAGAGAACTGAGAAATAAGGCCACATACTTAGAGCCAACTAATCTTTGACAAAGTTGATAAGAATGTACACTGGGGAAAGGACACTTTTTTCAATAAATGATGCTAGAGAAATTGGACTGCCATATGCAGAAGAATGAAACTAGACCCCTATCTCTCACCATACACAAAAATCCACTCAAGATGGATTAGAGACTTAAATGTAAGACCTGAAACTGTAAAAATACTAGAAGAAAATCTAGGGAAAACTCTTCTAGACATTAGTTTAAGCAAATAATTTATGACTAAGGCCTCAAAAGCACAGGCATCAACAATAAAATTAGACAGATAAGACTTAATTAAACTAAAAGGCTTCTGCAAAGCAAAAGAAATAATCAACAGAGTGAACAGTACAAACTCTTCGAAAAACAGTGTGGAGATTTCTCAAAGAATTAAAAACAGGACTACTATATGATCCAGCAATCCCACTACTGGGTACCTACACAAAAGAAAAGAAATCATTATATCAAAAAGATATCTACACTTGTATGTCTATTGCAGCATCAAGATAGGAAAGATATGGAATCAACCTAAGTGTCCATCAGTGGAGGACTGGATAAAGAAAATGTGGTGCATATACACAGCAAAATACTATTTAGCCATTTTTTCTTATTATAAAAAATAAGCCATTTATTACCATTTGCTTTTCTAAAAAACACAAATGTGAGAATAAAATAAACACACCCAAGACTCACTAGCCTTTGAAGAACAGGAAGCAGCCCTGGACAGAGAGCCTGCAAATGTGTTTCCTTATACCTAAAATGTCTGAACTTCCTCACACATTCTAGGGTTTCATGTTTTATTACCTCTTACAAAGGAAAGGAAACTGTCTGGAAGATTCATGTTCAAGAAAGTTACAACAACTTTAAAGCTATGCGGCCTGTACAATCTCGTTTGCCACTCTGGGAAACAATATCAAAAAAGCACTGTCAAGTACTACTCCCAGACAACCTTTATTGTCATTGTTCTTTGAAGTTATCTTTGGGACTGGTTATGTTCTCTCACTGTAGCTTTTGTGTATTTCAGAGCACAAACCCTAAAGTCTCCAGTTTAAAGCACAGTCTCAGCCAGGAGCAGTGGCTCACACCTGTAATCCCAGCACTTTGGGAAGTCGAGATGGGTGGACCACCTGAGGTCAGGAGTTCAAGACCAGCCTCGCCAACATGGCGAAACCCTGTCTCTACTAAAAATACAAAAAATTTAGCCAGGCGTGGTGGCAGGTGCCTGTAATCCCAGCTACTCAGGAGGCTAAGGCAGAAGAATCTCTTGAACCTGGGAGGCAGTGGTTGCAGTGAGCCGAGATCACGACATTGCACTCTAGCCCTGGAGACAAGAGCAAAACTCTGTCCAAAAAAATAAAAAATAATAAAATAAAGCACAGTCTCCATGTTCAAGTATAAAAGTCTGTTTCAGGACAACCCCAGGTTGCTGTATTGTTTCTTTGTATCTCTGTAGTGTCTACTGGGTGCTGCACCCTTGGACAGGCTGGCCAAATGGTAGCACAATGCAGGGGACCACTCTGTCAACTTCCCCACTGCCAAACTCACACCCCATTCAAACTGGACATGGCCCACAGTCAAAGCTGAAATCTTGAAATCGGTGAGACTTTGTTCCATTTTAATTCTGAAGTTGCACTTTGTGATGGTTAATACTGAATGCCAACTTGATCGGATAGAAGAATGCAAAGTATTGTTCCTGGGTATGCCTGTGAGGGTGTTGCCAAAGGAGATTAACATTTGAGTCAGTGGATGGGAAAGGCAGACCCACCCTTAATCTGGGTGGGCACCATCTAATCAGCTGCCAGCACTGCCAGAATAAAAGCAGGCAGAAGACCGTGAAAAGAGTAGACTGACTTAGCCTCTGAGCCGACATCTTTCTCCTGTGCTGGAGCTTCCTGCCCTCAAACATCAGACTCCAAGTTCTTCAGCTTTGGGACTGGGACTGACTTCCTTGCTCCTCAGTTTGCAGACCACCTGTTGTGGGACCCTGCAATCCTGTGAGTTAATACTCCTTAATAAACTCTCCTTTACATATACATCTATCCTATTAGTTCTGTCCCTCTAGAGAAGTCTGGTTAATACACACTTTTATGTAACCGAAGCCACTTCTTCACCAATAATCAAATGTAACTTTCAAAAGGTGTCAGGGATATTCTTGGGAAGTGCTCTGGGGTAGAGCTGGAGTGTCCTGGCCCTTTGGGCTCTGGTCGGGGAGCTGGCGCTGCTGCTTTTTTTCCTGGCCTCCAGAAACTCATGAATTGCTCCTTCCACTGGTGGCCTGAGGATGTGGTTTAATTTTGGATCCACTGTCTGAGAAATAACCCTGTCTACTCCAGCTTCCAGTGTCCCTGACTGAACCTCACTCTGCGTCTGATCATTTCCCAATAGGCTTTTGTGCATCGTAGGATTCCAGTCCTGCTCATCCAGGTGTACAGACACCGAATGCTCAGCTTTCCGCCTCGGGTTTTGGTAAGCTGGTTTGGTGTCCATGGGGGCCTGGCTCTTGAGCTGCTCCAGGCTGAGAGCAGCGAGCTGCGGGTTCCCGGGAGGCAGCGAGGCGGGTTGATGGGGCCGCCCTCCCGCCTAAGCCTGGCCAGCTCCACCACCACCGACCACGATGGCTGCGCCCCGGGCCGCGAGGAAGATGGAACACAGCTTCTTCTCCAGGACCGAGAGCCCAGAATGTGTAGAGGGGCAGAGGGGGCAGAGGATGAGCTGGAAGAGGGTCCCAAGGAGGCAGCGGCAGAGGTGATGGTGGTGGCGGCCAGCTCTGAGATAGTGGAAGTGGTGGTAGAGGCCATGGAAACCGCCTCTATTTAGCCATTTAAAAAGAACGAAATCATGTCTTTTGCAGCAAGATGGACGGAACTGGAGGCCATTATCTTAAGTGAAACAACTCAGACACAGAAGGATGAACATCACATGTTCTTGCTTAGACGTAGGAGCTAAATAAGTGCACACACGGAAGCAGGTGTGTAATGATGGACAATGGAGACTCGCAGGCTGGAGGCGTTGGAAGGGGGTGGGTAATGGGAGGTTGCCTGATGGGTAGAATGTGCTTGCTTCAGTGATTAATACACTGAAGGCCCTAACTTCACCACAATGCAATATATCAATGTAGCAAAATTGCCCTTGCATCCCATGATTGTATATACAAATAAAAAAATAAAGACCAGACTAAAAGGGACCCCCTCACCTTCATCTGTGCCCATGCCTAAAAAGCAGCTCAGTTCAGAATACACATTGGGAAGTTTGAAAGTACAAATCGATTCCACATTTGGTGAGTAGGAATCATGTTTAAGGCACTGTGCTACAGTGTGAGTACAAAAATTATTATTAAGTCACGGTGCTTGCCCTACAAGGATTTATAAGCTAAATCCTAACAGGGGAGATGGACTCTTCAGTAGATAATTGCAAGAATATATGGCAGGTAATACGATAAAGCCATCTCTGGGAGCTTTCAGTACACAAAAAACTGTGTTTAGACAGGACTAAGTGTTGAAATAATGAAAATGTAGAGATGTGATAAATACTTCCAGAAAGACAAGATGCTCAAGGGATTCATAAAGGTGAATAAAAGTTTCCAGGATAAAAGAGGTTGAGGAAATTGTGGTAGACAGAGATCTGCATGATCACAGATACAAAGAAGTGAAATCAAAGAGAAATTGCAAGTATTTTAGGACTACTAGAGTATAAAATTGTTGGGTGGAAGCTGGCGGGAGATAGAGCCAGACAGGAAGAGGGAGGCTACTGTCAGAAGAACAAAATTACAACAAATTTAGTCTAAACATCTCAATTAGCTTTATTGTAATCCTAGAGTCGGCCAACACTTCATTCCATAAAATAGAATAAGTGTTCCAGTGGGTAAACGTTGTTGACTTTATAGACAGAAAAAAGATTGAAGAAAGCAAATACAAAGGACAAAAAGCAGATTGGTCATTTCAAAGTTACTTTCCTCTTCAGGTGGGGATGGCCAGGCAGAAAAATAGAAAAATAATAGATTAATTAACATAAGATTACTTCAGGTTAGTCAAGGATTAAAACAGAGAGAATGTCATTATTAAGCCCACCGAACATTGAAAGTGGCCTGTTTGGAAAATTGTTGTTGATGTCTCCTGATTTCTTAAAAGATAACAACTTACTTTTGGTTTGGTGAGCATTGGTGACTTCATTTTTATTTTTAGTCTGATCTATTGAGGACCTAGTGCAGGAGCTTAGTCCAAAACAATGACTCCCTGTAATTGTTATTTAACATTACCATTTACAAATTATTTTTGTTATATGAAAACTGAAAAAAAATTAAAGACAGTAATTTAGAAAGTCTATTTAAAACAATGGTTTTTCTTTTCTTCCATTTCTATAGTTCTTAAATATTCCATTGAAATATATTTTCCTCCATGGAAAATTTCTGGTCTCCTTCACCATTTTGTATTTTATTAAGTCTGTTACTTTTGACTTTATATTGTAAGCATTTGCATAAAGAACATTTACCTTTCTTCCCTTTCCTACATCGTAAAACCATCCTGAAAATAAGGGTTTTTACACAGTGCCTAGGATCATAAGTTCTCAATGCAATGAATTTGTGTGGTACTTTGAACTTTTCTAAGCACATCCATTCACACTTATATTTGTAAATGAACTCCCTTAACATGACACGTTTTTCCCTCTATAAGGAGCTCAACACACTTTTTCTCCAATTCTAAAGAGGTGTTTTTTTGTTTTGTTTTGTTTTGTTTTCATGAGTCAAGGACAAGGGGCAGTCCTAAGAGATCTATAACTAGATCTTTAACCAAAGGATACAGCTTTTAAGAGATTGGATGTAGCTTTATGGAAAGAAGTATAAAGAGAATTGGATTGGAGAAAAAAATTACATTTTCTTGTAACTTTCCTGCACAGGATCAATCTTTTGATAATTCTCACCCTATTATGCCCATGGTATGAGAAGACCTTGTGGGAGATTACCCCTATTGTAGGAAGGCAAGAAAAAAGAACGATTAAGAAAAAACACAAATCAGATGTAGAGGAGAATATTCAGGTTTTCTACCACTAGTCTAGGAAAGAAGCTTATCTTGATTGATTTACTAGGTGAAGAAACCACATAGTAAGTCTGTAATTGCTGTCTAGCTGTGTTAAGGGATGCATTTGCCTAGATAGTTTTCCATTCATTTAGTGCTTGGAACTCCACAGGGCCTAATTTGATGATACCAACATTCTGTTACCAAAATGGAACTGGTATCATGATCCTTTTTCTCTGAAATAATATAAACAAGCACCAGAAAGGTAAGGTTATTTGCTTAAGGTCACAAATCTAATTAGTTTTGAACAAATGTCAGCATCAGAGTGATTTATAATCATTTATATTATTTCAACATAAATGCTAATTTTCAATAAACTTTTAATTTAATGAAAATAAAAATAAACAATTTGAGACAAACCAGAATACTAAGCTACTACAAAAGAAAAACTACTTTACAAAATGATGGAGGGTATTTTTATTGTGTGAGATTTTGTTTTGTTTTTTTCCTAAAACCATAGCAAAATTGACTTCATCACTCAATTCAAATAAAGAATCCTCTTTGAAAGTTTGGCTAGCATTTCCAGGAAATCATATATTTTAATTGTTTAATTGGTGTTTAATTGCACCAGTTTTAACTGTTCCGATGCCACAGAGTGCCTATCTTTGAAAAAGATTGAGGTTCTCAATACCTACATTTTCTGCAAATTACAGTCATGCTGAGTTACATGCGTTGGTGACTGGGTCCAGGACTCCCCAACTATACCAAATTCTATGCATACTCAAGATTTGCAGGCCCTGTGAAATCTGAATATACAAAGTTGGCCTTCTATACCCACAGTTTTCAAATCTCATGAATACCGTATTTTTGATCCACATTTGGTTGAAAAAAAAAATCCATGTACAAGTGGACCCACTCAGTTCAAATCCATATTTTTCAAGGATCAACTATATTTCTTTTTAATATTTATGTGCATTGTGGTTACAAAATAGGGTTACTTTTCATTTAGACCAAAACTACGAAAAATTTACTTAATTTCATGCTAAATATACATGTTTGGTCTTGAAAGCAAATACACCCCAATACACATAAATATACCTGTGTATGGTGCTTGTGAGCACGCACACTCATACACATTGCTACATCGAGCAAAAAACTTACTCTTTTCCACATTCATCTGAGCATTCTTCTCTTCTTTTCCTTTCTTTCTTTCACTCACTTCTTTTATTTCACGGTTGTATTTAAAATTGTTCAGGAATGAAGAGGCAGAAGCTTGGTGGAGGTGGGGAAGAGATTGGTGTAGACAGATTAAAGGAGGACAGCAAAAAGATGGATGAAAAAGAAAAGAGATGAAGAATTGTTGCCTAATAACATTGGGCTCCTTTATTACCCATGTCAAGCATAATTTTCAGTGACTATGATCCTGGCAAAATTTCCTCACCAGAAAACACTGTATATCAGAGAGCATATCAGTGGAGTAAGTAGTTTCTCAAGGTTGCTTTCAAGGTTATGATTCTGAAACAAATCAAAGTGAAAGTCAGATTTTAGCTCCTATATTTGATCCCAATGTCATAAATGCTATCTGTAACTGGTACATTATTACTGGTACCAAAGTATGTGGATTAGGAATTCATAGAATCAGGGGACCTCTGGTCTCCAAAAGATGTAGTCCAATGCTCCTGCAGTTAGAAAAAAGAGTGAATAAATGACAAAAAGCAGCCTTTAAATAAAGCAGATTGGAGTAGAGGGAATAGGAGTTAGATGAACTGGAATTGCAGCAACAGGGGAGCGCCTTCCAGAGTGTGTTATCTGGGTGAAGTCGGAGGAAAATGATATCAGCAAGGATTTTGGCAGGCAGGTGGACTGAGTGGAAATGAGGCCAGTTTCTGCCTAGAGGACTCTTGTTGAATTCTGGCACTACCCATTGTAGGCCAGGGAACCAAGGGCTTTGAAGGCAGAGTGAAATTTCCCATAACCTTATGATGCTTATGAAACAAAATTCCTTTATAAAGATTAAGCTTGTCTCAAACATATGAAGCAATTTGGAACTCTCATATATTACTAGCAGGAGGATAAGTTAAAACTACCACATTAGAAACCTCTTTCACAGGATCTACTAAAGTAAATATATATATACATTGTAACCCAGAAATTCTACTTCTGGGAAATTACCCAAGAGAAATGGCATGTACCCACCCAAAGATATGTATAAGAGTATTTACAGCAGCTTTATTTGTAATAGCCAAAATTGGTGGGAGGAGACCCTTGGTCAATGGTAGAATGGATAAGTAAGTAGTGGTATATTTAAACAAGAGAGCAAATAGATAGAACAAATTGCCACTGTTTGCGATAACATGAGGGAATCTTTCAGACAAAATATTTAGGAAACAATACCCCACCAAAAGAGTGTGTACTGCATGATTCTGTTTATATGAAGTTCACAAACAAATCTAAGATTATATAGGTCAGTTATTGTTTAGTTTGGGGGAGGTATCAACTGGCAGGGACTTAAGGAAATGTGTTATGGTGGAGAAAATGTTGTATATCAAACTAGTGGTATTTACCTGGTTATATTCTTATATAAAAATTCATCATGCTGTGCACTGAAGTAAAGCCTCAATAAAAATACCACAGATTCATTTAACTTTACAACTAGAAAGAAGCTTAGTGGTCACCTTAGCCAACTTCTGTTTCACAGATGAGGAAACTAAGGCTTAGAAAAATTACAAAGCTTGTTAGTGTCACACAGGTAACATCCATTTGGTCAACAAGTGCTTGCTCTTTGCTTAGGATACAGGTTAATCAAGAAAGACCTATACCTGCTTTCATGAAGCCTACTCCTTAGTTATGGAAAGATAAATTAAATAATATAAAAATAGAGATATAATTGCCTATTGCGATACATTTTTTTGAAGGACTATCACAAAGTGTTTTAGTAACTATACCTGGAATTGGAACCCAGATCACTTGACTCAGAGTGGTGAGCTCTTGACTTCAACAATACTGCCTTTTTTGGAACTCTCATACATTACCGTAAACTTTAAATTTTGCAAAACTAGAAACAAATTCTAGATCTACATATATTTATTTTTTCTGATTTCAAAGGTGAACCTTTAATTGTAAAGCATAAGCAAAGCAGTAAACAAATTTAAAGGGATGGCTCTGCCAAAACTTGCCAAAAATATCTAGTCTCAGGAGGGAAGGTACTGATAAAATTACTGGACTTGATATTTGTCTCCTGCATTTTAAATCTCAGTTCTTTAGGTTTATAAGTTGTACGGACTAGCAATAGTCTCTGTACCACTTTTCCTTAGTACAGCAGCCTCCAGTACCTGTTCATGTGATATTTCTGTGGATTCAATGGGTATAAATTAGCCAGTTTAGAAAACAGAACTGAAATTGAATCAATCGCAAGCCAGCTAAGATAGCCACAATAAAATTAAAATACACAACACATCTGATTTCTTAACCAACTCACAGTCAATTACTTTGGCATTTGTTTTGAAAGACATCACCTACTGCTCAATACCTGGTTGAGGCAGATTGTCTCTTCAGAAAGCCTGGTCCAATTTTTCTGCAACAAGATACAAATAATTAGTAACCTCAGTTTTCTTTGATAGGAAGCACTGTAACATCATTGTCTTAACTTCGGTCCCCTTAGAAATAGATCCTGAGACAAGAATTTAAGAGAAAGTAGCTCATAGGAAGCACCAATAGGAAAGTGGAGAAATGAGAGAGAAGGGGCTGCACACCAGGGACTTCATCAGGTTTCAACCAATGGGAGACCATGGGACACGCCTCAGAGTTGGCCCACCGGAGCGGTGAGAAGGCCGGAGTATTTATACACCATCTCCTATCCATTATTGTTGGAAGGCTGTCCTGGGGCCTTAGCTCCCTGGTAGTTCTAGCCAAGCCCTTGTGTAGGCTGAGCACACAGATATACCTAGAAAAGGCCCACAGGCAAAAAGTGACAGCTATTTGCAGCCAGAAGCCATCTCTGAATAAGGAAATGACACATACTGAGGGCATACAGATGGGCGGCAACAACACTGGCTGCACATATAACTCAATTAGTGGAGCATTCATGCAAGAGCATCAGTTCTTAGACACAAGTGTCAGGCATGTAGTTAAAACACTGGTTAATTGATTAAGTAGAAATCAGCTAAGAAAAGAATAGTAACTTGCTTTAAAAATGGAAAAACACCATAGGAATAAAGCTATTCTTTTGTTCTCTTATTACTTAAACTATGTACCACTTGTGGCCTAAGTTGAATGATCAAAGGAATTGCTTTTCTGAGTAACAAAGTCACCCTAGGTCTTCACATGCAGCAGGAGTCCTCCAGGTCAGCTTCAGTGGAAATAAGCTAACAGTGGGACACATAAGATGTCAAGGGATTATTCCAGTGGAAAAGGACACAGTAAAAATATACAGATAAAAGGCCAGGCATGGTGGCTCATGCCTGTAATCCCAGCATTTTGGGAGGCCAAGGCGGGGGGATCACTTGAGGTCAGGAGGTCGGGACCAGCCTGGCCAACATGGTAAACCCCCTCTCTACAAAAATACAAAAATTAGCCGGGTTTGGTGGCACGTGCCTGTAGTCCCAGCTACTCAGGAGGCTGAGGCAGGAGAATTGCTTGAACCCGGGAGGCGGAGGTTACAGTGAGCTGAGATCAAGCCACTGCATTCCAGTCTGGGCAACACTGTCTCAAAAAAATAAAAGTGAAAAAAGGGTACCAATAGAATACTTAATTTCTTTTTAATTTAATGAAAGAAAAAATACTAAGTGGAAACTAAAGAAATTGCTAAACTTTAAATAACTCTGTATCATATTAGTTTCCAAAACATTCCTCAAAGGTTAAGAAGAGGAATTATAAAATCTAATAAGGGATTGGCAACCTTGGAGTTCATTAACTAAATCATTCAACTTGAGATCATATAAATTATCTTTCCTTTCTGACAGATAAAGTCATTAGCATGATGTCATTTCCCTGCCTACCTCCTGGTTTTTTTTATTATATTTTTTGTTATCAAGATATAACAATTTACATACTTCTTTTTGGCCATAATTTTCACAATTATGTATTATTCACTTTATATTTAGGTGAAGATACTGCTCTTCACTAGTCCTTTTGTTGCAGCCTCTCCATTCCTAAAGTCTTTATTTTTATTCATTTTTTTGTTGGCTGAAATTCATGGTCAAGCAGATTTTTCACAAAGAAATCTTGAGTACTTGTAATTCTTAATTTTTTTTAAATGTTTGCCTTTATTCTTAATTGATGTCTTGGCTGGGAATAATATCCTTCCCTCATACTTTCCTTTCTTCAGTGCTCCTTTATAGCCATTTCTCCCTTATATTAGAGTATTCAATGTTGCTAAGAAGTAATCTGATGCTAGCATGAAAATTTACCATCGTAAATGACTTGCTCACAGCCCAGAACATAATAACTTTTCTTTTATTCTGGTACTATTGCTGTTGAGCATTTTGTATCTATTTTCCTAGAATATGCTGTGGGGATTTATCTTCTTTCCTCCCTTCCTTCCTTCCCCTATTTTCTTCCTTTTTTTTAAATTTCTGTAAGAGAAAGTTTTCACTTTCTTTCTTTCTTCTTTTTTTTTTTTTTTTTGAGATGGAGTTTTGCTCTTGTGGTCCAGGCTAGAGTGCAGTGACCTGATCTCGGTTCACTGCAACCTCTGCCTCGCAGGTTCAAGGGATTCTCCTGCCTCAGCCTCCTGAGTAGCTGGGATTACAGGCATGCACCACCATGCCTGGCTAATTTTGTATTTTTAGTAGAGCTGGGGTTTCTCCATGTTGGTCAGGCTGGTCTTGAACTCCCAGCCTCAGGTGATCCATCTGCCTCAGCCTCCCAAAGTGCTGGAATTACAGGCATGAGCCACCGCACCTAGCCAAAGTTGCCACTTTCATCTGAGAGGAGTCCCGTCTCCTATCTCACCTATTTCTTCCCAACAGCCATTTCCACTACACTGTAGCCAGAAGACAAAGGACAAAGTCACTCACTTTGTTTTTCTCACACCTGGATCAGGATTTTGTGTACTTACTAATATGGTTTCTGAGGAATGGAGGAAAGATTAGTAGTATTCTCATACCCTACTGTGGTCTTCTATTTTGTTCCCTCTGAAGTTTCTTGTTTCTTTCCTTAGCTACCACATTTTAGTTGAATGGCATTGAGTTTTTTCTATTGAATGTTTTCACTGACTCTTTACTATTTTTGTTAAATTTCTTATGCAGAAATGTTTTATCTAAAGCAGTTGCATTCTTACATCTTAACACTGATACATCTAGAATTTATATTCTTAAAATCCCTAGAATTTATATTCTTAAATTTTGTGTTCAGATGCTCACAGGGTTTGAGATTACTGATTTCATGTATTTTTGTGCACAATAGTGCTCACTTTCTCCATCTAGGTTATATTTATTCTCCCTGAGCCTCAGTGTGACTTTATCTGCAAAAGGAGAATAAGATCTGTATTAGTGCGTTCTCACGCTGCTGTAAAGAACTGCTGGAGACTGGGTAATTTATAAAGGAAAGAGGTTTGATTGACTCACAGTTCCACATTGCTGGGAGGGCTCAGGAAACTTACAATCATGGCAGAAGGCAAAGGAGAAGTAGTCACCTTTGTCACAGGGCAGCAAGATGGAGTGAGTGCAATCGGGAAATGCCAGATGCTTATAAAACCGTCAGATCTCATGAGACTCACTCACTTTGATGAGAACAGCACAGGGGAAACCGCCCCCATGATCCGATTACCTCCACCTGGTCCCAGCCTTGACATGTGGGGATTGTGGGGATTACAATTCAAGGTGAAATTTTGGGTGGGGACACAGCCAAACTATATCAAGATTTCTCAGGCTACACCTTAGTTTGAGGTTGTGGCAATGAGATAAATGAGGGAATTTGTACTAATATCTTTCGAAAACTTTCACATGCTCAAGAAAGATATTATTACCGTAATTTCCTCTTTCCTGTCTCTACATCTGTTTTGGTATTATAGGGGCTAAACTAGTTTCAGATTTTTCATAGATTTTATTATTTTACTGTATTTTACTAGACTAAGCTATTACAGTGGATAAATTAAAGATCCCTCTCTTTTGTATTGTTTTATCATAGAAACCTTAAAACAGCCTGGAAGATGGCCAGTTACTCATCTTTGAATGGCATAAATTCAATGATTATTTTTAAATGATAGATTCATTTCTTTGTAACCTGAAATTCCACCATAAAGGAAACCTAAACGGCTAAAAAATAAATAAGAAAAGAAATGAAGGGAACGAGTTAGTCATTTTGCATCAATTTACAATACTGTTTGCACTGAACAGATGATTACAGCAGAGAAAAGTAACATGAAAGGATTTCTTTCTTTAGATCCACCCTAGGGGCAGGCAACAGAGAAGACGAACAGCTGAACACACAGAGATGGGAAGCCTGTGTATGCAGTAAATCAGAAAGATAAAGGACACTAAGTAAATGTTCCCACTCATTTCTGAAACTAAAAGCTGTGATCTGGTTTATGATGATAATCAAGTGGAAATCCACCTTAATCCTATGTCAAATGAAGTTCTGTAGGCCCCTTGTAAAATCTAGTAACTTTTTCTTCATACTGAAAGATCTGTAAAAGTTTATAGGTCTTTAACTCGTTTGTTTTTATGACTGAGCTTTCTTAGAATTTTGCCAATATGGCACCTACCTATTGAGGACAGGCATTGCTGAACCTCCTTTTGTCCTCCCAACAACTTAGTCATATCTCTGTTCCTTGCTGTCGATTTTCCATCTCAAAAATTATGGCAGACACTCTACCTTCCAGACCCACTTACCTTGAATTTTTTAGATCAAAAGACCACTTCTTAGCATACATCCTTTTCTCTTCAAGCCTCAGGACCCACCATCCCATGGCTGTCCTCACACAGTCACAGTGAAGGGCCCATTAAGGAAGCACTTCCCCTGGTCATGATATCTAGGGGTTTGAAAATAGCCTTGGAAGTCTCATGGTTCCAAATAATGGTAAGATCCACGTACAAAATGAGCCAAACGGCAGAGTCTAGAAAACTTTGCTTAAGATATTTCAAAGCTGTATGTGTTTTATTTATAAATAACATTTAGACACAGAGGTCAATAAGATGTTCCAAAAATTCCCAATTTTTTAGTACAGACACATCAGAGAGGAAAAATAGTATGTTTATATGTTTCTGTCACTTGACAGCAAAAACAAAGGCTGGTCATATCCAGATATCTGAGTAGACATAGTACCAGATCACTTACAAACTACAAGCATTAGATTTATTTATTTATTTTATTTGTGGCACTCCTGAATAATTTCCCTGAATACCTTCATTCTCACTATGTATGCTATGCAATTATATCACATCAGTTATATGACTTTTGGTCGACTTAAACTCACTCTTCACTTGGCATGAATTCTGCTAAAAGAAATACTTGTGAGTAAACAATCTTTAAATTTTAAGCCCTTCTGCTTCCTTCTCCTTCCATGTTTCCTGTGAATTTATTCCACCTGTGCACTGTGGGAGATAGCATAACAAAGCTGGTAAGATATTTTTCATTCATTATCTATTATCCAACTATTTATTCTAGAAACTGTAGCATATTGGAATTTTAGAAGTATATCTTAATATCAGTCACAATTTATACCCGAATACTTTGCTTTAAAAAAAAATCAAATGTAGATATTGATACTCTGAAACTAGAAGGTTTTTAACCAAGGTCAAATTCTTCCTCTGTCCCCAATAGCACCAATTCAATAACTTTTGTGAAGCCCAGGAAATGGGACTGTAGATACTCCAGAAATATGTGCATTATCCTCACAGAAGTGGAGCAGGGATTGATCCTGTTGCTGCACAGATAACTTTATTACACGTGTACACACACATATCTCTGTCACTGCATTCAAAACACTGTCACTTTACTGTCCCCATTGTGTTCTCATGTATTCCTGACCTGTATGATTTTCATAATCTCAAAAAAAAAATTTAATGTGTGAATGGGAAAAGTTAGTAAGGTCCTAATGCAAATGCATAGCCTAGTGGCAAAACAGCATTCGTTAAGGACCCCAGAATCCCTTCCAAGGATGTTGCACCCCATAATCAGCCCCAAGTGTAAGTCTCTTAATGATAGGCAGCTGTTGAAGAAATCTACACTTCTAGCCATTCTCCATGAGGCTGCTAAGGAAATGAGTCATTGGCAACTCACATGTGTAGACTCACTTGTCTTATTTTATTTAATCTTGAGAAAAGAAATCCATAATATTCCCAAAAGATTTCTACACAGAGCATAAACACCAATTATGAAATCATTCAGAGAATTGAGACTAAAAGACTGAGTTCTTGAGAAACTTAAACTCCTCCCTTTCTTAAAATAACATAAATATTAGTAAATGCCTTGGTATGGTCCCGAGGGACTCAGCCTTAGAATTTCCCTTTTCTTAATTTGATCTTAGACCTGAACCCACTTAAAGCCTTCAATTTCACATTTGAAGGTAACTAAAACTGCATTCCCTCACCTTTCTAGCATGTCTTTTTAATATACCATAAAGAACTCAGTACTGTATTCAGTATTTCAGCAAAAAGGCTGCTTGTTAAATTCACAGAAGGAACGCATAAAAGGCAGAAGTAAATAAACGAGACATAGAATTCTTTTTTTCAAATAAAAGAACTTTAAAAATAAATTGGCCTGCAAAACTACTTTTGCAATTACAGTGTCATATTTGGCCCCACTATGTCTCAGAGGCACTGCATAAATATGAACAGAATCGTCTAATGCACTTTTTCAAAACAGTGCTTCTCAGCCAGGGGCTAGTGTGAATTCATTCTACAGCTAGGTGCCGGTGACACTTCGGTTTGCTTTACTGGCAACATTTTGGAGATGCGTCCTATACTAAGAGGAAGGCTAGAAACCAAGCACATGTCAAGAGCCAAATCCACCATGTTACTTCTTTTCGTGCTTCTTGGTTAACTCCCCAACGCCCAGTTGGATGTGGTCCCGGTTGTCACTGATTCTCTCTTCTCTGCGCTGACTCTCCTGGGAGACTTGCTGCACAGCTTGCAGGATTGCATTCTGCACAATCTGTTTGCTGGCATTCTGCAGCTTCACCTCTTCAGGCTCATTTCCAGGTTTCTCACCTAGCCAAAAACATGAAAAGGAGGGGAAAAGGAGAGAAATTAATTTCAGGAATGTGAGAGGGAAAGGTAGAGGAGAAAGATGGGAGGGAAGAGTGAGACTGTAAGAACACACTGGAGTGGACCAGTTAACTATGAGAAGCCCACTAGAGCACATACAATTGGGGGATTGGTCTCAGGACATGCTGTGGATACCAAAGTCCTTGATAGAAAATGACCTAGTGTTTGCATATAATCTACACACATCCTCCCAAACACTTAAAGTCATCTGCAGTTACTTATAATACCTAATATAATATAAATGTAATGTAAATAGTTGTTATACTATATTTTAAAAATTGTATTATTTTCACTGCTGTACTGTTATTACTTTTATTGGGTTTTTTCCAATATTTTTCTTCCATGGTTGTTTGAATCCTAGGATCCTCAGCTGCTAGAGAGACAGTTTCTAGAAAAGAACAGACCGTTGCCCTTTCGCACCTTCCCCACTTCCTTCAGGAAATGCAGACATTAAACGCCTTCAGGTGTTGCATTCATCTTCCAGTAAGCATGAAGATGAAAGCCAACATTCTGGGCATGGCTGGGCAGAAAGAAGCAGACTAATTTTGAAGGCAACACTGAACATCTGTACCAGCCCTGGGCCACGTACTTCTGGGCATTCATGTATGTGATGAAAATATTTCCTTTCTGTTTAATCCAACATTATTCAGGTTTTATGTTACTTGCAGCCAAATACATGCCTAGTGTATATAACCTCGCTGGGGCTGGAGAACAAATGATGACTGAATCCATATCAAGGTCAACTTTGCTCCTATAATAGGATCACAACCAGTGAAACTATCCGAAGCTGCCCACTGTGATCTAAAGCAGGCACTGGCAAACTTTTTCATCAGAACCTGCCCCCCTCCCCGCCTGGTGATCTAGAGCAGGGATTGGCAAACTTTTCTTTAAAGAACCAGATAGGAGACAGTCTAAGTTCATGGGTCGTACAACTTCTGGAACAACTACTCAACTCTGCTGTTGTAGCATGAAATCAGCTATGGATGAGTGCATATGGCTTTCATTCAATAAAACTTTATTTACAAAAAAACAGACCACAGGCCAGATTTGGCCCATGGGCCAGTTTGTCAACCCCCAATCTGGAATGGTGGGAACTTTCTAATTAGAAGGCAAGGCAGTCTACCCAGCACTGATTCTCTGCTTTCTTTCTTAGTTAAAAACAAAATCTTAATTTTATTTGAGTAGTTATGTAACTAGGCATAGCTAAGTTCTGTGGTAGAAGTGGAAGTTCATTTAGTAAAAATTCTGGAAAAGGGATGTAGAAGGGTAAAGTCAGATAAAGGCCTTTTGTCCTCTCCCCATCCTATTGCCTGCAACTCTGGCCTGATAGTTATTACAAGGACCAGAGCCATTAGAACCATTAAAATACAAACTGTTTTCAGGGATTTCAGAAGGAAAAGAAGGAGCTTGGTATCCAATGACCAAGAAGCCACCATATCAGTTCTCAGATGCCCACCTCCAGGCCTCTTTTTATGTTAGAAAAAAGTAATATACCTTGTTTAAGGCAACTGCTCTTTTGTATTTTTTTAATTGTGCAGTAGATGTAATACGAACTCATGCATGGTAGACTGATCATGAATCTACCATTTGGTTGAAGGGCAATCTGGAAAACCCTAAATCCCACCTATTTATATTTATAGTGGTAAACAGAATGGACATCATTTCTTATTTAAAATAATCTTTTTGGATATTTCCTCTACACGAATATGCTCACTACCATGAAGATGTATTTAAGATTGGAGGGATGACGTTCACTGGGGTTGATTAATTAACAACAGAATTTATACACCTAAGAGGAAACATCACAAAAGATAATACTGAGTAATTCTAGAAGATCAGACAGTTCTTATCCATTAAGACTTATGATCTTCATTTATTGAGCATTTTTATCCATCCATTGAGGGATTTGCAATCTAGTGAACAAAGCAAGATAAACCTATTGAGAGCGAAGAACAATATTTTAAAAAACAGGATAAAATGATCAATCTACACCAAACTGAGCAGAGGAGTCTGGAGGCATGAATTGCAATAGACTGAAGCTGTGAAGTGACCAAGAAGAATAGAAATTTTTCTATATGAAGAGTCACGAAGGCATAGCTATCAAGAATATGTGTTTTGAATCACTTCAGAGATTTCAAGTCCTTTGTGCCACTTGCATTCATGCAATCTTGGGTAAGGTACTTCACCTCAGTAAGCCTCTTTGCATATCTGTAAAATGGGCAAGTATCATTAATTTAGGTTGGTTGTTGGAGAATTAACCGACATAAAGAATATTCAGCAGTCAGTGTGGTCCCTAACACATAGTAAGCATTTGTAAGTGTCCACCATTGTGTGTTAGGGAATAGACTAAGCTGTTGTAACTGAGAAACTCAAAAATAGGACAGCTCACACAAGAGAAATTCATTGCTCTCTCGTGTAACAGTTCAGAGGTACTCCAGTGTGTAAGTAGCTCTGCTGCATGGGTTATCTAAGGACTCTAACTTCCTTACATCTTACTGCTCTGACCTTTATTATAATATTGCCCTCATTTACCTGAGTGAAGCTGGTTAACCAATATCCCATGTGGGACCAAAAGAGAGCAAAAGAGAAAATGGAGGGCAAGCAATTTCTTTTTAAAGAGTTGTCATAAAGGTTGCAAACATCACTCTTCTGACATTCTATTGAGGGAAACTTAATTACATGGCCACGCTTAGCTATGTGGGAGGCTATGAAATACATTCACAGGCTGGGCAGCCATATGTCTTTCTGAAATTCAAGGAGGGGCCAGGTGCAGTGACTCACAGCTGTAATCCCAGCACTCTGGGAGGCCGACATGGGCGAATCATTTGAGCTCAGGAGTTTGAGACCAGCCTGGCCAACATGGCGAAACCCCATCTCTACTAAAACACAAAAAGATTAGTCTGGCGTGGTGGCGAGCACCTGTAGTCCCAGCTGCTTGGGAGGTTGAGGTGCAAGAATCGCTTGAACCTGGGAGGCAGAGGTTGCAGTAAGCTGAGATCATGCCACTGCATTCCAGCCTGGTTGACAGAGTGAGACTCTGTCACAAAAAAAAGAAAAAAAGTAAAATAAATAAAAATAAAACTCAATAAGGTTCTAATGCTAAAACAAATAAGCCATTAAGAAGTTCAAAAAATTACTTCCAAGCAAAGCCAAGGCTACATTGAAAAGGTAGAATACAGTATATACTTGCAGCAGGACAAATGCGAAACCCAGGTTGCTCTGTCTACCACTGTACAGTGTATAAGTGTAAGGACAAACAACAACAATTTCAAAAGGTTTAGGCTTGCTCCTAGAAAAAGTATCTTAGCCAAACTAGATGCGTGTTAACTCTCACTGCCCTCATTACCACTTCGTTTTGGATCACACATACCTGCAGGGGAGGTTGTGGGACAAAGAGAGCAGCGAAGCCTGGAGCAGAGAAAGAGAGGGATTAAGGTTGGGAGAAAAGCCACCCAGAGCACTTAACAGATAATACATGCCAAATAAAAAGCTGCACAAAGCACACATACTACTTGTGTGTTAGGCTCTTGGGTATGAGAGGAATAATATTCTCTTCCGTTACCTTAAGCTATGGCAGAGGGGAGGGGACCATGAAAATAGAGATACAAATGTCGTAGCCAAGTGTCCAGGAACCGTTCAGCTGAGCTTCATATTACAACTCAGATATTGGAAAAATCCAGTATACTCCAGTTATTGTACCACCTAGGTTATCCTCTGCCATGAGCGAGCCTCGTCTCTCCATCTGCTGCTACCAACCAAGCACCTCTCCGCTTCTTCTAGAGTCTCTCTGACTTTATGCATTCACTCATTCTTATTTCTGCATATTCACGACGTGCATTGCTTCATGACTGTACATATCTCCTTCCCTCTGAGGTCATTCCAGCTAAGTTCCTGGCCAATGTTCTTGCAACTGACTGACCTTTGCCATATCTTCAGTTGAAATTCCTGAAAGAGAGAGCCTAATAGACTCACCATATATCACCATTATCCTTATAAAGCAGCACTTTTATACCAGGCAGTGTTTTATTTTTGTTTTTGTTTTTGTTTTTTTCTGATGGGGTCTCACTATGTTGACCAGCTTGGTCTCAAACTCCTGGGCTCAAGCAATCCTCCAGCCTCAGACTCCCAAGTACCTGGGACTACAGGCACACTCCACCACACTAGCCTCCAGGCCACTTCTTAAGCCAGCAATAGGTTGAATAACAAGGTTTATTCTGGCCCAATTTGCTGTGGCCAAAAAGTTCGGATCAAGAGGTGGGAACACAGCTACTTAGGAGGAAGGAACCACTTAGCTCCATTGCCTTGGCAAAGCATCCTGGAGAGCAGGTGTTCACAGGTTAGTCTCTGTGCGGCATCACACTCATACTTCCTGGCGTTCCTATGGCATTCACTTGTAAGGACAAGATATTTGAGAAACTCCTGATGGAGTCTCTTATAATAATACAAGTACCATGTGAGGAAGTACACTACAACCAACAGAAGGCAGGGCCAGCCACCCAAATCCTCAAAGACTCACCATTGATTTCTATGCACTGAATTCACTTCAATGTAATGAATCACTTAGTGTCATAGGCAGACTGTTGCCTAGCTTTAAATGATGCAAACATCCTCTAGCCTAATTAGCATTTACAACATCATTTTCATGTTTCACAAAAAAATGAGGAATTGATTTAATTGGCTATAAACTCTTAAATGCCCAATATAAATAAACCAAAATCGAGAACGTGGTGTAACTGAATTTGTCTTCAGTGTCTTTCCACCTCGGATTTTTACTTGCCTCTCCTCATCCCCAGGCATCCACATGGTCCTGCTTCTCTATGATCACCCAGTGCTCCCCCATGGGGATCCGGCCTTCCACAGACCACTGTGAGCTCTGCAGCTCCCCACCACGCCCCTCAGAACTTTCTGCCCCATATCCCATTCATGCCTCTCCAGTGGAAGGTGTCTAAGGAACTCAATTGCAATATGGTTAATAATTGGTCTAATTTCTTATGTATAAGTATTAAAATTGTGCTTCTAATGACCATTGGATGACCATCCTGATAAAAACTTACATCAATTTTCCCCCCAGAACCTAAGTGTCATTTACTTCTTTTACATTAGCCCTGTTATATTCCAGTGAGGCGGGTTTTGGAAAAGGTCAGTGTTCCATTTTGAGACAGACTCTGGCTAGTGATTTTTTTCTAGATTGCACAGATAGGGCACCAGAGGTTGTATCACAAATGGCATCTCTATCTCTCATCTCTCCCCACTGACTCACTAAGTATGCAAATTACAGAAGTCCCTCCCAGGGCAAGACAGGACTCCAGCACCACTCCCTGCACACACACTGTAATACACAGGGCTGCTGCTGGTAAACAGGGAGGAATTATTTTATCTCCCCTTCTGATGGCTTGAGACTGCAAAGATAGTATGATCATTTATCAATGATGAGCACATGGAACACAGAGAACAAGAACTAATTCTGGGCCCTTTAATAATAGAATGATAGTTTTGTTCTTTCAGCTCTGGAACTACAGGAATTTTCCCTGAAGGACCAGATGTTAAATCTCACTCATCTACACCAACTGCAAATAAAGCAAACCCAGGAGCCCTGCTTTGCTACCAAGCAAGCTAAAGTTACATGAGTTCCCAGCAATGAAAAGCCACAGCCCCTGAGCTTCCAGCTTGCTGCTAGCCCAACTGAGCATGCTATTCCCCTGTGCACCATTACCAAATCAGAAGCATTTTAGGTAGATTTGAGATGCAGAAAGCAAGACAGCTATCAGCAGGCATAGGACATTTCTAAGTCATATTTGAGTGATACTGTCTATTACCACCGCCACCCTTATCAAATCAGATACAGGGAATTAAGAGTCACCCCTGACTCTACCTACAATGGCCAGTCACATTATGTCATAATGTAGCCAGCTACTCTTATAAATTATATGGAGTTCTTTATTAAAACATCCTAGACAACAAGATGACATGAATCAGAAAGATATTTATGGAGGACCTACATGTATGGTACTATGGAGAATAACATAAGCCACTAGGCCAAAATGTTTCACTCATACATATATTCATTCATAAAAGAATTACAAAGCACTTACTACATGACAAACACTAGGCTAGGTATTGTAGACTAAAATGTTGAGCAGAACAGTCATAGTCCCTACCCTATGTGAGCTTACAATCTAGAAGAGTCAGATGTTAACCAGCTAATCAGCTGGGTTTATAATTGGGAGCTATGTCATGTGCTATGAAGGGAGCATGGGGAGCATACTGAAACCATCCCCACAAGGTTGACAGGAATTGAATGCCAGGCTCTGGACAGAAATATAGTTAATTAAGCATCAGTCAGGCTGCGCTCTGGCCCGCTTACTTGATGCTGAAAGTCACTCAACACTAGATACTGCCAGTGCATCCTGTTGTTCCTACAGACAGGATAGCTGACATTACAATAATGAGGTTTTTGTTTAAGGATCACTTAACAGGTTTTTCAGAACCCAAATTCTAGCAAAATAGTGGATGCCAACCCACACAGAGGAACAGGATCGGTATGAGAATGCAACATCTTCATCCTCCTGTCCCATGACTTCACCCTGCACTCTTTGACCAATCAACTATCTCCAAACACTTCAGCCCACTCCACACCCTTAAAATCCATAGCCCTAATCTCCTTGGGTAGACAGATTTGAGGTTTCCTCCTATCTCCTCATCAGCAGCTCTACCATTAAACCTGTTTTCCTCTGTTGCAACCCAGTGTCTCCACGTATTGACTTGCCATTGCATCAGACAATGAACCTGTTATGATTACAATACCACAAAGGGAACTCATCTAATTTAGGTGTCAGGGAAAGATGTCCAGAGAGGGGACTTAAGGATTAATGAACATTAACTGATAAAAGGAAGGTGCTGGGAGCAGGAAGGCAAGAACATTACAAGCAAAAAGATCCACCCCTGAGTGGCAAGTCCCTGATCTGCGTAACAAAAGCAGGGCCAGAGAGGAACTCAAGGCAGCCTGAGTGGCTAGTGCCCACCAGGGAGGGAGACGGGCGATGGCGCTGAAGAAAGGAGGCCAGCCTGGGCCTGGGGTCCTGGGGAGGTATCAGAGCCTTTTTCTGATAGTAAAGCAGCCATGTTTCCTCATATCTGTGCCACCCAGCATAGCTTCAGTAGTCTGAGGAGAGTTACATAATTAAGGCAAGAATATGCAAGATTTGGAGAAGGCCTTGAAACACAGATGGACTTTGGAAAGGCCAAGGGGAAAAGGAAGTGAATTCTTGCCCTGGCCTTGAAGGGCAGGGCAGACAAGCGGCTGGTTGACTAACAGGGTCATGGAAAGCTTTTATGTGCAGAGCTGCTGAATTATTTTAGAACATAATTTAAATGATACAATATTACTGGATTGTAATTCCTTAAGGAAGCCATAAAAATGGTGCCAATAAAACTTGCAAAGGAAAAGACAATTTTACTCTAGGAATCAAGATGCTTATTGAGTTATTTTGGCCAAGAAAAAGCAAAGTTAATTTTGAAGGAAAGAAAAATAACAAAACAAGCAATAAGATGGATCTAATTTACCAGCTATGAATACCAGTTACAAAGCTATGTCAATTAAGAAAGTGTGATAATAATACAGGGATACAAAAATTGACAAGTACATTAAAGAGTCCAGAAACAACCACACAGATATATGGAACACCTGATTTATGGAAAACATGACACTGTTGTATAGTAGGGAAAGGACAGTATTTTCAGTCTTTAGGGCTTGGCCAAGTAGTTATTCATACAGAAAAATAATGAAAGTGACTACTTCATACTGCACACAAAAAATTTCCAAATGGATTTCATATCTAGATCTGAAAAGTAAAATAATTTGGAGCACAGAGGATTTTCAAGACAGTGAAACAACTCTGTATGATAGATACTATAATGATGGACACGTCATTGCATATTTGTCTAAACCCATAGAATGTACAACACCAAGAGTAAACCCTATTATGAACTGTGGAGTTTGGGTAATTATGATGTGTCAGTGTAGGTTTAACTGTAACAAATGAACCACTCTGTGGGGGATGTAGAAAGGGGGAGGCTGTGAATGTGTGGGGGAAGGGGGCATATAAGAAATCTCTGTACCTTCTGCTTAGTTTTGCTATGAACTTAAAACTGCTTCACACCTGGAAGCCTAGCACTTTGGGAGGCTGGGGCGGGAGGATCACTTGTGTCTGGGAGATCGAGACCAGCCTAAGTAACATTGTGAGACCCTCATCTCTATGAAAAATTAAAAAATAAATTTATAAAAAGTAAAGCAATCAAGCTTTTAGAAGAATGTCTTTGTGACCTGGGAGTGGACAAAGATTTCTTAAACGGGACACAAAAAGCAACAACCATGAAGAAAAAATTGGACAAATTGGGCTACATTAAAATAATTGGTTTTCACCAGGGAAACACACACTTGGAAAAAGACTTTTCACTGGAGGTAGAGGCACAGAGAATGCTTATGAAAATACTGTCTTGGAAATCCTTTAAATATTTCCTTTTTCTGAGCACGTAGATAACAACCAAGACTGTGTTATGAGTTCAGAGAGACTTAAAAGGCTGTTCTGACCACCACATACATTTCTGCAAAATTCAGCAGAAATGTAGGTTTTCCTCCTTTTACCCCCAAGAGACTCAGAAATCAAACTCCTCCCAAGAGTTTCTTTTTTCTTGCAGTCAGTAGGAACTCTAGAAAATCTATGAAATGAGAAATAAGAATGAAATCCTAAGCCTCCCCCAACCAACTGACCAGACCCCTTCTTGGCCAAGGGGACCCCAGAGTAACCTGGGAAACTGAGTTCTGGACCCTGATGGGATGGGAGGTGGGACACGCCTTGTTCTATCTCCTCCCTCGCCAACCCCTTTAGGCTTTCTTCCCTAACGATTAAACAGAAACTAGCCCTCTCAAGAGACTCCACCTGATGTCAGTCAATCAACTGATGCTGCCCCTCCCTTTTACGTTCCAACAAAACAACCAACTAGCATTCCTCCTGTCATCTAGGCTGGAGTTCAGCGGCGCTAGCCTGGCTCACTGCAGCCTCAAACTCCTGGAAGCGATTCTCCCGCCTCAGCCTCCCAACTAGCTGGGACTACAGGCGCCCGCCACCACGCCCAGCTAATTTTTTGTATTTTTTGTAGAGATAGTGTCTTGCCACACCACAGGGCTGGTTTCTGTTTAACCCTTAGGGAAGAAAGCCTAACGGGGTTGGCGAAGGAGGAGGTATAACAAGACCTGTCCCACTTCCCATCCCATCATTGCCCAGGCTAGTCTCGAACTCCTGGGCTCAAGTAATCTGCCCACCTCAGCCTCCCAAAGTATTGAGATGACAGGCGCGAGCCACTGCACGGGCCAGCCTTCCTTTGGGATAAGAGACCATCGACCATGGAGTGGCTCCCGTGAGTCTATGCAGGCTGTGCAGTGAGGGTTTTGCATCCTGTGCTTCATCTTTTGATGTCAGGGGGCTGAAAACTCCACTCTGGGCTCATGCTAACTCGGTTGTATTTTGAAATCGGGACCCGGGAGAGGTATGAATCTCAATTGCGCATGCGTAGGTTTCTCTTTTCGTAAATATTCATGACTCCTCCTGTAGCTTATTGAATATGTATATCTGGCCTGCTCAGCCAGAATTCCTGTTCCCTGTGCCCCTCCCCGAAAGTGTCCGTTTCTGGCCTCTCATCCGCGGCTGCACTGCCCAGACGGTCAGAATGGCTGCCCTGCAGGCTGTAGCCCTCTATGAGAAACAAGCTCTCCTTTCCAAATGTATGAACCGCGTCATTCTTCAGCTGACAAACAGAAAGTTCAGGAAAAGCAATCCAGAGCCACCAAACCACCAGGCTGGCCCGAACTCAGGACTCCCAGATGCAGGAGTCTGCTATTTATAGGGGCAGCAAAAGTAGACACTGTGTGATCTCATGTGCTAAAGGAAGCCACAGTACCAAGGTCCTAATAGAATGCAAGGCAAATTTTGGAAGCCAGAGGCTTGCATACTTTCTTTCCCACTGCAGGACCTTCCGTAGCCTCTGCTATGTCCTAGTGGTGGCCTCCTGGGGGACCAGGACATCGGAGGTAAGAAGATAGGGAAAATCCTTGACTCATGAGACAAGGGCTGTTTTTATTTTATCAAACATACTTAGAGTAACTAGTACATCCACAGCACTTTCTGACAACAAAAACTCTTACTAGGCCATTTATAGATTCATCCTCCCAGGAGTTCCGAAGCAGCTGGAAATGGAGTCCAGAGGTTTCCTGTCCCCACTCAGATAAGAATTACTGGACCGTATTACCAGAACTCTTAAATATTTAACGAAAGATTCTCAGTTCCCGGGCATGGTGAGGACATGCTCTCCCTTCCTGGGAAGGAAGGAGGGAGGGAACCAATATGAGCACTATGAGTGATTTTAAAGGAATCTTCAAAAACAAACAAAAAAAACACCCCCACCGTATGCCACTGTTCTCCCTGAAATAAACAGCGCAATCTTCACAATCACCATTTCTCTGCCAAAGAAGGAATCAAATTCCCAGATGTGACAAGTCATCAGAAAGTGCAAGTCTAGAATTTAACTAAATAATCTCTCAAAAGTAATATTTAGTCCCTGGAGGAAGTGAGTATAGAGGGAGAATCTCAGGGGGCTAACCAGAGGAAAATTATCCTCTGCCATAAAATAAAATCCTTTCTACTCTCCTTGAAAGAACAGCTCCCAACCTTTTGAAGACGATTCCTTTGTAATGTCAAAATATTTCCCATATCCCTTCATGACACAATGACAAGAAGAGGCTATGAATTCAGTAATGCTTTTAGATGATTAATACTGTTAATCACAACAGCCTCCATATTCAGCACATTTGAAAAATTGCAGGAGTTATGTGAGACAGTGTATTCCGACTGCAGAAACTTTGAGGGGCAAATAAGGCATAGCTGTGCTTTAAAGCAGCTCCATGGCCTGGGGGTCTTTCTTGCTCTCACACCAGGCTGGAGGCATTAGAAGGAGCAATAAAAAGCAGGCAGATGTTGTAAACTAATTCTTAATGATGAATTTTCAAGGCTGTAATGGGGGTAGGGGACAGGACATGGTGTGAAACTAGAAGCCTTCCTCCAGCTATCCTCAATTTCTGGCCTCTCCTAAATAGTCACTCATAAACATTAATTAAATGTCTAACATCACTAGGTTTGCATAAGGCAGGCCGAGTTTTCACCATCAGGAACAATGTGATAACTAAGATTTTTTACAATTTTTAAGTATCATGAAATATTTTAAGATGTGAAATGATTAACCAAGATGAAGTATCAATTTTATTTTTTAAGTGGAAAACTGGAGGCTCAGAATATTGTTTGGAGTCACACACGGGATTAGATCTGTGCGCTCCACACCCTGGGCCAGAGATCCTTCCATGACACCTTCCTGCTGCAGCTTCCGTCTTCAGGATAAGGAAGGAAAGCAAGGAGCTGGTGTCCAGACACAGAACCCAAAGATTATTTCCTTCTCTGCACAAAATGGAAAATATATAAATGTATCCCCTCACTTTTGTTTATGCTTCCATTTGCTCCACTGTCTCAAACAGCAGCTGGAGTAACTTTTTCAAAATGTAAATCCAATCTGTCATGCACCTGCACACAACTCTTCCTTGGCCTCCCATTGCATTTGGAAAGAAAGCTCAACCTCTCACCATGGGCCTCAGGGGCATGTGTGACCAGTCCCTGTCTTTTATGCAGCCTCACGCCCTCACCCGTCCTCTCACTTAGCAGACGTGGACTTTCCTATGACTCTGTACTCAATTCATCAAAGATAAAATCTAGTCATGTGTGTATGCATGACTCGTTACCACTTACTTTATTTTCTTAAAAAATTTTGACTTAGAAACTTTTTTTAAAATTATTAAATTTTTTTCAAAGATGGTGCCTTACTCTGTCACCGAGGCTGGAGTGCAGTGGCATGATAATGGCTCACTGCAGCCTTGAACTCCCACCTCATCCTCCTGAGTAGCTGGGACTACAGGTGCATGCTACGACCACCAGCTAATTTTTTAAATTTTTAATCTTTTTGCAGAGATAGGGTCTCACTATGTTGCCCAGGCTGGTCTCAAACTTCTGGCCTCAAGTGATCCTCCTGCTTCCACTTCCCAAAGCACTGGGATTACAGGTGTGAGACACCAAGCCCAGCTCTGTTACAACTGACTGTGGTATCTTGAACAAGTCAGTTTCCTCACCTCTAAAATGGGTACAATAATGGCACGCCCTCACAAGGTTGTTGCAGCCTGTGTCCCCTAGAGCATCTGCTCTCAAGGGGATGACTCCCTTTGTTGTCACTCAACATTGTCCCGTGTGCCCAGTGCACAATCTGTAAGTATGGTTCAATGAGTGGCTGTGAAAGTCACTGTTTTCCAGTCTGTTCTTTCTTCCCCCAATTTCTCTGCTCCCATTAATTTTCTGCTCTTGGCCTCCTTTGCTATGTTTTGCTGATTCGCTGCAGTGAGAGTTAAGGCACAAGAGGAAGCAGCTGAGGAGACACTCCTTTGGTGCCAGCTCAGCCCCTCTGCATGAGAGACGGTGCAGAAAACACACTAGAACGTGAATATTAGAAAGGCTGCTCCAATTTCCAGGCCACATATGGCTAGGCCAATTAGCAGTTTCAAAATGTTACACCCAGTTCATCTCTGCCATCTCCTAGCTTCTTGTTTTCTCCCTCCTCCTCTTCCCTTTGCATGCCTGCAAACTTCTAAAGGGGTCAGTTCTCCACTCCCTCCATTTGGTTTCAAACACTACAGAACAAAGAAGTGTGAAAATAAGCTCTTTTCAGTTGGGTCCAGTGATGTTCCCAGATAATTTTGTTCCTGTTGGTCAACCATTTGCCATGACAACATTCTCCTCAAGCTTATAAACTTCCTGAACCCTGCACACATGGGTATGTATTGAACCAAGTCCTGCCAACACTCTGAGGCTCTGTAGTCATGAGCCTGTGCCGAGAAAGCCCTTGTTTTAGAGACACTGGGTTTGGATCCCATTTCAGGGCCTTTCTGAGTTCACCTGAACAAGCCTTGGTTTTCTTACAACTAAACTACAAAATACAGGTGAAAACATCTGATTAATTTTTGAAGTGGATAAATGAGAATACGAGTCAACACTGCTTCACCTACAAATAGGATAAAGAAATACAAAAATCTTGCTCCAGCCATGAGTTCCCTATCCTAGTATATGTGGCTTTTCTTTTATTATATCTTTTTTTTTTATAACCATGAGAATGAGAATCTTGGCTCTTTTTACTGTGTTGGGGTTAATCAGAAAGAGAGAACAGGTGGCTTGAAATAGAAAAGGAAGTGAAGAACAAGATCAGATGTTTTACGTCTTTTTTTTTTTCCAGTGATATTTCAGAAGAAAAAAAGTAGCTGAAGAAAAATAAACCCAGACTTTAGAAGTATTTGTTAGAACTATGTGACAGGAAATTAATGTCACGTGTTTCACCCTGTGTCTCACCCTGTGTCTCAGGGAGCCTCGGCTGCCACATTCAAAAACTCCAAGTCAAATGTATTGAGCTTTTGGTCTGAGAACCAGAAATGAAGACAAGAAGAAAGGGAGGTAAGAGTTAGAGGAAGGGAGGAAAAGTGAAACAGTACCTTTGAGGATGCAAATTAGCTACCTTCAAATAAAATTAAATTACATGTTATCTAACTGAAATTGTAGATAGTGGCTTAAAAGTTTCTAGCAAGCAAACTATGGTAAAATAGAAATTAATTATAGAAGACATAAGAACTGACTAGTTTAAGATACAAGAACTTACAATGACAACACTGTCATTGTGCTGTCATTTTTGCCTTATTTAGTGAAAATAACAGCTGCATTTTTTCAATTCATCTTATTTTTTCATGAAACATTAAGTTCTTCAGCCACAAACTCTTCTAACATAATCTGTTAGTTGGTTTGTCTGTTTAGCCACCACTCAATTTAAGAACTAGGCATTGGCCAGATCCTAGACGCCACCTGAGTACTGCTCTCCAATCGTGTCCCCTTAATCCTGCGAAAGATAAATCATCTCCAGAATTTTCTCACAATCATTTCCATGCTTTTCTTTAATATTTTGTCACAAATTTATATTGTTGTCTGTATCTTTGGTTTGATCATTTTTACTTCTATATAGTGCCCCATTTAATGAATAGACCACAATGTTTCCATTCCATCAGTAATAGAATTTGGCTTGATTCCAGTTTTTTAGCTATTATGAATGATTCTACCATTCTTGGCCTTGCCTACACATGTGCAGGAACTTCCAGAATCTAGAAATAGGAGTAGTTGTCTGCATTGTAGAGAATAATAAGCATGCTCAAATTCGCTAAGTATTGCCAACCTGTTATCCAAAGGAGGTCAGCAAATTTGCACTCTCCTCAGCAAGGAACCCTGTCATTGTTCAAAATTCTAACCAATACCTAGTATGTGTCATCATTTTAAAAGTTTCAACCTGGTAAGCATGCAATTATATTTCACGGATTTTATTTGCATTTCCCAGATAACTAATGAGGTTGAACATCTATTCAGAGATTGATTTATGATGACGATTCCCCTTTTTATGAGGTACCCGTTTAAGTTATGTGCCCATTTTTCTACTGGGTTGTTTTCCTTTTTCTTACTTTTTTATATATATTCCTTGTCAATTATATGTGCAGCAGATACTTCTATGGCCCTCTTTGTGGCTCAGAAAAAGAACCTCTGTGTTTCTCTTAATGAGCAGAAGTTTATTTTAATGTAATCAAATCTGGGTTTTTTTATTCATTTCTTGTTAATAATTTGTTGTGGTCTTCAGCTCTCTGTCCTGAGATCATGAAGTTGTTCTCCTCTATTGTCTTTTGAAAACTTTGCAATTTTGATTTTACATTTGGTACTTTAATCCAGTTGGAATTGATTTTTGTGCATAGTGTGAGGTAAGGACCTGATTTCCTGTATTTTCGTATGAATAGTGAATTGCCACAGAATTGTGTTTTGAGACGTTTGGCCTTTCCCTACTGACTTGCCATGCCTCCTTCATTATAAACCAAGTATCCATATATGTGGTGGGCTGTTTTTAAATTATTTATTCTTTTCCATTGAACTACTTGACTTGCACCCATTTCTCTGTCTTAAATACTAGTACTTTATAAGCCTTAACATCTGGAACAGCAAGTCTCTCCATTTTACTATTTTTATTGAATAATAGTGTAGCTAATCTTGGCCCTTTGAATTCCTATGTAAATTTGGCAATCAAAATATTAGGTTCAAAAACTTTAAAAACCTGTTGGGATTTTGGCTGGGACTCCATAGTTCCATGGAGCTTCACTGGCTTCACTTGGGAAAATTAGATCTTTCCATATTTTGTTCTTCGGCTCCATGTCCATAGTGTATCTCTCTATTTATTTAGATCTCCTTTAATTAAAAAAAATTATGTTTACAAGGTATTGTACATCTTTTGTTAAATTTATTCCAAGATACTTCACATCATAGTAAATTATATTTTTCTTTAAATTGTATTTTCTAAGTGTTTATTGTTAATGTATAGAAATGAAATAAATCTGTTATGTTAATTATTGATTTTAAATTCAGAAAACTCACCAACTTCTCTTAATTCTAATAATCTGTTGAAACTTCCATATACAATGATTGCATCTCCCAGTGATGACAACTTGCTGTCTTCCTTTCAATTTCTCCACCTTCTATTTATTTATTTATTTACTTACTTATTCACCTTTCTATGCTGGTTGGAGCCTCTATTAGAAGACTGAAAAAAAGTGGTGTTCCTATCTTGTTCTTAATCTCAGAGGAAAAGATTTTGCTATCCCAATATTAACTGTGATATTTTCTGGAGCTTTTGGTAGGTCCCACTGGTCAGTGTAAGAATTTCCTTTTTATTTCTTGCTGCCTAAGAATTATTTTTAATTAGAAATGCCTATCAAATTTGTCAAATGTTTTCTCACATCCACTGAGATAAACGTATTATTTAATCTCATTGAATTTATTAATATTGCAAAGCACACTGGCCAATTTTCTAATGCTAACCAATCTTTAATTCTTTGGATAAACTCACTCAGGTGTGATCTATTACTCTTTTCATAGATTGCTGGATTTGTTTGCTAATAGCCACATGCAAACGAAGGGAACAGTAGTAAAAGATGGAGCTCTTCAAGGTTTTTGGGAGATCTGAGAGGCGTATGTACCACAGACCAAAAACAATTGATACTGTAATGGATACTGAGAAGAGAAGGATTTATGTGTAAAAGGGCTAACTTGAGTCTGTATACTGTTAAAGAGATTATAAGGACTTAGGTCAAAATCAGTGAAAATAACAAATGATACAGTTGCATGGCCACATTTTCTCACCTGGCCTATTTACTAGACTCTTCTCTTAGAAAGAAAACTCCAGAAATCAGGAAGCCAGAGCTAGGAAAGGTGGATCTCACTCTTCTGGTCCCCTAGGTAAGGATTCTGAGCAAGCTAGAAATCCTGCTGCTCTGACTGCTCTCTTGGCCCATGTCCTGGAGGGTTGGATCTGCTAGAGGAGGTAGATAATACCTGGAGTCATTTCAACTTCTATTCAGCATCTACTACAGACCAGGCAACATGTCAGGCATTAGGGATATTGATTGAGAAAATCCACATTTCCTGGTCCTCAAAATGTTCACCAAAGGCACAGAATATCTGGGAACTATGAGCAGGTCTTAACTCCCTAGCCTAGTTTAACTCATCTTTGAATCTCAATAGAAATGCCTAGGATGAATATAAGGATAAAAATATGTAGTAAATATTCAAACTCTATGAAGAGTTCAATGTGATGCGTGTGTGTGTGTGTGTGTGTGTGTGTGTGTGTGTGTGTGTAGCTGCTGGGCTGATTTCAAAAGCTACTGTGAGTTACAAATTCTCATTTTGCATATTTCTCTTTATAAAAAATAAATCATCAATGACAGAAGTGTGAAGAGGAAAGGGCTCACTCAGCCCTGGGATAGGCATTGGAAAGCAGAGAACAAAGGGAAAAGTGATAAAGAGGGTGACCAGTTACAGGAAAGGTCAGGTCTAAGTGATAGCCTCAGGCAGGTCATGGAGCTTCTTGTTGGTTTGTGACTCTCAAAATCTAGTATCCATAAGAATCACCTAGGACTGATAGTTACAATGAAGATTCTCAGGCTCCACCCACAGAGATTCCAATTCAGTAGGTTTGGGATTCGGCTCAGGAATGTACATATTTAGCCATGACTGCAGGTAATTCTGGTGCAGGTTTCAGGCAGCCACCCTGTTCTTCAATGCTAACTTCAGCCTATACCCACAGACCGTGAGGAAATTTGGTAGCTAAGTGACTATTTTACAGCCTATTTAATTAATGGGCACAACGAAGCAGTCCCAAAGTGCAAGTCCCAAAGTGCAAATTCTGCCTTTTCCATGTACTTAACCAGCTAATTGCCAAATCTGCACTGCATTTAGAGAAACAAGAGTCAAGCACTAATCTTCAAAAAGGTTTTAAAACATTAGTTTGAAAATTCTGGATATTACTTATCTATCCCCTCTCCAGGCCTCAAACCAGGATTATGAAGATTAGTATCATTTCCAGGGTTTTCCTCTTTAATTATATTGAATGTAACAAAGCACCCAGGTTCGTGTGCAATATAAGAAATAACTTTTTGTTAAAGGGAAATGGAACTGCTATTCTGATAATTTTTGACTTGTTGAGAGATAGAAATAAACCAAGTGGAAAATATTCAAATTCTACTTTATCGTGAAGCCAAAAAATTACTGGTCAGAAATACTGTCAAATTACAAGCTCTTATCTATGGAAACATTTCCCCCCATATATGCTTGAAATTCCTTGTATGTTAAAGTCATGTTGTCTTCTTGGCAGCCTTCAAGCAATATATTTCAATACTTAATTGGAGTTAATAGGACTGAATTGAAATGGCTTCCAAGAAGTAAGAAAAAATCAGAAGATACACTTCCAAGCCTCATGAAGCATTAACAGGTGAATCGATGTAGAACATTTGCAAATGATAAAAAAGAAATGCTGGCAAATAATATTATCGATATGTGTGTTCAGAAGGCTGAACAATATGACTCAATATCTTTTGAATCCATCTGGTATACTTATGTGCATCACATCATGTACTGAGCAGCTTATTTTTAAAATTGAATAATACAACTATTATGCCTTTGTAGAAAACTGGCGGAAGGGTGTACTTCTATCAAGTGAACAGAAATGACCATTACTCTTTTGAATATATATCATAGGTAGCTCTTACACCTGTATGTGGAAAATATTCTCTAACCATGTGCAAAAAATCTAGAGCAAGGTGAAAAAGTACAGTGAAAAAACCCAAGTGATATTTGAATTTAAAATGCATGTAGAAATGATTTTATATAAAATTATGTTGCCCCAGGGGAATAGATAAATTGATACAAAGATGGAAAGGATGACAAACATACAGGTTAGTCCCTTCACTTATTACAAAGTTCTTTTGCCTTAACAGGCCAGAATTCAGCAAAGTAGAAGAGTAAGCAATTCATTTCTTGTGACTTGGGGTAAGGTTAACATAACTTAGGACCACAGGTGGATTGAAGATATATCACAATTTTGTATTTATTTTACCAATAGAATGCTTCATTCACTGGAAAATAAATTTACCTCTAGAAAAGCAACTAAAACATGTGGTGTAATTTCTACTTTATTATCTCTAACCAATGGACTCATCTGTTTTTTATAGGGCTAAGAATGTCAAGGTCATTTCTACAATCTAGAATGAGCCAGAAATCTGAGTCCCTCCCAGGACGACAGATAACACCTCTGTCACACAAGCTGTCCTCAATGTATCCCCCTATGGTCATGGGAGAAGGGATGGTTGAAGTTGATTCAGTAGCTTAACAAAATTTTATCGTGACATTTGAAAATATTTACAGTACTTGCCTTATGAGTAATGCATACTACACTAGTGTCATTCTCTATGCAAAGGCAGCTCATAACATTTATATCACCCCCACACAATGCAAAAATAAATTGGTGCAGACAATGCATTTCTGGTGATGATGGGTAAGGAAAATTGTCACATCACTGGCCTTTTAAAATCAATATTAAAGAGTTGGGAGTACAAGCCACTAATATGTATTCAATTATATCTAAAGGTAACTGAATGTATAAATAACATTTTCCTCTATGATTTGAATTTACTGCTACCTTTCTAGGCCATTAATTAAATAATTTTCCATTCTATTTCATTCCCTGCTGTGTACAATTGGTGTCTCTCTTATGTTTATGCCAATCTGCCAGGCTAGTAGGTAGCAGAACATAAAAACGAATTGAGGAATTATGGGTTGGTACAAGGGCCCATTAAAAGAGATAGAGGAACCCAGAAAAACATTCTATTGGAATGTTTCAACCTGCATCTTCTACTTATTAAGGGGAGATATCACCCAAGACTTTAATTAGTAGCTAATAAAAGCAGATAAAATGGTCCCTTAGCTACCGACTCTAACCCATGCTTAACTTGTAATTGGAGAGTGGCAAGGTCTGCCTGTCAAAACTCCAAAGGGGGTAGGAGACAATGAGTAAGGTGTAAGAAAGAACAGCAATGGCAACATCTCCTTGCCACACTCATCTCCTCCTTGTAATTATAATATGAAATCAAACCCATAAACACAGTAAGAAAATAATGACACTCTTGTACCACACTCAGTTTTCAGAGTACAGATGGGAGTTTTCAAAGCAAATGCTCAGGATTCTAATATGATCACTTGTTCAACCTTCATGTCTGGTCCTAAAATCAGATGATAGAGAGCTTGACTCAGACGTCAAATATGGCCTAAAAGGAATCCTTAACAGATATGCTAAGAATAGGTACAAATTGGTGTCTAAAAATAAAAGGAAGGCATGATATCAGGATAGCAGGTGTAGGCCTCATGTATCACCACTCCTCTTTCTAAGGCAAGCACTATTAATCCATCCTGTTGCTTGTTGAAAGTGAGCTTGGCTCAGGATCCTTCACACAGTTCTCTAAACGGCCATTGCCCACTGATTGCAGTGAAAAGGATTTTACAGTTCCTAGTTTGGTGGAACCCACACTGGGCTGAGAATAAAGTTATAGGCTTGCAGCAAGCCTCAACACTAACCTACTAAGTGACTTCAACAATTCACTTGTCATGTCTGGGTTCAAGCTTCCTTTTCTAGGAAGGAAAAATTCCTCCAATATTCAAATTTCTAAAATGTGCTACACATGATTGTGAAAAGCCATTATATTCATGACTTTCAAACTCCCTGATTTCTATTAAATTAATTACAATGTATCCAAAAATAATATAAGCATCTATTAGTGTGAAGGTCTCCCAAATTACATGTAGAATTACCTAAAATACCATATTATCATCTACGTATACGTCTTCTTCTAATTCATTATTATATTACTAATTATTGGCAGGAATTAAGAGGTTCAAGTCTTAGAGCAATGCATTTTTTTCTGTTTTGTCACAACAAAATGTTTGGGTTTTTATTTTCGGAATTAATAAATTTGACTCTTCAGGCACTAGTGAGTTACCAACTTTTCCCCTCTCATTTTGCCTTAGGAGGCATAGAAAATGTCTTTGCTATGCTCTGTTTCCCTTTTTATCCCTCTCCCATATAGACACACGGACCACTATCCAGTGCTGTTTCACAGAACAAGGCCCTGTTTTGTGTCCAAAAGCAGAAAATCCAATTCTCAGAGCCACCATACTTCTATATACTTCATGAAATAAGAACCATCTTTAAAGAACATCTCAATGATAAATATGCAGAAGAAAACAAAGTTTGTTGATAAAAATCCATTTCAGATATGACAGTCTGCTCAACATGCAGGAAAAGAAGGTCAGAACCTGATTTAGTTCTTGTTATTCCACCATTACTCAATAAGGCATTTGAAACTGTTTCCTTAGAAGTTGACAGAGCATAATTTAAGGTTGCAAGAATATTAATCACAGTAAGCATCTTGAATAACTCCAAACCAGAGTTCACAAAAACATGTGAGCATCTGTTTCCTCTTGAATCAGTTGTAGACACTTTTTAAACATGTTTCTGCTCCTAAAATCACATCTTCTATAACATTTTTCACCATCTGCAAAATATTGCACATAGTTGGCTTGGGTGACAGTGACTAGCAATCCGCTATGCTAACACACATTATTAAAGAATGGTCTGCCTTCTCTTAGAGTAGTAAATGATACATGAAGGACATTACTCATGATTTTTCACTCCTCATACTAAAACGTGTTAAAAACTATATGATAATTAAAGCAGTGTGATGTTAGCACCAAAACAGACACAGATGGATAAATGGAGCAGGTTTAGAAGCCTGATACTTGATATATGGTAAATATGGCAGTTCAAGTGAGCAGAGAAATGTACTGAAAGAGTCAGATAGATTTTTTAAAATTGTTAAATCTCTAACTGCAGATAGGGAGAAGGGAATGGTGAAATGTGAAATGACCCCTACACATTCACATCCCAACCAGCAGGCTTCCTTTCATATCTCTTCCGTCGTATGGCCGCCCTTGAACCAATCACTGGCAATGGAAATGTAACCATCATTGTAACCTAGACTTGTGAGCAACTGCCTGCGTCACATGGGCAAAAGGTAGACATGACAACAAAATCAGGACTCTTCTACATGAATGAAGGAGGAGTTACTGTTGTTTAAGCAAGCATTAGTATATGCCACATCAATGTAGTTAACTTTGCAGAAATACCAGGTAATATCGTCCCCTCAAGAGCTTAAAACAATTGAGTTTATAACAGAGGTGATGTTTAATAGGGCAGACTCTCATGAGCCATTACCAAACAGTGGTAATAATAGCTATGTAACAGTGCTTTGAGTTTTATGATATTGTCCTGGTCTTATCTTAAATATTTTATTTTTCGCTAGTCTAGTCTAGTTGGTGCCAGTATAGACACCATGTTTACTTTTTCATCTAGCCTTTTTTCATACTTTCACCCCACCAGCAGTGCTCTATGCCATTCTTTGCAGTAAAATCAGTGCTGCCTTTGCTGCTGCTGCAATAGCTAATGTTTCTAAGTAACCTTTATTGAATACTTCCTCTGTTCCTGACACAGATGAACATTTTCATGAATTATCTCATCTATTTCTCTAAATTGCCTTATGAAATAATCTTGTTTCCCCTAAATGCAAGTGGTAGAATGAGACACGTGCATGGGCTGGCTGTGGAAGAAACCACCATTTCCTTTCCCTGTACCCAAACCCATCTGAACACAACTTCCTTTGCACTCTGGCTACTACCAGAATTTTGCTCCTTTTGTTGATTCTTAAGCCCTGTTACCAAAGGGGTAACAATGTGTGCTTTATTTATCACAAATCTTGATGTGAATGAGTAGTCTCCAAGCAGCACTGGGTGAAGTAAAGAGACGAGGCTAACTTGAAGGAAACCTAGTTATAGCAGAGCAGAGGGAAGCAATAAAGAAAAACATAACTACTTCATTATTTTGCCGTGGCTTGAATGTAACCTTTCTTAATAACCAGGACAGCCAAAGAGGCTACCATTGCTTGAGCACCTACACTGTCTACTACCTGTAAAGAAGTTGGATGTTATTTCCACTGTATTGTAGAAGAGGAAAGATGGAGCTCAGAAAAGCTAAACACCTTTTGAAAGACCACGTATCCAGTTAAGTTGCATATTACAGTTCAGATCCAAAACTCATGCCCATTCCTCCTCAGTACCACACTGTCTTTATATTTCCATACCTTATACTGTTTTAAAGTGTTACTTTATCTTGAAGCCCACTACAAATTTTTTGTAACTTTGTCTTAGTGTGAACCCTTCTTTATGGATCCTGCCACCAAATCTTGACTCACAAATGTTAACTTTGCAGACAGACCAGGTAATATCATCCCTTCAAGAGCTTAAAACATTTAAGTTTGTAACAGAGGTGTTTTACAGGGCAGACTCTCATAAACCATTACCCAACAGTGGTCATAATATAATAATAAAAAGGGGCATTTGGATGACATGCATAATAAACAGGTGCTTGTTTCCTCATATGAGGCAATTCATTAAAAAAAAAAAAAAAGCAAACAAACAAAAACAACAACAAAAAGGGATGGGGGAGCTACATAAGGGAACTAAAGGAGGTGTTTTAGTCAGGATTCACCAGGAAAGCAGAATCAATACATAGAGAAATATTTGTTTTAAGGAAGTGGTTCATGTGTTTGTGAAGGATGGCAAGTCTAAAATATGCAGGGCGGGCTGGCAATCTGGATAACCAGGGAAGAGTTAACGTTGCAGTCTTGAGCCTGAATTCCTCAGGGAAGCATGTTGGGAAATCAGACAGAGACTCTATGTTGCAGTCTTAAAGAGAATCTTCTTTATTGGGAAACCTCGGTCTTTGCTCTTACAGCCTTCAACTGGTTGGATAAGACCACCCACGTTATGGAGAGTCATATGCTTTACTCAAGATCTAATAATTTAAATGTTAATTATATCTTTAAAAATATCCTACTGCAACATCTAGACAGGTGTTTGGCCAATCAACTGGAGACCATAGCCTAGCCAAGTTGACACAAAATTCACAATCACAGAAAAGTTAGGTGAAATTCACAGCAAGGACAGCAAATACAGCACATGCACATGTATCCACCCTCTCTGCCTGAGACCATGACAAATATCATTCATCAGCTAAGGCCCTCTTCTCCAGTGAGTTCTACACAGCTCAGCTCCAAAAATCCAAGCACAATTGGCATAGGAGTTGAAATCTACTAGTTGTCCATAGCCTGGACCACGTAGTCCAGTACCATTACCGCGGATAATGTTTGACGAGGCCAGCAACTAATGTGGCAGCCTCAGTCTCCTCTGAGGTCTCTCTTAGTTTATCTGGATTTTTAAAAATACTACTGTTTTCCAGTTTACATGGATTTTAGAAAATCTAGATAAACTAAAAGCAAGAAAAACATTTTGTCCCAATTAACATACTTCTGAGCAAAAAGATAAAACTTCATAATAATCTACATACATAATTGTCTAGGAACAAAATGATTTTTATCTCATTAAAACCTGCTTATGTAAACTACCTAACATGATAGCTAATGCCTGGTAGGTTGCAGTTACTCTTCACCTGCAGCCTTTCAGGCCTGTGATGGCCTAAAGTTTTAATAACTATAACCATTTGAAATTCTACACTGGGTACAATTATACTTGTCAGTAAGACTGGCATGCCTTCTGTATTACTAATTCACACATTTGGGATATTCAAAAATATTCTGATTTTTAACAAAAATACTGCCTATCGTGTGTGATGTGGCAAAATATGTGGCACTAGAAATTTTGGCAGAAATTCATTTGATCCTATCAATCACAAAATAAAGGCAAAATCCAACTTTGCAACAGAATACAAATATACTCCAAGTAAGAGGAAAGACTCAGCCTTTTAGACTCACATTTAACTTTGAATCAGGTTCCAAGGATCTCCACAGACAAGGCATTCATTCCATGTCTTCATTAACTATTTAGAGGTCTATTTATGTGATTGCTAACTCTATGTTTCCATTTTCCATAATGTGACCTGTAGTAAGCATTCACAACTTTGATATCATGGCCCCAGTTCTTTCATTGGATAACTGAGCAAGTTAAACACTGGGTTCCAATTTCCTTATGTTTAAATAACGGGGCATCCCTAGAATTTTGAGTCTCTGCTAAGCAAAGATAGTGTACAGTCCCCTGGCACATTGTACATCCTCATTAATAACAATAGCACACTTATATTTTATGTGTGTGTTGACTCATTTAATTCTCATGAAAACCATAGCATGCAGATTGTTTTTCAAAATGACCAAAGCAATATGCCTGTTTTCCCATTTTCTTCAGAACCTTGCCATTCTTCATCAAGAAACAGAGTGTCTTTAACCTCCCCTTGAACTGTGTGGGCACTTGTGACTGCCTCAATCAACAGAATATGGTAGAAGAAAAATGACAAGGATCTGTCATAAAAAGGAATACCTGGCTTTTTCTCCCTTGGGAGGCTTACCTTAGAAGCCAGACAACAGATGCAAGGAGACCTAGGCCACATGGGGATGCCACATGCAAGTGTTCCAATCAACAGAACCCAGCTAAGATCTTGGCTGGTTGAACAGCATCAACCACCGGTCATGGGAGTGAACAAGCCTCTAGATGACTCCAGACCCCAGCATTCAAGTCATCCCAGCTGATGCCAAGTGAAGCAGAACCAAACTATCCATGTCCAGCCCTGCCCTCTAAACTGAAGATTCATGACCCCAAAAGAATGGGGTCATGTTGTTAAGCCACAGCATTTTGTGGTGGGTTGCTATACAGTAACAGAACAAGGTTGGTAGTATTTTCTCTTCATTTTACACATGAGGAAACTGAGACAAAGAAAGTCCACAGGCTGAACTCTTAAACAATATGCTATACTTCCATTTAATAAGTAATTATCAAAAGAATGATTAGTCATTCTGGGCAAGGATTTCTTGAGAAATACCCAACAAGCACAGACAACCAAAGCAAAAATGGACAAATGGGATCACATCAAGTTAAAAAGCTTCTGCACAGCAAAGGAAACAATCAACAAAGTGAAGAGACAACCCACAGAATGGAAGAAAATGTTTGCAAACTTCCCATCTGACAATGGATTAATACCAAAATATATAAGGAGCTCAAACAACACTACTGGAAAAAAATCTAATAATCCAATAAAAAATGGGCAACAGATCCGAATAGACAGTTCTCAAAAGAAGACATACAAATTGCAAACAGGCATATGAAAAAGTACTCAATATCATTGATCATCAGAGAAATGCAAATCAAAACTACAATGAAATATCATCTCACCCCAGCTAAAATGGTTTATATCCAAAAGACAGGCAATAACAAATGCTGGCAAGGATGTGGAGAAAAGGGAACCTTTGTACATATTTGGTGGGAATGTAAATTAGTACAACCACTATGGAGAATAGTTTGGAGGTTCCTCAAAAAACTAAAAACAGAGGTACCACATGATTTAGCAATGCCACTGCTGGGTATATACCCAAAAGAAAGAAAATCAGTATGTTGAAGAGATACCTGCACTCCCATGTTTATTACAGTATGATCCACAAAAGCCAAGATTTGGAAGCAACCTAAGTGTCCATCAACAGAAGAATGGATAAAGAAAATGTGGTACACATACATAATGGAGTACTATTCAGCCATAAAAAAGAATGAGATCCTGTCATTTGCAACAACATGGATGGAACTGGAGGACATTGTGTTAAGTGAAATAAGCCAGATGCAGAAGGACAAACTTCGCATATTTTCACTTATTTGGGGGAGCTAAAAGTTAAAACAGTTGAACTCTTGGAGACAGAGAGTAGAATAATCATTACCAGAGGCTGGGAAGGGTAGTGGGGAGTGGGGATAAACTGGAGATGGTTAATGGGTACAAAAATTAAAACAGGATGACTTTAGTCTACAATAATTTAGTTGTACATTTTAAAATAAGAATATACTTAGAATTTTTTAATACAAAGGATAAATGCTTAAGGGATGGATATCACATTTACCATGATGTGATTATTACCCATTGTGTGCTGGTATCAAAATATCTCATGTAGCCCATAAATATATGCACCTGCTATGTACGCACAAAAATTAAAAATTTAAAAAAAATTTTAAAGAATGACTCATCTTTGATAATTAGTCATATTGATTTCTTGTGGCATTGCAATGTGCATCTTATCTAACCAAATGACTTAAAATATATTTTTACATAATTTTTATGTAACTATGTGTTTTTGCCTCTAAGAAATTATTTTACCAAAGGCTAAATGATTGCTGACAACATATTTTAGGGAGGAATAAAGTTCTATATCAGAAAATAGCTTGTTTCTTGGTCTCTTTTATTTATATTTATTAAAAATATATAAAAAATTGAAATTTTACTGCTGAGGGAAGCAATTTCTAAGGAGCTTAACTCAATTAATTTATACCATATTTATAAAACCCCCTCTAAGGAACATTTTAAGACTTAATATTAGAATTCTGCCAATGAAGAAAAGAGTTATTATGGAAGAAAATAGGTGTGGAATCTAAATTACACACCTTTTGTTTTAAAGTTTGCAACATAATTAGATACTTTGAAGCAAGATAAATTATTTGGTTAAAAATCTTATTTAAACATTGTTTAAGTTACAATACATGGGAAATATTTATTTCACAGTTGGTTAAAAATTATTGAATCATTAAAATCCCACAAGCTGATATTGTAATGTGCAAAATAAAGAGCTTAATAAATGGTACTAATTACTAATGGCCATGAAAATGCTCAGATTCCTTCTCAGGAGATAACTTGCTTTTACTGACCATCACACAGCTACATAATATATGCAAATTTCCTAGGGACTAACTGGACACAATTGCTGAAAGCTTTTTGTAGAATTAACCAAAACTTTAAAAATATCAAATCATGGGCCATTATTGGTGTTTTTTTGTATGTGTTACATTTTATAGCTTTCCAAATTTCTGTAATTTTTTTCCAAATCATTGATTCAAGAAACTGACATTTTCCCCATGTCCAAAAAGAAGAACAGCCATCAGTGACTTCAAAGCCCAACAAGGACAGCTGGCAGCTCTACTGGGAGCCAAAACAGAAATCAGGGGTTGAGTTTTGTTACATTTTAGTTGGAATAAAATAATGTGCTTTCCTTTGGAGGAAAAAACACAGTCAAGACAACTGGTGGGGTGTTGTTTTTCTTGGTTCTGTGCCTAAACTCATTCAGCGCCCCAGAGGGCAGGGGTCCTCTCTGTTTAGCACTAGCCTAGGTGTGGCGCATAATGATTGACTAATAAATAATTAATATGAACCAAGCTGTTTCAATTGCTGATAATTTGGAGATGATGTTCAAAGAATCATTTTGACCTCTAGGAGTGCAGAAGTGCAGAGGGGCTGGTGATCTCTAAACACTCTGTTGCACTGATAGCGCCTGTAGCATTAAGTGCTATGGAAGTGCTTGTCTCTGGGCCGTCTTTGGCATGATCCCCCCTCGGCCATCTGCTGTGCGCCATTAGAGACCGAGAAATGGAATTGCAGCCGCAAAAAGAGGGTGGAAAATTAACTCTGGGCAGGCTGGGATCTTTGCTCACCCACTCCAGCACTCTTTCTGGCTTGTGACAACAAAAGTCTAAGGAAGATGCTCTGAGCCCTTGCCCCAGAGCCCTCCCCTTGTATTCATTCCATACCTGCTCTTTGCTTCCTGCCCTGGGTTTCCTGGCTACCTATGCCAGCTTTTCTCCCATGAACATCCTTTTTTAAGACTTTCAAACTTGCAGGGAAGTTGCAGTCATGCTGCGGACTCAATGATGGAGATGACCCAGGCTGGTGGGAACAATCCTGAGGACCATTGCCTAGGGAGATCCAAGCTCTTGAGGGCTGCCTCTCCCTAAGTCCTGTGCTGTGGAAGAGGCAGTGCACATAGAATTCCCTTTCAAGGGAATACTGCCTATAGGGACTGTGAGGACCACTCAGCTAGGAGCAGTCAAGGTCCACCTTAGAAAGCTAGGCCACCTTGTCTGGTCTTATCAGCAAATTGATGGCAAAGAGTGGTAAGCAAGTTTGCCCACTTGTATAAAGCACTGAGGGGGCCTGACTTTGCAGAGTAAACAGCCTCTCAAAGAGCAGAAAGCCCTGTAATCTCAGAACTTTGGGAGGCTGTGGTGGGCAGATCACTTGAGGCCAGGAGTTCGAGACCAGCCTGGCCAACATGGCAAAACCCTATCCCTACTAAAAATACAAAAATTAGCAGAGCATGGTGGCGTGCCCTTACAGTCCCAGCTACCTGGGAGGCTGAGGCACGAGAATCGCTTAAAGCCTGGAGGTGAAGTTTGTGGTAAGCTGAGACTAGGCTACTCCTCTCCAGCCTGAGCAACAGAGGGAGATTCTGTCAAAAAAAAAAATGTAGAAAGCAATTGTCTCAGATGGAGTGATCGTGACATTTGTAGAACAGAGCAGACTCCACCACGGGAACAACTCTACTGAAGAGGAGGAAACTGGCCTCATGTGCAGGCCTCAGATTCCCTGCAGAGACAGAATACTAACCTTTCCAGGGTGGTCACTGATTTGAGGGACTATCCTGTGCACAGTAAGAGGTTTAGCAGCATTCCTAGCCTCCCTTGACCAGATACCAGTAGCCAGGGCCAGCTTCAGGGGTAGGTAGCCAGTGTAGCCGCACAGGGTCTCACACTCAGAGGCACTCTGTGCTTGGTTTAATGTTCTGCCATTGCTGTCTTAAAATTCTTAATGATCTTATCTTCATAAGACTTGCATTTTGTAAGTGAAATTCAATGGAACAATGGAACCCCACCTGCAGAGAGGAGATGTGTACAATTTGTCACTCCTTGCCTCCCCATTTGTATACTCATAAGGCCTTAGCAATGCCCCACAAGCACAGAATTACAGTGGCTCATGATGCATGTGAGTTCAGTGAGACTTAAAGCCTCAAAGTTAGTAGAAGGTAAGCACAGGACATCGACAACTGAGTTGTAGGTAGGTGGAAGGCCATGCTTTCTATTAGAACTATAACTTGCTTAGAACACGAAAAGAGATCATGGCATCCTAGGAAACATAAACAACGAAGGGACCCTATCATGTTCTTTCTTGCTCTTGTTACTTCCCTATATTGGCCAACAACTTACACTGAAAACAGTGACATAGAAGGCAAGGGAATGGCAGAGAAGTGCTTAGTTCCTTTTCCTTTCAGCCCTTCCTAACTCATCAGTGAGCCAAAGGTAGAGCATGTTGGTAGAACATGTGCATATCAGGAAGTGAAAGAAAAACGGTTCAGTAAGTTTATGCAGCGTTTCCACTGTTCTGGTAAGAAATACATAACCATGTACGAGCTATGAAACTCAACTTGTACAATTTTAGTGATTCAGCATATGAGTTTAATTTATATTTGAAACTAGTATTGCACAGTATTAAAATGAATAATAAAATTCATGCTCATAACTTTAAATTATAGGGTTTTTTTTAACTTAGTTAAACATGAAGCGGCAATTTCAAAACACCATGATATGAGGAGACAGAGAGATTAACAGAAGTAAGAAAAACTTTAGATTTTAGTGCATTTAATGATATTTTGTCCTGCTTTTTGAACAACAGCACCACATTTCCATTTTGCAATGGACCCTGCAAATTATGTAGTTGGCCCTGTCAGTAGTACTCCTTAGTCATGACAAGGGAAAATGTCCCCAGACATTGCCAAATGTCCCCTGGAGAAGGGAGAGAGGAACAAAATCACCTCTGGTTGAGAACCACTGCCCTAGACAGTCTTTACCAAACTGACAAATAAAGACTGGTAAATAGGCTGGGCACGGTGGCTCACGCATGTAATCCCAGAACTTCAGGAGGCCGAGGCAAGTGGATCATTTGAGGTCAGGAGTTCAAGACCAAGCTGGCCAATATGGTGAAACCCCATCTCTACTAAAAATGTAAAAACTAGCTGGGTGGTAGTGGTACATGCCTGTAATTCCAGCTAATCAGGAAGCTGAGGCAGGAGAATCGCTTGAGCCTGGGAGGTGGAGATTGCAGTAAGCCGAGATCGTGCCACTGCACTCCAGTCTGGGTGACAGAGTGGGACCCTGTCTCAAAAACAAACAAACAAACAAAAAAAACAAACTGGTAAATAAAGACTGACAGAACTTCAATTGAAAAAGTGTTATGGAAGCCAAGTGTTTAAAATCCTGTAGACACTGTAGGATTCAAGTGTTATGATAAGATGCCAACATTTAAGATCATTTCCTGAATGTTTGGTGCCTCCCAATGTTTGGTGTTTTTCTGTCAGGACAATGTGAGATTAGAAAAGGATGAGACACATCTCTTTCTTTCATAAAAAGAGAAAAGAGCAATTATGAAAAGTAATGGCTAGATAATAAAAACTGTAGGTGTTTCTCAAGCAACTTTAAGAAAAAACACGATAACAACAAATTCTAATTCTAAGAAATTCTAATTCTAAGAAAAACTAACTCCCTTAAAATTCTCCCTGCACCTATATACTGCTTGGAAATTCTAATTCTAAGAAAAACTAATTCCCTTAAAATTCTCCCTGCACCTATATACAGTCTGGAAAGTCTTCATGTACTTCCAAGGGTATATATAATTTAACTCAGACACCCACTGTGGCTTCAGGATATGTTGGTCTCGGGATGCAATGAAATACAGCAGTTCCCAAAGGCCAGTACCCAATGGAATCACAACCTCAGCTAGCCCAGTGGCAGTAGTGGGCTCAGTAAGATTGCTCATTAAAATGCCTAAGGATATCATAGAATTCTCTTTCTTACAGATTTATGCAAAGTGAGCCTTCAATTAAAGTTAAAAATCTTAAATGCAAATTGTAACTCAAATTTATATATGATGTATCTTCTACTAAGCAGATTTTATAATGTTTCTCTTTAAATCATTATTGCAACCCTATATGATAAGAAAGAAATTATTATTACTATTCTATAATTAGGTAAACTGAGATTCAGAAAGATGAAGTAACTGTCCTCAAATCAAATAGCAGGTAAGTAGAAAAACCTTGTATTAAAACCAAGTTTCTGATTTCAAGCCAAGCAATGTTTTCCTATGCCATGATTCCTGTACACCGGCCTTATTTTTTAGGGGATGAAGACATTTTACATACATGTTTTCTATTTTCCATATATATATATATGCATACATATGTATACCTATATCTATAATTACCTTTTATAGAAGTTTGACAAACATTTAGGCAATTCAATCCCAGAACCCTCTAAACAAAGTAAGATACTTAGCACATTAAATAACATTAAATATTTATTTTCAGACTCATGCACTGTATAAATACTCTATAAATAATAAAAAATGCTGTTTTTATTTCCCATATATAAACTGCTTCTAAGTTAAGTCGTATGACAAAAATAGAAGCCTTGAACCTAACTTGATAATATACTTACCTCAATAATTTCCCTGTTTGAAATCTGCAGTGGTATGCCCTTCTGAAATGTGGCACTAAGAACACTGCCCCTATTTCTTCATTTGACCTGGATGATTGTCTGAAGGAACATCAAAAGCTGCTTAGAACATCACTGGAGAAGACACAGTGTCAACACTGCCTGAGGAATTCCTGAGCATAAATGTTGTGGGCCCTGTCTTATTCCTTCCTCAACTGTGACTCTTTATCCATCTAAGAGTCACGCCTGCAAGCAAACAGCCAGGCAAGAAAGACTGTTCCTAAAGTCCTCAGTGCACATCCAGGTTGGTGTTGCTCGGGGTGGCTGCATGCTCCTGCTTTCTGCCCTGTGTTTTGGAGGACTGTACATCATCCACTAGCCTAACCAAAGCAGGACTCATCTGCCTAAGGACAGACAGACCCTCCTGCTTATTGATATGCATGGTTTTGTGCATGCTATGGTAATTGAATTATTGAGATTTCACCATGAAGAAGTGGGACAACCTGGGCATGGATGGTGGCTGGAGCCTGTAATACTCTGGAGGCTGAAGCAGGAGGATTACTGGAGCCCAATACCAGCTTGGGCAACATAGCAAGACCCCATCTCAAAAAAAGGAAGAGGGACAAGATCACTGTCAGTATCTAAAGAGTGGCAATCCTGCAGAGCTGCCAATGACCAGAAAGGTGTGTTCTTCAAACCAGGGCTAGGCTTGAGGGGAAAGGCCCCTATATGAGCAGCAGAGTTAGAATCTTCTCTCAGTTTATACTTAATGGGAAAACTATGAGATAAAAAGAAAGATGATCATTTGTTCATTCATTTATACGACATGTACAGAGCACTTGTATGTGCCAAGAGGAGATGCACAAGGAGATGGAGAATAAAGAATCAGGCAAGCCACCTGCCTGTTGTGCCTGCCCTTAAGAAGTTAGATCTGAACTTCTCAACCCAACCACACAGTCAACTTCCTGGAGAGCTTTTAAAAAATCCTTATGCTTAGAACACTCCCCTAGAGATTTTTATTTTACCAGCCTGGGTGGTTCCCAGAGCTTTCCAGGTGCACCCAGCACTGATAATCCCTGAGCCAAAGCACAGATAGTAATGGGGTGAGCTGGAACAGGAACTAAGAAGTAAAATATATTTGCAATCAGATAAAAATTCTGCCCCTTTAAAGGTATTGGTATGCCAATTTTCTTTGGGTTTTCCCTTCGTATTATTTAATAAAAGTCAACCTCAGCTATGGTTAGAGAAACTAAGGAGAAAACATGTCTAACCATGCTCAAAGCACCATTTTTTAAAATCGACTAAGGAGATAAGAGTGCAATTTTGTTACAAGAATATATTGATTAGTGGTGAAGTTTGGGCTTTTTGTGTAGCCATCACCTGAATAGTAGATTGTACCCATTAAGTAATTTCTTATCTCGCACCCACTTCCTGCCTTTCCACCCTTGTGAGTCTCCAGTGTCTATTACTTCTCTCCTTGTGTCCATGCATACACATTATTTAGCTCCCATTTGTAAGTGAGAACATGTGGTATTTGACTTTCTGTTTCTGAGTTGTTTAACTGATAATGGCCTCTAGTTCCAGTCATGTTGCCACAAAAGACATGATTTCCTTCATTTTTATGGCTGAGTATATGTATGTATGTATGTATGTGTGTATATATATATATATGTATACCATATTTTCTTTATACAATCATCTGTTGATGGATACTTAGGTTGATTCCATATCTTTGATATCTTTGCTATTGTGAATAGTGCTGCAATAAACATATGAATGCAGGTATCTTTTTGTTATAATGATTTATTTTCCTTTAGGTAGATACCCAGTAGTGGGATTGCTAGATCTAATGGTAGTTCTAGTTTTAGTTATTTGATAAATCAGGAGCCTGGCACACCTTCATCCTGTTCTGGTGGTGGCAGTGGTCATTAAAAGAAGATAACTTCAAGTAGAAGATAAACTTCAAGGGCTTAAGTTAGGACACACATCAAATACATCTGCTCCCCTTAGAAAGTTTCTTTTCAGCTCTTTAATATGCTCCTTCCTCGAGGACATCTTTATTGTTGTTTAAAGGCACTGAAGGCCATTTCTTTATAAGGTATATTTACGTACCTAAAAGGACATGACAAAAGGACTCTCTTTCACCTTCAGTAGCTTCTCTGTCCCCATCCCACACTCCAGCACTCACAAACAGAGCCCCATGCTTGGCCCAGTGGTGCTAAGGGATTATCAGTTGAAAAGGGTTTCTTTACTGGAGCACAGCTTTAGCCACCCCCACTGCATGCTTCCCAGGAGGACTCAGACCCAGAGCAAGACACTCACTTTCTTCCCAAAAGAATTGACCCATCTTCCTCTCCAACCTGCTTTGTTCTCTGCCCTTCAATCACAGCACTCTGACACTTTAGTGTCCTTCTTTATATTAAAGTCCTGCCTACTACCTAGCAGAGTACATAGTTCACAGAAGATAGGCAGCAAATATTTGTGAAATAAATGAATCAAATTATATAAAGTGTTTATCCTCCATACTGCCCACCTATTTATGGCCTTAACTGATATCTTCAGCTCCATTCCCACCAAGGCTGCTGTTTTCTCTTTTCCCAGGCCAGGTGCATGTGACTGAGAGGTTCATGGGGAGAGACCTGCCCCTGTCTAAGGCAGGTACATGGAGGCGTGGTCATACCAGTTCTTTCTACTGATGGCCAACAGCTCCACTCAGCTAGCACTGTCCTATAGGCACAACAAAGAATGGCAAGATAAGAGAAGCCTTACATGTTGTGCTTCTTGACGTAAGTTATTTTTAGAGTAAAGTAACTGTTAATTATTAACTTGTATAGCATGACCTGATCAGGTGGTGAAATAATCTACTCTGAAGCATGAGTCGGATTGCAATTAAGGCTGTAGGGAACTTCATTCTAAATTCCCTGGTTGGAGAGTGATTAAAATCTCTTCTACAGTATGGCAATAAACACATAATTTCCTTTTTTATTCCCCCCAAAATGCAAAAATAAAATGGGAAGGCAGGAATAAGTGCACAAGAATGTTAGAAATAAATTCCATGGAGATAAAAATTAACAACTTGTGTCAGGCAACACAAGATGTGGATTCCATAGAGCCCTCCTGTCTAAATGTCAAACAGACTCATTATACTTGTCCAGAATAGAGATATTACATTCATAATTTCATGGTATTTCTGGAGTGCCACAGCAACACTTCTCTTAGTTTGAAAAAAAGAAAATACAGCCAGGTGTGGTGGCTCATGCCTATAATAGCAACAATTTGGGAAGGTGAGATGGAAGGATCCCTTGAGCCTAGGAGTTCAAGATCAGTCTGGTCACTGAGTGAAACCCCATCTCTTAAAAAAAAAAAAAGTAAAATTTAGCCAGGCATGGTGGCACATGGCTGTAGTCCCTGCTACTCAGGAGGCTGAAGTAAGAGGACTGATTGAGACCAGGAGGTTGAGGCTACAGTGAGCTGTGATTGCACCACTGCACTCCTGCCTGGGTGACAGAGTAAGACCTCATCTCAAAAAGAAAATAAAAGAAGTATAATTTTTTAAAGGAATTGAGAGAAGGCACTTTACTTTTGTCTGCTCATTGCAGCAAATCCATCAGCTGTGACTATTTGGAATATGGAACAGCATTTTAGCCACATGTTAAAGAAAGACAGTTCTACTTTGGCATTTACTTATATAAAGTCGTTCCTTGCTGAAAAGTACATGTGATACATGTGGCACAGAGTAGGTCTTATACAAATGTTAGCTCCCTTGCCTTTTCTTACATTCATCTCATCTGCCCAGTAAAGGTCATTAGTGAGAGCTAAGATGCTAAACCTCTAAGGATGCTGAAGATGATGATGTGGAACAAGATTTTAAAAGAGGCACAGGAGTTATATTAACTAACTCAAAGTCACATAGCAAGTCACTGCTTTTGAAGAAAACACCAACCCTCTCCTAATCCCTAGCTAGTGACTGCATGGTTGTTTCACCAACAAGGTTTGTGGCTTCTTCCTAAGAACATTCAAGACCAAAGATAATGATCAAAGAATAGTATCCAGGAATATATGTATCTGGCTCTGATATAAGACCACAGGATGGTAATGTAGGTCCTAATACCTCACAATACAAATTGACCCTACCTAAGTAATGAAGTATTAAAAACATAATGCACTATACCCTCACCAGAAAATCATCATTCAGGGCCATTGAGTGTACTTACACGTTCATCCTCATACCTAAACGTATTCAGCTTTTAAATATAGACGAGATCAGAATTATTCAGATCAGCAAGATGGCCATCTGCTTTCAAGCATGCAGCTGCTAGCCTTTAAACAGCAACTTTCCATGATTCATAACTTATTCATCTCAGGATGCACTCAGACATCTGCTTTATCATCAGCCTAGCTTATTGTAGCATTTTGCTTTAAAGTTTTAATGTCTGCACAGGTAACATAGTGATCCAGTAAGTTGGGTCTTTTTCCACAGAAAGAATCAACTCTTTAGCTCCTAACTGATGATCCAATGTTGAGATCATCCACATGCAAATGTATATAAGATGCACATTATTAGTTATTCCTCTTTAAAACAACAATAACATCAGTAATAGCTTCCATTTAGCCGACCGTGGGCTAGGCAATTCATCTTTATTTTCACTACCACTCTGGAAAACAGATATTATGATATTCATTTTTCAAATAGGCATATCAGCAAGCTTGGATAATTTACCCAATGCCACTAAATGTGAAAGTGACAGAAATTAGTTGTTTGAACCCTGACCTATGTGTCCCCAAACCCAAGCTTCTGCAACAACCAACTTTGCTTCATATTTGAATTGCTATGGAATAACTGAAATACTCTTATCAGTTTTATAGAGAAGGAGAGACTATAACTAGTCCAATTCCATTGATTTTCACCTCAAGAAAGCTCATGCATGTGGCACTTAATTAACATAAATGCTTTCAAAACTACAAAGCACGGTGTGAATTTATTAGGTCTTCTTAGTCTTCTAGACAACTTTTGGTGATTCTGGCTGTCTATTCTTTTACTCTCCATCCCTGACAGCAGCATCCAGGAGTACATGAAGAATCTAGGAACTGTGCAAGGACAGAGTCCATTTCTCTGCAAGAGAGAAGAGCATCTTATATCCTCTAACTCTGAAGAAAAGGTGCTGGACATACGGAAGATTCTTTCTAAAGACACCAGTTTTACCTAGTGCACATATTTTTTTTTGTCCCTAACTCTATTTTGCAAATTGTTTGTTGCCTCCTAGTTAATAACTGTGCTGCATACAGAAAAAAGTGGCCCAACTTTCAAATCCTGGTTCTGCAAACTAAAATAGGTCAGGCATTTAGAGCCTCACTTTTATCATCTGAAAGGAAAAATATAAATAATGGCACCTTTTGCTCTATGTCTTTTTTAAAAATGATACATAAAAGACAACTGAATGACATGAAAAAATTAAGAGTACATTGAGTAAACAATCACATCAAAAAATAATATGCATGTCAGGATAAAATTTTTGTTACAAAAATAGAAAGATATATTCATACAGACAAAGGATAGGAAATTATATTCAACATATTAGTAATGACTAGTTGAATGATACTGTGAGTGATTTTTATATTTTAATTTGGTTAATTATGCTTTCTAAAATTTCTGAAACTACAGCAAAAATTTTCAAATGATGAAATATAATTCAATTTTAAATGGTAATGGAAAATCAGAAAATATAGTAATTAGAGAAGAAAGACATGTAGGCAGTCAGTAGCCAACTTAAACCACCTTTAAAACTGTATGCAGTTGATTTAAAAAGCAAAATTTAAAAAAAAACCCAGTGTTGACTATAATGCAAAAGGTAGTTTAAAAGTAAAAATGAAGGAAAATAATGCAAAGTTGATTCCTGTTATTCACAGTTGTTATTTTCTATAAAGTTACTGCAAACACTTAATTAGATCATATGAAACCATTGCTCTTAGGAAAAATCAGGATTAGTTTCCCATGAGCCTCTATCACAATATTTTTTACAATTGAGCAATAAATACACAACCTTGTTTAATATATGTTTCTGTTTAAAGATACCTTACTTAACATATGCTGTTGATTCATTAACATTGATTTCACAACCAATAGTACTGTAACTCACGGCTGAACAAGCTGACCTAACACATGTATTTTCTCCATAAGGCACATCACAGGCTTCTTGTGCTTGGAAACACTTCAGCACTACATTCAAGAGTCATTTTAAACAGTGAAATCACTAACAAAAAACACCAAAATATGAAACACATGGCACTAATAGAACACGAAAAGAACATTTGTTTATAGTATCAGAGCTGGAACAAAGAGAGAGTGTTCAACCTTAGCTAGGAATGTGTTAGGTGGCTCAATTTTTTTGCCACTCTGCACATGCCCCACAATGACAGCAAAAGTGCTGCACTGATTTGAGGGTTACAAATAAATTTTAGGGAGTAGGCAAATTTGCAAATATGATATTCACAAATAATGAGGATCCACAATATCATTCAAACACTAACCAAAAGAAAGCCGGTCCTAGTCAACATAGTACTAGAAGTCCTAGCCAGAACAATCGGCAAAAGAAATAAATAAAAGACATCAAATAGGAGGAAAGTAAGTCAAACTCTGTCTGTTTGCAGACAATATGATTCTATCCCTAGAAAATTCTGTAGTCGCTGCCCAAATGCTCCTAGTTCTGATAAACAACTTCAGCAAAGTTCAGGATACAAAATCCATGCATGAAAACCAGTAGCATCTCTATACACCAATAACCTCGAAGCTGAGAGCCAAATTGAGAATGCAATCCCATTCACAATAGACACAAAAAAGAATAAAATACCTAGGAATACAGCTAACCAGGGAGGTAAAAGATCTCTACAACAAGAATTATAAAACACTGCCCAAAGAAATCAGAGGTGATACAAACAAATGGAAAAACATTCCATGCTCAAGAATAGGAAGAACCAATATTGTTAAAATGGCCATATTGCCCAAAGCAATTTACAGATTCAATGCTACTCCTATCAAACTACCAATGACATTCTTCACAGAATTAGAAAAAAACTATTTTAAAACTCATATGGAACCAAAAAATGGTCCTGAATAGCCAAGGTAATCCTCAGCAAAAAGAACAAAGCAGGAGGCATCACATTATTTAACTTCAAACTATACTACAAGGCTGCAAATAACCAAAGCAGCATGATACTGGTACCAAAACAGACACATAAACCAATGGAACAGAATAGAGAGCCCAGAAATATTACTGCACACCTACCACCACCTGATCTTCAACAAAGTTGACAAGAACAAGCAGTGAGGAAAGGACTTTCTATTCAATAAATGGTGCTGGGATAGTTGCCTAGCCATATGTGGAAGATTGAAACTAGACCCTTTCCTTGCATTATATAAAAAATCAACTCAAAATGGATTAAAGACTTATATGTAAAACTTAAAACTATAAAAACCCTGGAAAATAACCTTGGAAATACCATTTGGGACATAGGCCCTGGCAAAGATTTCATGAAGAAGATGCCAAAAACAATTGCGACAAAAACAAAAATTGACAAACATGACCTAATTAAACTAAAGAGCTTTTGCGCAGCAAAAGAATCTATCAACATAGTAAACAGACAACCTACAAAATGGTAGAAAAATATTTACGAACTATGCATCCAACAAAGGTCTAATATCCAGAATCTACAAGGAACTTAAACAAATTCACAAGCAAAAAATAAACAACCCCATTAAAAAGTGGGCAAAGGAAGTGAACAGACACTTTTCAGAAGAAGACATACATGTAGCCAATAAGCACATAAAAAATGCTCAACATCACTAATCACTAGAGAAATGAAAATTAAAACAACGAGGTACCATCCCACAACAATCAGAGTGACTATTCTTAAAAAGACAAAAATAACAGATGCTGGTGAGGTTTCAGAGAAAAGGGAATGCTCATACACTCCTGGTAGGAGTGTAAATTAGTTCAGCCATTGTGGAAAGCAGTTTGGTGATTTCTCAAAGAACTTATTTGTCCCAGCAATCGTATTAATGGGTATATACCCAAAGAAATATAAATCATTCTACCATAAACACACATGCAGGTGTATGTTTATCACAGCACTATTCACAGTAGCTAAGACATGGAATCAACCTAAATGCCCATCAACAGTAGACTGGATAAACAAAATGTGGTATATATACACCATGGAATACTACACAACCATAAAAAAGAATGTCATCATGTCCTTTGCAGCAACATGGATGCAGCTGGAGCTGTAGGAGCTGGAGCTCCATAGATGCACGGATGGAGCTGGAGGCCATTATCATAAGTAAACTAACACAGGAACAGAAAACCAAATACTGCATGTTCTCAGTTATAAGTGGGAGCTAAATATTGAGTACACATGGACACAAAGAAGGGAACAACAGATACCAGGGCCTACTTGAGGGTGGAGAGTGGGAGGAGGGAGAGTATAAAAAACTGCTCATCAAGTGCAATGATTATTACCTGGATGGCAAAATAATCCGTACACCAAACCCCTGTGAAATGCAGTTTACCTGTGTAACAAACTTGAACATGTACTCCTGAACTGAAAATAAAAGTTGAAAAAAAGCACTGGATTTATTATCAGTCTAAATAACATTCAGAATGAGGTTACTAGAAATAAAGAGGGACACTCTCTAACAATAAAATGGCCAATTCACCAAGAAGACATAACAATCTCAAGTGTACATGCATCTAATGAGAGAGCTTCAAAATACATACCACTAAAAGTGGTAAACCAAAATGAGGAATGGAAAAATCCTCAATTTTTTCTAGAGGTATTAGTACTCCTCTTCTAGTAATTAATATGCCAAGTAGGCTGAATATCAGTAAGGATATAAAAGAGGTAAACAACACCTTCAACTCACTGTATCAAAATGACATTTATAGAGCATTCCACCTGAAAGAGTAAAATATACATTGTTTTAAAGTGCATGTAAAACATTCACCAAGATAGACCACATTCTGGCTTATAAACATACCTTACCAAATTTAAAACAACTGAAACAATTGCAAGTTTATTATCCAATCATAATAGAATGAAACTAGAAATCAATAACAAAAATTCATCCAGAGAATTCCCAAATAATTGGAGGCTAAACAATACACTTCTAAATGATCCATGGGACAAAAAGGAGGTTTCAAGGGAAATTAGAAAATATTTTGAAATGAATGAAAATGAAAATACAACATCAAAATTTTTAGAATACTCTAAAGCAATGCTTAGCTGGAAATTTATAGCATTAAATTTGCTTATTTTAGAAAACAGAATGATCTAATATAAACAATATAAGTTTTGTCTTAAGTCAAGAAAAACAAGAGCAAAACAAAGTCAAAGCAAGAAGAAAAAAGGAAATAATAAAGAGCAGGAATCAACAAAATTGAAAACAGGAAAAACAATAAAGAAATCAATGAAACTAAGAGATGTATCTTTGAAATGATTTTAAAAACTAATAAACCTGTAGCCACGCAGACAAGGAAAACCAGATAAGACACAGATTACTAATATCCAGAATGAAAGGGAAATGTCTTTGTCCATTTTCTGCTGGTATAACATAATACCTACAGACTTGGCAATTTACAAAGAACATAAGTTAATTTGGCTTATGGTTCTGGATGCTGGGAAGTCCAAAATCATGGCACTGGCATCTGGTGAGGATCATCCCATGGTGGGAAGGTGGAAGGCAGAAGCACATATATGAAACAGAGAGAAATGGAGCCAAACTTATTCTTTTGTCAGGAGCCCACTCCTGCAATAACTAACCCACTCCTACAATAATGGCATTAACCCATTCATGAGGACACAAACTTCACAACTTAATTACCTGTTAAAGGTCCCCCCTCTTAATGTGGTTGTTACAATGGCAGTTAAATTTAAACATGAGTTTTGGAGGGACATCCAAACTACCGGATCCCACCCCTAGTCCCTCAAAACTCATGTTCTTCTCACAATGCAAAGTATATTCATTTTATCCCAATAGTCCCAAAAGTTTTAACTTATTCCAGCATCAATTCAAAAGTTCAAAGTCCAGAGTCTCATCTAAATCAAAGATGGCTGAGATTCAAGGTGTGATTTACCTTGAGGCAAATTCCCTCTAGCTGTGAACCTGTGAAATCAAAACAAGTTACCTATTTCTAAAATGCAATGGTAGGACATGCATAGGATAGGCATTCCCATTCCAAAAGGGAGAAATAGGCCAGAAAAAAAGGGTTAACTGACCCCCATGTAAGTCCAAAACCCAACAGAAAACAACATTGAATGTTAAAGCCAAAGAATAATATTCTTTGACTCAATGTCCTGAATCCTAGGCACCCTGGGACAGGAGTTGGGCCTCAAGGCTTTGGACAACCTTTCCCTCATGGTTTTGGTGGGCTCAGTTCATGCTTCAGCTCTCTTGGGTTGAAGTCTTTTGCCTGAATCTTTCCCAGGATGGCATTTTATGCTGGTAACCCTACAGTTCTGTGGTCTCAGGGGTGGCCTCACTTCCATGGATCCACTTGGCATTGCCCTACTGAGGAATTCTATGGCAGCTCCACCCATGGGCAAGTTTCTTCCTGGGCACCAAGGTTGATTATTGTTAAGGACAAACCTCCCCAAAAAAGCTTCTTGGTACAGCTGACACTTCCCCTAAACCTCTCCGTGCTGCCCACCCCTCCCCATTATGCTTTGCAACTCTTCTCTGTGCCACCCATCCTTCCCCCTGAGCCCCTTTACACTTCTAAGCCCTTATGTAGGTGCCACAGTGAAGCCAGCAGACTTTACCTATCAGGCCTTGCTGCAAACCCTTGCTTGTAACCCTAATTACAAGCCATCCAGACTGCACAGGGGGATGTCATGGGAAGCATAAACAAATTTTACCTACACCCTCCTGTAAATTCTACCATAAATGTCACAAAGTGATATGTGGCAAAATTAACCAGCAAACAACCCCGGGATGTGGCCATACCAAAGAACTCCCCCAAACTCCCCTACCCAATATAAACCCCTCATTTTGTAAGCTCAGAGCTGCTCCTCTGACTGTTAAGAGGGCAGCCAGCAGGTTAATAAAGGCTTGCCTGAACTTGGGTCTCCTCTCTCTTTTGTCCATTCTCTCTCAGCTGACCTTACAATTATGACTTTCTTTGAAATCTAGGTGGAAAAATGCATGCCTTCACAGCTTTTGTATTCTTGCACTCGCAGAATTAGCTTCATGTAGATGCCACCAAGGCTTACAGCTTGTACCTTTTAGAGCAGCAGGTAGAGCTACACCTGAGCCCATTTGAGCCATGGCTGGAGCAGCCAAGGAGAGTTATGCTGAAATGTAGGGAGCAGAGACCCAAGACAACTCTGTGCAGCAAGCCTGTGGAGGGCACCTCATCCCCATCCCCCAAAACCATTCTGCCCTCTTAAAGCTCTCAGCCAGGGATAAGAGGGACAACCTAGAAGATCTTCGAAATGCCTTTGTAATCTTTCTCCCATTGTCTTTATGAATAGCACCTGGCATCCTTCTATCCATTGTAATCTCTCTAGCAAATGATGACTTGGCCACAGCATTCTGCCCTCTGCATTCTCTAACAAACACACTTTTTCACTCTTTATATAGCCAGGCTCTTAATTTTTCAAATTTTTCTGCTCTGCTTCCATTTTAATTATAAATTTTGTCTTTAAGTCATTCCTTTCCTCTTACATCTCACTGTATGCTATTAAAAGTAACCATGCCAGATATCCTAATTCATCACTCTTAAATTCTGCATTCTGTAAAGCTCTCAGGCATGGACACAATTCAGTCCATGTCCTTGCTACTTTATAACAAGGATGGCCTTTACTCCAATTTTCAACCCCTTGTTCTTCATTTTCATCTGAGGCCTTATCCTTTACCATCCATATTTCTACCAACATTCTGGTCACAACCACTTAAACAATCTCTGAGAAATTTCAGACTTTTCCTACAGCTCTCTTTTTTTTTTTCTGAGCCCCCACAAGAATCACCTTTAATGCTCTGTTCACAGCAATACAGACTTTTCTAGTCTGCTCCTCCAAATTCTTCCAGCTCCTACTCATTACTCAGTTCCAAGGTTGTTTCCATATTTTCAGGTATTTTTATAGCAACAGTCCAACTTCTCAGTATCAATTTTCTGTCTTAGTTCATTTGGTGTTGCCATACCAAAATACAACAGACTTAGTGATTTATGCGGACAAGAAATTTATTTGGCTCACGATTCTGGATGCCAGGAAGTCCAAGAGTATGGTGTTCATATTTGGCAAGGGTCACCCCATGGTGGAAGGCAAAAGCAAGCATGTGAGACAGAGAGAGTAATGGGGCTGAAATCATCCTCTTATCAACAGCTCACTTCTGCGATAACTAATTACTCACTCTTGCAATAGTGGTATTAATCCACTTATGAGGGGAGAATCCTCATGACCTAATCACCTCTTAAAGGTCTACTTCTTAATACTGTTATAATGGCAACTAAATTTCAACATGAGTTTTGCAGGGGCTATTACTATAGAACCCATGTATATTAAATAGAAAAGAGAATATTACAAACAACTGTATTCATGAAAATTCAACAAATTAAATGAAATAAGCAACTTTACTAAAAAGCTACTGAAATTCACTCAAGATAAACAAAATAAACCTATATTTACTAAAAATTGAATTTATAATTAATGACCTCCCTATGAACAAAACTCTATAACCATATAGTTTTACTGGTGACGGAAACATTTAAAAAAGAAATTATACAATCGGTCTTATATAAGCAGAAAAAATTGAAAAATTCACATCATTTTCTAATAGTAGCCCAATCTGTTTGTGCTACTATAATAAAAATATCATAGACTGGGTAGCTTAAACTTTAGACATTTATTTTACACAGTTCTAGAGGCTAGGAAGTCCAAGATCAAAGTGTCAACCAGTTCAGTTCCTGGTGTGTGGCTCTCTTCCTAACTTGCATATGAATGCCTTCTTCCTGTATTCCCATATGGCAGAGAAAGAGATAATATCTCTCATGTCTCTTTCTGTAAAGTTACTAGTTCCATTTATAAGGGTCCCACCCCCACGACCTCTTCTAACCCTAATTATGTTCCAAAGGCCCTACTGCAAATACCATCACAGTAGAGGTTAGGGTTTCAATATGTAAATTGGTGATGAGGGAACATTTGAAAATATTCAACATCTATTGATGATAAAATCTCTCAGCAAACTAGGAATAGAAGGAAACTTCTCTAACCTAATAAAAAGTATCCACAACAAAACAAAACTGCAGCTAATTTCATGCTTAATGGTAAAAGACTGAATGCTTTCCCCTAAGATTGTAAACAAGGCAAGAATGTCTTCTTATTACTCCTATTTAATATTGTACTAGAAGCACTAGTCTGTACAAAAAGGCGTAAAATTAGAAAAGAAGAAATAAAACTTTTTTCAAAGTACCTGCCTACATTTAAAAATCCTAAGGAATCTACAACTTATCTCTTACAACTAATAAAAGAGTGAAGCAAGAACATAGAAAACAGGGTCAACATGCAAAATTGAACCATACATAGTATAAACTAGCAATGAATGTGCGGACATCAAATTGTTTTTAAATTACATGTACAATAGCTCCCCCCAAAAGATACATTTAGGTATAATATAGCAACATATGCAAGATCTGTATGCTGAAAGCTACAAAATTCTGATGAAATGAAGAAGAGCTAAATAAACTAAGAGACACATCTGTTTATGAATTGGGGCTCAACATAGTTAAGAAGTTCATTCTCCACACACTGATCCATAGATTTCAGGAAATTCCATCTAAATTTAGGCAGGATTTTATGTAGATATAGGCAACCTGACTCTAAAATTTATATGGAAAGGTAAAGGAACTACAGTAGCCAAAATAATGTTGAAAAAAAAAAGTTGGAGGACTTACACTATTTGGTTTTAAGACTTACTGCAGGTTGAGTATTCCTTATCCAAAATGCTAAGGGCAAGAAGCATTTTAGATTTTGGATTTTTTTCAGATTTTGGAATCTTTGCATATACATAATGAGGTATCTTGTGACTAGGACTCACGTCTAAATACAAAATTCATTCATATTTCATATATATCTTATGCACATAGCCTATACGCATATATTTCTTATACACATATATTTCATATACATCTTATACGCACAGAAGGTAGCTTTCAATGATATTTTAAATAATTTTGTGCATCAAACAATGTTTGTGTTAAGTATGTGTGGAGTTTTCCATTTGTGGCGTCATGTCAGTGCTCAAAAAAGTTTCAGATTTTGGAGTATTTTGGATTTCAGATTTTTGGATTAGGCATGCTCCACTTGTATAAAACTATAGTGATAAAGACAGTGTGGTCTTAATGAAAGGACACACATATAGATTAATTCAACAGACTAAAGGTTTAAAAATAGATGCTCATAAATATAGTCAATTAGGTTTTGTTGTTGTTTGTTTTTAGGAAAAGGATCTTGTTCTGTCTTCCAGTCTGGAGTGCAGTGGCTCAATCCTACCTCAAAAAGGATCCTCCCAGCTCATTCTCCCTAGTAGCTGGAACTACAGGCATGTGCAACCACACAGAGCTAATTTTCTTTCTTTCTTTCTTTCTTTCTTTCTTTCTTTCTTTCTTTCTTTCTTTCTTTCTTTCTTTTTCTTTTCTTTGGTAGAGACAAGGACTATGTTCTAAAATTTCCCTGGCCTCAAACAATTCTCCTGCCTTGGCATCCCAAAGTATTGGGGTTACAGAAGGTGCTGTCTATGAGAAAGTGGGCCCTCTCCACACATCGAATCTGCCAACATCTTGGACTTGGAATTCCAGCCTCCAGAACTGTGAGAAATAAATTTCTATGATTTGTAAGCCATTCTATCTACGGTATGGGGTTGAAGCACTCCCAGTGGTCTAAAACTTGGTATGGTTTCATTTATACAACAGTCTGAAAAGGCAAATCCATGGGGATAGGAAAGAGATCAGTGGTCACCAGAGATTGGTGGGGTGAGGGGGAAGGGGGAACGGTTTGACTACAAAGGGGTAGCACAAGAGAAAAACTAAGTGCAATGAAACTGTTTTGTGGTCATTACATGAATCTATACATATGTTGAAACTCATATAACTCTATGCCAAAAAAGCCAATTTTTCTGTATGTTAATTTTTAAAATAATACATAAATAGAAGTTGAAAGACTATGCTAACAGAAAAGAATTTTTTTGTGTTGGCACATTGTAAACCTCACAGTTATGACAGTCAGATATATAATTTGTTTATTTATCAATGTGTCAGGAATTTGTTAAGAGGTTTATATAAATGAATAAAAGTTATAAATACCTTGCAATAAATACTTTCTTATATGTATTTGGAAATTCTTTCTAGAAATATTGGTGCGAAATATTTTTCAGATGAAGCTTAGATGTCAAGAGACTGGCTGTCTTTTTGCTTACAATTACACCATTTTTATTCCTCCATGAAATCCTTGTTATCATACCTTGCCTAATTTTTATGCAAGAAAAGAAATATTTTTATGTTGGCAATTCACCTGACTTGAAGGCAATCCAAGCAAATCAAGTATATATTAGGCCTATCCACAAGAAAGATAGACTAATCCCTGAATTATATATTAATCATGAAAGAAAGTGGGGAATGGCCCAGGGATAAGGTAACTTCTGCCCTCACTTTCCACCTCACACTCTGTTTCTTCTTAGCTCTTCCTCAAGGAAGAAGGAATTTAGGAAAAGAAACCTGATTGTTCAGAGTCTGGAATTCTTTGGGTGAAACCATGGTACTGAAAAGGCATTTGAATTTGTGAACATTCCCTCTTTCTCTTCCTGGAATTAGGCCAAGAAATATCCTGACATTCTCTTGTGTACTTTGTCACCTTTAATACCAATGGTCAGTGGTCTTTCTTCCTTGTTCCTCATTGACTTTGCCTACAAATTAGTAATAATTCCTTGATATTTCCCCACAAAACCAAGAGCACTGTATTAGAAGTACAGAACTCCTCCCAGAAATGTTTTTCCTCCTGAATGTAAGATATTGCTATAGCCACAGCCTAAATAACCTGGATCAGTTTAGTATTATGGGACAAATATATTTCTCCATATTGGTTGTGTCACCCCCTTTCCTTTGGCCCTGGTAGTATGCTTCTTAGCTTTCTCATATTGCTTTTGAAATTTTCTACGTTCAGTTTATGGGGGTGGGAGGAGGAGGAATAAAGCAATTTAGGAAAAGGAAGCAAGAGGCCTCATTTTAGTCTTTAGCCTAAGTCATGTAGCCTAGCTTAGTTTAACTTCTATTTAGGTATATATGGTACTTACACAGAAATTAATATATATGTATACTTTATACCTCATTTAACTGTTAATAATTTCGTATAGTTCCTTTAGACAGAAGCATAAATAAATGATGGGCTTCAAGTAATTAACTCCTTAAAAAATTAGTAGTCATGCCCCTTACCTTCAAGGGGTTTGAAAACTGGCATGCACAAAATTAAAACCCTCCTAAATTATAGTCTATTAATAATAAGAGAAAGAGGAAAAAATAGAATTGAACTGTCTGCCTCATGCAAACTGAAAAACAACCCAAATACCCTGTCCAATTTAAGCTGTATTCTTTACAATCTATAGACTAACTGAAACAAAAAAATGTAAGAATATGTTATGGCATATAAGACTAAATCCTAAATAGGGTTAATAAAGTCTCATTCTAATTCCCCCTCATTCCATTGTACTTCTGGACTAGAACTTGTTCTACAAATATCTGTCACTCTTCACCTTTGCCTTTAAGGTAAAGAGCCAGGAGAATCATTCAAAGGGAGACCAGTTAGCTGAGGCAAGTTCAGAACTGTACCTCAGGGTTCTTGCCCTCCTGTGCTAAAATCCAAAAAAGCTACAATGTGTTTTGAAGGGCACAGTACCCACTGACCCAATTTTATGAATAGCTCCTTGTTAATTTATTGTTATATTCATCTTGGCTTATATAACACCCTTTTAATAATTTTGGAGTGATCTTAGCACATGACCCTGTTTCTTCCCTTTCTGAGTGTTAGGTTAGCTTGAAAGAAAGGGGTGGGAGTGTATTTCCTTTAACTAGTACAAAACATCTGGATTCCCAGATTATTATAGAGATTTAGAAAAGCAATAGGCAAGAAATGAGGTTGCAGTGCTGAAAATCTGGCGGAGTTCAAAAGCAATTCATTGTTCTGCTTTTCTTTCAGAATAATACACATCACTATACGAATTAGAAAACAAATGATCCATAGATGAGAAGGTAAGTTGACACAGTATTTTTAGCATCCTGTTCTTATTGTCCCAAATGCTTATGATTTTTCAAGAGAACCCCAAAATTGAAGAAGTGATGAAAAAAAAAGTTTCCCCAGACGTTTCTGTATCTATCCTATCCAGGTCAATTCACGCCATCTCTGACAGTTATGAATAACTTCTACTTTCCACACAGAACAAAACACTAATACAAAACTTGAAAGTAAAATGGAAAAGTAAAGTCCTGTCCAAATTGTGGGCTCTTTAAACCAAGCCAGTCTACTCCAGAAATTCCCCACTGTTCATTACAGTGGCCATCACTCACGATCTTGCTTTTAGAAAATGCCTAGTTAACATCACGCAACAACCCTAACTCTTGTACAACACCATATCCCTCCCCTCCTTGGAATGGAAAGGATATGCTGAGTCTCTGGCTACATCTGACCTTGGACCAAAAATCATCTACCCCTGGAGCCAGTGAGATATTTTGTCAGGAAGAAAGGTTGTGGGAGAAAAAGACAGAATTCGAGGTCAGAAAACTCCATTAGAGACTAGCAAGATTATCTGGAACCAGCCTCCCTGGGGATGGTAGAGTAGGAATGATATTCCTTAACTCTCAGGGTAATTAGGAGATCAAATGAGATAGCAGCATGAAACTGCTTTGTAAAGTGTTAAGTGCTGTATAAATGCAGCAAAGAGCTGTTTTCCAACTTCCTTGCTCCAGTGTTGATTGAATGTCCTTTGCTATATGGAACAATTTCCTCCCTTGAGTTATTTAGGATGGGCATGGGAAGAGCTCCTGGGCATTCCTTTAAGGCGTTCCTCTAAGAACCACTGCCTGTGGTAAAGCCAGAGCCTACAGAAACTCATCCCTCCCTCCCCAGCTAGCATTCTGAGGGGGAGGGGGAGGGGACTGACTTGCTCTTCTCAAGTTTTGCTAATTGAATTTTTTGAAGAAAAGACTCAATTCTTCCCTTTAAAAAAAAATGCATTACGCCTTTTCTCCCCAGCCATCTGAAGCCCATGACCACAGCAAATACATGCCAATCTTTCAAGTTAAAGACCCCAGGAACAAAGCTAGAGAGTTCTAGGCCCCTCCAGCCTTCCCCACTCCCTGTTTTCCACAGCAGTCTTTAACGAAATCAGACCCTAAAATGCGTGAGAGAGAAATACTTTGGATCTACCCCTAGAGACAGCGTCGGACGTTCACAACGACCACGCTTTTCCCCGCTTCCTCGATTAGCCTGGCCTCCCTTGCTCCAGTGGGGCGGACTCAAATGCGCACGCACGCACACGCCGCCAAGCCGGTCAACCGCAGACAAATCTGACTCTTCGCCAACTAGTAGCCACGGAGAGCAGCAAAGGGACCAAGGTCCTTCACCGCCTGCTCCAAAAAGACACGGCAACCTCCAGCGGCGCCGCAGTAGCTGCCTCTGTGCTGCAGCCTCCGGTCGGAGTTTCAGGTCTAATTCCTTAAGAAGTATCGCTCCTCTGCCCTTCGTCCTACTCCCCTTGGCTTCGCCCACTTCGCCTCCTTCTCCTCGGGAGGCCAGGAGGACCCGGGTCACTTTGCCAATTCTGCGGAGGGGGAAGTAGCAGTGAGGGAGATTCCCACGCAAGTAGCCCGAAGCCCACTACTCTTTGCCCCACCTCTCCACTCTCTTGCCCGTGTAGGTGCCGGTGCTGCTGGCGAAAGTCCCAGTTCTTAAGGCTCCTGAGCTCGGAAGGGGTGTGGAGGAGCCAGATGGGAAGAGAAGCAGCGGGACGAGGGCGAGGAAGGGCTGGAGATTGTTAGAGGACAGATGGGGCGGGACTGGGGAGAGGGGCGAAGGCGACGCGCCGAGGCACTCCTCCGCCCCATGAGCACAGACAGTAACTCCGAAACGCGCAGATGGGCCGTAAGGTAAAGAGGCCTTTTTTCCCTCTCCTCTCCGTCCTCTACCCTGCTCCCCTCCTAGACACTTGGTGAAAAAGCAAGGTGCGGTGTACCTGGAGCGAACACCATGATTTCTTCCAGCCGCTACGCCCCCAGATTAAGAGAGAAAGACAGGCAGACGGAGGATGGGAAGAAGGCCGGACTTGGCGGGGTCCGGTGCAGGAGGGCGCGCTGGGCGGGCGGCGGGCGGGGCGGTCAGCACCCCGGACAGCTCCCGCCGCTAGATCCTGGGGCCGCAGCTCCAGCCGCCGCCGCGCGCTCTGCCTCCACAATGCGGCCACAGCGGCGGCGGGAGGAGGAGGGTGAATCCCCGCTCAGTCCATCCCTCATTCCTGTGCCAGCTCGGCGACGTACACTGCTGCTTAGGGAGCAAAGCACTTCCACCGCTTTCACGCGACGAAGGTCGGAAGAGCAAGAGAGAGAAAGGTAAACTTCCCGGCAGGGGACAGTGAATTGCTTTTAATTACCTGCTGTGGCTCGTCGCCGTGGATATTGGACTGACATTTAAGATAGATTTGTCAAAAAAAAAAAACTCTAAGAGCTTTCTTTACTCTCGAGGATGACTCTGAGTTCTCCGAGTTGGGCTGGCTCGAATAGAGGGGCGGGTCTGTCAAGTTAATAGGTCCTGGAGGTCCGTGAGTCCTCTCTCGCGAGTCCCAGTCCTCTGCTAACGTCAGGAAGAGAGCAAGAGGAAGGACACAGTGACTATGGAGCGCTCGAGGAGGGCGCTACTATCAGGTTCCGCTCCCAGGTGGCAAATCCGGCTCTGAAAGCTCCTAAGCTTGAAGGTCCTCAAGGTCATCACTTTAGAAAAAGCAAGGCCGGCCAGGGCACAGGAAAGATAACGCATACACCCTTCACAAGGAAGAGCCAACAGAGCCCCCTGCAAGTGTGAGAACAGCCCTGAGATCAATCAAGAAACATCAGTTCTTCCCCTATCCTCACCCAGCTGAAAACTGTCTGCATGCCCCGCTCATACACCCAGTTCTACCTTAAAGGTACTGGGACTGCCTTATGCTCACTTCATCCTCCTAATCATTGCTCACTTTAGGTATCTATTCCCTAATAATGTCTGTGCAGTGTGAACAGCCCACACTAGATGTCACCCAGCTTGAAACAGGTCCATGTGGGTTACAAACCCAAAGCTAAAGCCACCCAGAATCCTCCAGCCTCTCCCCTATTTTTCCAGCTAAATAAGGTTTTCCAAGAACAAAGGTAATCAAGGTCATCTCCAGTGTTTTATGGGGTTTCTTCACTTGCAACTATCCCTGGAAAATGTAACTATTCTGAAAATTAAGTATTTCCTGATAATTGGTTGATGGCAATAAGTTCTACAGTCTTTTGGCAAATATAAAGCATCCAAATAGACTGATTGGCACTGTTTTTTTTTTAAAGCCATCCGATAGACTGAAAATGCAAATAGTTTTACAGCTTTTGAACTACAGTTTGCATGAAGGCATATGGGCAGCCTCAACATAATACAATCAGTACTGCTGTTAGCACCTGGCTCAACACAGGCTTGAACATATGGGGCCTACCCCAGCAGCAGCAAGATGAAAGTCAGCTGATGGGCAGGATAAAGCGTGTGCATGACAGGATAGAGTTCTCCCATTTTGCCAAGTTTCTCCAATGATGCTTCACTCTGTCTTCTTTTCTTCATCCCACGGGAAGTGTAAAACAGTATTTAAAATAATTTTGGAATGAAAGGTGTTTTTCTTGTAACACACTCAAAAGGGCTGTCTTTTACAGCCCTTATGTTTAAATGGGCTTTCATCTCCCAATACATAAACAGTTACCCATGATTAAGTTCAAGGAAAAGCAATATAGTATAGGAAAAACAACAACAAAAGACTTGAGAATCAGACTGAGACCCAGGTACCACATCCTCATCATTTACTAGATGCATGACCTTAAATAAGTTACTTAACCTGTCCTGTCTCATCTGCAATATAAGGATTAAGGTATCTTGAAGGTTTGTTGTAAGGATTAGCTGTGAGATGGATTAACAGATTAATTAAGAGAGAGCACAGCCTCAATTAAACTCATTCCAGGAAATCACTGGCACCCTGGGAGTAGAGTACACCCTATGGGAAAGCAAACAAAATATGTTAGACCAGTGCTTCTCAAACATTAATGTGCGTAAGAATCCTATGGAGATCTTGTTTTAAAAAAAAGGTTATGATTCAGCAGTGATATGGTTTGGCTGTGTCCCCATGAAATCTCAACTTGAATTGTATCTCCCAGAATTCCCACATGTTGTGGGAGGAACCCAGTACGAATCAATTGAATCATGGGGGCCGGTCTTTCCCATGCTAATCTCGTGATAGTAAATAAGTCTCACGAGATATGATGGTTTATCAGTATCAGAGGTTTCCGCTTTTGCTTCTCTCTCATTTTCCCTTGCCACTGCCATGTAAGACGAGCCTTTTGCCTCTAGCCATGATTCTGAGGCCTCCCCAGCCACATGGAACTGTCAGTCCAATTAAACCTTATTTTGTTCCCAGTTTCGGGTATGTCTTTATCAGCAGCATGAAAACAAACTAATACAAGCAGTTAGGTCCCGAGATTCTGAATTTCCAACAAGTTCCGTGGTAATGTCCATGCTGCTGGTCTATGGAGTAAACTTGGTTAGCAAGGTATTAGAGGCATCAGCTTTTAAACAGAAGGAAATTACTTGTATCTTTCCCAACCTCAGAGCTTATCTTTTTGAGTTTTAAACAAAGAAGGAACCCAGATGGATTCCCATAGACTACCAAGATAAACAGTAGCCAAGATGGTAGTAGAAAGAAAGAATGCCTGAAAATGGTCTGGGGCTCCTTGGGCTATTTGATTAGCAATAGGAGGTAGTAAGAATCCAGCTCAACAGGTCAAGAACAGAGAAAAAAAAAACAACTCTTCTCACCTCCATCCTCAGCTGTTTTCTGCCCTTCATCCTCCAATCACCTCTTCATTTTTTTCTACCCAACATCACTAGCCAGAGGACAATATATTCCCAATCCAATTTTCGTGTGCATATATTTTAGTCAGAACCATTGTTTTATTTCCAATAAAACCGAGGTACTTCAGTGATTTTTCTATTTTACAGTTTCATTTATTTCACCAGTAAATGTTACAGTCAACAATACTATCTCCAATGTTTACTACTACTTGGGTTATTATTCTGTTAGCTTTATTGAAACACCCCAATAATGCTACTAGATTTTTTTTTTTTTTTTTTTTTTGAGACAAGGTCTCATTCTGTTGCCCAGGCTAGAGTGCAGCAGTGCCATCTCGGCTCACTGCAACCTCCGCCTCCTAGGCTCAAGAGATCCTCCCACCTCAGCCTCCCAAGTAGCTGAGACTACAAGTGCACACCACCATGCCCAGCTAATTTTTGCATTTTTTAGAGACAGGCTTTTGCCATGTTTCCCAGGATGGTCTTGAACTTCTGAGCTCAAGCCATCCACCTGCCTCAGCTTCCCAAAGTGCTGGGATTACAAGTGTGAGCCACTGCCAAGGCCTTAGATTTTTTCTTATGTCTTTACATCTTAATATAAATGATCAATTTAACAATAGAATGCCTGATAGGAAAATGAAAGCCTCCTCTTATTCTACTAGGATAAGAACAAGATTCTCTTTGATAGACCATTTATCCAGTCTTACCCCACAATGAGGTTCTCAATAATATTTTGCTCTCTGTTTTAACACCTCCACTCAGAATGACTCACTTTCTACTCAAACAGTCCACTGCATTTGAAGACAGCCATTTGTCAGAGAGTCAGCTACCACCACCATGTACCCCATTCTGACTTTTAGCACTGTCATATCTGGTCAATTATGGGAATAGTGATAGGAAGCAAGATAGTAAACAAATTTGGGGCATCCACCAGATGCTTAACAGGGTGCTGAATGAATGAGAAGGCACAGGAGGAAAAAGTTTCCTGTGGAACCAGTGATTTTACTTGGAAATTTGGGAAAATTTTTAATTAAAAAGTGAGCATGGGTACATTATAAAATAGAATAAAAATGTATGTGATATATAAACATTAAATTGGAGACCCTAAAGAAATCACCATAGGGAGATTAGAGCTATAACTCTCAGATTTCTCCAAGTCTGTATCCATTCACTCTAACATTCATTTATTATACTCTCTCTTTAGAGCTTAAGCAAATAAAAAATGTTGAAAACACATCCTGAAACATTCCAATTGCCCCAGTTATTTGTAACATACCTTGACTCCAGCCATTCCCTGATTCTTTCCACTGTATGCTTATTTTAAATAGATCATTCAATCCACTAAATTTAAAAATAATTTTAGCATCCCTAAGGAAGTTGAAATAGGTTTAAAAGAGGCATTTTCATTATAAAGCATTAAACTATAATTGTTTCCAAAATGTTTTGGCTTATAGGTTTCAGTGATTACAGAAATAAAATGATTGAAAATAACGATTTTCTTTTTCTAAAAACTGCTGGAAGATGTTGAATTGCACCTAAGGGGGACACAGAAGTGAAGTAAAACAGAAATATAAAAAAACGAATGAGAGAATGTGGTACACAGAGAGATGGAAATAGAAAAACTGAATAAGGAAGAAGACTGAAAAACTAATCTTTGTGCTATTCAATCTATAAAGACTTAAAGAAAGTGAGGTAAAAATAGATAGAGAGAGGGAAATGGCATGAACAGAAAATAAAAACAAAGATAGAAGGTAGGATATAGAGGAATGGGGAATAAAAATCATAACTTACTACATTAAAAAATAGAAAATATTAAAGCATATTGCAGGTTTGAAGAGTATAGAACAATGTCTCTGTAGGTTTGCATTTTATGAAGCAGTTTATGAGTCCTGCTGGATGCTTTAAAAGAGAATATAAAAGCTGTATTTTCTGAAAGTAAAACATCAGCAAAACTTTCTTATTGAAAAAAATTTCATTAGAATAGTTAATATTTTGCGTTATGTTTATACAAAATGAATATTTTCTTGAAAAAAATGCCTTTGAAGACCTTTTTCACTACCAAAGAGCTATGTATCCATATTCATTTCTGTAGAAAAGTTTTTCCCAAATCACCAAATGTTATTATTTATTCTATTAGATGACAGGAGATGGAAGATTAGTTGAAGACAACATTGAAAATAAAACCTATTTGGTTAGTTTATAAGGAGAAGCATAAAGCATTCAACTAACTTAGCTTTCAACTCATATTCAAAATTGTGAATACACATTATAAAACTTTATCCAATAAATTCTGAATGTATAAATCTGTTTATAGCTTCCACTCTAAGTCAATTTAAGAAGAAACAATGGAAAAAAGTGAAAGAGAAAAATGGAAAGAAAAGAAGTGAAGAGAGAAGTTAAAAGATGGAAAAGGAATAAGGCAAGGAGAATGAAAAGAGGCAGGAAACAGAAAAAGAAGGAAAAGCATGCATAAGGGAGAAACATACAAAAGACAGAAAAGATGCATATTGAGATAGAAGAGATTTAAAAAAATAGGAGAAAGAGAAAAAAGATAATTTTTTAAAATATCACAAACAGGAGAGCCTAAATACAGTCCAAATTGAGAAACTGAATGCTCTTCTCATATCCTGCTCACTTAGGCTGTATGTTTGAGAGTAAACTTAATCACTATCTTTGGAAACACTTATTAATTTTAAGGCAATTGTTGAAAGCTCTTCATCTTTATTCAAGGGCTCCATTCAGAATTGGTGAGAGTCATGGTACTCTACACAGGGATTTCAGTGTCGGAGAAGAATTCTTCTTTAGAATATGATAGCTAAGATCATTGCAATAGTGACTAACTGGTTACTTTTAAGCTTCTATTAAAAATCAACTGATAACATTGAAATTCTTTGCAACCTTAGGGTAGACAAAGATTTCCTAGATAAGACACAAATAGCATGGGTCATAAAATAAAATAATAGATAAACTGAACCTCATCAAAATTAAAAATTTCTGCTATTTGAAAAATGCTGCTAAGAAAGTGAAAAGGCAAGCTACAGACTAGGAGAAAATATTCACAATACGTATATCTGACATACGTATTTGTAACTCTTGCAATTCATTAAGATGACGACCCAAATTAAAACTTGCCAAAATATTTGAGCAAACACTTCACAAAAGGAATACAATATGAATTGCCTATAAGCACATGAAGACTTCTCAACATCATAAACCATCAGAGAAATATAAATTAAAGCCACAGTGAAGTATCAATTACCTACCCAGTAGAATGGCAAGAGTTAAAAAGACCGACAATGTCGCGTTGATGAGATATGGAGCAACTAGAACTGTATTACATTGCTGGTAGGAATGTAAAACGCTTACATGCACTTTGGAAAACAGTTTTATAGTTTCTTGTAACATTATATATACACTTCCCATAAGACCCATTAGTTCCACTCCAAGGTGGTTACCCAAGAAAAATGAAAACCTGTGTCCACATAAAGACTTACACATGAATGGCTAACAGTAGCTCTATTCATCAGAGCCAAAAAGTGAAAACAACCTAGAAGTCCATCAACCTGTGTATGGATACTCATATTGTGGCATATACATGCAACAACACAGATAAATATTGAAAGCACGCTGAGCAAAAGAAGCCAGACACAACAGAGTACAGTGTATGCTCTACAATTCAATTTATGTGAAATTCTACAAAAGGAAAAACTAACTTGTTATTGACAGAAAGCAAATCATTGATTATCTGGGGCTTGGAAATTTGGAAAGGTATATTGGAACTGATTAAAAAGAGACATAAAGGAGCATTTTGGGATAATGGCAATGTACTATATCTTGACTGTACTAGTGGGTATATGGGTGTATAAATATATCAAAATTCATAGAACTGTTCACTTATAATGGATGCATTTTACTTTATATAATGCATTACTATAGAATTTCATCTAAAAATAAGTTTATAACAGTATAATATTTTTGTAAATAAAAATATGGGTGAGAATATCCAAAACATGGAATATTTTGAGAGCTAACCTTAATTCTAAAGGTATGTTAACTCGGTTTTTCCTAATTTAAAAAAATCTTTTTTAAATCTAAAATAATTTCACATTTTCTCCTCAACATTTTGGATTATTGTATTTAGCCAATATGAACGACTGAAAAATGAGTAAATAGATATAATATGTTGCAACTTAATCATTACCATTGTCTTCATTAATTTATTCAGCAAACATTTATTGATCCCTATTATATACTACAAACAGTATTAGATACTGAAGATTTGGAGCAATAAGACACAAGTGTACTTTCAAGTAGCTTAGAGTCCAGCGGAAAAAAGAGACAGGAGAAAAAGTGTGGGAGAGAGGAGCAGGGAGGGAAGAACACTGAGACCCTGCTGAGGCCAGCAAATATTTATCTATGGAGGTGTCAGGTGGCATGGTCATATGAAATCAGGGTACAGATGAGAATGCCACTAAACCAGTGGGATCCTGATATAGTTTGGATCTGTGTGCCCTCCAAATCTCATGTTGAGTTGTCATCCCCAGTGTTGGAGGTGGGGTCTGCAGGGAGGCATTTTGTTCAAGGGGGCGGATGGATCCCTCATGGCCTGGTATTGTCCTCAAGGTGGTGAGTGAGTTTTCAGGAGATCTGGTTATTTAAAAGTGTGCAGCACCTCCCCAACTCTCTTGCTCCTGCTTTTGCCATGTGATGTGCCTGCTTCTGTTTCACCTTCTGCCATGAATAAAATCTCTCTGAGGCCTCCCCAGAAGCTCAGCAGATGCTGGCATGATGCTTGTACAGTCTGCAGAACTGTGAGCCAATTAAACCTCTTTTCTTTACAAATTACCACCCAGCCTCAGGTATTTCTTTATAACAATGCAAGAACAGTGTAACACAGATCCAATTTGGGGAGAGAAGGAAGTTTAGCCAAGAGGGACGCTCTAACAAAGTAAGAAAAATAAAAGTCATTCTGGACTAGAGGTTGTGATGTCAAAAGTTAAGCTTGATGAAAACAAAGAAGTAAGGCTAGCAGGACTGCAGGCAGGATTTCTGAGTTTAAAGTTTCCGATGCGTAGCCCTTCTGGATGACAATAAGGTCTTGAGAGTGGCCTTGGAAGTAAAAGATCCGTGAGAGTGAAGTGTTGGGGCTGTCGAGTCACCTTGAATAATGGGTGAGCACAGAGGTGGAGGAGAAGACGGTGAAACACACAGCATTCTCTTCTATGAATGGGGGTGGGGGAGGATAGTTATAAATATTAAGTTTCTGCCAGATAAATGTAAGGATAAAAAGAGTCAAAAGAGTTTTGAATAAGCTAACAATGTTTATGTAGCATAATAAAGTTTGGAAATTGAAATCGATGGCTTTCATAGTCAGTAGTTCCTTTTTTTTTTTTTTATACCAGTTTTCATAGCAATAGTAGACAAGTAGACTTCTAGGCTGAAACGCATTGTTTCAGGAACAGACTGAGCTCAATTTAGAAAATAAACACTCAAATTTTTGGCTTCTGAATTTTAAAATATGATCTTCAAATCAGGAGCAGAGACTAAAGTCTTGAACAGCAAGCTTTTCATAAATGCCAGGGTGAGGGGTGGTGTGGCTGGAGGAGGAGCGGGTAGGTTTTTTAACTCCTAACCTCAAGGGGTCAAAACATAAAGTGTCAAAGAGGAACAGAGGTGACGAGATAAAAGCCACAAAAGTATTGCCAGTTTTTCTACCCTGAAGGAAGGAAATGTTTTTTTGTTGTTTTATTTTGCTGGAAAACTCATTCTGTGCTTCAGGGCAAGAGTTCTTTTTTTTCTTTTTCTTTTTCTTTTTTTTTTTTTTTTTCATTTTATGCCTTTCCTCAGAGGTTGTATTTAAACTCAAGGGGGTGAAGCAGCCAATTTGGAGACACTGTTCTCCTCAGGAAGTCATGCCATATGACTGTGACTTTGTCTATTCTTTGCTTGTGGAACTTGGTTCCTGATCTATCATCTAGATGTCCACATCTCACCCTGGTCCCTGATCCCTCAGAGCTCTGGAGTTAAGAAGGACCTAGAAGGTGGCCTCAAGTTCATCTGCCCAGACACCTACTCTGCTATTGATATTTTATCTCTCTAGCATCAGCTTGACATTTTTCAAGCTGTATATATTCTTGGAAGTAAAATGAAGGTCTTGGGATGTCTCCAAATTCATCTGGGCCTCCAGTTATTTTCCCCCTTGAGGTCCCACCTCTCCTGCAACTGACCAACGTTGAGATGTAGCCTCAGTCTGCTTTTTTGGAAGCCCAAACCACCTGCTAAATCTATATTGTCATATCCATCCTTGTCTATGAGAGATCCAAACTCATAAACATGTCCTACAAATTTGATCCGGCCCCTGCCTCATGTCTAACTTTGTATCTCACCACTCCCTGCTTGTATGTCATATTCCTCTAACACTGTTTCCACATCATCTGATGTTCCTGATCTGGTATCTTTTACCATGCTCTTCCTCCTGCCTGGAATTCCCTACTCACATTTCCTCTTCACTTGGCTAATTCCTACTTATTCCTCCAGGCAAGGCCCAGGCCTCCTTCTGGAAGCTTTCTGTGCTCCATGCAGGGTTAAGTGTCCCTCCCCTGTCTTGCAAGAATCCCTATGTTCATGTCTGTGTGAGTAGTGCACTGGACTATAATGAACTGCTGCCTTCCTTACTAAACTATGAGTTCCTCAAGGAAAGGTTGGTTATGTCTTATCTTTTCAATCCAATGCCCAGCACTTTTCACAGCACATAATAAAAATTATAAATATTTTAAAAATAAATGTTTATTGAATACATGAACGTTCTAATGAATTCATTTAAATACTATTATTTTTAAGATAGTTTATATAAATGAAACAGGGCTTGGTGAATACATAGCATTGTCTCTGTGAAATACATATTTTATTATATGTATATAAGGTGTGCATGCATGTATGTATATATAAATGTATTATTAGAAATCATGTGTATTTTAAACAATTTTATGGAAATTTTCAAATATATGCAAAAGTAAAAAAATATAATGAACTCTTTCCCCATTTACTCCTCATACAGTGGTGGTATTTAGTACTTTATGGCAAATCTTGTTCCATCTATACCTATACCCACACCCAATCTTCCCACCCCCAGATATTTTGAAGTGCACCTCTGATACTATACCACTTCACTTGAAACTATTTCAGTACATATCTCTAAAAATTAAGGATTTAAATATTTAAATATAATCACACTACTATCATGCCTCTAAAAATTATTCTTAACTGTATCTGAAGGTAATCAAAATTAGTATCTTTATTCTTCTCAACAACAATATATCCTTAAAATGCTTTAACTCTGATCACACTCTTCTCAACATTTACATATTAGTATCAAATATTTTAGTTCTAGCCATTCTCCCCAAAAATTAGATGTTATTATTCTAGTTTTTATAGAATAAACATTTGCTTATTAACCTATATACAAATAGCTAGCTCACTTTTAAAATCCCTTATGTATGATCTTTCATAATAAACCCTTAGATCGTGTTTATCTAAAGTGTCTTTATTCCACCACTGTTCTTGAAAAACAGTTTCACTGAGCAGGTTTCTAGATTGAGTGGTTATTTTTTCTTAGTACATTAAGCATTTATCTGTTTCTTAGTTTTTGACAGGGATGGATTACACTGGAAAACCCCTGCAGATAACCTCGACAGAATGTTTCCTATCAGTGCCATCTCTAGCAGCAGAGGTAGAATGAATTCTTCTCTCCACTCAGAATGGGCTCAGGCTAAGCCCAGTGTGCAGATAAAATCTTAGCTTTCTCAGCAATCACTGTGATCTCATTTCTTACCTAATTTAGATAAAGATGGTTAAATTAAGCACTTTGAGTACCCAGGCTTTTGAAACAGAAGTGTATGTCCAGGGATATAGTGGTCAAAGAGAAAACTGTGCATACTCTTCCCTTTTTGTCAGAGCCCTGCATCCTCGGGAGAGTTTTCTCTCCAGAAAAGCTCAAAGCTCTGGCCGGGCCCTTGATGCAGGGAACAATGTGTACACTGCAAGGAGCTGGCAGACCAGTCATAGGATTCTGGCCCTTTGAAGACAAGGTCAGGCCTCAGGAGCTGTCTCTGGGACTATTGGGGAGCCAGCATGTGCAACCCTCTAATGCTTGCTTCTTTATCTCTAAAATAGCCAGAAATGTCAGATTGCTCAGCAATTCGCACATGTAATGTGCAGAGATAGAGGATGGTTCAAGACTGTCAGTTCCTAAACCTTCTGATGCTTTTACCTTTGGAATGTCTTTGTTTCTCAAATTTGTATAAGAAATCCTGACTATGCACATTTCCCTGACACAAGCATCTGGCACCTTTGCTATGACTATTCAGCATGAAACTGTTCGCTGCTTAATGCAATGCTGTAACACAGGACAAATGAGGACAGAAGTGCACAAAGGGATTGAAGTTTATGCTTAAAGCTAAGATAGTGTATGATTTCACCTGTAACTTGCCTTTAACTTCAGAAGTTTGGTTGGCATATTCATTACTGAGGGCAAGGTTTTCCGTGAGCTGACTGATGATTACACACATAGGATTCAGAAGTATGTGAAGAACAGTTCTTTAATTCAGGTTCAAGTTTCCTATTAGCAACCATACAGTGTCTACCTTGAATAGTGTGAAGAGAATGGATTATCCATACTATTACCCTTATACCACCTGCTTTTGAAAGTCTTCATCCTCAAGTTAGGGGTTACTCCTGTCCTGAACATTGTATCCTCTTCTGTCAACAGGACCTGCCACTTCTCATTGGCCCTACCTTAGTTATCAGCCATTTAGTTTCATCTGCTTTTCCCCTGTGTGTTGCTTAAGGGGCCTCGGCTCACAGTGAGAGCAAGAAATGGATGAAGGAAAGGTGCCTTGGTCCTGAGTAAAGCCTCAGGACAAAGCATCTTCACTACTAGGGCTTTTTACACAACCAAGAGTGACTTCTTAGCTTAAGGCCCATGTACCAAAGGAGGCTTTGTCTCTTTTTCTTCTTTGTCTGAAAACCCCAGAGTTAGTAGTTATTAATAAAAACATGCCAATTTGAGACAAAAACAATACAAAGGTGAGAGATATCTGGAGATTAAGCAGTGCTTTTATTTCCTATTCTACAAACATTTTTGAGTGCCTGTTGTGTAATACGCACTGATCTGGTATTCATCAGTGAAAATAAAGATCTCTGACTTTGTGGAAGTTACATTCTAGCAAGGGAGCTTACATCTTGATATATCAATGTAAATCATGATTAAGTGGTAGGAGAAAAGCCACTGTATTTGAAAAGAGCTTATTACCAGACACCGGGCCTAGTTCTAGGGTAGAGAGAGATGGGACTGAAAAGTCTTACCTGAATAATTGACATTTGGTCTGAAATCTGAAATATAAGTAAGAATTAACTACCTAGAATATTTATTCTTTTATCCCTGACTCTCCAAATGATGAGGTGCTAAAATACATAAACATATATATAATAAACACAATAAATGTTTAACAAGAGGAATTGGAATAGTAGTCATGGTAACCAGTGGACTACAATCCTACCTGTTCTTCAGATTCCATTTTCACACACTCCAGACCGCATTGCTGCCTGCCAGCAGGGACCAGAATGTAATTGCCCTGGGAACATTGGCTCATTGGGGCCCCTAATCAACTAATCCCCCTGTATTAGGGTTCTCCAGAGAAAAAGAAAAATTATATACATATATTTATATATATGTATATATATGTAAAGAGGTTTATTATGGGAATTGTCTCACATGCTTATGGAGGTTGAGAAGTCCTGCAATCTATTATCTGCAAGCTGGAGGCCCAGGAGAGCTGGTGGTATAATTCAGTCCAACCCTGAAGACCTGAGAACCAGGGGAGCCAATGGTGAAGTCTTGGTCCAAGTTCCAAGGCCTGAGAACCAGAAATGCCAATGTCCAAAAGCAAGAGTGGATGAATGTCCCAGCTCAAATACAGAACACCAGTGTTCCCTTCCTCTGCCTTTTTGTTTTATTGGGCACTCAGTGGACCGGATGATGCCCATCCACACTGGTAAGGGTGGATCTGCTTTACTCACTCCACTGATTCAAATGCTCATCTCTTTCAGAAACACCCTCACAGACACACCCAGAAACAATGTTTCACCAGCTATCCAGGCATCCCTTAATCCAGTCAAGTTGACACATGAAACTAACCATCATACTACCATTCCTTGTCTCATGCTTTTGCATCTGAATGCCATCTCCTTGGCAATATCATAAGTTCCTAGAAAGTATCTGATGGACCTTCTTTCATGTTCCTCAGAGGCCATGGTTCCAAGACCTTCTAGGCAATGAGGAAATACTTGTTTACTTTTAAATTAATATAATGTATTACAAAGGTCAGGTTTTAATCTAAGCATTTAAATGCCAAACCAAAGTTTTTGTGTACCTTCCTAAAATATGTTTCAACTAAATTTTAATATAATATATATTTATATATTCATAAGTATAGGTTTTGTGCTTAAGAAAAGCAATACTTATGGCCTGAACTTTATCATTTCTTTAGGATACTATTCTTATTTCCATTTTGAATGAGCATTTGTTGATTATTTATCACATTATGAAGACACACATTGAAAATATAATTTAGTTTTATGACAAACTAGAAAAGGGCCATGTAGTATAGAAGAATGAGAACTTAGGAGTAAGACAGGGTTAAATATCTAGCTATGAGAATGAATGCATATTCCTGAGCCCCCATTTTCTACATGCTAAAATTGGGAAATTAATAGCCAACACATAGAGTTTGGAAGAAAATTAAGTGATGCAACAAATGACAAAATACAGTGTTTGCTCAATGAACAGCACTTAGGGGCAGTAGTACTAGTAGCATAGCAGAGATAGTAGTAGTTTTTGTTATTTAATATCAAGTTTTATGACCAGGCTTAAGTCCAAAAATCTATGCAATATTTTTTTCTGCATAAAGCTGCTTCTTACCAAAATGAGTTGAACCTAAATGAATATGTAATCACTGTAAAGTTATATGGATAAATGATGTTTAAGATTATTCATTAAATTCTCATTGAGACATCTTTACTGAATATTATATACAAGGCAGAAGATTAATTGCTGTACGAGATATAAAAATAACACAGGATCACAGGATCCCTGACCTCAAGGTTACTAAAATCTAATAAAGGAGACAGAAATACATATAAATCACTATATTGAAGGGCAGAATAGAATTAAATGCCATATAACCATGTAAAGAAAGACCATAGAATTCAAACAATGGACAGGTTACTTTCAATTTTATAGAAATGAGTTTTACATAAGTTAAAGTTAGAGAATCACAGGCAAAAAAAAATGTGTAGAGGTTTACTTTAATAGACAAATATCCATAGATACATGTGCCTTTGTCCATGGAAAAGCATTGATTTGACTCTGGTCCTGATATTTGATATTTTGAATGAACAGCAACCCAACATAGAGGAAAAGCTGAACACCACCAACATTTTCAGGTATTTGTTTTGAACAACATAATTTTATTGTCTACTGAGTCTATATTGTAACTCACAGGTTTAGACATACTTATATGGGTATATGTTATATTTTCAAGACTGTCCTGCAATGCCAGGCAGAGAACAGCAATTGCTTGGAGTTCACATTTACACCACCACAACCTTCATCTTTAGCCCATCTTGGAAAGGATAGTGTCCATTCCCGTAATCTTGCTGTGATGACACTGTGTTTTGGTAATGGAACTTTTAAATGTCTTCTGCCTCTCTGGATCCCTGGAGTTAGACTATGTACATCATTGATTATCCCTTCCCCGGCCCCCAGCTAGAACTCTTGAGATAATAAATTCTCATTATAAGCAATGGCTTATTGTAGCTACAACATATCCTAGCCCCCAGTCAAGGAGATTCTCTATTTACCAAAACTACTACTGGTTGATGGTCCCTAATCCAAAAATTCAAAATCCAAAATGCTCCAAAACAGGAAACTTTTGGAACACTGACATGAGGTGTTAGTCCATTTTCACGCTGCTGACAAAGACATACCCGAGACTGGGAAGAAAAAGAGGTTTAATTGGACTTACAGTTCCACATGGCTGGGGAGGCCTCAGAATCATGGCGGCGGGGTGAAAGGGACTTCTTACATGGTGGCAGCAAGAGAAAATGAGGAATATGCAAAAGCAGAAACCACTGATAAACCCATAAGATCTCATGAGACGTATTCACTATCATGAAAATAGCACAGGAAAGACGGGCCCCTATGATTCAAGTACCTCCCCCTAGGTCCCTCCCACAACGTGTGGGAATTCTGGGAGATACAATTCAAGTTGAGATTTGGTAGGGACACAGCCAAACCATATCACATGACATCACAAGTAGAAAATTCTACGTAAGTAGAATTAACACAAACTTTGCTTCATGCATGAAATTATTTAAAACATTGCATAAAAATTACCTTAAGGGTATATATATATATATATATATATATATATATATATAGTATATATGAAATATAAATGAATTTTGTGTTTACATTGGGGTCTTATATCCCCAATGATATCTCGTTATGTACATGAAAATATCTCATTATGTACATGAAAATATCTCAAGATATCTCATTATGTACATGAAAATATCATTATGTACATGAAAAGATATCTCATTATGTACATGAAAATATTCCAAAATCAGAAAAAAAAATCCAAACTCTGAAGCAGTTATGGTTCCAAGCATTTTGAACAAGGGATAATCAATCTGTATTGAGGTAAAATAATAACGAACAATATTAATAATAATTCTTTTCAAAAACCAGTGAGATGCTATCTTTAAAATAAGACTTCACATCTTATCTCTTCTGCAGGCCCTCTGTCTATGCAAACAGCCCCATGCTTCAATTTAACTAAGTCTTAAACTGCAAGCTGTTAGGGAAATCAAAGGTCTACTGTGTTCTTGGGAATTTCCGCATAGAGGCTTTGAGCCCAAGATTGAGCTATTCCTGCCCTTTAACTTTCTTTTCCCCCTCCAGCATACAATCCCCAAAATTCTTTCATTTAAATGACATTTGTGAATATCTCTGTGCTAAACCCTGGAAATACTAATGCGAATAAGGCACTCTCTGCACTCAAGAAGTTCACCCTATGGTGGAAGAGAGCGACTTTAAAGGAATAATGATGTCAGCATAATAAGCACAATAAAGTGGTGAAATAATTTACTATGCCCAAAGGCAGGGGCATCACAGTGAGAAGGGACGACTTACTTGTTGATTCATAAATTTAGGTGAGGACCTGAGCATGGATAGTTCCACTCTTTCTTTTTCTTATTTTTCCCTTCAAGCGAAAAAGGAGTAAAAAGGAAAACTCTCCAAAATGTCTTAGCTGGTGGTCTTTGAGCATGGTGACTAGATGCACCTCTAAGTGTTTTGTTTCCTTGTACCTGGATCCAGCCTGAGTGGAAGTCCTCTTCCATTACCTGATTTTCAACTTCAGTCTCGCCCCTGAACACTTGGTGCTCAGCTGTCTTCCCCCTGGGACAAGTCTCTCCCCTACCCCAATGCCCAATTCAAACTGTACCCCAGTCACTGCCTTGCAGCCTAGGCTCTGTTGGTATGATGTTGTGAGGGAGGATGCGTCTTCCCTAATCTTAATGTTTCCTTCCCAGTTGGAGACGCACCTTAGCTTTCATTTACTAATTTAGTCAACCAACCAATATTAATTGAATGACTACCATATGCCAGGCACTTTCTATACCCTGTCTTCATGAAATTTTCATTATACAGACATTGTCTATGGAGGATAAACAAGTAGTAGGAATATATTAGGGCGGGGGGTGAAGAGTACTATGGAGGAAAATAGAGTAAAGAGATAGACTGTGCTGGGTAGAGGGTTCCAGATATTTTATATAGGATAGTTAGGGAAAGCTGAGAAAAGGACATTTGAGTAAAGACCTAAAAGAATATGAAGTTTTGGAGTTCAAAGAAGTATTTCAGTCTGGAGATATAATTTTGGGATCATCATAGACAAGGCCATGAGACTCGAGGAGAGCAAATGGGAAGAGAATAAGACAAATAAGAGTTTTAAGGATTGAATCTGAAATATTCCAGTGTTTGAAAATTAGGAAGATGAGGAGAAACCAATAAAGGAGACAGGAGAAGCAGTCAATGAAGTAGCTTAATACCACTGCCTCTTTTCTCTCTCTCTCCCTCTGTCTCTCTGCTTCTTTCTTATTTCTGCCTGAAGGAATAACTTAATTCACTGATAAGTTTGGAGGAAAACCTGATCATGGATTGTCCCACTCCTTCTTCTCTCCTTGCCTTTAAGGAGCTGGCTGCCTACAGAAAGCCTGTGTTCTGCTCTGCTTCCCTATGTGAAAATTACCAGAGACAGCATAACAAAGCATGTGATTTTCTGTGCTGCCTGTGACTCTGGTGGGTAAGTCTGCCTCATTCTGGAATTCAGTATTATAAAGCCCATTTGTCTGCAGCTCTAAGACACATTTGCCAATATCAGATTTACCAGTAATAAAGACAGTGTTTTAATCTGTCTGCCTGACTCCTTTGCCTTATCTCCTGATTGGCTCAAAACTCTGGCCAGCAAGAAGATCAACAGTTCATCAGGCCACCTCAAAACCCAGTATATTAGAGCATGAATTCAGACACCTATGGTCTGCAAGAATACTTTCAACTTTAAAAAGAAGTCCATGATTTACATTCCTGCCTGTCACTCAGAAGCCAAAAAAGAGACAGAATGCCATCGACTCAGAGATATTAAAAGTGGAAGAAGAATAAGATCATCTGTTCACAGCTTTGTGAAGAGGAAACTAAATCCCAGAGAAAGAAACCTAACAAGTGGCAGAACCAGAACTATGACTCAGATCTCTTGATTCCCATGCAGTCCAAGAAGGACTTTATCTATGAGAAGAAGGTATTCAGTTTCATTCATTCCTGAAAAAGAAACAAAACAAAACATTAAGCTGTCTTCCAGAGTATTTGTCTCCAAGCTATCCCCACTGTTTTCTTCACATGCATCTGTTGACCCATTATATAGCCCAAAAAAAATATAAAAATAAAGAAAAAGAAAAAAAGAGAGAGGGAGAGAACTGGATATTTAGCCACTTGAGTAATGCCACACTTAAGCACTGAAGTACCTTTCGCTCAGTGATTTTTACTTGATCAAAGAAAAAGCCTATTACTTCCTGTAATTACCTGGGTAACTGAAGAAATGTCTACTGATGATTCATAATAGCTAACCTCAGAAGAACCCTTACCATTGTTTCCTTTGTGACTTTCACGTTCTTCTAACTGCTTTGAGCTGTAGAAGCCTTCCTCACTCTCAGGTGGTCTTACCTTCTTCTCAGAGAGAATGAAGACTTCAGAAAGAAATGTCCCTTCCCAGCCTGGACAACAGAGTGAGATCTCATCTCTACAAAAAAATTTTAAAAATTAGCCAGCCATGGTGGCTCATACATGTTGTCCCAGCTTATAAGGAGACTGAGGTGGAAGGACCACTCAAACCTGGGAAGTCCAGGTTGCAATGAGCCATGATCACGCTACTGCGCTCCAGCCTGGGTGACAGAACAAGACCCTGTCTCCACCAAAAAAAAAAAAAAAAAAAAAGCACTTTCCCTCCCATATCCAACCCTACACTCAGCTATAGACACACCAGCTTCTCCTTCATTCTTTCGGTTACAACAGAAGAGGTGTCCTTCCTCTTATCAGAAACCAGTCCTCAGATTGGTCCTCCATCTCTCCTCAGATCAATCCTTTCCCACCTTCTCAGATAACACACTACCGTCAATTACCTCTTCCCTCCCCTGTGTATTCAGCTGACCTCCCACATCTGGATTCTTCCTATCAATGTTTAACAAGCTCAAATATCTTCCAAACAAAACCAGAAAACCACTTTTCTCAGTGCCACACTCATCCCACCTATAACCATATTCAGGACCAGATTAGAGTCTTCAGAGAACCTAAGTATTGAGATGATCTTTCTCATATGTAATTCAAACATAAAGATAACTGAGAAAAAGCTCTATTAAAGTATGAGGTTTTTGATGAAGATTCCTCTAGTTCCTCATTTTAAAATTGTCAAATACTAAATTATTTCCAAGTTTTGTTGTTGTTGTTGTTTTGGTGTTCCTGTTTTGCTAATGCCTTAAGCATGTAGTCAATCTGCTAAATGGAAGATCCAGAACTTCCCTTTCCCTTTTGACGCCCAGCTGTCGTATATTCTCTCCCCATTCATTTGAATTTTCTATAACTTGCTGCCTTCAATTCCTCATTTCTCTTCCTTTTATTTCATCTATCTGACTTCTACCCTAATTATTCCACCAAAAGAGCTATCACTGACTTCCAAGACATCTAACAGCTATTTCAGTCCTTATCTTACTTGATCTCTCAATAGACTGATTCTATTGACCACCTTATTCCTGTTTTTTTTTGTGTGTGTTTGTTTGTTTGCTTTGTTTTGTTTTTTTGAGACGGTGTCTTGCTCTGTTCCCCAGGCCAGAATGCCATGGTGCCACCATGGCTCACTGCAGCCTCAACCTCCTGGGCTCAGGAAATCCTCAGCCTCCCAAGTAGCTGGGACCACAGACACATGCCACCATGCCCAGCTAATTTTTTGATTTTCTGTAGAGATGAGGTCTCACTATGTTGCTCGGGCCGATCTTGAACTCCTGGGCTCAAATGATCGTCTCACCTTGACCTCCCAAAGTGCTCAGATTACAGGTATGAGCCACTGCACCTGGCCCATCCCCTTTTTTTGAACTGCTCTTTTCTCTGTGTTTTTTTTTCTTTTTTCTTTTTTTAACATTCTTCTGGCTTTCCTCCTTCTCCTCTGACAGCTTCTTCTCAGTCCTTCTCCTTTATGAGTTTGTAAGTGAGAGAACCTAAGGGCTCTTCCTAGATCCTTTCCTGTTTTCATTCTCTATATTTTCTCTAGGCAATTCCATCCACTCCTATGGTTTCAACTACCATGTATTATTTATTTTTTTTTTTGAGACGGAGTCTCGCTCTGTCGCCCAGGCTGGAGGGCAGTGGCGCGATCTTGGCTCACTGCAAGCTCTGCCTCCCGGGTTCACGCCATTCTCCTGCCTCAGCCTCCCGAGTAGCTGGGACTACAGGAGCCCACCACTATGCCTGGCTAATTTTTTTGTATTTTTAGTAGAGACGGGGTTTCATCGTGTTAGCCAGGATGGTCTCGATCTTCTGACCTCGTGATCTGCCTGTCTCGGCCTACCAAAGTGCTGGGATTACAGGCATGAGCCACCGCGCCCGGCCTCAACTACCATGTATTTTTAAAGGAATCTTCCAAGCCAGAGAGCATTTTTAAGAGTAAAGGAGGGGTACCATTGGCAACTATGCCCAGATTTTTCAGGGCCAACATGGATACATTGTCAACCTATCTACATGCCAATAAGTTTCTAATTTATTTTTCCACTGAAGAACTCTTCTCTGAGCAACAAACTTTTAAATCTAATTGCCTACTCACTACGCACACATGGATTCATTAATTCATTCATTTAGCAAATATTGAATACTTATGATGGGTCAAGTACTGTTCTAAGGGCTGGTGATACAAAGTAAACATAACATAAAAATCTCCTGCCCACATAGAGTTTACAGTCAAGTTGGGGAGAGATCAACAAAAACATAAATACATAAAAATATATTTTTCACCGTGATGAATGGTATGGAGAAAAAGTGGAGGAAGGGAATAGAGTGTGTTGGAAGGAAGTCTGAGACTTTAAGTAAGATTCAGATAAGGCTTCATTGAGAAGGCAAAATTTGAAAAAAAGACCTAAAAATGGTGGAGAAGAAATCAGAATGGACACCTGAGCAGAGGGAACAAAAAGGGCAAAGTTTTTCAAGTGACCATGCTTCTTCTGACCAAAAGAGGCTTTGCCTATTGCCTTTGTGGAAATCACCCGTCTTCTCCCTTCCACCTGGCTAGTGCCTTCACATCCTTCAAATCTCAACTTAAGTGTCTTTTTCTCAGGACCATTTATCTGACTCTACAGAGAAGTGTGATCCCTCATCATATGCTATCTTAATTTTAATTTTCTCTTAGTGTGCAGTATCTGGATCATGAGCTCCCATGTAGCACCAACTATATCTTTTTTCTATTCATCACTACATTTCTAGTGCCTAGGACAACCTTGGCATATAATTAGAAATCATAAGTATATTTTCATAAACAAGTGATGGTGTCATTTACATGTGTATGTCCAGTGCTTTCTTTCCTCAGAAGCATCTTGCTGCATCTTAAGCCAACCATTCTCAGTAATTGTATCTCTTGTATTCTAAGACCTATTTTACTCAATTTGGTAATAATTTATTCAGCATGTGCCATGTTCCAGACATAGGGGATTTAGAAATTAATAGGCATAATCTTCATCTTTAACTTTTATATAATCTAATATGGCAAACAGATATGTTCACAAAAAAACTATAATCTGCTCATTCAATGCTTGCTGGACACTTACTGAGGGCTTATTAAGTGCCTAGATTTCTAGGCCCTAGAAATATAGCAGTGAATTACCCTTTGTGGAGTTTCTAACCTGGTGAAATGTGCTATACATTTATTCTGAAGGCATGAAATGACAGTAAGAAAGAAGCAATTAACTCTTCTTCTAGGCGATAGGGACCGTTGAGAAAGACATGATACAAGCAACAAGTAGATGCTCCCCATGTAGAACTCTGGGACCTACAATTTGAGTACCTTTGATGCCTTACCACAGAGTTTTATCCTGAGGCTACTGAAGCATGTTTAAGCATTAGAGTGACATCATTAGTTAGGTATTATGAAAGACAGTGTTGGCAACACAATCAAGAGTGTCATTTTGAAAACTATTCCAAAGTCTGAGGAAGAAATGATCAAGGTCCAGAACAGAATAGCAGCAATAAGGTTATAAAGTAAGAAATATAGGTTAACTTATCAAATTTAATGGCTTAAAAAAGGAAAACTCAAAGATGAGAAGAGTTTTTTATAAAAAACTTTTATTTTCAGTTCAGGGATACTTGTGCAGATTTGTTACATGGGTAAACTTCTGTCGTGGGGATTTGTTGTACAGATCATTTCATCACCTGGGTATTAAACCTAGTACCCATTAGCTATTTTTCCTGATCCTCTCCCTCCTCCCACCCTCCACTCTCCAGTAGGCCCCAGTGTGTATTTTTCCCCTCTATGTGTCCATGTGTTCGATGAGAATGTTTTTAATTTGAAAGATAAGATGAGTTACGGAAGATATTGTTGTATTCCCAACCAACCCATTCCTTCTGACTTCTGTGCACACAGATAGATTACATATCCCAGCCTCCCTTACAGTTAGGTGTGGCAATGTGACTGAATTACAGTCAAGGGAATGTGAGCAAAAATGATGAGCACCACTTCCAGTCTTCATCAATAAAAATCTCCCCCACTCTATCTTCCATTCTCTTCCCCTGTCAGCAAGATGTCAGTGCACACAGTGATGAAAGAAGAGCTTCTGTTACCCTGGATCCCTGAAAGCAGAGCCCATATCCCGGTCTTATTGACTGGACTTCACGTTTGTAAGAAACAAACATCTACCGTGTTGAGCCACTAAGTCTTGGGGATTTACCCAGAAGCTAGGGTTAACTTAACTAATATGATGTGGTGAGACTAACTAAGATTGAGATTCAGAGCAGAAGCTGATGTGGAGGTAAAGAGTTCAACCTAGGCCATATTTAGTTTAAGATTCTTTGAACACACCCATGTATTTACAAATAGTAGTCCACAGTACAAGCAAAGATTTGGAAGTTATTGAAATATAAATGACTGAAGCCCTGGTCCTGATTAAAATTATATAGGGAGAGGGTATAGAGGAAGAAGAGATAAAGCCCTGGAATGGGGAATAGCAACACTTAAAGAAAGGCAGGGAAAAAAAAAGACAGGTCAAATGGTAAAAGAAGACTTTCTCAAAAACTTTCATGGTTAGTATTTTATATAATAAACCACAGTGTTGGTCTTGGAATTCTGTCTAATGACCACTCATCTTTGTTAAACTGACAGTCACATAAGCCATATTACTGCCTCCCTCTGCTTTATAAAACTTTGAATTCAATAAACTCATTAATGCTTCCCACAATGAAAGCTCTAAAATTCAACACAATCATCCTTACCACCTAAAATGCCAAAATTCATCTAGATGTTGTATGAAATTTTAAAACCTACCAGTGGCTCCTGATAAATTCTCTGACATTTTATGATCTCTTTGGTAAAGACATGGTTTTACCTGTATAATCAACCTACTTTTTTTATTCCTTCCAAAGTTGTTTTCATGTGCATTATTCATTTAATGCCCCTAGTAAATCCACATGGTTGGTGAACATAATAGGGGCTTGAGACATACTGACAAACTATCAAAAAGGGCTAATACATTAGTATTGGGCCCACATCAAAACAAAGCAAAATCCATGAGGCAGGAGAACTGTCTCCCAAAGACATCTTCAAGGAAAAGATACTCATTTTAAAATGTTACTTCAATCCCAGAGGTCATCCATTCATCAAGTCTCTGTAGTTTGTAAGTCTCACAAGTCTTTTTAATGTGACATCAAGGGACATGTTACATCCTGACTCACAATTCGAGTCACTATAAATAATCCCCCAAACAGAGTGAGCAACTGATAAAAGATGCATTCTGAACAAAAACAACTATTTATTTGACAGTTGCACCATCTTTTGTCACAATCGCTTTTAGCAAGTTTCAAATATATTTTGAATAACTAACTCCTCACAGATGGGGTATATTATGAATTTACATGCCTAAAAAAGTAACTATTTTAAAATCTTCCTGATATAAATTATTTTCTAAAATAATCATGAGTTAAAAACCGACATTCAGATGAGTTCTCATAAATTTCCACTTTTGTTTATGCCTTCTCTCTTTCTAATATCTTCAAATACTATTCATTTTATTTTTACATGATTAATTTTACGTGTCAACTTGGCAAGACTATGATGACCAGTTGTATGGTCAAACGCTATTCAATGGGTTGCTATAAAGGTTTTCTTTAAATGTGATTAACATTTATAATCACTTTAAGTAAAGCAAATTACCCTCCATAATATGGGAGGGTCTCATCCAATCAGTTAAAAACAATGAGCAAGACAAGCTTTCCAAAGAAAAATTCTTGTCCTAGACTGCAACATGGAAATTCTGCCCTAATTTTCAGACTTCAAACTCAGGTCTGCAACTTCAACTGTTACTGGAATCTCCACCCTCCCAGCTTGTCCAGTAGCTTCTCAGTCCCTATGATCACAAAAATATCCCATCCCTTCCCCTTCCCCTCCCCCATCTCTCTCTCTCTCTCTCGTGTGTGTGTGTGTGTGTGTGTGTGTGTGTGTGTGTGTGTGTGTGTGTCCTATTGGTTTGGTTTTTCTGGAGAACCTAACACATTCCTTTCATATTCATTTCTAAATTTTCTTCAATCAAGAGTATATTTCATGGATGTATATCTATAGGAAGATATCTTTCAAGTAGTTCCTACCCAGCAAAAAAAAAATGCTTATAACTAATGTGAACTGGGACCATAATTTTTGTGCATGTATGTGTGGTTCTACTACCTTTCCAAGATGTTTTTAAAGGCTTATGACAAAAAATTTTTGAATACTAGTACACTATTGCCTTGGACAATAACGAGGTTGTAGTAAAGCAAGTTAAATTTATTAAAAGAGATGTATGTTACAAAACCTATCGGATATAGCAAACGCAATGCTCAGAGGAAAATTTATAGCAGTAAATGCCTATGTTACAAAAGAAGAAAGGTCTCAAATCAATAACTTAACTTCACACCTCGTATTCATCTGCTAATACCACCATAACAAAATACCACAGACTGGGTATCTTAAATAATAGAAATTAATTTTCTCACAGTTCTGGAGGCCAGAGGTCCAAGATCAAGGTGCCATCAGAGTTGGTTTCTGATAAGGCTTTTCTTCCTGGCTTGCAGACAGCTGTCTTCTCACTGTGCTCTCACATGGCCTTTCCTTTGTGCATGCATGCACAGAGAGCAAGAGAGTGCTCTGATGTCTCTCCTTCTTATAAGGACACCAATCCTATCATACGAGGGCCCCACCCTTATTACTTCATTTAACCTTGACTGTCTCTCTAATGAATTTATCCTCAAATACAGTCACACTGGGGATTAGCACTTCAACATATGAATGGGGGAGCATAATTTAGTTCAGAATACATACTCAAACATTTTTTATAAGGAGACCAAATTAAAACCAAAAATAGCAGAGAGAAATATAAAGATTACAGCAGAGATAAATTAAAGAGATAATATAAAAACAACAGAGAATAAATGAAACCAAATGTTTTTTCCCAGAAAAAAATCAACAAGATTGACAAACATTAGCTACACTGAGAAAGAAATCAAGAAGAAGATGCAAATAACTAAAGTCAGAAATGAAAATGGAGACATTACTACCAACCTTACAAAAATAAAAATGATTAGAAAAGAATATTATGAATAATTATACATCAACAAATTAGATAACCTGGATGAAATGAATAAATTCCTAGAAACATACAAATTATCAAAACTGACTCCAGAAGGAATATAAAATCGGAGCAGACTTATAGCAAGTAAAGAAACTGAATTGGTGATTTAAGAAGCAAAATAAAGCAAAATACAACCTCCCAAAAAGTCCAGGACCAGATGGCTGCATTGGTGAATTCTACTAAATATTTAAAGAATTAATACCAATCCTTCTCAAATTCTTCCAAAAAATAGAACAGGAGGGAACACTCCCTAACTCATTCTATGAGGCCAGTATTACCCTAATATTAAAATCTGACAAAGATACGAAAAGAAGAAAACTACAGATCAATGTCCCTTCTAAATACAGATATAAAAATTCTCAACAAAATCCTAACTGAATCCAGCAGCATATTAAAAAGATTATACATCATGTCAAAGTGGGATTTATCCCAAGAATGCAAGGGTGGTTCAACAAATGAAAATGAATGTAATATACCATCTTAATGGAATGAAGGAACAAAATCACATGATCATCTTAATTGATGCAGGAAAAGCATTTGACAAGATTAACCACTTTTATGATTTTTAAACAACCAAACAATAAACAAGGAATAGAAACTTCCTCAAGCTGATAAAAGGCATATATGAAAAAATCCATAGCTATCATCATATTTGGTGGTGAACAACTAAAGTTTCCATGCAAGTATCAAGAACAAGATAAAGATGCTGCTTTCACCACTTCTACTCAACACTGTACTAGAAGTTCCAGCCAGAAAAATGAGGCAAGAAAAATAAATTAAAAAATACAAACTGAAAAGAAAGATGTAAAACTATCTGTATTTGCAGATGGTCCAAAAATCCCCCTCCCCCCAAAAAAGCCACTACAGTTAATCAATTTAGCAAAGTTGCAGGGTACAAGATCAACATGCAAAAATCAGTTGTATCTTATACACCAGCAACGCACAATTTGAAAAGCAAATCCAAACAAAATAAGGGGGAAATTTACATTTACCATGGCAAACAAAACAATAAAAAACCTAGGAATAAATTTAATCAAGGATATGGTACACTGAAAACTATAAAACATTATTGAAAAAATTAAAGACTATCTAAATAAATGGAAAGCCATACGATGTTCTGAATTGGAAACCTTAATATTGTTCAAATGATGTCCCAAATTGATCTACACATTTATTCTAATCCTGATCGAAATTCCAGTGGTCTTTTATGCATAAATGGAAAAGCCAATCCTCTAATTCATGTGGAATTATGAAGGAACCCAAATAGCCAAAACACTGTTATTTATTTATTTATTTAGAGACAGAGTCTCGCTCTGTCACCCAGGCTGGAGTGCAGTGGTGCGATCTCAGCTCACTGCAACCTCCGCCTCTCAGGTGCAAGTGATTCTCCTGCCTCAGCCTCCTGAGTAGCTGGGATTACAGGCATGTGCCACCATGCTCAGCTAATTTTTGTATATTAATAGAGACAGGGTTTCACCATTATGGCCAGGCTGGTCTTGAACTCCTAATCTCAGGTGATCCATCTGTCTCAGCTTCCCAAAGTGCTGGGATTACAGGCATGAGCCACCATGCCTAGCCCAAAACAATGTTTTTGTTTGTTTGTTTAAAAAGAAAACAGAAGACTCACACTTTCTCACTTGAAAAGTTACTACAAAGTTACAGTAATCAAAATAGTGTGATACTGACATATAAACAGACATATAGATAAATGGAATAGAATTGAGAGTCAGGAAATAACCTATGGCCAATTGGTTTCTGACAAGTGTGCTAAGACTATCCAATGGGAGAAAGGATAGTCTCTTCACCAGTGATGCTGAGGCAACTGCAAATCCACATGCAAAAGAATGAAGTTGAACTCTTTCTTCATTCTATATTCAAAAATTAACTCAAATGAATCAACAACCTAGGTACAAGAGCTAAAACCATAAAACACTTAGAAGAAAACAGGAGTAAATTTTCATGATGCTGGATTTGGCAAGGGATGCTTAGTTATGACACCAAAAGCATGACCAACAAAAGAAAATAGATAAATTGGTCATCATCAAAATTAAAAACTTCTGTGCAAAAGGCATTATCAAGAAAGTGAAAACACAACCTGCAGAATGCTAGCAAATATTTTCAAACCATTTATCTAACAAGGGTGTAGAATCCAGAACATATGAAGAACACTTACAACTCAACAACAAAAAGACAAACAACCCAATTTTAAAAATGGTCAAAGGATCTAAGTAGATATGTTTCCAAAGAAGATACATAAATTGCCAACAAGCACATACATGAAAAGATGCTTAACGTCATTAGTTATTAGGGAAATGCAAATGCAAATCAAAACCATATGATGTACTACTCAACACCTAATAGGATGGCTAATTTTTTTTTAAATGGAAAATAACAAGTGTTGGGGAGGATGTGGAGAAGTTGAAACCCTTGTACATTGCTGGTGGAAGTGTAAAATGGTTCAGCCACTGGGAAAAACAGTTTGGTAGTTCTTCAAAAAGTTAAACATAGATTTACCATACAACCTAGCAATTTTCCTACTAGGTATCTACTCAAAAGACCTGAAAACAGGTACTCAAGCAAGTATAAGTACACACATGTTCCTACCAGCACTATTGACAATAATCAAAAGGTGGAAACACCCTAAAGTTCCACCAATAGAAGAATGGAATAACATATTGTGATATATACCTACAATGGAATATCAACCATAAAAAGGAAAGATGTACTGATACGTACTGCAATATGTGAACCCTAAAAACACGCTAAATGAAAGAAGGCAGATACTAAAGTTTACCTATTATATAATTCCATTTATAAGAAATATCCAGAAAAGGAAAATCCATACAGACACAACATAAATTAGTGGTTACCAGGGACAGGGAGAAGAATTGGGTGCAAATGGTATCAGTACAGGGTTTCCTTTTGGGGTGATGAAAATGCACAATATTGCGAATGTACTAAATGCCACTAATTGTTCACTTTAAGATGGTTAATCTTATGTAAATTTCACCTGAAATATTAAAAATTATACACAAAACAAAAGATCCTTAAAATAATACCCCTATATAGATTGTTAGCTTCCAGGAGGATTATTCAAATGCTACATTTCTAAAGTGTTAGAATTTCTCCCCTGGAAGACTTTAAACTAAGGTAATAATGCTTTTTAACATTCTTGAGCCCTTCTTATGTATCTGAAATTATATTAAAAGTTTTATATACATTATTTCCTTAATAATATCCATCATTACCTTCAAAAACTGAGGTATGGGCCAGGCAGGGTGGCTCACACCTGTAATCCCAGGATTTTGGGAGGCCAAGGCTGGTGGATCACTTGAGGTCAGGAGTTTGAGACTAGCCTGGCCAACATGGCAAAACCCCGTCTCTACTAAATATACAAAAAAACAGCCTGGCGTGGTGGTGGGCACCTGTAGTCCCAGCTACTCAGGAGGCTGAGGCAGGAGAATCGCTTGAACCAGGGAGGCAGAGGTTGCAGTGAGCTGAGATGGCAGCACTGCACTCCATCCTGGGTAACAGAGCACGACCTTGTCTCAAAGAAAAGAAAAGAAAAGAGAATAGAAGAGAAGAGAAGAGAAGAAGAAAAGAGAAGAGAAGAGAAGAAAAGAAAAAAGAAAAGAAAAGAAAAGAAAAGAAAAGAAAAAAGAAAAGCATTGCATCTGTATCCTCTAATTAGAGGATGATAGCACTTGATTATGGCCATTTCTTAGTCAAGGGCAGGTCTTCTGTTTTTCTGAGTGATGACATGTGGTTTGAGTTATACATGGGCTATAGCTGAAATAGAAAATGCACACTAATCTTCATTTTGTTCTGTCAAACATTAAGATCTCTATTGTAGAGTGCTAATGCTTAAACATAATAATTAAAAAGAAAATGATCCCTTTTTCTCATCCATAACTATTATAAAATCTAACATTCAATAGATTGTTTTTATTATTTTTTTAATGTTTGTTGGGTCCAACCCCCTCCTAAGCTGGTGCAGAAAAGCAGGGCATCCCAGCCTGAAATCAATGAGGACCTGCACTCTTTCTCTCTGCTCCAGCTTTTGAGACTACATCTCAAAATAAAACAAAAAAACAAAACAAACAAACAAAAAACCTGAGGTATGACGAGATGAAGAGACTAAATTGCTCAAAGTCAAATAGGAGGTAAATGGACCTCAAATGAGCTTAGCTGTTAACTATGCTTTAGTTTAGCAACAGAATTAAACACACATTTAGTCAAAAAGAGTTTATTGAGTGCCTGTGGTGTTTATCAGTGTGGTACAGTTAACACTAATGAGACAAAAGATTTTTTGAAGCATATGAGGATATAAACACTAGTAATTGTTAAGTATGTGCCTTAAATTGTATTACAACAAATATGTTAGACATCAAAACTGTAATATCACAGATAGTATTACTTAGGGTAACGCTAAAGTAGATAAATAAGTTTTTAAATAAAGTTTATTTAAAGAAAAATAATAAAGATAACAATAGTTGGCATTATCAAACACTTATTTGCTATATAGTAATGTATATACTCATTTAATCAATATACTTATTTTGCATATACTCACTTATTTCATCAATTGTCAATGCAATACTTATATGTCAAAAATTATGAAGGTGCTATTTATATAACTAAAACATGGAAAACACTGGGGAAAAAAGATGAAAACCATTGTTTTTGGTTTTTTTTTCAATAGGTTTCTGGGGAACAGGTAGTGTTTGGTTACATAGATAAGTTCTTTAGTGGTAATTTCTGAGAATTTTGGCATACACATCACCTGAGCAGTGTACACTGTACTCAATATGTAGTCTTTTATCCCTGAACACCCCGGACCCTTTCCCCCCAAGTCCCCAAAGTCTAATGTATCATTCTTATGCTTTTGTGTCCTCATAGCTTAGCTCCCACATATGAGTGAGAACATAGGATGTTTGGTTTTGCATTCCTGAGTTACTTCATTTAGAATAATAGTCTCCAATTCCACCCAGGTTGCTGTGAATGCCATTATTTCGTTCTTTTTTATGGCTGAGCAGTATTCCATGGTATATCTATACCAGATTTTCTTTACCCACTCCATTGATTGATGGGCATTCGAGCTGCTTCCATATTTTTGCAATTGTGAATTGTGCTGCTATAAACATGCCTGTGCAAGTATGTTTTTTGTATAATGACTTTTTTTTTCCTTTGAGAAGATACCTAGTGATGGGATTACTGGATCAAATGGTAGGTCTACCTTTAGTTCTTTAAGGAATTGCCACACTGTTTTCCATAGTGGTTGTACTAGTTTACATTCCTACCAACAGTGTAAAAGTGTTCCCTTTTCACCGCATCCATGCCAACATCTATTATTTTTTTATTTTTTTATTATGGCCATTCTTGCAGGAGTGAGGTGGTATCATATTGTGGTTTTGATTTGCATTTCCCTGATAATTAGTGATGTTGAGTATTTTTCCATATGCTTCTTGGCCATTTGTATATCTTCTTTTGAAAATTGTCTATTCATGTCCCTAGCCCACTTTTTGATGGGATTCTTTGTTTGTTTTTTCTTGCTGATTTGAGTTCCTTGTAGATTCTGGATATTAGTCCTCTGTTGGATATATATAGATTGTGAAGATTTTCTCCCACTCTGTGGGTTGTCTGTTAACTCTGCTGATTAACGCTTTTGCTGTGCAGAAGCTTTTTAGTTTAATTTAGTCCCATCTAGTTTCTTTGGTTTTATTGCATTTGCTTTTGGGTTCTTGGTCATGAAGTCTTTGCCTAAGCCAAATGTGTAGAAGGGTTTTTCCAGTTGTTATCTTCTAGAATTTTTATGGTTTCAGGTCTTAGATTTAAGTCTTTGATCCATCCTGAGCTGAGTTTTGTATAAGGTGAGAGATGAGGATCCAGTTTCATTCTTCATTCTTCAACATGTGGCTAGCTAATTATCCCAGCACCATTTGTTGAATACGGTGTCCTTTCCCCACTTTATGTTTTTGTTTGCTTTGTCAGAAATCAGTTGGCTGTAAGTATTTGGCTTCATTTCTGGGTTCACTGTTCTGTTCCATTGCTCTATGTGCCTATTTTTATACCAGTACTATGCTGTTTTGGTGACTACAGACTTACAGTATTGTTTGAAGTTGGGTAATGTGATGCCTCCAGATTTGTTCTTTTTGCTTAGTCTTCCTTTGGCTATGCAGGCTTTTTTTTTTTTGGATCTGTATGAATGTTAGGATTGTTTTTTCTAGTTCTGTGAAGAATGATGTTGGTATTTTCATAGGAATGACATTGAATTTGTAGATTGTTTTTGGGAGTATGGTCATTTTCACAATATTGATTATACCCATCCATGAGCATGGGATGTGTTTCCATTTGGTTGTGTTGTCTATGATTTATTTCAGCAGTGTTTTGTAGTTTTCCTTGTAGAGGCCTTTCATTGTTTTGGTTAGGCATATTCCTAAGTTTTGTTTTGTTTTGTTTTGCAGCTATTGTGAAAGGGACTGAGTTCTTGATTTGATTCTCAGCTTGGTCACTGTTGGTGGATAGCAGAGCTGCTAATTTGTGTACATTAAATTTTTATCATGAAACTTTGCTGAATTCATTCACCAGCTCTACAAGCTTTTTGGATGGGTCTTTAAGGTTTTCTAGGTATACGATCATATAATCAACAAACAGTGACAGTCTGACTTCCTCTTTAGCAATTTTCCCTTTGTTTCTTTCTCCTGTCTGATTGCTCTGGCTAGGACTTCCAATACTATGTTGAATAGAAGTGGTGAAAGTGGGCATCCTTGACTTGTTGCAGTTCTCAGGAAGAATGCTTTCAACTTTTCCCCATTCAGTATAATGTTGGCTGTGGGTTTGTCATAGGTGGTTTTTATTACTTTAAGATATATCCCTTCTATGCTGATTTTGCTGAGGGTTTTAATCATAAAGTGATGCTGGATTTTGTCCAGTGCTTTTTCTGTGTCTATTGAGATGATCATGTGATTTTTGTTTTTAATTCTGTTTATATGATGTATCACATTTATTGACTTACATATCTTAAGCCATCCCTGCATCCCTGGTATGAAACTCACTTGATCATCGTGGATTATCTTTTTGATATGCTGTTGAATTTGGTTCACCAGTATTTTGTTGAGGATTTTTGCACCTATGTTCATCAGAGATAGTGGTCTGTAGTTTTCTTTCTTTTCGTATTAGGGTGATACTGGCTCATAGAACGGTTTTTGGTATGAGGGTGATACTGTTTCATAGAATGATTTAGGGGTGTTTTCCTCTTTCTCTATCTTTTGGAATATTGTCAGTAGGATTGGTACCAATTCTTCTTTGAATGTCTGATAGAATTCAGTTGTGAATCTGTCTGATCCTGGACTTTTTTGTTGTTGGCAATTTTTTTTATTACCATTTCAATCTTGCTGCTTGTTATTGGTCTGTTCAGAGGCTCTATATCTTCCTGTTTTAATCTAGGAGGGTTGTGTATTTCCAGGAATTTGTCCATCTTCTCTAGGTTTTCTAGTTTATGTGTGTATAAAGGTGTTCATAGCAGCCTTGAATAATCTTTTGTATTTTTGTGGTATCAGTAATAATATCTTCTGTTTCATTTCTAATTGAGCTTATTTGGATCTTCTCTCTTATTTTCTTGGTTAATCTCACTAGCGGTCTTATCAATTCTATTTATCTTTTCAAAGAACCACCTTTTCATTTCATTTATCTTTTGTAATTTTTTTTGTTTCAATTTCATTTAGTTCTGCTCTGATCTTTGTTATTTCTCTCCTGCTTCTAGGTTTGGGTATGGATTGTTCTTGTTTCTCCAGTTTTGTGAGGTGTGACCTTATATTGTCTAGTTGTCCTCTCTAGCCTTTTTGATGTAGGCATTTACTGCTATGAGCTTTTCTGCTAGCACCACTTTTGCTGTATCCCAGAGGTTTTGATAGGTTATGTCACCATTACCATTCACTGCAAAGAATTTTTAAATTTCAATCTTGATTTCATTGTTGACCCAATGATCATTCAGGAGCAGGTTACTTAATTTCCATGTATTTGCATGGTTTTGAGTGTTCCTTTTGGAGTTGATTTCCAATTTTATTCCACTGTGATCTGAGAGAGTACTTGATATAATTTCAATTTTCTTAAATTTACTGAGACTTGTTTTGTGGCCTATCATATTATCTACCTTGGAGAATGTTCCACGTGCTGATGAATAGAATGTATAGTCTGCAGTTGTTGGGTAGAATGTTCTCTAAATATCTGTTAAGTGCATTTGTTGTAGGGTATAGTTTAGGTCCATTGTTTCTTTGTTGACTTTCTGTCTTGAACACCTGTCCAGTGCTGTCAGTGGAGTATTAAAGTTGCCCACTATTATTGTGTTGCTGTCTATCTCATTTTTTAGGTCTAGTAGTAATTGTTTTATAAATTCAGGAGTTCCAGTGTTAGGTGCATATATATTTAGAATTGTGATATTTTTCTGTTGGACTAGTCCTCTTATCATTATATAATGTCCCTCTTTGTCTATCTTAACTGTTGTAGCTTTAAAGTTTGTTTTGTCTGATAGAAGAATAATTACTCTTGCTTGCTGCTTTTGGTGTCCATTTGCATGGGGTATCTTTTTCCATCCTTTTATCTTAAGTTTATGTGAGTCCTTTTGTGTTAGGTAAGTCTCCTGAAGACAGCAGAAACTTGGTTGGTTAATTCTTATCTGTTCTGCTATTCTGTGTCTTTTAAGTGGAGCATTTAGTCCATTTACATTCAACGTTAATATTGAGAGGTGAAGTACTATTCTGTCCATCATGCTACTTGTTGCCCGAATACCTTGGGGTTTTTTCATCATGTTATTGTTATATAGATCCTATGAGATTTATGCTTTAAGGAGCTTATATTTTGGTGTATTCCAAAGATTTGTTTCAAGATTTAGATCTCCTTTTAGCAGTTCTTGTAGTGCTGGCTTGGTAGTGGTGAATTCTGTCAGCATTTGTTTGTCTGTAAAAGACTGTATCTTTCCTTCATTTATGAAGCTTAGTTTCACTGGATACAAAATTCTTGGCTAATTGTTTTAAGGAATCTAAAAATACGTACCCAATCCCCTCTAGCTTGTAGGTTTTCTGCTGAGGAATCTGCTTAATCTTAATTTGATAGGTTTTCCTTTATAGGTTACCTGATGCTTTTGCCTCACAGCTCTTAAGATTATTTCCTTTTTCTTGACTTTAGATAACCTGATGACTATTTGCCTAGGCAATTCTCTTTTTGTGATGAATTTCCCAGGTGTTCTTTCAGCTTTTTGTATTTGGATGTCTAGTTCAACAAGGCTGGGGAAGTTTCCCTCAATTATTCCCTCAAATATGTTTTCCAAACTTTGAGATTTCTCTTCTTCCTTGGGAACACCAATTATTCTTAGGTTTGGATGTTTAACATAGTCTCAGACTTCATGGAGGCTTTGTTTGTTTTGATAAATTCTTTCCTCTTTGTCTTGGGTTGGGTTAATTCAAAAGCCTTGTCTTCGAGCTCTGAAGTTTTCTTCTGCTTGTTCAGTTTGATTGCTAAGACTTTCCATTGCATTTTGCATTTCTCTAAGTGTGTCCTTGATTTCCAGAACTTGTGATTGTTTTTTATTTATGCTATCTGTTTCACTGATGAATTTTCCTTTCGTATCCTGTATCATGTTTTTGATTATCTTAAGTTGGACTTCACCCTCTGGTGCCTCCTTAATTAGCTTAATAATCGACCTTCTGAATTCTTTTTCTGGCAATTAAGAGATTTAGTCTTGGTTTGGATCCACTGCTGGTGAGTTGGTATGATGTTTTGGGGGTGGTAAAAAAAAACAAAAAACAAAAAAACAAAAAACAAAACAAAATAAACCCTTGTTTTTTCATATTACTAGAATTGTTTTTCTGGTTCCTTCTCATTTGGGTAGACTATGTTAGAGGGAAGATCTGGGATTCAGGGCTGCTGTTCAGATTCTTTTGTCCCATGAAGTGCTCCCTTGATGTGGTGCTCTCTTGCTTCCCCTAGAAATGGACTTCCTGAGAGCCAAACTGTAGTGATTGTTTTTTTCTCTTCTGGGTCTAGCCACCCAGCAGAGCTACCAGGATCCAGGCTAGTACTGGGGAATGTCTGCAAAGAGTCCTGTGATGTGATCCAATTTCAGGTCCTGCAGCTGTGGATGCCAGTACCTGCTCTGGTGGAGGTAAGAGGGGAGTGAAGTGGACTCCATGAGGGTCTTTGGTTGTGTTTTTGTTTAGTGCACTGGTTTTGTGTTGGTTGGCCTCCAGCCAGGAGGTGGCACTTTCAAGAGTACATCAGCTGTGGCCCTATAAGGAGGTTGCAAACTTGCCCTTGGGACACCTGGTTAAGTATTCTATTTTTTTGTTTTTTTAATTCTTCGGCTAAGGCAGCAGCAGAAGTGATTTATTGTATGATTGTTACACCCGTCCACAAGTGAATACAGAAGTAGTACAGAATGTCACAGTTCCAGGGCAAAGGACCAAGATGGACAGTTTTGATTATGAGCAAGGTGGGTCTCAGAGGTGGTCTCAGCGATCAGATGGCAATGAAAGTTCTAGATCCATTGAGACAAGCTCTAGACAGTAGCATGCAGTCCAACAACTTGTGCCAGCATCCCCAGCCTCTGGCACTTCATGTTTCTGCTGCTGTGGCCTCCGCGGGTGCACAAGCTAGCAGTTTACTTGGCCCTCTGCCTCACCTTTCTTCTTTTGCGTTTCAGCCTGCGCATTCACTTCTTTCTCTGCTTGGCTCTCATGGTGCAGAAGTTTCCAAGAAGATGGCGCTAAGGCCGAGAGAGCAAAAGTTGTTTTTGAAGTCAGACAGACCTGAATTTAATTCTGAACTCTACCACTTAATAACTGTGACATGGACCAGGCAACTGAGGATGGCTGATTATTATAACTTATTGTTATTATAAGTTATTATTATTATAACTTGTTTATCCCATATTAGTGAAAGACTTAGTAGACAATTGTTCATATATATAAACTCATGATACACATAAAGAAACATGCCATTATGAGAGCCATCAGAAACAACAGATATTGATTCTCAAGGATTCAGAATTATCACATACAGAATATAAAATATCTGTGAAAAGTTTAATAAAATGAAAAAATAAATGAGCAAGAGACATAGGATTAACAAAATAGACTTACTTTAAAAATAACTACATAAGCTTCTAGAAATAAAAGACATAACTATTGAAATTAAGAATGCAATCGATAGGTTATGCAGCAAACTTAAAGCAACTGTAGATAATATAACTGAAATGAAAGATAGCTCAAATAATTTACCCAGAAGTAGCAGAGAGATAAGGATCTAGTAACTGTAGGAGATTAAGAGAAAGACAGACTGGAATAATAATAAGATCTAATGTACTGCTAATATGAGCTTCAGCCAGAGAAAATAGAAAGAATGAAAGAGAAGCTATGTTTGAAGACATAACAGCTGGGATATTTTCAGAAGCAAAGTCATAAACCCACAGATACAGGAAACACAAATGTATTAAACAAGCTAAATACAAATATATCCTCTCCTAGACAGTTTGTAGTGAAACCGTAGCCCCAAAGGCAAGGAAAATATTTTTTTACAGGCAAGGGGATAAAACAATTAGACTAATAGTTCAACAAGCTGATTCTAAAATGTATATAGAAGAACAAAGACCTGAGAATAGCCAAGACACTCCTGAAGAAGACAAATAAGACAGAAGAAGACTGTTCTTCTTAAATTATCATAAAGCTCTATAAATTAAGACAACTTGGTATTTATGGAAATACAAGCAAATAAATAGAACAGAATAGAAACCTCAGAATCACACATACATAGAAACTTGATATATGAGAAAGATGGCATAGCAAACCCGTGAGTAAAGAAGAGACTACTTAATAAGTATTCTTGGAACAAATGTTCAGTCACAAGGAAAAACTAATTGGGTGGGGCATAGTGGCTTATGCTTGTAATCCCAACACTTTGGAAGACAAAGGTGGGAGGAATACTTGAGCCCAGGAATTCAAGACCAGCCATGGAAACAGAGTGAGACCCCTGTCTCTGCAAATGAAAAAATTATCTGGATGTGGTAGCACATGCTTGTATTCCCAGCTACTTGGGAGTCTGAGGTGGGAGGATCGTTTGAGCCTGAGAGGTCAAGGCTGCAGTAAGCCATGGTCACACCATTGCCCTCCAGCCTAGGGAACAGAGTGAGACCTTGTGTCCAAAAATAAATAAATAAGAAGAAAGACAAAATAATTGGATCTGATCTCACAAAATGTTAATTCCAAGACTTAAAATAAAAAGGCAAGACTTTAAAGCTTTAAAAAAGAAGTGCAGAATTTTTTTTTTACTTTGAGGTTGGAAGAGTTTAAAGCCATTTTAAAAATGTTAAACACAAGAGAAGATAGATAAATTCAACTAAATCAAAGTAATTTCTACTCATCAAAAGATATAAAAACAAATTATAAAGGAAAGCCACAATCTTGGAGATATTCAATCCACATAACTGACAAAAGTTTCATGTCCAAGATATGTCCAAGAACTCTTGCAAATTGATTAGGGGGAAAAACACCTCCATGAAACAGATAAAATGCATGAACAAGCATGGCACAGAACAAGCAGTACCTGAAGACATATGAAAAGATGCTCAGCCACACTAATAATCAAGAAAGTACAAATTAAAACAACTCATTAGCTATAGCTTTACTCCTACTACATTGGCAAATTTAAGAGTTCTGAAAGTACCAAGTGTTGGTAAAAGTATAAACTTTTTAAAATATTGTATTTTAAACAACTACAATAGTAGAAACAACTATTTTAGAAAACACTGTAGCATCACCACATGCCCTCTAACCCAGCAATTCCACTCCTAAATATATGCCCTACAAATATTCTTAACATGTGCACCAGAAGACATATAAAGAATAATCATATAATTGTAATAGCAAAAGGTTAGAGACAGTCCAAACATCAGGAAAATCGGCACATAAACTATGGTATATTCATAGTAGTATATTATGTATCAACAAGAAGAAATGAACTAATACTACATGGCACAACTTGGAGGAATGATAGAAACAATCTTGAATTAGTGAAGCAAGTTGCAGAAATCTGAAAGTCATACTAATTGTATAAATCTCAGAAACAAGCAACATTAAGCACACATATATGTGTGTGCACTATACTTATATGTAAACCATACTTTTAAAAGTATGTAGATATATAGATCTTGATCGATAGATATAAAACTACACTTAAAAAATAAAACAGGTATGATAATGATTAACCCAAATCTCAGGTTAGTGGTTAACTCTGTAAAGATGGGATAGGGGAATAACAGTAAATTCAACAATCTAGGTCTTCATATGGGCCATAGATTCAGGAGTGTTTGCTTTGTTTCATTACTTAAAAACAGACATTGCATACCTATTGAAGATCTGTCATATATCTGGCCACGTTGTTTTAAAATTTTATTTTCTAATATATACCTACAAAAGAATATATGTAGCTATCATTAGTCAGTGGTAGGCACATCCTGAGTGTTTTGAGCATGACTGCCTAGTCTCGTTATTTGCTTCATAAATTTCATGTAAATTATAAAGGACAAAGTAAGAGTTCATTTTGGCTTTGCAACTTTAAATGGCATTTTGATACTACCTTTAGCTCCAGATAAATTCCATAAATTATACTGACTCGGTAGATGGCTTTCCTTTTTTAGAAGAGTTGAATATAATGACATGTTCCTTTTCCCTCAGCAAAGAAAATAACGTCTAGCTATAAAGGAATAGGCATATACTACATGTTCTTCAGATCGAGCCTCAGATCTGAAACGCAGTCTTACTTAACCTCTGCATGCATCCTTCCTTCCGTTTAAGCATTTGTTAAAAAATGGAAAGCATTTCTATTTTCTTAACTTTTTCTTTCATTTAATGTCTTTTTTAATTTAGAGTTTATTTGAGCATCCAGTGATTCATGAATCAGTCAGCACTAGACCACAAGCAGTTCAGTGCTCCACTGTGGAGGCAAAAAGGGAAAACTTTTGTAAGATGTTTGCAGACACAAAACAAATAAAAATATTTGGTTAAATTGGGAAGTCCCTAGTGAGAAGTTGGTTGACAGTTTCTAGTTGGTTAAGCTTAAGTTTTGTTTTCTGGATTTAACGTCTTGTTTCTATAATTATAAAATGAATACAGTCACTTCAGAAACCTAGAAATGTATAAAGTAAAAATTTTCCACAATACTCCACCCAAAGATAACTTTTTTGAGTATGAATTTGTTCTTCCTCAAAATACGCGTTTTAAACAATTGATATCAAAATGCATCTTGTTTATTTGGCTTTTGAAACTGTTATAACACAACTTATAACATTGGAAATACATTATTTTATTAATACAAAGTAGTTTTCATAGTAAAATACCAAATTAATTAAAAGGCAGAATGAAACGTACCATATACATGTAGACGACAAATGAAAACTGTCAAAGTATCCTTCTCTCTAAAAAGCCACAAATTACGTTCTTTGAAGTAAGTATTGGGTTTTATTTCCTAAACTATACACATCAATATCACCTCCTGAAGCTTTTTACCCAGTTTCACGGTTGGTATTTCGGACATGCAATGTTCCATGCTGTCAAACTTGGAATGCCTCGTTTGGATACAGGGAGACAAAGACTTGGAGACCCAGAAGCCTGAAAGTGGTTCTTGACCGACTTTGTCCACTCAAATTAAGGCATCATGCAGCTGGTCATCACTTACATTGCTGGTTGCACGCAGGCACACACACACCAGTGCTCACAGCCAGCACTTGTTAAGAATGGTTGAGCTGGACCAAATGGTATACGTGTCTTTCATCAATATAAACATGGACTGCATTCATCTGGACACGGGCCTTTCCCGCCTACCGAGCCTGCCCACCACCCGAAGTTTAAGCTCATCTTGGAGGACCTGACACTCAGGAAGCCGTCTCCCGTTGTTCCACCGGCTTTGTGGCCCCAATGTCTGTATAAGCTGCTGATTTGCCTTGGGAAAACAAACCAGCATCGATTTCAGAGAAATTACTGGATAATTTGCGCTGTGAGGCGCCTAGATCGCAAGGCGCACTCCGCAAATGACAGCCGCTCCCGTGCACTTGTCCAGTCATTCGGGTGGCATACTGTCCGGGTGGAAGCCCGCCAAAATAATCCATTTGGAAGGGACGGAGGGCTTCGTCAGAAATTGCCTTCTTGTAGCTATGAGACATTGAGCAAAACAGATAAGAACTGGGGCAATGGAGGCATAAACATTAAGGCTAGGATGTATTTTTGGGGAGAAAGCGGCGGCTAGCAGGGACGAAGCTCAACTTCATGCGCCGCGCCCCGGAATGCTTTGCCTTTAGCCACTAGCGGAGCCGCCCGCCTGAGGGAGCCCTCCGGGAGTGAGCGCACGCAACCGTGCAGTCAGATTCCTCCGCCGACCGCGGCCCTCTCTCCTCGGGCTTTGCCTTCGCTCTCTAGCTTTTCTTCTTTCACTCCCGCTCGCCGACTCCAGCCCGCTGGGCTCACGCTCTGCCGGACACCAATCCCGGCGGCCCTGCCCGACGGAGCTCAAGGCTAGGCCTGGCCTTGTCCGCGGAGTCCGCCCCTCGCCGCCACCGGGATCCGCCCCCGCGCCGACACGCACTTCCGGCAGCGCCGCGGCCGGGAGGGACCGAGCGGGGAGCAAGGCCTGCGGGGAGGCGCAGGATGGACGCGTTGGCTGTCATGATGTAGGACCTCCTGACCTAGAACCATGCCCGGCGCAGGGAGAACAACGAGCTTACGGACCGGGTGCGGGGGCTGCTGTGCGAGAAAGCCTACCTGCTGGCCCGGGAGCGTTCGCCGGCCCACCTGGTGGCTTTCCCTGGACGTTTAACGGCGACTCCGCCCGGCCTCCCGACTTTTTGATGCAGGCGTTCTCTTACATGACTTTCTTCGAGGCTAGATTCTCGAAAGACATCCTGAAGGTGGCTTTCTTAATTAGCTGCCTCACCGGCTGGCGGAGCAGTTCGTAGTCGCCTACATCGAGAGGGAGAGCCCCGTCCTGGCTCAGTACTGGGGCTTCGTGGACGCGCTGTAGCGGGTCTTCGCCGTCGTGGGTAGGAAACAGTCGGGCCGGATCCCCGGTGTCTGGGGAGCGGCTGCCGGCCGGGCCCGCGCGAGCCGCTTCACTCCTACAAGCCCGGCTCACTAGTTCCAAGCTGCTGGACTTTGACCCTCGCTGGGAAGCTTGATCGCCGCCTGTTCTCGCCAATCTCTATGCCTTTGCACTGCCCAGCAACCCGGTCACTGCCCAGGACCTGTTAAAAGTTGAATGGACCTCCCAGAATCACGCCGCTGCCACCGCCGTTTCTAGAGACGGCTTTTGGCCACCTTTGAGAATCAGGGTCAAACTTGGAAGGGCCTGCATTTGTCACACTTCCTCGGACACTAATTTGGATAGTTCAGGCCCAGAGACGGCTTCCCGGGTTAGTGTGCCTGACAACACTGAAGAAAAATTGTGACATTTTCCTTCCCCAGAATTACTTCGTTTTATACATTTCACTTCTCTTCTGAAATCACAGCAATGCCAGTTTGCGCCTTTTGGTCTGAGGAACGCAGGCCCTGGCCACTACCAGGAAAAAGTATTTACTTTTAAAACTTGAATGTATATCTTTACCGTATGCCTAGTACAGTAGTGCTTGGAAGAAACAGATTAGTAAGACAAAATATATGTCTTCAAGAACACTTACGTTCTGAGAAAGAATTCTGAATGCAGATTCTAATGTCTGGTAAAATGCTTTACAGTGTAAAGAATGCATATATGATTCTTATTTTATGGCATTTTAAACTTTCCACCCCACGGTTTTAAAGTGTTAATATATGTTAAAAATATATGCAATTTATAAAGGAGAAGGAAAGCCCAGCTTGATTTTTGCTGCCAAAGATGGTATATTTAAAATTAAACGTAACTAATGGCAAAAAATAATGGGAATGGTGCAGTCTTTGAGCTGTATCCAGTTGGCATTATTCTCTTGGACTAAAAGGAATAGTATTAACTTCCTCACTTTGGGTAAGCCACTTTAGATTTTTGGGCTGCAGTTTTCTCAGGTAATTAGAGACTTTATATTATGAAAGTTTGGTTCACAATTCTTTGAGTCTCTTTTGGGAACAAAGAAGGTAAGAGGAGGATATGTGCCCTCCTCTCAATCAAGGGGTTTCTTGAAACCCTCTAAGGAGAAAAATCTGAAACTGCCTTTCCTAAAACGTTCATGGGTTTGTCATTCTGATGATCAATATCGTCCCACTGAAGTATCTTTTTGAATTCCTAGTTAGGAATCTTTATGTTAAGATAAACTGATCACTCTCTCCTTCGTGGACAGTTTATCTACCTAAAGATGATAGGGGAAAACACTGTTTTTGAAAGACGAAATAAAGACATGTTGTAGCAGTTATTTTATTGCCAGTTAGTATTACAAAAGTTCCTAAGGAACTCCCCATTAACTTGGCCTCATATGAACTACGCTTGAGTCCCGTTTTAAATTGAGTCTTGATCGTATTTACTGACAGTTTCAAAGCAGCGTTTTTTTTTTTCCTCCATAGTAAAAAACCTACAGGATACCACCACCAAAGGAAAAAACAAGTTTTTTTCAGTAAACCTCACAAGAGCATACATTTGATAGAATACACGGATTTTCTAATGAAAGCTCGCCGTCACCATTTTATAAGTCAGAACATGAAAGTCAAAATATCTCATACAGATGTCTTTTTTTTTTGAGAAGGTACACAAGGCTTGCTTGTAGAGATGGAGTTACATGGAGGGACAGAAGGTCACTGGTCAGTGATTTTAGGTTTTTATACTTCTGAAAACAGGTAATTACAGATTCTGATCAGTTTATCATTTTCTTTAGTCTTTTATTTTCTGCTGAATGCTCTCAAGGGAACGGATCCATACCTGTTTATCAGGCTCACCTGGAAGAGCCAAGTCATCCACTCAGGTCTTCCTCTGGACCTGCATAATTTCCTCATTTACTAGATTGGGTTTCTTTTATGTGTGGGCTTTTAATGCTTGGTATCTCTGGTCTTCCTAATATGTAATGCTTAGCATAATAATTTTAGCCATTATTCATTTTTGTAGTAGGCTTCACTAGCTTCCTGCTTCTCAAATCCCTTGAAAAGATGAGATTTTTTTTTCGTGGAGTTCACGTCTAGTAAGTTGGTCTTGATTTTTTTTTTCTTTCAGAACCTTCTGGATTTCAGCTTTGGCAAGCTTCCTCTGTTTCTGAGACACCTCCATCACCTGGGTTACAATCCCATCCATGATTTTCCCCATCTCCAGGCATTTTTCATGGAAAGCTCCTCATGCTTTTTAATTCCAGTTTATCCATTTGTGTGGCTTTAACCTCCACATCCAGGTCTTTCTGGCTAAACTGCAGTATATCCACAATGGGGCCAATGGACACATAAGGGAGGCCCTATCACAGGAACACGAACACCCGGAGTCGCTAGAAATCAGATTCCACCGGCTTTGCTTCAGGCCGACTTCCTAAGGAAGGCATGGTAGCATCACAGATGCTGTTTGTCTCAGTTTCCTGAGAAGCCAGTTTCTTAGAGCTGTCATTCAAGAGTGGGTCAAATTTGAGATATAAAAACCTTTCTCAAGGTAGACTCTTTGGCCCCTATGCCTAGTATGTCAGCTGGGCCTCTGAAGCTCTCCTCTTTGAGGTCCTGGCAGGCTCTGGCCCCTGTTGAGAAGGGGAAGCAGTCATGTGAACTCATGTGCTGGAAGAATCCACTCTACCCCTTCCCTGGCTTCTCTGCTGCAATTTTTGTCTTTAAACGTATTTTCAGGTGATTCCAGTTTGCATACATAATTGAGAAATATAAGATTTGGTCCCCAGTAGAGAGCCAGGTGAACTTAAGAAGGAGTCCATCTAAGAAAATTGCACAATTATCTAGTTTCACTTGGGTTTAGCTTTTATGGCTTACTTGATTTAGTAATCAAATGATTTTCAAATGATTTTGATCAGGTGACTCTTCGTAAACTAGAGAATGAACTTGAGAGCCGAATTAGCACAGTTTAAAAATAATCATTTAGTTTTTGTTCTCTATTGTGTAAATTATTGAGGTTTGACTGTCTTGGCTAAACTAAGGCTCATCTAATATCTTTATTTTTGATATCCTAATTTCTTGCCAATTAATTGAAGGTAACATACTAGCAGACCAGATAACTACTTATGCAAACCTCAGATAACCACTAATTTAAACAAAATTAAATCCTTTGCCTTCCCCAGATCCTTTGCACATGGCCTGCTATCAACAATCCTCTACAATGATTCTCAGCATCACCTAGGGAGCTTATGTAAAATCTCAAATTCCTGGGCCCTATCCCCAGAGTTTCTTATCAAGTAAGTCTGCATTGGGATCTGAGGATTTGCATCTCTAACAAAAATTCCTAGGCGATGCTCACACTGTTGGTGTAAGGGTGAGTACAAATTAGAAATAAAACTATTTAATTCTGCCTGGTGCAAAGGAGAGAGAGAGACTTTTACCCTCCACATCCTTTTCTTTGGTCATTTACTTTAGGAAACTTAATTGTAAGCTTTTTCTGTGCCTCTTTGAAATGCCTGTAAATCTTTCCAAAAACTAAATTAGGCTTTTGCCAATTTTACAACCTAAGAATGTGAATTCCTCAAGGACCTGGGAGCTATCTCACTGAAATTTAATCATTGAGAAAAATAGTACCCCTATCTTTCAGCTTCCTGGAAACATAAGAGCCTAACTTTATTAGGCACCTTGCTCCATTACAAAGCTATCTTCTGTCATAAAGATACAAGAAATTTATTTTTCCCTTGGACAAAAGCAACTAACTAGCAGAGGGTCACCAAAATTACCAGGTGAATTTAGGGTGAACTCTGTGTGACAAATGGTGCTGCCAAGTTCTCTTGAGTACTATAGAAAGTGCATGACATGAATTTTTTACTTCATGATGGTGCAAAACCATTGCTTTTCACTTTCAGTATAATATTCAAGAAATTACATATTGAATATAAGATATTCAATATCTTATTCTTTATTATAGGCTTTGTGTTATATAATTTTGCCCAACTAACTGTAGGCTAATGTAAGTGTTCTGAACATGTTGAAGGTAGGTTAGACTAAGCTCTAATGTTCAGTAGGGTAGGTGTATTAAGTGCATTTTCAACTTACGAAATTTAAGCTGATATCCAAAGAATGAGTAAGAATGAGGTAAAGGAGCAAGAAAACATTGCTTCAGGCAAAGGAATAGTATGTGCAAAAGCCCTGGGGTTTAAGAATATGATGTTTTTAGAGAACTGCAAATAATTCAGTATGGTTGGAGCAGAGGGATGTGGAATGATTATTGATTCTGTTGGAGAGTAGACAGAGGCCAGATTGCTATGCTTAGATACAATTTCAACCACCTACAAATCCATCTAATTACCTACATGACCATCATCATCTGGTCATGTTTCTCCATTTTATCATTATGTATACCTTAAAGACTTGCTCACATTACTTAAAATTGAGATAGGTTAGGCATCTATCCAATCTCCCATGCCAGTAATTCTACAGAAACAGATTAGGTTAGCTAGATAAGCATGTTTACAATTAAATTTATGCTGTATCCTTCTAATCACCACTTTCTCATCAAAATGCTCACAAATCATCTGCATCATTGTCCATTCTTTAAAAATGTATAAACCCATCTCTACTAAAAATACAAAATTAGCTGGGCATGATGGCGCACGCCTGTAATCCCAGCTGTTCAGGAGGCTGAAGCAGAAGAATTGCTTGAACCCCGGAGACGGAGGTTGCAGTCAGCCGAGATTGCACCATTGCTCTCTAGCCTGGGCAACAAGAGCAAAACTCCATCTCAAAAAAAAAAAAAAAAGTATAAATTTGTATCAAGCATGCTGGCTTGAGGGTTTAAGGAATTTCTTTTTTTTATTTCTGACATACTTCTGTGGAGTGTGTTTTGCTTTCATTTTTGTTGTATTGTTTGTAATTTACACTATTAACAGTTTCTATTAGTGCTGTGGAATTAATTCCTCTTGTGCTGAAGATAGAAATATATTATTTCTAGGAAGAAATTGTCCTTATCGTCTTCACTAATATTGGACTTAGAGAGTCCTCCTATAAGACATGTTCTGTTTTTCATTTTGAACAGTTTCCTTGATGGAGAACTATCAAAGCAGTCAAAGCTATCAAAATAAAAAAGAATTCTGATTGGGTGCAGTGGCTCACACCTGTCATTCCAGCACTTTGAGAGGCCAAGGTGGGCAGATCACATGAGGCCAGGAGTTCAAGACCAGCCTGGCCAACATGGCAGAAACCCCATCTCTACTAAAAATACCAAAATTAGCCGGGCATGGTGGAACACACCTGCAATCCCAGCTACTCGGGAGGCTGAGGCAAGAGAATCGCTTGAACCTGGGAGGCAGAAGTTGCAGTGAAACAAGTTGGTGCCAATGCATTCCAGCCTGGATGATGGAGCGAGACTCTGTCTCAAGAAAAAAAAAACAAAAACAAAAACAGAACTCTGCCTCATAGCGTCTTTTAAGTTATACACTGGACCTATCCTTTCCTCACTGACAGACATTTTAAAAATTTTTTGGTAAGGCCTAGTTCATATAAAATGTAATCCAAGCCAAAAGTTAACAAGAATAAGGGGAGGAAAGGGGACTCCAATAGCAGAGAAAGGTATTTACCTGGGATATACACTGCAAGAAAATCAAAGCTATAAGAAACGTCCATGAATAGTAGCCATAAGGCATCAGAGTGATAAAATTCCTGTCCCTAGGAGGGAATATTGGAGTTTGCCAGAGAAACAGAATGAGAGAGACAGAGAGGTTTATTGTAGGAATTGGCTCATATGATTACGGAGGCTGAGAAGACCCACGATCTGCCATCTGCAAGCTGGAGAATCAGGAAAGCTGGAGGTGTAATTCAGTCAAGTCCAATGGCCAGAGAAGCAAGTGTACTGATATCCAAGAGCAGGAGAAAATAGATGTCCCAGAACAAGCAGAGAGGCTGATTTTGTCCTTCCTCTGCCTTTTTGTTTCATATGGGGCACTGAATGGACTGATGCCCATCCACATTAGTGAGGGTGGATCTTCTTTACTCAGTCTACCAGTAGAAATGTCAATGACTTCCAGAAACACCCTCACCAACACACGTGGAAATAATGTTTTACCAGGTATCTGGGCATCCCTTGGTTCACTCAAGTTGACACAAAATTAACCATCACAGAAGGAGACTGGCCTTACTCTGAAATTAGGAAACTAAAGAAGTGACCAGAATGGAGACTAGGTAGAGACAACTAGTTCTCTACCAAACATGTACAGTTATTCGTTGGTATCTGAAGGGGATTGGTTCCAGGAACTCTCAGGGATACCAAAATCTGCAGGTGCTCAAGTCATTTATATAAAATATTACAGTATTTGCATATAACCTTTGCACATCTTCCATATACTTTAAATCATCTCTACATTACTTATAATAATGAATGTGTAAATGCTATGAAAATAGTTACTACACTATTGTTTATTTGTATTTTTATTGAATTGTTTTGGGGTGGGGGGCAGCTGTATCTTTCTTAGTAATAGAACCCCTGGTTTTAGCTGGGCACATGACTGCCCTCAATAAAGATTAAAGTACCCCAGCCTTCCTTGAGATTGTGGCCATGTGACTGAACTTTAGACAGTGAGATATAAGCAGATATCTTCTGTGGCAGTGTTAGGAAACTATTAAAGACAGTAAGAACATTGCCCTTTGCCTTCTTTTTCCTTTCTTCATTTTTCTGCCTGGAATGCAAATGTGATGGCTAACACCCTAGCAGCCATTTTAGATTATGAAGATGAGAGTCACTCCCCAGGAAGGGTGGACCTGAAAGCTGGATTCTAGATGTGGAATGACAATACCAGCCCTGGACTACCTACCTGTAGGCTGTGTGTGTGTGTGTGTGATTGACAGAGAGAGAGAGAGATAGATACCACAAGTAACACAAAGCATCATACCTGGGACTGGGAAGGTTAATGTTTAAACATTTTAAATGTGGCATTGGTTTGTTGAAGACAGTCAAGCAGTAGGTGCTGCAGGCTTTGTTGAGGCTAGAAAGCTGTTGGTCTTTATTAGGTGATGGCAAAACAATGGATCACATTTTCATGTGCTGTGTCTTGGGAGGCAAATGATGAGAATGTAGGATTGGGGAAAATGGTAAGGAAAATCCAAAATGTTCATGTTTTCTAACCCCTTCTTGCCAATCTTAAAAGAAGGACAAACAGGCTAGATTAAGCAAGTCTACAGTTACAATTGGAAGGAAACACAGCCGTACTAAGGAAGTACTCTGTCTGTGGCCTGCAGTCTAGTTTGACTAGGTCCTGTATTTGAGCTTTGAAAGAGTAAAGAATACAAGTGCTCGTATACCCCTGAAGTAGTTACCAGCAGTGACTGCAAGGAGGTAATCTTATGGGATGAAACTATAACTCTGTATTAACCATCATATATAGCATATATGTGTATATGTATGTGTGTGTGTGTATATGTGTATATAAATATATGTGTGTGTATATACACACATGTACACACCCTACAACCCAGTGATTTCAAAAAATTAAACATTTGTTTAGCTCATGAATCTGTGGGTTGGGTGAACATTTCTATTGGTCTTGGCTGGGCTCACCTGTACCCAGTCAGCTGCAGGGTCTAGCTCTTCTTATCTTGGCTGGGATCTCACACATGTCTAGGATCAGCTGCTTTACTAGTCTAGGATTGTCTTGGCTGAGACAGGTGGACTACTCAGTTCTCCTCCACTGCCTTATCCTTCAGCTGGCCAGCCCAGAAATGTTGCCATGTTTACAGCATAAGAGCAAGCAAGAAAGAATAATATGCAACCACTTTTCCAAGCCTAAGGTGAAAGGGCGGGCAGAACCTGTGGTGTTAGGAGGCAACTCATACCAGCCCATGGGTCTACCGTTTAATTTTCAGAAATTTGGCAAGCTGATTGTTAACACAGCTGTTGTTTAATTTATGTACTTGTAATTAAATAATTTACATTAAAACAAAGATAATAGGTACTCAAAACTCATGACTTTCTAGTTATTTTATTATATTTTACTATTGTCTGTCCTCTTAAGGTGTTTGTTTCTAGTGTATCTGGTGGAAACACTACTTCATGTTTCAGTTGTGTCAAACCAGTAGCTTGAAATCAGCCACTGTTGGAGTGTTTATACCACAGAAATTGATAGAAGCTACAAATGAAGTGTTGCTTGTTGATTTGTTTTGTTAATTGTCTGGCTTAAGAAAGTGGTAGAGAAAACATTAATGCAGATTAAATTTAAAAGCGTGTTGTGTCTGCGGCCGTTACATTGCAAATACAAAAAATAATTGAGGAAATGTTCTTTGAAAACTATTATCTAATTCTGCAAAGTTGTCACCTCATTTACAAACAACTGCAGTTTCAGCTACCTCTTTATTGTTTTACTTTCCTCTTACTGACAATGAGAATATCAATTAACATTCATGTCAGAACTACACTTGCTCATGAACTACAACTGTAGATTGGCTATGGATAAGAAAATTTAGTGAAAGTCAAATAAAGCATTCAGTAAGAGTTGGCTATATAGAACTTACAGAAAAGATTATTGCATATTTTCTTATTTGTCAATGTGTGCTACACATATTTTCAGTAAAATTTATAACATAATGTATAAAGTATTTTTTAAGAAACATTTAACCAGTATGCTACTGGGCAGAAGGTTCCCCCAAGAGTAGGAGGACGCTGCAATATGCTAGGGCAAAGAGTATAGTTAGAGAGAGGGGCAAAAATTTGGGTCATTAATCCAATTAAAGTACCCTAGGCCCCTAGTCTTTCTCAAATACTTTCCATTAAGCAACTGTCAGTCAGTAGAACCTAGTGCATTGACAAAGATCAGATTGTGATTTTTGCCTATTATTTTTAAATGTCTCAAGATAGCCAACACTTCTTGGGGGGATAGGGTGTTTGAGCTTGGTATAGGGAAGAATAGGCAGAGCCTAGATGCCAGTACTGTTGGGGTGATCAGACCCAACACCGAGTCATAGGGGTGACGAAGTCCGGCGTAGTCAAAGGAATGAGAAAAGACAGTTTGAGAGAGAAAGTGAGTCCCGGGAGCCAACACTAAGTATGGAGGCTGCGAAGGCCCTGAACTCTGGAAGCCCAGACTATTTATTGGTGGTGCTCAAACAAAGAAACAGGTGGTGAGAATGTGGGGTTGAAAGGGAGCGTTGCATTAAGCACATTATGATTTACATTACGTTATGATTTGCATCGCATTATGATTTATAGCTGCAATGGTTTAGCATATGCTCTACTACTTGGGATAGTGGAGAGCAGGTTCTTTTAACTCAAGATACAGTCAATCCTGGGAGAGCAAGGAGCAAGGAGCCAGCGAGTCTAGACACATTCCAGAAGCCACGAGCCCTGGATTCTATCCAAGCCACGAGAGGTTTTATGCCCTGGGCTTAGATTATGGTGTGTCAGGGCAGCCTTCCACCCTTTAGCACAGAGCTTGGTGTTCCAGAGGCCACAAGGGGTTTTAGACCCTGGACCCCAGACATGTTCCGAGACTCTTTTACATTATGTCAGACATGCAAGTCCTGCCTCCGCGTCTCTCCCAACACTCAGCTTTTCTCCCAAGAAGTACATCACACTAAAATGTCTCAGGCTTAGAAATCGTCTAGACATTACGATCTCTGGCTACTAACATACGTGGAACTAACTGAAAGCAAATATACCAGAAGATTACTAAATTTTAAGGAAATTGTTCTTCAAAAGAAATTTCAATCCTGGCCTGTGACCATCAAGCTCCTAAAACAGTTTCTGGGTCCCCATATTCACCCTAGCAGGAAGAGAGCTTCTGCAATGGCAACCACCACAGAGGGGCTTCTGCCCCATGGCCCCTTCTCATGCAGCCATGTAATATAATGCACGTCCTAGAAAGCAGAGATAAGAACCACAAAATACAATGGGCAAGAGCTTAACTGAGGACTACCAAATAGCTAAGCAAAGAATACCCTCCTTTACTAGGGGAGGGAGCTTGTACTTTCTGCTCAGAGGTATCTGATCATTGATATGGACCAGTGACCACTACCAGTTTCTCCTCCCCTTTCTCAAATAGTTTTTACGGTGGTGTCCTGTTTCCATATCCATATATGTTTTTCAATGTATCTGCTGGCAGACCACAAGAAGGTACACATGACCCCAAGGAAGGGACTGCATATGATTAAGAGATCCTGAACATGGAGCAGGAATTCAGGAAGATCTTGAAGTTTTCTGCCTTGGAGAAAGAGTAAATGTCTACTCTGCAAATGTGTTCCTGGCTTTTCTTGGATCATCAGCTCTGAGGAAAGCCAACTTCCATATAGTGAGCACACACAGCACCCTACATAGGAAAACAGTGCTCATAGATGTCCGGGTAGCCAAAAATATATACGTAGCCATGGCCAATATTTATTCTCCCCATCTTCCTTAGCAAGAAACTCCCTGATTTTTAGCTGGGCATATAATCACTTTTCATTAGGGTTCTCTAGAGAGACAGAAATAATAAGATAGATAGATAGATGATAGATAGATAGATAGATAGATAGATAGATAATAGATAGATGACAGGGCATTTATTAGGGGAATTGGTTCATATGATTATGGCAGCAGAGAAGTCCCACAATAGACTGTCTGCAAGCTGGAGACCAAGGGATGCCAATAGTGTGGCTCAGTAAAAGTCCAAAAGCCTCCAAACTAGGAAAGCCAGTGGTATAACTCTCAGTTTGAGGCCAAAGGCCTGAGGACCTGAAGTTTTGATGTCCAAGGGCAGGAGAAGAAGGGTGTCTCAGCTCCAGAAGAGAAAGCATTAATTTGCCTTTCCTCTGTCTATTTGTTCTATCTTGGCCCCAGCCAATTGGATGGTGCCTACCCACATTGAAGACAAATCTTCCCCACTCAGTTTATCAACTCATGCGCCCATTTTCTCTGGAAACACCCTCACTCAGAATTAATGCTTTACTAGCTATCTAGGTACCCATTAATCTAGTCAAATTGATACCTAAAATTAACCATCACATACCTGCAAATAAAGACAACATTTAGCATATTAGCTTGTACATCTTATGCTTCCATATTACATGTCATACATTTGCATGTAACTAAGTGCTGATGCGGAGAGGGAGGCAATGTGTTGTACAGTAAGGTTTCCAGGAAACCTTAAACAACTGCTAGCACACACTTTTTAACTTTGTATTTCTCTACTCTGCTTCCTCGGTTTCACCTTTGGCAACTAGAACCCTAGCAGATATCTTGAACCATGAGGATGAAGGTCATAAACTATAACAATATCACCAGACCAGCCTTGGACTGCCTACCTACAAATGTTTTCTATGCATGGTAGAAATAAACCTTATGTGATTTAAGCTACCACTATTTTGTAGTTTGCTGCTGCTACAGCCAAAACTGATTCTAATTGATACCAGAAAGAAATTTGAAAAATCTGTTAAATAAAGTTAGTATGTGCATACGTTTGGAGATGAGGGAAGGCAGGAGATTTGGAATTGGCAAGAAGGTTGAATTGGGGAAGAGAGGCCAGAATTCAAAAAGAGAAGAGACATGGTGGAGATTTTAACTCTCCTCTCTTCAAAAGATGGAGTCTAATTCCCCTCACCTTATGTAGGGGCCAGACTGAGTAATTTACTATTAATAAATAGATTGAGTGATGGCATGTGGGTTATAAGATTAGGTTATAAAAGACACTGTGGCTTTCACTTTGATCTCCCTTGAATTATTAGCTTCAAGCAAAGTCAGGTGCTATGTAGAGTGGACACTCAAATATCCCTAGGAAGAAGTCTATGTGGTGAGAAACTGAGACCTTCAACAGGCTGCATATACTTGCCACGTGAGGACATCATTTTGGAAGAAGATCCTCAAGCCCCAGTCAAGCCTTCAGATGATAGTGGTCCCAGGCCAACATCCTGACCAAAACCTTATGAAAGACCCTTACGCCAGACGCAGCTAGCTAAGCTGTTCCTGAATTACTGATATAAAAACTGTGAAATCATACGTATTTATTTTTGTTTTAATCCTCAAAGATTTGGGGCAATTTTTTATGTAATAGTGGATAACTCTACATACATTATCAAGCTGATATATTATGGATAGAGGAAAAAGTTATAATGATGTGATAAGATGAGAAGGTGCTTGTCAGTTGCAAGACATGTCATCTGGGCTCCAACTTAATACTAAGTTATTGCATATAACAGGAAAAAAGGGAGCACTTTTCAGAGTCATGTACTCTGAAATTCAAATTCAAACATCTGCTGGACTGGGATTCAAAGTATGACTCAACTCTCTTCCTTCCAGGGTTCTGACTGTTGGGGCATACACAAGTGGTAAATTGCCAAATGGAAATAAGGAAGCATCATCTCTTAAGTCCTAGGCAAACACTTTATTATATTGGGCTTCTAATCTACTTGAAGTCTACATAAGCCTTCATATACCCTCTTCTCTGAATTTTAGGCAGCTGAGGCCTGAATTACAATAATCCAAATGAGAAAGGAAAGGATTTTGGCCTAAGGTGCAGATGACAGAGGTAGAGATGGGGGATAGATTTGTGGTATATTTTGAAGATAGAAATGGCAGGCCTTACAGATAAACAGGATGTGGGAAGTGTTTCTTCTCTCTCCAGTCGGGAATATTGGGGGTACATTTCCATTTTTCTTCATCGCCTTTCATGGTCTTTCCTAAGGGAGGAGGAGGGGATAAAGTGATTGGTCAGGGCTCAACAATCTTTGAACCCTCTTTTCCTTTTGGGTGGGGTGAGGGGACGCACTTCCTGGGTGCAGGCACAGCTGTCCCTCTGGTGTTTGTTATTCACTCTGCAGTGTGGCGCTGTGCTGTGTCCTCCTAACCATGTCGTTCTTACTCCCTTCTAGTCCATTGTTCACACTGGTCATGATTACTTAAAAAAAAAAAAAAAATTCCCCAAATAGTTCATTTGATTTACTCGAAGAGACTTGAAAGTCTAATTTTGGCCTACAGCAATGAGGATATTGCTAAGAAACATTTCCAGTGAAGTTCCCTCTTCACTTCGATGTAAAAATGGCATCACTCTTTTTACAATATATTGTGTATATCTCACACTTCTCTCACTGGACTTTCTTGTTCAGAGTTACCCCTTCATCAGGTAACCATGAATATCTGCATCAAAAAATAAAGCCTCATAGAATCACCAGTTGTTTTAAACATGAGAAAAGGTTGATGGAGATATTATCCATCTTTGAATGACACTAAAAACGAAACCAAAAACATCCATTAAAAGTTATGAAAAATGTATTGACTGACCTTTAAAGTTCAAGCAAGCCCAAATAATGCAAGATAATTAAAGATGACGAGTAAAAAGCCCAAGAAAATATATGAAGCTTGTCTAGTGAGCATGTTTAAAATAAATAATGTATCTTCATGAGTTATTGATGATCTTATAATTCATGAGTACTAAGAAAAACATAGCAAGGAATGATTTCTAAAAGGTCATCAATAGCAAGTAGGAACACAACCGGTTCACTGCCTGTCTTGTAACTGATTAAAGTTCTAAGAAGAAAGGAGGTAAACGGGGAAAAAAAGAGGAGTAAACAGAAAGAGGTCTATACTCAGTTGAATAATGTCACCCCAGAACTCACGTACACAACAATGAACATTTCTGGGTTTCTTGCTAAGAAACTCATAATGTGATTCAGTCCATTTTGTGCCACCATAACAGAATACCTGAGACTGGGTAATTTATAATGAACAGAAATCTATTGGCTCACAGTTCTGGAAGCTGGGAAGTCTAAAATCAAGGGTTTGGCATCTGGCAGGGCCTTTTTACTGCATCATTCCGTGGCAGAAGGGCAAAGGCGGGATGAGAAAGAACAAGAAATTAAACTCAGAGCCTCAAGCCCTTTTATAAAAATCAGCATTAATCCATTTATGATGGTGTATCCCTCATGGCCTAATCACCTCTTAAAGGTCTTACCATTTAATACTGTTAAAATAGCAATTAAATTTCAAAGTAAATTTTGAATGGGACATTCAAACCATAGCAGGGACTTATATAGAAATAGGGTCTTTGCAAATGTAGTTAAAATGAGGTTATAACAGATTAGGGTAAGTCCTAATCCAATATGACTGGTATCCTTTTAAGCAGAGGAAAGAACAGAGAGGCACATAGGGAAGAAAGACCTGTGATGTCAGAGGTAGAGATTGAGAGATGCAGCTTCAAGCCAAGGAACCACCAGAAGCTAGGAGACAGGCATGGAACAGATTCTTCCCAGAACCTCACACAGGGAGCATGGCCCTACTGACACCTTGTTTTAGTGTCTGATAAAAACCCGTTTTCTGGCTTATAGATGATGCCTTCATGCTGTGTCCTCATGTGGTAGAAGGGTTGAGGGATCTCTCCAGGGAATTAATCTCATTCCCAAGGGCTTTGCCTTGATGAGTTAATCACCTTCCAAATGCCCTACCTCCTAATACCATTATCTTGGGGGTTAGGATTTCAATGCATAAATTTTGAGGGGACGTAAACAGTCAGTCTATTGCAATGTTCAACCTGACACATAATTTGAAAGCTACGAGAAAAAGAGATATTTGCCCAACTTTATTTATTAGAATTACATAATTGTGATAACAAAACAGTATACAGACAATACAAGAAAATAAAAGTAGTGACCAATCTCACTAAAAGCAAATACAAAAATCTAAGTAAAATAGTAACAAATAAAATTGAGCAACATGTTAAAAAACTAAAATACCACTTCATAATCTGCGTGGACTTCCTTATTCCAGGAATATGAGGATAGTTCAACATTAGAAAAATCTACTGACATAATGTACTACATCAAAAAGCTAAAGAAGAAAATGTGTATAATTATCTTGGGATTTATAGAGGAATATTTAATAACATTCAGTTCTCAAAGGGCAAGAGAAGCCTTGCTCTAAGATCAGTAGAAAAAGTTCATCAAAATTAACAGATTACGAGTGGAGTAAGGTTGCAAAAAATGTTACATTGTTGATTAACTGGCAAAACATCACCCGATCAGTAAAATGTGACAATTTGGGGCTGTGGGAGAAAGTAGGATGGCAGACTGCCTCTGATGAAAAAATTCCAAATCTTCTTTTGAAATTGAGTTTAACAGAGATGTGATAGCAACTACCCCAGGTTAGGGAAGGTTCTAGGGAAATGATTGAGATCAGGTATCTATCTGATTCCAATCAGAAATAGATGTGTATATTCTGTTGTTGTCAATTGCTTTCTCAGAATCCCTTACTGGGTGTTCACTGCTGTTAGGATATAGACAAAGATCTTTCATCATGGCCTTCAAGGAGAGGTAGCTTGAGGTGGGGGTGGGGAGGAGTGTTGAGAATGAAGAAACTGCTCCTTCTGAGCACATTCCAAGTAAGATCATCCTCAACAATGTCTTAGGTAATACGTTGGCCTGATGGTTTTTAAAACTAAAAAAATAAATAAAAGTGTACCTTAGGTGACACCATTTTTGTGCCCACCTACCTACCAACAAATGGCAAAGGCTCAATCCTGGACCCAGCTTCACCCCAGACTAACTCCCAAGATTGAGTCCCTGGCAGTGCTTTCACCTTCAATGCCTGCATCGGAATTCCCCTGATTATGCCACAAGTCATCTGAAGTGGGAACCATGAGACACAGACACTGAGAAATTAACAGTGTATGAGGAAGACAGGATATAATCAGATTCATGTTTTGGGGAAATTACTGTATCAAATATGTTAAAAAGAAAGATAAATCTGGAAACAGTCTAGAGAATGGATTTTGCAGGGTATAAACTAAAGACAGATCAGTTGAAAAAACAAACTTTTAATAGTCCAAAGGAAAGAAGATGAAAGACCAGGTCAGAACAAAGAAATATGATAGATTTGAGAGGAAATTTTGAAGTGAAAATACAGACCCTTTAACAAAAATATTATAGATTGTGAATGATACTTTTTGTTTTAATTAATACCTCTGAATGCCAAACTAAAAAGATATTTGAGTTACAAATAATAATAACACTTCCAAAGTTATTTTGCATACAACTTAACTTTGAGCATCTCCTTAACGATTTTGATCCCCTTGTAAACTTGAACATTCAATCTAAAAATTCTCCCATAGTCAAAAGGATTTTTAAGAACCAAGGAAAAGGCCAGGTGTGGTGGCTCATGCCTGTCATCCCAGCACTTTGGGAGGCTGAGGCAGGTGGATCACTTGAGGCCAGGAGTTTGAGACCAGCCTGGCCAACATGATGAAACCCCATCTCTACTAAAAATACAAAATATTAGCCGGGTGTGGTGGTGGGTGCCTGTAATTCCAGCTAGTTGGGAGGCTGAAGCAGGAGAATTGCTTGAACCTGGGAGGCGAAGGTTGCAGTGAGCTGAGATCATGCCACTGCACTCCAGCCTGGGCGACAGAGCAAGATTCCGTTCCAAAAATAAATAAATTAAAAAAACCCAAGGAAAGTGCTAAAACCTATTTCTATTATTCACCAATCAGAAGATTTTGTTAGATGATCCTTTATCATTAATTTCCAAACTGACAATAATATTTAGACCAATTTATTTGAATTTTAGTCACTTTTCCCCAAAATGCTTAGGAATATAGCAATAGCAGATGCCTTCCTAATACTGTAATGGCAAATTACTGCCTTATTCTCTTTCAAGGATATATATCAATTTCACTTTTCCCGAAATATCTTTTAGGATAAAATGGTATTAGATTACTTTTGAACATAATTTAATGATTCCAAATGGAGTTATTTATATAAAACTCTATCTCAGAGAAATATAATTTTGACAATATGTGGGAAAGAGCACTAGAATACAAGAAAAAATGCTTAGTTCTAGATATGTCAGTAACTATGTGAGAAATATAAACTCTCTAGGTTTGTGGTTTCCTCTTTATTGGGTAAGAGTTTAGATTGGTTTATTTCTAAAGGTTTTTCCAAAAATAACATTATTTAAATGACATTCAAATATAGTATGTGATACTTTGCTTACTTTGTTTTTGGGCTTAATTGTATAACACAGCACTTGAATATTTCACAGAAAATTTAATTTCTTATTATAAAATGAAACATGCTTACTATGAACGTTTTTCTTATATTTTATACTTCCTATATAAAATATAGGAAAATGAAGAGAAAAAAATATTATCACTCCTCTCCATCTCTTAGGTGGTGAGGAACTTGCCAGTATGGTAAAAGCTGTGGTTCTCTCACCTCCCCTTGCAAATTCAATAAACTAATCTGACCATCCTTAAGAACTAATTGTCAAATTCTGACACACTTTGTTCTTTCATTTGATATTCTTTGCTTGACCTAGCTTCAGTCAGGTTGCTGAAACTTCTTCTAGGTCCATCTGTGTAGTTCCACGTAAAAACCCAGTTTTAGCAAGAACATTGCTCAGTCAGTTTAGCAAGAATCCCCCATCCTCTTTATTTGATCACCTTCACTATCTGATTGATAAATATAGCTCTGTTACAGCAGCATAAAACAGACTAAGACAATAAATATATAACTGAGTTTCTCATTGTGTTAATTTGTTTTGTGCTGCTTTGAGAGAATACCACAGGCTAATTTTTAAATAATAGAGATTTATTTCTTACTGTTCTGGAGTCTGGGAAGTCCAAGACCCAGACGCATCTGGTGAGGGTCTTCTTGCCACGTCATCCCATGGCAGAAAGCAGAAGGGCAAAAGAGAGCAAGAGGGGGGTCAAACTCATTTTTATAACAAACCCACCTAGGTGACAACTAATCTATTCCCACAATAATGATATTAATCCACTCATGAAGGCAGAGCTCTCATGACCAAATCACGTCTTAAAATTCCCACCTCCCAACACTGTTGCATTGGGAGTTAAATTTCTAACACATGAACTTTGAGAGACACATTCAAATCACAGCATTCATCTTTTACCATCTCTGAGGTGATGTTCCATCATCCTGGCCTGTCTTCAGCAAGAATCCTGCTAGATTGGTATAGCCAGAATCTCCCTTGTTTCTGATGTTTCCTCTCAGTAATTTTCTCATGGTTTATTTCCACCAACCCTCCCTGCTCCTTGGCTATAAATTTCCACTTGCTCATGGTTTACATAGTTGTGAGCCCAGTTTTATGCTGAGGTCTCTTTTCCTGTATTGCAATAGTCTTGAATAAAATATATTTTTAACACTTTTACTACTGTCCAGCTTTGCCTTTTCTTTGACATATTAAGGCTTATCAGACAGAACTGCCTCTACTTTTGTCTTCCTAAACTCCTAAGACTGAATACCCTAAGGAGCCCCCACTACTCGCCTGGTTTGCCTATCTCTGACCCACGCATGAACAGAGGAGATTTTATATCAAGAGCCTCTTAATAGCTCAGCCACCAAGTTTCTAATTCCTTATCTCTGAGTTGGTCTTTAAGACCAGACTCATGGTTCAATTTATCTGATTATCCTGCTTATTTCCCAAATCAACCTCTCAGACTAAGTCCTCTTTCTGTTCTGAGACAATGAGTTCTGGTTAAATACATGGATAATTGCCAGATTCCTTCCTGATGTTGGCAAAGAGAAGTTAGTGTTGTTGACTTCTGTCAGGACTACACTACATGCATTATTTCCTTGACTATACAAACATATAGTACTCTAGGAAAATCTGTTTCATGAACATCTATTACATGAACATCTATCAAGACTATAAAAACCTAAATTTAAAAATCATACCCTTCATTACTAATGGTTTAACTATCAATTTCATATTTAGATTATGATTTAATCTCAGTTCCTCAGGAGAAATATAACTTTCATACTTAAAGGGACTAAATACACACACACACACACACACACACACGCACAAACACGCACACTTCCTTTCAACACACTTATGTGGGCCTAAAAGAATATAATTGCAAGCAATATCGTATAATAAAGGCTAATGTTAGCAGTGATAACAACTGAGAATTGAACAGTTTGTCACTGGGAAACCAAAATATGCCACCCTAAAATATGTTTCTTTGGCATATTTCAGTATGGCTATTTAAAGGGGCTGCAGACACAGGAGTAGTTCTGAAAAGCTGTCCTTTTGTGGAGGAGATTTGCATCTGTAGAGGAAATCTATATTAGTGAAGTAAACAGCAGATGCAAACAGGCTTTCTTGAGGGCCTCCTTATCTGCCTTATCCAAATCTAGGAAAGATTGACTCACAGGAAAAGGAGACTAAAGTCCTGACACTTTTACAGAATTGACAGAGAAACTGGTACCATAGGTTACCATCTAGTCTTTCAAGGGCTACTATATGAGAGCCTTTATCTGTATAACAAGACAGCCTTTGTTCACCAAACCTTTCTTCCCTTACACCTCTCATAGCCTGTCATCATCTCCACCAAGAAGCTCCAAACCTCTATTCTTTTCTGTATGGCCTCTTTTTTGAGTGTCATATTTTGTGTGGCTTCTGTGCATATGTGCAGATTAATAAAATAGTCCTCCTAATCTGTCCATTGCCAGTTTATTTCAGCAGACTTAAAGACTCAAACCTTCAGAGAGGGAGGGAGAAATCCCTTGGCCCCTACATCACCATTATAATGGTTTTAATTCATAGAGAGGCAAATTCAGAACAAAGCACTCTTAAGGCTACAAATCACAAATTTTAGTGTGGCAACTCATTGTGCAAAAACTAAGTAGCAGCGGGATCGGACCATGTTCTGGATTCCCACAGTAATCACCTCTACTTCTTTCATGGCAGTTTATCTTCTTGCCTTGTTAAATAGTAATTTTTGTCTGAATTAGTAGTTATATACTTTTTCTCCCTTTGTATACTTATTTATTGAGAGCAAGAACCAACTCAACTTTGTATCCACTGTGCCTCTGCCTTCCCAGCCTAGTTTAGAGTTCAGATTGTTAGTTTGATGGCTTGAGTGCTCCACTGAGCAATGGAAGGGGAGGCAGGGGATACAAGTGCAGCAGTAAATGTAAATTCATGTGTCTGTTAGGTATGGATATGTGCTATTTTTACTTTAGTTCTTACAAGTTTCTTCCTAGTTCGTATGAAAGTGTTTCTTATTCAAGTATCTAAGTATTATAGAACCCCTTTATACAACTGAAAAAAATAAGTCCTCATCTATCCCTAATGCTAATTTCAATACTTTTTATTAGAATATTACTTAGAACTTGGGGCAAAGCAAGACAGCAGAATAGAAGTCTCCACTGATCATCCCCACTGCAATGACACCCTTTTAACAACTAGCTAGACCCAAAAAAGCAACTTCATAAGAAATAAACATCAGGTGAGCACTCACAGTACCTGGTTTTAACATCATTTTGCTGAAAGAGGCACTGAAGAAAGCCAGTCTTGAATTACCGAAGCCATCTTTCCCCCATCCCCCAGCAGCAGTGTGTGGTATGGAGAGCATTTCTGTGCACTGGGGAGAGAGAGAGAGCAGCAGTTGTGACACATTGAACTCAGAGCTGCCCTATTAGATCAGAAAACAAAACTGAACAAAACTTAGCTGATGCCCACCCACAGAGGGAGCATTTAAACCAGGCCTAGCCAGAGGGGAATTGCTGATCCCAATGGTCTCCAAACTTGAGTTCCTGCAAGCCTCCCCACCACAGGCTAAGGCTCTCTGGGGCCCTAAATATACTTGAAAGGCAGTCTAGGCCACAAGAACTGCAAGACTTATGCAAATCCTAGTGTTGAACTGGGCCCAGAAACAGTGGGCTAGGAGGGCACACGAACTACTGAGACACCAGCCTGGGTGGCTAAGAGAGTGCTGATATCACCACTCCTCTAACCCCAGACCACATAGCTCACAGTTCCAAAAGAGACTCATACCCTCCACTTGAGGAGAGAAGGAAGGACTTTGTCTTGCATCTTGGATACCAGCTCAATAGAGCAGAAAAGGGAACTGATCAGAGTTCAGTTCCAGGCTCTAGCTCTGGATGGCATTTCTAGATATACCCTGGGACAGAAGGGAACTCCTTGCTTTGAAGGGAAGGATCCAGTCCTGGCAGGATTCATCACTTGCTAACTGAAGAGAGCTCTTGAAGTTCCAAATTCCAGGACTTGGTTCTTGGATGGCATTTCTAGACCTGCCCTGGGCCAGATGGGAGCCCACTACCCTGAAAGGTGAGTCCCAGGCCAGACAGCATTCACTACAAGCTGGCTGAAGAGCTCTTGGGCCTTAAGGGAACATTGATAGTAGTGTGGCAATACTCCCCATGGGCCTGTGGTAGCAATGGCCACAGGGTAAGTCTCCTCTGCCTTTGGAAAAGAACAATGGGAAGGACTTTTTCTTGTGGTTTGAGTACCAGCTCAGCCACAGTAGAGTAGAACACGAGGTAGACTTCTAAGGTTTTCTACTCTAGTCTCTGGTTTCTGGACAGCACCTCTGGACCCACTCAGGGCCTGGGGACTTCTACTCTGAAGAGAAGAACACAGGCCTGGCTGGCTTTGCCACCTGCTGATTATAGAGCCCAGTGGCCTGGAGTGAACACAGGCCATAGCCAGGGAGTTGTTACAGCAGGCCTTGGGCGAGATCCAGTGTGTGCCGGCTTCAAGACTGACCTAGCACAGTCCTACTAATGGTGGCCACAGGAGTGCTTGTGTCACTCCACCTCCAGCCCCAAGTGGCTCAGAACAGAGAGACTCCATTTGGGAGAAGGTAAGGGAAGAGAACAAGAGTCTCTACCTGGTACTCCAGGGAATCCTTCTATATCTTGTCCAAGACCATCAAGGTGGGATCTCTATGAGTCTGCAAGAACCACAGCATTGCTGGGCTTGGGATGCCTCCTAAAAGAGATACAACTTAGATCACAGCACCCAAGTCCTTTTGAATACCTGGAAAGCCTTCTCAAGAAGGCCAGGTACAAAAAAGTTCAGGCTGAGAATACTGCAATAAATACCCAACTCTTCATTGCTCAGATACAAATGAACATCTGCAAGTATGAAGACCATCCAGAAAAACATGGCCTCCCCAAATGAAGTAAAATAAGACACCAGGGACAAGTCCTGGAGAAATATAGATATGTCGTCTTTCAGACAGAGAATTCAAAATAGCTGTTTTGAGGAAACTCAAAGAAATTCAGATAATATAGAGAAGGAATTCAGAATTCAATCATACAAACTAAACAGAGAGATTGAAATTACTGAAAAGAATCAAGCAGAAATTCTGAAGCTGAAAAGTGTAACTGGCATACCGAAGATTGCATCAGAGTCTTTAAATAGCAGAATTAATCAAGCAGAAGAAACAATTAGTGAGTTTGAAGATAGGCAATTTGAAAATACAGTCAGAGGAGACAAAAGAAAAAAGAATAAAGAATAAAAAACAATAAAGCATGCCAACAAGATCTAGGAAATAGCCTTAAAGAGGCAAATCTAAGGGTTATTCACCTTAAAGAGGAGGTAGAGAAAGAGATAGGAGTAGGAAGTTTATTCAAAGGGATAATAACAAAGAGCTCCCCAAACCTAGAGGAAGATATCAATATTGAAGTACCAAAAGGTTATAGAACACCAAGCAAATTTAACCCAAGGAAGACTACCTTAAGGCATTTAATAATCAAACTCCCGAAGGTGAAAGATAAAGAAAGGATGTTAAGAGTAGCAAGAGTAAAGAAATAAATAACATACAATGGAGCTCCAATATGTCTGGCAGAAGATTTTCAGTTGAAACCTTATAGGCCAGGTGGGAGTGACACGACTTTAAATATGCCATAGTTTAAATATATACTATTCTAGGGTACAACAAATTACCCTAAAATAGTATAGCTAGTGAAAACATCCTTTAAACATGAAGGAGAAATAAAGACCTTCCCAGAATACAGAGGACAAGATGGCTGACTAGACACAGACAAGTGGAACAGCTTCCATGGAGGGGCTGAGACAACTGGAATGCTTTTAACAGATCTTCAGAGGGAAGTCGCTGAGGGTGGAAGGAGGAAAGACAGAGAAGCTGGGGTGAGGGGAGAGAAATCTGGGAACCCAGCACAGGCTACTGCACACTGGGACTCATTTTTGAAACACAACAGCTCAGGGGGAACCGGTGAGAGGAACTGGCAAGGAGCAACCTGCTCTTGCCACATGCCTGTGGGATCCTGGCAGAAGGGGACCCCTTCTGCCACCATGGACACTTGAGGTGTCAGAGAGAGCTGCTTAGAGAAGTGGCTGGAGCAGCAAGTCAGCTGATGTGGATCCCAGAGAGTTTGGTATGGGATTATCTGTAGTGGAGTATGGCCAGGGATGGCCATCCTCTTAGGTTTGACTTGTCCCCACAAGAGACTTTAGCCTTAGGTGAACTGTCAGACCTAATCTCTGCATGGTGGTCTTGCACATCAGATGGGGCTTGCCCAACCTGAGCACTCAGTGGTCTACTGGACTCTCCTGGGTCCCCAGCCTGGCCACACCTGCTTACAGGGAAGTTTTGGGTCCCTGGGGCCCAGATCATAGCTTCTGCACCAGAGGACCATGCCTGACCAGTGGAGAGTTCCAGCTAGGCAGCTACTACATCCCTGCAACAGCCCACATGCTCCCCGCTCATACTGCAGCTTCCTTTAGACCCACAGCAACTCCCCACATCAGTTTTCTGGTGCATGTCTACACAGGTGGATTTTGCTTTACTTGCCCCACCAGCATATAGGAATTCAGTCTGCCTCTCTCTCCCTGCCAACCACCATTGCAGATGGACCCTCGTGGGCACAGGGCCAGCAAGCCCCACTACCACCAGCACCCTGCCTTTGCACTAACACAACACAAAGAACAGCAGATCTTCCCACATCCTAAGTGATCATTCCTGCTTGCAGGGCACAGAGAAGACACCCAGACCTGCACTGGCCAGCCCTTGACCCCCAAGCCAACACTACCTCCAGTACAACTATGCACACTGTCTCCAACAGGACCCCCCACCAGCTGCATTGCCTCCACCAATATGGTGAATGCCCATAGTGAGGATGGAACCCCTGCATCTGCCAGCACTCTGTTGAAGCTGCCACACCTTGGCCCTCCCAGCACAGTGGACTCCAAACCTTGAGGAGCCAGAGTACCAAGTCAAGGCCTAATACAAGTCCCCCAGAGTTAGAGCATGCAGTTTTAGGGTTGGGAGCTGAGTGTTGACCCCCTAAAATCTCCCCAAAATGAAACCAGTCAGCTGAATCCACTTTATACCACAATCAAACCTTCAAGGTCATCAAAGAGGGTAAAAGAGAAAAAGAAATCCAAAGGTCAGCAACCTCAAAGTTTGAAGGTAGATAAGCCCGCAAGATGAGAAAGAATTGGCACAAGAATACTGAAAACTCAAAAAGCCACAGTGCCTTCTTTTCTCCAAATGACCATATCACCTCTTCAGCAAGAGTTCGGAACTAGGCTGAGATGGCCAAAATGACAGAAATAGAATGCAGAATATGGATGGGAATGAACATCATTGAGCTACAGGAGTACATTGAAACCCAGTACAAGGAAGCTAACAATTAGGATAAAACAATGCAGGAGCTGACAGACAAAATAGCCAGTATAGAAAATAATGTAACTGACCTGATAGACCTAAGAAAACACACTACAAGAATTTTATAATGCAAGCACAAGTATTAATAACAGAATAGACCAAATTGGGGAAAGAATCTCAGAGCTTAAAGACCATCTTCCTGAGATAAGACAGGCAGGCAGGCAAAAATAGAGAGAAAAGAATGAAAAGGAATCAACAAACCTCCGAGAAACATGGGATTATATAAAGAGACCAAATCTACAACTAGTTCATTTCCCTGAAAGAGATGGGAAGAATGGAACCAAGTGGAAAACGTATTTCAGGATATCATCCAGGAGAACTTCCCCAACCTAGCTAGAAAGGCCAACATGCAAATTCAGGAAATGTAGAGAACCCCAGTGAGATACTTCACAAGAAGATCATCCCAAAGACATAATCATCAGATTCTCCAAGGTCAAAATGAAAGGAAAACTCTTAAAAGCAGCTCTAGAGAGAAAGGTCAGGTCACCTACAAATAGAATCCTATTAGACTAACAGTGGAACTCTCAGCTGAAACCCTTTAAGCCAGAAGAGATTGGGAGCCAGTATTCAAAATTCTTTTTTAAAAAAGAAATTCCAAACCAAAATTTTATATACAGCCAAACTAAGATTCGTAAGTGAAGGAGAAAGAAGATCCTTTCCACACAAGCACATGCTGAGGGAATTTGTTACTATCAGATGTGCCTTACAAGAGCTCCTGAAGGAAGCACTAAATATGGAAAGGAAAGACCATTACCAGCCACTACAAAAACACTAAAGTACACAGACCAGTGACACTATAAAGCAACCATATAAATAAGCCTTCAAAATAACCAGCTAACATCATAATTATGGGATCAAATCCACACATATCAGTATTAACCTTAAATGTAAATGGGTTAAATGCCCCAATTAAAAGACACAGAGTGGCCAATTGGATAAAGAACCAAGACCGAGTGGTATGCTGTCTTCAAGAGACCCATCTCACATGCAATGACACATAGGCTCAAAATAAAGAGATGAAGAAAAAATTTACCAAGCAAATGGAAAATGGAAGAGCAAGGGTTACAGTCCTAGTTCTTGACAAAACAGACTTTAAACCAACAATGATCAAAAAAGACAAAGAAAGGTATTACATAATGGTAAAGTGTTCAATTCAAAAAGAAAATCTAACTATCCTAAATATACATCCACCCCAATACAGGAGCACCCAGATTCATAAAGCAAGTTCTTAGAGACCTTGAAAGAGACTTAGACTTCCACACAATAATAGTGGGAGACTTTAACACCCCACTGACACTATTAGACAGATCATCGAGACAGAAAATTAACAAAGATATTCAGGACCTGAACTCAGAACTGGATCAAAGGGACCTGATAGATATCTACAGAACTCTCTACCCCAAAACAACAGAATATACGTTCTTCTCATCATATGGCACATAGTCTAAAATTAATCACATAATCGGTGGTAGAACACCCTGAGCAAATGAAAAGGATCTGAAATCATGAAAAGCTCTCAGACCACAGCACAATCAAAATAGAATTCAATATTAAGAAATTCACTCAAAATCACACAACTACATGGAAATTGAAAAACCTGCTCCTGAATGACTTTTGGGTAAATAACAATATTAAGGCAGAAATTGAGAAGTTCTTTGAAACTAATGAGAACAAGATACAGCATACCAGAATCTCTGCAACACAGCTAAGGCAGTGTTAAGAGGGAAATTTATAGCACTAAATGCCCACATCAAAAAGTTAGAAATATGTCATATTAACCTAACATTACAACTAAAAGAACTAGGGAACCAAGAGAATATAAACCCAAAGCCAGCAGAAGACAAGAAATGACCAAAACTAGAGCTGCATGAAAGAAAAAGACACACAAAAAAATCAAAAGATCAGTGAATCCAGAGGCTGGTTTTTTGAAAAAATTAATAAAATAGACCACTAGCTACATTAATAAAGAAGAAAAGAGAAAATTCAAATAAACACAATCAGAAACAATAGGGGGATGTGACCACTGATCCCATAGAAATACAAACAACCATCAGAGAATATTATGAATACCTCTATGCACATAAACTAGAAAATCTAGACAAAATGAAGAAACTCCTGGACACATACACTTCCCAAGACTGAACCAGGAAGAAATTAAATCCCTGAACAGATCAATAACAAGCTCTGAAATTGAGGCAGTAATAAAATAGCCTACAAACTAAAACAAAACCCAGGACCAGATGAATTTACAGCTGAATTCTAACAGATGTACAGAGGTGATCTGGTATCATTCTTACTGGAACTAGCCCAAAAACTTAAGAAGGATGGACTCCTCTCTAACTTATTCCATGAGACCAGCATTATCCTGATACCCAAACCAGGCAGGGATACAACAACAACAAAAAAAGAAAACTTCAGGGCAATATCCTTGATGAACATTCTTGGAAAAAAAAACCTCAACAAAATGCTGGCAAACCAAATCAAGCAGCACGTCAAAAAGCTTATCCACCACAACCAAGTAGGCCTCATCCCTGGGATGCAAGGTTGGTTCAACATACACAAATCAATAAAGGTAATTCATCATATATACAGTACTAAAGACAAAAAAACACATGATTATCTCAATAGATGCAGGAAAGCTTTTGATAAAATTCAACATTTTTCATGTTAAAAACTCTCAATAAACTGCGTATTGAAGGCACATACCTCATATTAATAAGAGCCATATATGACAAACCCACAGCCAACATCATTGTGAATGGGCAACAGCTGGCAAAAGTTTTCAAGCATTCCCTTTGAAAACTGGCACAAGACAAGGATGCTGTATCTCACCACTCCTATTCAACATAGAATTGGAATCCTGGACAGGGAAATCAGGCACAAGAAAGAAATAAAGGACATCAAAATAGGAAGAGAGAAAGTCAAAGTAACCATGTTTGCAGATGATATGATCCTATATCTAGAAAATCCCCTAATCTCAGCCCAAAAGCTTATTAAGCTACTAAAGAACTTCAGCAAAGTCTCAGGATACAAAATCAGTGTGCAAAACTCACTAGCATTCCTATACACCAACAACAGTCAAGCTGAGATCCAAATCAGGAACATAGTCCCATTCACAATTACCACAAAAAGAAAAAAATACCTACAAATACAGCAAAGTAGGGAGGTGAAAGATCTCTACAAGGAGAACTACAAAACACTGCTCAAATAAATCGGAGATGACACAAACAATTGGAAAAACATTACATGCTCATGGTTAGGAAGAATCAATTTCACTAAAATGGTCATACTGCCCAAAGTAATTTACAAATTCAATGCTATTCCTATTAAACTACCACTGAGATTCTTCACAAAACTAGGAAAAAAAACTGTTTTAAAATTCATATAGAACCATAAAAAGAGCCCAAATGACCAAGAGCCCTAATAATAAAAAAAAAAAAAAAGCAAAGCTGGAGGCATCATGCTACATGACTTCAAACTACACTACAGGGCTACAATAACCAAAACAGCATGGTACTGGTACAAAAACAGACACATAGACCAATAGAACAGAATAGAGAACCCAGAAATAAGGCCATACACCTACAACTATCTGATCTTTGATGCAGCTGACAAAAACAAGCAATGGGGAAAGGACTCCTTATTCAATAAATGGTGCTGGGATAACTGGCTAGCCGTATGCAGAAGATTGAAACTGTACCCCTTGCTTACACCATATACGAAAATTAAGTCAAGATAGATCAACGACTTAAATGTAAAACCCAAACCTATAAAAACCCTGGAAGACTACCTAGGCAATACCATTCAGGACATAGGCATGGGCAAACATTTCATGATGAAGCAATTGCAACAGAAGCAAAAATTGACAAATGGGATATAATTAAAGAGTTTCTGCACAGCAAAAGAAACCAGCAACAAAGCAAACAGAAAACCTACAGAATGGAAAAAATTTTTGCTGACTATGCATCTGACAAAGGTATAATATCCAACGTCTACAAGGAACTTAAATTTACAAGAAAAAAAGAAACAACCCCATTAAAAAGTAGGCAAAGGACACGAAGAAGAACTTTGCAGCCAACAAACATATTTTTAAAAGCTCAGCATCGCTGATCACTAGAGAAATGCACATCAAAACCACAATGAGATATGACCTCACACCAGCCAGAATGGCTATTATTAAAAAGTTAAAAAAAAAAAAAAAAGGATGCTTGCAAGGTTGTGGAGAAAAGGGAATGGTTATACACTGTTGGTGGGAGTGTAAGTTAGTTCAACCATTGTGAAAAACAGTATGGCAAGTCCGTAAAGATATAAAGACAGAAATGCCATTCAACCTAGCAATCCCATTACTGGGAATATACCAAGAGAAATATAAATTATTCTATTATAAAGACACATGCATGTGTATGTTGATCACAGTGCTATTCACAATAACAAAGACAAGGAATCAACCTAAATGCCCATCAATGATAGACTGGATAAAGAAAATATGGAAGATATACATCATGGAATACTATGCAGCCATAAAAAAGAATGACAGCATGTTCCTCACAGTGATATGGATGGAACTAGAGGCCATTATCCTTAGCAAACTAACACAGAAACAGAAAACCAAATACTGCATATTCTCACTTATAACTGTGAGCTAAATGATGAGAACATGTGGACACCTAGAGGGGAACAACACACATTGGGGTCTATCCAAAGGTAAAGGCTGGGAAGAGGGAGATAATCAGGAAAAATAACTAATAGATACTAGGCTTAATACCTGAGTGATTAAATAATCAGTACAACAAACCCCCATATATTAAGTTTACCTATGTAACAAACCTGCATATGTATCCCTGAACTTAAAGGCCTGCCAGGTGAGGAGGGGGAGAGTATTAAGGAAAAGAGCTGATGCATGCTAAGCTTAATACCTAGGTGATGGGTTTATAGGTACAGCAAACCACAATGGTACACGTTTTCCTATGTAACACACCTGAACATCCTGCACATGTACCCCAGAACTTAATAATAATAAAAAGACCTTTTCAAGAAAAAGAAAAAGTCGAGGGATTTTATCAACATCTGTCCTACAAGAAGTGTTAAAAGGAGTATTTCAACCAGAAAGAAAGAAATTAATGAACAATAAATAATCACCTGAAGGTACAAAATTTACTGGTACTAGTAAGTACACAGGAAAACATGGAGTATTATAGCACTGTAACTATGATGTGTAAACTACTCTTATCCTAAGTAGAAAGACTAAACAATGAACCAATCAAAAATAATAACTACAACAACTTTTCAAGACATAGTACAATAAGATATAAATAGAAACAAAAAGATGTTAAAAAGCTGTGGGACAAAGTTACAGTGTAGAGTTTTTACTAGTTTTCTTTTTGCTTGTTTGTTTATACAAATAGTGTTAAGTTGTTATCAAGTTAAAAGAATGAGTTATAAGATCGAATTTGCAAGCCTCATGGTAACCTCAAACAAAAAAACATACAACAGGTACACAAAATATAAAAAGCAAGAAACTAAATCATATCACCAGAGAAAACCACCTACACTAAAAGCAAGACAGAAAGGAAAAAAAGAAGGGAGAGAAGCCCACAAAACAACCAGAAAACAAATAACAAAATGGCAGGAGTAAGTTCTTTCTTATCAATAGTAACATTGAATGTAAATGGACTAAACTCTCCAATCAAAAGATACAGAGTGGCTGAATGAATAAAAAACAAGACCCATTGATCTTTTGCCTACATGAAAGACATTTCACCTATGAGGAAACATATAGGCTGAAAACAAAGATAGTTCATGCTAATGGAAAAAGATAGTTCATGCTAATGGAAACCAAAAACGAGCAGGAATATCTATACTTAGATAAAATAAATTTCAAGACAAACTATAAGAAGAGACAAAGAAAGTCACTGTATAATGAAAAGGGGGTCAATACAGCAAGAGGATATAATGATAGTAAACATTTATGCACCCAATACTGGAGCACCCAGATATATAAAGCAAATATTATTAGAGCTAAACAGAGAGATAGACCCCCAATACAATAATAGCTAGAGACTTCAACACTTAAATTTCAGCACTGGACAGATCTTCCAGATGGAAAAGTCAACAAAGCAACACTGGACTTAATCTGCACTGTAGAAAAAATGGACCTAATAGAGATTTACAGAACATTTCTTCCAAAGGCTGCAGAATACATATTCTTTTCCTCAGCACATTGATCATTCTCAAGGACAGACCATGTGTTAGGTCACAAAACAAGACTGAAAACATTTTTTTAAATTGAAATACTACCAAGGATCCTCTCTGAACACAATGGAATAAAGCAAGACACAAATAACAAGGGGAATTTTTGAAACTACAAATACTTGAAAATTAAACAATGTGTTTCTGAATGATTAGTAGGTCAATGAAGAAATTAAGAGGAAAATTGAATATTTTTGTAAACAAATGATAACGGAAACAAAACATACCAAAATCTATGGGATACAGCAAAACAGTACTAAGAGGGATATAAGTGCCTACATTAATAAATAAGAAAAACTTCAAATAAACAAGCTAAAGATGCATCTTAAAGAACTAGAAAAACAAGAGGAAACTAAACCCAAAATTAATAGAAGAAAAGAAATAATAAAGATTGAGCAGAAATAAGTAAAATGAAGAAAACAATAAAAAAGATCAATGAAACAAAAAGTTGATTTTTGAAAAGTTAAACAACATTAATAAATTTTTAGCCACAGTAAAAAATAAAAGAAAGAAGATTCAAATAAACAAAATCAGAGGTGAAAAGGACTAAAACTGATACCACAGAAATTCAAAGGATCACTGGTGGGTACATGAGTAACCATATGCCAATAAATTGGAAATTTAGAAGAAATGGAAGAATTCCTAGACATATACAACCTAGCAAGATTGAACCAGGAAGAAATCCAAAACCTGAACAGACCAATTGCAAGTAAAAAGATTGAAGCTGTAAAAAAAGTCTCCCAGTGAAAAAAAGCCCAGGACCCAATGGCTTCACTGCTGAATTCTATGAAACATTTAAAGAACTAATACCAATCCTCTTGAAATTACTCTGACAAATAGAGGAGGAGGAAATACCTCCAAACATTGTATGAGTAAGGCCAGTATTACCATGATACCAAAACCAAACAAAACATATCAAAAAAAATTATAGGCCAATATATCTGATGATTATTGATATAAAAATCCTCAACAAAATACCAGCAAACTAGATTCAACAATATGTGAAAAAAATCATCATGACGAAGTGCAATTTATCTTTGGGATGTGTATTAGTCTGTTTTCATGCTGCTGATAAAGACATACCAGAGACAGGGCAATTTACAAAAGAAAGAGTTTTATTGGACTTACACTTCCACACAGATGGGGAGGCCTCACAATCATGGCAGAAGGCAAGGAGGAGCAAGTCACATCTTACATGGATGGCAGCAAGCAAAAAGAGAGCTTGTGCAGGGAAACTCCCATTTTTAAAACCATCAGATCTCACTCGTGTTCTCACTATCACGAGAACAGCATGGGAAAGACCCACCCCCATGATTCAATCATTTTCCACCAGGTCCCTCCCACAAAACATGGGAACTATGGGAGCTACAAGATGAGATTTGGGTGACAACACAGAGCCAAACCATATCATTCCACCCCTGACCCCTCTCAAATTTCTTATCTTCACATTTCAAAACAAGTTATGCCTTCCCAACAGTCTCCCAGAGTCTCAACTCATTTCAGCATTAACTCAAAATTCCACAGTCCAAAGTCTCATCCAAAACAAGGCAAGTCCCTTCTGCCTATGAGCCTGCAAATTCAAAAGCAAGTTAGTTACTTCTTAGATACAATGGGGGCACAGACACTGGGTAAATATAGCTGTTCCAAATGGGAGAAATTGGCCAAAACAAAAGGGCTGCAGACCCCATGCGAGTCTGAAATCCAGCAGGGCAGTCAAATCTTAAAGCTCCAAAATGATCCCCTTTGACTCCATGTCTCACATCCAGGTCACACTGATGCAAGAGGTGGGTTCCCATGGTTTTGGGCTGCTCCATCCCTGTGGCTTTGCAGGGTATAGCTCCCCTCTTGGCTGCTTTCATGGGCTGGCATTGAGTGTCTGCAGCTTTTCCAGGCACACGGTGCAAGCTGTCAGTGGATCTACCATTCTGGGGTCTGGAGGACACTGGCCCTCTTCTCATAGCTCTACTAGGTGGTGCCCCAGTGGGGACTCTGTGTGGGGGATCAGACTCCACATTTCCCTTCCACACTGTCCTAGCAGAGGTTCACCATAAAGGCCCCACCCCTGCAGCAAACTTCTGCCTGGGCATCCAGTGTTTCCATACCTCTGAAATCTAGGCAGAGGTTCCCAAACCTCAATTATTGACTTCTGTGCACCTGTAGCTTCAACACCACATGGAAGCTGCCAAGGCTTGGGGCTTCCACCCTCTGAAGCAACAGCCCAAGCTGTATCTTGGCCTCTTTTAGTCATGGCTGGAACAGCTGGGACAGAGGGCACCAAGTCCCTAGACTGCACACAGCAGAGGAAACTTGGGCCCAGCCCAAAAAAACATTATTTTTCCTAGGTCTCTGGGTCTGTGGTAGGAGGGGCTGCTGCAAATGTCTCTGACATTTTGCCCTGGAGACATTTTCCCCATTGTCTTGGTGATTAACATTTGGCTTCTCATTATTTATGCAAATTTCTGCAGCCAGCTTGAATTTCTCCTCAGAAAATGGAATTTTCTTTTCTATCGCATTGTCAAGCTGCAAATTCTTTAAACTTTTATGCTCTGCTTCCCTTATGAAACTGAATTCCACAAATCTCTAGGGCAGGGGCAAAATGCTGTCAGTCTCTTTGCTAAAACATAACAAGAGTCACCTTTGCTCCAGTTCCCAATAAGTTCCTCATCTCCATCTGAGACCACCTCAGCCTGGACCTTATTGTTTGTATCATGATTAGCATTTTAAGCAAAGCTACTCCAGAAGTCTACAGGAAGTTCCAAACTTTCCCACATTTTCCTGTTTTCTTTTGAGCCGTCCAAACTGTTCCAACCTCTGCCTGTTACCCAGTTCCAAATTCTCTTTCACATTTTTGGGTATCTCTTCAGCAGTGTCCCACTCTACTGGTACCAATTTACTGTATTAGACCATCTTCACACTGCTGATAAAGACATACCTGAGACTGGGCAATTTACAAAAGAAAGAGGTTTATTGGACTTACAGTTCCACATGGCTGGGGAGGTCTCACAATCATGGCAGAATGCAAGGAGGAGCAAGTCACATCTTACGTAGATGGCAGGAAGCAAAAAGAGAACTTGTGCAGGGAAACTCCCCTTTTTAAAACCATCAGATCTCATGAGACCCATTCACTATCATGTGAACTGCATGAGAAAGACCTACCCCCATGATTCAGTCATTTTCCACCAGGTCCCTTCCACAACACATGGGAATTATGGGAGCTACAAGATGAGATTTGGGTGGGGACACAGAGCCAAACCATATTGGGATGCAAGGATGGTTCAACATTCACATATAAATCAATATGAGAAAACATAATGAAGACAAAAAACATTATCACTTCAACTGATGCTGAAAAAGCATTTGATAAAATTCAACATCTCTTCATGATAAAAACCCTCAAAAACTGGGTGTAGAAGGAACATACCTCAACATAATGAGAGCCATAAATGACAGATCCACAGCTAGTATCATGCTGAATTGGGAAAAACTGAAAGGCTTTCCTATAAGATCTAGAACATAACAAGAATGCCCACTTTCACCGCTGTCATTCAACATAGTACTGGGAGGCCTAACTAGAGCAATCAGACAAGAGAAAGATATAAAGGGTATCCAAATTGGAGGAAGAAGTTAAATTATCCTTGTTTGCAGATGATATGATTTTATTTTTGTAAAAACCTGAATGATCCACCAAAAAATTATTAGAACTGATAAACTAATTCAGTAAAGTTGCAGGATGCAAAATCAACACAGAAAAATAAGTAGCATTTCTATATGCCAACAGTGAACAATCTGAAAAAGAAATTTAAAAAGTAATCCCATTTACAACAGCCACAAATTAAAATTGAATACCTAGGAATTAACCAAAGCAGTGAAAGATCTCTATAATGAAAACTATAAAACACTGATGCAAGAAATTGAAGAAGACACACACAAAATAAAAATATATCCCATATTCATGGATTGGAAGAATCAATATTTTTAAAATGTCCATATTACACAAAACAATCCACAGATTGAATGTAATCTCTATCAAAATACCAATGACATTCTTCACAGAAATAGAAAAAAAAAATCCTAACAATTATATAGAACCACAGAAGTTCCAGAATAACAAAAGCTATCCCAAGCAAAAAGAACAAAACTGGAGGAATCACATTACCTGACTTCAAATTATATTACACAGTTATAGTAAGCAAATCAGCATAGTACTGGCATAGAAACAGACACACAGACAAATGGAACAAAACAAAAAGCCTAGAAACAAATCCACATACCTACAATGAACTCATTTTCAACAAAGGTGTCAAGAACATACACTGGGGAAAAGACAGTCTCTTCAATGAATGGTACTGGGAAAACTGAATATCCATATGCAGAAGAATGAAACTAAACCCCTATCTTATGCTATATGAAAAATCAAATCAAAATGGATTAAAGGTTTAAATCTAAGACTTCAAACTATGAAACTACCACAAGGAAACTTTGGTGAAACTCTTCAGGACATTGAGATGGACAAAAATTTCTTAATACCCCGCAAGCACCAGCAACCAATGCAAAAATGGACAAATGGGATCACATCAAGTTAAAAACTTCTGCATGGCAAAGGAAACAATCAAAAAAGTGAACAGATAACTCACAGAATGGAAGAAAATATTTGTAAACTACCCACCTGACAGGGGATTAAAAAACAGAATATATAAGGAGTTCAAACAACTCTATAGGAAAAAAAATCTAATCATAAGATTGAAAAATAGGCAAAAGATCTGAACAAAGATTTCTCAAAAGAAGTCATACAAGTGGCAAACAGGCATATGAAAAGGTGTTTAACATCACTGATCATCAGAGAAATGCAAATCAAAACTACAATAAGATATCATCTCACCCCAGTTAAAATGGCTTATATCCAAAACACAGGCAATAAAAAATGCTGGCAAGGATGTAGAGAAATGAAACCCTTGCACACTGTTGGTGAGAATGTAAATTAGTACAATGACTATGGAGAGCAGTTTGGAGATTCCTCAAAAAACTAAACATAGAGCTACCATATAATACAGCAATCCTACTGCTGGGTATACACCCAAAAAAGAAGAAAATTAGTATATCAAAGAGATATCTGCACTGCCATGTTTGTTGTAGCACTGTTCACAATTACCAAAATTTGGAAGCAACCTAAGTGTCCATCAACATGTGAATGGATAGAAAAATGTGTTACCTATACACAGTGAAGTATTAATACTATTCATCCATAAAAAAGAATGAGATTCTGTCATTTGCAACAACATAGTTGGAACTGGAAGTCATGCTAAGTGAAATTAGCCATGCACAGAAAGACAAACATCATATGTTCTCATGTATTTGTGAGATTTAAAAATCAAAACAATTGAACTCATGGATATAAAGAATAGAAGTATGGTTACCAGAGGCTGGAAAGGGTGGTCGTGGGTAGAGGTGGTGATGGTTAATGGGTACAAAAATAGTTAAAAAGAATGACTAAGACCTTGCATTTGATAGCACAACAGGGTGACTATAGTCAATAATAATTTAATTGTACATTTAAAAATAACTAAAAGAGTATAATGAGATTGTTTTTACCACAAAGGATAAATGCTTGAGGGCATAGATACCCCATTTTACATGATGTGCTTATTATGCATTGCACACCTGTATCAAAACATCTCATGTCTCCCATAAATATATTCACCTGAGTACCCACAAAAATTAAAATAAAAATTTAAAAGATAAAATACCTGTTTGTCAACCCCCCAAAAAAGAACATTACTTAAACATATTCAACTTAAACCAACTATAAATACTTATGCTTGTAACACGCAAGTACTAAAATTTCCAGTTAAAAACAAACCAAATTTCAAAACCAACGAAATTCAAATGAACATGAATTAAAGCTGAATTATGATGTGTTTTGCTAAAAATAGATTACTTCTTCACAATATGACATGATTCTGATATAAATGACACTATATATTCCCTTGTCTGACACCTATAGCCCACTATACGCTCACGGCTAGTGGGCTACTGTCTAGAACATTCACATATGTCTGCCTCTATAAATTGAATTGTATGCCTGCCAAGAGTTTGTTGTCTTCCTCTATTTCCACCCCAGACATGTTATGCCAGTTGTACTTGTTAATTTAAATATGAAATTTAATTAAGTATTTCACAAACTGATAAATAATTATGAGAAGAAAGAGAAGGGTGGTTTCCATTTTAAAAATCTGTTGGCTCTTTGGGAAAAATTTGAATGGTTAAATTGTTATATTATGTATAGATGAGACAAATATAAAATATTGACCCCCAAAAATTAAAAAATCTGAGATGTAATAATTGTTTCACAATGGATTTAAGTCCCCTCTCCATTTGAGAAAAGCAGTAGTATTATGAGTATGAATTATTTAAAAAATAGATTATGGAATCTAGACATTGGGCTCACATAAAAGACCTTGGCCCTGTATCAAAATGCAGGTAAATAAAGGTACATTTAAATGACTTACATTTAAATGCTTAAGATAGATGCTACTTTGTCGTGTTTTTATTAACACAACCAAACTTTCATTTGTTCAATGCCATTTGCAAGAATACAACTCTACTTATGGAATCTACTTTCATCAGGTTTTCTTATTATTCCATGACAACACAGATAGTACCTTTCTTTGTTGTAGTATGTGTTATGGTTTGAATATGTCTGTCTCCTCCAAAATTCATGTTAAAACTTAATCTCCTAAATTCAGATATTGCCAATGTGATGGCATTAGGACATGGGGCCTTTAAGAGAGGATTCGGTCATGAAGGCTCATTCCTCATTAATGGGATTAAGGCCCTCATAAAAGAGGCTTCACACAGGATTTAGCTCACTTGCCCTCCTGCCTTTTGCTATGAGAGGATGCAGCAAGAGGGCCCTCACAAGACCAAATGCCTATAACTTGATCTTGCACTTCCCAGCCACCAAAACAGAGAGAAATAACTTTCTCCTCTTTTTAAGTTACCCAGTCTGTTGTATTCTGTTATAGCAGAACAAAAGGACTAAGACATTATAGAATCCTAAGCAAAAAATGTGGGATTTGCAAGTGATTGGCAGTTATTTCTTGTTTATAAGATGGTCTTCCCAAACATATTTGGTATTACTTTTCATTATTATTATAAAAATAAAATTTAAAATTTCTTGTAGAAAACATATACACCCCAATGAATGTATCTGTATGAGAAAGTATATTAGGATATATACTGGATATATCTCCAGGAAACCACTGAAAGGTCTATTCCACCATGTTTACCTAACTTTCACAAAGTTTTAGAGTCAGTTAGGGACAGATAAAGTGATAGGGTGAAAATGGAAGATTTCTTTTTTTTTTTAATCTTTCTTTTTTTTGCCATTTAATTTTTTTCTTTTGGATGAGTTCATGTCCTTTGTAGGAAGATTTCTATCTTTAAAGAAAAGGATTAAACTCTTACTAGACTCTTCAGTTTTATCATTAAAAACTGATGTTTTTAATACCTCCTATAATGTAAAATGTTAAAAGAACTACATTTTTTTAAATAAATGTATTGTGGGGGAAGAACAATTTTTCTTCAAACTTCATAGGTTCTTAGTTGGAAAAGACCCCTGTATCAAAAGACAAATTAACAAGAGAAAAACAATCATAAGTTTGTTAACATACATATTTCATATACACGTGGGAGACACCCAGAAAATGAGTAGCTTTCAAAGAGGTGGCTGTGAATTCCAACTTATATAGCATCTTCAACAAAGAGCCATACATTTTTAGCGAAGTAACAGGTCAAAAGGAAGGAACTTTGTGTCTTTAGAGGTAGCAATGTAGGGGGAAGGCAAATAACTGGCAGATAAAGGCTGGTTAGTAAAGCTTGTTAATGTAGATTCCTCTGTTGCCATGACCAGGCTAAGAGTCCAAAGTTGTTGGTACTTAACTTTGTTCTCCCTCGTAGAACAGCAGGAAAGGGCAGCAGGATACCTTTTGTCTTCGTAAATCTATGAAACAAATGAAGGACAGAGAGCTTTCCTTATCTGCCTCTTCTTGATTTCTGCTCAACAAACCTCTATATTTTAACAAGGCATATTCTGGTCTCCCATAGTATTCACAGATGTTAATATGAATACACATGAATGTAAATGTTTAAAAAGGTATGACACAGCTGAAAGAAGTATAAATAATATTACCTTTTAAAGGCAACTTGACTGTGGATAACAAAGCCTTATAATTTTTCATCTATATTGACCTAATAAGTCTACTTCTTAAGATCTATCTCAAGGATATATACTGTGCACAGAGATGTGAACAAAGAGTTAGTAATAGTGGTATGCTTTATATACACAAAGCATTAAGCATATAAAAACAGTTAAAATGAAGGCTTAAATAAATTATGGTAAGTTCCAAACAATGGTATATTATGCAGAAATAAAAATCATACTATGCAAGGATATTGTTATTGAAAGGTGTTTTGTTTTATGCCATTTAATGAAAGAAGCATGATAAAAAATAAATATGGGATCATGTTATATATTTAAATATATATATATATACATAGAAATCTGGAGAGCATACACAAAAATGTTAAGATAAATTAAGAGAAAGGCACATTGCATCTGTGGTATTCTTGCCAAAAAATGCATAATTTCAATGCAATGTGGGAAAGTATCAGACAAAATAAATTGAGACAGTCTAAAATGTAACTTAACAGTACTGTCCAAAAAGTATCAAGACTATGAAAGACATGGGGAGAATAAGGAACTTTCAGATTGGAGAAAATTAAGAAAATGTAAGAAATAATTGCAACGTGAAATTGTGGACTGGATCTAATAACAGACAAAGGACATTAGTGAAAAAAGGGTGAAATTCAAAATTAAGTCTATAGTTTAATTAACAGAATTGCATCAATTTTATTTCATGGTTTTCATCATTGTACTATAGTTACGTAAGATGCTAACACTAGAAGAAGTTCACTGGGAAATTCTCTACTTATTTTCTGATCAATATTTCCTAAATCTAAAATTATTTCAAAATGAATTTTTTTAAAAAATATAAATGTTAGAAACATAAAGTTAAGAAAATTTCTCAAAAATTTGATCAAGGACAAAGAGATGAAAAATAAACAATAAGAATAAATTTAGAGGGCTTGTCTAGGAAAAGTGAAGAAAAAGAAAAAAAATGAGTAAATCATAAATAATTCAAGAAAACTTTCCAGAATAATTGAAGGATATATTTTCCAGACTGAAAGGACCTACCAGTTTCCAGTACATCCACACTAGGAAACATCACCATATTTTAGAATATAGGGGGTGACAGGAAGATTTTTCCAACTTTGAAGAGAGAAAAATCCATAGGTTGCACATAAGGGATCAAAACTGAGAATGGCATCAGACTTTTCAAGACATTTTCAAAATTTTAAAGGTTTATTATAAGGTTTTAATATCTGTACTCAAATTTCTATCCTGAAAGTAAATGTCAGATTTTGGAAGCAGAATTCATAGTTGCTATTATAGCAATCACTGCAAGAGTTCCCCATCCCCAGTATCTACACAAAACATGATGAAAGCCACGTCACCCTGCACATATGAGAATCTGCCTGAAATTATCTGGGGGGCTTATACAGGCCACCAGTGGCCCTATCATCATCTGAGAGAAGCAGAGAAACCTTTGCTCCCTAGTCATTCCTCATCCTTTGGAACATGAATAACTGGCTCTTGGGGTCATCCCCCTTTGAAATTTGAATGCATTTGGAGGTAAGTCTCTAAATCTTTCTGCAAGTCTCTGGCTATTCAATTTTACCCTTCCCAGGCTAGTTTCTCAACGTAGGTGTTATTAAAAGCACTCGGAAAGCCCTAACTATGGAGAAACATGAAATTATTCACTTCCCTACAAATTATTTTCTACCCCCAGCCAAACCATCAATAAAGCATGAAGGCAAAATGGACCTCAAAAAGTTCACCTCTCATTCACTCTTCCAATTGAGGATGTGTTTGAATTATTCCATTCTTGCACTGCTCTAAAGACATCCCTGAGACTGGGTAATTTTTAAAGAGCTTTAGTCGGCTCACGATTCTGCAGACTGTACAGGCTTCTCCCTCTGTGGAGGCCTCAGGAAACTTACAATCATGGCAGAAGGCAAAGGGGGAGCAAGCACATCTTCACATGGCCAGTAGGAGGGAGATGGTGCTACACACTTTTTTTTTTTTTTTTTTGAGACGGAATCTCGCTCTGTCACCCAAGCTGGAGTGCAGTGGCACAATCTGGGCTCACTGCAAGCTCTGCCTCCCGGGTTCACACCATTCTCCTGCCTCAGCCTCCCAAGTAGCTGGGACTGCAGGTGCCTGCCACCACACCTGGCTAATCTTTTTTGTATTTTTTTAATAGAGACGGGGTTTCACCGTGTTAGCCAGGATGGTCTCGATCTCCTGACCTCATGATCCACCCGCCTTGGCCTCCCAAAGTGCTGGGATTACAGGCATGAGCCACCATGCTCAGCCAGTGCTACACACTTTTAAACAAGCAGATCACAGGAGAATGCTGTCACAAGACAGCACTATGAGCATGGTGCTAAACAATCATGGGAGCTAAATTGCCCCCATGATCTAATCACCTCCTATTAGGCCCCACATCCAATATTAGGGATCACAATTCAACATGAGATTTTGGTGGGGACACAGAGCCAAACCATACCATTGTTCTTTCACCAAAACAAGAGAACAAATCAGGAAAAGACAAGGTGAGATCTATAGTTGGTAATCCAATTCAAGAATGGAGTTCTAGAATAATGGTCAAGGGAGGCCCAGAATATCAGTGCCCAGCACTCTCTGAGATGAAGTTCTTCAAACAGATGCAAATGATGTAATACCTCACAACTGACATACGGACAGGAGACTTAGACAACTAGCACAGAGTTTAGGGTGGAATTACTGGTATACACATAAAAACCTAAGGAAACAAAAGTTCTTAGCTGCAGGGAAACAACTTGCAAGCAAGGAAAATATATCATAGTATGCTAGGTGGCTCAGCTGCAACAGCATTTACATATCGCAATCCTATAAACAATGAATTTTGATTTAACAAAATGATGATGAAACTGTACTAGCAGTACAGGAGGAACACAAATGTATATATGTACAAGATGTAAGGAAGGTAAAGATCTTCATAGGAAGTCAATAGATTTAAGTCTAAATTTGAGAAATAAAACAAGCAACATAATAGAGAAAAATACCAAATTTAGCGCTAAAAATAGTTGAAATTGAACAAGCATTAATCTCTCCCACTTAAGGAGGTAGTTTCTAATTCCTAGAAACTATAATTATTTTCTTCCAGGTAAATATTATAAATCTATTCCATTTAGTGCTTTTCTCAAAGCATTTTTCTACATTTCTGCAATATAGGAGGGCAGATTATACTATTTAAAAGCCAAAATAAAACTGAACTTTAGAAGTGACCTATTTTGACGTAATGGGATTTGACCTGTGATAATAATGTAAAACATAATGCAATAACTTTTCTTTTCTTTTTTGGGGAGGGTAGGGGGAGAGTGGTGAATAGTAAGACCAGAACACTAATAATGTGACAGCTGTGAAAATAAATCTGTGTAACTGTAATACCTCCTCCCTCCTACTTGCTCTGCAAGCAGACCTAGGCCTTAATTAATTCCAAGAAGGGATAGAGAGCAAATGTCAGATTCCGACAACAGATACAACTGCTTTATGTGCAAAAGGATGGTAGAGGAAAAGGTTGAAGGAATAGTGGAAATACTTGGGAAAATATTTATGTAGGTGTGGTGTTATAGAGAGATACAGATGATATCTCATTGTGGTTTTGATTTGCATTTCTCTGATGGCCAGTGATGGTGAGCATTTTTTCATGTGTTTTTTGGCTGCATAAATGTCTTCTTTTGAGAAGTGTCTGTTCATGTCCTTCGCCCACTTTTTGATGGGGTTGTTTGTTTTTTTCTTGTAAATTTGTTTGAGTTCATTGTAGATTCTGGATATTAGCCCTTTGTCAGATGACTAGGTTGTGAAAATTTTCTCCCATTTTGTGGGTTGCCTGTTCACTCTGATGGTAGTTTCTTTTGCTGTGCAGAAGCTCTTTAGTTTAATTAGACCCCACTTGTCAATTTTGGCTTTTGTTGCCATTGCTTTTGGTGTTTTAGACATGAAGTCCTTGCCCATGCCTATGTCCTGAATGGTATTGCCTAGGTTTTCTTCTAGGGTTTTTATGGTTTTAGGTCTAACATTTAAGTCTTTAATCCATCTTGAATTGATTTTTGTATAAGGTGTAAGGAAGGGATCCAGTTTCAGCTTTCTACATATGGCTAGCCAGTTTTCCCAGCACCATTTATTAAATAGGGAATCCTTTCCCCATTGCTTGTTTTTCTCAGGTTTGTCAAAGATCAGATAGTTGTAAAAAGTCAGGAAACAACAGGTGCTGGAGAGGATGTGGAGAAATAGTAACACTTTTACACTGTTGGTGGGACTGTAAACTAGTTCAACCATTGTGGAAGTCAGTGTGGCGATTCCTCAGGGATCTAGAACTAGAAATACCATTTGACCCAGCAATCCCATTACTGGGTATATACCCAAAGGACTATAAATCATGCTGCTATAAAGACACATGCACACGTATGTTTATTGCGGCACTATTCACAATAGCAAAGACTTGGAACCAACCCAAATGTCCAACAATGATAGACTGGATTAAGAAAATGTGGCACATATACACCATGGAATACTATGCAGCCATAAAAAAGGATGAGTTCATGTCCTTTGTAGGGACATGGATGAAATTGGAAATCATCATTCTCAGTAAACTATTGCAAGAACAAAAAACCAAACACCGCATATTCTCACTCATAGGTGGGAATTGAACAATGAGAACACATGGACACAGGAAGAGGAACATCACACTCTGGGGATAGCATTGGGAGATATACCTAATGCTAGATGACGAGTTAGTGGGTGCAGCACACCAGCATGTCACATGTATACATAGTAACTAACCTGCACATTGTGCACATGTACCCTAAAACTTAAAGTATAATAAAAAAAAAAGAGAGATACAGATATAGGTTTTTGTCCACAGTTCTTGGCTCACAACTTCCATAGCCCTTGTTATAGTTTTTTGTTATAATGTTGGGTGTGTCGGGCCTCAGGAAATAGAATCTCTCTGACCTTCTGTCCTTCTTTCACCTGTCCCAAGGCAGGACTCTAATATTCCCCCGCCTTTCCAGTTGCAGGTCATGAGATCATAATTCCAGAGAGGGTCTTACCTCATACCCTGGAGGCCAATCACATTTCCACATGGTAGTCCATAAAAACCCAAGAGGACTTGGTTGGGGAGCCTCTGGGGAGCTAAAAGGGGGTTCCTGGAGGATGGCACCCAGGGAGTGCATGGAAGCTCCATGCTCCTTTCTCCATACCTCACCCTACACATCTCTTCATCTGTATCTTTGGAAGTATCCTTTATAATAAACCAGTAAACATGTTACCCTGAGTTCTGTGAGCTGCTCCAGCAAATTAATCTTACCTCCAAATCTAAAGTGGGGGTCATGGGAAGCCCAGCTTGAAGTTGCTTGGTCAGAAGTTCCAGAGGCCTGGACTTGTAAGTGGCGTCTGATGGAGGGCAGTCTTGGGGACTGAAACCTCAATCTGTGGAATCTGATGCTATCCCCAGGTAGTGTCAGAATTAAATTGGAGGACACTGAGCTGCAGAAGTGGTTACTCACTTGGTGGGGGGATTTCTGCTCCCTCCCACCCAACTATTGGTTATGAGAGTCTTTTGTGTTTATGATTGTTGTGGTGTGAGAGGAGAGGAAATGTGGTTAGTGTTTTTCCCAAACCATGGGAGAGTGAGATGACTTTTTTAGATTCAGCTGAGAGAGAAAGGAAAAGATGAGAAGAAGCTGCTAAAAGAAATGGAGAAATATAAAAAGAAATGTTAAGAAGTGCTGCTGTGTGATCTACTTGTTGACACTAATTCAGAAAAACTTCAGTAAATAACTACATTATTTTTCAATACTATTGAGAGTAAGATTTCTACTTCTTTTGGATGCATCTCCAAAAGCTGAGAAGGCCCTTAAAATAGGAGCAGGAAATCCCAGGTTTATGTGGATTACATCAAGTGTGATTTGAATTATTTTGCTAGGAGTTGTGACAATTTGCATGGAATCATCCACATTCCTCCCACTTTAAACTCTGGCAAAGCTTGAGAGATGATGACCAGTCTCTGAACATCCCTCTCCTGTGACCTCTCAAGGTACTGAGGAACCTGCATCTTGTGATCACCTTTAGTGCTCATTTGGTGTTAGATGCACGAAAAACTTCAAGTAATTACATTAAAAGCGCTTTTGGTGTGTTACTCCAACTAATTAATTACAGAATAATAGAATTGAATCCTGAAATAACCTTAAAGACCACCAAGTGCAATCACCTCCTTTAAAACAAGGAAATGATTCATGAAGGTGAAATCAGTTAGTCAAAGTTCTTATAAGCAAGCTAAATGGTGAGTGGTGACTGAAATCAAAGTGTTATTACCTTTTACTTGATTGGTAGAAATAACACAATTATAAGGTCATATATAAGAACTTTCTATAGCTTGTCTCACATAATTCTCGCAACATTATTATCACATTTTACAGATGAGAAAATGAAACTTAGAAAGGCTCAATAACTTGCCCAAGGCCAACCAGGTAGTGGTAGAACTGGAACTCACACCCACGCAGTCTGAATCCAGAGCCCATATTCTAAATCACTACACTGGCTTTTTTACCAATACAAATATTTTCAAAGTTTTGCAGTAGGAAAAAAAAAAAAAAACCTGATCTGAGATTTTAGAGTCAGAAGTACAATGCCAAATTTAAAATGCAGCAGAACAAGGGTAGTATGGATACTGGAAGACAATAACAGTAATATATAGTAAAAAAATAAAAAAAGCAAATTTAGGAACTTAGGAGTTTTAAATGCAGTCTTTCAAATCTTAATCTTTTATAATTTTAGAAAGAGCCAAAAGCTTTATATAAATGAAATAAATAGATCCTATATGCAATTTAGGATTCTATTTCAGGCTGCTTGTAATTCAGACACCAGAATCACAGAACCTAGGTTTGAGCTCTTTTTTTTTCAGTTTGTAAAATGAGAATAGTAATACCTATTCATAATATTGTAAGCTACCTTAATAATGTATACTGTAAAGCACTCTGTAGATGTCAGAGTTTAATTAGTATACAGTTCAGTTCTACTGTATCACCAAAGTTAAAATTGTTTTCTGTACATAATGTATTTTTTTTTAAAGTCCTATGATTTTGTAACTCCCAGAAGTTTGGGAAAATAATGATTATATACCACCCAAAATTAATTTACCCCTACTGTTTTTCATTTCTCTTTTCTCAATCCCACATTTTATTACAGGGTATCAAGACTATTAAATGTAATCTTGTTTACACTAATGCCAATTGATCCAGTAGCCTTCCAATCTGGTTAATATTTCCTGTTTTGTATTGGCTGGAAGATTACAGAAACAGAATAGCCAAAACATTACACATACTTTAAATTAAATTAAATGTAAACAGCCTAAGAATGAAATGTAATACTGTTTCCCAAATGTCAAACTTCTAGACATCTCCGTCCTATTTGAAGTCAGTAATATTTTAAATCAATTATATCTGATTTTAAGGCTGAACTTCTTATCTATCCCTTAAAGTGAGTTTATCTTTTGGAATAATAAGCAAGAATGGTGTACATGGGGCAGTGAATCATTTGCATTTTGGCAGAAATTACGAACGATTATGCAACCAGCCTAAGGTGGTGACATAGCCTGAAAATAGTGGAGGCAGAATCTGAATCCAAGTTTTCTAACACCTTTCAGAGAGAGAAAGGCGGCAAGGAGAGGAGAGTATAGATAGGGAGATCTCCTAACACAGAAGACCATTTTTACATAGGCCCCCGACTAGATGGCCTTCGGTCTTGTGGGTTTTGCTTGGCTCGCCACATAATGGAACATGTGAAGAAGGCTAACTGGTAGCTTTGTGTTATATTGCAATTATCTGTGACATTCTACCGGCAGTTTATTTTTCGTATCACGTGGGGGCAGCCTGTACACCTGAAGCAAGGTAAAACAATATTGGTTTAGGATTAGTACCCTGCATGGGAGACATTTTGGAGAAATAAAAATGTAAGGACCAATTTAGCACAGAGACATAGAGACAGCTGTCTGCATAAATGCCTCTCTCTTCTCCAGTGAGAAGAGTGTTTGCCATCTGCCAAACAGCGGTCTGAACTCAGTAAGGATGTGTGTGGGGCCACAGCTGCACATTTTGTGGCTTGAGGCCAACAACACGGTCACTAAGGGCACAGGCTCTGGAGGCAGATGGACCTGCTTTCCTGTCCCAGCTCTGATAAGACTGATATTGGGCAGGATTTTTAACTTCTTTGAATCTTGGTGTCTTCACTAGTGGTAATGAGTACCTACCTCAGACTTGTCATAAAACATAGTGATTGTGTATATAGTGCCAAACCTGGCAAATATTCAACATATACTAGGTTTTATCATTAAAATCCTAACCCCTTGACTATCTCTCCTGTGACTGAAGTTCAAAGTCAGTAGAAAAAAAAAAAAAATGACCATACGAAGCTCCTGCCTTTCAGCTGAACACAGAAAATGAGTCAATTCCAAGTGAGTTTAATAGCATAGAACGCTTTCTCAAAACTCCATCAACATGACAAGCAGCAGCTGATCTAAAACCATCAGAAGACATATTTTTTCTTTTCAGATTTCCATTAGCTTGCTTGTTATCCTATCAAGACTGTCAACCTTAACTGGTCAGTGGGCACTAAGGGAACATCTGCAGTCTCAGACACTACTGGGCATACTCTATTTGCTCATGGTGCTTCCTCCCTCAAACCCTCATTACCATCCTTGCCCAAAGTCACTGGAGCCCAGGTTATCATTCTTTACTCCTCTCATTTTATTTGCATCAGTATCTTTCTTGATGCAAGCATCTATTATTTTAAAGAAATATATCTTAGCCTCTTATTACTATTCCTCTTGTTGAAATCCAGTATCAGGGAAAATGAGAATCATTCTATGGAAATGGCAATAATTAATAGATATTATTTTCTCAGTATACATTCCCAAGTCATTTAAGAATGTTTATGTTGGCACCACTAACCACTAACCCATGACAACTTATTAAAAATTCCTACTTTCTAAAGTATGTTCCATGAACTGGATTAAAATACATAACATGGCAGATTTTTTTTTAAAATAGCAGTTTGCCTATTTGTGATCATTACATTATTTGTAAATCCTTGTAAAATGTTGTAAAACTTGGAAAGATAAGCATCCCACACTGGATAACTCCAGAAGGGCAGGAATGGTGCTGGTCTTGCTCACTGTTGCATTCCCAGCACATAGTCAAATGCCAGGCACATACAAGGCATTCAATGACTGACATACTTTAATCTTAGGCTATAAAAAGTACTTATGTGTAAGGTTAGTAGAAATATCCCCCAAAGAAGAGCAGAGTGACTCAGCAAACTGTTATTCTGGAACTAAAGGGAAAAAAAATGGAATTAATGGATGTAGTCTAGGCCCCTCTGGGGAGAAAGCAACAGATCATCTTGGAATTAACTAGAAAGGGAACAGTTGGGTGCAGCCTGAAATGCACCCAATTTTAGAAAAGCATACTGCAAAAATATCTTAATGTATGATTTCATGTATGAGATTCAAAAGCCAGCTCTCAAAATTGCAATTCTGGTTCTGCCATTCTGGTTCTGCCATCACAGATGTTCCCAAAGAAGAGAAGGGAGCCATCCAGAGAGGCCAGTGTTTACACCGACTACATTCCAATGATTTACTTTAAAATGTACACGATGGGAAATTACAAAATCAAAGACAACATTTAGACAAATATACAAGTTTGTAAGACCAGAGCCACAAATGGACCGAAGCTTACAGAAATACTAAGACAAACACAGTGTAGACATTTTCAGTTAATAACACTTAATGAGGTCTAGGTCTACAGCTGAGGGCCAATGATTGTAGAACTGAGAGATGCTTCTCAGCTTCTGTCTACTCCATTGGGAATGCTCTTTAGGAAGCGGGGAACATTTACAGTGAACCTAAAAAGTGTCGATGCTGGGGTTAATGTTTTTTCCTGGCCATCACATTAATCCTCAGCAGGCTGTGAGGCAGAAATACCAGTATTTTAGAGATGGTGAAACTCAGGCTGAAGGCAGTTAAGAACTTGTCTGAATTTGCAGTTACTGAGAGGCAAAACCAGGATCCAAATCTAAGTTTGTCTTGTAAAGTCTTTCCACTAAACCTCACCTCCTCGTTATACTGAAAAGATTTAAATGAGTATTGGTAGGTGGGAACATCTTTTGAAGAGATCATGAAAACACCCAACTGCTAAAATCTGTCACAATCCAGATAAATTACACCCAGGGCCCCTAAGATGAGATCAGTATGGCAACCTTTAAGGAATCATGGATAACAGGTGATGGAAAAACATTTTCAAAAAGAACATGTAAGACCAGACTGGGAAGGGGCACACTCACTCTAACAGCCAGGGACCAAACTGCTTCTGCCTTTGCATCTCCAGGGTCCAGCCCAGTGCCTCGCATATGATGCTCAACACAAGTAGGCAACATGCTATCTTTACATACCTTAAGTAGATGCAGGATTAACCCTATTATAAATAGTTCCCAGGGGGAAAGAGCTCCAGTTACAAGAGGGTAAGCAAAAATGGAGACAGACTTCAAAGGGAGTGAGAGCTTTCCGTTCTCTTTGCTGTAACAGTTCTCTGCCTCCGCCTAGGACTCAACCCTGCACCACAATCCTTACTATGTGCCAGCTCTACTACAATTGCACCCTAAGGCTTGCTAATCCTGAGAACAAAACACCACTAATAGCATTACTATGTGACAATGAATCCCACCTTCCAAATGACTTACAGATAACTACACAAAATAACCCATTAAGTTGGAAACTACATAAATTTGCATCATTTTCCCTCATCTTGTCTTTTTTTTCCTAACAAAATAGGGTGAATTTGTTAGTGTCAACCTCACTTGATGGCGACCTCTGTATTTTCTAACAATTCTAAATTAGTGATCAAGTTAATGGCCGGCAAATTACTTTACATTTAAACTTCCTAAATTTCTCTTCCTCAATCAGTGCCAATACAATGCAAATTAAGCACAAAAGCTAACATCAAGTTTGTAGCATTCTCTGTAAAAACAGAAAAAAGTCAATGATTTGTAAGTAATGAAAAGGTAGTAATGTTGACACTTAGCCTTGACCTTCCTCTTACATTACAGATTCAGAGTAACCACATTTCAGAATTAACTCCCTAGGGTGTTGGAGGTAACTTGAAGACTCTAACACGATGGCTCCACTATGCAGAGGACTACCAAATCCAGCCAGGTGTAGAGAGGCAGTGTTACTGACCAGGACCCAGCAGACAGGAGAGCTGCCATGATAGGATTCTGCTGCCACCAAAAATATATAAAGGAAACAGGTGCCCTAACACACGTGTAAACCCAGTACCAGTGGCAGAAATAACACAAATACATTTCTCATGCAAAATAGGCTAAATGATAAATATTTGCATCACATAGACTGCTGAAAATTAACCTTTCTTTTTGGGGGTTACCACCATGACTATGTGGTTTCAAAGGAGGTTAATATCACATGTTTAACTTCAACTCTGTAAAGCCAGGATGAAGCTAGCATACAAAATACATTTTGGTAGAAATCTAGGTATGTGGAAGGTTGCTATGAAAAAATGAAAAGAGGAATGATAGAAGTATATTTTCTTTTATATACAAAAAATGAAGTCCCAAAATATGGTTTGTTGAAGTAGCTATTGACAAGATGTTAAAATTATTTTTCCTTTGCTTTGGTTAAAACAGCCTAGGAACGGCAATCAGTTCCCCTTCTATAAGTAGCATAAAAACACAGTGACAGGACTACTTTTAGAACAGAATAAACAACTTTCAAGAAAAGAAATTAATTTTAAGTAAAATTAAACATTTTACCAATAACTAAAATTTTTAAAAAGGTAGCATCTTCATCCTAACATCTTGGGCATAACACACACCAATTAAAAAATCAAATTTCTTTCACAATAGAATTACAGGTGTTAATGCAACAAGCTATGAAGTGAAATTACTTTAATTTTTTTAAAAGAAATCCTAGCAATGAAAAATGAGTTTGAAAAATTGACATTTTCTACAATTCTACATTTTGAAAAATAATTGACTAATACTTTTTTACAGAACACAATTCAAACTATTGTTGGCATTTCAATATATTCCTAAAGATGGTTAAAAGAACATTTAGTATACCAAAACTGGAATAGAGTTTATAATTCTCATTTACGGCTATGAAAAGGCAATCAACTTCTATTTAAAACTGTAACCAGTGATGAAATATATTTCGAAAACATAAACATTTGGTCTGACAATCTTTAATATTTGTTAAAAACAGTCTGATGTTTGTTGCTGATGGAAGTTATTTTAATCCAATGTGCAAAAAAAGTGCAGCTGTCTACTTTTTACTTGAAATACGTAAGACCAACACTACTATTTACACACTTAAAAGATTTTAAATTTATTAATTTAAGTAAGCATACTGCATCTCCTTTATGGATAAATCATGTGCCCCACAGAGCCCCAAAGCTTGATGACATTCTGTAAAGTTACACAAATGTATCTGAAGAAGTTATCTGTTCTTGTCCTAATTTTGATTCTAAATAAAAATCCAATTTCAAAATCAATTAAGATTTTAATCTAGGAAATCTTGGGATTGTTACACATGTAAAAAACCTTATCTCTGAGAGCCTTTTCTATTCTTCTTACCACAGGTCCACTCACAAATCGCAGCTGGTATGGACTGGTACTGCCCCAAATAAGAGGAACCTAAGAGCTTGGCTCCAAGACCCCCCACCATCCCGGTGGGTTTGCTTGGCCTTTAGGATGTGTGACTACAGCTTTTGGGTAGGTACAGGGCAATCAAGATTGAGGAAGAACACTTCAGCAAAGCAACCATTATTTGTCCACAAAAACAGTGAAAAACAGTGATATAAAATTAACAAACCAAATATAAATCTAACGCCATTCTGCATTTCCAGAACTTTTTTTATATTTGTGCAGTGTTCTTGGTCAACCACTCACCAATTTTCTGCGTCTATCTGAAGTACTTTTAAAGTTATTAAAACTGCTCTTTTGACCATAAGTCACATAGAATTGTGATTAGGAAATCAATTTACTTATTACTCTGTGCAGGGCACTTGCTAGGGTGGTGAGTGTAAAGGAACTAAAAATGGAAGTCTCTCACTTCTAAACTGGACACAGGAGTTCTCAAATTAAAATAATAAAAAAAAAAAAGGGAGAGAGGTGCTTACTGGGCAACATTAATACTAGACACCAGACAAGACAGTGAAACGGTTTGGTCAGAACTGAGGAACACCATTTCCTTGAAAAGTCTTAAAAATAGCTAACCAAGCACTGCCTTAAGTCCAGTGAGTACAATGTTCCATACGTTTCCACAAAAATATTGTAACTGGCATTCACTCATTATGATCCACGTCATCTCAGTCTCCACTTTCCAGGCAAAGTGTCCCTGTCCCACCGCCTCTAGCTACAGGCTATCGTCTCCAGCTGCTGTTCTGCTTCCGCAGCCATCGCTGCCGCCTGCAACTGTTCTGTCTCGCTCTGGATGGCACTGGGGGTAACCTGCTTCCTTTCACTGTGCATATTGTTCTCGTGCCTTTTCAGATCAGATGCCTTGGCAAATGCCTTGGTGCAGGAGCCACACACAAAAGGCTTTTCCCCTCTGTGTCTTCTTTCATGATCCTTGAGGTGAGACTTGTGTTTGAAGGCTTTGTCACACATGTGGCACGCAAACGGTCTTTCATTACTGTGAACTCTCTCATGCTTCTTTAAGTCTGGGGCACGGATAAATGATTTTCCACACACCTCACAGCTATAGGGCTTATATCCTGTGTGGATTTTTAGGTGTTCTTTCAGGTGGGCCTGTGTGGTGAAACCTTTTGTGCACATTTCACAAACAAATGGCCTGTCCGCCGTGTGGAGTTTCTCATGCTTCCTCAATCTGCCTTCATCAGAAAACGTCTTCCCACACGCCTGGCAGGCAATCTGCTCCCGATGGTGACCATAAAGCAAATACTCAAACTTCATGTCACTGGCGGCTGTTGTCCAGCCTGGTGTCTGTTCATCTTTCACTTCACTCATCCCATCATTAAATGTTAAGGCTTGAGGGGTCTGGGACCCCAAGTCTTTTGATTCTGGGGTCTCCATGGATTCTACTTCCTGGCCGTAGCAATTGACCTTCCGAACTTCCTCACTCCCCAGCTCTTTCAGGATCGCTTCCTGAACCCTGAGCGTTGTGGTGGGCGACTTGCCGTCCTCCTGACTCGGGGGTGTGCCTTCTACTGTGTCATCAGAAGGACTGTCATCCTGATCCCCGATTTCCTCTACATCATCATCCTGGGTGTCAGCAGCATCTCCAATGGGGCGATTTATTTTAAGGCAATACTTACTTTTGGACTGACCATTGTTTTCATCGGGACTGGACACATCACGCTTCTGAGAACACAGTTTATCCAAAAATCGGATACCAAGAATCTGACCCGATGACATCATTAAGTTAACATCTTCTTTTTTCACGGAAATCTTTGCTGTGTACATGTAGTTCAGGACCTCTTCAAATATATCAGAACGAAGAAAATCTATTTCTATGACCGAAGAACTATCAACCTCAAGCTTCTTGAAAAGCTTTTTAAAGTAAGTGCTGCAGGCAGCAAGAACACATCTGTGTGCTCTGAATTTCACATCCTCAACCACAATAGCAATATCACAAAATTCTCCTTCCAGGCGTTGTTCATTTAGTGTTTTCAGAAACAGAGTTTTATGATCATCGTCATTATATTTAATGGTTTCAGACATACTGATGAAAAACTCCTACAAAAAAAAAAAAAGTTTAGTAATTATAAATAGTACTTTTCCATATAGAGAACACAGTCACATTTTCATTTCCTGGTCAATCTATGGAACCTAACAATTTCAGAAAGTCAATGTTAAGAGTGGTCTTTGAATATGGGTAGAAAAGACTGATCCCAACTCAAGGATCTCCATATTGTTACTCCTGTTCATCTTCAATTTACTAAGTATTTGCCTAGTTATATCCCAGGCATTGTTCTATGTGCTTTACATGTTTTAATTAATTTAATATTCAGGTAACCTCATGAGTACGTATCACTATCCTTATTTTAGAGACAAAGTTAGAAATCTGCCCAATATTCTATAGCTATTTAGTGAAGAGCTGGGACTTAAATGCAGACAATCTGGCTGCAAAACCAGTGCTTCCTGACTAGAGATAATCAAATAACTCAAACTCAAGTTTTAAGAAACAGGTTCAAGGGAACAATCCTCTAGTCCTCTCTGTTGCACCTACTCTTATTCCATCTACTCTATGGAGGATTCAGCAAAATAATTATGTTATACCTCCTTGACAGAAGGAACAAATTACTATTGCAGAACTAGAGAGGAACATTACTGCCAAAATATCCCATTGAGTGTTGTGTTCTAGATTTTCCACAGCACTTTTGGGCCACTTCTAAATGAAGGTCAAGGTTTAATCTGACCTTAAGAGAATGAGATGACATTTGGGAAGTGGCTTTGTTCTCTCTAGATGCCAATCTACCTGCATCCAGATAAAAGTGCCATCAACACCAGATGTAAGTACTTGATAAGTGCTGAGAGTATTTTATAAGCAAAAATTTGGAACTGGCATGAAAGATCTCTGTCATCATGTTAAAAAACTGGTCATCTTAAAGCATTCTCTATGTTTCCTTTTTAAAAACATTGTTTTACTTTTATTCGGCTAATATTTTCCCCCAGACAAATAGAAGTGTTCATGCACAATCAGAATTGGTATATATATTTTAAAGCAAATGCCAAGTCATTTTCATCAAGATTTAATATCCAAAGTTATAGTTACCATGAACAACTCAGGCTATTATCTTAATGCCTTGAACGCCAAAATCTTCAGATCAGAGTAACTCTGATCAGGAGCACGCCAGACCTACAGAGGAAAGGATAAACAAGAATGAGGTAGGATCTTCCTGTATCCCAAATCCTAAACCAAGAATTGATTTTTTAAAAATAAACTTTCTTGTTCCCTCTTTTGTGCATTTTCAGGTTGGGGAGAGTGGCAGGTAGGTAGCTGGTACATCAAGTGCAGTTCTGAACAGATATGGACTAGAACAGATAAGGGCTGTAGCACTCGGGCATAAAGGGGCTGTGCCCTAGGAACTGGAAGGAGGGGTTGGAGAACCATTAAGGGATTTCTCCTCACACACTAAGCTCATGTCCATATTTGTACAGAGATTGATGGCTACACAGATATAGAAAAAAACAAGTGCACCGTGCCCCCTACACCTATCCCATTTCCCGCTGGGTATGTTAGCCCTCTACATTTTTCTCTCGGCTCATACAAACCTATAGAAGTATATACCTTACAAATAAAGCTATAGAAGTACATAAACCCAACAGGTAACATGGGAGGAGAGGGAACAATGATTGCTTTTTCTTTCTGCACCTGTGTGATGTATTAATAGCATACACGTTTGTTTTTAAGATTGTATTTGATAAATCCAGGTGTTTTTACCTCTATCCCTACAATAAGGGTGAAAGAATTTCAGCTTTTTTGTGAGTTTTAACTCTTACCGGAAGAACTCCATCCTGCAGACCCATATCCTGAAAAACAAAAAGTTTCCTCTACTGAACAGTGACCACACAGATAAGTTGTTTGGTGTGGTAGGAGCAAAGGACTGGGCTGTAACAGTCTTACACAAAAACCATGGAACAAGACTCCAACCTGGAGACCAACACCTTGAAACCCATAATAAGCTCCTTCTAAAGAAAAGTGAACACACCGAGCTACCCAGCGTAGAAGCGGGATGTCTCATCTGAAGTTTGAGGTTAGGCAACATTTCCAAAAGATGATTCTGACTTGATCATTCTACGTGTTTCTGCCTCTCTATTCCCTAGAAGCACCCAGGCCTGTAATCATCCAGAGGCTAGGCAGCCCAGCAAAAACCTTACACTGTGACACTTACTACTGTTGTCACTAACTCGTCCTAGGGCTTGTGGGATAAAAGTGCATGGGACCAGAGAGAGGAGTGGCCTTAGACTAGCTATGACAACATATCAATGTGTTGTTGTTGTTTTGGCTAGTGTGTACTTGGCCACTCGCCCCTCTCCCCTCTCTCTCTCAAGATGTATGAGACCTGGAAGAGAGACCATGTGTGTCCAAAGCCGCCTCCTCCCCGCCCCGCCCCCCTTGCCATTGAGATGTCCAATTGCTCAGTTCAGGTGAGTCAAAACTGGAAGACAGCTGTTGCCAGCATCTGTGTAGGCAGGTGTAGGAAAAGACGTAGCCCCAACACCACCTTCATAATAAGGCTGCCCCTTCCTAATTGCTCTCCAAACTGCGGGCGCGCTAAGCCGCGTTACAGTGCAGGGAGCCGGGCTTCCCGCAAAGCCAAAAACTTACATAAGCAGCTGCAGCCGCCTCCCCTGCCCCGGGCAGCCCGACAATGGCGGCTGCACGACTTCCTTGTTGCAAGCTTGCAACTTCGGAGTCGGGAGGAAGCAGGGAGCCAAGCGCAGACCCAAGAAGCCCTCAAGGCGTATCGAGTCCTCCCTCTCAATTTCTTTGGGCCTGGGAGGTGGGGAGTGGAGGAGGCCGTTTGCACTCCTTCCCAGACAAAAGCTCCCAGCCTGGGAGCCAGGTGGTGAAAGGGCCACTTTCCCTTTCATAATCAGACGTCGAGCGCAGGCTTGGGACCGCGGCTCGGAGCGCGCAGGGAGGGACTGCGGCCCGCGGCGGCCCCGGCGGCGCGACGAGCGGGAGCGGGCGTGCGGCCGGCTCCGCAGCCCCGCGCCGCGCCGCGCCCCGCTCCGCCCGCGAGCCCGGAGCTCGCGCCCCGCGCACTCCCCGGCCAGCTCGCGCCGGGCCCTCCCCCGCCCTCCCGCGGCCGGGGGCGGGGGCGGCGCGCGGCCGGCTAACCCAAGCTCCGCGGGCGCACCCGGGAGTGCGTGCGCTGGGTCCCGGCCCCCTCCTCCGCCGGCGGCTGTAGGCGGCGCGGCGGGGCCCGCGGCTCGGAGGGGCGGCGCCCGGCGGGCCGCGCTCCGCGCTGGGTTCGGGCCGTCCCCACCCCCACCGCGGTGCACTGCGGCGGTGCGAGCGGGGGCGGCCATGAACTCGGCCGCCGAGGCTCTGCGAGCGCGCGCGCGGGGCCGCCGCCGCCTGGCCGCTCCCCGAGCCCGCTCGCCGGCCCGCGCGGCCCCCGGGGCGCCCCGGCCCCACGCCCAACCCTGGCCCACGCCCGTCCCCGCTCGCACCGCGCCGCGCCGCTGGCGGCCGCCGCACATCCTGGAGCTGGCTGGTGCCCCAGAGCTCGGCGAGAACGCGCGTCTTCCGGGCCGCCCCGCCAGCCGCCGGCCGCCCCCGCGCCCGCCTTGCGGACGGCCCCAGCCCCTTCCGCACCCTGGCCCGCGCTTACCTGCAGCCTGGCACAGGCACAGACACTGCCGTGGGTTCCCCGCGCTCGCTAGCAAACGCAGGCCGGGACCGGAGGGGCTCGGGGCGCGGGGGCACGGTGGGTGGCAGTGTGTTTTGGATTTTTTTTTGGAGTTTGGGGAGGGGGCGGGGTGGGGGAAATCGTGCACGTCCCTGATGGTAGCAGCCCTCCTCCTGCACGAGCACAGAATGTCTAGCCGGCCGTGAACACCCCCACCGCCCCCCCCTTCCCGTGCATGCGCGGTGCGGGCTGGGGGGAAGGCGCGCCGCCGGCTTGCGCAGGCACGGAACCCGACCGGGTCTCTAAGTGGGCGAGCAAAGAAAGGGTTAATCCGGGCCCTTGCCGACGCTTTCGTTGGAGACTACGGGGCCGCCCCCGGAGGGCCCTGGCCTGCGCACGCGCGCGCACGCGCGCGGCTTGGGGCGCGCGGAGCCCGCGCGCGGGAGAAGGAGTGGGCGGGGCAAGGGCGGGGCTTCGGGAGCCAGGGAACTTAAGCACGAGCGCTGCTCGCGGACACCCGCCCCGCCTCAAGCTCCCTCCCGCCCTGGTTCGTGGGCTTCCGCCCGCGCCCGGCGCCGGCGCAGCGCCGGGGACGCGGGAGCCAGCGCTCCCGTGCGTGTGCATGTGCGTGGGCCAGAGCCTCCCCCGGGCGCGCGCAGGCCGGGCGCTGAGGCTGCGGGGCTCTGCCGCGTCTCGGAGCGGGCGCCCCGGCCACTTTCGCCCTCCGCGCACACCGGCCGACACCGGGAGGCGCGCCCACGGGTCTGCGGTCTTGCCTCTTGCCGCCGGCACATTGAGTTTGTGGGGGAGTGGACGGTGCACAATAAACACTTGCAGAACAAATGGAAAAAGCGACGTCTTCGATTTGTAGTGTAAAGCGCAACCCCAGTTGCCCAGCAGAAAGGGATCACCCATAGGGCTTCGGAGCTAGTAGGTCCGCGCCCGGACACTCCAAGGAAAAGTCCAGGGGCTGGAGGCGGCGACCCGTCTGTGGCAGTCCAGACCCTGGACTCGATTCGGAGAGCTCTGATAACTTGGCTCTGTCCTTAACATCCCTGCTCAGCGCCAGTAATGGCTCCGTTGCTGTTGAACCACGTCGCCTTCCCTCTGACGCGGCGGCTGTGCCTGTGTCTGGCGTCGGGAGCTGGGAAGTCCCTCCCGCTCCCGCGTTTTCTGCTCACCGAGATGCAGGAGGCCGGACAGCAATGCCGCGCCGCCTTAGAGTCGCTCATGTTGCTTTACCTCACACGCGAAGTTTCCCCGAAACGCGTAATTTAATATCTAAAGATTAGAGCAGAAGCTTCCTCTTGGGCTTATTGAAGATGACATAAGATAGTGCTTGCAACAGGCACCTAAGTAAACATTTGGGAAATAATATGATGATTGGATGTGTTAATTTTCTAAAGGAAGTTCTATATGGCCTCAGTTGATTTTGTAATGTTAATTGACTTTGGTTTAACGTTCCCCAAGGCGACTTTATACGCATCTTTTTTGATGTTCACAAAAGCACCCAAGTTACGGCTTATATGGAGGAAATAGGATGGAAGAGACCGGTTGTAGAGTCAGACATATCCAGTTCACATATTGGGTAAATTGTTTAACTTCTCTAAACCTCAGCTGAAGGAGAGCTATGGAAAGCACCTAATAAGGCACTTGTAAGGATTAAGTGAAATAATGCCCAGCTAAGGTATTAGCTCCATGATGGAAAATCACCTGCACCCACAGATAGTGGGTTCCAGTGGCCTGGACAGAACCAGAACCAAGTCTTCTGCCACGAAAGTTCACACTCATCAGACATGATACCGTGTACTCGCTTTATTCTTGTTTGCGTAGCTCTTGAAGTTGCATTTCAATCCTGTGGATGCTGTGTGTTTATAGGGGGATAATAATAGTACTCTGTCATAGGGTTGCGTCACCAAGCAGTAAAGCAGCCACTGCAGTTAGCACAATGTGTGGACACGGCCAGTACTCAAGTCATGGCGCATCTGCTGCTGGCGCTCCCCCTTCTCCCATACCACATATGGGGTTTCCCACTCATTCTGCGTGTATTTTTGGTCTGCCTACTGTGTAAAGACAATCTTTTCGCATATGGCTAGGAAAAGACTTCCCACGTTTCCACTAACCCGATAACATAATTCACAAGAGTTCTAAAGCACTAGAATGCATTTCTCAAGTGACGGTTCCTGACATCCTGGTTTTGTATCAATGAATCCTCTTGTCTCATTTGTTTTATGTTCATGTCACCTGGGCTCTGCCTGGCTGTCCCTTGCTGGTTCACAGGGGTTGTGGGGATGAGTCTAAATTAAAGGGACAACTCTGTGGGAAGGTGGAGGGATGGGAAACCACAAAGGAAAGGCCTGACCCAAGCCTGGCTTCTCGCCTGTGTCGCCACCCAAAAGTGCACTTCCCAGCACCCAAGAGGCTTTCAATAAACATCAGCGGACAGTAAGTGACAACCTTGAATTTGATACTAAGGGGCTTTGTAAAAGTACACTGTGGCGTCAACGCGGGGGCAGGGCTTTCCTGAAATGCACTGACCCAAGGTCCTTGACAAAGTTTTCCTCCTTTTCCGACAACTCTGATGGGTGACATTTGGAGCACGTTGTTCCTCACTTGGGACACCCATGGCCTCCTGAGTGGAACCTGTTTCTAAGAATTGTGAGGCCCAGGCCATGGGGCCCGCAGTGTGCAGTCCCGGGTGCCAGGGTCTGATGTGGTTACAGAGCAGCCCAGTAAGGGACCGTTTGGAAACATTATGTCTCACAGGCGGGGGAGGTTGATTTCTCCCTCATGTTGACCTTGGGCCCTCTGGCTGGTTTTGAAACAGCAGGATACCAGCAGATGAGAGTGGGCCGGGTCTGAGTAGAGGTTTTGAGAGCAGCCTTTGTTCTGCGCCTCCTCCTCTGCTGTGACGTCCAGCACAACACGACCATGGTTAGGCCACAACCCCCTCTTCAGCTTGGGCCCTTGAATGACAAACAGACCTGAGAATGAAGCCAACCCAAAACCTGAGCACAGCCAAGCCTAGAGAGAAGACAACTCACCCACAGACCTATGACTGAGAAGTAAATGTTTGTTTTATAAGCCACTGGGAGGTTGGGTTTTATGCTTTGTTACTGAACAAAATCTAATACATCTGTGCAAGGAAAAGTGTCACACCCAATGCCATAACCACCTTCCCCCTGTGACTCTGAGAACACTTGATACAGCAAATGAACAAAAACCCGATCCAATCCGTGTCATCATGGAGATACTGATGTGCACATTCAACAAATAATCACATCGTTACACAATTGCACATTGCAATAAGTGTTTTTATAGAAAGTTAAAAAACACAGAATGTGATGAAAAAGAGGAACAGGAGGAATTAATTTTGCCTGGGAAATCAGTGAAAGCTTCTTCAAAGGCATACATTTAAGACCTGAAAGATGAGGGAGAGATTCGCAAAGAGGGGGAAGAAATAGCATTTCAAGACAGAGACAGGAACAAAGTGAATGCAAGGGTGGAAGGAGCTTGAAGTACCTCAGTCTCTGCAAAAGTGGACATGAGATGTGTTTGTGAGAACAACAGTGTCCAGCACCTGTAGGGCCTTGTGGTTTATAGGAAGGGGTCTTCACAATGACAGCCCCGAAAGCTTGGGCCATTTAGGTGGAGGGGTTGAATCAAAGGAAGGTCCTGAACATCTGCCAGGGCAAGGAACATCAGGACAAGCTTGTCTTGTGCTTGTGGAGGAATTGCTGCATGAGGATGGAGTTGGCCATGTGGAACGATCATTCTCCTATGGATCAGAACTGGTGGGGCATCTGGTCGTCTCTGGGCACCAGACACTTGTTTCTTCTTCCTCTGGAACCTGGTCATTTAGATTTCCTCATTGCCTTTTGGGTTAACATCGAGGAAACTGGGTGAAGAGTTTCTGGAAACACTCTGTGTTATCTTGACAACTCTTCCATAAATCCAATATTATTGTAAAACGAAAATTATTCCTGTTCATGTAATTATTTTTTCCTAGATACTTTCAAGATTTTTTTCTTTGTCTTTAGTTTTCAGCATTTTGATTATGGTGTTTTCTGAGTAGGGATTTCATTGCTTATACTGTTTGGGGATTGCCGAGCTTCTTAAATACATAGGTTTATTTATATCTTTCTCTAAATTTGGGAAGCTTTCAGCTATTATTTTTTTCACATTTTTTTTCAACAGCATACTATTTCTCCTTTGTTGAGATTCCAATGACAGGAACGTTGAGTTTTTTAAAAATTATGTCATAGGACCATAAGTCTTTTCATTTTTTAAAATATTTTCTCTGTGTTGTTCAGATGAAATAGTCTCTATTGATTCTCTACAATTCACTGACTTGTTCTTTTGTCGTTTCCACCCTGCCATTTAGCCTGTCCAGTGAGTTTTTTTGTTTCACTTGTATTTTTCAGTTTTAAATTTTTTCATTGTATTTTTCTTTATATCTTCTATTTCTTTGCTAAGACTTCCTATTTTTCGATTTAAGAGTGTTCATAATTGCTTGTTGGAGAATTTATAATAGTTGCCTCTAAGTCTTTTTACTTAATTCCAACATCATTGTCATCTCAATGTTGCCATCTGTTGATTGTTTTTTCATACGTGAGTTGAGATTTCCTGGGTCTTTGTATGCTGAATTATTTTGGATTGCATCTTGAACATTTTAAATATTATGTTATAATACCCTGGGTCTTGTTTAAATCCTGTGGCAAATGTTGATATTTTAATTTTAATAGACAATCGGGTTACGTTCTGGTGACCAGTTTTAACACACTTTCTGTGTGCTGTGGTTTGATGGTTTCGGACTGCTACTTGGATCTGTTTCATATGCTCCAGGCATTGGCCAGTCTAGGATCTGATGATCTGTTAGTTCAATTCTCAAAGTCTTTTATGTGCTGACTAGGCTCAGACCCAGCATGTGCAGCTCAAGGGGGAGCTTAGAGGTTCATAAACAACTTTAGGGGCTCACTTTCCTGGGCTCATTCCTCTTCTGATTTCCCTGGTACTTTCTACCTTCCTGGAACTCCCTTTTCTGATCCTACATCCAGAAAGTTGGGGCACTTCCATGGCTACACTCTAATCTACAGCCAAGTGGCAGAAGAACGAGAAGGAAAAAAAATGGTAAATTCCCTGCTGGCTTGGTGATAAGCTTTCTTGTTTCCTGACATGTTGATTTTAAAGAGCTGTAAATTTCCTTCTAAGGACTGCTTTCTCCTTTTCAACGTATTTTTTTCATGTTATTTTATTTATATTCAGTTCTATGTATTTCTTTGGTTTCTTCATTACTTTTTAAATTCATGTTATTTAATAATGCTACTAACCCAAAATATTCCAATGTAATGTATGATTTTATGATATTGTTTCCAATTACATGGGAATATTTTTGAGTTATCTTTTTTTGGTAACTTCTTATTTTGGTATAATGCTAACTTACAGAAAATTTGCATGAATATAGTAAAAAAGAAGTCCTGTGTGCATTTTACTTTTATCCAGATTTACCAGTTGTAACATTTTGCCTTCATTTGCTTAATCATTTGTGCTCACACGTGCACACTGTCTCCAGACACACACACACACAGGCACACACACTCTCACACACTGAGCCATCGTTTAAGAGTAAGGTACAAATATCCTTCTTTCACCTAAATACCTCAGTGTGTATTTCCTAGAATAGGACACTCTTACATGACTATAATACAATAGTCAAAATTAAGTATTTAACATCGATACGATACTATTATCTAATGTGTTTATATTTAAATTTTACCAATTGTTTCAATAATGTGTATTGTAATGTATATCAATTTTTTCCTGCTGCAAAATTACTCATGGATCTGCCCTTTGTTTTTTATTTGTAAACCTGTTTCATATTCTTCAAAACCAACACTGCTCTTTTTTCATATTCTGTGATTTGTCTTCTGGTAAAACACCTGTATCAGAGTGTTTGCATCATTTTAAGTTTAGTACATCAAGGGAAAGACTTCCTCTCTTCCTTGCTGTAGCTTTCTCCATTACCAAGAATACCATTATATTATTATAGTCCTCGTTCCTAAAAACTCAGGATAACTTTGATTACCTTTTTTTCTTCTCTCAGTTACAAAGCTCAGCTACTTCACTTACAGCAGAGTAGAGCACTCAGCTACACTTGAGAGTTTTCTTCTTTTCTGGAGGACCAACGTTAAGGTTTGACTTTTGTCCTTGAGCAAAGAATATTTCATCTGCTAGAGTGAAACATGTATTCTTATATTAATATTCAAAATATTTTATTCTCTTTGAACCAGCATGTTATTGAAGCTGAAATTAGTTTCCTCTGGGCATTTTTTTAAAAAATGTGAACACTTTCAAAGTATGGAACATCTCTTCATCCATCATATGGGCTGATACCTGTCAATTACTCTTCTACTCTGGGAAGGTATCCAGACCTATGACACTCCAGGATGTCTGAACCATTGCACTCTATAGGAGTGATGCTTTTCTAACTTGCAGCTGGCATTCAAATTAAATCTGTTCTTAATGCTTCATAGAAATATCTACCAAATTCTACTTACATCAAATTATTTTCTCTGTGACCCAAACTGTTTATAATCATTTTTTTGCTACTTTTTTCAAAACTGGTCTTCTATCATCATAACATTTTCCGCCTGTAATTGGCAAACTGTGTTACATTATTTCTGGTGTTTAGTAAACTGTTTACTGTAATGCGCCTATTGCATATAGAATGAACTCATCAGTGTGGTTTAGAATTTAACATTTTATTTCATCAAAATTATCATCACACTGCCAAGAATTATTAAAACTCGAAAAAAAACCTGCAATGCATTTAGCCATAGTTATGGTGAGCTAAAATTACAGTTTCCCATTTTGGACAATCAAAAAGCTACATTGTTTCCTCAACCATAAAGACTTCATTCTCAGCATTAGTCAGTGAAAAACCAAAATGAAAATTTCTCCAATCGGCATCTGTTCTGATAGGTTTGTGCAAAGCGCATGTCACTTCTCTGTACCACTGCTGCCACCCCTGCCACCCCGCCACCCATACTTAGTCTTTGCTCTTCCTTGAGCAGAGTGGGCATGTTTCCTCCTCAGGACCTTGTGTACCTCTGCAATATTCAGGTTACAATGTTAAAATATATTTCAGATTCTCATTGTCTAACTAAAAATCCTAGTAGCTGGACAAATAGCTATTGAAACAGCTCAAGCCCATAATGTAATATTCTTTAGCTTCTTATCTACTACCTCAAATTTCAGCCTTCCTTTACAAAGTTAGGAGACAAGTCCTCCACTTAATTCACAGAGGAAAAGCAAAGCAGTGCAGACCCCTGAGTACAAATTGCCCAGCGTCTGGGTACTGATTTGGGTCCAACCAATACCACTTACAAGCCAATGTTTCTTGGAGAGGTTACTTCATGGTTCAAAATTTAGTTTCCTTATGTGTACAATCAGAATAAAGATAGTACCTACTTCATGAGGTTAATTGATTAATTCAATACATAGTTATGAGTACAATAAGTCCTCACTTAAGATTGTGAAGATTCTTGGAAACTGCAACTTTAAGCAAAATGACCCATAGAGAAACCAATTCTTTTTTTTTCCCATCAATGCTATAATGAAACACCATTGAACTGAATGATCTTATTGGAGGGCATGCTGTATGTCACTTCCTATCTGTTTTGTGCCAGCCATTCTAGGCACTGAGGATATAGCAGTGAACAAAATACACAAATGTATCTGCCTCAGAGGCAGGCTACAAACAAGTACCTAGTTGAAATATATATTACATTACCTGGTGATAAATGCTATAAAAAACTAATGTGGTGGAGGGAAATAGGAAGACTGGAAATGCAGGCAAGCAATTTTAAATAAAGCTGTTTGGAAAACCTCACTGAGAAGGAAATAGTTAAGCAAAAACCTGAAAGAGGTGAAGGAGGTCAGTCAGGTGCAGATAATGATGAAGAGCCTTCCAGGAAGACAGAAACAACAAGTGCAAAGGTCCTGAGGTGAAAGCATGCCTTTTGTCTTGAACAAACAGCAAAAGCAGAGCTAGAAAAAAAGAGTACCATGGAAACACATGTGCCCACCCTCACCCTGCACCCATCTATGCAGGACAGATGACAGTGTGAGAGTTTTTGTTTCTGTTTTCTACTGAGATGTTATGTTTATGTTTATTGAACAGAAAAATACGTAACACATGCTGATATAACAATAATTTTACATATTTCTTGGCAAATTCTAGCATGGTTTAAGAGAGAGAGGTCAAGGAACTAAAATCTTCCAAGAATGAGGTAGAGTGACAGTGGCAGGGAAGGGGTGGTAAATTGTGTAGTCTGATAATCTGAGAGTCATAGCTAGGGACTTTGACAGAGAAGGGAGGGGGAAAGGCTTGAAAGGGAAGGAGGGTGTCCTGCTCTACTCCAAAGAGGAGCACCAGTAGGGTTCCAGGGAGAACAATTCAGACTCAAATTATTAAATTCTGGAACACCTAAGAAGGTGATACTTTGTTCTGCAGGATGGACTGATGTGAAAGGGATAAGGACATCTCCACTAAATTATTTATTCCATTCAAGGTATCTTTATGCAAACCTCCAACTTTCCATGGTCAGTCCAAAGTCCTGTCTAGAGATTAGCTGGCATCCTTTACCTTCCCTGTCTTGCAAATATGACCAGAGATGAGGTCAACTTGGATAAGTTGAAGGTTCGTTTTCTTCTCACAATTTGTTTCAGAATCAATCAAATTTATCTGCATAACTAACCTTCACATTGGATCTAAATTCCAGTTTTTCTTTGTGATGAACAGGCCAAGCATGAATTTAAGCAAGTTAATTTATTAGCTGCTACTATATTCAAACTGCAGCATAATAAAACTAATGGATGACCCTAAATATTACATGACTATCTTTACGCTTGGGGAACAAGCTAATATATTTTCCCATACATCTCTTATGTGATATTAATAAAAGTTATGGCTTTAATCTCCACAGTTAAAAAAAGAAACAATTCAATGAGAGTCCTAAGAAATTTATAAAGACATATAGATCTTTTCAGAGCTAATATTTAAACCACTTAAGTAAATGGAAAAGGAAATGATCAGACAAAATATGTCATTGGCTTCTCATTCTTTGCCTTCAATTTCAGAACGAAACAGCTTATCTTTCTAAACTGATCTTTTCGGAAAAGTCTATACTATATTTAATATGAAAAAGATATTTGCAAAATTTCATTCTACCATTTGCAAAATTGTATTTAGAATAATTAAAATGAACACTCATGGGGAAAGATGCAAGCAAACAATTTTTTTTTTCAAGACAGAGTCTTGCTCTATTGTCCAGGCTGGAGTGCAGTGCAACAATCTCAGCTCACTGCAACCTCCACATCCTGGGGTTTAAGCAATTCTCTCTGCCTCAGCCTCCCGAGTAGCTGGGATTACAGGCACCTGCCACCACATCTGGCTAATTTTTGTATTTTTAGTACAGACGGAGTTTCACCATGTTGGCCAGGCTGGCTTGAACTCCTGACCTCAGGTGATCCACCCGCCTTGGCCTCCCAAAGTGCTGGGATTACAGGCATGAGCCATTGCGCCAGGCCTACAAATTCTTAATAATAGTGGAACATTTAAGTATGCTTACGTTAAATTTCCCATCCAAGGGAGTTACATATTTACTAATATATTTGTTTGACCTCTGAAACAGTCCATATACTCTAGGCCAGCACTAGAGCAATGTTTCACCAAAAAAGTAATTATTTTTCATTAGAAGTGTCTAGTTACTTTTTTTTTTGAGACAGGGTCTTGCTGTGTTGCCCAGGCTGTTCTTGAGCTCCTGGGCTCAACTGATCCTCCTGCCTTGGCCTCCCAAAAGAAGTGTCTATCTATTTTTAAATAAACTTTTTACTTTGCACTAATTTTAGATTTATAGGAAAGTTACACAGAGAGTACAGAGTGCTCCCATATGCCCCTCTAGCTCATTCTTCCCATTGTTAACACTTTACAAGACAGTGGTATGCTTGTCCACATTTAAAAAGCTGATATTGGTGCATTACTACTAACTGAACTTAAGACATGCTTGTATTTCCTCAGTTTTTCCATTAATGTTCTCTTTCTGGTCCAGGACACAATCCAAAGTCCCACATTGCATTTCTTTGTCATGCCTCCCAAGTCCCATATGGTCTGTGACAGTTCTTCAGTCTTTTCTTGTTTTTCATGACCTTGGCAGTCTTGAGAAGTACCAGCTGGGCATCCTGTAGAATATTCCCCCAGTCTAGGTTCACCTGATATTCTTCTCACGATTAGACTGGGGTTATGAGATTTTAGAAAAAATAGCACAAGGTGAAGTACCCTTCTTGTCACATCATTGAACTAGTTTTAAATCGCCATATTTTGATTAGGTAAGCTTTAAGATCCTTTCCAGTTCTAAAATGTTATGATCATATATTGTATACAGCCCATTATACATACATATATATACATATATATATACATATAGATAGATAGATAGATAGATAGATAGATATAGATATAGACAGAGTCTTGCTCTGCCACCAGGCTGGAGTGCAGTGGCACGATGTCGGCTCACTATAACTTCTGCCTCTCAGGTTCAAGCAATCCTCCTGCCTCAGCCTCTCGAGTAGCTAGGACTACAGGTGCGTGCCACCATGCCCAGCTATTTTTTGTGTGTTTTTAGTAGAGACAGGGTTTCACTGTGTTGGCCAGTATGGTCTCGATCTCCTGACCTCATGATCCACCCGCCTCGGCCTCCCAAAGTGTTGGGATAACAGTTGTGAGCCACCCACCACGCCTAGCCCCATTATATTTTATATAGCAAATATATATATATATAAGCCATATATATATGGAATATATATATCTGGATATACATTAGCCATATGTATATGGAATATATATATTATATGACATGTATATAACATGTATATATATGTATATACATATTATATATGTATATACATATATAATTAAAGCTCAGCATATATACATATATGTATACATATATGTGTATGTACATATATGTATACATATATGTATATGTACATATATGTATACATATATGTGTATGTACATATATGTATACATATATGTGTATGTACATATATGTACATATGTGTATACATATATGTGTATGTACATATACGTATACATATATGTGTATGTACATATACGTATACATATATGTGTATGTACATATACGTATACATATATGTGTATGTACATATACGTATACATATATGTGTATGTACATATACGTATACATATATGTGTATGTACATATACGTATACATATATGTGTATGTACATATACGTATACATATATGTGTATGTACATATACGTATACATATATGTGTATGTACATATACGTATACATATATGTGTATGTACATATACGTATACATATATGTGTATGTACATATACGTATACATATATGTGTATGTACATATACGTATACATATATGTGTATGTACATATACGTATACATATATGTGTATGTACATATACACATACATATACGTACATATACGTACATATATACATATGCATATACGTACATATATGTACATATATACATATGCATATACATACATATATGCACGTATATACGTATACATACATATATGCACGTATATACATATACATACATATATGCACGTATATACATATACATATATGTACATTTATACATATGCATACATACATGTACATATATACATATACACATACATATATGTATACATGCATACATATGTGTATACATACATACATATATGCATGTATACATGCATACACATGTATGTACGCATACATACAATATGTATACATATATATGTATGCATACATATGTATGTACACGTACATATGTATGTACACGTACATATGTATGTACGTGTACATATGTATGTACGTGTACATATGTATGTACACGTACATACATATGTGTGTAAGCATACATGTGTGTAAGCATACATATGTATGTACGTATACATATGTATGTACGCATACATACATATGTATGTATACATACACGTATACATACATATGTATGTACGTATACATACATATACATGTATATATACACATGTATGTATACATATATATACATTTATATGTACATACATACATGCATATGTACAGACATGCGTGCATATATACATCCATATGTACATGCATATACATATACATGCATATATATAAATACATATATATGTGCATGCATATATATGTACATACATATACCTGTACATGCATATATATACCTATACATATATGTATATATACCTATACATACATATATGTACTTACATATATGTATATATACGTATACATACATATATACATATATGTATATATACGTATACTTACATATATACATATATGTATATATACGTATATATGTATATGTATACATATATACATATATATGTATATGTATACATATATACATATATATGTATATGTATACATACATATATACATGTATAACATGTATATAATATATAACATGTATATATTATATATATGGAATATATATAATATATAACATGTAGCTATTTTTATATATATATTCCATATATATACCATATATATACACACCATATATACCATATATATACACACCATATATATACCATATATATATACATGCACCATATATATACACACACCATATATATGTGTGTGTATATATATATACACACATATATATGTGTATATATATATACACACACATATATATGTGTATATATATACACACACATATATATGTGTATATATATATACACACACATATATATGTGTATATATATATACACACATATATATATATAGTATATATATATATACACACACATATATATATATATTCCAGTTTTGTAAATTTTTGCCTGTCTGTAGCCCAGGGTCCCCAGGTTTTTGGGTGCACACTGTGAAAAAGTACCAACTTAAAACTGCTGCGCCTTGAGTTCTCATTGTTTCAAAAAGTTCCAGGGAGAAGCTCAACTCAGGAAAAACAGAAACTGGTTGGATCCAGAGGTACCTGAGTTGGAGATGAACTTTGGGGAACTCCACTCATTACCATACTAAATCCCTGCTCAGGGAGGAGCTTACTAGCCATGTTCTATACATGTGACATATGTAGAAGCATGATCAGGTCTATGCCTGGTCTACCTTTATTCTGCCTCTACATGCAATGACTCAGCTAACCAGCCCAATACAAGCTCTGTTTTCACCATTTTTCTGGGAGGCACTGCTTTGAGAACTATCCCTGGTGCCCTTCTTACTTGTTGCAAATAATAAAATCCCCTTGTTAAATTTTCCTCGGTTGCAGTCATTAGTGTGTGACCCACCAGGTGATCAAACCCACCTGTTGTGTGTGTAAAATCTAGTTACACTCAAGTGATCAGCAGGTAAAGGAAACCCACATAATCATCAGTTCATCAACTATAGTGTATTTACTTTATCCTTTTCCCAAAAATCAGGTGCTCTCTATGGATCTCCAGCATTTACAGATCTATGAAAGATTTTACCAGTCTACTAAATATTCCCACCCTTGGGCCAAACTTACCCAATTGAGGCAAATATATTAGTAGGCCAAACATATTTCTAGAACAAAAGGAAAGAAATGAAGAATCCAATTTTTAAAAGGATACGAGTGTATTAAATTACAGAGACACCAAGAATGAGAAAGATGTCTCTCACTCCAGAAATTCATGCTTCCTTGAGTGAAAACAGGAGGAAAAGTTTGAGATGAGAAGGAAGAGGAAGCCGCTGCTCAGTGGGCAAACCATCCTATCAAAACGATTTTGTAGTTGCTTTATTTTCTTTTATGACCACTTAATTTTATACTTGCAGTGCAATTGGGACTTAGTAGATTTGGAAATTAATATTGAAATGCTTTTGTAGTGAATATAGCACCAAATATACCCTATATTGACACTAAAAACTGACACTATACTTGCTTTGCATTTGCATACACATTCATTGCAGCAACCTTGTACAATTCCATTTTAGAAGGGAGGAAATGAAGGGCCAGATAAATTATGATAGGATTTGAAATCCAGAAGCCCTTCCATGTAGCCTACACCCTTATTTCACAGATTCAAAGACAGAAACCTAGAGATGTCAAACTAGCACTCACAGCTAGTTAGCGGCAGAGCATGGACGTAATCTCTGGTCCTCTAGTTCTCCAGGCCTGCTAGCTGGCTTCTTTAGAGTAATAAAGCCAGCAGTGAATGCCTACACAGTACTTGTCATGGGTCAAGATCAGTATTGTTTCAAGCACTTCACACATATTAACTCATTATTCCCACAACACCCTGTGAGGTGGGTCTTCCCATTTACAGGTGATGAAATGGGAGCACTTAGAAATTAAACAAGTGTGCCTAGCATCATACACCTAGCAAATGGCAGGCTTCGGATGTGAACCCAGATTGCAACACCCCAGTGCCTCTTAACCACTATGCCAAACGCCTGAACTCAGATGCTGATTTCCTCCTTTCTTAGTTTCATTTTCTCACTGACGAATAGAAAACTTTAAATAGTTGTTACTGTCTTAAGCATGCATAGGAGTTTCACATGGCTAGATGCAATGAACCTGGAGATTTTCCCAAGGTAAGCTGAAATAATATTATCTCTTGTGGCACTTGGTGCTGTTGCTGAACTTCTCTTTACACTGTTCCCTTTCATAGCACGTTGAAAAGAGGCTCCTGCTTCAATCCAGCCATTTACTCCACAAAGGTATATTGAACACCTGTTATGCAGAAGGGATTATAATCCCTGCTCTCAAGGAGACTATAACTTAGTCATGGTGTGAAGTGAGGAATTTGGGATGGTAGAGGTAAAATTTTTTTACAATACAAGAGCAAAAGGATCAGTTGTTTTTAAAAAATGATATAGCAAATCATGGGCTGTAGTCTCCAATAGGTTAATAAGTACACAATTAAATATAAGATAGAGTTGTAATAACATTTTAGAAGAGAGACAGTGATCATGACTTTGAAAGTAATAAATACAGTAATAATGGCTAATGTAAGACACAATGGTTTGTAACAGTTAGTTCATTTATCTTCAACAGAAGGACAATTTTTAACATTTTTTAAAAACTGTGTGCCGAAGTTTGTTTCATACTTTTCAAAGAGAAAGGACTTGATCATATCTGTATGTGAGGAAAAGCAAATTGCACAATGTTTGAAATTAATGACTAGATACATTTTCTTCTGCCCCCAAACAAGCCTCTATTTCCCCAAAACAAAAATTTTCTAAAGTACCTTGGAATATCCTGGTAATCTCTGGAAGTTGAAAATATTTTAGTACCCGAGATTTAAGCCAGAAACAATTTTGTTTTTATCTGCTGGCAAGAGGGAAGTTATAATATATTCTTTAATAGTATAAAGTCTACAAAAGGGGATCTAATAATAGATTCTACAAAAATCTTTATTGTGGAATGCTGATTGTACTTTAAACTTCAAGCCCAGGTAATATGCATGCATTTATACTGTTCAGATTTTATTATTTATGCCTCTGACATAAGTTAAAGAGCCAGCAGCTAGGCAGTAAATAGAAACAATTATTTATTACCTAGCCGGCATTTTTATTCATTTTTGCTGACTCATAAATTCCCTGATCTGCTCACATTAAGCCAACGTGTCTTTATTTGCATGCAGTCAAAAGGAGGAATTATGACTCTGAAATCAGGAGATCTCTCCCTTAGCTGCCGTGACTCTATGGGGCACACATTGATGGCTAGATTGTCATTTGTTCATTTTTGCCTTTGCTATTATTTTCTCCCCACACAGATTGCTTGCCAAATGTTTCTGGAAACAGCATGGTCGTTTCCACTTGGAACAACTCACTGTTGGATGCTTATATTTCTTCCGCTGTCAACTTCAGTAACTTGGTCAGAATGACGCCAGCTCTAGTCACAAGTAAATCATTGCTTCATATGAAATTCCTCATTTTTATTGTAGAGGGTGTTAAATACAATCTTGACTCATAAAGTGATTTATTTCCTCAGTGAGTACAAAGCACATTAATCCAATATCTCCAAAATCACTGTAGTCACCAGAGAGGCCAGATTGAACTCTATATCCAAATTATCTCTAGAATCCTTTATGTAACCTGAATCCTTCCTCTCTACACTTGTGTTAGAAGAACAAATATTACTCTCAGGAGCTTTTAGTTGAAACAGTCATCATGATATTTTTGTACAGTGCTGTGTAATCAACATGCATGCATGTATTTCACTCGGGTTTTCTACATTTTATGTACATGTACAAAACATTAACAGGTTGGAAGAGTAGGTATTTTAGAAATGGAAAAGCTAAGACTCAGAAGCTAGAAGGCTTGTCCAGGGTGACACAGGCAGCAAGCGGCCTTTGGCAAGTGTCAGAATCTCCTGACTCCCTGACCACTGCCCCTTCTCATACCATGGTCCCCCAACAAGCCAAAGACAGCTAAGGTTAAAAATAGAGGTAATGTGTTGGACAATTCACAAAAAGATCTCATTGCTGGGATGCATAAACATATTTGACCATTAATCTGTTACCTTAAAAAAAAAAAAACCATGATTGGCTGGGCGCAGTGGCCTGTAATCCTAGCAATTTGGGAGGCCAAGGCAGGAGTATTGCTCAAGCTCAGGAGTTTGAGACCAGCCTGGGAAACATGATGAAAACTTGTCTTTACAAAAAATACAGAAAATTAGCTGGGCATAGTGGCACGTGCTTGTAGTCCCAGCTACTTGGGAGGCTGAGATGGGAGGCTCATCTGAGCCCAGGAAGGCCGAGGCTGCAGTGAGCCCTGATGGCACCACTGCACTCCAGCCTGAGTGACAGAGTGAGAACTTGTCTCAAAAAAAAAAAAACCAAAACCCCATGATCTTGGGTAAAGAACTAAGCCACACAAGGTGGCTCAGTCTTCAAGCACTAGCAGGCTGCAACTCAGTTACTGGTTTCCTCTTACTGCTTTCTCCCCTCTTTGACTTCAGCTACATTTCCTTTTAAAAATGTGTATTTATTTATTTATTTTGAGATGGAGTCTCTCTGTGTCATCCAGGCTAGAGTGCAGTGGCCTGCGATCTTGGCTCACTGCAATCTCCACCTCCCAGGTTCAAGCGATTCTTCTGCCTCAGCCTCCTGAGTAGCTGCGATTACAGGCATGCACCACCACGTCTGGCTAATTTTTGTATTTTTAGTAGAGACGGGGTTTTGCCATGTTGGCCGGGCTGGTCTTGAACTCCTGACCTCAGGTTATCCACCTGCTTCGGCTTCCCAAAGTGCTGGGATCACAGACGTGAGCCACTGCTCCTGGCCCTACATTTCCTTTAACTTGTCCTATTTGTCTTCTGCCTTTCCCCTATTTTAGATCCCTTTTATTTGATGTCTTTAGTCCCTTAGGTTTCTTCCACTCCTTTAACCAATTCCATTTGATAAAGATGCCCTTTTGTCTAATGTTGCTTTTTCTCTCAGACAGTGAAAATTGTGTGAGCTTTGAAACTTTATCAACCTAGGATGGAACCTCAATTCAGTTGCCTGCTATGTGACTTCAGGAAAGTACAATATTTCCCCCATGCAGAAAATCAGATAAATTAGAACTCACTTCATCCAGTTGCTATGAGCTTTTTAATGATAATTAAATTGCTATATGCACAGTGCCTGGCACAGGGAAGGTAATCCAAAAGGTAAATTCCATTCCCTTGATATGATCATATTCCATCCTCTGTGTGCATTTGGGACACTTATTTTGTATTTACAGTGCACTGCAATGATGGCCAAGAGGCTAATCATGAAAAAAACAAGGCTAAGATGAATGCAATACACATCCTCTAAATATAATAGCTATCTGGTCCAACATCTGTATTATCACGATGAATTTAGATAGAAGCATATAAAATTGCCTACTAGAGTGAAAATCTCTTAGTAATTTATACATGCAAATAGCTTAAACCTTACATTTAGAAAATTGTGAAAAATATATTCTTTTCACAATCCAGTGCCACAAGGCTTATTCCAAAAAGATGCATGAACCTGGCCAGGCGTGGTGGCTCATGCCTGTAATCCCAGCACTTTGAGAGGCCAAGGCAGGCAGATCACGAGGTCAGGAGTTTAAGACCAGCCTGACCAGCATGGTGAAACCACGTCTCTACTAAAAATACAAAAATTAGCTTGGCATGGTGACATGCGTCTGTAATCCCAGCTACTCAGGAGGCTGAGGCAGGAGAATTGTTTGAACCTGGGAGGCAGAGGTTGCAGTGGGCTGAGATAGTGCCACTGCACTCCAGCCTGGGTGACAGAGTGAGACTCCATCTCAAAAAAAAAAAAAAAAAAAATGCATGAACCTAAGTATACCTAGGTAGTCTATCATTCATTTGTTATTAAATAAACATTTACTGAATTTCTGTTTAATATCTGACTTCCTGGAGCCTAGGTTAGTTTCCACAGAGAAAAGCGCCCAAAAGTTACAATGGGCATTATTGATTGAATTCTAATGCATTCCCAGTTGATGTGGAGCAACCAAAGATAGGCTTCAAGGAAATTTGGAATCCACATGATTTCAAAATAGACGGGAAACTAAGGAATCCTTGCCACTGTGGAGCTATTTCATGATGGCAGGTATTAGGTTTGGAAGGTGGAAATGGCTCCTTGGGCTCAGTGTCCCCAGTGCTATTTCTACCAGACTTCATGGTTTTACATATCCATTCCATGCCTCTGGGCCCAGATTCCTGGACATCCTTTGGAAAATGACAAAAGAACGTTTCTCTTAATTTGGTCTCTAATTTTAATCATGAATGTCAAGGTAAAAAAACCCTTAGATCATCTAGTCGAAGCCTCTATTTTATAGGTAAGGAAACTGAGGCCTAGAGCAGCAGAGACTTATCTAAATCATACATCTGGTCAGAAGCAGAGAGGGACTGGGTTGACTATGGGGCAGAGACATCAGACAGAGAGTGTTGCCTTTTGAGCAGAAAGTGCCATGATAAAATCAGTGCTTGGCTCCTTAAGCTAGGCTTTAAGCCTTCAGAAGTGTACATGGTGAATTAACCTAATGCAAATGATGCGAGAGTGGTCAAGATGCTTGCATGAGAATGCTGCTTTTTGTGCAATATTTTAAGAGTATGAGCTGTAAAACCTAAGAAAAAAGGCATATTATGAAGTTTACATACATTTTTTCCCTCCAAAAATGACAAATTCTTTATTGGTGAGAATTTTAGGCTGCAAGTTTGAAGTCAAAGGTCATCACTGCTAAGGGAAGTTCTCTTTCAGAAAGATGTTCAGGGAGAGTTGTAGAGACTGATAAATTCCCATATCATGTTTCTAAATATCTTGCATATGACATACAGGTCTCCTTATAAGAAAGAAAAGGCCTGACAATGGGAAATGATCATGATTCAACATTAAGTGAGATAGTGTGATTTCAAATATTTAAAACACTTACACATGGAAAAACTGAAAAACAGTATTCCAAAATATTAATAGCAGTTATCTCTGAATTGTGGCTGATTTGTTTCCTTTTTAACATTTTTTGGCACTTGCTAATTTTCTGAGACCAGCCTGACCAACATGGTGAAACCCCGTCTCTACTAAAAATACAAAAATTAGCTGGGTGTGGTGATGTGTGCCTGTAATCCCAGCTACTCAGGAGGCTGAGTAATAAATGTACATTACATTTATTCTTTAAAAGATTGGGCCAGGCACAGTGGTTCATTCCTGTAGTCCCAGCTATTCGGGAGGTTGAGGCGGGAGGATCACTTGAACCCAGGAGTTCAAGGCTGCGGTGAACTATGATTGCACCACTGCACTGCAGCCTGGAAGTTTTTTCCAAATGTATATATAATATGTACGTGTGTGTGTGAATATGTCTACACACTCACACTTATCTTCATGTTTTAAAAGAGCCATTATCTGACTTAGTGTCAGTTATCATAACCATATCATACCCAGAGTATAGTTACCAAACGAGACAGAAAGTTAAAAAGGATATCCAGGAATTGAACTCAGCTCTGCACCAAGCAGACCTAATAGACACCAACAGAACTCTCCACCCCAAATCAACAGAATATACATTCTTCTCAGAACCTGGGGTATTCTTTAAGATGGGGTAGGGAGTACAGCTGGACCCCAGGCAGATAGCACCACCCACTCCCCTCTCTTTTTCCTCACCCTACTACCCACAGACTTTCAAGTCTGAGGAAAACCCCCACCTTCTTCTACCCTGTTACTAGATAACTTTCTTTCCAATACTCTGACCAACCCTTACCCCTCACCATTTGTGAGTGGGGGTGGTTGGGTGGGGGAAGAAAAATCTTCATAGTTTAGGTTGGCTTAGACTTCGGGAATGTAAAATAAACATCTGGCGGGGGTGGGAGAGGGCTGGGAAACTTTCATTAATACAAGTGTATTAATATTAGTCACAGCTGTAATCCCAGAGCTTTGGGAGGCCAAGGTGGGAGGATTGCTTGAGCCCAGGAGTTTAAGACCAGCCCGGGCAACACAGCGAGATGCCATATCTAAAAAAAGAAAAAAGTCAGAAACAAGTTGAACCCTGTTTGCTGACTTCAAAAAAGAGAGTTCCAGCAGAGGAGTATTAAAAGGATATGCTTTGATGAAATCATGACAATCCAAGGTTTTATAGGAGGACAAACCAGCAATTTGAGGGCCCTGGGTCTTTTTCCTTCGGAACTGTCTCAGCCTCCTGCTCTCCTGCTTCCCAGCCACCGTCCACATGTCCTTATTCTGTGGAAATGGCTGAATTCTTCATCCACTTTCCAGCCTAGGTAGCAGACACCAGCCCAAAGATAATTTCACGTGAGCCCAAAGACATAGAGACAGGGAGGGGCGGCTCCTGAGAAGCAAACACACAGGACCACGCCTGGTGACAAAGGTAGTTTTTCTGCCATGCTGAAGTTAACTGAGCCCTGAGTAGGTTGCCACATAAAACCCAGGACATTCCCGTACAATTTGAATTTCAGATAAACAATGAATATATTTGTATGCAAGTATGCATACTTACACTAAAAATTATTGGTTGTTTATCTGCAATACAAATTTAGCTAAGCATCCTGTATTTTTACTTGCTAAATTTGTTAATCCTAAATCCTGAGTAAAGTGATGAGATCCAACAAAATAAAACGTTCACCCAATTTAAACACTTAAATAAATTCTACTGACAGTCCAGTTCTAATGTTAATTTTCTTATTTTAAAGGTCTGTATTTCACAGTATTCTCAGCTTATATTATTTTGGGATCTGTAAACTTCAGTAACATCTTTTACTTGTTAGAATGTAAATTATTTTAATAATAATCTGTGATTATTTACATAATTTATATCACTGTAATTAAGCTTTAAGTACTTACAATATGTATCTTCCCTATTTAAGAATAATTCTAATTGATAGCAAATTCTTTTCTTTTTCAGAATGAGCCTTTCAATCATAGAGAGACTGAAAGACTGAGACTGCATTTATTTCAGAAAGTGATTGGTGCAGAGGTATGATGATATATTTTCAGTGTGTCTATCAAGAAGGTGGTGTTGAAATATCTGTGGCAATATTGGCAAGGAGTCAGTCTCTTGCTATTTCACAATGGCCTTAATCCTAGTGATGGCAATTTCTTCTTGCAACAAAGAAAGACAGTGACACCAAAGGAGAAATATTCAAAGTGGGATGAAAGGGGTTGACATTAGAAAAGACTTCATGGTGATTGGAAAAAAATGGAAAAAGATTTTGAAAGCACTCCATCACAGGGCACACTACAATCACAAACTTCATGCCTTACACAGTTTCCTTTCCTGTCATACTAACTGTGCTTCTTCAACATCTCCTGGGAACCAGAAGAAAGAGCAAGGTTTCCAAACACCAATAGGTGAATTCAAGCAACCCACATCTAGATGGAGCACCACTCAATAATGCTCAAAAGCCAGATGAGAGACAACGTGCAATTGCCTTATCCCAAATGGTTAACAGCTGTGTTCAAATACTCCACCAAGGAGTTTGGCCAAGCATGCAGCAAGAAACAGATGGAATAGAGTGCCTCAGTCAGTGCAGTAGAAAAGCCATAGGATTAAAAGGTCAGAATTTTGGACACAACTCTGCCAGCAACTAACGTTGGCCTGGGCAAATTTCTCAGGTTCTCCCTCTGTAGAATGAAGACATTGAATAAGACTAAACAGGTGCGTTCTCTGTCAGGCTAAACTCCAAAGAAACTTAATTCAATTATTTTTTCCCCAAAACCTCAATTCCCTTGCCTCCCTTTTTCCCCCATGCCTACCTGGCAAAGGCCCAACCCTCAATCATGCCAACTATTTCTAATCTCTGAACTACCAACTCCTGGACAACTGAGAACCACAGGAGAAAGTGGCACCACTGAGGTCAGTGCCTCACCAGATCCCTAGCCAGCAGCCCACCCTCACTCAGCAAAGGCCCTGTCCTCAGTTTAGAGAAGTCAGGGAACTCCCTCAAGTCCCTCCTGGTTTGCTCTGCTGGCTCACTCCCAATGCATTAATTGTTTTCCTCTTCCTGTCTCAGCAGAAAAGGATCTTGCCCTAGATGATGCTTCATTATCATTGCTCTACGAGATAACTTTCTTCTCTTCTATTTTATCGGAAGATTCCCTCAGCATGATATATTTATATCATCTATTTTTAAGAAAAAAAAAAAAAAAAAAAAAAAAAACAACCCTCTCTTATCTGCCCTTTCCTGCTGTTTCCTTTCTTAAGACTTAAGCTCTCTGAAAGAGTAGTCTGTATTTATCATTTCCACTTTCTTATTTTAATTCTCTCTTCCACTCACTTCTATCTGTTTTCTGCTACCAACACCCCAGCGAGCACCTCCTAAGGTCATCACCTGTCTTATTGTTAAATCTAGTCGGCACTTTCTAGCCCACAGGCCTAATAGCACTTTGCACTAAAATGTGTGCTCTGAAATGACCTTTCTCTTGGCTTTTATGATCTCTGTCTCCCCTTCTGCTCTCTCCCCTCCATCCTACCACCCAGTCTATTCCTTACATGTTGATATCCCCAAGGGTAGTGTTCCAGGCTCTTATTCCCTGGCTGGATTTACATACCAAGTTTCCAATATGCTTAACTTTTCCAAAACTGAACTCATCATTATGCTGTTTAAACCCTCTATTTCTTTCTCATCTGGGGGGATCAGCAGGTACCTAATCATTGATAACAGAAATCTTAGCACCACACTTAAATTCACCATTCCTCACACCTCAATTATAATTGGTCACTGAATCATATCAATTCCATCTCTTTAGTGTCATCTTCATTATCAGGCAGATCTAATCTGGTCAGCCACCAACCCGTGACACCCAACTGAAAACCTGTACAGGTTCTAGAGCACCTATAAGATAAAGCTTACCTCTTTGCCATGGACCTCAAGGCCTTTTTAAAGCCATTCTTTCCATACCTCATTGATCTCATCTCCAACCTCTCTCCTCTGTTGCATCCTAGAGTTTTGCTAAAACAAATGCCTGAGGTCTCAAAAATGTGCCATGCTCTCATGCTGACAGGAACCTTGCACCTGCTTATCCTTTCTGCTGGAATTCTCTCACAAATCCTCGGTTTCCCATTTCAGCTGCCCAACTTGTACTCATGTCTCAAGACTCAGTCCTCTCCACCTACAAATCTTTCTCGGTGCCCAGTCCAAGTTGCTGCTCCTCCTATGTGCTCCCCAAGGTCACTGCTTCATTTTACCTTGCATCAGTTTTCCAGAATGGCCACAACAAACTACTACAAGTCTGGGTGGTTAAAATAGAAGAAGTTGGCCAGGCGCGGTGGTTCATGCCTGTAATTCCAGCACTTTGGGAGGCCAAGGCAGGTAGACTGGTTCAAGCCAGGAGTTCGAGACCAGCCTAGCCAACATGATGAAACCCCATGTCTACTAAAACTACAAAAATTAGCCAGGCGTGGTGGCACATGCCTGTAATTGAAGCTACTCAGAAGCCTGAGGCATGAGAATCATTTGAACGACTTTGCAGTGAGCTGAGATCATGCCACTGCACTCCAGCCTGGGTGACAGTGTGAGACTCTGTCTCAAAAAACAGAAGAAATTTATTCTCTCATAGTTCTAGATGCTCGAAGTCCACAATCACAGTGTCTCTCTGAAGACTCCAGGGAACATTCTTTCCTTGCCTCTTCTAGCCCCTGGTATCCCAGACAACCCTTGATGTTCTTTGGCTTGCAAATGCCTCACTCTAATCTCTGCCTCTGTCTTCACCTGATCCTCTCTGTGTCATCTCCTCTCCTTATAAGGACACCAGTCATTAGATTTAGGGCCTATCAAGTGTGACCTGATCTTAAGTAATTACATTTACACAGACCCATTACCAAATAAGATCACAATTTTTTTAAAATTTTTAATTTTTATTTTTAGAGACAGGATATTGCTCTGTTGCCCAGGTGAGAGTGCAGTGGTATGATCCTAGCTCACTGCAGCCTTGAACTCTTGGGCTCATGTGATCCTCCTCAATCAGCCTCCCAAGCGGCTAGGACTGCAGATGTGTGTCGCCAAGCCCAGATAATTTTTGGGAGACATGAGGTCTCACTGTGTTGCCCAGGCTGCTCTCAAACTCTTGGCCTCAAGTGATTCTGCCACCTTGGCCTCCCTCAGCACTAGGATTATAGGCATGAGCTACTGTGCCCAGACAGTATTACATTCTGAGGTTCCAGTTGGACATGAATTTTATGGCGGCACAATATTCAACCCACTACATGTCATGACATTTGTAATACTGTAATGAAGGAGTCTATTTTTCCATTTCCCCCATCAGACAGTGAGGTCTTTGAGGATGGATCCATGTAATACTCATCTTTGAATTTTTGCTGTCTAATTCAATGTCTAGCATATAGCAGAAATTTTAAATGTTCTTGAAAATGCAATTATGTGCTTGTATGATTTTCTCTTTTAACAATTAAATTTTCCCTAATTTGATACAACTAACTTCTTTCTAGTTTAACTTTATTTGTACTTCACTTTCTGTCCTTTGAGTTTTTATTGCACCTACAATATATCCTGTACATAACATCTTTTAATTCAGTCATAAACAGTTCCTATAAAACACAAGGGTTCCAAAGAAAAATATGAGAGAGAAGCAATGGACGCATGAAGTCAACAGACAGCTAAAAAATAAAAAATAGATGGAAGTGAGACATAGTTTACTATGAAATATCTGGTCCTCCAGGTACTTCTTCAAGCATTATATTACCAGAGACTTTCAGTTATAATTCCTTACATTTTAGATATTGTATAAACCTTCTAGCTGCCTTGAACAAAGGCATTTTCAATGAGGTACTATATTAGTATTGCTACAGGTGTGAAATTAAGTGTAAGTAAGTGTGAGATACAGGCTAAGCTTCTACAATAAAGAAACTAAAAAAACCCACTGGCCCCAACAAGGTAAAAGTTTGTTTTTGTATATAATAGCCATAGTTAGATAGTTCAGGGGAGCTTGCACGGGGGAGGGGTCTGCACCATGGACTCAACTTCCTCCTACCATGATGCTCTGCCATGCTCCAGAGCTGCTCCATCCAATATGGCAGCCAACGCCCACGTGTGGCTATTCAGCTCTTAAAATGTAGCTAGTCCAAATTAGGATATGTTGTAAGTATAAATGTTGTATTTAAAAGATTGGTGGGAATAAAAAAAGGCATAATCAATCTCATTAATAATTTTCTATTGATTGCATTTTGAAATAATATTTTGAATGTACTGAGTTAAAAATGTTATTAAATTTAATTTCATCCATTTCTTTGTATTTTTTTAAAGCTTACAAATTTTTACTTACATTTGTGGCTCACGCTATATTTCTATGAAACAGTGCTGTTCTAGAATATAGTGTATCATCCTCCTCTGTATGGTAAAAGCTGATTTACAGTACTACATACCTGGTCAGCTAGCAGGAAAAAGGGAAGAAAAAAAAGTAGAGAGCCAAGCATTCTTTTAAGGAAATGATATATTATTTGCACACATCAGTTCACTCATATTTCATTGGTGAGACCTTGGTCACATGGCCCTACCAAGCAGCTCAGAATGCAAGGAAATGCGGTGCGTGGATGCGCAGCCACGTGCCATACTGGAAAGAAAGGTGGGGGAGCAAAGGGGAAGAATGGATTCTGGGGTGGCAAATACAAACTAGTATTTGTTAGTATCAAGTGTGAACTGATCTTATGTAATTACATTTACAAAGACCCATTTCCAAATAAGATCACTTTTTTAAGTTTTATTTTTAGAGACAGGGTCTTGCTCTGTTGCCCAGGCAAGAGTCCAGTATTGTGATCCTAGCTCACTGCAGCCTTGAACTCTTGGGCTCATGTGATCCTCCCTGATCAGCCTCCCAAGCAGCTAGGACTATTGTGCCACCACATCCAGATAATTTTTTTTTTTTTTATGGAGTCTCACTCTGTTGCCAGGCTGGAGTGCAGTGGCGTGATCTTGGCTCACTGCAACCTCCGCCTCCCGGGTTCAAGCAATTCTCCTGCCTCAGCCTCCCAAGTAGCTGGGATTACAGGTGTGCGCCACCACGCCTGGCTAATTTTCGTATTTTTAGTAGAGACCGGGTTTCACCATGTTGGCCAGGATGGTCTCAATCTCCTGACCTCGTGATCCGCCTGCCTTGGCCCCCCAAAGTGTTGGGATTACAGGCATGAGACACCACGCCTGGCCCCAGATAGTTTTTTTTGGGTAGAGATGAGGTCTCACTGTGTTGCCCAAGTTGTTCTCAAACTCCTGGCCTCAAGTGATTCTGCCACCTTGGCCTCCCTCAGCACTGGGACTATAGGCATGAGCTACTATTCCCAGACAAGATCACATTCTGAGGTTCCAGTTGAACATGAATTTTGTGGTGGGGGGGGCACTATTCAACTCACTACATGTCATAACATCTATAATACCGTAATGAAGGAGTCTATTTTCCCAATTCCCCCATTGGACAGTGAGGTCTTTGAGGATGGGACCTCATGTGATCCTCTGTCAGGTATGTTTCTTTAAAAAGGTATCAAGTTGACTTTAAGGAAGGGAGTTTAAAGGGCTTCCCTGAGAGTGACAATGGGGAAAAATGAAGTAAGAGGATATCCAGAAACCTAATGAAAAATAACCAAACTAAAATATTTCAGCATCTAGACTGAGAAAGTAAAACAAGGAAAACGGGATAAACAATGGCTCGGGGCAAAAAGGCACTGGCAGAAGGAAAGATGCCCTTGCACTCTAGACAGTGTGGAACAGGGAGGGAGGAGGGATACCTGCATAGCCACCTTCCTGATTCTGTAACTGGGGCCCAGGAAGTTTGGTTATGGCTCTGATCCCAAATGCTGGAGAAGTGATATGGGAAATCAATAGAAAACTGAGATCTAAAGAGCTTGGAGTTGCTCAGATTGACAAGAAGAGAAAGTAGACAATTATGGCAGGAAGGAAAGTTCAGTGATGGAGTCCTGTGAAGATGGTAACTTAAACACGTACCTTTGACTTCAACTCCCTCTTAACTCCTTTTCTGTAGGGATACTTCAGCAAAGGATGAAAGCTAGCAGAGCACCTAGGACACGTATGAAGCTGTAGAGTCTAACAGGATCTCAGGAAGAAGGTAAATTACCTTCAGAGTAGAGTGCTTGATTGTCACTGAGGCCAGAGATTAAAAACCAGATCGTGTGATTTCAGAGGGTCCAGATGTCTCTAACACTATTTGTATTCCTGTTACCCTAGAAGGGTCTGTCAGCCTTTGCTCACTCAAGTCCATTGAAGGAAAGTCTATTGAGTGACTGAGTTATTTAGTGTCCATTGTTGAGGAAAAGCTACATCTTATTCTTAGGAAGGCCTGACAGCAAAGAGGGTTCTTCCTTCTGTCTTAAGTGGGTGTTTGGATTCTGACAAGGTTTATTTTAACCACCTATTTATGATAATAGAATTTTCTGTCTCTTCCACTATTAATTGTTTGACACTGCTCCAGAGACCCTCAGGGCTTGAGTGAGGCAATCCTGAACCATAACCAGCTTCAAAAAACAAATCACATAAGAAGTCTTAGAAACCAGAGGTATATGAAATTGACTCTCAGTACAGTTAGCTAATAGAAAAGCAGGAAAAAATACTTTAAAATTACTTTCGTGGTAAAACTACTAGAGCATCTAAGAAAACCAGCTAAAATAAAAATTTGTATTTGACCTGAAAAAACCAGTAGTGATCTGAAGATCAATCGAAAGAAATAGTAGTAGATAAGGTAGAAATATAAAGAGATGAAAACTGTGGGAGGAAAGATAGGAGGTATGAAAAGATGAAGCCTGGGAGACTATATATTCAAGGAATAGGATGTTCAAAGATGAAAAAGTAATACACAGAGAAGAATAATTAACAGGAAGAATTCTTTTTTCTAATTTGAAGGGAAAAAATTGAGAATATAATGAAAGGACAGAATGAATCCCATCAGGATTAATGGTCACACACACACACACACACACACACACACACCCTAGTAAAACTTCTGAGCTCCAAGTTAAAGAGAACACATTGGATACTACACAGAAGGAGAAAAAAACAGACTAATGTCAGACTTCTCATTGGTAACACTAGTTGAAAAGAGAACAGATCTAAAAAAACCATTATACATCAGAGCTATATTTCATCTCTTCCAGAATAAAAGGCATTTTCAGATAAGCCAATATACATATTTTATGCTGCCCAAATACCGTATCCAAGGAACTTACTGAAGCATGCAATTAAATCAAGTGAAATGAAAGTTGAGTGCAATTAAATCAGAACATAGATCTCAAGATAGGGAATGATGAAGACAGAACATAAAGGTGCACAATAAATATATATACACATATATATGTTTGTAATGAAAATATTGAAAGAAAAAGAGCATATTGTGTGAGGGTCCAAGATGGCAGATTAGAAGAAGCTGCAGTCCATGGCTGTCATGGAGAAGAATGAAAACAGTGAGTGAATTCAGCACCTTCAACAGAAATACCCAGGTTCCTGCATTGGGACTGACTAGGTGGACAACTTGACCTTCAGAGAATGAAGAAAGGCGGGGTGGGGCAACAAGCCACCTGGGAGCAGCACAGAGCCAGAGGAACTCCTGCTCCCAACCAAGGGGAGTGGTGAGTGATTGTGCAACCCTGCCCAGGAAACCACACTTCTCCCATGGATCTTTGCAAACCATGGATCAAGAGATCCCCTCGTGAGCCCATACTACCAGGGCCTTGGCTCTGATCCACAGCGTTGCCCAGAATCTTGGCAGAGCAGCCGCTCAGGCACACACAGAGACCCAGGAGTTTTACATACTCCAGCCCCGGAAATCCCGGTGAGGTGGGAGATTCATCTGTACATTACCCTAGAAAGGGGGTGGAATCCAGGAAGCCAAGCAGCATCATTCTGCAGGCCCAACTTCCGCAACACCTCACAAGTTAAGATCCACTGGCTTGGAATTCCAGCCAGCCAGCTACACCAGGCTGGAGAGACTGCCTGAGATGGACCAACTTCTAGTGGGAAGGGGCGACCACTGTCACTATTGTTCAGTCGACTCAGCCATTCTAGCCTGCTGGCTCCAGAGAGTCCAGGCGGTCCAGAGAAGGAGGAGTCCCCCACAATGCAGCATAGCTGCTGTATTTTTGAAAAAAATTAATAAAATAGATAGACCACTATCTAGACTAACAAAGAAGAAAAGGGAGAATAATCAAATAGACACAATCAGAAATGTTAAGGGGATATCGCTACTGATCCCACAGAAATACAAACAACAATCAGAATATTATAAACACCTGTATGCACATAAACTAGAAAATCTAGAAGACTGGATATATTTCTGGACACATACACTTCCCAAGACTGTACGAGGAAGAAATTGAATCCCTGAACACACCAATAATGAGTTTTGAAATTGAGGCAGTAATAAATAGCCTACCAACCAAAAAAAGCCCAGGACCCAATGGATTTACCCCTGAATTCTAACACAGAAGATCTGGTACCATTCCTACTGGAACTATTCTGAAAAATTGAAAAGGAGGGACTCCTCCCTAACTCATTTTACGAGGCCAGCATTATCCTGATACCAAAACCTGGCAGAAATACAACAAAAAAGGAGAAAACTTTAGGCCAATATCCTTTATGAACATCAATGTAAAAATCCTCAATAAAATACTGGTAAACCGAATCCAGCGGCTCATCAAAATGCTTATCCACCATGACCAACTTGACAGCATCCCTGGGATGTAAGCTTGGTTTAACATATGCAAATCAATAAATGTGATTCATCACATAAACAGAACTAAAGACAAAAACTATATGATTACCTCATAGATGCAGAAAAGATCTCAGGTAAAATTTAACATTCCTTCATGTTAAAAACTCTCAATAAACCAGGTGTTGAAGGAATATACCTCAAAATGGTAAGAGCCATATATGACAAACCCAAAACCAACATCATTCTGGATGGACAAAAGCTGGATGCATTCCCCTTGAAAACTGGCAGAAGGCAAGGATGCCCTCTCTCACCACTCCTATTCAACAGAGTATTGGAAGTTCTGCCCTAGCCAATCAGGCAAAGGAAAGATTTGAATAGGAAGAGAGGAAGTCAAAGTATCTTTGTTTGCAGCTGACATGATCCTATATCTAGAAAAACCCATTGTCTAAGCCCAAAAGCTTCTTAAGCTGATAAGCAACTTCAGCAAATTTTCAGGATACAGGATCAATGTGCAAAAATTGCTAACATTCCTATACACCAGCAACAGGGAAGCAGAGAGCCAAATCATGAATGAACTCCCATTCACAATTGCTACAAAAAAAATAAAATGCCTAGTAACACAGCTAACAAGGGAAGTGAAGGGCCTCTTCAAAGAGAACTACAAACCATTTCTCAAGGCAATCAGAGGGGACACAAACAAATGGAAAAACACTCCATGTTCATGGATAGGAAGAATCAATATTGTGGAAATGGCCATACTTCCAAAGTAAATTATAGATTCAATACTATTTCCATTAAACTACCATTGAAATTCTCACAGAATTAGAAAAAAATCTTTTAAAATTCATATGAAACCAAAAAGAGCCCGAATAGCCAAGACAACCCTAAAAAAAAGAACAAAGCGTTATGCTACCTCACTTCAAGCTATACACAAGTCTACAGTCACCAAAACAGCGTGGTATTGGTACAAGAACAGACACATAGACCAATGGACAGAATAGAGAACTCAGAAATAAGACTGCACATCTACAAACATCTGATCTTTGACAACCATGACAAAAACAAGCAATGGGAAAGGGATTCCCTATTTAATAAATGGTGCTGGGAGAACTGGCTAGCCATAAGCAGAAAATTGAAACTGGACCCCTTCCTTACACCTTATGTCCAAAGTAATTCAAGATGGATTAAAGACTTAAATGGAAAACCCAAACCTATAAAAACCCTAGAGGAAAATCTAGGCAATACCATTCAGGACATAGGCACAGGTAAAGATTTTATGATGAAAACACCAAAAGCAATTGCAACAAAAGCAACATTTGACAAATAGGATCTAATTAAATTGAAGAGCTTCTGCACAACAAAAGAAACCATCATCACAGTGAACAGTCAACCTACAGAATGGAAGAAAATTTCTGCAATCTATCCATCTAACAAAGGTCTAATATCCACAGCCTACAAGAGACTTAAACAAACTTACCAGTTAAAAAGAAACAACCCCATTAAAAAGTGGGCAAAGGACATGAATAGACACTTCTCAAAAGAGTACATTCATGCAGTCAACAAACATGAAAAAAAGCTTAACTTCATTGATCATTAGAGAAATGCAAATCAAAACCACAAAGAGATACCATTTCATGCCAGTCACAGTGGCTATCATTAAAAAGTCAAGAACCAATGGATCCTAGTGAGGTTGCAGAGAAAAAGGAATGCTTTTACACTGTTGTTGGGAGTGTAAATTAGTAGTTCAACCATTGTGGAAGATGGTGTGGTGATTCCTCAAAGATCTAGAGGCAGAAACACCATCTGACTCAGCAATCCCATTACTGGGTATATACCCAAAGGAATAGAAATCATTCTGTTATAAAGATACATGCACACTTACGTACATTGCAGCACTTTTCACAATACCAAAGACATGGAATCAACCCAAATGCCCATCAATGATAGACTGGATAAAGAAAATGTGGCATCTATATACCATGGAATACTCTGCAACCATAAAAAGAAATGAGACCATGTCCTTTGCAAGGACATGGATGGAGCTGGAAGGTGTTATCCTCAGCAAACTAATGCAGGAACAGAAAACCAAATACCAGCTGGGTGTGGTGGCTCATGCCTGCAATTCCAGCACTTTGGGAAGTGGAGGCAGGCAGATCATCTGAGGACAGGAGTTTGAGACCACCCTGGCCAACATGGTGAAACCCCGCCTCTACTAAAAATACAAAAATTAGTCAGGTGTGGTGGCGCGCACCTGTAGCCCCAGCTACTCGGGAGGCTGAAGCAGGAGGGTTGCCTGAATCGGGGAGGCAAACGTTGCAGTGAGCCGAGATCGTGCCACCACTGAACTCCAGCCTGGGCAACAAAGTGAGACCCTGTCAAAAAAAAAAAAAAAGAAGAAGAAGAAGGAAGGAAGGAAGGAAGGAAGGAAAGAAGGAAGGAAACCAAGTACTGCATGTTCTCACTTATAAGTTGGATCTGAATGATGAGAACACATGGACACATCAAGGGGGAACAACACACACTGGGGCCTGTCGGAGGGGGGACTGGGAGTGAGAACATCAGAAAGAATAACTAATGGATGCTGAGCTTAATACCTAGGTGATGTGCTGATCTGTGCAGCAAACCACAGAGGCACCCGTTTTTCTGTGAAACAAACCTACACATCCTGCACATGTACCCTGGAACTTAAAATAACAGTTGACGGAAAAATTGAAATAAAATAAAATAAATAGAAATGCTAATACAGAATCATCTAAAAAAGAAAACTAAATAATAGGATAGAACTAAGTGGTTTTTTTGTTTGTTTTGTTTGTTTGTTTTTGAGACGAAGTCTTGCTCTGTCGCCCAGGCTGGAGTGCAGTGACCCGATCTCGGCTCACTGCAACCTCCCCCTCCCAGATTCAAGTGATTCTCCTGCCTCAGCCTGCTGAGTAGCTGGGATTACAGGCATGTGCCATCATGCCCAGCTAATGGTATTTTTAGTAGAGACCGGATTTCGCCATGTTTTGGCTAGACTGGTCTCGAACTCTTGACCTCAAGTGATCTGCCCGCCTCAGCCTCCCAAAGTGCTGGGATTACAGGCATGAGCCACTGCCCCCGGCCAGAACTAAATGTTTTTAATTACCCAAATAAAACCTGTATGGGGCAAAATGTACAGAGAGTGGGGAGAAGCTAAGATAAATTTTCTTAAGGGTGGGAGGAGAGTGGAGATGTAATTTATCTAAAAATTCATCTTGATGGGATTTGGGAAGCAATATTCAAGTAAGCTGTCTTGATAAGGTATATGATTATGTTTATAAAATGGAGAAATATATTTTTAGTTATGATTGTCATAAACAGAAAATAACGATTTGTGTATTTTTGAAGAGTTAGGAAATTTCCAAAATTAGCAAGGGTTAGAAAGAAGGAAGAAATAGACACTCTACAATGCCCCAAAAAAGTAAGAACATGGAAAAAGGGGAAGCAAAGTTAAATAAGTGGTAACTATAAGTAGCAACTATAAAATATCAAAGAATAAAATCATGCATATCAAATAGTAAGCTAAATATGAACAGTCTTAAGGACTGTCAAAGAGCAAAAACTGTCAGATTGGGCTAAAAAGTTAAAAATCCAGTGGAATGGTCTTTCTAAGAATCATGCCTAAAACTAACTGAAAAAAAAATGGAAAATAGTGCAACGGAGAATCATGAGCTCACGCTGGCTTGGTGACTGGTTCTTTGTTAACTCCTATCACCAGAGGACAGAAGACCTGAAATGAATTTATTAGACTTATTTCCAGACTTAGGGTCCCCAGCTGAAGACAACTGCCAGACTCTTAGATGGGAAGGAGGAAGGGAAATAAATAAATTACAAAGACCTCCTACTTGGGTGCCGGAGTTGAAAAAGTATCATTTTGCAACCAACATAGTAAAGATAAGGTTAGTTAGGAATCATTAATCATGCTATATATATATATGAGGAAATTTTGATGAGATACATGTTATTTACTTAATTCTAAAGTGTTTCCTGTAGACCACTTATCTGGTCTTCCAATACCAGATATGAAAACTTACTTGAACATTTTAATATTTAACATGGTAAGGCATCCACACATGGATATATGAATAAAACAACGGAACAAAAAAGAGAGTATAGAAATAGACTTGCATATTTACAAGCACTGGATTCATGACAAAGGTACCACTGCAGCATATTGGAAGAAAGGATGGCCTTTTCAGTATTTAATGTTAGAACAATTAGATATCCATAAATAAACAAATGAATTGTGACCTCCATCGCATCAGATAGGAAAAGCACTTCCAGCTGGAGTATATAGCTAAACAAAAAATTAAAACAAAAAGTGCTACTAGAAGACACTGTTGAAGAATCTCTTCAAGGTCAGTATCCTTTCTTAAACCAAACACAAATACACTAACTATAAAGGGAAAGATTGATGAGTTGGATTTTATTAAAATTTAAAACTTTAGTATTACAATGTGAAAATGTAGACCATAGAGTAGAATATATTTAATACATATATTTGAAAAAATATTTTGTTTCTAGGTATATAAAGAATTCAGACAAATCAACAAGAACAGACAGCTTTATAAAAAAATTTACAAGGCTGAACAGGTGCGTTATAAAAACATCCAAATGAACAATACGTATATAAAAAGGTGCTCAATATCATTAGTCATTGGAGAAAGAAAATAAGACCAAAATGAGATACTCACAAGAGTGACTAAAATGAAATAAACAATAGTGACAATAACAAGTGTTATTGAGGATGTGGAGTCACTGCTGGTTTTACATAGTGTTGGTAGGAATGTAAATTGGTACAAACACTTTAGCAAACTCTTTGACAGTTTCTACGAAGCTGACCATATACCTACCTTATGAATTGAGTAATTCTTATTTCTAGATGTATGCTCAATTGAAATGCATAAATACATACCCCAAAAAGACATGAACAGGAATATTCATAGCTGCATTGTTTGTAATAGCCCCAAACTAGAAACAAGCAAATTTCTATTAATAACAGAATGAACAGATAAGTTGTATTATAGTCACACAATGGGATATTATACAGCAGTGAAAAATTACTACTATAAGTACATGGGTGAACATCACACACACAATGTTGAACAACAAAATAAAGATACAGGCCAGGTGCGGTGGCTCATGCCTGTAATCCCAGCACTTTGGGAGGCTGAGGCAGGTGGATCACTAGGTCAGGAGATCGAGACCATCCTGGCTAACATGGTGAAACCTCATATCTACTAAAAATACAAAAAAAAAATTATCTGGGCATGGTGGTGGGCACCTGTAATCCCAGCTACTTGGGATGCTGAGGCAGGAGAATCCCTTAAACCGGGGAGGAGGAGGTTGCAGTGAGCTGAGATCGCGCCACTGCACTCCAGCCTGCGCAACAGAGTGAGACTCCATCTCAAAAAAAAATAAAAAAAGATATGAAAGGTTAGATATTGTATGATTCGATTATCTAATGTGAAAAGTGGCAAGTTTAATCTATAGACATCAAATGCTGATTACTTTGGAGGACAGTGATCCCTGAGGTAGGCTTCAGAGATGCAGGTAATGTTTCATATTTTGATCTGTGTAACGTTTATATGGGATTGATGCTTGGTAAAAAGTAATCGACGTTTATGTACTTTTCTGTATTAATATTATACTTCATAAAATTTATATAAAAAGAAACAAAGGAATGGAGTTACCATGACTGGGGTTACTATGGTGATGATTGGTCTATCATCTAGTCTTTGGGACTAAGGAGAGGCTGACCTCACCTGAGCACATTGCTGGTCACTTAATACCTAAATAAAATCAGGTCATTTTCACAGAGAAGCAGGGGAGAATGGCTGTTAAATAGTGACTGATATATGCAGTTATTTTAAAAATGAGTTAGCTCCATGTCCATACATTTGCCTGGATATCCACCATGAATTTTGAAATAAGAAAAGATGCTAAGTAATAGTCTCATTTAAGTAAAAATCCCTCTTATATATGGAGAAAGGGGTGAAAAAAGACACACACCAAGCTAGTAACACTATGTCCCCAAGGGCGGGTGGATGGGAGGAGTTGGGGACAGAACTTACCAGGGTTTTCTTGTTTTTGTGTTGTTTCACTGACTGTAGAAAGTACACGCACTTTTGTATCTTTTGAAGCACAATTTACTAATAGATTTAAAATCAGAAAGGATAATAATTTAGTGAATTAGAAACTAAGGCATGAGGAATGGGTAAATGAAACACTGATTATTAGAGATGGCATGGCTGTAGTACAGGACTAAGTCATAAAGCAGAGTGAAGATGAAGACGGAGGAGAAGGGAGGGCCAGGTGTAACTTTTTCTCCTATGCTCGTGGTATCCCAGTTAAGTGAAGCACGCTTTGCCAGATTATCCCTTTATTTTATTTTATTTTATTTTATTTTATTTTATTTTATTTTATTTATTTTTTTTTTATTATACTCTAAGTTTTAGGGTACATGTGCACATTGTGCAGGTTAGTTACATATGTATACATGTGCCATGCTGGTGCGCTGCACCCACTAATGTGTCATCTAGCATTAGGTATATCTCCCAATGCTATCCCTCCCCCCTCCCCCGACCCCACCACAGTCCCCAGAGTGTGATATTCCCCTTCCTGTGTCCATGTGATCTCATTGTTCAATTCCCACCTATGAGTGAGAATATGCGGTGTTTGGTTTTTTGTTCTTGCGATAGTTTACTGAGAATGATGGTTTCCAGTTTCATCCATGTCCCTACAAAGGATATGAACTCATCATTTTTTATGGCTGCATAGTATTCCATGGTGTATATGTGCCACATTTTCTTAATCCAGTCTATCATTGTTGGACATTTGGGTTGGTTCCAAGTCTTTGCTATTGTGAATAGTGCCGCAATAAACATACGTGTGCATGTGTCTTTATAGCAGCATGATTTATAGTCCTTTGGGTATATACCCAGTAATGGGTATATACCCAGTAATGGGATGGCTGGGTTAAATGGTATTTCTAGTTCTAGATCCCTGAGGAATCGCCACACTGACTTCCACAAGGGTTGAACTAGTTTACAGTCCCACCAACAGTGTAAAAGTGTTCCTATTTCTCCACATCCTCTCCAGCACCTGTTGTTTCCTGACTTTTTAATGATTGCCATTCTAACTGGTGTGAGATGATATCTCATAGTGGTTTTGATTTGCATTTCTCTGATGGCCAGTGATGATGAGCATTTCTTCGTGTGTTTTTTGGCTGCATAAATGTCTTCTTTTGAGAAGTGTCTGTTCATGTCCTTCGCCCACTTTTTGATGGGGTTGTTTGTTTTTTTCTTGTAAATTTGTTTGAGTTCATTGTAGATTCTGGATATTAGCCCTTTGTCAGATGAGTAGGTTGCGAAAATTTTCTCCCGTGTTGTAGGTTGCCTGTTCACTCTGATGGTAGTTTCTTTTGCTGTGCAGAAGCTCTTTAGTTTAATTAGATCCCATTTGTCAATTTTGGCTTTTGTTGCCATTGCTTTTGGTGTTTTGGACATGAAGTCCTTGCCCACGCCTATGTCCTGAATGGTAATGCCTAGGTTTTCTTCTAGGGTTTTTATGGTTTTAGGTCTAACGTTTAAATCTTTAATCCATCTTGAATTGATTTTTGTATAAGGTGTAAGGAAGGGATCCAGTTTCAGCTTTCTGCATATGGCTAGCCAGTTTTCCCGGCACCATTTATTAAATAGGGAATCCTTTCCCCATTGCTTGTTTTTCTCAGGTTTGTCAAAGATCAGATAGTTGTAGATATGCGGCATTATTTCTGAGGGCTCTGTTCTGTTCCATTGATCTATATCTCTGTTTTGGTACCAGTACCATGCTGTTTTGGTTACTGTAGCCTTGTAGTATAGTTTGAAGTCAGGTAGTGTGATGCCTCCAGCTTTGTTCTTTTGGCTTAGGATTGACTTGGCAATGCGGGCTCTTTTTTGGTTCCATATGAACTTTAAAGTAGTTTTTTCCAATTCTGTGAAGAAAGTCATTGGTAGCTTGATGGGGATGGCATTGAATCTGTAAATTACCTTGGGCAGTATGGCCATTTTCACGATATTGATTCTTCCTACCCATGAGCATGGAATGTTCTTCCATTTGTTCGTGTCCTCTTTTATTTCCTTGAGCAGTGGTTTGTAGTTCTCCTTGAAGAGGTCCTTCACATCCCTTGTAAGTTGGATTCCTAGGTATTTTATTCTCTTTGAAGCAATTGTGAATGGGAGTTCACCCATGATTTGGCTCTCTGTTTGTCTGTTGTTGGTGTATAAGAATGCTTGTGATTTTTGTACATTGATTTTGTATCCTGAGACTTTGCTGAAGTTGCTTATCAGCTTAAGGAGATTTTGGGCTGAGACGATGGGGTTTTCTAGATAAACAATCATGTCGTCTGCAAACAGGGACAATTTGACTTCCTCTTTTCCTAATTGAATACCCTTTATTTCCTTCTCCTGCCTGATTGCCCTGGCCAGAACTTCCAACACTATGTTGAATAGGAGCGGTGAGAGAGGGCATCCCTGTCTTGTGCCAGTTTTCAAAGGGAATGCTTCCAGTTTTTGCCCATTCAGTATGATATTGCCATGGAAACACGTGCCATGACTGCTTCTAGGTGCTTTTGTTCCTCGGGACCATTTCTCAAGTAAAGTTTGAAAACTGTTAGCATAGAGCCTCCTGGGAAAGCAGAATTCACGCTTCTGATTGAATTTCTTTCTGTGTCTCAAGTAGAGAAAAGCAAAGCAGGAAAAGTCCATTTTGCCTGGAAACACCCACCTTCCAGAACCATTTGTTTCCTGGGAGGAGAAAAGACACCACCATTCTGAATAAAACCAGCTTTTTTTCTTAGTAATCTGGTTCACAGATGTGAGGAGCAGGGGCATGCATACAACGTTTTTCATTAGCTGTTTGGATGTCATTACCACATCTTAGAAATGCTAATTAATACTGGCACCACAGTGTCACATCGACCTTCAAGACTTCCTCATTTATTCAGGTTGCCTTAACTTTTTCTCAGGTATGAAACAAATAGCTGTAAAAATATGTAAAATTAAAACAATTTTAAAACATCATTCATTTAATACCAAAATTACTCAATTTTACATTCCTTCTTGGCTATGAATTTTCTAGCAATACATAAAACAGCTATGCAAATGCAATTGAGACTTCATTGTCAGGCTGCTATGCATCTCATATGGTTTTTTAAAAATAAATGCTTATGGTAATATTGGCTTTGTATTCCTTGATTTTAAGTTGTCTATTTTTCAGGTGGGTAGACAATAATGATATTAAACCAATTAAAAGTTTCTGCTTAAATCAGTGGATCACAAATATATTTGATGTTTATTATTCATTGTTATAAAGGAAAACACAAGCAGAAATGCAACAACCAAAATAACAGCACGAATAAAATTTGGAAGAGGAGAAAAGTTAGAAGCCAGTGAAAATTGAGCCATTCCTTCAACTTTCAACATGGGAACTCAGTAGACCCTGTTTATAAAAATTGATACATCAAGAAATAGAAGTATAAATGTACTATTGGATTTAATATTGTTAACCTCTAAGAACTAAAATGAGCAATAATTAAAAGTATTTATCAATGAAGTGGATATTGGTGGAGTGAGGAGCTGCACAGGTTTGCTTTTTATTTTCTACCTTTCCTTAACTATTTGAAAAAATACCATCTATAAAGTATAACAAAAATAGGTGTTTCAGAAAAGAAAAATAAATAAGAATACAGTTCAGTTAAATGTTATTCACATCTTGGATAATGTTTTAAATCGCTAATGTTGAAATCTGCTACGATTTGATCTTTATTAATAACAGGATTCCTTTCTTTTTGTGTTGACATAGTACTTTTTAATGGTGGCAAAATTCAGATTATCATATTCAAATACGACTTGAACTTGAGTTTGGTTTTAATCTTCACAATTTCAGAATATCTTCCATTGTTATTAGTTTTAATTTTTCTTTTTAGTAGTCAAAGCATATGATAAAAATAAACAATGAAAATATATACTTAAAATGACTTCCATATATCTCCGCCTCTGCTAATTAAGGGCACCACTTGGTCCCTGTCACCTTGGGATCCAATTATATTCATTGCAATTAGGTTTCCCAGTTCAGAGGCAGCTGGCCCCCACCGTAGTTTCTGACCTACAGAGAAGATGAATCACAAAGGTCTTCAAAGATGTTGGGGCTTCACTCACAAATTTATTTCTCACAGTGTTGGTGAAAGTTGTGTCTTCTGGACCCTTCCAAGGTGCATAAACAGGTTTTAAATGATAAGTCCACATCCCAATCTCCTTAAGCCTTGGATACCTTCCTTTACAGTGTATCAAGGCAGTTCTGGCATTTCAACTTCATTTAGGGTAGGCTTACCTTTCAGTTCATACTTCAGTCACCAACCAATCAAACTCTTGGAGCTCTTTCTAATTCCTTGAACTACAACATTGAATCCAGACTCTCTGCTTAGTGGATACATACCAGCCTGATGCCACATTATGTTCCTTCCATGATTATCCTACACCTTTAAGATCCTTCACCACACATATTTCCCAGATTTCTGCCTTTATAAATTGGAAAAAATTGTGTAGTTCTTATTAGCGCACCTGCTCATGGGTGACACTTTGGACTTCTGGTTTAGGAGCCTGCTGGGACTTGAGTCTCATTATAAGTTTAGAAGCCAAGAGGGGTGATGCGGGTAGGCCCTGAGGAATCAGCAGTGTCTTGCAATGCAATTACCTTCAGGGGGTCTATACAGTTTCTTCAGGAAAAGCAAGGTTAATCTCTTCAGATGGGGATGGAATTGCTGCTTCTACTGACAAAGAGGACTAATCAGAATGTAGGGGGTTCAACGTCACAAGCTTCATCAGGATTTTCCCGTAAGCCCCTTTCCAGTGTTTAGGATCCAATTCTTTCCCCACAAAAGCCTTCACTTTACAGCAGACACTCTATAAACTTGAGAATTTAATTTGCATTGTAATTTAGACACTCACAGGATGAGACTCAGTTTGATATTCAGCAGTCTCAGTTCTGTGGCTGCAGGTCATAAGGGTTGCTTGTACGGCAGACATAGAAATTTTCAGGTCATTTATGTAGTGCTTGAGCTAGGAATTTGAATCCTCATCTCAAACTTTCTTTCCCCCATTTTGTTCAGTCCAATTGGAGCAACCAGCCAATCTCATACTCATCAGTTTGACAAAAATGCTCTAAGGTATCCAACACATGGCCACCTAGGACCTTGCCCCTTATACATATTTGATCAGGAATATCCAATGGTGATATTTTGTTTATCTCCATTGCCACATAATGCCATGGACTATCAGTGTTCTTTTTACTATGGGAAATAGTGTCATTAGCATCTTTAAACCTAATCGGACTAGAGAACCAATTCCAGAAACCCCAGTATGAAAACTCATCATGAAGATTCTGTTTCTCTGGAACCACTTCATTCTTGGTATCAAAATATGTTCCAGGTTCTCCAGAAAGATAGAACAAATAGACAGTGTGTATGTGCACATATATCTATGCATCTGTATTTATGTCTATCTATCTATCTATCTATCTATCTATCTATCTATCTATCTATCATCTATCTATCTATTTTTCTCTCTATCATCTGCCTATCTTGGTCTGAAATCTGCAGGACATGATGGCAGACTAAAGAACAGGGAAAAGTCGATGTTGCATTCTTGAGTCCAAAGGCAGTTTGAAGGCAAAAATCTCTTTTTCTTCAGGAGACCTCAGTCTTTTCTTTTAAGGCCTTCAGCTGATTGGATAAGGTTCACACACATTATGGAGGATACTTCAAAGTATTCATTCTACTAATTTAAACATTAGTTATATTTAAAAAATGTCTTCACAGCAACATCTAGACTGGTGTCTGATCAAAAATTGGGTATCATGGACTAGCAAAATTGTCACATAAAATTAACCATCAGAAAGTTGTTGAGCATCTTTCAGGCATTTGTTGGCAATTTACATACCATTTGTATATTGAATATTTGACATTTGAAGAAATATTGATTCAAATCCTGTGGTCATTAAAAAATTGTACTATTTGTCTTTTTATTATTAAGTTGTAACAGTTCTTTTAATAGCTTAGCTATAAGTCCCTTATCAGAAATATGACTTGAAAATATTTTCTCCCATTCTTTTCACTTTCTTGATGGTACTGTTTGCAGAACAAATGTTTTGATGAAATCTAACTTATTATATTTTCTTTTATCTCTTGTGCTTTTGATGTCTCATCTAAGAAATCATTGCCTAACTCGAGGTCACTGAAATTAACTCCTATGTTTTTTTCTAAGAGTTGTATATGTTTAGCTTTTACATTGAGGATAATGATCATTTGAAGTTAATTTTTGTGTGTGGTATGAGATTGGGGTTTCAACTTTATTCTTTGGATATGAATATCCAGTTGTACTAACACCATTTGTTGAAAACACTTGCTATAGTTTGGACATGTGTCCTCACCCAAATCTCATGTTGAAATGTAATCCCCAATGTTGAAGGTGGGGCCTAATGGGAGGTGATTAGATCATGGGGGTGGGTTTCTCATAAATGGTATAGCACCATCCTCTTGGTGCTGTTCTCACCATACTGACTGAGTTCTTGTGAGAGCTGGTCATTTAAAAGTGTGGGGCACCTTCCCACTCTCTCTCTCTTGCTCCTGCTCTGGCCATGTAATATGTCTGCTTTCCCCTTTGCCTTCTGCCATGATTGTAAGTTTCCTGAGGCCTCCCCAGAAGCTGAGCAGAAACATCAACTCCCTTGTTTATTTGTTTCAAATAAAACAAAACCCATCTGTATAGATAGATAGACACACGGATAGATAAACAATATGGCAAATGTTAACACCTGTTGAATATAGGTGGTGGGTATATGTGAGGTATTTTAAATTACTTTAAAAATTCCATATATTTGAAACTTTCCTTGATTAAAAAGTATGATAAAATGGGCTGGGTAGAAGCTGAGCAGAAGCATCATGCTTCTTGTACAGCCTGCAGAACCATGAGCCAATTAAACCTCTTTTCTTTATAAATTACCCAGTCTCAGATAGTTCTTTATAGCAATGTGAAAATGAACCAATACAGATGATTCTTTACCATTGAATTTTCTTGGTACCCTTGTCAAAAATTAACAGACTATAAATATAAAAGTTTATTTCTGGGCCCTTAATTTTATTCCCATAATCTATATGTTTATTCTTATGCCAGATTGTGCTGAATTCAAGAATTTGGGGACCAATCGAGGAAACTAAAAGACCACAAGAAGGCAGTACTGTACATCAAGTTTTATTGGGTGGTGACTGAAAGGGTTGCATGTGAGCAGAAGTGCCTCAGAGCAAACTTTCCAAACAGTGGAACAATATCACCATGCAGTAGGGGGACAGGGCAAGGTCCAGAAAAAGAGAAAAATTGAAGAAAGGACTTCTATGTTGCTCAGCAGCAAGGTAGGGAGACACTAAGTCAGAGAGCTCCAAGGGGTAGCAATGGTTTGGGGTCTTTTACCACTACAGAGTTTGTCTTGCCTATGGTTAGTAGGTGCTGGATGCAGTTTCACAAGTTACATAAAGCAGGCAGACTCTACATACCTAAAAATATGTTTATTTTTGCTATCTTCAAAGAAATTGGATGTGTAAGAATAGCACAGAGGGCTTTGAGCTAAAAGTCCTATCCTGCTGTGAAAAAGTAAACAATACAGGGGTCAACATACAGGGGCCATTTTGGGTTTGCTTATTTAACGCAATAACACATTGTCTTGATTAGCTACTGTAGTAAAGTTTGAAATCAGGAGGCATGAGTCCTCCAACTCTGTTCTTTTTCAATATTGTTTTGGCTCTTCGGTATTCCTTACATTTCCACATAAATTTTAGAATCAGTTTGTCAATTTCTGCAGGAAAAATAGCCGGGATTTTGATAGGAAAATTAAGTTAAATCTGTAGATCAATGTAGGTCATGTTGTCTTAACAATATTAAGTTTTCTGAGTCATGAATATTGAATGCCTTTTCATTTATTTAAATCTTATTTAATTTCTTTCAACTATGTTTTTTACTTTCCAGTGTATGAATTTTGCACTTGTTTTGTTAAATTTATACCTAAGTACTTTGTTCATTTTTATACTACTGTATATGGATTTGTTCTCTTGCTTTCAGTTTTGATGTGTTTACCATTAACATATAAAAATAGAATTGATATTTTATATTGATCTTGTATTTTGAAACCTTGCTGAACTCATTTCTAAATTCGAATAGTTTTTAGCAGATTCCATAAAATTTTCTGTATTTTAACTGTCTTTTACTAGAAATTTTCAGAATATATTTTGAAAGTTTGTTCCAATTTTCATCTTTAACCAGCCCATTTTATCGTACTTCTTACTCATATGGAATTTTTGAAGTAATTTAAAATACCTCACATATACCCACCACCTATATTCAACAGGTGTTAACATTTGCCATACTGTTATCTTTCTGTGTGTCTATCTATCTATATGGATGGGTTTTGTTTTATTTGAAATGAATAAACAAGGGAGTTGCTTGTAAGGGAGTTGCAAGTAGCATGAAACTTAATCCCTAAGTACTTTTTTTATGCTTTTCATAACTACAATACCATTACAACTTCTAAGAAGCTTCACAATAACTTTGTAATATCATCTAATATCCAGTCCATAACCAAATTTCTCCAATTGCCTCCAAATATCATTTTTTTTCCTTTTAAAAACATATCTAGGATCTAGGCAATGGTCATGAGTTGCATTTGATTGTTATATTTTTAAAATCTCTTTTAAGCCTGAACAACATCTCACTTTTCTTTTTTTTCAATGACATCGTCTTTGGGAAGACATAAGAGCAGTTATCTTGTAAATCATTCCACACTCTTCATTTGTCTGATTGTTTCCTTTTGTTGTCAATCTCCTTTTCCCTTTATCCCCTGTATTCCTGTAAATTGTAAATTAGATCTAAAGGCTTAATTAGATTCAGGGGAAACATTTTTGGCAAGGATATTTCTTGGGTAATGCTCTGTAGTTCATAGTGCACTACCTCAGAGCACACAATGTCAGATTGCTCATGATTAGTAATACTGTTTGATCAGTTTGGCAGTTGGTCAGCCTCATCTTTCCATTGTAAAGCTACTTTTTTTCCTCTGCAGATAAAGATCTCAATAGTCAGGTTGACAAAATGACCCATTCTGTGGGTATAAGTTTTCACATTTTTCTAGCCACCCTTGTTCCTAATGAATAGGCTCTTGTACAAAATACATGGCAAAAGGGATGGAGGTTATGAATTAGCTCATTAAGCACGTATCCCTTCATTAAGTCTGATCTTGGTAACACCATCCCAGGTGCCTAACCTAACACCATTGCCAACAGTATGATGACTGACAATGTGATGTCTTTCCAAGGAAGACCAACTAACCACTTGATAGTAGGTTGTTTATATTAAACTCTTTTAATCCTGATAATAGTAGTAATTAATCTGCAATGGCATACCATTCATTTTGGATCTGGATTTACCTTCCTTGCTCACAATTTTTCCACCCAAAATATTTCTCACTGATACAGGAAACAACTTATTCATCACCAAAGTATCCCACACAATATTGCTTCTGATAAAAAAAAAAAAAGCAATTCACAGCAGTAATGAACTCATGCCGTGCAATTCACTGGTCTTACCATGCACCCTATTACTGAGAAGCATCTAGTCTGAGGGAGATCTTGGATAGCTTCAGGAAGATTAGTATGCTGCCAGTGAAGAGACAACATTTTATGAAATTGGACAATAGCCTACAGAATATGCTTTGAGGCAGCAACCAATATAAGATGCCATTTCACCAAGTGCCCTAATCTATGGTCTGGAAATAAAGAGGTAGATGTGAAAATGGCTCCTCTCACTCTCACATCTAATAATCCACTACAGAATGTTTGCTTTTAATTTCTAAAGGTTTGCTTTTGCTGTTTTAAAGGTCTTAGTTCTGAAGGGAGAAATGCTTCCACCAGGAGACACAATAATAGATATACTGAAGTGGAAGTTGAGACTACCATCTGGCCCTTTTGGGCTCCTCATGTCTCTAGACTAACAGAAACTAGCTGAGGAATTTGGTTCTAATTATCTAGTAAGTGAGAATTTGGTTTACTTTATGAAATGGTATCAGAAAATAATGTCTAGATGTGAGAAGATTTTTTTCTGCACACCTCTTACCACTTTCTTGTTCATTAATACAAATTAACGTGTATCTACTGCAACTCGGCAAAGACAGAATCAGTATGAACTCAGGACTTTCAGAAATAAAACTTTGAATTAATGCACTAAGTAAAAATTTACAGCTAGCTTAGGTGCTGGCTGAAGGCCCAGAAAACATGAAATGAGAAGCAGAAAAAAGTTATAAGTATCAAATACAGTCTCACAGCCATTAATAGAAATGAGGATTGTAGCAGCTAAGCATATTTTCATCCTTGCTTCTTAAGTATTAATTTGCATATTTTAAACATTTACCATCTTCCTTTTCTGTATTATGTTATATACAGAATTTGCATGGTGATTAACTTTACAATCTAGTTTTTCTATTATAGAATATTCAGGTGGGATTATAAATGAGCTAGGAAAGCAGTTAACATCACTTAGAGATGAATACATAATCATTGAGATCTTAGGTCTCTCTTTTTTGGATTTGGGTGACAAAATTTTTATTTGTACAAAGAGAATCTTATTGAGAAGCATTAAATTATTGTTGCTATGATATGGTGGGGGATGTGTGTCCCCTCCAAATCTAATGTTGAAATGCGACCTTCAATGTTGGAGGTGGGGTCTAGTGGGAGGTATTGGATCACTGGGGCAGATCCTTCATGAATGACTTGGTGCCATCCTCACAATAATTGGTGAGTTCATGCTCTGAGTTCATGTGAGATCTGGTTGTTTAAAAGAGTGTGGCACCTCCTCCCTGCTTACTCCCACTCTTTCCATGTGACACACCTGGTCCCCCTTCACCTTCCACCATGATGGTAAGTTTCTGAGGCCCTCACCAGAAGCAGATGCTGGCACCACACTTCCTGTACAGCCTTCAGAACCAAGAGCTTATTAAATCTCTTTTCTTTATAAATTACCCAGCCTTAAGTATTCCTTTATAGTGATGCAAATGTATTAACACATGCTGCTATAGAGAAGTTTAAATGAAATAAAAGAATGTGTATAGTCAATACCTCTCATAAATATCGATGTACAAATTCTAAACAAAAAAAATAGTAAATCAAATCCAACTACGTAAAAATGACAATGCATCACAAACAAGTTGGATTTATTCCAAGAATATAAAGTTGTTTTAACATCCAATAAGCAATGATTAGAATTTATTCCATTATTGTGATAAAGAAGAAAACTCATATGATTATATGAAAAGATGTAGAAATATGCATTTGATAAAATTCAACATCCAAGATAATTTTTTTTTATAAATTAGTAATAGAATGGAACTTCCTTTCTAACAAAAAGTATTAAAATCTTTCTAGTAAACATCATCCTTTGTGGATGAAAGAAAACTTTCTTCCTGAAACGGGGAATGAGACAAGGTTGCCCACTCTCACCCTGTATAATCAACATTGTAATGTGTCCTAGCCAGTACAGTAAGGCAAAAAAAAGCAAACAAACAAACAAATAAAAGAAAGAAAAGTTATAATGAATAGAATACAAAATAAAAATGCTATTTGCAGATGACATAATTATACATGTTGAAAATCCAAAATAATATACAGATAAACTATTAGAATTTAGCAAAATCAACAGGTACCCAAAAGCATCCCTCTATACCTGCAGTAAACAATTAGAAAACTTAATTTTAAATGATTTAATTTAAAATATTAAGCATATCAAATATTTAGAAATAAGTCAAATGAAAGATATGCAACACCATTTCATCTAAAACTAAAAAAAGTTATTGAGACCTAAATGAATGGTAAGGGCATAACATAAAAATGAATTAAAAACTTGAATTACTAAATTTAAGCCTTGGAATCCATATTAATGTGTTAAAGAAGTCAATTTTCACCAAATTGATCTATAGATTCAATCCAATCCCAATAAAAAATGCTAGCAGAGTTCTTTTCTATGAACATTTTTTTCCAAACTAATAGTTATTTTTATTTTTTTGCTTAAAGAAACCAAACTTCTGCAACTCCATGAAAAATTGAATACATAATTTTATGTATTTTGATTATGAAAGAGATACAATATTATATTCTCCTTCTGTTCAAAGGGTCAAGTTTTTCTCTTGAAAAAAGAAAAAAAACAATATGACTTACTCTACTGGTCAACATGGTTTATTATAAAGCTATGGTAATTAAGAGTATTGTCTGCAAGCATAGCCAAATATACTAGAAGAACAGAGTAGAGAATCTGCAGTCAGCCCTGTAATTATACAGATAATTGATTTATGAAAAAGATGACACTGCTGACCAGTGAAGGAAGAATGCTCTTCAATGAAAGATGTTGGGACAATTGGGTATCCAAATTCACAAAATGAATCTTAACTCCTACACCACACCATACACAAAAATCAATTCTAGGTGAATTGTAGGCTTCAATATGAAAGGAAAATATAATAAAAATTATAATATGATACAGGAAAAGGCTTCTTAAAGAGGACAATAAAAATGCTCATAAAAGTTGAATAAATTGGACTGTATTTAAATTAGGAAATTTATTCATTAAAAATGCACCACTGTGAGTTTAAAAATAAGCCACAGAGTGTGGATGTGTGCATGTGTGTATCTGTATGGTATATGTGTAACAGTGATCTTGAATCAGGAATACATATGTATATATTTAGCTTTGATAAATTGTGGAAAAACATCCCAAAAGAAAAATAGGAAAAATTAGGGACTTGAATGAGTACAAACCTAAATGGCCAATAGACACATGAAAATATTGAACACCACTAATAATCAGAAATGCAAACTAAAACCATAATAACTTTTTTTTCAGTCAAAGTCTCTTTCTGCAAGCAACTTGGAAAACCATGTTTGAAAATATCATCCATGAAAATTTCCCCAGCCTTGCTAGAGAGGCCAACATTCAATTTCAGGAAATGCAGACAACCCCTGCAAGACACTATACAAGATGACCATCCCCAAGACACATAGTCTTCAGATTCTTCAAGGTAGAAATGAAAGAAAAAAATCTAAAGGCAGCTAGAGAGAAGGGTCAGCTCATCTACAACAGGAACTCCATCAGGAAACAGCAGAGCTTTCAGCAGAAATTTTACAAGCCAGAAGAGATTGGGGGCCTATAATCAGCATTCATAAAGAAAAGAAATTCGAGCCCAGAATTTCATATCCAGCCAAACTAAGCTTCATAAGTGAAGGAGAAATAAGATTCTTTTCAGACAAGCAAATGCTAAGGGAATTCATTACCACCAGACCTGCCTTAAAAGAGGTCCTTAAGGGAGTGCTAACTTTGGAAATAAAAGACCATTACTGGCCACCACAAAGACACACTTAAGCACATAGACCATTGACACTGTAAAGCAACTACACAATAAAGTTTGCATAATAATCAACTAAGAACATAACAGGTTCAAATTCATACATATCAATATTAAGTTTGAATGAAGGTGGGCTATATGTTCCAATTAAAAGGCAGAGTGTGGGCCAGGTGCAGTGGCTCATTCCTATAATCTCAACACTTTGGAAGGCTGAGGCATGTGGATCACGAGGTCAGGAGTTCGAGACCAGCCTGACCAACATGGTGAAACCCCATCTCTACTAAAAATACAAAAATTAGCCGGGCATGATGGCACACACCTGTAATCTCAGCTACTCAGGAGGCTGAGGCAGGAGAATCACTTGAACCCAGGAGGCAGCAGTTGCAGTGAGCCGTGATTGCACCACTGCACTCCAGCCTGGGTGACAGAATGAGACTCAGTCTCAAAAACAAAACAAACAAACAAAAAAAGACAGAGTGGGCCAGGCATGGTGGCTCACACCTGTAATCCCAGCACTTTGGGAGGCCAAGTTGGGGAGACTACTTGAGCCCAGGAGTTTGAGACCAGCCTGGGCAACATGGCAAAACCCTACCTCTACAAAAAATACAAAAATTAGCTGGGTGTGGTGGCACACACTTGTGGTCTTAGCTACTTGAAAGGGTGAGGCAGGAGTATCACTTGAGCTGGGGAGACAGAGGTTGCAGTGAGCTGAGATAGTACACTGTACTCCAGCCTAGGCAAAAGAGTGAGATTGTCAAAAAAAAAAAAAAAAAAGAAAAAGAAAGGCACAGAGTGGCAAGTTGGATAAAGAAGCAAGACCCAACTGTGTGCTGTCTTCAAGAGACCCATCTCACATGCAATGACACACATGGGCTCAAAGTAAAGGGATGGAGAAAAATCTACCAAGCAATGGAAAACAGAAAAAATCAGAGGTTGCTATTCTAATTTCAGGCAAAACAGATTTTAAATCAACAACAACAACAATAACAACAACAACAGAAAGACAAAGAAGGACATTACATAATGGTAAAGGGTTCAATTCAAGAAGAAGACCTATCTATCTTAAATAGATATGCACCCAACACAGGAGCCAGATTAATAAAGTGAGTTCTTAGAGACCTATGAAGAGACTTAGATAATCACAGAATAATAGTAGGAGACTTCAACACCACATTGATAATATTAGACAGATCATCAAGGCCGAAAACTAACAAAGATACTCAGGACCCAAACTCAACACTTGACCAAATGGATCTAACAGATATCTACAAAACTCTCTGCCCAAAAGCAATGAATATATATTCTCATCTACACACTGTGACTGAAAAAAAGTTATTATGCTTTTAGTCTGCATTTTCCTGATTGTCAATGGTGTTCATACATCTACACAGAATATATATTCTTCACATCTACATTGATTTTAGAGCACACACTCTAAAATCGACCACACAATTGTCCATAAAACAATTCTCAGCAAATTCAGAAAAACTGAAATCATACCAACTACACTTTTGGACCATAGTGCAATAAAAATAGAAGTCAATACTAAGAAGACTGCTCAAAACCATACAATTACATGGAAATTAAACAACCTGTTCCTGAATGGTAAACAATGAAATTCAGACAGAAATCAAGAAATTCCTTCAAACTAATGAGAACAAAGACACAACATAACAGAATCTCTGGGACACAGCTAAACCAGTGTTAAGAGAAAAGTTTATAGTGCTAAATGGCCACAACAAAAAGGTAGAAAGATCTCAAAATAAGAACCTAACATCACACATACAGGAACTAGAAAAACAAGAGCAAACCAACACCAAAGCTAGCAGAAGACAAGCAAAAAACAAAATCTGAACTGAAGGAAATTGAGTCATGAAACACCACATAAAAGAGCAATGAATGCAGATATTTGTAACATGAAAGAATAAATAAGATTGATAGACTGCTATCTAGACTAACAAAGAAAAAAAGAAGACCCAAGTAAATAAACACAATAAAAAAATGACAAAGGGAACATTGCCACTGACTCCACACAAATACAAAAAAAAAAAAAACCTCTCAGAGACTACTATGAACAACTCTATGTACACAAGCTAAAAAACCTACAATAAACAAATAAATTCCTGGAAACATGCAACCTCCCAAGATTAAGCCAGGAAGACATTGAAACCTTCAACAGACCAATCATGAGTTCCAAAGCTGAATCAATAATAAAAAGCCTACCAACCAGAAAGAGCCCAGGACCAGATGGATTCACAGCTAAATTCTACCAGATGTACAAAAAAGAGCTGGTACCATTTCTAATGAAATATTCCAAAAAAATGAGGAGGAGGGACTCCTCCATAACTCATTGTATGAAGACAGCATCATTCTGATATCAAAACCTGGCAGAAACACAACAAAAAAAAATCAAAACTTCAGGCAAATATTCTTGATGAACATTGATGCATAAATCCTTAACAAAATACTAGCAAACCAAATCCAGCAGCGCATCAAAAAAATAACCCACCACAATCAAGTAGGCTTTACCCTGGAATGCAAGCTGGGTTCATAAACACAAATCAACAAATGTGATTTATCACATAAACAGAACTGAAAACAAAAACCACATGATTATCTCAATAGACGTAGAAAAGGCCTTTGATAAAATTAAATATTGCTTCATGTTAAAAACCCTCAATGATGTAGGCACTGAAGGAGCATGCCTAAAAATAATGAGGGCCAATTACGATAAACCCACAGCCAACAACAACATGCTCAATAGGCAAAAGCTGAAAACAATCCTTTTGAGAACCAGAATAAGACAAAGATGCCTTCTCTTACCACTTCTATTCAACATAAGTACTAGAAATCCTACCCAGAGAAATCAGGCAAGAGAAAGAAATGAGTTATCCACATAGGAGGAGAGGAATTTAACCTATCTCTGTTTGCAGATGATACTATTCTATATCTAGAAAACCACATAGTCTCTACCCAAAAGCTCCTAGGTCTGATAAACAACTTCAGCAAAGATTCAGGATACAAAATCAATGTACAAAAATCAGTAACATTTCTATACACCAAAAATATCCAAGCTGAGAGCCAAATCAAGAATGTAATCTCATTCACAATAGGCACCAAAAAGAATCAAATTCCTAGGAATACAGTTAACCAAGGAGGTGGAAGATGTCTACAACAAGAATTACAAAACACAGCTGAAAGAAATCAGAGCTGACACAAACAAATGGAAAAACATCCCATGCCTGTGTATAGGAAGTATCAATGTTGTTAAAATGGCTATATTGCCCAAAGCAATTTACAGACTCAATGCTACTCCTATCACACTACCAATGACATTCTTCACAGAATCTTTTTAAAAAACTATTCTAAAATTCATGTGAAACCAAAAAAGAGCCCGAATAGCCAAAGCAATCATAAGCAAGAAAAAAAAAGCAAGCAAAAGCATCGCAGCCCTATTCACAACAAAGCTGGAGGCATCACTCTACCTGACTTCAAACTATACCACAGGGCCACAGTAAACAAAACAGCGTGGTACTGATATGAAAACATACACACAGACAAATGGAACACAATAAAGAGCCCAGAAATAATGCCACATACCTACAACTCTACAATCATCTTATCTTTGACAAAGGCAACAAAAACAAACAATGAAGACAAAACTTTCTATTAAATATACAGTGCTGGGATAATTGGCTAGCCATATAGAGAAAATTGAAACTGAACCCCTTCCTTATACCATATACAAAAATCAATTCAAGATGGATTAAAGACTTAAATGTAAAACTTAAAACTATAAAAACCCTAGAAGGAAATCTGGGAAATACAATTCTGGACATAGGCCCTGGCAAAGATTTTATGATGAAGACACCAAAAGCAATTGCAACAAAAATAAAAATCAACAAATGGGATCTAATTAAACTAAAGAGCTTCTTCACAGCAAAAGAAACTATCAACAGAGTAAAGAGACAGCCTACAGGATAGAAGAAAATATTTGCAAACTATGGATCCAACAAAGGTCTAATATCCAAAATGTGTAAGGAACTTAAAATATAAAGCAAAAAATAAACAACTCCATTAAAAAGTAGGCAAAGGACATGAATGGACACTTTTCAAAAGAAGATATACACGTGGCCAAGAAATATATGGAAAAATCCTCAACATCACTAATCATTAGAGAAATGCAAATCAAAACCGCAATGAGACACCATCTCAAAACTACAATAAGATACCATCTCACAACAGCCATAATGGCTATTATAAAACATCAAAAGATAACAGATGCTGGTGAGGTTGCAGAGAAAAGGTTATACACTGCTGGTGGGAATTTAACTTAGCTCAACCATTGTAGAAAGTAGTTTGACAATTTCTCAAAGAACCTAAAACAGAATTACTATTCAAGCCAGCAGCCTCATTATTGGGTATATACCCAAAATAATATAAGTAATTCTACCATAAATACACATGCACGTTTCTGTTCATTGAAGCCCTATTCACAATAGCAGAGACATGAAATCAACTTAAATGTCCATCAATGGTAGACTGGATAAAGAAAATATGGTACATGTACACAATGGAATACTACACAGCCATAAAAAGATCATGTCCTCTGTAGCAGCATGGATGAAGCTGGAAGCCATTATCCTAAGCGAACTAACACAGGAACGGAAAACCAGATACCACATGTTCTCACTTGTAAGTGGGAGCTAAACACTGGTACACATGGACACAAACAAGGGAACAATAGACACTACATGAGGGTGCATTGTGGAAGGAGGGTGAGGATTGAAAAACTATCTACTGGGTACTATGTTTTTTACCTGTGACAAAATAAACTGTACACCAATCCCCTGTGACACACAATTTACCTGTATAACAAACCTGCACATGTATGCCTGAACCTAAAATAGGAGTTTATAAGTAAACAATTAAATAAGTGGGGGGAAACAAGTTTGCTCTTCCTCCCAGGCTGGAGTGCAGTGGCGCTGTCATAGCTCAATGCAGCCTCAAACTCCTGGGCTCAATTGATACTCCCACCTCAGCCTGCTAGAACTACAAGCACATGCCACCATGCCTGGCAAATTTAAAAAATATATAAAATATTTTAGAAATGGATGCTCTCTATGTTTCCCAGGCTTGTCCTTAACTCCTGGGCTCAAGTGATCCATCCTCCTGTTTCAGCCTCCCAAGTTGCTAGGATTTCAGGCATGAGCCACTTTGCCTGGCTTCAAAATAACATTATATACAATACACATCGCAAGGGCTAATTTTTTTAAAATAGAAGAGAAAAAATACTAGCAGAAAGTGTTGGCAAAAATGTGGAGCAACTGGAAATCTCATTAACTGCTGGAAGTGTAAAATGATATAACTTTGGAAATCTGTTTAGCAATTTTCATTATATTTGGAAGTTCACATTCACTATGTCTTGCCAATTCTATTCCTAGGTATATACCACACAGAAATGCATATATATGTTCAGAAATATAAACAGCATATAAATAAATGTTCATAGCAATATTATATATAATAGTCTCACATCGAAAACAACTTTATTGATATTTAAAAGTGGAATGAACAAATTTTGGTAAATTATGGCATATTCATGCAGTGATAAACCAAGATAGCAATGAAAATGAAAGAACTGTTATATGCAATAACATGGATCAATCTCACAAACATTTAGTGAGAAGACCATATGCAAAAGAGTATATTTATATTTATATTGATTTCAAAGACAGGCAAAACTCAGCTATTATGATAGACAGAGTAAAAATGACCTTTGGAAAAGAGGAGGCGGTTAATAATTGGGGTTGGTTATACGAAGGGCTTCTGGGGTGTTCTATCTTTGAATTGGTTTACACCCATGAGTTTACTTTGTGATATTTCATTTGTTGGGACGTGTGCTTCTCTATGCTCTTTTCTTTATGCATGTTATATTTCAATAAAATTACTTGAATATATTTATGTGTTCATTCCATAAATATTTATTAAGCATGGAGTCACTGTGTTAGGCACTGGCGATACAGCAAGGAATGAGATAGGCCATCTTTATGATGTAAGCATAGCAAGAGAGTAAAACTTTTTAAACAGAGTATTGTGGGAACTCATTTGAGTGACAACTAAGTAGGGAGGAGAGGGTCGAGAAAGGTTCCTAGCAAAAAGTAATGAATGAGCTAAAACTAGGGGAATGAATAGTAGTTGGAAATATCAAAGTTGGTGGGAGAAGGTGTAATAATAACGTTTCAGGAAGAAGAACCAGCATGTAAGAGAGTCTATAGGTAATCTATCACAGGATGGTAGTCAAAGAGATCAGGTGCAGTCATATAGGATTTTAGACAGCAATGACCTGTCCTGTAATAGCAGCAGTAAGAATGGAGAGAAAATAGATGGATTTTGGAGGCAATTCATAAGTAGAATGAAGAGGACTTTGTGATTGATCAGATGTGGTTGCTAAGGCACAACGATGAGTCAAGGATGGTTTCCAGATATGTGGTAAAGAATGTGTCTTACACCCATGAGAAAGAGAGGGAAAGGAACAAGTGTGAGCTAGACAGAGGTGGTGATAATCATTTTGAGGTTTTTGCTATGTTTAGTTGAGGTACCTATGGGATATCAAAAGAGAAGATCAAGTAGGTAGTCTCACATATAGAAATAAGATTCTGAAGACAGATCTTTCCTGGGAATACATATTTTGAGGTCCCTGGCATGAACATGGATATTAGAGACATGGAAATGAATGGGATTGCATGGTAAATATGTAAGTAGAGAAAGAGGTCTAGGATAAATCTGAAGGAACTAGGCAGAGAAAAATGAGCTAATAAAAAATCATAAGCAGCACCCAAATAAAAGGGAAAGAAACCAATAGAGTGTGGTGTCATGGCTGCTAAGGAGAGAAAATATTTCCAGCAGGGAGATTTTCATGGTGTCAGATGCTTCAGGGAGGCAGTAGATAATGAGGACTGATACCTTGGCAGAGCAGCTGGGAGGGAAGGGAAGCAGAGGAGCAGCTGTGGACAGAGTGGAAAGTGTGAAAGCCGAATCAAATTTCCTGAGTTAACTTTGTAGTTCTTCCTCTGTCCACTGGCTTCCAACTCCCTCCCCCCGACTACACTCGTGCATTCCATTCAAAGTATTATTTGTTGCAGTGGTCTCTCATATCCTGAAAATTGATGATATGCTTCCTTGAGGTCTTTCATAATTTATCTTCTCAGTTCCACCCCACAAACAGGCCTCCTTATCACTGAAATGGGTCACTGTGTTTAGTTTCCCAGTTGGCCTCCCTGATGCTAGTTTTGCTTGTTTCCACTTCATTTTTCACACACCACACCACCATCAACTTTTAAAATGCAAATATAATAATCTTTTCCCCCTGCTCAAAAGGCTTGAATGGCTCTCCATCACATGTAAGATAAAGTACAAATGCCTTGGCACAGCCTGCCAGGCTTTCCAATTCTGGTTGCTTCCCCTTATCCCCAGAGGGCCTCTCCTTCTCGCTTCTTGGACTATTAAGCTTATGCTCCAGCAACACAGAATTCCTCAGACTTTTCCAAACATGCTGTGTTTCCTTGTGGCTCTTCTTTTTCAGGTGTTTGGAAAAATCTCTACTCATCTTTCAAGATCTACATCAAGCATGTCTTCCTTTATAATTTTTTTCCTGATCCCCTCTGTACCCATCCATGATCACTGCTGCACTTTATTCTTATTTACTTCAATCATTATTCTTTTACTTTTTATCCAATACATCCTATATTGTATTCTATGTTTATCTCCCCCAGGAGATATGACCTCCTGGAACACAAAACTATTGTACTCATCTTTGTATTTCTAGTACTTATGGCAGTGTCAGATATGGAGTGCAAACCTTAAATTGCTGTATCAGCTGAGAAAGCCTTACTGCTCTTCCTGATATCAGCATTATTGCTTTACCAATATCAGAGGTGGGTCTGCAACATGGTAAAGGATGCATGTCTGTGTAATTACATTATGTCTGCAGGGTGTCCCCTGGACTCCAATGAGGGAAAGAACACCTTCCACATTAGGCTTGGGTCTTTTGTTTAAATGCACCTTGGATATCAAACACCTTCTTTCTCAACTTAAGCACTTCTGGGGATTTAGTCTCTACCAAAATTTCCATGAGAAATTATCTACATTATCAGATCGCAAGCCAGGCTATACTCCAGGGCTTTTTAATCCAAATGGCTCATTGAGGATTCTGCCCCAGAGACCCAACAGTGTGAGGAAGCCCATGGGTTGCATATTAAGGAGATGCTGGACAATACCACCTATCTTAACAGAATACCTGAGATCAAGTAATTTGCAAAGAACAGAGATTTATTTCTTACAGTTCTAGAGGCTGGGAAGTCCAAAGTTGAGGGTCTGCATCTTTCAAGGGCCTTCTGACTGTGTCATCCCATGGTAGAAGATGGAAGGGCAAGAGAGCATGTGAGAGAAAGCAAGAGGAAAGGGAGCTGAATTCATCCTTTTACCAGGAATCCACTCATACAATAACTAGCCCACTCCCCTAATAATGGCATTGATCTATTCATGAGTGCAGAGCCCTCAGAACCTAATCACCTCTTAAATGTCCCACCTCTCAGTAGTATTGAAATGGAGATTAAGTTTCCAACACATGCTCTTTGGAAGATACGTTCAAACAGTCTCACTGCCTTTTTCACTCAATGGCTAAATGTAATTTTTGCCTCTGGAAAAAGCTGCTATAGCACTAGTGAGGCCAGTCTAGGTAAAACTCAAAAATAAGAATTCTTCCAAATTCACCTATCTTTTACTCTTTTCCCAATTTGACTAGATTTTTTTCCATCGTTACCTTGTATACACATGCTTTCTACATTTTTACAATTAGGAATAATTTTTTTGTTGGTCACTACTTCAAGCAAATTTTTTATTGGTCTGTGTTGCTTTAAAAGTTCCCTCATTACTCACTATTACAGTTTAATTCTTGAATTCTGATAGCCAAAAAGAAAATAACTTTATGCAAGGATCCTTCTTTTGATCAGGTAAGCACGACTGAGTACTAATTGACTAAATCAGTCCCAATATGAGTCATTGAAGACTATTCTTAATAGATCTGATTGTAGTAATTGTTCTTGCTATAAAGTGATCTCCACTTCATTTTATATAGCATTTATAATATTTATGGATTTTAAGGAATAATCTGGCAGGCTCTAATGTGATAATTTCTGTATAGAAATTATTTTGAAACACAATAGCTTGCCTTGTAAAATAACTGTGGTTATCTTTACCTCTAGGTGGGCTTCTCAAAATCGTACTTTTGAGTGAACCAGGAATATCTTCATGTACATGGGTCACATATTCCACATTCTTGTGCCTCTTCTCCCTGAGGCAGATGAGGCATCAGAGGAAGAAGGTAAAAAAACAAACAAACAAATGAAAACCCACAAGCAACCACCAGTTAGAATCAAAGAGAGGGGTCAGTCATCCAAGGACAGGCCCTTTCCCTGTTGATAGCCAAAATGGAGTATAATTCACTGCCCCACTGTGTCTAGCAAAGGTTCTCCCTCCTGGTGTGTGCAAGGATCAGAGACTTGGGGGCAGGACCAAACTCTGAAGATGTAAACAGTGTGGTAATCTACTCATGTGCCTGGCTGATTTCACCCACTGTGTGTTGCAGGGCTCAGGGAGTACGTTGCTATTTACCTGCACATGATGCTGCCTTGTCATTCCCTTGTTTCCTGCATTCTGACAAACTATGCTTCCAAATCAAATATGTCATTTACTGAATTATCCAAATAAATTTTGCTTGTCATGCTCCTTCCTCAGTGGTAGTGCTGAATCTTGAAATAAAAGGTGGACTTCTTAAAACATGGGCTTCTTGAGAACCACATAAGAGCCTTCACCAAGGCCATAGGACACAGGAGGCCTTAGAGACTGTGAAGCCCACCCAAAACCTCAGCCCTCTGCAGATGTGGCCAAGTAGTCTCTTGGAGAATATTGCTGTGGGACCTTGAAGCTTTCAAGTTTACTTTGGAGAATTCTCATTCAAGCTCTCAGACCAAATGATTTGTGAGATTTGAGGAAAATGAAAGTAATGTAGTGCAGATTTGCAAGGCGACCTAAAACAAGTTAACCGAGTGTTTCATTACATCAGAAAAAGTAATGGCCACCGTGTTCTTAGGAAATCTAATTTGTTCAATAACAAACCATGCCAGAAAAATGACAACTCATGCTCAAAATGTCACAAGATTAGCTGAGCAATATTCCTGCACTGAATCATTCCTTTACTAATACTGACAGTCACCTAGAGGTTATAGTCCAAATAAAAATATCAAATTATGCAAGATTTTATCTGTAGTACATATGTCAAGATTAAAAGAAAATCACATTAAAGTGAAAAAAGAAAAATGTATTTGAGAGCCTCTCTGGACTCTTGGAAATGAAAATTTCTTCACATATTCAGGTTAGCATTCCAAGATAATGTCTCTTAGCTTGATACCAGAGGCAGTACTACAACCACTTCCTTCGAAGACTTGCCTAGTCTTGGGCTGGAAGAACAGTTTATAATTTCCAATGACAGGTGTAAGTGAAAAATGTCATCCTTTGTTTAAGTTTCCAGTTAGGTAGAAACTGCACCTCCCCATCTTGCCTTCCCCCGACCTCCACTAAAAGAGTAAGCAGAATGCTTTTCATAGATGAAGAATCAGACACAGGGAGTGGAAATGATTTACTGGAGCTTAAATTCATATAGGAAATACCACTAAATAGTCATTTGTGTGTAGCCCAAGGATGGAATTAGAAAGGATCAGAGGGCTGCAGTGAGCTGTGATCACACCACTGCATTCCAGCCTGGGAGACAAAGCCAGACCCTGTCTCCCCGTGCGCCCCAACCATGACCCCCCACAAAAAAAAAAAAAAAAACAGAAAGGAAGAAATAAAGAAAAAAGAAAGGCTCAAATGTGTATTTTTATAGTGTCTTTGCACCTATTTCTTCCAATAGATAAAAAAGCATAACAGAAAGTGGGGGTTGGTAAAGAAAATAATCTATAAAATATGACATAATTACATTAGAAATCACTTCATATTAAGAACTACCTCTTCAACTGTATGCTGTCTTTACAACCCAGCAGGACTGGAGACATGGGGTAGGAGGTGGGAAGTTGAACTAACCTACTTAAGACAATTTCTTTAAAACTTGCAGGTAAATAAGCTATACAATAACACTGAGTGATCTAAAAGGAAACCAAGAAAACAATTCCACTTACAATAGTATCAAAAAGAGTAAAATACTTAGGAATAAATAAAACTTAGGAGGCAGAAGACTTGTATACTGAAAACTATAAAACATTGCTGAAATAAATTGAAGACAAAAATAAATAGAAAGACATTCAGAGTTCATGGATTGGAATACTTAAAATGTCAAAATGTCCACGCTGCTCAAAGTGATCTACAGATTCAATGCAATTCCTGTCAAAATTCTAATGACCTTTTTTGCAGAAACAAAAAAAATCCACCCTAAAATTTATAAGGAACCACAGGGAACCTGAATAGCCAAAACAATATTGAAAAGGAAGAACAAAGTTGGAGGTCTAACACGTCCTGATTTCAAAACTTACTATAAAGCTACAGTGATCAAAACAGTGTGGTAGTGGCATAAAGACACACATACAGATAAGTGGAATAGAATAGCCAGCCCAGAAATTAACTTTCATATATACAGTTAAATGAAGGGTGATAAGACCATTCAATTGGGAAAACGTCTTTCCATTTGCTAACCATTCGTTAATAGTTTTGAGAAAATCAGGTATCAATTTGTAAAAGAATGAAGTCAGACCCTTACTTTACACCATGTACAAAAATTAACTCAAAATGGATTAAAGGCATAAATATAAGAGCTGAAACTATAAAACTCTATGAGGAAAACATAGGGGGAAAGCTTTATGACATTGCATTTGGCAACAGTTTCTTGAATATGATACCAACAGCACAGGCAATTATAACAAAAGAATAGATAAATTGGACTATATCAAAATAAAAAATTTGGTGCCTCAAAAGTCACTATTGATAAAATGAAAAGGCAATGGACAGAAAGAGAAAACATTTGCAAATTATGTATCTCTTAATGGGTTAATACCTAGAGTCTGTGAAGATCTCCTACAACTCAGAACAAACACAAAACCTGATTTAAAAATGGGCAAAGGACTTAAATATACGTTTCTTCAAAGAAGATATACAAATGGCCAATAAGCACATGAAAAGATGCTCAACATCACTAATCATTAGGAAAATACAAATTCAAACCATAATAAGATATCATTTCACACCCATTAGGATAACTATCGTTTTTAAAAAACAGAAAATAACAAGTATTGGCAAGGATGCACAGAAGCTAGAACCCTTATGCACTGGTGGTGGGAAGGTAAAATGGTGTGGCCATTATAGAAAACAGTACAATAGTTCCTCAACAAATTAAAAACAGAATTTTCATCAAAAGAATTGAAAGCAGGGTCTTGAAAAGATACTTGTACACTCATCTTCATAAGAGCATTCTTCACAACAGTGAAAAGTGGAAGCAATCCAAGTGTCCACTGATGGATGAATGGGTAAACAAAATGTGTATACATACAACAGAATATTAACCAGCTTTAAAAAGGAAGGGAATTCTAACACATGCTACAACATGGATGAACCTTTAAGATGCTATGCTAAGTAAGATAAGCTAGTCACAAAAGGACAAATACTATTTGATTCCACCTATGTGAGGTATCTAGAGAAGCCAAACTCATAGAGAAAGTAAAACAGTGCTTGCCAAGAACTGTGGGTAGGAGGGAATGGGAAGTTAGTGTTTAATGGGTATTATGTTTTAATTTGGGATGATGAAAAAGTTGTGGAGATGGACGGAGGTGATGGTTGCAGAGAAAGGGAGTGAATTTAATGCCACTGAACTTAAAAATGGCCAAAATGGTAAAATTTATGTTATGTGTATTTTACGACAATAAAACAATCGCAGAGAATCCTCATAAGGAGAGTTTAGGAGATAGTCATTTAAAGACCGCAAGTCATTGTGCATCGTCTCGGATAAAGTAACACAAAAAGACCTTTTGTAAGTAAGACACGATTCACATTTGCCTTAAATGTAAAGGTATTATATAATCTAGATATGTTCTGGTATCTAAGATGTAATGTAGAAGAATAAAAAAGGTAAGTCATAAGTTATCAGCTTCTTATTTGATTCCCATACTTACATTGTAAAACCATTAGAAGTATGTCTGCAAATCATCCAGAATTACACATCTTTGCAGAGTAATCAGTGGCTAAAAGAAAACAGCAATGGTAGGAAGTAGATTTGTTTTTAGAGCAAACACCCAGATTTCTGAGCTTCAGCTTGTACTGAAGTATTTCTAGGAACAGGGCCTTCAAAGATTTATCCATAAATGCTCTGGAACATTGAGGAAATGTGTTCAGAGATAGGAAAGACAGAAAAATAATTGATCAATAAAACTTTGTATTTTAAATTTTAATATAAATTTCCTTCATAACAATATTTTATTTCATTTTACTTTAAGTTCCAGGATATATGTGCAGAAAATGCAGGTTTGTTACATGGGCATACATGTACCATGGTGGTTTGCTGCACCTATCAACCCATTGTCTAGGTTTTAAGCCCTGCATGCATTAGGTATTTGTCCTAATGCTCTCCCTCCCCTTGCCCCCACCCACCACTAGGCCCTGTTGTGTGTGGTTCCCCTGTGTCCATGTGTTCTCATTGTTCAACTCCTGCCTATGAGTGAGAACATACGGTGTTTGATTTTCTGTTTTGTGTTAGTTTGCTGAGGATGATGGCTTCCAGCTTCATCCATGTCCCTGCAAAAGACATGATCTTATTCTTTTTTATGGCTGCATAGTATTCCACGGTGTATTTGTACCACATTTTCTTTATCCAGTCTATCATTGATGGGCATTTGGGTTGGTTCCATGTCTTTGCTACTGTAAATGGTGCTGCAATAAACATACATGTGCATGTATATTTACAGTAGAATGATTTATATTTCTTTGGGTATTTACCCAGTAACAGGATTGCTGGGTCAAATGGTATTTCTGGGTTCTAGATCCTTGAGGAATCACCACACTGTCTTCCACAATGGTTGAACTAATTTACATTCCCACCAACAGTGTAAAAGCATTTCTATTTCTCCACAGCCTCACCAGCATCTATTGTTTCTTGACTTTTTAATAATTGTCATTCTGACTGGCATGAGATGATATCTCATTGTGGTTTTGATTTGCATTTATCTAATGATCATTGATGTACAGCTTTTTTTCATATGTTTGTTGGCCACATAAATGTCTTCTTTTGAGAAGTGTCTGTTCATAAAGGATTCCCTATTTAATAAATGGTGCTGAGAAAACTGGCTAGCCATATGCAAAAAACTGAAACTGGACACCTTCCTTACACCTTATACAAAATTTAGCTCAAGATGTATTAAAGACTTAAATGTAAAACCCAAAACCTTATACCCTGGAAGTAAACCCTAGCCAATACCATTCAGGACATAGGCATGGGCAAAGACTTCATGACAAAAACACCAAAAGCAATTGCAACAAAAGCCAAAATTGACAAATGGGGTCTAATTAAACTAAAGAGTTTCTGCACAGCAAAAGAAACTATCATCAAAGTGAACAGGCAACCTACAGAATGGGAAAAAATTTTTGCAATCTACCCATTTGACAAAGGTCTAATATCCAGAATCTACAAGGAACTTAAGCAAATTTACAATAAAAAACAAATAACCCATCAAAAAGTGGGCATAACAACATTTACAATCCATCCTTGCTACATTTATGTTTTATAGCTTTTTACTCTCTACTATACTAGAACATAAGCTCCACCAAGATAGAGATGTTATCTGTCTAAATCACAATGCACCTCGTGTATGAAACAAAACCTGGCATATAATAAGTATTGAATATTTGCCTGCTGAATGAATGAATAAATGATGTTTTATCTCCAGTAGTAACTAACCCAGTGTCTTATGCATGGTTGGTGCTCAATACATAGCTGTTGATTTGATTGTGTATTTCATCTCCATCATGCTATGCACAAATGTTTGCCTTAGCACTGTATGAAAATTTATAGTTGCTGGTTGGTGCTCAATACATAGTTGTTGACTTGATTGTGTATTTAAAAAGAAATGCACAAGAGTGACAAGTTTATAATGGCAAAATAAGACTTTTACTGGTGCTCCAAGGAACACGTATTGTATTTTAATTAAGATATCCTGGACTGCGGGACGAACAATGATCTTATGAAAATTTAAGAAAGGAAAAGTGTTGCTGGTTAAGCTAGGATCCATCATCAGTTGTAATACACATCTTGACTGCAGAGATTTTAAGCATATGAAAAATGCATCTTAGAATTTAAGATACATGGTATGTATCATAGAATATTTTTCATAGGACCTACTGTAATATGTCTCTTTTTTCATGGAAATCTTGGACTAAAAAGAATCCTAAAGGGCATTCGTATAAATGTTCATACAGTGCTAAGGCAAACATTTGTTCATAGAATGATGAGGATGAAATTAAGGTCCCTATAAACCCAGTGATGTTTAGGCAGCATTTGAGGAGGAAAAAGATGGAACTTAAATGCTTTCCCTCTTCAGTCCATACCACCTTATCAGACTCCACACACACATTTTTGTGAGAAAGGAGAAGGGAGAAGAAGCAGGAGTATGGCAGTTGTCTTGATCAGATTTGACCTTCTAAAGATCGCCTTGTATGCAATGACTGGTGAAGACCAAAAGAGGACACAAGGTGACCAGCTGGGAGGCTGTTGAAAAACTTCCCAGTGAGTAACATAGGATGGTGGAGGTGGAGACAGGGTGAAGTACACAGAACCAAGAGACATCGTGGAAGCGATGTGGAAGCCTTCCTGATGTGATGTGTATGTGATGTGATACATACATTGTTTATTTTAAAGCCCTTTTAAAATTGTTTGGCAAAGGCTTGTACTGATGAATGCCTCTGTTTTCTAAGTTCAAACAATAGCACACATTGGGAAACATTTCACTAGTTTTAAAAACATATAGTTTTTATAGTAGAATGATCTATAATCTTTTGGGTATATACCCAGTAATGGGATTGCTGGGTCAAATGGCATTTCTGGTTCTAGATCCTTGAGGAATTACCACACTGTCTTCCACAATGGTTGAACTAATTTACACTCCCACTGACAGTGTAAAAGCATTCCTATTTCTTCACAGCCTTGCCAACATCTATTGTTTCCTGACACATGCACACATATGTCTACTGCAGCACTATTTACAATAGCAAAGACGTGGAACCAACCCAAATGCCCATCGATGATAGACTGGATAAAGAAAATGTGGTAGATATACACCATGGAATACTATACAGCCATAAAAAGAATGAGATCGTGTCTTTTGCAGGGACATGGATGAAGCTGGAAGCCATCACTCTCAGCAAACTAACATAGAAACAGAAAACCAAACACCACATGTTTTCACTCATAAGTAGGAGCTGAAGAATGAGAATACATGGACACAGGGAGGGGAACAACACATACCAGGGCCTGTTGGGGGTGGGGAGCAAAGGGAGGGAGAGCATTAGGACAAATACCTAATGCATGCAGGTCTTAAAACCTAGATGACGGGTTGATAGGTGCAGCAAGCCACCATGGCACATGTGTACCTATGTAACAAACCTACACACTCTGCACATGTATCCTGGAACTTAAAGTAAAATAAAAATAAATATAGTTTACTTGTTTATTTTAGTTAGACAAAATAATAAGGTTTGTATATTTCTGAGCATATTTTACATTTAACTAATTTTTAAAGAATAATAGACTTCTTAATACTAGAAGGAGTTTCAGTGTGAGACTGGAGTAGAATAGAGACTCTTAGGAGGGCCTTGCCTCAGGGGGCATGAGAAGTTGAGGGAGCAGCACGTTTGCACTCTCAAATCTGTGGTCAGGGCCAAGTTGGAGAAACTTCTGTACTGATCCATGCAGCAGATTATCACTTTGCTAACTATGAATTATCCATCTGCGTTTTTGATACTTCCAAAAACACTAATATGGAAGAAATAACATACAGTTCCATGTCTAGAGCTCCCTTACCCTACTATTACAAAAGGCAGATGGAGGTAGCATGGAAGAAGGTGCCTGCCAGTTTCACCTCCATCCCCAGCTGTGTCTGCCTTTGCTCCTCTCTTGTGCATTGCACACTCTCCTATTGCATTTTGACCTAGATTCTGAATGCATATAAAGATCAAGGGAAAACTGAATAAAGAATAAAATTACATTTGTGCATGTGTAATTTAAGGACAGAGCTTTAAAGGAGAAAGAAAATTACCAGCACAGCTCCTATCCAGTATAAAATAATGTAGCAAGTTAAAAACAAGGACAAATCGGTATTTCATAATAATGTGTATTATAGTACTTAAATAGGAAGTGGGTTAGAGGTCGGTCATTCTACTTTTTATTTTATTATTTTATTTTTTGAGATGGAGTTTCTCTCTTATCGCCCAGCCTGGAGTGCAACGGCATGATCTCAGCTCACTGCAACCTCCGCCTGCTGGGTTCAAGCAATTCTCCTGCCTCAGCCTCCCAAGTAGCTGGGATTACAGGTGCCCACCATCATGCCCAGATTTTTTTTTTGTATTTTTAATAGAGATGGAGTTTCACCATATTGGCCAGGCTGCTCTCGAACTCCTGATCTCAGGTGATCTGCCCACCTCGGCCTCCCAAAGTGCTGGGATTACAGGCATGAGCCACCACACTCAGCCCATTCTACTTCATTTCCATTGCCTGTAACTTCAGTGACATCTGATAAAGGGGCGAAGTTTATTATTTTATTTTATTTTATTTTATTTTATTTTATTTTATTTTATTTTATTTTATTTTTTAAGAGACTGGGTCTCCCTATGTTGCCCAGGCTGGTCTCGAACTCCTGGGCTAAAAGTATCCTCCTGCCTCAGCCTCCCAAACTGCTAGGATTATAGGCATGAAGACTCACACCCGGCCAAGGACTGAACTTTCAAAGACATGCTAGAACTGAGTCCTATAACTGAAGGCTCAAGTTGTAGGTGGAGAAGAAAGTGTGCAGTGAGTCTTCCACCTCCAGCTGGAGGATCATTCCACAGGAGACTTTATTAGAGACCCATATCACTGGGACAGCCTACAGCGGATTCTTTACTGTCTTTTCCCTAATTCTATGCTAAGATTTCTACTCTAAGAGACTTAGAGTAAACATCTCTGAAGTTTCTGGCTTCTACCTCATTCCACTTTAGTTTCTCTCCCTTAGTTTTTAATCTTTACTTTTTAAAGACTTTAAATATATTGGAACATTAAATTCTATCTGGGCTGCAGAAAGATTTTGTTGAAGATGATTACGCTTTTTGCTCTGCAACCATCTGAGTTAGGCAGACTTTATTCAAGGGAGGCTACTACAATGGGGTTTCAGGATAGGGAAGAAAAATTGGACTTAACTCAATATAATAAGGTAACGTGGGAATTTACACCCAAGGAGCAGTTTGGAAGTCAGTGGATAAAAAATTACTAACAGGTAGGGCAATTCTTTGTTAAACTGACCTAACAACATTTTTGCTGAAGGAGACCAGTGTAATCAACCATCACCTGGGGGACGGCGGAGGATGAGGGTTCTGATCAGATATTGAGGGTGATCAATGGGGGACTCCAACTAAACTGACTAAGCAGGATTCTTGCTAAAACTGGACAAATTCAGAGATGAACGCAGAAATCCAAAAGCCAAGGCCTACTTGAGAAGACAGTTCAGGGGAGTCTGGCTAGAATTTGATCAAGGAGAGAATCTTGTCATTCTCTTTTGGGGATGCCCAGTGCCTGTGGATGTGACTTTGGGTAGGGCAGTTACAGATGAAATTAGTTAAGGTGAGGTCGTCTGTCATAGGATCAACCCTTAATCCAATATGACTGTTGTCCTCATAAGAAGGAAAGACACACACACACCACACCACACACACACACACACACACACACACACACATACATACACAAAAGGAGAGAAAGCCATGTGACAAGGGACACAGAGATAGAAGCATTGCAGCCATATAGTGTGGAATACCAAGGATTGCCGGCCACCACCAGAAGCCAGGAAGAGACAGGAAAGATTCTCCACTCCAGGTTTCCAAGGGTGCACAATCCTGCCAATGGCTTCATTTCAGATGTTTAGACTCCAGAAACGTGAGACAATAAGCCTCTGTTGTTTTAAGCCGTGCATTTTATGGTACCTGTTAAGGCAGCCATAGTAAACTAGTACCTTATCCATTCACCTATCTCCCTGTGCCTATTCATTCATTCATTCAGTCAGTCAAATGACGCTTGTTTAGCACTTACTGTGTACTATGCACTGTACAGTGTATAGTGTACTGTATCTCCGAGGAGGCAAAGATGAGAAAGATACCATCTCTGGTGCCAAGGAGCTTGTCATCTCAGGAGACAAGGCACTGTGGGACACGGAGAAGGAGGACTTGTCTTGGTGTCTGAAGGTGTGGCTGCGTGGTGGCCATGGAGGACTTAGTGGAGAATGGCTAAACTGAAACAAGAGGAGACGGCTATGGTGAACACAAGTCCCTTTCAGGTATGAGTATAAAATGCAATATTAAAAGGGAATTTAGAATTTCCGCAAACTAACCTTTTAGCAAATAAAGAAATTGACGCCTTTACAGGTTGTGACTAACGTGGCATCTCAGAGCTCGTGGTAGAGCCAGGACAATTGTCACTGAGAAGAGAACCCGCTGTGCACGCTGGTCATGCAAGTGCTTCTCTGGCTACTCTCCCTGAACTCTCCCCACAGCCCTCAATTCACAAATAAGGTTGCTTAAGGTTTAGAGAGGGGATGTGATTTGCCCAAGTACAGTGAATTGTTTGTCAAATGGCAGAGCCCAGATCAAAGCTGATTTGGGGCTGCAAAGCCCGGCCACGGCATAATGCTACTCACCACAGGTTTTAACAATTCCTGATCCAGTTTTCTATCCATTCCCACCTTGCCTTACAGTTTATAACATACCAAATTAAAACCAGACACTTCCCAGACAAGAGCTGCCTTGTCTCCGCAGATGACAAACTTGTAATGTAAATGAAAACCCCTTGAAAGAAATTAGAATTAAAATGTAATTGTGCCTTTAGGCTCCACATTCTTTTAACCCCAACAGAATATACTATTCATAAATCATGTGACTAATACAAGAATATTCATATGTCCCTATAAATATGGAATTTAAGCTACCATTTCTATTGTTGTTGCAGTCATCACAGATATGGATAAGATATATTTCTCTTTCACATTTTAAAGAAAGAAAAATCTAATGAAAATTATTGTTACATGTTGATGTTCAGAGTATTTCTGATAACTAAGCTTATTTATTACAGGAATGTTTTCAAACAAATTTATTTCAAATACATTTTGATGGTCTTAGAATTCAGTGTATCTGACTATATCAGGTTAAAGAGTAGGACAATATAAAATGTTAAAGATAAGGGGGTTGAGAATGAGGTGAGGAATACTATATTTAAAAAGCTTAAACTACAACCACAACAATGTACAATTCAATATGAAAATGTTATGTTGAGGATATATATGTGCATATATACTTATGTATATATGTGTACACACACTTGTTTTATATAGATCAAAAAGAACTCACCAAATATTTATCCACTAAATTTTGTCATCCTAGGGTAAGGGAGTATCCCTTGAAGCTTGAAAAAGCAAACTGAGGACAAATAAATGTAGTCCTGCTTTAAGAAATAGTAAAATTATGGATGTGTTATCCTAGGAGGCAGAGACAGTAGAAATGGAAATTATAAATAGCTTTACCAATGGACTGGATAAACTAATGGATCACAGATATATAGGCAATTATTGGGATTTTTTCAGAGGGATAAAGCATTAGGCTCTAGGTTGTTATTGCAAAGTATTATGAGGAAATCGCCACTTCTTTTCAACAATAGAAGATTATCCACGTTTGGCCACCAGGGCAGATGCTCATCACCACATCCAGGCATTCTCATATGGTTCACAGTGGCTTTACCCAGCAGGGACAAGGCAGATGTTTACCAAAGCTTTGGGAAAACAAATGGGAAGAAGGTACAGAGACCCGTGACACTTAAATATCTGTCTTAGTAAAGCCTGGTAAATATAGCTTATGCATCTTCTGTTGGTGGCTTAGTATTTAAGACCCTTTCAGGTCTATTATCTGAGACCATCTTATTATCTACCAAACAAGCCCACTTCAAAGACATCTACACTCATTGGTATCCATAATTGAGGGAAGAAAACCTCAACAAAAGAAGAAAGAGGGAAAGAAAGAAAGAAAGAAGAAAAGAAGAGAAAAAGAAAGAAAAAAGAAAGCAAAGAAGGAAAGAAAGAAAAAGAAAAGGAAAGAAAAGAGAAAGAGAGAGAGAGCCTTTCCTGACCTACTTGAGGCCTGCCTTTGTAGACTTAATTTCTTGAGGACTAACTTCTTTCATGTATCCCTGAAATGGAAAATGACCTCACCTTCCAGGGCGAGATAAGACTTTCCCAGAGGGCTTTGAAATTTCTAGCAGGCATCCGCAAGCATTCATTCTCCCGGGATACAGTATAATGCAGAAACCCCATTATACATAAAAGAGTTACAATGCCAGGTGTGCCTGTGGAGGGGGAGCATTTCACTGCAGGACAGTCATATTTTTCCCCAACTTTCTTGTGTTCAACAGAATTGCGAAGTGAAGAAAGTCAACATAGCTTTCCTCACAGATCATTTAAGATTTCAGTCCATCAAATGTATCCCTATATATGCATTTCTTCACTGAACCCACATGGAAAATATAAACAGTAGATGTCCTTTTGGCTGTAAAACACATAACTGATTTTCATTCCTGGCTCACAGAAATCAAACTCTTTGTTATGGCTGAACAATATTGTAAGCCAGTGCTCTAAATGCTTGAAAGATTTTTAATCATTTATTCAGTTAAATGATTTTCCTGATTTGTCATTGGTCTCATGCCTTTGTTTATGGTATCTTTTCTCTAGTAAAGTTTTGAATATTCCACAGCCCTTTTTTTAAATAGGTTCTGGATTTCCAGCCTTGAATAATTTATGATCTTTACTGCTGGATTACATAGACAGAATTTCATAGTTTCTTGTAAGGTTTTTATATTTTATTAAGTATAATTAAGTGTTTGGTGCATCTGGCATAAATTTTTGTCTATGGTTAAGATGGAGATACCCACTTTTATTTTCTTCCAAAAAGACAGGCATTTATGTCAGCACCATTTATCAAATAAACCTTTTCCTCCATTGAATTAAACTTTTTTCCACAAAGTAATTCTCATTTACTGACGCTGAAGTCATTTATTTGTTTATTTATTTTTGGCTCCTTATTCTATCTCATGATCTTTTTTCTTTTCTTATTCCAATACCAGGCTGTTTTGAAGACAGTAGCTTTATTCTATGTGCTACTGTACAGCCTGGGGCCTCAGCACTGATCAGAAAAACTGGCCTTTCACTGCATGGACCCCAGTGAGCTGACAGCCCTGCAAAGTTGGAGCTGGGCAGCCCCCAGCAAATGACTGGCATGGCAGAAGCATTGGGGCCTGGCCATTTCTACCCAGGGCGGGACTCCTCCAAAGGCAAAGTTTTTGCTCCAGGGCTCTTGACTAGGTTGGCCAGGACTTCATCATAGGTACATGGCCCTCAGGGACCCTTCCTCCCTCTCCTTTCACACATGTGAGGTATGATCAGGATTGAAGCTCTCCCTGCTCAGCCTTGCTTGCTCCCTTTCATATTTTACAGGCACTACCCACTCCCCCATCAAAGGACTCAAACTGATGCCTACAGTAATCTACCCCCCACCACTGTACTTGTTCATCCCCTTTTCTTGGCTAATCTTTGTCTTGTCTTTTATTCTTCCATATATACATTATCAGCACATTACAGAATTATCTCAAAAAAGTTGGAATTATAAATGAAATTACATTAAATTTATGTATTAATTTTGAGGAAATCAACACAATTGGTAATTGTATATTTAATAGTGTATTTGCTTATTGTTTACATCTCCTATTAAACTGGAAGCTCCACAAAGACAGGTATTTTGTTTATTTTATTCACCACTCTGTACCCAGTGCATATCACAGTGGCTGGTATATGACAGATACTTTATCAACATTTGCTGGATAAATGAAATAACCAACATCCAAGGCTCATCACTTTAAAAGATGAATAAAGACATTTCAAGGCAGACATTATATGGTCAGTGGAGTAGTTGTTACTAACAACCTGCTATGCTAATCGAGCAATATGCAATGCTGATCCTATTTTCCACAGCCTATTATCCAATAAAAATGGATTTTTTTTTTAACTTTTAAAACTTGTTTTTACACATATTATTCAAACTTGGAATACATTTACTGATTGAAACAATATTTTTAAGTAGAAGTTAGATTCCTAGGCTATTCTACAGTATATGCCACTCTTAATACTACTTTTTGGATTAAACAGGCTTTTGTGGAACTAATCACTGTGTGTGAAAGTATTATAATAAGGATAAAAGCATTAACAAATTCAATTTGGAGTCCAGGACGTATCAATCTGTTCTCTCCCACCATCCCCAGCACTTAGAACAAGAGGAAAGGAAGCACAGCCCGGGGAAAGAGCACAGGTCACGTTTCATCTCCCTCTCGTAGCAGTCAAGTGGCTTTGCAAAATTTAGCATTATCGCTCTTGGACTCATTTCTATACTATCTGTAGTAACAATGACATTGTATTTCAGCACTGCTTCTTAACCAGGTTAGTATGCATTCAAAGCACCTGGAGAGATTTTTTGTTTTATTTTGTTTTGAACCAAAAATACTGATGCCGAGTTCCCAACCTGGGATGGACTCTAGATATGTAGATTTAACAATCTGCTCAGGTGATTCTGTGTGGACTCTTATCAGCCAGGAAGTCTAGGTTATGCTGCAGTAATAGAGGAATCCTGAATTTCCTGTGGCTCGCCACGTAGTTTATTTCTTACTCACATTCATGTCCAGTGTGGGTTGTAATGGAGTGGGGGGCTCTGTTCTACAGTCCTTCTGGACCCAGGATCACAGAGACTCCATGGTCTGGAACATTCTCATTACCATGGCAGAATGAAAAAAGGAGCGTCATGTACTGCAGTTAAATGTTTGCCCGGAAGTGAGCTGCATCACATGGTCATAGTCACATGACCCTGCCTCCCTGCAAGAGAGCTGGGAAGTGTCCTCCTCTGTGTGCCCAGAAAATGGAAAAGACTCCTGTGCTGAAGAGCAGTACCAATGTCTACACAGTGACATCATTAACAATGACTTCACTTGATCCTCAAATTAAAGGAGCTATTTCAAGTAGAGTCTATGACTTTGTTGTCCAATATGGTACCCACATAGAGCTATTTAAATTTAAATGAATTAAAACTAAATAAAATTTAAAATGCAGTTCCTCAGCTGCAGTAGCCACATTTCAAGTACACAATAGCCACTTGTGACTCATGGCTGCTCTACCTGACAGCACAGATATAAAAGATTTCCATCATGCAAAGGTTCCATTGGACAGGGCTTATCCAGTACACGGTTGGTCTCCTTGCCCTTGTTAGACCATAATTCTAGTGTAGCCACATGCACAGCCTCTATGTTAATAGCAATGCTCTGACAATAGTGCTGGCCTTTGCTCAGAAGCTCACCAGAGGAAAGGGTATTTGGAAGTTAGACATTCACAGGGCAGAGAATGTAAGTATAGGCTGAAGGAAGGTGTATGATGCATCTCCGGTTAGCAAAGCTAATGATAGAGAGATAGAACAGAAACAAAGAGATATGAATTAAAAAGGTCCAGTGGAAGACTTGTGCAACAGAGCAAGACCTTGTCCTCCACAAAAAATTATTGGTAGATACAACGGAGACAAGATCCCTCTCTTTGGGTCCTCAGTTATTTCAAGAGTGTGAAAAGATTCTGAAAGCAAAGTGTCTGGCTTAGGACATACTCTGAACTTTGTGACAGAACACCATGGACAGCTCCAGTAGCTGCTATAACAGGGCTGGAACTACCTAAGATCTAGCATCATATCCAGAATTCCAGAATTCCATGTATTCACTCTTCAGACAGGCCATGAAAAAAAAAATCTCAGAGCATTTTAAAAGAATATTTTAGAACTGAACTTGGGAAATATTTATTTCTATTGATCTCTTCCTTAGGAGTAGATTTAAAGAAATGGTTATTTAAAATATTTTATTATAATGATAGAAAATAAACTGCCAGAATGACACATATTTTGCATTAACATAACAGATTATTCAGAAGTGTGACTAAAACTTTTGCTTAAAAAATATATTAACTTGCCCAGCACAGTGGCTCATGCCTGTAATCCTAGCACTTTGGGAGGCCAAGGTGAAAGGCTCACTTGAGCCCAGCAGTTCAAGACCAGCCTAGGCAAAAAAGTGAGACCATGTCTCTACAAAAAATAGCCAAGTAAAATATGTCCTAAGCCACTTTGTGTTTTCAGGACCTTTTCACGCTCTTAAAATAATTGAGGACCCAAAGTGTCTTGTCTCAGTTGTGTCTACCAATAAATTTTTATGGAGGACAGGGTCTCGCTCTGTTGGCTAGGCTGGAATGCAGTGGCGCAGTCATGGTGCTACACACCTGTGGTCCTGGCTAGATGGAAGGGTAGGCAGGAGAATCATTTGAGCCCAGGAGGCAGAGGCTGCATTGAGCAGAAATTGTGCCACTGCACTCCAGCCTGGGCAACAGAGCAAGACTCTGTCTCAAAAAAACAAAAACAAAAAAAGTATAGTCACTTGGAAGGATGGTTTTACAAAAATATGCTAGAATTATGAGTAAATATGCTGATTGCTCTTTAGCCACTACAAAAGTGTTTCCAGGGTAAGTTTTCTTGTTATAAAACTCTTCTATAATTGTTATTTTTAAATTTTTAAAGTTCTTGGTATTAAGTATGCGAAATGAAACATGTATAGAGATTTGACGGGGCAGTTGTTAAATATAAATTTAGATATAGTAATAAAGCATCTAAAAATAGCTACCTAAATGAGTCTTATTCAAAACTCTACTGGCTGCTAAGAGTTTGCACTTATCTCTAGATTAGAAAATGTATTGTTATCATTCTGATTCTATTTTAAAAAAGCAATAATAGGTAGGGCTTGGTGGCTCACGCCTGTAATCCTAGCACTTTGGGATGCTGAGGCAGGTGGATCACCTGAGGTCAGGAGTTCAAGAACAGCCTGGCCAACATGGCAAAACCCCATCTCTACTAAAAATACAAAAAATTAGCTGGGCATCGTGGTGGGCACCTGTAATCTCAGTTACTCAGGAGGCTGAGACAGGAGAATCGCTTGAACCTGGGAGGCGGAAGTTGCAGTGAGCTGAGATCATGACATTGCACTTCAGCCTGGGCGACAAGAGCAAAACTCCCATCTCAAAAAAAAAAGAAAAAAAAGCAATAATATTTCATAACAATAAAATGCACTAAATCATATTTTAAGCATTTCCCCCATACTATCATTAGGCATATGTTATGGACTGAATATTTTTGTATCCCCAAGTTCATATGTTGAAATGCTAATGCTAAAGGTAATGGTATTGGGGGTAGGGCCTTTTGAGGGGGAGGTGATTAAGTCATGTATGGGATTCTTGTCCTCATGAAAGGGATTAAGTGCCTGTAAAAGAGGCCCCAGAAAGCTTCCTCAGTCCTTCCACCCTGTGAGCCTACAGCAAAAAGACAGCTACCTATGACACAGGAATGTGCCAGCACCTTGATCTTGGACTTCTCTGTCTCCAAAACTGAGAAATAAAGTTCTGCTGTTTATAAACCTCCCAGTCTATAGCATTTTGTTATTGCAGCTCAAGTGAACTAAGATAATGCATATGATAAATTTCCAAATGTTGTTAGACAAGAACACCTGAAAAATTGCAACTATTTCTCCTCTTTGAATTACTAAGTAAGCTGATTTTTGTGTCCAAAACAAGAAAAGCAAAAAACAAAATATGGATAACATTAATTTTATTATATATTATGTTTTCATATATTAACGTGGAACATGTAAATACCTAAAAATTGGCTTTTATAGCAATTCCAGCATTGAAGCTTCAAAGATTCACAGCCTTGTTGTGGGGTGGGGGAGAGGGGAGGGATAGCTTTAGGAGATATACCTAATGCTAAATGACGAGCTAATGGGTGCAGCACACCAGCATGGCACATGTATACATATGTAACTAACCTACACATTGTGCACATGTACCCTAAAACTTAAAGTATAATAATAATAAAATAAAAAAAAAGAAAAGTGTGATCAAACATATTGATTTCATTTCCTTTGGGATTCACTCTATATTATCTTTGTGGATTTCTCTTTGCTTGTTGTAAAGAACATGAATATGATATGAATATAACATTTAAGAATATGATATTTAAGAATACAAAATCTCATTGTGATGTAAATCATATATCATGCAAATAATTCAAATGTAGTCTTGAATATTTACTAAATAATGTTCATAATCACTCTCTGAAGCAGAGAAGCTAGTCAACTTTCCTCATTTAGCAGAATGAAAGTTAAAGTAGAGTTTATAAAACAATCTGTAGTTTTTTGCATTTATAGTATTGCTTACTGCTATCCCAGATGTACTTGATACATTATATATTGAAACACATGACATAGTCCCAATGTACATGAAACTTAAATCTATTTGAGCAGTAGATGAAAAACAAACAGAATAATTTAAAAATTAGAGAATACTTAAGTTTTAAGTCATTTGGTTCAGATTGGAATTCAGACAAGGAAAAAATCACTTCGGACTATTTGAAGTTGTTGAATAAGCTTTACAAGTTAGGGGAGGCTGAGTTCTGCAAACATTTATTGAGCTAAGTGCAGCAGGACTTAGGAATTTAGTAGATAAGATATCTCTGACCACAAAAACTTCAATTCTGGTAGGACAGACAGTAATACTTTTAATATAATGTTGGATGTCTAACAGTAGAGAAATGCAAAGGGACAGTTTGCTTGGGGAGGTTAGCCATGGACACTTGGCCATGATGCCTGGGCTAAGCCCTGAAGAATGAGTGAAAGTCAATCTGTTGAAGAAAATGGGACAGAGGGTCCAGGCAGAGGGAGCAGCATGAATAAAGTCACAGAGTTGTGGCACATCAGTCAGTACATAGAGAACAACACCTCATTTACTATAGCATAAATGTAGGCAAAGGATTGGGACAGGTCCCAACCTTCTTGTGTGGATAGGTTGGCATGGGTGGTGGGTCATAGGAACTGAAGTCAAGCTGGAGATGAATTTGGGTCAGGGTTGGGGGACCAAGGCTTTGGAGAATAACAGTGGACTCTTGGTGTCCTCACCTCTTTTTGACCCAGTCACATAATGCACTCATATCTTTATCATATTTTATTTATCTTAGGCTCTGGGCTGACAAAAACTGTCGACTAAAGGTCTTGCTGGTATGAATAGGGAGGACCACACAGAGGAGGATGCAGGAAAAATTTTTTTCCAGGTGGGACAAGTGCGAATGCAGGGAGGGCAGATAGAACGGCCAAGTCTATGCTTTGTCGGGATGAGAACACAGCTGTGCCTGTGTCAGAGCCTAATGTTGTTGCTTGTCCTTGAGAATGAACAGACCAGTCTAAGGCCGTGAGGAAAGATAATCAGCAAATTTCAATTACATTGGGCTCAAGAGTTCTAGTTTGGGTACTGGAACTGGGGCACTTTGATTCAGGATCCTTGAGACACACGCAAATTAAAATGTGGAATGGAAACACTTATAGGTCCCTAGGTACCTACCTTTAGCTTAGTCTTTGGACTTTGCAGAGCAGAAGTTCCCGACTGGTGTGGCAAGGCACCTGTGTGCTCCAGAAGGTGCGTTGTGGAATACTGACCCTCTTAGTCTATTGTCTCTAGCTTAAATGATTGTAAGAGCCTCCCAAGAGTTCTCTCTCTGCTGCAGCACTCTCCACACTACAGTCTGTCCTCAACACAGCACAGAAGGCACCCTTTAAAATGTAAAAACGTATTGTGGTTTATTACTCCTCTGCTATCAACCCTGTGTCAGCTTCCCATCTTGTTTAGAATGTTCTCGCAATGGCCTTCAAAGCTCTGCATCATCTGACCTCTGTGATTTCTCTCATTGCATATCACACTAGTGCCCACCATGGTCATTCTGCTTAATGTACAATGGCTATGATGTTTCTTTTTTTTCTTTTTTCTTTTTTTTTTTTTTTTTAAGATGGAGCCTCGCTCTGTCACCCAGGCTGGAGTGCAGTGGCACGATCTCGGTTCACTGCAACCTCTGCCTCCAGGATTCAAGCGATTCTCCTGCCTCAGCCTCCCGAGTAGCTAGTATTACAGGCGTGGGCCGCCACACTCAGCTACTTTTTTGTATTTTTAGTAGAGACAGGGTTTCACCATCTTGGTCGGGTTGTTCTTTAACTCATGACCTCGTGATCTGTCCGCTTCAGCCTCCCAAAGTGCTGGGATTACAGGCGTGAGCCCCTGCGCCCAGCGACCATGATGTTTCTTAACAAGTGGGACACACTCCTGCCTTGGGCCATGCATAGGCTTCATACTTCTGCTGGGAACGTTCTTCTTCCATGTATCCACTTGGCTCATTCGCTCTTCTTTTTTAGGTCTTTGTTCAAATATCACCTTGCTAAGGTCTTTCCCTGACCACACTATTCAAAATTGGCCAGCACTGTCATTGCTCAGTATCTCCTATCATTACTTTATTTTACTCCATATCACTTACTTTATCTAGTATATTAAGTATATTTAAATAGTACTTAACATACTATTTAGCATATTGATTACTAAATATTTACTTATTTTGTTAATCATTTGTCTCCCCTGACTAGGAGTAAGCTCCATGGGGGCAGGGCTGCGGCATTGTTACAATTGTTCATGGCTGAATCACTGGTACCTAGAGTACAACTTGACAAATAATAAAAGATCAATAACATTTTTTGTACGAATGAATAAATTTTGAAATAACTGACATTAAAAAGTTCAATTAAATTAAAAAACCCATTAACATTATCTCCAGAATTTAAAAAAATATATTCATCAATATGAGAGTTGTTAGAATATTTAAATATAATAATCAGCTACATTATACATTTCGAATGATCACAGAATCAATGGTTTTTAAATTTTTATTACCTAGTTGTTTAAAGAAAAAGTTCCTCATCATTGGAGACTATCAGAATTTTAAGAAATAATCACTAAAATTTATTGTTCAGGAATAATGTGGAACCATGTCAAGCATTAAAAACAGATATTTTAAAAATAAAAACAAGAACCATGTTAAATTGATCATTAATATTTTAGAATATTCTACTTAAAATATTATTTTAAAATCATAATTATATTCCATGATATAGTCTTTATATTTTAGCATAATTATATAAAGTAATTTTTCACAAAAACCCACAGATATCTTAAAATGCTTTCTTTTTTTCCCCTTTTGCCATGCAAAATTATCATAATTATATATTTGCAATTTCTAATGATATAATGACAAGAAAAAAACGTCTCTACATGTTCAGTTACAGACACAACCATTATAGGCCTAACTACATTTTGATCTATGGTTGGTTGGATCTGTAGATACAGAACCTATGAATACGAAAGGACCACTTTCATGGGCTATTAATTTTAAACGGTCTGGAAGCTCTAACACAGAGGGCTCATCCTGAACACATGCCCTCAAGTGTGAATATGGGCTTCGCATTGAGGGATGAGGGCCCAACAGTGTCTACACTCCAAGCTAGGGGTTGAGCTGGGAAGTCTCTGGAATTGAAGTGGAAAGGTAGATAGATTCGGCTATAAGTGGCTTTGAATGCCACAATGAAAAGTTTGGACTTCACGGGGGTAGAACGAGTTGTGGCAAATGCTGCTCATAAAATAATAGACCACACTGAAGGCATTTCAAAGGCCCAATAATATCAACATATTTTCAGGGGCCATTATTTGTATAGATGTGATTTTCTACTGGAGATCCTTTAGGATTCAAGCCCAGAGTCATTTCCTGCCCCCAATCCAGACTGCACTGCCTCCCACGCTAAAATCCACTTGATGGAGACAGGCCAAGATGTGGATGGATTTGAGGCTTCTCTAGAGCTCGGTAGAAAGGGTGGCTCTTCATAGTTCAGGTCTTGGGCTACGGGGCTGAAGCAGCCCATCGTCTAAAGTCAAGCCCTGGTGATTAGAATTTTGTGATTTGCTGATTAATAGCTTCTTGCTGTTTGTGCTCTTCAAGGGATTATCAGAGTTGAGCCCCACATCTGGAGCAGCATTCATCCAGCAGTCGAGGCTAATTGAAAAAGTCACCACAAATCATAAGCAGGGGGAATTTGAAAGTCAGCTTTATGAAACAGCAGACTTGGGTTGGAATGTAGGCAGCACCTTCTCATTTAGTTGGGAGGCAGCTAGCTCAGTGTCCTTCTGGTCCCCAAATGCCTTGTATCATTTGGCTGCTCAACATTCGTGGACAACTCCTCTGAAATCAACCTAGGTAGCACGTCCCCAGAAAAATTCAAGCCTCTTTAAAAAACTGTTGAAAGCCGAGCAAAATGATCTCTGGAATAGAGCGATGTCTTGCAACATTGCTGCAAATACACTGAGAAGTGAGATGTTATACAAATCTGGCAGCATTTAAATTTAGAATGCATGTGATATTTGAGTGGGCTAAACCTGGGTTAGATGAGAAGGAACCTGAAGAGGCTCTAAAATCCAGGGCTAGTATCTTCTCTTCTTTGAGTTAGAAAAAGAAAATGTCACCACTCTTTGGAATACCTTATATATGCAAAATGATATATCCTTTAAATAGTATGCTAAGTTTGCATTCAGGATATAGTTTGAAAATATGCACAAACTTTCTCAGTGTAAAAATGAATCAAAATGTTAAATACGCAATTATCCAACTGTGTATGCAAAATGAAGTTGATGGAGGGGCAACTGAGTTAATTTTAGTAGACACACACAAAAAGCTACTTGAGTGAATTGTTTTATTAGCTTCTCATTCCTAGAACCAGCCAAATAACCCTATCTTCAGCCTGAATCATATTTGCTGTTACTCTCCTCCTTTCACCTAACCCTAGATGGGGTGGTTGGGTTTATACCCCTTAGTAACAGTGCAGAAAATGTTTCCACTTTAAATTAATTTGCTACATAAATTGGGTGCTTTTCTGGTTGTGTGCTAATTCCTAACATATTTTGCTGACATGATAGGGAAGCCATGCATTCTGCCACAATAGCAGGACTGTAAAGGATGTTTGTGGCATGCAAACAAAAGCCTCCATCGTGTCCATGACTGGAAACTGTTTTTTCTTTTGGCAATAGACTCAGGAAAAGCAGAGAAAGGTGGGCCTCATTAATACTATTCTTTTGATCATAGCTCAGTATAACCTTGAACTGGGCTCAAGTGATCATCTTCCCTTAGCCTCCCGAATAGCTAGGACTAAAGGCAGCACCATCATGCCCAGCTAATTTTTTTTTCACCGGTAGTAACAGGGTCTCACTACCAGTTTCAATTGATCTTCCTGCCTTGGTCTCCCAATGTGCTGGAATTACAGATGTGAGCCACCACACCAGGCCTAATTATTATTGTTATTATTTATTATTTTGAAATGGAGTGTCACTCTGTCACCCAGGCAGGAGTGCAGTGGTACAGTCTTGGCTCACTGCAACCTCCAACTCCCAGGTTCAAACGATTCTCCTGCCTCAGCCTCCCGAGTAGCTGGGACTACAGGCCTGCAGTACCTCGCCTGGATAATTTTTGTATTTTTAGTAGAGACGGGGTTTTGCCATGTTGGCCAGGCTGGTCTCAAACTCCTGACCTCAGGTGATCCGCCCACCTCGGCCTCCCAAAGTGCTGGGATTACAGGTGTCAGCCACTGTGCCCGGCCACTGGCCTTATTTTTAAAAAATAATGTAGTTTGTACTTCAGCATATTATTTCAGAAGAGGGGAGGGATGTTATATCTTTATTATCTTGCCTCAATTCTTCAAAGTTACAGATAGGCTTGAGTTCTGTAATATTTCATTTTCATAAATATGTTGCAGATTTAATTCAACTGTGCTGGGACCTAGTATTGAAGGGCAGGAGTCAGAAGGTTTATGAGTGAATTCAGAGACTAAGGAATGACCTTTGGGAAGTTGTGATATTTAGAAGTGACAGCTCACAGATTAAGGGCAGATTTGAAACAACTGAGTGGCAAAGGCTGGGCTACTGTTAGAGTGAAGACAGTTGGAGGACAAGCAGCTGCATGGGCATGTTTTATTGAGTACACTCATCCATGGAACCACTGCCCCCACCCCCACCCCCCCACCGCCAAAACATAACTTCCACAGACAGATTAAGCTATTCTTTAGCCCTGTTTGGGTCATATTCAGCCAATCAGGGAGCTCACCACCTCCCTTTTCCCTGCCCATAAGACCTGCAGGATACGTTGATTTGTAGAGAGTTTGAAATGCAGAACATATCTTCCAAAAAACCAAAATTACACAAAGGTTCTTGAGTCACCAGAGAAGTCCAGAAAACCTCACTTAACCCAAAGGTAAGTGCAGTGCCACTAAGCATTAACAGTGACCTAAGACCTTACCACCATGTAGAATATTTATATGAAAAAAATTCCGTGGAAAAATGCCAGGAGCACACAGTGCCTTACCGCAAGAGAGAGGAGAGACCCTTTTGATAGACTAGCTGGACAGGGAGCGTGGAAATTTCTTGAGACCAGAAGAGTAGGACATGAGGTTGGGAGACAGGGATTCTTATCCTCCAAGGGTGTCAATTGGCCCGTGGGCTCAGTGAAAAAGAGCCCTACAATAAAGGAATAGTGGCTTCTTGGGAATGGGTGGAGGTGGAGGCAGCACAGGTCCATTTGCTATCCTTGGGCCTTGGGCAAAGATGTAATTCACAGTCTGAATGTCATAGTAGAAATGAATAATAGCTTACAACTTGTCAGGTGCTACTTGAATTGCTTTACATTTAATTCTCACAGCATAGGAGGCTGATATTTTTGCAGGTCAGAGCTAGACTGATATTTTTGTAGGTCAGAGCTGGTCATATACCATCATTTTCACATGGTTTAAATGACCATTTTACAAATTCTCCCACCTTGTGGATTTGAAAGAAGATATTAAATAACTTGCCTCACATCACAAAGCTAATAAGTGGCTATACAGGTTGAGTGTTCTTGCAGGAACAAATGGAACACTTTTGTGTTGGGGATGGCTGACAACATCGGAGGAAACACTTTACAAATAGGGTTAAGGGAAACCAGCAAGAATGGAGGAGCTCCCTGAAAAGCCATCCTAGAGTGGGGTGATGGCACTGGGGATGGGGCTGGAGCTGTAAGCCAAGGGGTGAAATGAGCAAAATATGAGAGGTTGGGAGGAGTTTTGGATGGGAGAGGTTAAAAGTCACCACTATTGGCTGGGTGTGGTGGCTCACACCTGTAATCTCAGCACTTTGGGAGGACGAGGCGGGCGGATCACTTGAGGTCAGGAGTTTGAGATCAGCCTGGCCAACGTGGTGAAACCCCATCTTTACAAAAAATACAAAAATTAGCCAGGTGTGGTGGCATGCGTCTGTAATCCCAGCTACTCGGGAGGCTGAGGCAGGAGAATCGCTTGAACCCGGGTGGCGGAGTTTGCAGTGAGCCGAGATCATGTCACTGCACTCCAGCCTGGGTGGCAGAGCAAGACTCTTAAAAAAAAAAAAAAAAAAAGAAAGAAAAAAAAGTCACCACTACTCATGCATGGCCTTGTAAGAGGCAATAGCATTTTTCTTTTTTCATGTCTAAAAGAACTGAAGTCAGGTATTTATTCCTTTTAACACATAGTGCTTGTCAAAAATTTCTGCGGGAGTCATTCTGGGCACAGCAGGCATTTCATAGCCTATTGAAACCGAATGACAGCTAGATATTAGTCATGAGTTCTTAAATAACATTCATTTATCACCAATCCTTAATTAATGGGTACCCAACTGACCAGCATGCTCAAGTAGATTTCTGTCTCCCCTTCATCTCCCACTCACTACTAGTTTATCTTTAGGAGGAAGGGGAATGACAAACAAGTTCATACCATGTTTTTTAAAAGTCACCTATATCCAGAGCTGCAAGTTCTTGGTAAGCTCCTGGATTTAGCCAGTCAAGCCTGATGTTGCTCTCGGCCCTCCTGCCTCATGCCTGCCTGGAACCAAGCCTTTGTGCAGCTCTGACCTGCAGTATGCATGTGTGCTCACCTGTGACTGTCGCCTGGTGCCTGGCTCACTCTAACCTCTGCAATTCCCTCCAGGGAACTCCAGGTGCAGACCTGACTGTGCTTCTTGGTGCCTCCTGCTCCAGTTGCCCCTAGATCCCAATGTGCCCACCTTTCTCCACTGTCTACTACCCCTGGCATTGATAGGTAGAAAACTCTTCCTTTCCCAGAAATGACTAGAAGCAGCCTGAGAAATCATTCCTACACAGGGAAGCGATGCTTGCCTTCACTCCTCCTGCCCTGTCTTAGGACACCTTCGAGGCTAAGCAAAGTCTCATTATTTTAAGATCTGAGTGACAACATCTCAATCACTGCCAGTGACATCCCAGGCTGGCCAGCTCCCCAAGATGCGCCTGATAATCTGGGGACACAAGGGAGGCGATGTCCTGCTCCAATCAGTCAACCCTATTTCTTTTCGCAGGAAACTTTCCTTTGCCTTAAATCCAAGTTCTTAAAAATTCAAAGTACTTAATGTTTGCACAGGAACTACATTTTGTTTATTTATTTTTGAGACAGATTCTTGCTCCGTCACCCAGGTTGGAGTGCGGCAACGCAATCACAGCTCACTGCAGCCTCAACTTCCTGGGCTGAAGGGATTCTCCCACCTCAGTTCCCCAAGTAGCTGGGACTACAGTTATGCCCTATCATGCCTGGTTAATTTTTATATTTTTTTGTAGAGATAAAGTTTCACCATGTTGCCCAGGCTGGTTTCAAACTAGTGACCTCAAGTGATCCACTTGCCTCGGCCTTCCAAAGTGGTAGGATTACAAGTGTGAGCCACTGCACCCAGCCTGAACTGCATTTTATATTCCACTTGTATGAGAAGGTCATATGATGAACAGGCTACTATAAGAAATTTATTCCAAAAAGCAACTTTGAGGCTCTGTCCTGTGATCGGTGCTCAGTACTCATCCAAATCCAATTCCTTCCCTTCTGTATCCACAACATTGTATGGTGAGAAGAGAACTCACATGAAGGCTGCCATACATGGAAAGATCCTGGGTGTTCTGAATCATCAAAGAAGAAATTATTTATAGTGTTATTGCACTTAGAATATGACATGGTATTGTCAGTCTTTAAACATTTGTAACTCATGTAGGAAATATATGGTTTAAACTAATCAAAATACTCTATCCCAACCACTTCTGCTAATGGAGAATTTGAATACAAAAAAATCCATTTAATTATAAGTTCTATCTTTTCACATAGTTTCACTTATTATTCCATTGTACTTCAAGAAACAGCTCTTCTATTTTAAAACTCTCCTTACATGAAAACATTGCCACTAATATGATATAAATCTAGAATTACACAGTGGGGCAGACTACTAGTTAAGAAATCCAGTCCTCCCAATCTTCTTGCAGGGTATCCTAAGCTACTCCCCAAGGGTGATTTGCATTCTATGATTTGTTTTTCTGTTACCATCACTAGAGATAAGATTCCCCCCTACCCCAATCACCTGCCCCAATTCACCGAAATCCTTCCTCTGCCTCCAGGCCAATCTTCTCATTAAAGTGTTGACTTCAGACCCAAGGCTCTGCTCCTTCTGGCAGCAGGAGTTGCAACCACAAGTTGGTACCCAGCCATCTGCACTCATGTTCTTACTCTTGGGACACTTCCCTTACAGCCCTGCTTGTCTTCATTCAATGCTCACGTAGGTTAAGGTTCCCAGTTATCAGAGTAGGGGACAGAACCGGCAGTAGATGGCTGTTTGGAAGGCAAAGGGCACCTGACCTATGCAGGAGATGCTTCTATTTTCTGAGAGTCTTGATCCCCACCCCGCCACCTCCTTTGGTGTCTGGTGACCACTATATATCTTTCAAGCATCACTTCCAATGTCACTTCTTCCATCCCACCTAGGAGAGGCTCTTTCTCCTCCAGGCTCCTAATTTCCACTCACCACTATTATACCTGCTAGCTCATTATATTGCATGTTGATTTTTTGTTCTCCCACGTTCTTCTTTATGAACATCTTTATAAGTGGCCATGATTCATTCTTTTGCACATTAGTTTATTTTAAGGCTTTATGAAGAGCCCACATTTAAGGCCTATTTAGGGTGATTACAACAAATGAACGCTGAAGCCCTTTTTTTGGGCATCATTACACTATTTCTGATTATTATTGGTGCCTCCTTGGAAAATTCCGACTTTTTGTTATTTCAGTTACAAACACATACAAAATGTGTTAAAGTAATTATAAACCCTTATATAGAAAATCATTATTTCTAACCTACAAATATATGCAATCCCTTATATATATACACCTTTCAATATGCAATGCAATAATCATAGGATCTTGCATATTTAGGTTTTGGATTTATAAACAGTGCACATTTACTACCTGTTTAATATGGCCAGGCATTGTGCCAGCCATCTCAGATTCACCATTTCACTGACAATATTAAACTCTCACCATAGAAAAGCATGAACCACCTACGTATAAGTAATCATACATTTCTTTTTTGTCCCTGTATAAAGTGAATATTGACCCTGCTACAGGGAAGGATCCTAGATACAGTCATATCACTTGAATTACATCCCAAGAAAAGGATTTTGCAGCTTCTGAACGGAACTTCCTCAAGCTTAGGGCTACTTTTTCTTAAACAGGGGCAATTGCTATTCTTGAGATAAACCATTTTGAGTTCTCATATATAGATAAATGATGCACAGTGTTGAGGAGAGAGAAGGAAAAATACTGTTATTACATCAAACTACCATTCCACATTTTACGAAGAATGTCCTACTTGCTCATATACTTTCTCATATGGCTGAAGGGTTTCATCACAACTACAACCACCTGTGTAGCTGGCTGTGCTTCCCTTTATAACTGCGGGTAAACTGAGGCTCAGAGTGTCTAGATAATTGGCCTGAGGTATCAGAGCTAGTAAGTGGCAAAGCACAGGATTGCTGCCTTCAGAGTCTATGGTTTTTGTTTGCTTTTTTAAGGCCATGGTTGATCAAACAGAAACAGGGCCAGTGATAGCTTTATGTAGAGGGAGGTAAAAGTTCAGCAAACATAGAAAATTTTCAATTATACTACAGTGACACAAAATTACTTACATGGTATACGAAATAACACCCTTAAAAAGCAAATGCAGACTAAACTGCTAACGTGCATCCAAGGAGAAGCATCTACATCTGTAAAGATCTAGCATCAAGTGTTACTAACTTCATTGTCTGTAATAGAAACTAATCTATCACCATTCTAATTAGAAGGTGACTAAGGAAGTAAGCATTTAACAAAAGCATTTGTAACATTTGCAGATTGTAATAATAACTGAAGTTCTGGAAAAAGTCAATTTTCCAATTTTCTTCTCATTTACGTATCTCTCACTCACCATTAGTCTCAGTTCTTAGATAAAATTATTGACATTATTTCTTAAACTCTTTTTTTAAAAAAATATAATAATGGTGATAGACATTTGAAGAAACTTTGCCTAGAACAAGAGTTTACAAAAATAGAACAGCTCAAAGAAGAAAAAAATCACTATACACTCTCTCCTCAGAGAAAAATCACTGCTACCATTTTGGTATACATCTTCCCAGGTATTTTCTGTGCAGAGATAAGCTTTGTCCCTAATTAGCACCATAATGTATAAGCTCATTTATTCACTTTTTCACTTAACATATTAAGATGATTTCCTCTATCAGGCTGGTATTCTACAATTTTTTTTTTTTTTTTTTTTTTGAGACAGAGTCTCACTCTGTCACCCAGACTGTAGTGCAGTGGCGTGATCTCGGCTCACTGCAACCTCTGCCTCCCAGGTTCAAGTGATTCCCCTGCCTCAGCCTCCCAATTAACTGGGATTACAGGCGCCCGCCACTATGCCCGGCTAATTTTTATATTTTTAGTAGAGACGGGGTTTTGCCATGTTGGCCAGGCTGGTCTTGAACTGCTGGCCTCAAGTGATCTGCCCACCTTGGCCTCCCGAAGTGCTGAGATTACAGGCATGAGCCACCACGCCTGGCTTACTGTACAATTTTTGGTTGCACTGTATTCTATTTTATGTAATGCCATGATTTATTTACAGATTTCCATTTTGCTATTTAGACCACTTAAAACTTTTTGGTTTTTATGAGCAACATTGAGCTATTCATCCTTGTACATTAACTGCTGTCTACCTCTGTGTCTTTAGGAAAAATTCCAGGAGTTGGATTTGCTGGGCTGAGAACTTTGCACAATTTAACTCTATATTGGTATCAATCCTACTCCAAATCACCAACTTAGACTCACCAGCAGTGTGCTCACGTGGCTTCTGCTTGGCATCCTCAGCAAAGCTTAGAATTAGAATCAGATTGGCCAATTTGATTGTTGAAAATTACACTGCATGAACATTTGTATTTCTTTGTCATTGTTTGTGTTCAAGGATAATTTAGATTTCAGTATCATTCAAGGAAAATGAGTAAGACTGGAATTCAGCTGGAAAATATTCTGGCTCCTCCTTATGGTATGGGGTGCTCTAGAAATCCATGTTATTATTTTGGCAGATAAACTTTTCCTTAAACTTGTAATATGGAAACAATATTTCTAAACTTGCAGTACAGGCCAGTCTCTAACAGATTACATTTATCTCAAAGAAACTTGAGAGGCTATTCTGTGTGTGTGTGTGTCTGTATTCAGAAACCCATTTCCATTCCACTTTAGGATTCTAAGTTAGAACCTTTCCACGGGGCAAAGGCAATGTTAAAGGACTGCTTTTGTGAGCTGCCTGAACTCCATGGTCCTAAAGATTCTTTTGAGCTTGAACCTTCTCTGATTTTTGAGCATCACTAATAACCTTGTGGTGAGAGGCCTGCGGACAGAAAAGGCCTACTTCCTAGGCCATCATTTTCAGTTATAGCTTAGCTGGCATCACGGAACATGAAACTCGATGGAACATTTGGGGATCAGCTAGTACAACTTCTTCATTATGAATAAGTGAACTGAGACTCAGAGAAATGAAGTCAATTGGTGTGCTACACCCATTAACTCGTCATTTACATTAGGTATATCTCCTAATGCTATCCCTCCCCACTCCCCCGACCCCACAACAGGCCCTGGTGTGTGATGTTCTCCTCCTAGAACTTAAAGTATAATAAAATATATATAAATATATATATATATATATATATAAAAGAAGTCAATTATTTTTTTTAAGATCTCAAATCTAATCATCGATGCGTTCACGCTTTAACCAGGACTTCTTAGTCCAAGTTTCTTTAGTCCTGGGACATATTTCCTCTCATAAAAGTAAAAGAAGGCCGAGTATAGTGGCTCACACCTATAAACCCAGCACTTAGGGAGGCTGAGGCAGGAGGATCGCTTGAGCCAGGGGGTTGAGACCAGCCTGGGCAACATGGCGAAATCCTGTCTCTGTGAAAAATGCAAAAACTAGCCAAGTGGGGTGGCATGTTCCTGCAGTTCCAGCTACTCAGGAGGCTGAGATGGGAGGGTCACGTGAGCCCAGGAAATTGAGGCTGTAGTGAGCCTAATCGCGCTACCGCACTCCAGCCTGCACTCCAGTGAGACCCTGTCTCAACAATAAAAGACGAGGGCTTAAAAATATGTATTTTTGAAGTTAAACACAGTACAGAAAAAATGTTTGCATAGAGGTGAAAGAACAGTAACTAACCTAAGGAACATTCCTGCCTAGCACCCTCAGAAAGCCCAGTGGGAACCTCCCTTATCACAACCCTCCTTCCCTGATTTAGAAGTAACTACCATTCTGACTTTTGCATTAGTCATTCCTTTGCCTTTTAGTTTTACCACCTACATAGCTTTCCCTAAACAAACATTTTTTGGGCAGCCAGCATGAACTTAGCAGTGTAAGGAAAGGGTATGCTCTATTGCCACTCGGAAACCAACCCACGATTTCAAAGCTGGGAACTTTGATAATGGTGATGAACATTTCACTCTCTGGAACTCCAGTTATTTGTATGCTTCTTCTAGAGTGCTTTGCTTTTATCTTTTCTTGCATTTCTTTTCCATTTTTTTTTTCTGCTGCATTTTTAGATTTCCCCAAATTCCCAAACATTCTGCTGAATTTTTCATTTCTGCCAATATGTTTCAATTTGTAAAAGCTCTTTCTTCTCTGAATGTTCCTCTGTAGCTCTCTGGTCTTTTTTCATGGATGTGGTGTCCTCTCTGATCTGAGGCTATTCGTAAGAGTTTTTCCTTTTTTTAAAAAAAATCCATCTTGCATAGTCTTTTTTTCTCTTGGTCGTACCTTCCACAAAAGAGGCTTTTCTCTGATGCTCATAAGAACATCAAGCTGGATGGGACCATGGAGCACATGGTGGGGCTGGCCAGCATTGATCTTGATAGTAAGAACTTTTGGAAAGCTCTTTGTTGAGATGACAAATGTATTTTTTATTATGGTAAAATATTACACGAAGTCTGTCACTTTAACTATTTTTAAGTGTATACTTCAGTGGCATTAAGTACCTTCACAATGTTGTATAACCATCACTACTATTTCCTAAATTTTTCCATTGTCCAAGACTCTTTGTGCCCATTAAACAATAACTCCCCATTCTTCCCTCCCAGAAGCCCCTGGCAACCATGATCTTTCTCTTTGAATCTGACTACTCTAGGTACCTCATATAAGAGGAACCATATAGTATTTGCCCTTTTGCGTCTGGCTTATTTCACTTGGTTAAGTTTTCAAGGGCAATCCTTGTTGTAGCACCTGTAAGAACTTCATTCTGGGCCAGAAGTGTTGGCTCACACCTGTAATCCCAGCACTTGGGAAGCTCCCAGCACTTGGGAGGCTCCCAGCACTTTGGGAGGTCGAGGCAGGTGGATCAGCTGAGGTCAGGAGTTCGAGACCTGCCTGGCCAACATTATAAAACCCTGTGTCTACTAAAAATACAAAAATTAGCTGGTGTGGTGGTGCGCACCTGTAATCCCAGCTACTTGAGAGGCTGTGGCAGGAAAATCACTTGAACCCAGGAGGTGGAGGTTGCAGTGAGCCGAGATCGTGCCACTGCACTCCAGCCTGGACAACAGTGAGACTCCATCTCAAAACCAACAAAACAAAAAAAACTTAATTCTCTGTTATGGCTGAATAAGATTCCATTGCGTGTATATATCTCAGTTTGTTTAGCCATTCATCTGTTGGGCTGTTTTCACCATTTACTGTAAATAATGCTGCTATGACCATTGGTATATCTCATGTTAATACAAGTATAAAGTTCATCTTGTATAATGTGGCAGAAAGAAAGGTGGGATACAGGATATGTAGTTTTAATGTTGTTGTTGTTGTTGTTTTGAGACGGAGTCTTGCTTTGTCGCCCAGGCTGGAGTGCAGTGGTGCGATCTCGGCTCACTGCAAGCTCCGCCTCCCAGGTTCACGCCATTCTCCTGCCTCAGCCTCCCGAGTAGCTGGGACTACAGGTGCCCGCCACCATGCCCGGCTAATTTTTTTGTATTTTTAGTAGAGACGGGGTTTCACTGTGTTAGCCAGGATAGTCTCGGTCTCCTGACCTCGTGACCTGCCTGCCTCGGCCTCCCAAAGTGCTGGGATTACAGGCGTGAGCCACCGCACCTGGCCGATACGTAGTTTTAACTCAAGTTTAGGAGTTCAGAATTGAGCCTTAGGGAATGAGTGAGGGATATCCCCAAAGGATTTTTTAGTTGTGTCATGATGGCACCTTTAAGAATGACAAATGAGCAGCCTAAAGAACTTGGGGTGTGGGGAGCAGGGGGCATTGGGGTGGGGTGGTAGTAGTAGATGAATGGAACCTAGAGACCAGTTAGCAGCTGATCAACAGTCCAGGTGAGAGATATGAGGGCTTAAAGTAGGATGGTAAAGGAAGGTTACATGTAATGGATCTTTCACACTGCAAAGGAAATAAAGGAGTTGAAACTAACCCCAGGGTTTTAAGCCTGTATTACTTACTCTCTTACCTCTGCTATGCCAAGACTGAATAATTAATGAACTTGAGAAAGAAAGATATTATGAAGTGGTTAAGACTTCCATTATCTACAAATGGTGTATCTAGTGAAATTTACTATTCGACTCTTTGAAATAGGGCAACTCCAGCTTCCAAGACCACTTTCAAATATACTTAAAGTTTAGAGCTCAACAATAACAGACCTTGACCGGATGTCAACTGAACTGAGGCTGACATCAGTACATGTGAAATAATGTGTAACCCCTTCTAATCAGAGAGCTGAACCCAACCCGTCATATCTAATGAATGGCAGATCTCTGGGAGAGACCATCATTTGCTGAGGGGGTGATTCCCAGTGACTGACTCAATGACAATGGCATAATCATGAGAGCTGTTGAGGGACCTGAAATAGGAACTGTTTCCATGGGGAGCCACTCCCCCACACTTGCTGGGCTTCAGAGAAAACTCGGAAAAAAACTGATGTTTCAAATTTATCTTAGCAAAGTAACCTTTATCAATGTGTTCATTCATTCATACAAATATTGAGCACCACTTATGGAGGCACTATGCTTGGATGTGGGCCATCTGTGAGACCCATGGCACGCAGAAGAGATTCATTCAAAGAATTGGGCAGATAAATAAAAATGACAATCATGAAATTTTCTACTAAAAATGTTGCTTTGAGAGTGTATAATAGGGAAAGCTGATCTGTAAAATCAGGAAGGGAACATTTGAGCTCAAACCTATAACAAAATTTGGGGCCCAGTAAAACAGGGCTGAGAATAGTTCCAGCACTTCACCAGTGTGGTGGAGGCGGACAGGGATCACAGAGTAAGCAGACACACTGTTGCATCTGTGGCTGGAGAAGTAGGTGGGGAGCAGCCAGTCCATGCAAGGCTTCGGGCCAGGTTAGAAGAATTGAAGCCTTTCTTGGCAAAGAATTTATGGCTAAGTCCTCAAAAGCAATTGCCACAAAAACAAATATTGGCAAGTTGGACCTAATTAAAGACCTTCTGCACAGCAAAAGAAACTACCAACAGAGTAAACAGGCAATCTACAGAATGGGAGAAAATATTCACAGACTATGCATCTGACAAAGGACTAATGTCCAGAATCTATAAAGAACTTAAATAAACCCACAAGCAAAAAATAACCCCATTAAGAAGTGGGCAAAGGACATGAACAGACAATTCTCAAAAGAAGACATACAAGTGGCTAATAAACGTATGAAAAAATTCTCAACATCACTAGTCATCAGAGAAATGCAAATCAAAACCATAATGAGATACCACCTCACACCATTCAGAATGGCTATTAAAAAGTAAAAAAAAAAAAAAAAAAAAAAAAAAAAAAAAAAAAAAAAAGGTCAGGCGCAGTGGCTCACTCTTGTAATCTCAGCACTTTGGGAGGCCAAGGCAGCCGGGTCACCTGAGGTCAGGAGTTCGAGACCAGCCTGGCCAATGTGGTGGAACCCCGTCTCTACTAAAAATACAAAAATTAGCCCAGCATGAGTGGTACGCACCTGTAATCCCAGCTACTCAGAAACCTGAGGCAGGAGACTTACTTGAACCCGGGAGGCAGACGTTGCAGTGAGCCGAGATGGTGCCACTGCACTCCAGCTTGGGTGACAGTGTAAGACTCCGTCTCAAAACAAACAAACAAAAACAAAACAAAACAAAAACCAGAATCGTGGTGGGCTGTGGAGAAAAGGGAACACTTATACACTGTTGGTGGGAAGGTAAATTAGTTCAGTCACTGTAGAAAGCAGTTTGCAGATTTCTCAAAGAACTAAAAATAGAACTACCATTCAACCCAACAATCCCATTCCTGGGTATATGCCCAAAGGAATATAAATCATTCTACCATAAAGACCCATGCATGCATACGTTCATCACAGCACTATTCACAATTGTAAAGACATGGTATCAACCCAGGTGTGTCTACCCATGGTGGATTGGATAGAAAATGTGCTGCATACACACCATGGAATACTACACAGCCATAAAAAAGAACAAAATCACATCTTGTGCAGCAACATGGATGCAGCTGGAGGCCATTATTGTTAAGCGAGCTAATACAGATTCAGAAAACCAAATGCTGCATGTTCTCATGTATAAGTGGGAACTAAACATTAGGCACACGTGGACACAAAGATGGGAACAATAGACACTGCAGACTACGAGATGGGGGAGGCAGGCAAGGGTTGAAAAACTGTCTATTGGGTACTATGCTCGTTACCTAGGTGCTGGGTTAAATCATACCCCAAACCTCAGCATCATGCAATATACCCATGCAACAAACTTGCCCATGTGCCCTCTGAATCTAAAAGTTGAAGAAAAAAAAATTAAGGTCTTTATACTACAAGCGATAGAAAGCCAAAAACACATTTTAAGCACAAGGATGAGAAGATTACATTTGTATTTCTTGAAAGATTGCAAGCTACAGTGTAAGGGACTGAAGTGATGTGAGAACATGAGTCAGTGAGCTACTGGAATAATCTAGGTACACTGCCTTGGCTAGATTAAAGAGACTGTGAAGAAATGTTATTGGCAGGCTGGGAAAATGATGGGCAAGAAAGACACTGGTGCCCAAGTCTCCCAGGTTTCTGACTCATGTAATAGGATGAACAGAACACCCATATGAATGTTGTTTTTATTCATAGCTACTTCTTTGTAAGGTTTATTCTTAGAATTGACCTCTTGTTATCAAGTTAGATGTCTTTTAGTGTCCCTGAAATTTTGTGGCATTAAACCACATGACGGTGTTCTGTACCAGCAACAGTGGAGTGATGTCGAGATAGGGCACGACAAAGCCCCTCGGAGCCAGTCTTTCTGCTGTCCCATCCCCATTTCCTGAGCAGAGCATATGCGTGCATGCATGCGTGTGTTAATAGCCACACTCATGGGGGAGGATCAGGTCCTTCTGTCACCCTCCTTCAGAGCTTACACAGCTCTGATAAGAAACTATTTGTCAAAACAAATGTCATTTCTGAGAACACAATTTTACATGCACCGATGGCCTGTCACAATTTTTTTTTTTTTAAATGGAACAGTCCAATTTTACTTCATGAGTAAATGCCCATTAAAATACAGGGCCACCTCTATGGCAACCCAAGGCAGAAACTTCCATACCGGTTAATTTGAAGCAGTAAGAAAGACTAAAAAAAAAAAAAAAAAAAAAAAAAAAAGCACTTAATGGAAGGAACGTGTAACACTCATTTGTAAGTTAGAAGCAACTTCAAATTCACACTCCAGACTCCATGTTGATTTTTTAAAACAACTAGGGTCGACATTGACTTAACAGAGCAATGGATGTGCTGGGAAGAGATGGATATAACGAAGGAAATGGATGACGGGGACAGTGATTGTTAAAACAGGTCATGAGATTGCAGGCTGAGCAACCCTGTTTCATAGCACAGCCTTGTCTCTTATTAAAAAAAAAACCTAAAACTTTGAGGATGAGATTCAATGATGTATTTTTTAAAGCCTTCTTAGGCAACCAAATATTTAAATATATCTGCTTTGTTCCCATCTTCAATCCCTCAAAGGGTACAGACACTGCATACTGTATACTCTGTGGGGTTTTTTTTTTTCAATCTTGTAAAGACAGGATATCTCTACCGTGCAGCTGAATAAGGCCTTTGATGTCATGCAAATATTACTTCTGGACTAAACACATACAATACTGAAATTATTAAACATACAAACTTAGAGCTTTCAGTGCATTTGCCATTTTTATTTCGCTATGCAGAAACATACATTCACCATGGGCTGTGATGCAGGTGATCGTGTAATGGAGAATCTCTCTTTTTGAAGGCTATTTATAACTAACACTAAATAGTTTTAATTACAGTGGAAATTCTGTACAGTTTAAGGCTTGGCTCTGAACTAGAATGTAAATATGGACCAGATTTGAAAATAAAACACTTTCTTTTCAAGTAAAAGAAGAAAAATCAATTAAAAAATACACGGCACGGAAAAAGTAACTAAGAAAACAAAGCCACAGGAAGCCCAGCAGTTTCTCCTGAAGTGAAATTTCATAATATTGTAAACTAACAAAAATACAGGTTTTCTTCCCAAAATAATGACAATTTAAGCTCTCTGGATTGAACACAGACCAAAGCAAACAACAAGGAAGAAATCGCATTAATATGCTAAAATCAGTACTACCTTATAACAAATTAAATGAGATACACAAAGCAAGATTGGAAGCATTACATATTTCCAGAGGGTCAGAGAGTCATTACTGTTTATGGGTGAGAGTAATAAAACCAGATGAAACAAGTACAAGTTGTTTACTGAATAAACTTGGTTATTGGCACATCTAATCTGAGGAAAATCTGACACACCGGACGGACCTAGACAGCTTCTAGCATTTGAGGGTAATCTTCATTTATTGTAAATATAAGGTTACCTAAGAAATTGCAATTTTGTTTAGACTTTAATAATAATAAACTATGAAAGGCATGAATTGTTTATGTGTTACATGAGACCACGGTTTATATTGTTGGTTATGAACGTGCAGGTATAGCTGAAAACTGAGACATTTTGTGAAAATTAAAAATGCTGCTCTTTTGTAATTTTATCGTTGCTTCATGCATTATCGGTTTAGTGATGCTGAATCAGATTGCTTTATTATGGGAAGATCTCTCTGCCAGTGTCTTTATTAATGGTCAAGGTCAATTCTTCTGGACTGAAATTTTCCACGGACAGATACAAGTCAGTTGGGTTAGAAGAGGGAACTCCATATAGGCTCTGGTTTTCCTAACGGTTTGCATGACTGCATTCATGTGCAAGCTAAGTTATTCCTGCAAAAAAGACATTTGATTAGTTACTCATTTGAAAACAACTGAAAGATTTTCTCAGATCAAGGACACAAAAAAAGTATCCTGGAAGTTAGAATGCTCGTTTGGACAAGATGCCATGACATTCCAGCGTTAAGTCACTGCCAATTACATGCTTTCTCTTAAGTAATTACAACAACGCCCAAGTGGCTGAAGCTCATGGAAGAAATCTGTTTTATTTTTTTTGCTATCGTCCAAAATATATTATTCATTTGAGTAAAATGAGTATTTTTTATATTTCTCTTTTAAGAGATGCCACTCATCAATTTGTTTCTTAAACCGATGTTAGAAAACTTACTAATATATGAAATCTCTTAAACATTTTATCACATCACCAAGTTGTGCAAGTCGCTCGACTGCTGCATTCAGCATTCAAAGCCCTCTCAGAAACGCTCATGGCCCCATGAGATCTTGCATGGCAGGTGACTATGCATGACAAGTCTGTGCTCACATAGATGATATAGTCTGCTCATGATGCTGGCCAAACAGTCACTGGAAAGGTATGTGCTTTCTACAGGACCACAAGACTGCATTTTTTTTGCCTCCTTCTGAGACAGTGCTACGCTAGGGAGAAAAATCATCCCAAAGAATACAGGAAATATAAGACATCCAAAAAGAAAGTGAGTGCTCAGCTTTCAAATTAAAAAAACAAAACTAAAGACAAAAGCATAAACAGGTTACAATCAAACACAGTTGAAGAGAAAGCTTACGACGGGATAATGTTGCCATCAGAAGGAGAAAGGGGTATATATTATTTCCCTAGTATTTGGAACACACAAATTGAGCCTCTCAGAGCAAAACTGCCTTTGTTCCAATTAGGCCACATGGCAAGTAAAATCAAATTTGCCATTACAAATTTGGATAATCAAAGAGTGCAGGCCATGGAATAAAAGGGAACACCAGGAAGACCACACAAGCATAGAAGCATAGACTCTGCTCTTCCTTTATCCTCTAACTGGCAGTGCATGCAAAAACTCCACAAGAATGGAAGCTCCAAATGTGAGACAAACCCATAAACCAATTCTCCATCCTCTTGGTAACCAGCCCAACAAATGCCAGTGAGAGAACAGAGGAAAGGAGGGATCAGGTGAAGGATGAGAGGGAAGTGCCCCATGCCTCATGCCAGCCTAGGCAAGCCTAGAGAATCGGCATCACCTCTTACCTCTGGTCAATCCTCTCCATCTTCTGGTGTGATCTCTGTCTCTTTATGGACCACTACTTTGGTCACTGACATGTCAGGGTGCTGCTCTTTGGCCTCTTTAATTGCCTGAGCCAGCGCCTATCCCCGGGAAATCACAGAAGGGCAGAAACAAAAAGGAGGTGGAACATGCATGATCAGTGGTGAGGTGGAGACTTATGAGCTAGATCTATATCCACAATTTACAAATGAGGTACAATGATTACAAAAGGAATCATAAATCATATATTGGAAAGTTAATTCGGAATTTTCTTCGGAATACATGCTGGACTAGAGGAATAGCATTGAAACTGTAGGACCAACAGGTTTTTCTTTGTTTCTCTGCCAGGGTATTTACCGTCTCACACACACTACCTGGTCATGGTCAATGTCTGCATCCCCCGTGATGACTATTCGCTTCTCAATTCTTGTCTCTGAAATGCCCCCTTTCACAGTCTGCAAGACACGTAGAGAAGCTTTATGAATTTACTCACTGGGAGAAACCATCATGGTTCAGTAGGGGGAAATGGCCGAAGATGCTGACATCATTCACTCTTCGAGAATTGAAATTAGAGTTCTATGGCACTTATTTCACATTTTTAATTCCAGAGGTGAGGACGGAATGGAGGCCCTTGGGTCTGGATGGCCCATGTTTCTGGAACACTACCACATGCCAAGCACTGGAGTAAGCATTAAGCTTAGGATATCAGAATGTATATTCCTAAAGGGGAACTCGCACGTGAGGACAAGTGCATCGTAAATCTAGGGGCTGTAAAAGCTCCCCTTGCAGCTATCCCGGCGTCCTGAGCTTCAAGCCACCTTGTGCTTGTGCAGCCCAACCTGTGAGGAGTTCTGAACAAGCACCTTCCTCCAGCTCGCTCTCAAGGAATCCTCTTCTCGGTTCTCACTCCACTTACTTTGGTGATGTGCGTAGTGGTGGTGGTACTGGTGGTTTCAGATGTGATCGTCTGTGCACTCATCAGCACGCCTGGCTCCAGATCTGTGCCTGGATCGACCTAAAGCAGCAGAGGCATAGACCCCTCATCCAGGTGCTCACATCTGCTCTTCAGAAGTTGGCTACGTTATTTAAGGCATTACGACAATTTCACTATCTCCTATTATGCAATCATTATGCTCTTCAGAGTCTGAGCGCTGCTCCCAAGAATAAGTACTAAGTGCAACCACAGGTAACTGTCATTAAAAAAACTAAGGTTTCAGAAATGTGAGTGGTGGATGGGTGAGTGAATATTTTTCTTTCTCTGTGGCTAGGGAAACAGGTTTCTGAGCCTTTTTCTACACTTCAAGACACATAAAGACTTGGTTAAGTCATCTGCTGCTCCCTGATCACTAATAAAATGACCATTATTGCATCACTTTTAATAGAAATGGTCTGGCTGCTGGATCCTCTAAGTCTCATGAATTAAATATCGTGCAGTTCTATGTAAACACACTAGGCCATAGAGGGGTGAAATAAGCAGCCAGGGCTCTGGTCTTCACAGAATATCTCACCTGTGATGATTCATATGTGATGGTTTTGGTTTCGGTGTGAACTACTGGCACTTCCTTCGTGGAAATTTCTAGCTTTACTCCTCCCGGTGAAACACTGCCAAAACTGATGGTTTCCGTCTTCACCGTTGAGGACTGTGCCAAAGGGGAGTAAGCAGAGTGGCTGTTATAGTTTGCATGAACACATTGTTTTCTTCCTTTTCCTCTCTTGGTGGTTATAAGCACAGGTTAGTATGCTATAAATGTTTATGTAGAGAGTAAGCTGGGGAATGAGGCATACAACATGCACATGTCAGTCTCCTGGACTCTCATAGCACTTTTATATGAAATGCTCCAAGTAAAGCAAAACATTTTGAAGGCAATAAAAAAAAGTTTTCTATTTAATAACTTCTTAGAAAGAAGAAACTAATAATGAGACATTAACTCCCCAAATACTTCAGGAATCTCAATAAAAGAGGATAAAGAATAAAGTTCTGGCATTTAGGACCCGGGTAAACATGGTTTTGGTGCTTCTGGAAAAGTGCACTGATAAGAAATAAATGTATCACATTTTCTAATATCTTGGCCAACTTTGCATTTCCCAATTTTACTGCCAATTATAATAATTTCAGTGAGAGTAGAAACCATTTCCTGGTGCCATATTATTAATAATTAAGAGATATGTTTGCATGTGACACCAAAGCTGGAAATCAGTGTGGAGACTCCTACTAGGTATGAAAGAAGGAAATGAGAGGAGAAATACACTATACATGGGAGAGGCAGAAAATTAAACTTAGCTCCACCTTTATGCTGATCTAAATTTCCAGGCATCCTATATCAGTTTTATTTTAGTGATAAAAGTAACATTTACTACTAGTTACCTCAAAATGAGGTTTTTGTTCCAAAGTTTCTGAAATGTGGATGGCTGCACTCTGCTCCTCTTGTCGCTCACGGGAAGCAGCGGCTGTCTCTTCCTGTTCCAGGACAGCTTTAGCGACCTCCTCCCCTCCTTCCTCTTTAGCCCCCTCCGTCAAGGCAGAGCCCTCTTTCCCTTTAATGCCTGTGAATGCGGGCTGTGCTGCAGCATCCCCGCTGTCTCCCGCCGAGTAAGAAGCATCCCCACTCGCGTGCACCACACGCCGCTCCTCCACCAACACGGTCTCCTGCACCACCTTCTCAGTGCTAAGCGGCAGGTGGTGCACGGTGGGTTCCGTCTCTATTCCACTGGACTCCGTCTTGGTTTCCATTTTCTGCATGGGAAGAGATTGTGGCATCAGTGTGACCATCCATAAACCAAAGGTCAGAAAATAACTAAAGCTGCCACTCGCCAGGATGTCTAAAGCCAGCAGCAAGTGCTTATAACCAGAAACACTGACGAAAAATATAAATTAGCTTTCATTTCTCCCACTGAAATCTCTGATGCCTGCCCCTGCCCCTGGTGCATGCACTTGAACCTGCGCTGCTGCTTCAGGACATCCGCAAAACAAACGGAAGGCAGGATAAAGTGCAATTAACAAAACAAAAACCAAAGCATTGCAGCGCATTCACGTTGGTTTTGGCTGCTTTCTTAGACTCAACTGGTGAGACATAATGCTTTTAGATATTTAATTCTATTAAAATTTCTCAATATGATCGCCTTTCGAATAGTGAAGTACATTCTTGAGATGCAACTAAAGGCATGTGACAGATATGCCAAGCAGACACAAAGGACAATAAGTGAAGACACCTTTGAGATGTTGAAGGCAAAGCCAGCTGGATGCAACCACACACTCACGCCCAAAAAAAGGGTAAGGAAAGGCACATGGGCACATTCAGAAACACCAAGGACGAAAACAAATGGCCACCTGAACCCAGCTTTGAGAAGTAGAAGTAACCCCTCCTATGAATTCTGTTGGTTTTCGCGCAGACTCTAATAAACTGAAGATTTCAGAGCCATCCATGAGCTTTTCCCCAGAAGACTGCTTAGTCTGAGTGAACAAAGAGAGGCAGAGTCAAGCACAAAAGAGAGACACAAACTCAGGCACATAAACATTCACAGCTTGTTAGACAAAATCGTAGGCAGAGGAGACAGGGAGGAGGAAGAACGAAGGAATCTCAGAGTTTGGAAACGAAAAGAATGGGAAATAAAATAGAAAACCAGGTGCTCTTGTTTGGTAAAGCAGAGACGGTTATTAGGATCAGGGTGGCGCCGATTTAAGCAGATATATATATTTTTTCCCCTTCATTGCAAGCCACAGCAGCACTATCACATCTTGGGAACAGGGAGCTGGAAATAAAATGGAAAGTGTTTTAATGCTGACTTTGCACTGCGGTATTGATTTAACCATGAAAAAAAATTAAGAAGCTGGGTTGGCTGCTCTCAACATAAAGCCAAGCAGCAAGAGAAACGGAAAGGTTTGGGGTGGAAGGGGACTGCCTCAAAAACTGTCATGCTGGAATTGCAAACTGTGGCCCCAATGAGTGACACTGGTTACCACTACTCGGGAGGCGGATGACTCAGTAACGTAATGGGCAGTAGCAACGGTAAAGGCTGGTTCCTGGGAATATCTCCATTCGGACAGGCTCTTCCTTCGGGGACCAAAGAGGCCCACTTTTAAGACCTCACTCTCGGGCACTTGCTCTGTTTTGCTGAAGCGTCTGCCTTCCAGGCCAGGGAGGACGGCCACATCCTTCTCCAGCTGTGGAGCCTTCTTGAGGTCATCTTCTTCAGGACTCTGCCGGCGAGACTCGGCCTCCTTGATGGGGGCCAGGGATTCGGACAATTTCCGCTGTGTCGTCTGGACCTCTGGTCCTCTCTTGGATTTCTCATCAGCGAGGGTTTCCAGGACCTCATATTCTGCCAGGCCGGGAATGATCTTCATGGACTCTGGTATTTCTTTCTCCATTTTCTGAAGTGCTTCTGTAGTGGAGGGCTGCTCCACTTTCTCACCCTCTTTAGCTTTCCCAGTCATAGTAACAATTCTCCCGGAGACAGTGTCATAGGATTTTCCTAGAGTGTATATTTTCTGTTTGCTGTCTTCTTTCAGTTGCATTTCTCGAGCCAATTCTTCGAAGCTTTGCATTTTAATAGTGCCAGATTTTAACATGTCAGCTGGGAGATCACCAGTTTTACTGCTCACGGTCACCACCTTGTAAGTCACAATCTTTTTCAAATCACCATCAACTACCTCAGTTGGTATTCTGTCTACAATAACCCAATCCTCTGTGCCCTATATTTGAAATATAAAAGCTAAATTAGAAATTCTGATGGTATCTCATTTCTAAAATAAGAATCCTTTAAGAAAATCAGGGCAACTGCTACATGCAGGTCTGTGATGGGACCATACAGTGCTCATGTTATTATCTAATAATTATGGCTGCAATCTCTTCTCCTCTGAAATGATAAACTATAAACTTCAGCTCAGAATACATTCGGTAGGTAGAGTTGCAACTTCTTTAAACTGGAACATACTTTGCAGTAAATTTTTTGAAGAACAGATTTGCTCTTATGATAAATTTTGGATCATTTTATATTTCAAGATTAAATAACATTATTGATGTTGCTCTATAAGTTACTTAGCTTTACATGTGTGGGGATAAAAGTTTTCCTCGTTAAATATAATCTATACTTCATATACTGTTATCACAGAGAGCTTCCCAACATTCTACAAATTTATGTAAATATTTTCCATATTTGTAAATTGTATTTCTTTATACAGGGAAATGAATCCATAATAGCACTTATTATTCAATAAATATTGAGTGTGACTGTGTTCAAGGCATTGTAATGAAATATTTCCCACAAATAGGACACTATTAGAGCCTCTTACAGTGATCTGTACAGTGTTCGAGTCTTACATTTTTTTTTTAAAAGATGGGGTCTCCCTATGTTGCCCAGGTCGGCCTCGAACCCCTGGGCTCAAGTGATCCTCCCATCTCAGCCTCCCCAGGAGCTGGGACTACAGGCACATGCCATTGTGCCCGCTCCAATCTTATTTACAACTGAAGTTCACTGTCTCAGGAGTTTCTCTCTCACTTTCTTTAGTGTTAGTTCCAATAAGGCAAAAGAAAGGAAAGCTAAGAAACTTTTGTATTCAGGGAGGCATAATACAATATGACCAGGTAGGTTAATAGCTTCACAGATTACAGAGGGAAGAGATATCAAACCAGGAGCAGGTGAGTGCCCTGGTTTACATTTTAAACTAGAATGTTTTCTAGAAACTTTTCTGTTTTTTACAGCCTGAAAACTTAAATCTAGAAATACGTGTGCCTTTAAAAATACCACTACAGATTGATCTACATGTTGTTGCTAGATTAAATGAAATGAATTGAAAGAATAACCTCTAGGGTTGATGGGACAGTTTTCTGGAAAATTATTTGACGAGAAGTAACCACAGAGTCAGCAGAGTCTCCTTCCTGCATTTTCTTTATCACACTTGGCTAGTGGGGAAACCAATAAGAATTCAGAACTTTCAAAATCAGTCAACTTCATCTAAATTAGCACGACTCTACAGGTAAAAACAGGCAGTAAAACAACATTTCAGCAAGATTATTATCAGAAAGTAAGTCAATGACAACATACAGAGAAAAATCAGCTTGGATTAGAAGCCATGAAGAAATGATGCATAACTGATAACTAAAATATTAAGAAAATTCAATTTTCCCTTCCCCAGAATCTAAATCAAAATTATGTACCTACCTTGGTTTTAAACAAGATAAATGTTAAAGGGAAAATAAAAACTAAGAGCATTTTAATGACACTGAAGTCTGAAGACCAATTTCTTCTGGAAAATCCTTTATGTTTGGTTTTTACCTGAGACTCAAGGAATGGAGCGCTTCCTTGCTGCAAAAATATAACTTTTTCAGAAATCTCTGTTTCTTCTTTGGTCTGTTTGAATAAAGGGGGTTGGGTTGGAGAAGAGGAAGTAGACAGTTTCCAAAAAGGCAAGTTAGGAAGGGAGTTCTTTCATTGTATTATCTCTATCTATCTATCATCTCATATATTCTCATAATATTCATTCATTTTCTTCCTGAAGGAGTAAATTATTGTTTATGCATTTGAAAAATGATCTGAAACTACCTCAAAATTTAGTTTTTTCCAAAGAGCTCAGATTTTCTGAAACTTTGGGGTTAACTTTGGTGTTTATATAACTCAAATGTTCTTCATTTCTACAAACACAGAGCATACAAGAACAATATAAAGGTATTCGTTCTTGGCATTTAAACCATGTTTATGTTGGTATCAAAAAGTGGGTATTTAAAATAAAACATTAAGAAATTTTTAAAAATTTAAAATTTCTATTTCTGACAAGTATCTTATTGTATTCCCCATTTAGGTGCTGCCTGTTACAGAGTAGTGAAATGCATACAATGTCACTGCATTAGCCACTAATTTAAATAAACCCAGTTATACTTAGATGGATTGATTTATTGCCCACAAATAAAGAAAAAATACTCAATGGCTTTATTTGAACTTTTATAACATGGTTAATAATTTTTTAAAGTCAATTTCAAAATATCTTGCTGGAAAATTAAGTATATCAATTCATACTTTAACATAAAAAATTAAGAAATATTAAGTATTTCATGTTAGGAATTAGGTTTTTGCTTTTTAACTTCTTTTTATTTTTTTCTCTAGTATTAAATAGGCACAATTCAGGTGGCAATACATTAGCTACCAAGCCTAAGTTGAACCAAGCGTTCAACTTCACAGAGCAGGGACAGAAAGGATATTCTGGAAGATTAACTGAAAAATAACGATGGAAAGTTCAAGGTTTCTAGAAGAATGGAACTTTTAAAATACATCTTATCATTACAAACAATGTAATTTTATGAGAGCTATTTAAAATTTCTTTTTGTCTAAAAATCTACCAGTACTACATTTAATCATTTGTTTGCAAGAGATTGTAGGGGAACATCTGGAATATTCTGCAGGACCTACCCTGACAGATTTTGATAGTATCATTCTCAAATGACTCTTTCTAATGAGAAACAAGCCATTTTCAGAGGAGGAAAAAAAAAAACCCAACAACAACAAAAATCTCTATCCCACTGCATTTTGGAGGACGGTATTGGAAAAGATAAAATGTACCATGTGGAATCATTAAATGTGGATTTTGTTTCTTTTCCTTTTTTTTTTGCTTTTAATCATAGCCTCTTTTGCAAACAGAAATGAGAAACAGGAAGGAAAGGTCAAAATTATAGGTACTTTTCAGAATAACAGTGCTAGGTCTCTAATTATAATCACTGAGCTAAATATTATTCCTAAGATAAAAGCTTCACAAAACCCCCAGCGAAACAGTGGTTTTCAGCATATCCTGGTGTCTGAAACCAACTAATTTAAAAAATGCCTCTGTCTTATAATTGAAAATATTAACAGTGTCTACATTCCAAACTGTGTATGTCCAATAACATAAACAGGTAACATAGGGAGATTTTAAAATGTAATTCTGTATATGGTCAACCTCCCAATACAGTTAGCCTAGTTAATAGAGAAGTGAAGAGGTACTGATAAAGAAAAGGTGATCTAAAAATTCACTTTTATCAGGGGTTAGGATATAGTCAGATATATAGCCCAACCATTTCATTTAGTTACTTAAACATTATAAGTTATTAATCTTAATATCATAATTGGAAAACAAGGCCCTATACTGGCGCACAAAATTCATAACAGTGTCATTTCCTGTTGGGTGATTAAAGGTTTCTACAAATAAAATTTAGGGAATGGGTAAATTTGCAAATACAGAATTTGCAAATCATGGGAACTGACTATAGTAATCATCTAGCTCAAGGAATTACTGTACAGTGAACACGCCTGTAAAACTATCACTCATATGAAAGAGAGGACAATATCGGCGCAGAATACATACTAGCAGATACTGCTTTTTTACTGTGATTTGGAAACTTTTGGTATTCAAGTAACCACTAAGGAATATAACTCTAACATGGACAAGGCTTAGATGCATCATGAAAGTCTGTCATGGGAAAGGTCTGTGGACAGAGGATGTACCTGGCACGCTGTACATACCACATGTCTACCCTTCCTATGTTTGGTGGGCCCTGTGTGTGGGTTTATTTGCCTATTTTCTAAAGCAAATGAGATTTAGATATTATTTGCTGCTTTGGGGCATCCTTGCTACTTGTCTGCTGTTAACTCAAATATCTGAAACTTGAAACAATCGGCAATCAAATTTTCCATTTTATATAGGAAACAAACATAAAATTCTCAGAACATAACATCATTATTAGCTTGCTGTATATAATTCTAACTATAATTTTCTTTGAATTGTTCATAAATTGGTAGCATTTTATAGAAATAATTATTATAACAATTTAACTACTATAGATACAACAGTATAAAGAAAAAAGATGGTAACATTAAAACTCAAGAAATCTTTAGTTTTTTTCTTCAAAGTACCATTTTGTCACTGAGACCAAAAAAAAAAAAAAAACAACAACAACTAAGCTTTGGGAAGTCATAAGTTTGGGGTCACCAAATCTAAGTTTCTTTCTGATTCTGACACAAAATAACCACTACTTTATTAGAGATGTCAATTTTAAAAATTGAGTTAAATATTTCCATTTGGAAGTAACTGGATTTCTTTCTAAACTGGTTGACTACTGTTTAATTGAAGTAGGCTTTATTATAAAATAGAGTAATATCAAATTAGTAACTTATTTTAAAAAATATCCCCTCCAAAATAAAAATCGTTTGGTTATATATTTATAAACCAGTATGTTTTCTATGTGCATAACATACAAACAATTAAAAAAAGGATAAAATTATCTTTTGTGCTTTTCACACACAAAAATAACAGAAGCCATGGTTTTAATATAGAAATAGGCAATAATTTAGAGCAAAAGAACTTTCTGGTTTGTTCTGAAGGCTACCTACAGGGCCCTCAATTGGAGTATAAACTTGATGTCATCGATGACTATGAGGTCCTGGAGAAGAGTAGAAGAGAGGACAGGCCACTCTGCCTGGCCCTGCTGCCATGGGGAGCACAGCACCCTGACACCTAAAGAGATCCCTTTTCCCCTGGGACTTGAAGCTCCTTTGAGATGCTTTTCAGGGCTCCTTTGATAAGCAGGGTTAATCAGCCCTGTTTCTAACAAGTTCTCTATATCTAGTCAAGCTCTTTCTGCTATGTCTCCATTCACAGTGTGACGGAGCACTGAGGGACTACAAAACAACCCTGCAGACGCTGAAAGCAGTGAGTATGCCAGCCTTTGCTCTTCTCCAGTTTAAATAACCAAACTGCTTTGCCATTCTGCAGAGGGCATGTTTTTCTTCCTTAATTATGCTGAAAAAATCCTTTCCTGGCGTTCTCCAGTTTTTCTGCACTAACACAGAAAAAGCATTAATATCCAGGGAAAGTTCAGTATATTCAAAGTACTCCTTAAATTATTAACATCCTTGGGCTTATCAAATGTTAATTCTCTAATGTTTAGGGTATTATAAATGTAAAAAAAACATATCTTACTAGTCTAATAGCCTGGACTTATGAAGTTCCCTTGTTTATCAGCACCACCCTTTAAATTCTCTAAGTTGTTCCCTAAACTTTCATTCAAAGTGGCGATCACTTAGCATTTAGTTTTGCTCTGTTTTGTTTTGTTTGGGTTGGCTATTTAGTTTGTGTTTTTGTAACTTAATCCAGTATCTGATATCTTTAGAGCCAGTAAATTATTTCCAAAAGAGGTAGTAGAAATAGGATAAGCCAAACTTAACCAATTACAATAAAATTCATGAGAGCATAACTGAATATTGTAAGGACTATTATATTTAAATCAATCAATGTGAAATTTGTCTCTTGAAACTCAGTAGTTTGAATGGAACTGAAGTGTAATGGTACAAGAATATGGTGGTAGTCGTACTTTTCACTTATTCTGCATAAAAGGGTCCTTTTTAAGTCATTCAAATGGATATAGACCTATTTCTTATTAGCTAGGTTTGGGATTGTCATGAACATAGTGATAATGAGTTCTTGATTACTTTTGATAAACAGCTTTCAAAGGTTTAGAACATGATCAACAATAAGTGTAATTGAATTCTTATTTTTACTGCAAGGACTTAAGCACTGCATATAGACCACTGTTTAAAGAATTTTTCTCTCACCAAAGCCTAAGTTTTAATGTTCCATTCTGTGTCAGCTTCCTGAACAGATATTTCCCCATAAAGTGGTCTTACAGAAAAGGTTAACCAATACAATGCTAAAAAAGATGCAGTTTTCAAAAACTACTTTTGTTGAAACAGAGATAAAGCAACATGATGTCTAACAGTAGACAGTCAAGTTAGCACTACAGTAATTTTTGGTTCCCACACAATGGGAGCCCTGAAGTAACACCAGCTGAATCCTCAGAGTCTTTGGTTGTACATTTAAAAAGAGCTTCCTTGGGAGGCTGAGGTGGTGAATCTTTTGAGGTCAGGAGTTTGAGATCAGCCTGACCAACATGTTGAAATCCCACTTCTATTAAAAATACAAAAAAATTAGCCAAGTGTGGTGGTGCCTGCTTGTAGTCCCAGCTACCCAGGAGGCTGAGGCAGGAGGATCACTTAAACCCAGGAGGCGGAGGTCACACCACTGCACTTCAGCATGGGCGACAGAGAGAAACACCATCTCAAAAACAAACAAACAAACAAACAAAAACAAAAAAAACTATGTCTCAAAAAAAAAAAAAAATCTCTTTAAATGTACAGCCAAAGAGTGTGAAATAACCTTACTTAAAAAAAAAAATTTCTGGCCACTACTTTCCCCATAAAACATCTACTAGGAACCGATTATAAATTTGGCCAGGTGCGATGGCTCACGCCTGTAATCCCAACACTTTGGGAGGCCAAGGTGGGTGGATCACTTAAGACCTGGAGTTTGGTCTTAAGTGGGAAAACTTAAGTGGTCTTAAGCCCGGCCAACATGGCAAAACCCCGTCTCTATTAAAAATACAAAAATTAGCCCGGTGTGGTGAAGGGCATCTATAGTCCCAGCTACTTGGGAGGCCAAGGCAGGAGAATCACTTGAACCTGGGAGGCGGAGGCTACAGTGAGACAAGATCACCCCACTGCACTCCAGCCTGGGTGACACAGCAAGACACTGTCTTAAAAACAAAAAACAAAAAACGTAATATAAATCAATTAAGATAATCAGTTATAAATAAAAATCAAATAAAACTCTTGTTATATCAATAAAAGCCTGGTGTAATATCTCAGAGTAAAATTGTCCTGAAATGCTATCAACTTCAGGTTACCATTTAGTCAAACAATCTCAATGGGCCTCAAGCAAAAGTAGAAAGCATATGCGGAAAAAGTGTCAATGCATGAAGAGAATACCCTGATTTCTCTCAGCTATAAATCTAGGTTTATGGTCAGAATCAGCTGATTTTTCACGATAGTCTCCCTGTGGCTTCCCGCCCTAAGAACCATCTGATGCTATTACTCACTCCTCAGCCACTTTAACCATTTTATTTTGCAGTTTTCTGTTGGAGCACTGAGCATCTCAGCTCAGGTTAAACATAGGTAGGAAGAGAGATTTTCTACCCAGAAGACTGTCAAATGCAATTCCACACCCTGTAGAGAAGGAAGGCGGGTAAACAGAATACGAGTCTGACCACAAACCTGACTACTGACCTCTTCAGGGACAAGTGGTTCGATCATGGGGGCATCCTCCTGCCTGGCGGCCAGTCGCACGGGGGAGGTGGAAAGCCTCTTCTCCCATTCATTCGTTACGGCAGTGTCTGTTGAGGTTTCTAAGAAGGTTCTTTTCAGCTCGCTAATGTTGGTTTGATGTTTCATCAGGTCATCTTGAGTTTTTTCTAGCTCCTATATTCAGAACATAAAGTATCCAACAGTCAATGTTTTACATTTGTGTTCCTTTCAGCTCTTTTGTTTGCTTTAAAAGTAATGTCAATCTTATTAGTAGTCAAAATAAAACAAAATTTTGATCAAGGCTCATGGCACTACCACAAACACTCTGGTGAAAATGTGATTTTCCCATGGAAAGGAAACAGAAAAAAAAATCTAGTTCACACAAACATGGATACCAAAAGAATTTTAGAAGGCAAACTATAAAGAGTACAATTCACATGTATCCTGAGAGAATTAAAATAAATATACACACAGGAAAAGGGATCTATATCTAGGAGCGAATAACAAATCAGAAGCTGAGAAGTCATCCCCACTTATTAATGGATGAGCACACAGTTCATGCATCACAATACGAGCCCACAGGTATTACACTAAAAGAAAAACAACACACACAGACATGCACTGGTATATACCAATACCAACCTCTAACATAAGATTACTATGTTTGACATACACATTTTCACCCTTTATTCGTTTAATCAGACTATTCTGAAAAAAGTGGAGAAGAAAGGGAAAAGTAAAGGACACAGTTGTCAAGGGAACAAATGCCAACCTACACACTGCACCAACAACATGGTAACCAGCTACAGAGCATGCTGAAAGATCTGAACGCTGTAGACAAACAATGACTTATCACACACTGTTGTTTTGTTGTTGTTGTTGTTTGTTTTATTTTTAATTTTCTACCTGTGCCTTGAGCTCTGCATCTTCCTCCTGGTCCGACTGCCAGCATCAAGAAAGAGTGGGAAATAAAGTCTTACATGCAATTTACTCTAAGATTGAAGAACTATGGTCTACATAGACTTGCTAAATGTGGGCACGTGTACGCTCTTGCATATGGATGCCACTTCTTTCTTATACACAAACCACAACATTCTCACACACAATTAGGAAGCTTAATAAGAATATAGGAATATAGGAGTGGAAGAATTCTTGCCTGGTGGGTCTTTGGCATTTTGACCAGCAGACACACGTGGTTGAGAAGGTGACAGCAAGGGTGTGGCAGGTTGTTCTTGATGAACATTAGAAATAGTTCAGGAAGTGGGGGGAGCCAGATTAAAATTAAAATTTGTAAGAATAGCTATGATGACACAATAATGAGAGCTCACATGTAGTGTATGAATCCCGCCCTATGAGGTTAGTGATTATGATTCCCAATTTGTAGACCAGAGAACCCATGCTCAAAGAATATGAAGAATTTTACACAGAGGTTCCCACATTTTAAAGTTTCTTGAGACCTTGATTTTCTTTTCTTTTTTCTTTTTTTTTTTTTTTTTTGAGACAGAGTCTCGCTTTGTTGTCCAGGCTGGAGTGCAATGGCGTGATCTCGGCTCACTGCAACCTCCACCTCCTGGGTTCAAGCAATTCTCCTGCCTCAGCCTCCCAGGTAGCTGGGATTACAGGCGCCTGCCACCATGCCTAGCTAATTTTTTGTATTTTTAGTAGAGACAGGGTTTCACCATGTTCACCAGGCTAGTCTTGAACTCCTGACCTCAAGTGATCTGCCCGCCTCAGCCTCCCAAAGTGCTGGGATTACAGGAGTGAGCCACCACGCCCAGCCAATTTTCTTGAATGTATATAGTTAAAAACAAATTTGGGAGGGGAGAAGACAAATATGGGGCAACTAAGAAAGTTTTTTTTTTTTTTTAAAAGAAGTCAGCTACTATTAACAACAGCATGATTTCTTTTAAAGGTTTTAGATGGGACAATTTTTGAAATTTGAAAAAATACAGTTATCCCAAAGCCACCTCATTCTCCTGATTTTTCTAATTTCAAGGAGTGGTCTAATCCCTGGACTGCTTTCTGAGTATCAGTAATTAGTAAGCAGGCCAAGCCACATGTGCATGTAGCAGCAAAGCTGTGTCTCTCACTATGGCTCTTGGACTCAGGACTGGGGCTTTATGCCCTTGTGCTAGAAGAGGAGACCCAGAATGAAATTCTAGGTGAGAAAAGGATCACACTGAGTCAGGTGCCTTAAGAAAATCATTTAGTCTATCTAGGTCTCCCTCTTCTTATTTGCCAATGGGACAAGACTGCTTACTCTTCATATTCTACACTGACCACTGTTGTGCTGGCCACCTATAGATGGGACAGAGTTTCATCAGTATCACGGGGCAAACAGGAAATTTAAACACAGTGCTAATGTGCTGGTGACACACCCATTCTTCAGTGCATAGGGGGTTCACAGCTCTTCATTTTATTTTTAAGCTTCAAAGCCTACCTATGTTATAGGTACTCCCTTGCATGCTTTAAATGTTACATAATACATTTTAAAACTACTGTAGAAGTTTAAGGTATTATTATTAAAATATTTTTCATTTATAGCACACATTAAGATTCCAATGAAATTTACTGGATGTACTACCCTGTGGCTACATGTAACTAACTCTTATAAAATCAAGGTGTAGCTTTGTTATAGTTGGCAAAGAAAATTACCAACTTGTAATAGATTTATATATGATTGCTTAAAAGAATCTGCATAATAGTTTTAACAATATCATCTTTAATGTTAAAAACTTATGATTTTCAAGCTTTGGATTGAACTCTGGCATTTCTAAAGGAAGAAACCTAATAAAACGCCATCGCAAAAGATTTTTTCTGAAGATATTTTCAATTAAGTGATATACAGATACCACTTACAATATTTTTAGTTTTTTCTAAATACCAAACTAGAAAATATTATTATAATAGGATGATGCAAAAAAAAACATATAAACAACCTAAAATAAACATTATTACAAAGTAAAAACTAAATTCTGCTAGTAAAAAGTAGCCGAATTAACATCAATAAATGTCTTGACTTCCATTAGTACAGATATTATTTTTAAAGATATTTTAACTACTTAATGGTAGAGAAGATTTGAAAAACAATATAAGCCACACACACACATTTAATGTGTTTCTTTAACCCTAAAGAAAAAAGGAGAAATAACAGTATATCTTCTATCACTGTTTAATGTGATTATATTTTTTAAAAATAAAGTACTAACAGTAATTTAAAAATTCATTTCTTATGAGTGACCGAGGCTACAGTCAAAGGCTACAAAAATGAGTCAGGTAAGTCTTATTTTAACAATAATTATTTCACCATTGGGGAATTAAAAATATATCTGTATCAAGCCAAAATACTAGTTAATTGTGACCTTCTTCCCATTCATTCTATTATACATCTGTAGCCTCTCATTTGAGATAGAATTTTTTTCTAAAAAAAAAAAAAATGTATTATCAGTCTAGGCAAGTGGTTCTCAAAATATGTCCTAAGATGTGCAGAGTCAATATCGCCTGGGAACTTGTTAGAAATATAAATCCTCAAGTCCACCCCCAGCTCTTCTGAATGAGAAACATGAGGCTGGAATCCTCCAGGTAATTCTGATGTAGGCCAGAGTTTAAGAACCACTGGTCTAGACAACAAAATACATATTTAACTCCAACTGTTAAAGTTAGAACTGATCTCCATTACAACAGCTCATATGTGGAGTTCTTAAACACAGAGCCACCCCACAAGGCATTTTCGGTATGCCACTACCAGCCACTCTCAGCCAAAATACCAACCTCAGTGGCAGTGGTCTCCCCGTCGGCTGCGGTGTCCGTGCGCTCACTGTCAGTCTGTTGACCACAGAAGTGATCAGGTTCCAGGAGGAAGGCAGGGACAGAAAGTAAACCATCTGGTTAAACACGCTCTGGCACAGGTCAGACAGGTCATTTTCTTTCTCTGTGATTTCTCTGTGTCACACTACCTTCTCACAAGAACACAAGTTCAAGCAAAGCAACAGAAGGGCCAGAGCTAGGTGTCATCAACAGAGCCAACTCATAGGAATACCTGAGGCACACTCAGCCTGCAGGAGCTGGGGAGCCACACTGACCTGTCTGGTTCTATGTCTCAGGGAAACCGATTTGTCATCCCCACACCCTTCCTCCAACTTTTAACTAAAAACCTCAAGCAACATCTCCTTAAAATGTTTAATGCAAATAAAATTGATGTTTATATATATTTTATTCTAGTAATATTTCATATTTGAAAGGTAAATGAAAATGTCAATTTACAGAAAAAGCTACTGTAACAGTCACTGGACTTTCAGCCTCTCATTTATACCATTATGATAATTTATATCCATCTAGGGCCATCAGGCTGTCTGCATTACCTGTCAATTATAAAAGGCACATGCCAGTGACTCACAGGCATATATTTTTTATGGGAAAAACATAACTCAATTTTCAAGTAGCGTCGCTAACTAGGTATTTTTTAAGACTAAATGTTATGTTTATTTTGCCCCACCCTCCAATATAAAGAAGTATATTAAAGTATGTATTTGAACATCTTGCTCCAAAAATACCATTCAAATGAAGCAAATAAGAAGAAGAATTGTTAAAACAATAGACAGAGAAAGAGAAAGAGAGAAACATCTACTTAGAAACAAATAAAACAAAGCACAGCATTTGACAGAGCCTAGGTTTTGAGGAGAATGAGAACAGTAATTTCAGGACTGGTTTTTAATCTGTTTCACAGGGGTTTATGGCTTAAAAACTGTTTTCTCTCGAGTAGAGTAGAGCTGTGGACATCTAAATGCCCTAATATTAACTGACTTTCCCTCCACAGATATCAACTAATCATTAATAAAGTTCCCTTGATCAAATATCTGTGATTAATATTTTGAAAACAAAAATGAAAATGGGAGGCGAGTCTATGATGGTGAATCTGGTTCTTAAAATAACCTCCCACTACAAAGAACAAGAAATGTCAGGAAGGGGCAACTGGGACAGTGTTGTTTCCACTGACAAAACTAAACTCTGGCTATGCTGATTTCTTGGCACTAGCCACATGTTTCATGTTACGTACTCCTAAAAGAAAGGGAGGCTGAACACATGCTCAGCACATGTACCTGAGGACACCATTCTGGCACCCTTGCTACCAAGTCTAAGTGGAAAATAATTTTCTGTAGGTTGGTAAGGAAAGCGTGTTGACCCATTTTCATGACCTGACCGGCTTGGTTAACAACTGGGGGCAGGAGGTGGCTGTTAATTTTCATATAAAGGTGATTGTTGTTATGGGATTAGTATGGCTGTACCGAGTGACAGCCCTGGGAAAGGCCAGTTTGAATTAGTAAGAGAGACCAGTTATTTGTTCAGGTGTACAGAATAACTCAAAGATCTTAGGCTTTCAAGAATAAATAAGAATGACTTGCACTTAGTGTTTTATTTTTTTAGACAGGGTCTCGCTCTGTCACCCTGGCTGGAGCACAGTAGCACAATCTTGGCTCACTGCAACCTCCGCCTCCTGGGTTCAAGTGATTCTCACACCTCAGCCTCCCTAGTGGGACTAGGGAGGACTCCCTATAGTCCTAGCTGGGACTATAGGTGCATGCCACCATGCCTGGCTAATTTTTGTACTTTTAGTAGAGGCAGGGTTTCACCATGTTGGCCAGGCTGGTCTCAAACTCCTGACCTCAAGTGATCCGCCTGCCTCGGCCCCCTAAAGTATTGGGATTACAGGGGTAAGCCACCGCGCGCCCAGCTCGAATGACTTGCATTTAGTGTTCTAATTAGCTGTGTCAAACACTTCTAAAATTTTTGAAAGTGCTTCTCCTCCTATTTAGCTTATTTCCCTTGTGGTTTTAAAATTTACTTCAGTAACTTGCAAGCATTTTAGCATTAGGGGACAGTGGTCGTTAAGAGGGAAAGGTTTAACGTCAGATGAACATGAGCTCAAATCCTTTCTGTTCAAACCTGTGGCACATTGGGCACTTTTCATATTTTAATCTCAGTTTCCTTCCCATAAAATGGGGAAAATAACAGCCCTAACTGTATTGGGTAATGGATAGTAAGTGCTCTATATAATGCCTGACACACTCAGAGCTAAAAAAAAAAAAAAAAAATGCCTATAACAATTATATTATATAATTATTCCTATTTTTCTCAGCCATACACAAATAGCATAGTCCACATATAAAATTTCTTGAATTCCTACTTAGCATTTAGTCAGTCAGTCAGTAGTATAGTGCCTGATCAAGAGTCAATAAATGAATAAGGCTGAATAAAACAGTTTTTATAGCAACTGGTATTTCTATAATGTATGATGACTACATAAAACTGCAAATATATAACATATCATAAACTATCATATAATACTGTTTATGTAATTTAAAATGTTATAAATCAGTTAATTTTTCTTCCTCTTTATTTGAACTTATCTCTATTTTTCTTTGTATTATCAAAAAATTACTCAGAAATACACATGTAATTGCATTTTATGGTTTGGGGAGGTAAGTTCATCTCATGTTTCTTGATAGGATATTTTGATATCCTGCCCCTTATTTGACCATTCTGAAAGTACAAAAGAAAAAACATGACTGGTCAACAGCTTTATAATGTGAAATATTGAAGCCTTTTTATACTGGATTTCACTCTTAGAAAGGCTGGAAATAAGCCACCATAACATGTTAAAAAAGTAAGCAATGATGATACAATATTTAAAAAGAATTAATTAGTAGTGACTTGGCAAAACGAAAGTGACAAGGCTGAATTGTATGTTAAGAAGTCACTCAGTGTAGCTGCCACAGTGCTTGAGGCCTAGAGATTAAATCAGGCCATGTAAGCAAATGGCAATTTAAATAAAACAGACCAGAATGACCTCAATATGAGTTCTCTAGCTCAGCCTGAACTAGAATGCACAGCTCTTAACACTTCAAGAGACAACACTGAACAGATGGCTAGTTACAGAGTCTGATGGCAGGAGAGCTATCATATAGGCTGACTAGGGCTGCGGAGAAGGGTGATGAAGACTCCAGTGGTCAGTGCTAATTCATGGTTTTGGAGGTTTGCAATAACAAGGACAGTTATGACTGGGAAGCTCCAATCACACGTTCGCTAGCTTGTAACAATTAACTGCTGTGATTTGTTTTGCCAATGTAATGCAGACATGCCCAAGTTTAACATTAATTCTCATGCACTGATTACAACAAGATGTATACCCTGGATTAGGCACAAGATCTGTGTGGTTTGCTATATAAAAGTTGAAATATTTATTTTGAATTTAGAAAAGCATAAAACAGCAATCTTTTCTGCCTTATGTTAGCTTGATGACTAACTCGACTGTTAAAGGAAAAATATATCTCCATGTTAGAAATCAGCTAATAAATAATAACATTGTATTTGTAGACAATATTGTGTTCTTAACTGTAATATGTTCTAGTCCAACACTATTTGATAATATTGCCAATATGAGAAATAGTGATATTAAAGCCTAGGATTTCAAGTAGTTCTCAAAATATTTTCCATGTATAAAAAGTTATTTATATATCAGTTGGAGCAAATCGTTATATATAACTCAAGAACCTTGAAAATGTCTCTTATGCAAAATCTATTAAAAGTGTAGACTTTTACTTAAAACACCTGTGAGACCATTCACATTTTTTTCCTTCTGCTGCAAAGAAATGGTCATAATTCCACTAAATATAGATACTCGCACACCCTCAACATATAATACTATATACTCACAGGTGCAGCTCAAATTATGACTTTCTAGCTGAGCACAGATTTAGACTTTCTTTCCTTTTTTAGCATTGCCTTGACTTTGTGACTTTAAAAAAAAATGCTAAGCGTATTTTGCTTTTTTCCTATCACAACAGCTCTTGTTCTGTGGGAACAGGAGGGCTGCAGGGAGCCTGGGGAGAGGAGTGGGGAGGGGCGCGCATGACAGCAGCCAGGGCCTCTGGTGGCAGCTTCTATTATTCTTCCCTGCACTCTATTTGAAGCCTGGAGAAAGAGAAACTGCTGGGCTGTTCACTGGGCTGTGTGGCAGTGGGAAAGGAGAACAATTAACAGGAAAAACTACTGGCTACCATGTCAGCTCGCCCAATTGCTCGAGTCGGGGACAGGAGCCTGCCCTGCAGCAGCATGCCTTCAAGGATGGAGGCTGATAGTTCAGGGTCTTTCGCCCACTATGTCCATGTCTGGCTGGCAGCCATAGAGGCCCAGCCTCAGCACACTGTGAAAATGGGGGGATTTTGAGACTCATACTGCAGTTGAAAGAATCGCTGTCATATTATCTGCATTGGCATTGCTAGCATGGTGAAATTTCAGCCTGCCTTTACATTGTTTGAAAACTTCAATTTAGTCCTTTTCTGATTGTGTCTGAACACTGCTGCACTGCATGCCGTTGCTTCTGGGCTTGTTTCTGCCCTTACCAATGGCTGATGTCATGTGGGTGCTTTAAACTGCTCTGACACAATACAATGCGGGATCTGATTGACTGACCTCTCTGTGAGTAACAATGACTGTCTGGCAATGATGAGCAGAGGGTGGTGGGGACATTTCAGGATCTCCAGGGAGGAGATACCTTTGCAACTTTAGAAAGCTACCCAGGTGATGATGATACATCCCCTCCGGGGATGCACTCTTCCACCTCTCCTTGACTGTCATTTAAGTTGAAAACTACTCATCATCTGTCTTATATGTGATTTACCTTATTAAACCATAACTGATCAGAACCTTTAGCTTAGCCCTGATCTTTTACACAGCTGACGGGTTATATAAAATTGACTTCTGGCTGAGTCTTTCATCCCACGTAGAACTCAGTGGGTAGCAGAACGATTCCGGGTTGGGCTCAGACTGCTACATCCACATGGTGTTGTGCCTAACCCTGGGGCCCAGGTTGGACTCCCCAACACACAGAAACCTCAACATATTGGCACAGACAATAAATGAGGCTCTGAAAGTAGGACCACTATGGCAGCAGCCAGCTAACACTGTTTCGGACTCAAGCACGGAACACGAAGGGGAAGCGTGTTCTATGCCGAGGTACACACCTCTTCCTCTGAACTGTCACTCGGGTCATTGTCTAGGGAGGCGCTCAAGGAGGCCGCCTTGGGCTCCAGGTAGCAGAGGCACAGAGCCAGAGGGAAGGAGAGAGTGAGAGCGTATGGCACTGAGAAGGAGGCAGACAGCAGAAAGAAAAAGATGAAGAGGAAACAGGGCACAAGGGACGGTGAGCGGATCGGGAGGTAATGCTGCAAGCTCTGGGGCAGGAGGTTGGTTTCAGAAAGGTTGGGGAAAGAGAGGTATCCATCATCATCTAGGAGGGAGGGGAATGACTCAGGGAGCTGCAAGGAGAAGGAGAACAGGGTGGTCCCCTTGCCAGTTTGCTGTCTGTAGCTAAAAGCCACATCTTGATCCCCTAGGTAAGGCCTCCCTGGGCCATCAGAGTCCAAGGCGGGCTCTCCAGGCAGGTGCTCAGCTCTGGACGGCTCATAACCTGGCAGTTTGCAGTCATTCTCCTTACACCTCCTACGGAGCTCTGTGGGAGATGTGGGGGCACAATGGGTGGATGGGGGTGACAAGGGACATGAGTCAGTGCCAAGCCCAGGTGACTGATGTGAAAGAGACAGAAAGAGACAGAAAGCAGCAAACAGAGGTGCAAAAGGACAAAAAGAAAACTGCAATTAGTTAATTTTCTTATGGGTATCAATATAAAATTGTAAAACAAAAATTTTAGCACTAGGGTTGCTCATGAATGTTAAAGTATTCAAGCTGCATGCCACTGTTGCCACGAACGGCTACATTTCTCCCATGAGACTATCACATACAGGTGGAATTCTTTAAAAACTCAGAACAGAAGGTATTTGTGGGCAATCCCAAAGTCTACACATTTCACATGGTCAAAAAATTTCCCTTTAGACTAACAACTCTAGAAAGTTTCAGGTTTTGGGGAGCAAACATAAGTAAATCTGATAACTTAACATGAAGACTTTCAATAGCCTTCTCCTGATTTCCAGGTAGCAGAGCTGTTACTATAGTTCAGCTAGATTAAAAATGAAGATGAAATCCAATCCAGATTTTGATTAAAAAAAAAAAACCAATCTCTAGCATTAGTCCTTTCCCTGGTTATTCAATTACATCCAAAACAAGGAGTTTACATTCCAAATCAAGAAGTTTCTGGCCCCACTCCTATCTGATAAGTAGTTACAATCAGGGATTCGACAGTTAGCATTTCTGAATATCTCACTCCTCAGAAAAGAACTGAAGTTCCCTTGAAAGCTCTATTTTGGCTCCTTTATTTAGGATATTAGTGGAACTTCAACTGAAGTGATTTCAACAAGCTAACTAGCAAAAACAATGTGTTTTCTTGTAACATGCTTTGCCAGTATTTACTTTCTATTATTTATGATGCATAATAACAGAAAGATATAATTTCCCAGCCTTCTGATTTTTCTTAGCAGATAAAGGGCATATTTAGATCTTTGGTTTGAGTCCTTAATATAATGATAAAAGCAGGGTTTTCCACAGGTGCTCCCCTGGTGAGCTCAAGCTTTTATGGGGCAAGTGAATCTGCTTCTCCTCCTCTCTGGGTCCTGGAAGTCTCCACGACCAGGGCCAGTTTCCTCTGCAGGTGGCGGAGGGGTTGCTGGACAAGAAGGGGAGGAAGGAAAGCACGCAAGCCCCAAGCAGGACCTGGGCAGGTACAGCAGCTGCTGCAGGCCGGGAAATCCAAGCCTGAAAGTAATTAGACTTCTGCTGATGTCTGTGTCACTGCGTGTGTGTATGTGTGTGTTTTGCCCAGTGGCCTGACAGCATGGAAATTACCCAGCCTGCCTTGTGTGGTTATGCAATCCTGACTTGGGGAGAAGTGGTAAATATAGCGACAGAAAGAAAATGCACAAATAAAGTTACATCTGAGGCATGAGGGAAAGAAAATGCACAAATAAAATCGTAGCTCTTCGGCCTTTGAAGGGTCTCTTTTTACGATGAGAGAAGTATGTCTTTTCCCACACATTTGCATTTGACATTAAAGACGGCACTTTAAACAGGAACCTGCACAAATCTCATTCAACTAAGAATAATGTAGCTGCTACACATTAACTTCTGCATGAAGACAACTGTCCTCCAGCATGGAGGTGAGGCAGCCCCATGACCCAGGGGATCCCAGCCTGGGAAACGTGCCTCCTTCCCAGGCAACCTAGGGGACCAGCCTTTCAAGAACTATTTTCAGTAATACACTTTCATTTTGGTTGAAAAGTAAGTACCCTCTGCGTTACTTTTTGAAGAAGGAGAAGGATAAAATTAAGGTTTAACCTTCCATGCTGATTATTAAAGTCATTTCTAGAAGACAGCTTTGCACTGGGGAAACCAAGCCAGCCCACACCTATATGAGCACCAGATTTCAGCTACAGACTTCCTGAAGACATTCTGCCCAGAGTGCTGGCTTCTCAGAGACTCAGGCTATGAGGCTGGTAGTGTCCTTTGTCTTTTCCCACATCACAAATGGCACCAAGTGAGGACAGCTTAGTGCTACGTTTTATATAAACAAACTGGTGGTCTTTTAAAAGCAAATAAAGTGAAAATGTCCGGCCTTATCTTGGGAGCAAAACTAAAAATCACTTACATTGATGTGTCACTTCTTCAATACTTATACATCCATGGGAATCTTATGTTGGCATGGCGAGTTTATAAAATGTTAGAATAACTAAGAAGAAGAACCACATATTTGTTTTTTGGGTGGATTATATTCTTTTCTGTCCCCTTTAAAGCCTTCCTTGACTGAACAGACAGGAAGAGTGTAAAAACAAAATTTAGAACAAAGCACATTTTAACAGCAAAAGTTATCGAAATATCCCTGCCATTATTTCCTACTCTCTGCTTAATTTTGTGTTTGCCAAATAAATAATCTTATCCCAAAAAATAAAAGATGATGGATTGGGCCATTTGTAATATTTTAGCATAACTACAAAAATTATTTGTCTATGTTAAGATGTCACTGCTAAATTCTCATCAAAAGGAACACTTTCCATAGAATTCGGGGTAGTGATTCTCCATCTCTATTTGAAGAGCCCATGTACAAAAGATCACTCGTGAATCAAATTTACTCAAATTTTAGGATAACCCATGGGTTATTATGAGCATTTTCATTCTGCTATTTCCTCTTACTCTATGCTCTGTACAGGCCAGGAGCCACTCTGTTTTTCCCTTATTATTAGGTATAAGCCTCCTGAAGGGTTTTTTGACTTTTAAATTATTTTTCTGAAAAGTTGCTTTGTAGTGCTGGATCACCAGAAAAAAACATAGTGTTTAAAAATGGTGTTAAAAAAGATATTTAATTTGGGGTGAAACAATGTTACAAAGTTTAATGAATTCAACACTGAAAGAAGAAGCTGCTGCCAAATTCCCTTTTTATCTCCTGTTGCAACTTTCTGCCTTAAGATCCCTTTTCAAAACATGGCCAGTCACTACTCTGCTGATTAGGCGTAAGTATAAATATGTAGGCTGTGGTCACTCCATGTACTTACAGTCAGAAGAATGGCAATATGATAATTGTATATCTAGAAAAATATGCTGTACTTGGGTAGGAGAATGGGGCCAGAAACAAAGAAAACAGCTTTAGTGACAGTTCTGAAATGTGAGCCCAAACAGAAAAGTGTAATACGCCACCAAAAGTATTTTTAAGATACACATACAGGACAGCTATTGAAAGTCTTACATAGCACACAAGTTATTAAAATAAAAATTTTCAAAGAGCTATGAATGAACCTTTCAGAGAAAAAATGTTGAAACAGCAATCATAATTTAAAAATTGACATATGAATGTGACCAGTGCTGACATATGATTTATCCTAAATCTGAGCACATTCCTGGTTTACAGCCTCAGCATCATTTAGTCATTCTTAAAAGCTGGAGCAAGCTCTTGCAGGCAGTCTGGGAGCTATACCTTTCCCTCGTGCCGGATGGCCGAGATGGGCGTGACTTCTTCCCCCTTCCTCCGTTTGTCCTCTTCCTCGTCCCGCTCCTCCTCAGCCTTCTTCTCCGGAGTCACAGTGGTGATCAAGTTGGTCTGAGAGATGCCTTTTGTTGTGGCGTACTGGCCAGTACCAACCTCTGCAGCAGACATAGAATCCTTCATGTATATTTCATGGTTTTCATTCACTGATGCTAAAAGCAAATACAATTAAAGAAATAAAATCCAAAATAGTTAGGTCAGAAGACACATGAACAATACCAACTATATCTTTACTGAAAAAAAAAATACCAACACAAAATACCAGGTTTGCCTTGAAAAAACAAATCAGTGCTGCAGGGACCTTCATGAGAGCATGACCTTCCTGTATTTCCTATATGAGTGCTTTAAAATTCGTGAAATGCTCATGTCTTGGAATTTCATCTATCCTCAGACTCTCTGCTGAGGATGTGTGTAAGTGTGGAGGTGAGTGGAGGGTCATGAGGCGAGGCTGCCGCTGGGCATATTATCACCATTGGCTGGCACTGGCACCAGTCTCGTAGTGGCCAATTCCACACCTAACAGCAGTCTTTGCAGTACACAATTGCTCTAATACACTTGGCTCTTTGGAAGTGCCATTCACCAAGGAGCACTGAATTGGTTTTCATATTATTATTATTAATGTTGAAAAGTCTATCACTCTTACAGTATAAAAGCTCCATGGGTAATAACAAATATTAACCATCTTGGTAGAGATTATAAAAATCAGATGGCAATTCCATTCACCTAAAGTACAGAAATGTTTTCATTTCTACTGCATTTTAAACAGACTACCATAATATGCATATACATTTACTCATCTCTAATATTTTGGGAAAACACAATGAATGTTGCTAAATGAAATTCATGCAAATGCAAAACATGCAAACTCAAGAGAATAAGACAGAGCCTTTCATCCCAGCTAAAACGTCTTAGTGAAAAGATGCTTAATTAAGTTTTAAAAGTTGGTACTCATTATTTTAGGTTTTAGATATAAAATTTATTAAAACTTATAAATGTTGCTTTTCAAATACACAGTAACTAATCACAGACAAAATATCTACATTATTATTTTAGGAATTTAAAAACGTAAATAAAAGAAAGGATTCTGAAATGAAATCCTCTCTGAAATGCTTTCGATAGCTAAACTATGTCACTAAAATATCTTCACTAAGACATTTTATATCTCTTTACACCGTTGAAAAAGCTCATATGAGACACAACTTCCTAATGGACCAGTTAGGCCATTCTCTGTGAGATGCAACCTTGCAAAAAAGCAGTTTATGTTGCAACATGCAGCTGTGCCACCCAGCTCAACAGCAGCAGAAAACATACTAGAGCTGGCAGGACCGCAAGGAGTGAGAGACAACACATACTAACATCACTTTTGGGCAGGGAGAAAGAGACAGCATGACATTAGTACACTGATTTCACAATTGTCTTCTGTCTTCTCAGCAGTCATTATCACACTAAAGGTCATAAGGAAAACAACATTCACAACAAATGTGTTCCCTGGGGTGCACGTCACTGAACAAAGTGGATGATATTCAGGAAAAAAAAAGTGCGATTCTACAAAGTTCCTCAAATACTGATAACATATAGAAATAGGTAATAGAGACACTCTAAAGGAGAAACAAGAGTCAATAGGATAAACCAGAAAGAAAAGCTTCAATGTTAACATCGATATTTCAATATCTTAATTCAGCTCGAAACAGTCCTGGTAATTATTTTATTCAAAAGGGCTGGCTCTAAGTTCGGTATTCTGGAAACTCTTAGAAGACACACAATGGCAATTAACTTCCTAGGCTAGCTCACAAAAGCCTGTAAGAATAATTATGAATATAAAATGTGGTATATATACATCATGGAATACTACTCAGTCATAAAAATGAATGAAATCATGTATTTTGAAGTGACTTGGATGGAGCTGAAGGTCATTATTCTACATGAAGTAACTGAGGAATGAAAAGCCAAATACCATACGTTCTCATGTATAAGTGGGAGCTAAGCTATGGGTATGCAAAGGCACAGAGTAATATAATGGACACTGGAGACTCAGAAGGCAGACAGTGGCGGGGGTGGTGGTGACGGATAAAAAACTACATATTGGGTACAATGTGCACTACTCAGGTGACAGGTGCACTAAAATCTCAGACTTCACTACTATACAATTCAGCCATGTGGCCAAAAACCGACTGCTTGTATCTCAAAAGCTACTGAAATTTTAAAAAAATGTGAAAAAAGAGTAATTATCAATATGATTATTGAGATAATTACCTATGTAACAAGAGTGCTTTCACATATATCTTGCTTTTCACAACAGCCCCGTCAAAGGCGGCCTTATTCCTATTATACAGATGACTAAAACAGACCTGGAGAGCTGAAATCATTTGTCAACCACCGCAGAGACAGAGGGCAGCAGAGCCTGGACTTCAATCTGGATTTACCCATGCCACAAGAGTACAGTTTCCACCTCGCTAGTAACATACATAATATAGCACTAATAATGCCATTTTGATTTCTTCTATAAACTGTTCATAAAGTATTCCATTAGAAAAAGACAGTTGTTTTTAGTTGGGAGATTCAAGGAGCACCTCTCCCCATCAATCACCCGGCTAGTGAAATGGGGAAGGCAGAGCTGAGACTCTCAGGGGAACAGTGGCAAAAAAGGTAGGAAAGGAGATGGTACCATGCACTTGTAACTTTTGTTTATTTTTATTTATGTTTTTCCTTATTATTTAAACCATACTTGCATACCAGAAACTCCTAATTCTTTTTATTTGCACAGGATAAGATCTTCTATTAAAAACAACAAATCTCCAGGTGCTCCAAATGAGAAGACAGAGACCTAGACATGATTCAGTTCCAGAGTATTGTTACAGCGGGCACGCCTTGCAGCAGAAAGTGTACCTCCATATTACTTCAGAGAGCAATCAAGAAACTGTTCGATAAAACAAAACCCTACTAAAAATTCACTGTTGTGTTATCCCCTAAAAAGGTAGTTTGAATGATCATCTCTCCATTTGACTAATTTAACTTGGCAGTACAGAACCCCTACCTAGCACTGTTCTCCCAGTCCATCTGGGGTAGTAATTAGCACAACTAGGAGAATTTAACTTACAACCCTGTGCTCTGTTATTTGAATGTCATCCTTTCTACCAGCTATTATCAACTGACTGATAAAGGTCACACTTTATTCATAAAGATTTTTTAGAAACAGAAATAAATTTAACTTATAGATTTATAAAACAAATGGTCTTAAACCTACCAATCCTTTAAGACCTGTTGGCAAGAGAATCAAATCACAGAGTATGTGACTACTATATTTAGAATGAGAGCATCTTTCTCCAAATTCAGGGTGTCAGCTTATGAAAGCTATTTTCTTCATTCCCGAAGTGCCATTCTTTTATGTAATTTTACATAAACCTGCAGATGTTAGACTGACAAAGGGACTTTCATTTCGCTGGGGGAGACTTAAAAATGTGCCATTCAGTCAATAAGCAACAACTGCTTTTCAACATACAATATCCAGGAATATCTATACTTACTGAAAGCTCATGACAGTTTCACATTCTTTTTGGGGTAGGTACTAGGTTATTAAGGGCCAGTAAGCGATGCCTACCTCCATCCAAGCTGCGAGACATGGTATAACGTTTGCTGGATGAGCGTTCAAAGTAAGGTGCTGGGCGATCTATCAACGCACTGGCTCTTCTCGTTTGCGCTTGTGTCCTGCCACTATAACGAAACTTGGAACCCAAGGTTAGGAATTTCTTGGGAGGTGCTTCTGGTAACAGTAGTCTAAAGAGAATAAAGAAAAACAGCAGAAAGACTATTAAGTCCAATATTGAGAGTGCTTTTTAAACTTTTTACTCTGAGAGGTCATGTGTTTTGCATGCTAAACATTTAACGCACAACTTGCAGTTAAATAAATCTGATTTCATAAAAGAATGCATATAGTATATATCAACTAGGGATATTGTAGAGAGGATATATGCAAATGAGGGTTGTACTGAACTAGATGAATTTTTAACATTCCACGCAAAGTGGACAGTCTATGGTTCTATAAGCCCAAACAGCTACTAAATAGTTTGATATTAGTGAAGAAGAAGAGTGACAATTTGGTGTTGGGTGCCTAATTTGATGGGTCTCGTACCATGCATAGGTAGGTAAAGGGATTCAGGGTATTGAGAAATCACTGAAATAGTAAGGAATTGAAATAGTAAGGAATGGATTGGATATTTGAAGTGGACACCCTAAAAATAATGTAAACACACTAAAGATACTAAAGAAGGGGGGTTTGGGACATGTAAGTACATGACAAATTAGGGAAAATCCTTCAAATTTAGTCTTTTTCTAGTTCTCTTAGGATTTCTTATCAAGAAATATGGTGACAATGAACTTGAAGGGATAGAAAGAATAAAATTCCATATTTTTTATTGACAATCTTTTTCAGTATAAGTGATTATAATTATTCCTTAGGGAAAAAACAAAATAATCTCTTCCTACCTGAAAAATGTATGATGCTCAACACATACTTTCCATAAACGCTTGGCAGCTCGATGGTTTGGCAGCTTAAACCCAATGGTGCTTTCAAATTGTTCAAACTAAATAAAAAAAAATACATTGAAGAGTAAAGTTTAAAATTATAAATAACAGAAGCCCTGTAAATAAATTACAGAATCATGATGCCACCAGAATTTTAAAAATTTACTTACTAGATCAATTGCTATATGCATAATTCATGCTATACAGATTCATTTGTTAATTTCAAAAATGTGTCTTTAAAATGCTGCAGGTATAAATAGCCACTTTATGCATACAGTAAAATGTCTTCTGAATAAGTGTGTATCTTATGATACAACTGAAAACCAAACACGAAAAGGGGTTTTTTTGATTTCTTCCAGAAATCAATTTGCCCTGATATCACTTTTAAACTTTTATTTTCATGGTTTCTCAATGACACAATGACTTCAACTGCAAGGTACAGAAATGAACAAAATGTTTACAAATATAGTCTACAGCATTCTTAGAAATGAGACTTTTCTCCTAATACCTGGGCAGGAAATATGTGTATTTCTTAGGTAGTTGATAACTTGGTGTCAGAGATTGCTGATTTTATTTGTGTGTTCCGCTATGGATTATCGTGTTAAATGCTAACGTCTCTCTATATCATACGTAAGATCAGAGATTGGGGGAACATATTTTCATATTTTTCAGCATGTACACTTCAGATGATGCCTTATCAGCCATTTGATTTTTCGAGGTGAAATACTCATCTCATTTCCTGCATAATATACTTTATTACTGCAGATGCACAGGTTTTCACATTCTGAAGAAGGTACACATCAGACCACCAGAGGGCAATCATCTTAAACAGTAAAGGCTTCCCCAAAGAGCACACAATGGGTACTACTGCTATAATCAATAGCAAAAATCATTTATATGGCAAAGAACCGAGGTGAGGGGTCATATGCATGGCATGTGAGATACAATCATGTTTGACCTCTATTTCTTGTTTGTTGAGGATGATTAGGGGAAGTGGGAAACACATCACAAATGCTTCAACCGCAATTGCCTTTCCCAACTTCTTATTCACTCTGGATGTTCATGTGCAGTGGTGTTTGTAAAAATCACTACTGTCTAAGGGACTCAGCCAAGACAGACATAGTGTGGCTTGTGACTAAATCATCATCCATTTATTCATCCTGCAACTAATATGCACATATTACGCCAATGCCAGGGGTTATATGGAAGAGTCAGCTTGCACTCTGCTGCAAGAAGCTGGGAAGAGTCTCTGCCAACCTCTGTAGGCAAGGATGATGCAGGCTCCTAGACTACCTGAATAGGTATTAATAGTTTATTAATATCTATTTCTCTGTGTTTTATATCAATTTCTTTCAACTTCTTCAGAGTCTGTGTGTCTCCAATTTCTTCTCACTCACTTTTCTCAGGCTGTAAATAGGATTGTAAAAGCAGAGAGAAGAGGAGTGAAAAACCAGCTCTCTCTGAGCCTGCTTATGCCAGCACCACAACCCCATCTCACTCCTCACTGCTAAACTTTAGGAAGCAGAAGCCACGACCTGCTGCCTCTGCTACCTACTCCTGACCTCAACACACCTGGCAGGTGCTCCTGTTGCCCTTCTGAACTCTGAAATGTCATCATGGGGCCTGACTGTTAAGTTCAACACACTTTTGTTAGTCCACATCCTGCGTGCCCTTTCTGTAACATATGATACTGCTAGCTAACCACTTTCCTCTGAAACTCATCTCCTGGTCATCCATCAGCCTGTTTCTTCTTTTATTTCTCTGGCTGTCATTTCTTCAGCTCCTTGGCCCTTTCTCAAATAGTGGTATTATCCAGAGTTCTAGTTTTGGGCCTTTTCTTTCTCTAACTTGCCTTGCTCTTTGAGTAATTTATTCCATGTCTAAGGCCTTGAATAAAATATATACAGTTGATAACTCTGTTCAACTCCTTCCTATGCAAGAGTTACTCCCTGAAAATCTGTTTCAAAGGGATTTCAGTTGTTTTTCTGAAATTTTCCCCCTTTTCCCTCCTGCCGAATGTCATCTCCATTGGCTTCAATCATGCAAACTGAAAACCTTTGATTATCCTGGACTTTTCCCTCTTTTAATTACTTCCTCTATCCTGTCTCTACGACCTGCTGCTTCTGCCTCTGAAACCTCTCTCTTGCATTTGTTCCCTCCCGTCTATTCCCACAGCCTCTGCCCTAGTTTAGGTCTTATCACATCATGTTTCTAAGTCGTTGAATTTCATTAAGAAATGTATCATTCCAAAATATTCACCTAGTTGTGTCACATCCTGATTTAAAACCTCCCATGACTTACTAGTTGTCCACTGATTCATTTCTCTAGCTCTCCCCTCTGGCATCTCACAATACTATGCTCACTCCATGTCTACAGAATATCATCTCATTTGCATCATGCTGTTACAATCAAAGTATATGAGTCCGTTTTTCTGCTAAATAGAAAATCCCTTAACAAGGAACAAGGTCATATTTGTCTTTAGATTTCTAATGTCTGACAATAAATAGGTGCTCACTTAACAAATGTTCAATGAAGTCAAATGACTATCTATTGGCTATAAGTTTAATATACAATCTTTAGGAAATATTTTTAAAACACTATAATTTTAGTTATTTACATGAAAAGCTTACAGATTATTTCAGTTATCATAGATAGGTATGATGTTATGTTCATACTAAACATCATTACATGCTTTATGTTTCAATTTTTTTGTTATTTTTGAGACAGGGTCTTTGCTCTGTCACCCAGGCTGGGGTACAGTGGTGTGATCAAACTCACTGCAGCCTTAAATCCTTGGGCCCAGGTGATTCTCCCACCCTTGGCCTCCCAAAGTTCTGGGATTACAGGCATGAGACACCATGCCCAGCCGATATTCTGATTTTTTAAATTGCATTTTCCACCAAGAAACTCCAGTAGAGAAGTAGATTTTGAAGATAAGAGATAATTCTATATCATATCAGAAAATGTTCAGAGATATAAGTATGCTAGAATCTTTGAGCTTTGACTGCCTCTGTTATACTAACCATACCAATTAGAAATTTGAGGTATTTATTAACTATCTCTTAAGTAAATAAGAGTAGATATGTGTTACTATTATGTACAAACCACTAAGGAAGATATAAACGTAAGTTGATCATGGAGGCTGTTGTCCAAGGAGTAAGGACTAGTTAACAATTCTGATTGTCTCATTAGCTTCTCTGACTTAAAACAAACAAACAAACAAACAAACATATATTGAGCTATAGAACATTGATATAATTCACACTAATTGTCCTTTGTTCTAATATTCCTTGTACCTTGAAGTACAGGACCTCTAAACTGTTCACTTTAAAGTACAACCAGATTTGCAGGACAAACAGAAAGAGCATGGAGAAATAACAACAGCATGTGGAGGAAGAGATTTATCCATTACTGCTTGAAATATACACAAAATTATTAATGATACTGGAATTTTTTTTTTTTTGAGACGGAGTCTCGCTCTGTTGCTCAGGCTGGAGTGCAGTGGCACGATCTCGGCTCACTGCAAGCTCCGCCCCCTGGGTTCACGCCATTCTCCTGCCTCAGCCTCCCGAGTAGCTGGGAATATAGGCACCTGCCACTACGCCCGGCTAATTTTTTGTATATTTAGTAGAGATGGCATTTCACCGTGTTAGCCAGGATGGTCTCGATCTCCTGACCTTGTGATCCACGCCCCCACCCCGCCCCCGGCCTCCCAAAGTGCTGGGATTATAGGCGTGAGCCACCGCACCCGGCCGAGACTGGATTTTATATTAAAATATGTTTTTAAAAACCCTCCAATTAACGTATGCAGTAGGAAATATTGGAACAATATAATAAAGAAGAGAATATTTATTACTGTTTATTGGGCAAACCTACAATAAACTCTCTCAGGCACTTAGATGTCATTCACTGTGTCCCACAATGCTCAGAACTCATAAGCAGATAATTTAAATGCTTGCTTGCTATCAGGGATCTTTCCTCCCAACGCACAGGCAAATGTGGGTATACTTACCTCTCCCGGCCGGATCTTAATGTAAAAGTTGTTCCGTTTGTATGAAATCTTTAGAACCTTGGGCCAGGCAAATCTGTTTATTCGCAGCCGGTCGCGATATATCAACAGACCACTTGCACAAACTCCTAACATAATTTCTACCCCTTCTGAGTCCTGGAAAATAAAAGCAAGAAACAACAGATCAGTATCTAACTTATTTCCATTTTCTGCTGGGTAAAGTATTTAAGCATCCACGACAGAAACTATAAATGGCTGGTTTACTTATGCAAAATGATGCAGCCATTTTTAAAACATTACCATTAAACATTAGCCTTTTGGTGAAGATGTTTATCACTATGGAGAGGTTTGTTAGAATAAAATCTGCTCTCCCAGGTGTCTCAGACTTACAAAGTAAATACTGCACACCAAGAGGGCCCAGCTCATGAAGGTATGTTAATAACGGTAATAATAGTAGCCACAGTTCTCACTTGTCAATTGCCAGGCACTGCTCTGCTTTACATATATTAACTCTTTTAATATTCACTGTAATTGAGATGGTCACTATTATTATTCCCATTTTACAGATGAGAAAATAGGTACAGAGTTCCAGCTGAACACAGCCTGGTTCCAGAGGCAGCACTCTTAACCAACACGTATGCTAACAAGATGGACCCTGTCTTTTCCTATGAGGGTTTTGGTTGTTGTTCCTTTAAAAAGAGCCCCGATATTTTTTATATACCATTATTGTCAGAGTAAAATTTAAATACGAAATAGTTTTTTTAAAAGTATGAATGAATAAAAAAATGTAAGAATGTATTTTCCCCAACAACCGCCCTTCCCTCCACACAAACACACTGCCCAGTGGTAATCACACTTAGCAATATGGCTCACATATATAAATATAAATACTTTTTAAATATGTGTATAGTTTTTTTTTTAAGAAACAAACCTGAGATCATCCTAGAACTGCAATTTCCTTTTGCTACTTGCACATTTCATGTTTAGGTAATTTCCTATGGATGTGTGATGTCCAGAGGTCATCAGAGACGTTGTATCAAGCTTAGGAGATGTACCACATACAGTCTTTCCCCATGCTTTAAGTCAGGGTAAAACGAACATTTGTGGTGGCCATGAATGAAGGAAAAAGACAGGACACAGGCAGGATTGTAAGTGAGGTCAGAGTCCACCCCTGGTCCCACTGATTGTTGGAAGCAGGGGACAGAAAGGGTCATGAGCTGAGCATCCATTGGAAGCTATGCCCAGGTCTGCTGTCAATGCAAGGCAGGAGATGGAAATTTCCAGAATCAGAAATACATATACTGGTCCATCTCTGGGACATGTAAGTTTGCCAACAAAGCATAATTGGTTTAAAATGAAATATTTTACTTTGGAAACGTATCACTCCATGACACACTGAATTACTCTGCAGGAGTGGAAATATTTGATGGCAGGATATTACAATATAATAAAATTTGAGGAGAACTCAAAGACTGGAAACTGCCCACCATTTATCTAGGACTTTAATTTGAAAGAGTGATTTAAAGAGCTGTAACCTGATGCTGACACACAGCTGGCATTACTGATCCTTTAAAACCAGCCAATCTGTCTGCGCCACCACTCAGAGATGACCACCTTACGCCATCGGCAGAGTGCAGGAACGAGGACGCACTGCCAGAATCACTGCTCTTTGACTCATTTTCTTTTTGGTAACTATAGAACAGGACTTTAGGAAGTGTACCTTTAACCTACTGAGGGAAAGGACATTCGAAACCTTTTCCATTATTAGATAACAATAAAACTTTTAATAAAAATTTTAATCACCCGTTAATTCTTTGAATTTTAAGAAAACAGTAGCTCCCTTCATGAGGAAGATGAAGAAGGCTCCGATGCCTCCTCTTCTTGTCCCCTCCAAAACACACCTCTCTGTGTCCCCAAATCAAACTGTTATCTCTAGTACACCCTTAGCAAATGGCACTGAAATAAACTACCACTTGTCTTCCTTCTCCTGGAGACAAAAGCTGGTTGAGAGCAGGAGCTCTGTTTATCTTTGTAATCTCACGGCCAGCGCACTGCCTACCTTGCATGCATGAAGCCATTACACATTTGTTGAAATAGAGGTTAATGAAAAATGAAAACGGCACAAACGAGTGCAGTTTTAAATTGGATGCAAGTCTCCATTTCATTAATCGCACGGCAAAAAAAAATGATACTTTTCATCTCAAATTTTCTGCCACAGCCCACAGTATTGAGGTTAGTTTGAGAAATCTTTTTTTTTTTCTTTTTTTTTTTGAGGCAGGGTCTCCCTCTGTTGCCCAGGATGGAGCGCAGTGGTGCCATCTTGGCTCACTGCACCCTCCACCTCCAGGGGCTCAAGCAACCCTCCTCCCTCAGCCTCCTGAGTAGCTGGAACCACAGGCACGTGCCACCACACTCGACATTTTTTTTTTTTTTGGTAGAGATCGGGTTCTGCTACATTTATTCTATCAGGTCTCGAACACCTGGGCTCAAGCAATCCCCCTGTCTCAGAGTGCTAGGATTACAGGTGTGAGCCACCTTGCTGGGCCTGAGAAATCTTTGGTTTTAAAAGTTATGACAACAGGATTTCTTAAGGACATGTGCATTCCACTATCAATAAATACATGTGCACTCCCTTTAGCAAGGAGCACTGGGGTGTACCCAAATAGTCTCTGTCATCATGAAAATAAAGGGGCATACGATTTCTTTAATTCAACATCAGTGTTTGAACTTTGCCATCCTGCTCTGTGGTATATCCTATATGGACTTATATCTACATTTCAGAATCTTACATAAAATAAATGACTCTGACAAAGCCTATCAAGATGCACATTAAGTGACAAACAAGCAGAGACAGATGTACAAAGAAAAAACAAAGCATTTGGGTTTTCCAAAACATAGGACCTTTGTGTAATATGGGTATTTATTCTTCATACAGGATTCCAGATCAGAATTTTTAAATGGATTGTAAAGCTCAGGGTCTTTCACACCGTCAACAGAAGCGAGGCATCTCGCTCATAACCGGAGATTAGTTCCAATTTGTTTCAGTAAATTTGCTTCTTCAAATGATGGAGTTTGGCTGCATGGGAAAATGGAGTCTATAACTGAATTATCTGTTATACTTAATATTCAGAAAAATTCCTATAATGCTACAGTTGCGCTTGCTTAATTCTTTCTTTTTAATTGGCATAATTTGAAATCACATTATTAAATGAAAAGGCAGCCATCTATTTTAATTCTGTAGCTATAGCAATGTTAAGTGATTTTATATTTACTGATAGAAACACTGATACATCCTGAGGTGCACTTCCTGAAATGCATATCCTAATCTTTTATTTACTTATTTATTTATTTATTTCTGGGCAGTAAGAGAATCAAAGTGTGTGATGTAACTCAAAAATAGCTTCAGATTCACTCAAATTCTCAGGCTCCCTTCATTTCCTTCTTGTTTCCTTATCTTTTAGCCTCTTAGGGGGAAACACTAAGAGAAATTTAAAAATCTTAATGTCTGTTCTTATTTTCATTTTGAAATTCTCACTCTACCTTGTACCTAACATATAATAGAAAACATCTTTGTTATCTGAGTGCAAAATAGGTGAAAAAGTGTAATAATGAACTGGCAAGTAAACAGAGCTACACCTGCTGTTGTAATTATACACAAATGTCAAAGAGCTTGGCATTCAACATAACAGCACATCCCTGGTGTGAACCTCCGCCAAGTCACAGAGATTTTGCTAGTGCTCAGGCCTTGGAGAGCTCATCCTGCATGACGTGCAGAGTGATCCGCGGCAAAACCAATCAAACCTGCACAGATTCAAGGGCCACTATTCTCCCCAAATCCCTGTGGATTAGTCTGCTCTCCAAAAGCTAACCAAAGTGCAGCCCAACTTCCAGTATCAACAGAACCTACAGATCACAGAGCTCCCTGCAATGGGTCCGCAGGGGTGCTGAGGTGTTTGCTCGAATGGAGCCAGCTGAAATTCTCTTCATTTCCAGGCCCTAAACCTGACTGTTTAAGACACTCGTTGGCCTGGAAACCTGTAACTGCACATTCTGTGAGTCTCAGACCATGAAATCGGTGACTAACTCTGTCCATAAAAGTCAAACACACATCCCTAAACAGGAACAATGTCATCCTGTTGGACCCAGTCAGAAGAAACAACCTCTGACCTTAACATTGACCTTTTTAACACTGCTAATGCATCAGAATCCAAACCTAGGATCCTAACACATTTTACATGTTTTGCTAATAAAAGTTTTCATAAAAGCTTCCTTGTATTTCCACAAGACTTTTATTCTGGGCTGTTTAAAAAGACTAGTAGTCCTATCTTCATTCTACCACTACTGAAAAGTACGAAGATTCCAGGAAAAGCATGACACAGAGTCAAAGCTGCTCTGTGTATCCTCACGACTGTAACCCTCCTACAGTCTCAACCCAAATTCTTTGTACCCAAGACTCCATTCCCAAGATACACCTTTAACATTTCATCGATCACCAGTCAACGAAGCAAACCTTAGCCTAGGTGAACTTTAAAACAACAACCTTATTTCAGAGCTCTGATTATTTGTCAGAGTGCCTAAACTTTAGAGGTAGACTTCTTAAATTCAATATGAATTTACTGACTGCCTGGTATGTATGAAGGTAGGGCCACACACAGTGTCTGGCACTTAATGAATGTGATGCTTGAGTCTTGGACAATCGGCTGAGTTCGGACAGACAGATAGGAAAGAGGAGGATAGTCCAGAGACGGACATAGTCAGGGAAAGCGTAGAAACAGAGTCTGATGGGAGCAAAGGTTATGTGACGGCACAGAGTGGGAAATACGACTGTGATGGGGAGGCAGGGTGAAGTAAAAGTCTGTTATGTCAAGGTAGGTTTCTAACTGCATCAAAAGGCAATCAGAGGCTTTGCCTATCACGGGCTTTCAGAAGGCTGTGCCCAGGAGTAATGCAAGTTTGAGACACAAAGAGCAAACCCCTCAGTAAATATCAGAAAGCTACATTTGTTGTATCGTGGAGTAGGGCTTAAAAGACAAGCAGAGATTTGAATTCTCAGAGGTTTCATTTACATTAACTGAAGTAAAAATCACCAGCTTACAGTAATAACAACATCAAGTTACATAATATTAAATTGAAAGTTTAGGGTTTAAAAAGATGCATACCTTAGCATGATGTAAATCTACCCCATACATTGATAATTTTTTGGCATTTTCCAAGAAATGCATCTCTGCTTCTGCTGGCGTCATTCCTCTGATGAGAAGAAAAATATGTTACAATGATGCTTTTCCCTTCCCTGGTAGGCTGCAATATTTCCCACTTAGTTCCATGCTATCTCATAAGAAGTCCTATGGAGGCACCAGCAGATACATGAGAAAAGAATAACAAGAAAAAGGGCTTTGCAAGAAAGCACTACAAACGAACACCTGGATGCTCTGAGTGAGAGCTTGCCCATCTCAGAATTTTACTGTGCATGGACCCACACTATGCTCACGTCTCGCCGTTAATGGACTGAAATCAGTACTGGGAAGAGGTGGGTTGTGTGCGGGACACTCTCCCATCAAGGCACAACTTAAATGAACACCTTTCTGCCTCTAACCTGTGGCTCTTGTGCAGCTCGATCACTTTGTCTTCCAGTTCTTTAGTGTGGTTTGGTGCAAAGCGGAACTCACTAATGTAATCGCTCCCACATTCATCTGGGTCATAGTCTCCGAGCTCTGACTGGACAGTGTAGGAGCCCAGCAAGGCCAGGGTAACAAAGGAGCAGGGCAGCCTTCCGGACACGATGTCATCTCGCAACTGCAAGCAGAGGTAGTACCTTCCAGGAACCAAAAGCACAACACAACGAAGGCAGCATGAGGATACAGGAAAAGGAGGTCGCTTGGTAAAAATCGTGGGCAAATAATTTCTCCCTGTAGAACAGCCTCTCTAGGATAAATTTTCTAGCGTCTATATATTTTGATATTTACTTCATACATACTTGTTCTAGATAGAAGGGAAAAATATTTGGTTACAAAAGACAGTATTTAAAGGCATTTAGAAGCAAGTCGACGTTCATAATAGGGTTTTATTAATAAAGCACAGTCTAAAAGAAACTTAAAGACATATTCTTCTAACATCTTTTAAAATAACTTTTAAAGTCAAATGAACAGTCCCCAATACAGTTCCTGAAATCCTTGGGTGGGGGAATTATAATGTAAAAATGTTCTTAAGTACAGTTATGTGCCACAAAACGATGTTGCAGTCAATGATGGACCACATATAAGATGGTGGTCCCATGAGATTATAATGGAGCTAAAAAATTCCTATTGCTTAGTGACGTCATAGCTATCTTAATGTCATAGCCTAACACATTACTCACGCCTTTGTGGTGGTGCTGGTGTAAACAAACCTACATGTATAAAAGACTAGCACATACAATCATGTGCAGAACTTAATACTTGATAACAAGTGACTACGTTACTAGTTTATGTATTCACTATGCTATACTTTTTATCATTATTTTAGAGTGTACTCCTTCTATTTGTAAAAATAAAAAGTTAACTGTAAAACAGCCTCTGGCAGGTGCTTCAGAGGTATCAGAAGAAGACACTGTTATCCTAGGAGATGACAGCTTCATGTGTGTTACTGTCCCTGAAGACCTTCCAGTGGGACAGGATGTGTAGGCGGTGACAGTGATACTGATGATCTTGACCCTGTGTAGGCCTAGGCTAATAATATATGTGTTTATGTCTTAAGTTTTTAACAAAAGAGTTTTAAAAGTAAAAACAAATTATAAATTTTAAAAATAGAAAAAAACTCACAGAATAAGGATATAAAGAAAGAAAATATTTTTGTGCAGCTGTATGATGTGTGTTTTAAGCTAAGTGTTACAAGAGTCAAAAAGTTTAAAAAGTAAAAAAATTACAGTAAGCTAAGGTTAATTTATTATTGAAGAAAGAAATTTTTAAAAATAAATTTAATGTGGCCTAAGTATACAGTGTTTATAAAGCCCACAGTAGTGTACAGTAATGTCCTGGGCCTTCCCATTCACTCTTCACTCACTCACTGACTCATTCAGAGCAACTTCCCGTCCTGCACGCGCCATTCATGGTAAGTGGCCTACACAGGTGTACCATTAAGAAAAATCTTTTATATTATATTTTTATTGTACGTTTTCTATGTTTAGATACACAAATACTTACCATTGTGTTATAATTTCCCACAGTATTCAGTATAGTCACATGCTCTACAGGTTTCTAGCCTAGGAGCCATGGGCTTTATCCTAGAGCCTAGATGACTAGCAGGCTCTACCATTTAGCTTTGTGCAAGTCCACTCTTAAGATGTTCACACAACAACAAAATCATCTAAAGATGCATTTCTCAGAATGTATCCGCATTGTTAAGTGACATGACTGTGTGATTATTAGGCCCCAATTAGCCTTATGGAAGTATTTTGATATTAAGGTGACAGGTCTTACTATACGAGCAAAACAGATTTCAGGTAACTCAATAGCTATGTCATTATAAACTTCACTCTCAATTTCCTGCATTCTTAATGAGGTAGTCTCTTTATAATAACACAATTTCTCCTGTTTTCAGTTCTCATTTTTAGAATTTAGATAGCTTCTTAAAATCTATCTAAGATATAAAGAATTCCTACCTTAAAATTCGAGAATCTTGTCCCCATAAATAAACAGTTTTAAACTGGAGAAATTAACATTTTCCATATAATTTTGCCATATCATAAAAATATGACCTACATAAAAATATGTTGATTTGTCTTCTCCGTTATTTTGCTTTTGAGACTTACAGATAAATTACTAACTGCCAAAGACCCCAAGGTAAGTGTTAACATTGATGAGTTTTAATAATCCCAAGCACAGCCTAGTATATGGATAGAACAAAGCACACCTGGTACCTTGTATATAAGAAATGAACTGTTCATCTATGGAAGCAGAGGACTATGAGAAAGTTTAAAGGTCCCCTCTAAATATGATTTTAGGCAAGTGACATAAATCCATGTAATTATGACAAAAAAATCCTTAAACATTTAACAGCCTCAGCTCTACAAATATTACATGAGTCAACAGAAAGAAACCATGCACTACATTTTCTTTCTTTTTTTTTTTTTTTTTTTTTTTGAGACGGAGTCTCACTCTGTTGCCCAGGCTGGAGTGCAGTGGCGCGATCTCGGCTCACTGCAAGCTCCGCCTCCCAGGTTCACGCCATTCTCCTGCCTCAGCCTCCTGAGTAGCTGGGACTTCAGGCGCCCGCCACGATGCCCGGCTAATTTTTTGTATTTTTAGTGGAGACAGGGTTTCACCGTGTTAGCCAGGATGGTCTTGATCTCCTGACCTCATGATCCACCTGCCTCGGCCTCCCAAAGTGCTGGGATTACAGGCGTGCGCCACCGTGCCTGGCCCACCATGAACTACATTTTCAAATCCAGGTATATGTGGGCTCTAAAACCACAAATTAGCCAAAATAAAACAGTTCTTCAATAGCAACTAAAAACTATCTTTAAATAAGAAATTATAACTTTTCTCTGATTTATTGCAATATAAAAAATCCTCTGGAACTAATTTTTACCCTTCTCTTAATATGTCTGGTGAAATTATTTTTAACTGTAGCAAGTGATTGAAGTTGTTTTGAGTAATTTCCCTTTTCTGTAAAGCCCTCCAAAAAGAATGCAAAGCTTACACAGAAAATTCTGCATACACTGCACAAAATTGCTTTGACTGGTCATAAACTTACTACGGAGCTGAGCAAGAGAGTAGGGGTTCTAAGGTGAATGGAGAGAAGCCTAGAAGGTCAGAGCACACCAGAACAATGAACTGAGTGTCTGTGTCTCCTCCCCTCCAAATCCATATGTTCGAATCCTACCCTCAAGGTGATGGGATCACAAGGTGGGGGTCTCTGGGAAGTGATTAGGGTGGAGCCCTCATGAATGGGATTAGTGCCCTTACAAGAAAGGCTGGAGAGAGAGAGACCCCCTCACCCTTTCACCACATGAGGACACAGTAAGAAGTCAGCATTCTGCAACCCAGAAGCAGATCCTCACCAGGACCTGACCTGCGGGCACCCTGATCTCAAACTTCTAGTCTCCAGAATGGTGAGAAATAAGTTTCTATTGTTTATCAATCAACCACCCACTTTATAGTATTTTGTTACAGCAGCCCAGACTAAGACATCCAGTACAGCTTTATAATGAGATCCCCTTTCACACTCAAAGCTGTTACCAAACTGAAATATTTTAATGTTTTGATTTCTTGCTTAATATCTTCTTTCTAGAAAACAAATTAATCATTTTCCTTGTATATACAGGACATAGAAATTAAACACTTAAATTTATGTGTGTGTGTATGTGTTGGTTATATAAAAAGCACAAGCATCCAAGGACATTTTTACTCTAAGTATTAAAGCAGAAAAACTAAGAGCTGCTATATCATACAAGGCTGAATTCCATCCAATTTGACTATGGTAGGTGGATGACAGTATCTCAGTTCTGCAAGTTTTCCCACCAGGGTCAAGCAGAGGGAATATCAGCCTGGCACCAAAGATTCAACAGTGAAAAGATAGGAACTGGCAAATCTCATCAGATGTTTGCTCTCGTTCATTTGCCTTTTGTTTGCCATTTGAGCGTGGATGATTGTAAGGCTACCAGATGTAAGCACGCTCTTTCCGGAGCATTTAAGAGAAGCACAACTCTCCCAATATGCTTGTCTTTTGCATAGCCAACTTTCAAATACCTGGTGATATCTTCAGATAGTTGGGCAGGGTCTGGTGGATAAAATTTCACATTAAATGAAAAGTGCCAAGCACCACCTGCAAGGATGGAAAAAAATTAGAGTAAAACCTTGAGAAATTCTTATGACTCTAATCGATGGCCAGAACTGCCTTAACTCCAAGCATTAACACCCAGGCAACTTTTGACCATTAATGGAAAACTGGGAAACCTTGGTCACATGAAATCTACAGATAAGTCTGAAACCTTGTCTAACTTCTAATCTTCTTCCCAATCAAATCCTTTATTGGTACTTTTAACTAGTATGGAAACTGATCAAACTTCCTACCCTTTTCAGAATCAAAGGTAAGCAAGCACTTGGAAGAAGGAAAAAACATGAGTGACACGAATAATCTTCAATCAGATAAGTCTGGGAGTGGCTGGATTTATTGCTGCGAATTTCTGCATAGCTCACAGATCAACACCACAATCATAATTCCCATTTTCTTTGTCCTTTCTGCTCTGTTATTACAGGTCATATCCAATTATAATAAATGTCAAGGGACTATTCAACATACGTTTATTTTATGGGAAAGGTTTGTTGCAGTGAACAGTGTTCTAGTAAGTGGGCTGCTCTGTGGGCTGTTGAAAATTATTTTCTTGCTCAGGGAAATTTTTGATGAAATAGGTACTTGAATGTATTTTCTGCATATTGCCAAATTTTGCACCTGCACCTCCTCAGCCTGAGACTTAGCCAGATCCTCTTTATGCTTTGCAATCTTTATCCTGTGGCCTCTACTCAAGGCCTCTCCAGCACTGAAAAGGGTCAACCAGGAGTCAGCTCACAAGTATCTACTCTCTGTATTGTCAACACATATCCTTGAAACATTATGAAGCCTTAACTAAGCTCCACATCTCATTAACACTAACTCTAATTGTATATGGTTTATCAATATAAACATGGAAAATACCCTTTTCTTTTTTTCCACATTTACTATGTGATCATTACTGTATTCACTCTGTTCTTCCGGCCTTCAAATGCAGTAACTTACCAAAGTCTGGGTATCTCTTCTCTGTGGTGCTGTTCATATTTGTTCCCTCTACCCAAGAGGTACACTAGAGCCTAGGTCCTGCTTGTATTTCGAATGGTTTACTGAAAAATTCCTCCCAGTCCCCCAGGCTTCCACCCTGGAGGTCTTTCACCCATGCCTCACCCAGCGGCCACCGACTTGCCCTTACTCTAGGATTCTGACTTCACAGTCCACCCCTTATGCTTCCAATACTCTCCCAAGACTTCCAAATCTCCCTGTCTCTCCATTAAATGACTTCTGGAAACTCCATTGCTCCATGAGCCCTTCCCAAACATTCAGAAGAAGGTACAGTACTGTATTTCCTAGCTCCTTTCTCTGAACTGTTCTCTTGCATCTGAGGCAATACTTAGCTTCATCAGTTTCTTACATTCTGTCATAAATGGCATAGATCCATCCATGTATTAGTTATAGTTAATTCTTAACACTACCATTGACATCACATTTAAGATTCCACATGGCAGGAACTCTACCTGAGGTGCCCTATAAAGGATTTACCATAGGACCAGGCATTAGTGGGAACTTAATATCATTTTTAAACCATTCAAAATATATCTGTCAGTCAAACACATTTTCGTAATTGTTTTTCCCACTGTTCTCAAAAAAGTACTTCTGCTTTTCCAAAAATATTCTGATTTGGTTTTATTTTCTTATTGATTCCTATTCACTTCCTATTAAAATAGATCCCTTCAACGCTTGCCAGTGGTAAGGTTCATAATGAGATCTGGCTTTCCCCCAAGCAAGTGGAATTAAAACTAATGGATTAGTTATGGGAAATGGATTTATTGCTCTTTTATAATTTTTATTCACTTCAAAGCAGGCCCTGAATCCAATGAATAGTTTAGCAATGTAATTATACAATCTTATAATAAATATCCAAGTTAGACACTAATAAGTAATAAAAAATACAGAAAAGACATTTAATGCAAAAATCCTCATTCTAGGAAAGCAAGTTTCAACCTATAGTGAGCCGAAGAAATACCTGAGGTACTTGTTAAAAATGCCAATTCCCAGGCTCCACCCCAGAGATTTTTATTCCAGAGATTTGGAGTATGGCCTAGGAATCGATGGCTTGAATAAGCTTCCTTATGTTTCTAATAATAAAAATGGGCTTTGGAACCACATTTTGAAAATCACTACTGCTACTAAGGAATCTACTTCCCTAAGGTTATAACACACAAAAAACACATCTTTCAGGACAGTATTTTGAAACAATGGGAAAGTGTACAGAAACTATAATACAATCTACACCCCAATAAAGAAAAAAAAGTCCAGTTAAATGGGGCATAACACTAGAAATTAAGGAGAGAGGCAGATTAAAGCTCAAATACATATCCCCATAAAGAATATGACAGAAACAAATCCACTGAGAAGGAAGTGCTTACGCAATAAATAAGTTTGCAACTCTACATCTGCTCAAATGAGGGCCCTAGTTAGAAAGAGGAAATGAAACAGCTTGAACACATTAAAATGAATATTTCTATAATGCTGATGTGGAATTTTAAGTTACAAATTTATGATAAATAGAAAATTATAACACTGATGATAGTTCATTCTTATGAAAAATTTCTAATGTTAGTCTTTTATGCCAGACAAATCTTAAAATTTCTAATATACTGCATTTATATCATAAAAGTGCGATATATGCTCTATGTCATAAAATTACTGTATCATAAACATACTTAAAATCACAAAATATAGTCTATTTAGAAATTTTAAGATCCTGCATGCTTAAAAGATGACTGGAATAAGAATTTTTTTCATAAGAACTCTTCAGTTTCAAAATTTTGTTTTTTAGAAGCAGGGTCTCACTCTGACACCCAGACTGGAGTGCAGTGGCACAATCACAGCTCACTGCAGCCTTGAACTCCTGGGCTCAAGTGATCCAACCCCCTCAGCCTCCCTAGTAGCCAGGACTAACTAACTACAGGCATGTGTCTCTGCGCTCAGCTAATTAAAACAATTTTTTAAAAAAATAGAAACAGGGTCTCATTATGTTGCCTAGGCTGGGCTTGAACTTCTGGCTTCAAGTGGTCCTCCTGTCTTGGCCTCCCAAAGAACTGGGATTACAGGCATGAAGTTTTAGAATTTTCTATTTATCATAAATTTGGACTTAAGATATTTGTTAGCTCGGTTTCCATTTTCTTAGAGATCTCATTCTAAAGGAATACTGTGAGCCCACAGCATAAAAAGCATGGAAACATCCTTTTATCATTTATATTTTGGAAGTGGAGATGATGGTACAATAATTACATTAGATAAGGTAATACTTCTCTGCCTTGGTTGAATGTAAAATTTTGTGGCAAGAGGGCATTTTAGTGGATGGGAAACAACAAAGAATACAGGTAAAAATATCGAATTCCAATTTTTTTTTTTTTTTTTTTTTGACACGGAGTTTCGCTCTGTCGCCCAGGCTGGAGCGCAGTGGCGCGATCTCGACTCACTGCAAGCTCCGCCTCCCGGGTTCACGCCATTCTCCTGCCTCAGCCTCCCGAGTAGCTGGGACTACAGGCGCACGCCACCATGCCCGGCTAATTTTTGTATTTTTAGTAGAGACGGGGTTTCACCGTGTCAGCCAGGATGGTCTCGATCTCCTGACCTCGTGATCCGCCCGTCTCGGCCTCCCAAAGTGCTGGGATTACAGGCGTGAGCCACCGCGCCCGGCCTCGAATTCCATTTTTAAAGAAATTCCAACTTTCCTTATCTCCTTTATCTGCAAGACTGTCAGTTTTCTTTATGGCAAAGTCATATACACTGCCTAATCTGCATGATAAAAAAATCTTTTAAAACTCTTGTTTTGATTGTCTTGTCCCTTTAGCTTTCTTCTCTTTGAAAGGATGGTAGAAGACACTATAAATGGGAAGTTAAAGAAAAAATGAATCCTATTAATAACAAAAAAGAAAATTAGTTTATACAGCCTTTCCTGTCATGGTATTATGACTTATCCTTGAACATTTTATATATTTTCAAAGTACTTTGCAATTATTAATCAGCTCAGTATTCCATTAATTAGATGAATAAGAGAACTTTATGCACACAAAATGTTAGGATATATATTCAGCATGTCTATTTTAGTAACTCTTTAATACTCCTTAGAAAAATATTTATCTTAATTTTTTTCTTAGGATTCCTCAGAACAAAAAATAAGTAGTGTTTTCACCTATTTATCACAACTACAGCTATCCCTGGTTTCCATCTCAATTAACTGTTTCTATTAACCTAATTTGTTATCAAGTTTCTGGGTAGTGGATACATCAAATTTCCCTCAAACATACGGTAAAGATGTCTTAATTGTATAAATAATCACCCGACTCTCTTATATCTAGAAGTATGGTTATACTTTTGTCTTTCTGGGATATTACCTAGTATTGAACCATTTCCAAACTGCTCACTAGTGATTATGTTTTATTAGTACTTGGGGTATTATTTTGATAGCTCACGACTTTCAAAGGCACTGAGAAGTATTTGCTTGCTCTTTTAATAGTAAACTGTTGAAAAGTTTTACTTATTGAAATGGGAATGATGTTCTTATTAATAAACTGCTCTTAAATGTGTTCTTTAACTAGAATTAGTTGTTTGGAAGAATTTAGACTTTACTGACAAAAATATGAATAAAAACGTAGTTATTTTAAATTAGTATCCATGTTTGCGGCAAAAGTAAGAGCTATCGGAAAGGGTAAAAAAATTTTAAAAACTCCTCCTTCTCAACCCCGACACTGGATGATACTGCTGGAGTAATTACTATTAAAACCTTCCTGCCTTCCAAAAGTTTTCCATGCATCTATACAGACATAATTTTTTAAAAACAAACGTGATTATGCTATAGATAATATTTTGCAAACTGATTTCCACTAAAGAGAGCTAAGATGTATTTATATGGCTCTTCCATGATTGACTTAATAATTTCTTTATACATGGATAATTAAGGTGCTTCTAGTTTTCTGCTACTGTAAATAGTAATATAATGAAACTTCATTTGCTATACAAATGCACATTTTCCTCATTAATAGATATGCTGAATAAATTTCCACAAGTGAAATTAAGGGTCAAAAAGTACAGCTTAAATTTTAATATTGACAATTGCCCTCTGAAATGATTGAACCAACTTACTCTACCAATTGAGTAAATAAGTGCTATAGTTTATTATTAAACCCTAATTCTTTGTTAATCTGAATAGGTGAAAAATGTGTCATTTTAATTTGCATTTAATCATTAGTAAAATTTAGCAACTGTTTAAGACTTATTAGCTACTTGTATTTTAAATTTGTGACTTGCTCATGCAATTGTTTGGTCCATTAAAATACGTATTTTTCAAATTGCCTTCAGGGGACCAGGAAAAGAGGTTGTTACCAGACAGTAAACCTCAGTTTGACTTGTTATTCCTTTTCAAAGCTATGAAATGATTATGACTTTCATCTGGCCTTTCATACTTTTGTGACTGTTGGAACATTAATAATTCAGTTTGGAAGTTTTAAATGGTTAATTGCCAATTCTAACATCAGTTGATTAAATCATATACTTGACATCCATTCACAGGCAGAGAAACAGGCCAAGCATCACGGTCCCTTTAACTCCAAGTTGTGACAACTACAAAATGAATACTATCGGAATTGCCAGATCAAATTTGAGATAAGAAAAGCTTGTATTCACACTAGCCACTTAGGTATGGGCTACCAATTCAGACAACTTGCTCTCTGAAAACCTTCACATTTCCACAAAAAATAATCCAAAAGAACTTACTTCGAACCTGTTTTTTTATTTCCTTAGCAGGGTCCAACCAATTCTGAAAAGGAAATGACATTTTGAATTTGAATCAGAGGAGAATAAAAATGACTTAATGTTGATTAGGTACAGACTCTCCCTAAATGCAGTGCGGAGTTAGTGGTCGTGGGAAGGCTTCCCTTACTGTGGTCCTTCCCCCACATCTGGTGCCCCTCTGCCAAGCCCTCCAAGGGCCCAGGCACTGGTCTAATGAGAAAATGCACATGTATGCAGTTTGGGCCTGACAAAAGTCTTTTTCTTTTATAACCATTGCCTTCAGGGATTCAAGCTAGCACAGAAAAAGAGGGGAAAAGACAGAAGAGTCTATGTTCAGACAAGTTACTAGGATAAATTAAAAATATATGTAACTGGATACACTGATATCCTAGCCATTCAGTTCCACATTAGAGACTTCTGCAATAAAAGATCCTTAGGCATCTACCTAGGAAGCTTCCCTAACAAATCAATAGTTGCCTGTGATTTCCGATTTTCCTCATTGGTAAAATCAGATGTTTAATAATGAAGTGAGGCATTGTCTGGAGAATTCAGGAGGTATTAAGGATGATTTATGGCACAACACCAAAATGAGTAACAACTATGAGCAAAATTTCTGACTCAGCTTCCAGTGTCAATGCAATGGAAACGATTTCCTTTTCTGTATTTCTCAGGTAGTTGCGTGGATTAAGGAGATACAGCCCTGAACACAGTCTACAGAGGTATTGCATTAAACATAAAACATCTACTAAACATATTAGACAAGTGTCAGGTCAGCACACAATCCCCCTCATATTCTGATTCAGAAACATTATGAAAGCATAAAAAGATAAATGAAAAATAGGACAGCAGCAATGGTGAACTGCCCTGACAGTTTATGGGTTACAATCATAATATCGTCATAGAATTTTGGGATATGAGCATGATTTTTACATAAATATCAATTGATTTTCATTGGTTCAAATAATCTACTGAAACACATTACTCCCCCCAACCCCACCCCGGCAAAAGGAACCACATAAAATGCTTTCCAGGAACCACAAATAATTCAAGCATGAAAAACAAGGCTTCATTTACTGTTACCAGAATATTCAAGATTAAAGGAAGCTGTCAGTGATTTCCTTCATCAAGGAATAGATGATTAACAGCATTTACAGACTCAAAGTAGAAAGTGTGGGAGAATGAAGGGAGGTGGAGAAAGTGATCCACCCATTCAGTTTCAGTTCACTTTCTGGCAGTAATGAGCAGTTCAAGCCATCTTATTTTGCATTGCTTTTGATCACTCACCTTCTGGTTTTCAGCATCTCGATACGTAAGCCCAAAGTAGTCTTTCTCTAGCAAGTTCAAGTGTTCACACACTTTATCAAACAGCACTTGTCCTCTGGAGCGTTTCTACAGAAAACAGAATAGCAAAGCAAGTCAATACAACACAAAGAAAGTTCTCCCAAATATCAGAGATAAAACCAGGTAATATTTAAAACATTGCTTGGTGTAACTTTAGGGAGTGACCAACAGTGTGATCACATTGCCATCTCCTGTTTAAGTGCAAAAATGGCTAAAAAATGGCAGGGGAGGGCGAAGGCTTCAACCTACAAAAGCCCACCCCACAAATAAACAAAAGCAAAGTATCAACAGCGCTACTTAGTATGTACAGGTGACCAGTGGGTGATTTCTAAATGGAAGCAACTGGGGAAAATAATGTGATGCTTGGAAGCCTAAATATGTGAAACATAAAAATTCTGACAGTGAAAGAGTACATAACAAACCAACAAAAGCCATAATGCAGAGTGCCCTAACTCAATTATCTAGATCAGGAGTCCTCAGCCCCTGGGCCATGGACGGTTACTGGTCCATGGTCTGTTAGGAAGAGGGCTGCACAGCAAGAGGTGGGTGGCAGGCGAGCAAGCATTGCCAACCTGAGCTCCGCCTCCTGTCAGATCAGTGGCAGAATTTCATTCTCATAGGAGTTCGAACCCTATTGTGAACTGTGCGTGCAAAGGATCTAGGTTGCGCGCTCCTTATGAGAATCTAATGCCTGATGATGTGAGGTGGATCAGTTTCATCCCAAAACCATCCTCCACCCCAGTCCATAGAAAAAAAATGGTCTTCCATGAAACTGGTCCCTGGTGCCAAAAAGGTTGGGGACCGCAGCTCTATGAGATAAACTTCTGAGCCTGAGAAGAATTAACCCTGCTCCTTGTCTTAGGCAGACTCTCACTTAAAACCTATCCCAAATCCTTAGTTAGAAATTCTAAGGACCACTTTCTAAAATCCATTAAACAAATTTCATTATTTTTGTTTTGTTTTTCTTTTGTCACAAATTTCAGTTTATACAGAGTTTTTCTCTTAACTTTTTTAGAGCAAATCCTTATTAAACATAACAAAATATTCAGTTTAAAGAATACTTGAGTTATCATATATAAATACAAAATAGGGATATATGAGTTATATTTCTGACCATCAAGCCAGCATCTGGAGAAAAAGATGGTCATTTGGAAAAAAAATTCATCAGCTTAATTTATTGTGACGTATCATTTTTTCACCTAATCCTTCAAAGGCCTTTAAACATAGTCATGAAGTCTGTGACGAATTAACTGACAACAAATAAACTAAATGAGTTTTTTGTTTGTGCGCTACTAACATTTTACATCTAATACATTAAGCATATTTGTCTTTAAGAGTTAATGTAATACCAATGAGAAATATGAAAATTGATCAACTATGTCTATGCCAAAATAATAAGCATTCAAAAGACCTGTGAGTCGTGTGTTGTGTTATAGTGCAGCTGTAATTATGCTGAAAGCAATTACGCAGTCCCCTCAAGCATGACTATTTAGGAGAAAAGGCAAATTTATGGTAGAAAAGTAAGGCCTAAATCATAGCTAGCTAAATAATCGATGATGTATTTGGAAAAAACAGTTCCATAAAGTATTATGAAAATAAATTACTCGTTAGCAAAACTACATAATAACATTGCTCATCGGCTATGAATAAATATTTCGACAATGAAGCGCCTGCTTGCTGGTTTAAATCATTTGTTTATAAATAACAGCATATTATTTCTGAATAATATTTATAAATAACAGCATATTATTTCTGAATAAGCCTTCACAAATTATGAAGTTTTCACAAAAATTGGTTCTTCTGATGCTTCTATTGGTATGATCTCTAGTTCACAGGTAAGAACAGAGGTTCAAAGCAGTTGGATGAGAGAGGCAGACTTATGTGATGACCTGGGAAGTAGCTTTAGAATCAAGTAAACCTGTGCTTGAATCTTCAGGATGTCCCTTGCAGCTATGTAAAATGGGTATGACACTACTTACTTCTTTGGAATGGATGACATTAAAATCAAATAATGTATTCAAATGTGGCCTAGTGGTGGCATATATTAAGCATTCCATAGATGTCAGCTATTATTATAGCCTGGTGGCTGACAAACAGTAGAATAACTAATGTAGAGCAGATTATTATGCGTGTTTTCTATAGGAGCACATATCCAACTCCTGGTGGTGCCAATAAGCAGCTTTATAATTAACATGTCCCACTCTTTAGATATTAGATGCCTGCTTACTACCTAATTGCTTTAGCTAGACTACTTTTTTTTTTTTTTTTTTTTTTTTACCTACATACACACAACGTAGAAAAATACATATCAGTGTCTGGCCAAATACTTTCTCTATGTGTAAACAAAAACCAAAACAAATGCAAATACAAAAACTTTTCTCTACAAGGCTTCACTGGACCCTATGCCTCCTACATTTTCTGACGCAAGAGACCACAGCCATTTCTCAACGGAGGAATCGTTTCTGAATATGCTGCAGGCGCCCTGGTTACAGTTCCAATTCGCCACTTTCTGGCTGCTGTGTTCTTTCCTTTGCCTAACAAGAGGCATGGGTTAGCTCAAACACAGACTGTTAATGCTACCTGGCTCTCACTTTTCTGGTTCCTCGCAATTTGATTTCTATTAATGAGTCCCATCCTTCTCTTAAATAGACCAGATCTTTTCTTACTGAATATTTTAAACATATTTTAAACACTGGTTTTAAAGACAATAACATACTAGTCCACACTGAAGATTTTTTTTTTCTAATCCTTAGAGCTAAGACCAGTTGTCTGGTATCAGCTGTAGATGGTTATATCATGGGATGGAAGCAATGAAATTCTTACCTGCTAAATATCAGCATGGCCACCAGCCAGCTGGATGACTATGGAAAAGGCTTTTAAGTTATTCGGGCCTCCATTTTCTCATCCTTGAGTGGGGATGTAAGATTCTACTGAGCAAGATGTTTATGGGCTTGAGGCTCTAACTGGGCTTCCCTTTGCAAACCACTAATGGATTGAGGCACTCTCTCCCATTGCACCCAGATCGGGCATCAGCATCCTTCTACACGTCATGATGAGAAAGATGCTGCCAACGGATGGAGGTGGGACATGACATGAAACTTATTTTCCAGCCCTGGACTGGATCCCTTCTCTCCCAACTCTAAAAATGTCTTGATTCTTCTAACCCAGATGATTTTTTTTTCTAGCATATTATTCAACTTTTCAAGTCAACTAATTCTACTTATTGATATCTGCATGTGCCTGCAGGTAATCATGTTTACCATATATGACTAAATCTCAACAATCAATCAGACTGGAAATTTTGGAGAAATGATGTTTATTATGGTTCCAAAAGACATGTTGTTCTTTAAGTGATCAAATCATTGGGTGTGGTTACATGCTATACTATGAGTCAAGAACTGAGTATATTTTTTAAAAAAATGGATAGAGGTATTCTAAACTAATGAATAATTACCTAATCAGAAAAGACTGATATTTTGGTCTTACAATTATTTATGAGTGGTTATTTCTGACTCAAAAGCATTCAGTTTGTATATACTATTCAGTATGATATCATCCCCAAAATGTGATTTTACTTTCCTAGAGTAACAAACCAACGGTGGCTTGCCCTCTTCTTAAAATTTCCCCTGACAAATTGCATTTCTGTTTCTGATAGAGTAAATGGACATACTGAGTCCAACAATCAAGAAAGTTTTAAATGAAATGTCCTAAAAATGGCATATCTCCAAGCAACTTAAACAAGTTTCATGACTTTTTACATTTTTTCTTTAATTAAAAAATTTTCTAAATTGATTCTTGAAATTGTTAGGTGTTAGGAGATGTTTGTCAAAAGAGAACTTAAAGAGAATGAAAAGGGAAGCCAGAGACTGGCTGAAAATATTTGCAAAACACGTATCTGATAAAGAACTGGTACCCAAGATATACAAAGAACTCTTAAAACACAGTAAGAAAACAATCCAATTTAAAAATGGGCAAAATATCTGAACTTACACCTTACCAAAGATATACAGATAGCAAATAAGCGTATGAAAAGATGTTCCAAATCAAACATCATTAGAGAACTGCAAATTAAAACAACAGCGAGATACCTCCAAACGTATGTTATAATGGCTAAAATCCAGAACAATAAAAACACCAAGTGCTGGTGATGATGTGGAGCAACAGAAACTCTTATTCATTGCTGACAAGAATGCAAAATGGTAGAGCCACTCAAGACAGTTTGGCAGTTTCTTACAAAACTAAACCTATTCTTGCAGTATTCAACAATCATGCTCCTTGGTATCTACCTAAATGAGTTGAAAACGTATGTCCACTCAAAAACTTGCACACAAATGTTTATAACAGTTTTATTCATAATTGCCAAAACTTGGAAGCAACCAAGAAGTTCTTCTTTATGTGAATGAAGACACAAACTGTGGTGCATCCAGATAACGGAATAATGTTCATTGATAAAAGAAAAAATGAGCTATCAAGATATGAAAGAACCTTAAATGCATACTGCTAGGTGAAAGAAGTTCATCTGAAAAGGATGCATACTGTGTGATTCCAACGACATCAGTCTCCCATTGTCCATGGGATTTTACGTTCCAAGGCCCCTAATGGATGCCTAAAACCACAGATAGTAGTGAATGCTACATATTCTGTTTCTTCCTATACATATATACTTATGATAAAGTTTAATTTATAAAATAGGCACAGTAAGAGATTAACAATAAGTGATAGTAAGATAGAATAATTACAAAATATACTGTAATAAAAGTTATGTGAGTGTAGTCTCTATCTCTCCCTCAAAATATCTTATTGTACTGAACTCACCTGTTTTCAGACTGTGACTGTGGGTAAGTGAAACCGTGGAAAACAGAATGGGGAAGTGAGACTGCAGATAATGGGGGGGACTACTGTACATATCATCCTGGAAAAGGCAAAACTAAGGGAAAAAGGCAAAACTAAAGGCAAAAAGACCAATGGTTGCTAAGGGTTTGGGGGTGGGGAGGGATGAATAGGCGGCTAACAGGGGATGTGGGGGACAGTGAAACAGTCCGTTATCTGTATGATCATGAAATGGTGAACGCATGACATTATGTATTTGTCAAAACCCCCAGGATGAACAGCACAAAGAACAAACTGTAATGTAAACTATGGACCTTAGTCAACAATAATGTGTCAATATTGGCTCATCAGTTGTAACAAATGTGCCACACTAATGCAAAATGTTAAAAATAGGGGATCCTTCCTGTAAGAAATAGCAAAAAATAAAAATAGAGAAACTGGGGGGGGTGAGGGGAAGAGTGTGAGGGGGTATATAGGAACTCTGTGCTTTCTGCTCAAGTTTTTCTATAAACCTAAAACTGCTCCAAAAACATACATCTACTAACTAAAAAGAGAAAGACAAAAATACATTCTTAGTTTAAATTGTTAATAAAATAATTAATTAAAAAGGTTAGTAAAAAAAAAAGTTAACCTCCAAATGATTTTACTTTTATCATGAGTAAATACAAACTTAAAATTTTCATTGAATCGACATTTTAGAAAATTCAAAACTTAACCTGATAATTCTCCACTTATCTTGGTTTTCCCCTTGAAATTAACTTGCCTAAGAAACTATGTCATTTGCCTGTGGAGTTCTTTCAGTGTAGATTCTCCTGTTTGCATCTTTATGGTGTAATTTACCAGCTCTCCCAGTCTCCTGAATCGCCCCTGAAGTGGGAGTTACATCTAGAAACTTCGTCAGGTTCCGGTTTGTTTTCCATAAATGATACTTCATTAGGAAGCACTACGTGACTGCCTGATTTTTTTTTTACATGTGTGACATTAGCAGTCACTGATGACCATTGCCCTGTATCATTCATTCCAGACTGCAAAATGGTGATATTCTAATCCGAATCATTCCTTCTTCATTTATTAACTGGAGCATGTTTATAAAGAGGTATTTCCTTTTGTCAAAACTATTTGTTTACCCAGTGACACAGTTTAATTATGAAAATGAAGATAAATGCTTGTTTCTCTCCCTTTATCCATTTTCAAGATGATGAGTTGGCTCCCTAGCATCACCCAAAGTCACCAATTAGATCTTTTGGCTTCATACTATCATGATGAGCTCACTGAGTTAAACAGTTCTGATGTGTTTCAATCCATCTCAGGCATTACCCATAATGATGCTCTCAATGTCCCACATGTTCTGCTTTGCCTGTTAAGTCCTCTCATCCTTCAAGGGGTTTCCCCAGTGCCAACTCTCTGAAGCATTTCCTGTCTTCCCAGACAAATGTGATTTCTCTCTCCTTTGGACTTTGTGGCACTTTATGGCAGCACTTTCTATATTCTGCCTTACATCCCAGCTGTGTCTCTGGGCACTCACTTCATATCCCTGACCGTAAAGACATTTGCAATGGCATTGGGCCTCCTGCATGTCATCTTTCACAGGGCCTCTTTCTTTGTCAAATGCCATTGAGAGATTAAAACAGTAACTTGATGAAACTTTACAAAAGTATTTTTCTCACTAGCAAGCCGTAAGCAATGACACCGAAGCAATGTTTTAAACTAGTGGTTTTCAACAGTGGATCCTGGGGGCACTTAAAACATGTCAATGTCCAGGCCCCTATCTCAGGTCAATTAAATTGGAATTTCTGAAGTTGGGCCAAGGCAACTGCTTTTTGTTTTGCTTTGACGGAGTCTCACTCTGTTGCCCCGGCTGGAGTCCAGTGGCGTGATCTCGGCTCACTGCAACCTCTGCCTCCCGGGTCCAAGTGATTCTCTTGCTTCAGCCTCCCAAGTAGCTGGGATTACACCTGCCCGCCACCACGTCTAGCTAATTTTTGTAATTTTAGTAGAGACATGGTTTTGACACTTTTAGTAGAGACATGGTCACTCGAACTCCCTGACCTCAAGTGATCCATCCACCTCGGCCTCCCAAAGTGCTGAGATACAGGCATGAGCCACCACGCCTGGCTGACATCTGCATTTTTTAAATATACCCAGGTAATGCATGCTGGTATGCTGGTATGGCTGAACAGTCACTTTAAATTAAAATATGTTTGCAACTTATAAATTTTTAAATATGAGGACTCTAAAAATATTTTACTTTTTTGGGAGGAAGTATATAGCTTTTTCGGATTTCGTCTAGGCCAATATTCATAGTTGCATTACAGTAAAATTGGTTTACACAGACACAAGTGCCTAAAATCCTTTTTTTTTTTTTAGAGGCAGGGTCTCACTCTGTCACCCTGGAGTGCAGTGGTGCAATCACAGCTCACTGCAGCCTTGACCTCCTGGGCTCAAGCAATCCTCCCACCCCAGTCTCCCAGTTAGCATATAAGCATGTAGCATCATTTCCGGCAAATCTTATAAAAATTCTTCTGTAGAGATGGGGTCTTTCTATGCTGCCCCAGGCTTAAAATCTGAAGACATTCATTCCAACACATTTTCTTGAAAAATAAAAGTTCTCAGGAAATGATAAACTGGCCAAATGCTAAAATAAAATGACACAAATGAGAAAAACCACTAAACTCTCGAAAGAAACGCAAAAACACTAACTTCCATTTAAAGCTATGAATACAATATAAGAAAACCAGAAATGTTTAAAAATTTGTTGTGTGTGTGTGTGTGTGTGTGTTTTTAAAAAACGGAGACAGTTTCCCTTTGTATAGTTAAAATACACTTTTACTCAAGATCCTGTCACATTACTAAAGAATGACCCTTAGTAGGTTAATAAATGTCTTGATCTCCCCTTTTCTAATAGAGCAGGAGCATTCACATCTTCCCTAGCAGGTGACTGGGGTGACTGACGGGTACAAACACCTGGCACTGAGGCCAGGGAGGACAGCTCTCCTTGGCACAGCTTTCTCCAAAATGGGCATTGCCTCCATTCCTGAATCCCTATAAATCATCTCTTAGTCTGTGCCCAAGACAATGAGTGCAAAAGCAGGAAGGCACAAATTGCGCCAAGTCTCAGCACTGGACTACAATAAAATGTGTTTGGGTTTTTTTCTTCAGTCTTACAAAGCTATGAATCAGCCTGAGTGAAGCCCTCTTCTGGCACAGCTGAAATTAGAGAAATCTGTCAAGTCAAAAACTGTCTTTTAGCCTTGGAAGACAGGGTACAGTTATCTATCTGAAGCTGTACAATCATGAAGAGAATGAGGAGAGCAAGTTGTTTTGCATGAGAACTGGAGCTAAGCAGCAGTCCCTGCTGCTCAGGAAGGAATGGGGTTCCTGCATCAGAAGGTGTGTGCATTGGCAAGGCTCTTCAGGATGCATGCATGCATTTCTTTAGACAATAACGTTGAAAAATGAAAATAAAAAAGCCTCCTGCCTATGCTGGCTTAGGCTCAAACCCACTCATGTTAATACATGAAAATATGGAGAGCTACAATATTGAAAATTTCCAGCAAAACTGATGCTTCTGTATCCTTATTTGAGGGGCTGTCTACACCGTAAGTACTTCATTCTCTCCATCACCTATCTTCCTCAAATAGACCCCTGATTTTCTTTTGGAAGTTATATTTCTTCATGAGTATAGTATTTTGTGAACTCCTATTTCTGCTCCCTGAGGATGGAAAACTGCTTGTCCTTTTTACTGCCCTGGTACAGTGTCCTGAACACAGCAGGCATTCGATCTATGTGTCTAAGAAGTGCTACTGACAAGAATTTCAAGAAAGAATTTCTTCTCACATTATTTTGGACGAATCTAACAAAATGTCATCTTTTTCCCCCCATGCTTCCTGCCCTAATTGCATTTTTCCTCACTGAATGCCTTTTCATTTTCCTCACATTTAAAGGTCACTTGAACTTGTCTTTATTTCTAAATGACTGCACTACCATTTACCTCAAGGATGGAGACTCTAAAGAGTTCGGCAAACTCTCTGGGCCACAGCTTGAGCCCAAATCAGACACCTGGACTCTGTGTAAGTCACCTTTCCTGGGCTTCCTTTTTTTCTAACGAATTCTTGATAGAAAAATACTCTATAACATTGCCTTGAAATTTAAGCGGAGAGTGTGTTTTTTTTTTGTTTCCTTGTTTTTTTTTTTTTTTTTTAATCCATACTTGGAAAATGCCAAAGCGCCGTGGTCAAACCCAGGAACAAAAGATGATGGTGTCTGGTCTGGGACAACAGAGTCCATAAAGCCTTAGAAAGGGCTGGAGCTGGGAAGCCCTAAGAAGAAAGACAAGGCACCAGCTATCCTATGTGAATCTCCTGCCTTTTTGGGCTGTCTCAAGTGTACATGCAATGCCACGTTTAATAAGCATGGAAAGTCCATTATCCACATCACTACTGCCAGAATCCATTCTCAAGAGGCAGGACTTAATGGGATCTTTCAGCCTATGTACTAATCCCAAATGTGGTCCAGGCAGCATATTCATAGAGGGCTGACATGAGAGGCAGAGATCACATTTCTTCTCTCTAGATGGCACATATATTGTCAGTCCTTTCTTTAAATTCATGAGCAATCAGCTCTTCAGAAAACCATGAGGGTAACTACTTTCAAACATTCATCAGTCAATCAATAATTGTTCTATCACATTCTCATTTAATCAAGTTAGCAATAATGATCTGGAGCCTTCTGTTAAAATAGGAATATGAAACTACTTCCTGGTCTTGGTAAATTTATAAACAAAATAGTGAACATGTGTGTTTAATTTCCAGGTCTAAATTATCTAGAGATGAGAATTCATCTGGCATTATTTAAACACCTTTAAGTTGGATATTCCTACCCACTGAAAGTTTGTCTTCCCATTATTCAAGTGCAGTATATTAGACAGTCCCAAGGCTGGACTCTGGTTCTACAACTAATCAGCTCTGTAATGTTAGACAAGTTATTTAAACCTCTCTGAGCTTCATTGTTTTCATTATAAAATGGAAATAATACTGGTACTTATGCAAAGGATTGTTGTATTAAGATAAAACACTGGAAAGCACATTGCCTAACTCATGGGAAGCATCAACAATAAATGCGGGTGATTATTATTAGGCCTTTTTCATAAGGAGCCTGATAAATTTAAGGTTTCTAATGCTGAATTTGGAATAGAGACTGATGTACTATTAAAATCCTATTTATTCTACAATGAAATCATAGAAAACAAATCATACCATTACTCTTACGAAAAAAAAAAATCCCTTCTCTTTACATAGGTAAAACTGGGAAATTATTCAAAAATAGTATTGATATTAGTAAACTGAGTCTACATTCAATTTTTCTTTTCAAACACACACTCCCAGAACAGTTTTAAATACATATTGGGTATACTGGCACATTTTGGTATTATGCATTGTAAGCCATATAGCAATGTCCAAACTAGATTGGGCTGTTCACATGCAGTAGAGTTGACCTATGTTTTGACTTAGATTCAGTGCGCAAACACTTCAAGTACATACATGACAAAAGTACCTCCCTACATATTAAGCCCATCTACCTTTCTTTAAAGGTGCTTTTTTTTTTTTAATTGGTTCCTGCCTTCATTTGTTGTAATTTCCGTCTCTACTTGAAACCAGACTTTTGCACTCAGAGATGTGCACTGTGGTAGATGATGGCTTTCCAGTGAAGCACGCTTCTTCTTGGCTAGCAGAAACATTGGGCTTGATTTTTTGCAAAGAGTTTCACATCACACATACGAGATGTTGGCAGCAAACTGTCAGACAACATTTCCTGCTGTGGATTCAGGTCACTAAGCCAACGCATGCAAAATGAACGCAGAAAAGGAAGTCTAAGAAGGAGGAATGTTTGAAACAGACACGTACTTAAACCTGAATCACGTAAAATAATCATATTAGCTAATTCTGAATGACGTGAAACTTTGAGAATTTTCCTGTGAGAGGAAGTACTTAACTTCTTTTGTAAGAATTCTCAAAAAAACCCCTAAACAAACAAAACTTGAATTGTGATTTATAATTCATTTGGTCAAATGAAGAGCTATATGCAACTCAAATATAGACAATAAAAACACCACTTTCAATAATATGAATTTAATGAGTATGAATTTGTAGCACTGTCACTTTTCAATTCTGTAAGACACTGATAATCAAAAAACATGAGAATAATATTGTCATTGCTTTAAAAAACTATGTACTAAGTGAATCTGTGTCCTTTCCTGTCCATCAACTGTTTAAGCCTATATTAGTAGGGCAAGGCTGAGAATAAATAGAAAGAGAAAGAATATCAAGGTATTACATAAACCACCAGCATATTTAAAGATGTAATGATATATCATTTCACCAGTTAAATATGTGTTTAAATTAAAATGATCTTATAATCTATGTAAGACCTGTAATGAAATGTAAATAAGTGGTTAAAAAAACAGGACATGCTCACACTGTAAATGATGCTTCATTCAGTCTTGTCTGCACTTGCGCATATCATATTTTAGATGAGTATTTAAAGTCCAGTAGATAGGGGAAGAAAAAACCTTCTCAATCATTAAATATTTTGATTCTGTATACTTTTTGGTTTTTGTTTCTGATACATGTAATACCCTGTTTGAGCCACTGAGGGGTATAGTTGGGTCTACACATCAAAGGTCAGTATTGTTTTCTAACATTCCTCTATCAGGGCATCCTGGCTTAATACTGCGTGAACCCACAATCCCAGAAAGCCAGTGCTAATCCTCTTTGCCCAGCCGTTCCCACTCCTGTGACAGGGGTAAGGAGGAAGCTGCTGAACCCTGCTAAGAAGATGGGAGGCCTGGTCTAATTCGAGAACCAGACACGGCAGGCCCTGTCTTCTGGGCTCAGCCCAGTGAGAAGCTGGAGCAGCAGGGAGGCGCGCTCACTGCAGCGATCCCGTGGCTCAGCAACCTGCAGGGAATGGTAGTCACTGCTCCTTCCCGAATCTCAGATGACTATTCCTTTAAGTTCTGTGGTTACAATCTGTAAAACATATGAGTAGCATTTGCAAATGGTAGTAAATAACAATCACATAAAAACTGAAACCATAAGGCAAACCGCACTCTCAACATGGCTTCAAGATAGGTACAGCCTTTTCCTGTAAGCAACAACTCTACCGTTCTTTTATCTGTAGGAAAATCGCAAACATTCTATTCAAGCAAAAGTAAAAGATTCCATACATGTTTAGACTGCACTGTTTTTTCTCTGCTTGTGATAAAGCAATTGTCTTTCCTGGAGCTTATCTGCCCTCGGGGCTGAACTTGAGTAAGGTTCAGGACTGAGGGGCTCGGGAAGCTCTGCTCCCCTGCTTTTTTGGAAGTCTTGCTGATCCTATAAACCAGCTCTCCTTGCTTTCATCTGGTGGAACAAGTGATCTCGGATGGCACAGTAGGCAGTGAAGTGAAAATTTAGGGAGGTCATCCCTGAGACTGTATCACTTATTTTAACTTCTGTTTTTACCATTGAAAAAGAAAAAAACACACACACACAGATCTCAGGGAGAAGAAAGCTATATGACAACATCACGGTTTAGCTATCAGATTCAGTAGTGAGAGATGCTTCTGGTACACAGACAGCAAAAGCCTAACTGTGGAAAGACCCTGCAGGGGCCTCCCAGGCTTGCCTGCCTCTGTGACTTCCCTGCTACCTCACCTCGCTCCCTGTGAGGCTCTCTCCTGCAAAGAGGAGACTGTACACACACCTCCACGCCCCGAAGCCTTCTACCCGTTCGTCCTTCTCTCCACCACTCAAGCACCCCTTCCTCAGGATTCCACCCCTGAACTGCAGGACTAGGTTACATCTCAGGGAAGCTGTTTTCATAGCTCCTGCGTTGCCACTGTCAGGGGGGCACTTTTATTTTTGTTTGTATTAGAATTTGAGTTGTGGTCGGGGTAGCCTACCTGTAAGCTATATCCACTCACCACTGTATTCTTACAGTGCCGGGCATCGAGCAGAAACATTTTTTTAAAAATATCAAAGAAAATCAAGCTAAATAAATGCATCTGGGGTTCATTTCCTGCTTTAAGACTCTTGAACAACTGCTCTAATCTTTGAAATTTGTTCATGACCAATTTGTTTATATTTCTCTACCATGCAGGTATAATCTTCTCTGGCTAGAACTACAGTGTTGAATTTTTACCCCCATTCTTGTAAAAAGAGAATACTTTATTCCCACAAATGAAAAACCTGTTTTTTAATGTTCCACCTCAAACATCATATAAAGGTTAACTTCCCGATAAACTTCTCAAATTTTCCCCAAGGAGTAAGTGGTCTTAAACTGTGGTTTTACTCTATTACTTTGATTTGATACACATTTTATCCTTCACAATATAGAAAAATACATGATGGATCATGGTTTCTAAGGAGAGGTCTTGGCTAAACTGTATTAGGCCACTCGAATCGCCCAGTTATCAACACACCTGGATCTGGACACCATCTGATTAGTGGGTGTGATCATCTGATGAATGCAGACAGCAGTTCTGGGCATGGTATGGGGATGTGTCTTGGATTCCCTTCTTAAATTCAAACTCCTGGATAACTAGGAAAAATATTCTCTCGCCCTATCTAACTATAGAAAAAAACACATGAATAACAGTTTGGAAGCATTAACTATTAAATATGTAATTGGTCTTGTACCTAAAAAGACTGTTCTAAAACTGAAATTGATATTTTTGTAGCAGTCACCATATTTAGCGGACTAACAGTTAATAATCCTATAAACGAAATGAACTAATTGACATAACTGGGCACGTATTTTGCTTTGAGGTTATCTTGAAGACTAGAGAAAAAATTACATTGCTCAAGCTTAAATGTCCTATGAGTGCTTTAAAATTTTCATGGGTTAAAATTATTGAAGTCATGCTCTATAAAGTACAGTTTTGGGATCTTGAGTATGCCTTTGTCTCTAAAATGGCCTAGATCCAAATTTTTGAGGTATATTTTAACCTCAGGCACTTCCATGAACCACATCCTTGCAGGAGGGTGATATTCTCTTTGTGAATATGTTCTAGTCAAGCCCTCACCTCTCAGGAGAAGATGCCCATCATCTCTAGTTCTGATATTTTAAAATACAGCTCTGAGTTCAGGCATGGTAGAGCATGCCTTTAGTCCCAACGACTCAAGCGGCTGAGGAAAGAGGATTGCCTGGTCCCAGGAATTGGAGTACAGCCTGGGCAACAAAGTAAGACCCCATTTCGAAAAGAAACCAACGAATATATAGCTCTGAAATATTGCCTAGATATTGTAACCATCTGGATCCCATTCATTGGCTTCTAGTAGGAAGCCAATTAATTTGTGTATTGAGAGCCTAATGTCCATTGGTCTCTTTTTTTTTTTGAAGGCCTTATCAGATTTATTATGAATTATTAATTTTTGACTTTTGCTTTTTGTTTAAGTTTTCTAACTGAGTGTTGGGCATACCCATAACTTAACTATAACCTTGGTAGCTGTTTTAGATCTTTTTGAGGATAAAAAGAGAAAATAAATGTATTTTTAAATCTTTCATTAATTAAAATGAAAATTTCTGGTTATATAAAGGAAGTTCTTAATCTGTATCTACTGAATGAGAATGTTTTAAGCTGCAATCCTCTTACGGAAATAAATTCAGAAATTATATATTCCTGGGATATTCTGATTTCTCTTCTGCTAATAATATCAGTGTGTAACAGACATACTTATGCATTTGATTATACATGATGCACATATCAAATGAATGCAATCAAAATGTATCCTTTTTTTCTAAAATAAACTATTATCATAGAATCATAAGGAAGGAAAGACTGCAGACTATACAAAATTATCTCTAGAAGATGACTTTTAAATTTCTCTTTTATTTTTAAACTTTTATTTTAGAGTTGGGGCACATGTGCAGATGTGTTATATTGGGATATTGCATGATGCTGAGGTTTGGGGTACAGTTGATCTTGTTGCCCAGGCAGTGAGCATAGTATCCAATAGGTCATTTTCAGTCCTTTCCCTGCTCCTCTCTCCCTCATTTTGGAGTTTCCAGTGTCTATTGTCCCTATTTTTGTGTCCATGTATGCCCAGTGTTTAGCTCCTACTTATAAATGAGATTGTGCAGCATTTGGTTTTCTGTTCCTACATTAGTTTGCTGAGGATAATCACTGGCTGCTTTTCTCTGCTGACTGGATCAGTGGGTTCATGGCTGCTACACATGAGTGGCCTCTCATTTGGGTTCTCTCAGTAATGATCCTTCAGGGTGATGTCTGGGAAACAGCACACTGCAGGCACATCCCATCTTCTGTGATACTCCCACCATCTAAACTTGTTAGGGAAGGAACTAGGAAGTCCATTTTGGCCCCATGTCCATGCCATATTCTCCAGTTTTATCCATACCAAAACTCCTGTGTCTAAAAAATGTGATATATATATACACATAGATATGTATTTGTACGTGTGTGTATGTGGATGTGTTATGTGTACTAAACATCACAACAAGTTGCATCTCACATACATAATGAGGAGCATAATCTCAAACTGATGAATCATTACTTAATGGTTATTAAAGGTTTGCTTGAGAGGAAGAACAATCAGTGAGATGTTTCTGATGGCTGTTCATAGTCCACTCCTTGAATAAGCTATCAGAGAGCTGCAGTAGAGAGTTTAATCTTAAACTGGCCCTGGAATAAACTCACTTCTTTTCACCTACCAAGTTGTTTTTGTGGCATGGACACCGGGTTGAGGCTTCCTCCTCTGTGCCTGTTAGAGATCTCAGAACATGCATTTTGTGGATTAACCTCATGCTTGGCTTCCTACTCTCATTTTCTCTTGGTCCGCTTTCTACATATTTATTTTCTCTTTGTTATACTGGGTGCATTTATGTAAAACAGCCTAAGTCCTTGCTAGAACACGGTGGGGTTTAAATAATAGAAACCCCAAGTTAAAGTAAAATTCACTTTTGAAATATTACATTTCCAGTTCTGGTGGTGGTGTTTTATTTTTTTCCCCCCTATCATGAGGAATTTGCAGTCATCATACTATTAAAGAAAGTTTTGTAAGTCGTGACGTCTGGGCAGTATTTTTTCTAAAGGAATAACTGGAGACATTAACTGGAGCATTTTGCTTGGGGTAATCATTTAAAACCATTCATGTGTTTTACAAGCTCAGTCTAATGGCATTTCCCTAAGGAATGTGGTGCCTCTTTAGTGACTTTATTTGCTGTCACCATGGCATTCCATAAAAAATAACAAGTCTCTGTATTCCTTCCAGTTTTCCAAACACCATAACAAGAACCAATTCCTTATGCTGCCTGTGCGTCTGCAAACCATCACTTATGTCTATAAGCAGCAGCAGGGAAAATGAGGTGCATTCCTAAGTGCAAATAGGACTTAGAATTTTCTCATGTGCTTATTAGAAAAGGACTCCAAATGTACATACATGTTAAACACAGCTGTCTGTCATGCTGAACAGATACATTCTTATACAACAAAGATATCTTGTTTATTGACAAGAAGAAACCTGCACCAATCAAAGCATTTCATGAATTAATATCTAATCTGGTCATTTTGATTTGCCTATGGTAGACTTATCCTTGACCTAGATTATAGGAAACAGTCACTAGGCAATGCTAACAAAATAGGTCAGTCTTGCAAGAGAAGCAACAGGAAGATCCTAAATTCTATTTATACAGAAAGAAAATATCCACAATAGCAATCTGACAAGGGAAATCATGACAGCAAGTTCTAGGAAGCTAACTTTATTGATGGAAATGTTATTTGTTCCAACAAAAAACTCCCACAACTGGAAGTCTGTGACCCCTTACAGAACAAATAAATAAAAAGCTTAAGGTGCATTGGCTGGTCGATAACAAGCCACAAAATGGAAGAGAAAAAAAGAATCCTTTGCCTCTCTGCTGTGCAGAGAGGGAGTGAGACCAATAGTTCAGCACCAGATGCCTCCTGCCAGGGCCAGAAGGTAAGAGCAGGGTATTATTACAGCCCCAAACTAGAAAAATGCTGGAGGCTACACTTAAAGGGTTTATTTTTTTCTAATTTCAGATAAACATTTAAGAGAACTTTCTGAATCACACCACTCTTCACATTTTTTAATAATGGTACCTTAAAAATCACAATTATGCAGTATGCTGATGTAAAGCTACTTCTAATATTCATCTTAAGTTGTTCAAAGGAGAATCAGACATCAGTCGGTCCTCATAAACATGTAATGTTATGGTTCTTACCACTTTGTACAGCTGAAATTCTAATGTATGAAAGACAGCAAAAAGCCAAATTAAATAAATAAAAGGAGAACTGGCAATGAACTGAAAGAAGGCACAAGAATCAATCAAAGAGCATGACAACACTCAATTATTTCTCCACAATGGTACCTTATGCAACCTTCCACTTCCTGTTTTCTAGTCCTTGCATGGCACTTAGAAAATTATATCAGGATGCTTTTCTACGCACTCTCTGTTTTTGAACTGTTTGATGGACCCTCATACGGTCACAATCACTACTGCAATTTCCCCAAAGGATCAGGTACTCCCAGCTCATAAGCTGGAACAGGGCAAAAATGGAAAACAGGTTCGGTGTGGGGAAGAACCCGAGGGTGGGGGATTTGTCAAAGCTGTCCCCACTCCCTACTTCAAAGGTTAGTATCCCCCAGAGCTCTGTTATTAAGGCTCTTTTCTTCTTGCTCATTCGCTCACTACCTGCATAACCTCATTCACTGCCAGGTTTGAATTCATATAAAAGATAATGGCTCCCACAAAGTCTACCAAATTGACATCTCTTGCAAATGACAAACAGTATACCCAGTTGCAATAGTAGATTGCTACTTTCATATTCCAGGCACTTTAAATTCAACGCATCTAAGTTAAATTCACTGTCTTCCCCCATAAACTTTTTCTCTTGTATTCTACATCCATTGGTAGTACAACTCTCTATGCAATCACTTAGTCCACAAATCTCGAAGTCATTATCAGTTACTGGCTCTTACCACTACCCACATCCCCCTAATATATCCAATTGATCAGGCCTGCTCCTTTTCAGGATAGTTCCTTAAAATCTACTCTCTTCTCTCTACCTCATTGCCAATTGCCTTGGTTCTGGTTCTCAGCATCTCCTGCCTGGTTCTTTACAATAGAGCTGACTAGTGTCCCTGTTCTATTCTCTTAGCCTCCAATTGCTATTTAGCCAACAGAAGAACATTTTAAAACATGAATGAGCCAAATAACTCCCCTACATAAAGCTCCTCAGAAGCACTCATCCCCTATTGTGACAGGCAGAATTCTAAGATGGCTCAAGCTTTCCTTCCTCCCTGGTGTATATGCCTGCACCATCCCTGAAACTGTGAATAAAGTAGATCCTACTCCTGTGATGAGGTGATGCTGGAGGGCACAGCTGACCTTAAGACCAGGACATTATCCATGCGGGTTTGACCTAATCATGTGAGCCCTTTTCTCTAGCTGGTTGCCGATGGTGAGGTCAGAGATTCCTGAGAAGACAAATCATGGTGAGGGAGGTTCTATGTTGCTGTGCTACAGGAGCCTCATGGGAAGGATTCGAGAGTGGACTCTGTAGCTGAGAGCGGTTCCTGGACAACAGCCAGCAAGACAGTAAGGACTTCAGTTGCACAACCACAGGGAAATGAATTATGCCGACAACCCTAAGGAGTATGAAGCTGATCTGTTCCTAGCCCAGTGTCTCCATGAGGATGCAGTCAGTGAACAACATGATTTCTGCTTTCTGAGACCCTGAACACCGGACCAACTGACATACACTGGACTCCTGGCCTATGCAAAACGTGAGATGATAAACACATGCGGTTGTAGGCTACTATGTGTATCGGGTGCTGTTTTAGGCCACTATGTTTACGCGATGTTTTGCCACAAGAGAAAACCAATATACCAATAGAACAATATCCAACCTTGTGAGCACACTAAACCGATCCTTCCACTCCAGGGCTTTCCACTCCAGCTCATTTCCTGCCCATGGGTCCCAGGGCTTTCCACTCCAGCTCATTTCCTGCCCATGGTGTTTCAAACATACTCAACACTTGCTCTCACATCTCTTCATCTGCCCCAACAATGAAAGTGCTAAGCAATGTTACATAAATATCACGCACATAGTTAGAACTATTCCGGAAATTTAAAGAATTAAACTAAATTAAAATATGTGAATACTACTTGATTTTATGTTGCCTTAAATACCTCTACAGGGATAGTCAGCTAACATTTTCTAACAATTAATATCTACCTGCCACAAGGTGACTGGGGACCTGCTTACCCATTATGCACAATCTGAACCACCACTGAGGAATCTTTACTCCTAAGAAGGTATTTACAGCCAGCCAAAGATCTGTGGTCAGGCTTTCTACACATCAGCCCTGTTTCAAAATCTGGCCCCTAAAAAAGAAAGAAGAATCCAGGAAACGTGCCTCAAACAGCTACTCCCAATTTCTTCAGGGCAAAAGAGAAAGTCCTCTATGACAGTAGAGGATGTGTCCCAACATGAAAATGAGTGAGCTGGGTCGCTTTCCATCTCTTTCCTTCCTCCCAGCTGCTACTATTGAGTCCCTAGTCATTTTTTTAAAACCCAGACTAACATAGAACTCCAAATATGATAGGAGACAAAAAAGAACCTTATCCTATACTTGCTATGGAAGGGCAAATATAGAATAACTCGTAATTTTAAAGGTACTTGAAATCAAATTCAATATGAAGTCTCTTCAAATGCACCACTCAGAGTTACTAAGTAAGAAATCAGAAGACATAGCAGAACTAGAAAGAATGTCCTCTGCCAACGTCCCGAGGGACTAGAGATGAAGAAAAAGAGGGTTGACTTCCTCAGATCCTTTCTTTAATAGACTTTCCCACATTATTTGAGTGAGTTCATTACTGAAGCCAAGGAACACTATACCTACTTGTTCCCTATAAAATGTGAGTCCATTCAGGATAAGAGACAAGCACTGAAAGTCACAAGTGGCGTGTGTGTAATTACTTTCAAAATATATTCAGGCTTGTTAAACACCTACTGATTTCTGACACAACAGCAACAGAACCTTAGCTACATCTTCTGTCTAATCTCAGCAGGTTCAAACAGGACAGTGTGAGAAAAAAAGCAAGTTTCCCACATTTTCCGGCTCACCTTCTCAATTCTACCAGTTTCTAGGTAGGTGGGTTTTTAAAACAATCTTAAGCACAATTGTTGCTTCCTATTCTTATTTAATAAAATTGTTCAGCACTTCCAGAACTGCCAAATTAATGAGTAGCTGATGGGAAAACACAAATACTATTCTTTCCAGGTTAAACAACAAATAAACAAAAATGAGAAATTGAGAGGCACATTTACATAGACATTTACATTCTCAGATTTAAGAAATATTTTTCGGTGTCTTATATATTATTAGGCGATAAAAGTAAATCTCTAAATAGTATGAAGGTTCTGATCCTATTTTCATGTTAAAAACCCACCAATCTGTATGGTATTTTATATTTATATTCCTAAAGACAAAGGCTTAGAAGGGAATATATGTTTTATGGGGTGGAAATTCCATAACTTTAAAGAACCTTTCAAATTTGCCAGCCACTGCAGACCCAAAAAAGGTCCCTGGCACCTGCAGACATAACATTCACTCTCTCTATCACTCACAACAACCCTGTGAGCTCCACTTCACAGATAAGACAACTGAGGACTTCTGGGGATGAATAGTTGATGTGCTGCCTCCTAAAATTTAATATTCTTAAGTTCAAAAATCAATTCTTTATGGAGTGGAATGGGAGAACTTTTCTACCATATTAACAATCCTCCAGTCTCATTTAATTCATGAAATTCCTGTAGATATTCAGATATTCAACTGTTAGGGTATCTACATTCTGAGTTTTAAGCACACATTTTTAACAGTCTGGGGGTGAGTGATCCATATGTATTACCACCACCAACAAAAAAAAAAAAGTAGGAAAAAAACTATCAAATATCAGTATGTAACCTTTAGGCAGAGCATTTTCCTCTCTATATTTCATTATCATTTTTTCCATTTCCCACTGAATTATGTAATTGCCATTTCCAAACAGCAAACAACATTGGACTGAAATACAACAATGCCAGATTTTCCCTTACTCCTCTGCTGCAAAAAATTAACAATATCATAAAAATAGTAAAACCACAAAAGGTATTTCACTGCATTTTAATATCTCCTTTTAACTTAAAAACTTTTTTCAAACGAATAGCACCATATTCCTTTTGTGATAAAAGTCAAAAAAGTGTTACCTCTCTCCACATGCCAATCAGACACTGGACTGTAGGGCATTTGTGTTAGCCAAATCCTGAAACTAATTACTGCCAGTGTACGCTTCCTGTTCAGACTGCATCAGCCAGTGTGCGTGTCAGTAGTTGTATGAATGCTGGTTCTTAGTAAATATTTCATCATGTCTCCACGACAGGGCCTTCAACAGCATACTATATTTCATTCTTCCCTGAACCTACTTCCACATTTTGTTGGAAATCATGCACGCAACACGCCACACACATCACATACACATTTTACAGGGCTGAACTAGACTTTGTGTTCTCCTTCAACTCTAAGAACTTGTGTTTTCACCAGACCTCAACTCTGTGTCAAAAAGTGCTCATAGATGCTGTTGATAAGCCTCAGAATATGGAGACAAAGTTAAAAGACATCCTCCTTTGAAATGGAAGTTAACCAAAAAAGAGATGATCAAAAACTCAAGTGACTATCCATCATGTAGAAACTTTTCCTAGGATATTATCCACCTATGAAAAGATTTCTAATCTTGTGGCTGATGACAGCAGCCTGCTTCCTAAACTTCCTGAAGGGCCAGCAGTACTTCCACAAAAAGGAAGGCATGAATTGAAATGCTAACTAAGGGGAGATAAGCTACAATCCTGAAAATTATAACCTGCCTTTCACGGGGGAAATGCTGTAATTATGAAACAAACTGGCAATTGATCAGGAAAATTGAAAAAGAATCACTAGATGGTGCAACTTGTTTCTCTCCAGAAGGGAAGGTTAGGGTCCCCAGGTTTGACTCACTTTTCCACTTTAAGCTAGATGATGTGATAACTATAGAACTTGCTTATAATCATTCTATATGAAGGCAAAGAGCTTTGTCGAGCCTTGAAACTTGTTCCATACACCACTCTGAAGACTTCCTATGTTATATCTTTCCAGCTATTTTCCTCTTCTCACTCAAAATGCATTGCTTCGAAGCTTTATTCTTTACATAGTAGCTTATTTCATGGGACAGTATAATCATGAGAGTATAAACCAGAGCTTTAGCAGTCATTTTTAGAAATTAGGTTTAAGAAAACTTAAGGGGATGATACTCTGCCCACTGACTAAACCTGTTTCTCTTCAACAGGATCTGAGCCCCTTTTCTCCTGATTAATCCACTGCAGGCCTAGAGCCAAGCTGCCCTGTTTATTAAAACGGGATACCCACTACAGCGTCCACTGCAGATGCACTTCAAGATTTCAAAGACTTCCAGCCACAAGAAGACGGCAAGTGAAGAAAATAGGAGAAAGTGAATAGTAGGTAAAGACTTTAGTAGCCTCTCTTCCATCTATCTACCCAAAAACTACATATATAAGTTAAATTAGAAAAATTCACCAATTTTGAAGTCAAAAGTGTACAGAATTACAAATACAGGAGGTAATCAGAAACTTAATTTTCTCAGCTTCATAAACTGTGAAGTAGATCCTTCTCCTTCTGTTTCCTTTTTCTTCCTATCGATGGCAGTGGTGGCCTGACTGGAGTGGCCGCTGCCATGACACCAGCTGTAGCAGGGGAGGCGCGGCCAAGACTGCACGCTCCACAGAGCCGGCAGGAGCCAGGAACAGGTGGGAGCCTCACCTTCCTGCCCAGCTGCAGCTGTGGATTTGGGCATCCCTGCACTCTCAGGGGTACAGGAACCCCCCTGCCCCTACAGGCTTGTAAGTGCCTGCTCCCACTGCCTGGCTTCTCCTTGTTCTGGGCACCCACTCCAATTTCAGAGCAAAGTTGTGGCTGAGCCTGGGCTGTCATGACCCAGGCAGGTGTACATGCACTTGAGGTGGTGCTGACACTCAAGTCCCCTGCTGCCTCGGACCCCTCCAGACTTTGTGCCAACAAGCATGGGAAGGAGGCTAAGGGGGACACTGAGGGCAGCTTGGCACAGGCCTGCAGGTGCCCCTCAGCACAAATAGCCTGGGCACCCTGGATGACATGTAGATGGTGACAGGAGGCCGGCAGGCTCCTGGCAGAAAGGGGTGGGTCCCTGGTGAAGTCCCACCCTCCAGCTAGGGATGGTCTGAAACATGTGGGCCAGGCTCTCAGTTCCAGGTGGAGTCCGCGGCCCCCTGAGTGATAACTTACGGTGCTTTTTCCAGGCCTGCCCATGGCTGCTGGTGGGCCAGTCAGCACGTACTTCCTCCCTTCTGAAGCCCATAAAAACTAGACTCAGCCAGACTCACAGACTTTGGGATGACCTGCTAGGGGACAGGAGCTGCCCATGGCAGTCTCCTCTCCTCTGAGGGCTGCACACTCGACAGGATGACCGGCCTGCAGACAGGAGCTACCCACTCCAGGACTGCTCTCCGCTGACAGCTGCACCCATTGGGATAACCTGCCTGTGAAAAGAGCTACCCGCAGAGGCGGGCAGATCATCTGAGGTCAGGAGTTCGAGATCAGCCTGGCCAACATGGCAAAACCCCCTCTCTACTAAAAATACAAAAACAATTAGCCAGGCGTGGTGGCATGTGCCTGTAATCCCAGCTACTTGGGAAGCTGAGGCAGGAGAATCGCTTGAACCTGGGAGGTGGAGATTTCAGTGAGCTGAGATCATGCCATTGCACTTCAGCCTGGGCGACAGAGAGACTCCATCTCAAAAAACAAAAAACAAAAAACAAACAAACAAACAAACAAACAAAAAACAAAAAACAAAAAGAGGAAAAAGAGCTACCCACTTCAGGTCTCCTGAAAGCTGTACTGTCACTCAATAAAGCACCTCTTTGTCCTGCTCCCCATCCAGTTGCCCACGTACCTCATTCTTCCTGCACATGGAACAAGAACTCAGGAACTGCTGAAAAGCATAACTGAAAAAGCTGTAACACACACAGGGCTGAAACACCCCATCCCTATTCCTCGCCACACTGGGGGTGACAAGAAGGAGAGAAGGGCTGCACCCCTTCTGGGAGCCCAGACCTAGAGCCTCCCTGAGCCAGGGCTGTGACATCCTCTTTGGGGGGTCTGTGGTTTCTGGCATCTCCAAGCTTCCGGGTGTCACTGCGTTCCCCTTGTCCAGACATGGGTACCCACAGCAGAAGTTGTTTCCAGTGCATCCGATCCAGCCGCAGGCTTGCCCAGAGCTGGTGCCTGTGCCAGTGCCTGGAGCTGTCTGCCCCGCCATAGCAGCCAGCATGCCTGGCTGTGTGTATGCCTGGCTGTGTGTAGTGGCTGGACCCCGCACTTGCTTGCTCATGCACCGATCATCACTCCACACCTGGCTTGCCCTTGACAGGTGTGGGATCTGGGCCAGTAGCATGAGCCAACTGCAGCCTGCAAGTCGAGTGGGCGGAATGAGCCCAATGGGCCTGAGCAAAAATCAAGCATAGGCGCCACCCGCCCTAGAGGCTTCCGGCTGGAAAAGGAACGTCCGAAAGATCCTGTGACACTACTAAAACACAAGTCCACGCTGGAGACAAATACTATACTTTGGATCGTTCCTTCTGCTGTTGTAGAATGAATTTTTTTTTTTTTTTTTTGAGATGGAGTCTTGCTCTGTAACCCAGGCTGGAGTGCACTGGCGCAATCTTGGCTCACTGCAACCTCTGCCTCCCGGGTCCCGGTTCAAGCAAGTCTCCTGCCTCAGCCTCCCAAGTAGCTGGGATTACATGAATGCGCCACCATGCACAGCTAATTTTTGTATTTTTAATAGAGACAGCGTTTCACCATGTTGGCCAGGCTGGTCTTGAACTCCTGACCTCGTGATCTACCCGCCTTGGCCTCCCAAAGTGCTGGGATTATAGACGTGAGCCACCGTGTCTGGCTGACTTTGCATGTTTTAATTCTGTAGTGCAGAGACCTCTGAAACAGAGAGCAGGAGATCTGGGTTCTAGCCTTTCTCTGTGTGTCCTCAGACACACTGTTAGCTTCCCTGTGCCTATTTCCTCACCAGTGAAACAAAGCAGGAGAAAAGGTCATTCCCAATGTCCCTTCCAGATATAAAATTGTTTGACTTTATGGTGAAGACAATCTCACACATAAGCTCAAGCCTTTGGCTCATTTGGTCTTCAGTGCCTGGAATGTAACAAGCGCCCAAGCAAAACTTTACATTAAAGTCCCTGCAAAATGAGTACAGCTCTTTGGTATCTTTTGTACACAATGTGGTAACATGTTTTATGGATTAAAATTGTAAAGAAGAAAAACCAACATGCATTAAGACAAATAATAATTAAAACCCAAAGGATTCACTCTTGTTAAAAAAAATAGTTCAGTGCTTATAATGCACAAATTGATCAATGCATTCTAGAAAATGCAAAGATTTTAATGAAGACCAAATGAGGCAAAGGCTTAAGGTTAGATGTGAGATTGCCTCTGCCATACAGTCAAACAGACTTATGTCCGGAAGGGACAATGAAAATAACCTTGTCTCCTACCTCGTTGAACTGCTGAGGAAGTAGGCTCAGACAAGCTAAAGGTGTACCTGATAGAAACTACACCTTAAGGGATTTTTGGAAATTATAAGTATAGATCTACTTCTAGAAAGAAGTCGGGTAAAGCGCATTGGTAGCAGACAGTCCTGTACTGGGGTCATGGGGCACCAGATAAACCTGTGCAGATGGGAGGCCACTGTAGCCACCCAAGGAGTTGGCTGAAGTCTACCATGCTGGAAAGACTCTTTTCCTGAGGAAGTAAATAAGGAATGCCTTGGACTAAAGTGGGAAGCTTCCTTTTCTCCCTGAGGTTAGAGCTGACTGGGGGCCTGGACTCTGAGGAGTAGAAAGGGTAGCATCCTACAGTAGGTGTGAGCTGGTACCTGCCATGCAGGAGCAGAGTGGGCGTCAGGCAGGAAGACATTGATCAGGAGCTCTACGACTCCTACAAAGGCTACATGATGTAGCCGGTGTGCTTTCTGTTATACTGTCTGTCCTTAAAGGCTGTACTCAAGTATGCTATGGGGAATTAGGGAAAGCTTGCTTTCTTTCTGAAGAAGCAGTTGAAAGGGCAGCACCGCCATCTGAACCCAGGGAAAGGTGTCAGTGGCAATTCTGAGTGGCCAAGTCACCATCTCACAGGGCTCTGTGGCACTAAAGCCACACGCAGAGTAAGGAAATTTAAAGGACTTCTTCCACAGCTCATGGGAAAACTCTCGGGAATCATGCTAGGGAAGATTCTGACAGAGGTGAACTTCAAGCAAGTCAACTGGAGATAAAAATATGAAGTATCACGTGAAATCTTAGTCACAGGATGGTGAAAACTAGAAAACTTGGAATATTTTCAGACTTGGAAGACTGCTTTCCGCATTAAACCAGTAAGTCATGTATATCTACTATGTGAAAAATTAACCATAGTATTGTACAAAATCCAGAGATAAGATACTGTCCTCTGAAACAGGCAAGACGATGGAGCAGAGCGTTTACCTGTGAGTCCCTCTGCCTGGGCATAGGGAAGGAAAGTCCATTTCATGACATCAGCAACACAAAGTGGCCATAAAACACACTGGAAGCCTGAAGACTCAAAGGAGTTAGCTTTGCACGAAAAGGCAAACCTAGGGCTTCAGCATCACGATGTCAGAATACTAACATTTGGGAAATGAATCCTGTTAGGCCTTCACACAATGTGACAACTGGGAGTGACTGGGAGTTAGCAAAAAGAATGCCTTAGTGGATTTTATCTCACATAGAGCATCGACCATCGAACGCACGTAGGCACTCAAGTTCCAAAGTCACTCAGCTTCCAAAACACAGCCTACAGTATGATGAAATAGGACTCCTACTGTTTATATTTCTTGATATATACACTCACATTTTTAATATTTATATTGTTTAGAATATTTATTAGGCCTTGTCTACACTCATGATGGACTATTAAAGTTTATTACTTTTTAAAAATGAAAACCAGGAAAATGGATTTAACAGTTTTAGTAAACAGTCTGTTTTAATGAAACCTTATTGAGACAAATGTCAATACCGTAAGATTTAATGGTAATTGTGTAAATGAGACATTGCATGTTAACAGTCCCTGTATGTAACTGTTCCTATGGTTGCACCAAAGAGCTATCACACTAGGAAACAACGTTAATTAAAGTCCTTCCATCCTCCAGAGTCCTAGAGGCATCATTCTTCAAGCAGGAAATTACTGCTGCTGCTGGATGGGGCCATTTGGTTACAGCACGCGATGGATGGTTTGATGTAAGTTCTTCAGTTGAGCAGAGATCCATGGAGGAGGGTGGCATGTTATAGGTTAAACTGGAAACTTACAGAGCTACGTGGAATCAAAAGCTCTGTGATTTATGTGTTTGGTGAATGAACAATACCTGTATTGGTTTAAAACAGTCCTTATTTTTATGGTTTACAATTAATATTCTTGTAATTCAAGAAAAGCAAAAGGTACTCTAACTTTCTACATTATGGCAATTCTATTTGCTCTCTGGTCAAGCACTTCTAAAGGGGTTGGAAAAAATTTAATCATGTAACCTATAGAAGTTGGAAGGCTACGATGTTGAATCTCAATAAGTACAGCATAAAACAGTGTAAGATTTACACAATTAACTGAATCACAGGCAAGACAGAGTATTAGGCAAGTTTTTAACCGTCCCTTACTGACCAATAGTTAGAAGGTAACAAAAGCATCTTAGAAACATACTTCCATAAATTTCCTTATCCTCTCTGGTCCCTTACAAGCATCTCTGGATGGTCTCAAACAATGCTTGTTGGAGTCAAGATGACCGTTTCTGTACTTCAGATTCCAGGCCTATCCTGGAGGGATCTAAATTGTCCTCAGTTACTGAGCCCATTCCACTACAGGCCACTAGACAAGCTCTAAGTAATCTAGGGGCCAGATTTTTATGTGTTATGGCTGCATTTAAATTGCTCTCATTGATTTGCCCCAATCTGGAGGCAAATCTCTCTCCAGTGTGGCCCATTCGCTGGCATGTTTCCCTGGAATACTAGCCCAGCATGGATGTACCTGGGTCCTATAAGCAGTAAATTGCCCTCATTATTGAATTGGCAATATTTAGGGGCTAAATAAACTGACTTTCACATGAGGAGAGAAACATGGCAGGGCCCTTTGAGTAACACCTACCACTCTTAGAGTAATGTTCTGGACACCTCCACCAACAGGGCTTTTTGGGGAAACAAACCAAACTGCACCACACAATGGCTTAAACATTTGATAGATGCAGCAGCAAACCTATCTTATGAAATATGGACCGAAATTTGAGATCAAGCTTGACTTATTTTCCTAAAACAAAATCATACTAGATTAGAATGGTGCCCAAATAGAGAAAGCAAAGTCCTAATTCGATAGTCACTACGAATACACTGTACACTAATCAGTGAGACTCCAATCAGTCTGCCAAACATGGAAGCAGCAAAATGAAAATAAATGAGATGAGTGAGAGGACTGTTACCTCCATTGCATGGAACAGAGATATTTTTATTTATTTTCTCTTTTAAAATGTAGTTTGAGAAATAAGCATCAACAACAATAACAAACTGGCTGAAGGACATTGTTTGCATTCTCTAACAGTACAACAAGAGGAGAATCACATAGTGATTTTGTTGGCATACATGAAAATCTGGCAGAGTGTAAATATTTCTCAAAAATATATATCAAGTTCGCTATAATAAGATCTTTTCTTATATTTTAAATAATCAAGACTGAGTTTGAAAAAAAATTAGTGAGGAAAGTCTCTCAGCCGGGTGTGGTGGCTCACACCTGTAATCCCAGCACTTTGGGAGGCCGAGACGGGTGGATCACGAGGTCAGGAGATCGAGACCATCTTGGCTAACGTGGTGAAACCCTGTCTCTACTAAAAATACAAAAAATTAGCCGGGCGTGGTGGTGGGCGCCTGTAGTCCCAGCTACTCAGGAGGCTGAGGCAGGAGAATGGCGTGAACATGGGAGGCGGAGCTTGCAGTGAGCCGAGATCGCGCCACTGCACTCCAGCCTGGGCAACAGAGTCAGACTCTGTCTAAAAAAAAAAAAAAATCTCTCAAATGGAAAAGCACTGAACACTACAATGATCTAAGCCAACTGCTAGAAGGAAGTTAGAGAAAGCACGATCTGAAAAGGCTAGCATAGAAACATCGGTGGGGAGATGTTGGGGATCAAACAGGCAGTAAGTGTTTAGTCATTGCTCTCAGATAACTACTCCTTCTATCTTGCTTTCTGGGTCGATGGGTCTCTCCCACTGTAGCCTTGTGTGTGCACATGTGTGTGTGTGGAGGTGTGTTGCCAGGGAGTCTTTTACAGGTGACTATAAATTCTCATGCTACCGTCATGGCACAGTTGAGCCTTAATGATTTTAAGTTGACGTGATGAAGGCATTCAATATGCCATGGAGAAAAACATCACAATTTTATGAAAATAAAATGCTCTTTTTGATGCCTTATTAAATGCAAAAAAAAAAGTTTCATCTGTTATCATCGCCTTCATTCTTAATTCATCTGTAACTACACATATTGGAGAGAGGGATTAGGGAAACAATTCCACCTCTTTCAGTCTGGTTTCTTTGTGTCTGCATGTCTCTTCTGTCCATGAGTGGTAGTAGGAAGGGGCATTGGATGTGATATGGTCTGAGGCAGCATCTGAGGAATCAGTGGCTTCCATAATTGCACCTACAGTTTCTACGGGAACCCTCCCAGGCAGTGCGTACATCATCACAAGGTTGACAGCGATCATTAAAGACATTATTTTCCTTTTAACTTACAATCTGACTTCCTATAACTGCTACCTTAGTTTTTCTTTTTATACATAAAAGTTATGATAACCCTTCAGTCTCCACCTTTCCAATTAACTGAGAATAGCTTTCCTATCCTCCACCAATCTTATTTTTTCATATTTAACACATCCTATTTCTCTAACCATTCCTCATATGAAAGCTTCCAGATCATTCACCATCCTATAATTCTCGCTGAATATGCTCAAGTCAAAGTCCATTGTTCGTATTATCATTATTAAACAGGGACCATTTATTAAGAATATGCCACATCCCAGAAAGTGTTCAAATAAATTAGTTGCTCTAATCTTCTCAACAATGCCTTTCGAGGCAAGTATTTTCACCTTCATCTTTCTGTTGAGGAAACCTAGGTTCAGAAACTTTAAGGAAGTTCCTTGAAACCACATGGGTTACCATTAGCCCTCCCCAGTCCGGTGGCTTCAGAGCATTTATCGCATGTGATTGAAACACAGCCCTGAAGGCTGGATCTGTGCAACGCAGGAAACAGGATGGCTCGCTGCCTTCTGCAAACCTAACACTATGCTTCCACGGAAACAGCCTGTGATTACAAAATGGTTTTGACAACTGTAACACACTGTTGGTTCACGATGAGTTTGTAATGAACTTAAAGCTGAAGATGAGTTTTACTCAAATTGTTACCAAGGCTGACTGCCCCTCTCGCAAACACATTTCCATTTTGTACTTGATCCCTTTTATCAGAGTAAAGTTTTACCTCCACTCCTGCTAAATGTTAGCTTTCCTGCTTTGCTTCAGCGTCCCACACTGTCCATTTCATAATAAAACTGGAGTCTGACACTTGGGGCATCAATCTCTTTAAATAAGCAATATAGGCTTTAAAGCTCTACATTGCTTAAAAATAATTGTTCAGCTGTGTTTCTGTGCCTTCGTCAAGTCTTTGATACAGATTCAGTTTCAAGGAGAGCCAACACTGAAGCACACCTTCCCTGGCCTATGCTTCCCCTTCTCTGTTTACCTAGTATGCCCCGTGTGTAGCTCACCAGCCAAACTTTACTTTCCATTGTTTATATCAAAACGCAAGAGCCATTGTAACATGTTTTTTATTTTTCAACTAGCACCTCATTGCCTCCTTGAGAATCACTCTGCTTGATTTACAATACATTTTTCTCATTCAACCAATCGGTTACAAATTAATCCACTGAACTTTACCATGTCCAAATTTCTCCATCTTCTTCACAAAGATGTCAGCCGTGAACATGTATTTTCTGATATCAATGTCTGTGGTGAAACTGAAAAAAATTCTACCAGCAAAAGTTTTTATATCCCAGAAAAAAGTTGCTCTTAAGAATCTGTCAAATGTATAAAAATAATTTATTATAGAAGAAAATAACTGGCCAAGTTTGCTGTGCCACTCAGAATGTTCACAGTGACATTAAAAGAAAGGTAAGTAAAAAATAAAAAATTTGTAACCACAGTGATTATCAGTAATGAATCTGAAGCACAGACATAAATTAAATCTGACAAAATGTTCAACAATACTTGTACCTCGGTCAGCCCTAAGGCATTATCCTCTCTATGTGAAACACTATAAACTTTCTTCTAGACTCTTGGAAGACTCTGATAGCTAGGACTCGAAGACTGCCAGTTTACCCTATTTATTCCATTACATAAATGCAAAAAATAGAAAGACTCTCCTCAAAGTTAAGAGGAAAAGTTTCTCTTGACTTGGATCAATTTTTCCAGAAAATGCATCTACACTGAAGAAATACAGTATTTCTCAAGGTTACAAAAGTTCCATAAGTTTCATAGTAAAACCCAGCTAGAAGTATATTACTGGAGCTGCCTATTTCCAGAATTCAGATCTAGATGAGTAATTGGACACGCTGGCCTAAGAAATGAAACAAAATCAAAGCCAGAAAAAGGCAAGAAATAGTTTTGTGCACGGTCCTTGGGGATTCCTGCAGCAGCCCATCCATGTTTATAAGGATACTGGATGACTAAATTTTCTATAAATTGGTATACAACAGACTAAATAATTTTTGATGTAAGACTTTATTTTCAAAAACCATATAGACTTTTTTCTATGTTCCTGCAATCTGTAACAATTTAGTAACCTACCTCTCATCCCCATCCTAAATGAATTCAGCGTGAAATGGATTTGAATCTTCTGTTCCAAGAAAAACACTGGGTGCATGAGCACATTATAAAAACATAACAGGAATGATATGGGGGTTGGGAGACAGAGGAAGCAGAGTAAATGGGAACATGGGAAATAGGTGGGCTTGGTATTAGCTGTCATGAGGGACGAGGAAGAGAAATATGTGAGGACACACATGTGTGCACTGCCTGTGCTGCCTGGGACAGAGTCTCAGCACAAGCCTGAGGAAAGGGTGGACTCTGAAAGCACAGTGGAATGAAGGGGGAGAGGGGCTGGCTTGGAGATGTGTGTGATACCCTGCCCTCTTTATGACAAGGGCAGGAGCTGGAGGCAGGAAGAATGAGCTCTTTGAATGAAGACATGGCATCTGAAACCTTGCTAAAAGTGCAAGCCATTCCATCTTGGTGCACACACAGACCTGCTCATAGAGCCTGAATTCATGCCCTGCGTGAATCCTCCCTGATACTCAGAGAACTCAACAGTCAGCTGTCTCTGCAGTTCCAGACAGGTTGTGTTCTCAACTGCTAATTTGGTCTTGACAAACATCTCTGACAAAAGGCATTCAACCGCCCTTTCTCTGAGAGGAATCTGTTTTCTTTACAAAGAAAAACAAAGGGTATACCCTTTTACACCGAAACTACAATGCCCACCACAACGTGTCTTTTAAAAATTACTCATTCTCCAAGCAAGAAAAGGTCATGGACATTTTCAAATTATCCCACCACCCCTATGTACAGAATTTGTAAGTTTTCTACCAAGTAACAAGTGACATGGCCATAAATTATGCAAAAAAGGATAAAATTCATGTAAATAATAGCTCGCAGTCAGGATATTAAAGTCTATTTTTAAAGCTTTCAAAATTTTTTTTGTTCCTACCATATTGTTGGAGACTTTGTCTTTTAAAAAATATAAGGTCACAGTTTACTTTTGATTGTAACATTTTGGGACATTATACATATTTTTAATCTGATCCCCTGTTACAGACTAGGGAAATAATTTTATATTTAGAGACTGGGTTTGAGTAATTTTCCAGAGTCCTAGAAAAATAAAGAGGCATCTTGTATATTTTATACCAACATTCCCCAGCTCTCAATATCTAGGACAGAAAAGTCTTAAGACACACACTTACCTCTACATCACAGGTATATTCTGATCCATCGAGAAGTATCACTTTGCACTGCATGCTTTTAGGCTTTTTGACAATCTTTAATGGAGACCGAGAGAGTTTACTGCTAGATGATTTCTGAGAAAGTTTATCGTCTTCTAATTGCTGATATTCGAGCTGTTTTGCAGCCCTGGCAGCAAACTCCTGTTCCTTGTCAGTGACCTGTGAAGAGCAAACAATCAACAGTTTTCATTGCAAGGTGGGAAATAAATATTGCATTGCTCATGCAATAGCACAAAACTGCTTTCTATTTCATAGAGGAGAGGTATTGAATTAGGATATTAGGAATAGATATAAATATACAGATATTTATAATATTTGCCTAAATACTGTTTGCCATTTAAATGTATCAATAAGGCCTTATTTCATTTTAACTCCAGGACTTACTTTAGAACCACTGAGTTAGCAAATGCTATCAAGATTTCATTAAGCAAACAATGAATAATTGACTCCTGACTTTTTAAAAAGGATTGGATAGTATAGGCCTCTAAAATATACTGTTTAGATTTCATCTTACATGTTCTATTTTCTTAATTCACCAGATCCTTCTATACTCTACAACTTGTTATACAGCTGCCTCATCCCTACATATACAAGATATCTGATAAACTCTAAGACCTGGAGAGCTTCAAGTATTAATCTTTTCAGTACTTTTACAACTGTTAAAATGTTTAATTTAGCTCTCAATCAATTCAATGAAGTCAGCAGAACTGAAATTCATCACAAAGTAATCCCCTATGTCTGCTTCCCTTCACTGTAATGAACCAGTGTAAGAACATATCAAATCTGTCCAATAGCTTTAATCTGCTTTCAAACCATAACAGACTAGTCCAGGCTAGTTATAAAACTGCAGAGGACATCTTAAGTAACAGTAACATTCTCCCGTATACCAATCTCTTTGGAAATGTGCACACAGATCTCCAACTATTCTCTCTGTACATCCATCTTCTACCTATTAAATGGCCACCAATGGTAGTACTGCAAATTCGATCCTTGGGCTGCGCCACCACTGCCACTAGTCTGCAAATATGTGCTGACAGTCCAAAGGAAGACATGCACCAGAATTCTGTTTAGGGCTTTGAAATAAGCATGGCATTTCCTTTCCCGTGTACATACTATCAGCCCTTACTTTTCAGGGGCTCGAAAAGTAAAAACAATATTGATGGTTTATCATCTTAATTTTTCTATTAGCCTCTACATTTTTATAACACTAATATAATTACAAAGATATTTGGGTATATTTATTTTGGGTTTTAGGTACAGATTTCTGCTTTATCTTCATTTTCTATCTTGTTTTCCATCCAAAAGATTGCTAATACAGTACTCTCCTCCAATTCTATCTTGCCCAGGATTTCAAGGCAAAGTCTTGAGAACTTCTTAAGAATTGAAAGAGACCAATCTGCTGAGCTTATGAAAAGAAAGCAACAAAAAACTGAATAGCCAATTCTAAAGGCCAAAACAGTTGAGAAGGCAAGTTTTAGCTTAAAAAAAAAAAAGTAAATAAACTAAAGAAAACCTGCTCTGGCAACTCAGTCCTACTTTTTTAATCACTGTCTTTCTATAGCAAAGTATTAAAATAGTAAGTGCAAGAAAATCATAAAATTGTCATTAAGTTTGGCCTTGAGGTAATTGACAGAGAAGTTTGGTTACTTTGGTATTGTATATCAACAACAATAACATATTCATTAAGTGCTTTATAACTTACACAAATTATGAACATTTAAGTTTTATTTTTGTCTCTTCATAGGCAAAGGTCATTAGAAGCTATTAATACATTTTTATTTAAATTTTACCTGAAATCAACATTTTCTATGTAACAGGGAAGATACAATGTCGCTTTTCCTTTACTAAAATAAAAATATCTGTATGAGAACAAGCTTCTGGGTTACTTTAAATGTCAATTCCAGAGGCATCTTAAGGCACCAACTTTCAAAGGATAGGCATTGTTTCTGGGAACACTGGAAACATGAACCCAACACTAAGGCCCTTACATACATTTTTTAAAAAAACTTTAAGAACTCAAAAATAGCAGACTAAGTACCTCAAATGAAATGTCAATCATAGTCATATGATGCGTTCTAATTTTAAATATCGGATTTTAGCTAATTCTCAATCTCTTTTAATCCTCACAGCTCTATGGTATGGGTATTATTACCCTCATTTGCATATAAGGAGAGAGAGACATGGGGAGCCTAAGAAACTCTTGAGGCATAAATTCAATGGATTTGAATGGAATTCAAATCTAGCCAAACCCATGTTCTAATCGTTACTATGTACCAAAATCAGCTTCATTTTACTTCCAACAGATAGCTTCCTAGCCTGAATCAAAGAATTTTGTGGAAGAATCTCAGAAATTATCTTTTCTGAACTCTTCATTTTGTAGACCAAGTGAGGCTTGGGGACTTGCGTGAGTTCTCCGAAGATGGTAAAACAATGACTAGAAGAGACAGGACTTCAAGGTCTCTGCCTTTTGCAGCCAGTCATCTCTCCCTCTTAGTGTCATTTCTCTTGTTTTGTATCTGACTGCAGAAGATAAATAAAGTATATTTAATCATGTCTAGGTATAGATATTCATACTTTTCTATAATTATCTCCCATTTTCATGTTATTTCATTTCAGAGTAAAGAGGAAAGAAGGAAGAAAAAGCAAACATTTACTTTAGTAATTTTAAATGTTTGAAGATTAAAAAAAACAAAATAAACAAAAAGAAAGCCAGACACTATCATCATCATTCCTCCACAAAAAGAAAAGGTAAAAGAAAACCATGATGGCTACAACAGTTCCTTAGGTTTGTCTACTAAGCTGGGATGGGATCTCCCTGCTCTCCATCACAAAGCATCTGAGATGAGACAGAGCAGCTATTTATAGAGTGAAAATAATTGTTATTTATTAATATTGTTTAAAGCAGAACTTGTGACATTCATTTTAAAGTGGTGGCACAGAAGCAAGCTGGTTTCCCTCCTCCCATCCCTCCACAGAAAACCTAAAACAAATATACAGCACAAGATTTTCACCAGCAACAACCTGGAACTCAAATATGAGGACGAGACAGATCCTGAGGCCACAGAAAAGTAGAAAAACTCCATGCAGATGGTGTAAGAATTGGACTTCCATAGTCATGATGCCCCTCCCCTTGATTCTGCCCGGCAATAAAAGTGCAGAAAATCTTCCCCCAACTCGTAGAAAAATGATACTGGAAAAGTGAGACTGAGGTGGCCAACCAGCTTTCCCACCTTCCTGGGATTCCCTGCAGGAGACCTGCCCTTGCCTTAACCCATGGGAAGGAAGTGATGTGACTCTCTGAAGGGAGAAATATCCCCGAGGACAGGCGGAGAAAAAGCCGGGAGATGGGACCACCACCCCAGTCCTGGACACTCTGCTCTGTAACTTGGCCAAAGGAGACACTGAATCAGAGTGGCTGTTCAGCAGCACCACACTGGAGAAGGCACATTCCACAGATCCCTTGGGCACAAACTCCTAGTCAGCCATCCCACATTGCCAGGATAATCCCTCATTCAGGACAAGCGGCACTCCCATCGCTTACGAGAGCCAAGGTGATCTGGGCTTAAAGGCCACCTAGCGCCAAAGAGGTGGCAGAGGCCTAGCGGTAAAAAATTTCTAAGCAAACATATCCAATAAAAAACAAAACAAGCCAGACAGAGAAAACTGCAATTTAAAACTAATCCTTCTATACAAAGACACAGACACCCACCCACAAGAAACAATAGCAAACAGGACCTCCCCAAAAAGACAAGGGAAAATCCAACCCTACAAGATGGCGATTTGTGAGCTAAGAATTCAAAATAACAATTTTAAGGAAACTCATGAGCTCAAGATAAAAATGAAAAGCAATTCAGAAATTTATCAGATAAATTTGATGAAGAGATTGAAATACTTTTAAGAAATCAAACAGAAATCTCAGAACTGAGAAATACATTTGATAAACTGAAGAACTCATTAGAGGCTCTTAGTAGAATGAACAAAGCACAGGAAAGATTCAGTGAGCTCAAAGACCAGCTATTTGAAAAGACACAGAGAAAAAAGAAAAATGAACAAAAAGGAACAGAGTGCATACAAGGTACAGAAAATTACCTCAAAAGACCAAACCTAAGAATTATTGGTATTCAGGAGGCAGCTCAGCAAGAGCAAAGGGTAGAAAGCATATTCAAAGAAATAATCACAGGAAACTTTCCAAAACTCGTGAAAGATATAAATATTCAAGTACAGGGAAGTCTGAGAACATCACACAGATTCAACCTAAATAAGAATACCACAAAGCAATAAACTCTCAAAGCTCAAGAACAAAGACAGAACCCTAAAAGCAGCAAGAGAAAAAGAAACAAATAACAGGTAAAGGAGCTCCAAATTGCCTGGTAACAGAATTCTCAACAGAAAACCCACACAGGCCAGGAAAGAGTGGACTGACATTTTTAAAGTGCTCAAAGAAAAAAACTGTCATCTAAGAATATTGCATCCAACAAAATTATCATTCAAATATAAAGGAGAGATCAAATCTTTCCCGAAAGAACAAAAGCAGAGAGAATTCACCACCACCAGACCCATCTTAAAAGAAATGCTAAAGAGAGTTCTTCAATCTGAAATAAAAAACCACTAATGTGCAAAAAATAAAAATGAACCTTTCAATGTATCAAACCTAGTGGTAAAATCAAGTACATGGATAAACCCAGAATACTCTATTACTGTACTTACTGTACTTGCAGTGTACAATGTACTACTAGTACTACCACAATCATAACTCTAGTATGAAGCCCAAAAGACAACCTATCAAAAACAATAATACCTACAGCAACCAGTGAAGGGATAGGTAATATTAAAATATGCAAATTGAGACAACTAAGTCAAAATGTAATGGGGATGGAGTTAAAGTATAGAATTGGGGTGTGTGTGTATGTGCGTGCATGTGTGTATGTGTAGTTTTTTTTAGCCTTTGTTTCTGTTTTTAAATTTGTGATCTAAGATAAGTTGTCATTTGTTTAAAATAACTTGCTGTATCTATAAGATGTTTCTGGTAAGCCTCATAGTAACCACAACACAAAAACCTATAATAGATCCACTAAAAATAAAAAGCAACATATTAAAACACATTACCAGAGAAAATCACTTAGCCACAAAGGAAAACCATGTAAAAAAGAACAAGAGGAGTTTCAACCAGAAACAGGCAGCAAAACAGCAGTAATAAGTCCTTATCAATAACACTGAATGTAAATGGTCTCAATTCTCCAATTAAAAGGCCTAAAGTAGGTAAATGGATATAAAAACAAGAACCAACTATATGTTAGCTTCAAGAAATTCACTTCACCCACACAGACTGAAAGTAAAAAGGTGGAAAAAAAAACCATTCTATACAACTAGAAGCCAAAAAAAGAGCAGATGTAGCTATACTTATATAAGAGAGACTAACAAATCTAAGACTAAAATGAGAAAAAGCAGGTCACTACATAATGATAAAGGGGACAATTCAGCAAGAAGATGAAACAATTACAAATATCTATGCACCTAACACCAGAGTTCCCAAGTATATAAAACATTCGTAAATCTAAAGGGAGAAACAGACGGCAGTACAATAATGGTAGGGGACTTCAACACTCCACTCTCAGTAAGGGACAGAACATCCAGACAGAAAATCAACAAAGAAACAGTGGAGTTAAACTACACACTAGATCTAACAGGCCTAACCAACATTTACACATTTCACCCAACTGCTGCAGAATACATTCTTTTCATCAGCACATGGAACACTGTCCAGAACAGACCATGTCTTAGGCTATAAAACAAGTCCAAACAAACTCAAAAAAAAAAAAAAAAAAAAAAAAAAAAAAAAAAACAGAAAAAAAAAATCATATCAAGTATCTTTCCTGACCACAATGGAATAAAACTAGAAATCAGTAAGAGGAACCTCAGAAAATACACAAACACATGGAAATTAAACAACATGCCCTGAATGACCAACGAGTCAGTGAAGAAACTAAGAAGTTAAAAAAAAAATTATCAAAACACAAGTGAAAATGTAAATACAAGATAAAAAATCTGTGGGCTATAACAAAAGCAGTACTAAGAGGGAAGTGGAGAGCAATAAACGTCTATATCAAAAAAGTAAAAAGCCTTCAAATAAATAACTCAACGATGCACCTCAAGGGACTAGAAAAGCAGGAATGAACCAAACCCCAAATTAGGAAAAAAAGAAATGATGATGATCAGAGCAGAAATAAATGAAATTGAGATAAAAAAAAAATACAGAAGATCAACAAAACAATGAGTTGGTTTTTTGAACAGATAAACAAAATAGACAAACCTTTAGCTAGACTAAGAAAAAGAGAGAAAATCCAAGTAAATAAAATCAGACATGAAAAAGGAGACATAGCAACTGGGACCTAAGAAATATGAAGACTCATTAGCGACTATTATGAACAACTATATGGCAACAGATTGGAAAACCCAGAAGAAACGGATAAATTTCTAGACACATACAACTCACCAAGAATGAACTATGAAGAAACAGAAAACCTCAACAAAATAGTCATGAGTAATGAGATCAAAGCTATAATAAAAAGTCTTCTATCAAAAAAAGCCCAAGACCTGAAGGCTTCATTTGAATTCTATCAAACATGTAAAGAAAACTAATACTGATCCTACTTAAACTCTTCAAAAAAAAAAAATTGGAGAGGAGGGAATACTTCCAAACTCATGCTACAAGGTCAATATTACTCTGATACCAAAAGCAGACAAAGATACAACACAAACAAAACCTACAGGCCAATATCACTGATGAACATTAATGCAAAAATCCTCAGTGAAATACTAGCAAACCGAATTCAACAATACATTAAAAAGGGGACTGAAAAGATCATTCACCATGATTAAATGTGATTCATCCTAGGGATGCAGATGGTTAAACATACAAAAATCAATAAACATGATACATCACATTAACAGAATCAAGAACAAAAACCATATGATTATTTCAATAGATGTCAAAAAAGCATTTGATAAAATTCAACATGTCTTTATGATTAAAAATCCTCATCAAAATCAGTATAGAAGAACATACCCCGAAATAATACACACCATATATGAAAAACCCAAATTAGCATTGTATTGAATTGTGAAAAACTGAAGGCCTTTCCTCTAAGGACTAGAACAAGTAAAGGATGCCCACTTTCAGTATTATACAACATAATACTGGAAGTCCTGGCTGGCACAATTGGGCAAAAGAAAGAAATAAAGGGCATCCAAACTGAAAAGAAAGAAGTCAACTTAGTCTTGTTCACAGAAGACATAATTTTATACCTAGAAAACCCTAAAGACTCCACCAAAAAACTGTGAGAACTGATAGATGAATTCAGTGAAATTGTAGAATTTATCAACATACAAAAATCAGTAGTGTTTAAATTTGTCAATGGTAAACTATCTGAAAAAGATATCAAGAAGCAATCCTATTTACAATAGCTACAAAATATAAAATACCTAGGAAGCAATCTAACCAAAGAAGTGAAAGATCGGTGTAAGGAAAACTATAAAACTCTGATGAAAGAAATTGAAGAGAATGCAAAAAATGGAAAGATATTCCATGCTCATGGATTAGAAGACTTAATACTGTTAAAATGGCAATACTACCCAAAGTAATTTACAAATTCAATGTAAATTGAATGTAACAAAATACCTATGACACTCTTCACAGAATTAGAAAAAATGTCCTCAAATTTACATGGAACTACAAAAGACCCCGAATAGCCAAAGTCATCCTGACTAAAAAGAACAAAGCTGGAGGTATCATACTACCTGACTTCAAAATTTACTACAAAGCTATAATAATCAAAACAGCATGGTACTGGCATAAAAATAGATACATAAACCAATGGAACAGAATAGAGAATCCAGATATAAATCCTCACATACAGCCAACTCATCTTTGACAAAGGTGCCAAGAACATTCAATAGAGAACAGTCCTTTCAGTAAAGGGTGTAGGGAAAACTGGATAACTGTATGAGACCAATGAAATTAGACCCCTATTTCTCACCATCCACAGAAATCAAATAAAAATGGATTAAAGAATTAAAAATGTAAGACCTGTAACTATGAAACCACTAGAAGAAAACACTGAGGAAATGCTCCAGGAGGTTGGTCTGAGCAAAGTTTTTTTTGTGTATAAGACTTCAAAAGCATAGGTAATCAAAACAAAAATAGACAAATGGGATTACATGCAGCCAAAAAACTACTGTACCACAAAGGAAAAAATTAACAAAGAGCCTACAGGATAGTAGAAAAAATTTGCAAAGTGTCTACCTGACAAGGGATTATTAACCACAATATCTAAGGAACTCAAACAACTCAATAGCAAGAGAAATGAGATTTAAAAATTGACAAAAGATCTGAACAGATATTTCTCAAAAGAAGACACACAAATGGCCAACAGGTATATGAAAAAATGCTCAATATCACTAATTATCAGAGAAATGCAAATCAAGACCACAATTGAGATATCATCTCACCCCAGTTAAAATGGCATATATCAAAAAGACAGGCAGTAATAGATGCTGGCAAGGATGTGGGGAAAGGAGAATCCTCATAAACTGCTAGTGGAAATGTAAATTCATACAGCCACTGTGAAAAACAGTATGGAGGTTCCTTGAAAACTAAAAATAGAACTATCATATGATCCAGCAATTCCATTACTGGATATATGTCCAGAAGAAAGGAAATCAATATATAGAAAAGCCATCTGCACTCCAGTGTTTACTGCAGCACTATTCATAGCAGCCAAAATATGAAATCAACCTAAGTGCCCATCAACAGAAGAATGAATTTTTAGAAAGTGGTATATACACCCAATGAAATATTATTCAGCCATAAAAAAGGAATGAAATCTTGTCATCTGCACCAACACGGATGGAACTACAGGCTGTTACGTTAAGTGAAATAAGCCAAGCACCAAAAGACAAATACTGCATCTTCTCACTCATATGTGGGGGCTAAAATGGAATCTCATGAAGATGGGGAGTAGAATGGTGATTACGTGAGGCTGGGAAGGATAGGGAGGATGGTAGGGAGGAGGAGTGATGAAGGGAATTTTTAAAAAATATACATATATACAAAATATAATATATATATTTTTTATATAAAAATATAAATGTACTTATTACCACTGAACTGTACACTTAAAAAAGATAGTAAGTTTTATTTGTATATTTTACCTCAAATTTTTTTTTTTTTTGAGACAGAGTCTTGCTCTGTCGCCCAGTCTGGAGGGCAGTGGTGTAATCTCGGCTCACTGAAATCTCCACTTCCTGGGTTCAAGTGATTCTCGTGCCTCAGCCTCCCTAACAGCTGGGATTACAGACGTGCACCACCACACTCAGCTAATTTTTGTATTGGGCCCGGCTGTCTCAAACTCCTGACCTCAGGTGATCCGCCCTCCTAAGCCTCCCAAAAGTCCTGGGATTACAGGCATGAGCCACTGAGCCCGGCCTCAAATTTTTAATAAGTATAAAATTGAAAAAAAAAAAAGGCAAACCTGCAAATACTCTAGGTAAAGAAATAAAATAATCAGGTTGCAAATATACAGTTTAATGCTGTGACTTCCAAAGATTTTCACTAATATGCTGATTATATCTCTTATCTCAACATCTTAGAATTTCTAGTTTGAAACACTTCTGACATATAAGAGGCCAATCACTTGTGGGGACTCCAGATTGCTTTACCACATACAAATCGGCACTCTAAAACATTTTGATTCCAAGTTTGAAGTTTTAAGACAAAAGACATTTAAATATGGACTTATTCAAGGCCCACATGTAAAACCATACTTTAAAACTTTTAAAAGTAATGCATTATTCCTGACTACTCAAACATGTACAGGGAAAAAGAGTTGAAAATGTAGATGTGTATAGGGAGGGAAAGACCTACCTGAAGATCCACTAAGAAACCATGGAATACTATGCAGCTATAAAAAAGGATGAGTTCATGTCCTTTTCAGGACATGGATGGAAACCATCATTCTTAGCAAACTAACACAGGAACAGAAAACCAAACACCGCATGTTCTCACTCATAAGTGGGAGTCGAACAATGAGAACACATGGACGTAGGGAGGGGAACATCACACACTGGGGCCTGTCGGGGACTGGGGGGCTAGGGGAGGGATAGCATTAGGAGAAATACCTAATGTAGATGATGGATTGATGGGTGCAGCAAACCACCATGGCACGTGTATACCTATGTAACAAACCTGCACGTTCTGCACATGTGTCCCAGAGCTTAAAGTATAATAATAATGATGATGATGATGATAATAATAATAATAATAATAATAAAAGCAGATCTGCAATATTAGGGCCAGGGTGATGCCTGGGGAAATGCAAACTCACTCTAGCCCTTAGACTTGAAAGAAAAAGCAACCACAAGCATAATTAAAGCTCTCAGTTTGGTGTCTATCTTTCCTCTAAATCCAGATAGGACCAATAATCTCCAGTCTGGACTTCAGTGAGTTTCAGTGTTTTAATTAAAAGAAGGAGTTACCAAGCAAGGTTGTGGAATGTCATTCACTGAAAGCCTTAAAATAGCATACATTTTCATCTGCCTGGGGCTAGAAGGGGAACAGCAGATGACCCCTCATAGCTGCCTCTAGGGCTAAGAGACCAAGGTTAAAGCCGATCCTGGAGCAGCTCAGCAAACACTGCGTCATTAGTTTTCTGGCCTGGGCTCACCTCCCTCCGCACCGGGGTGCTGTGCGCTGCAGCGGCGGCGAACTGCTCCAGGGCCTGCTGCTGCTCCTCCTTGGGCGGCTCCGGCACGGGCGCCCCCGCGCGCCCCTGCGCCCCCGCCGCCTCCTGGGGCTCGGCCTCCTGGTCCGGCTTGGATTCCGAGTCTGATCCAGATTCGGTCGTCATGGTTGATTGTTCTGCAAGCAGAAAAAAGGGAAGAGCAGGTCACTCCGTGCCACTACCTTCCCTCTGCAAGAAAACTAGGATGCTCACCGTGAAAGGCTCAAGAGAACCACAGAGAGGGAGATGCTACCAAACCCCATCCTATTCCACACACTGGACAGATGACTTGTCAACTTCACCACTGAGATGGGTGCCCACCAGGCACTCAAAACTAACATTTATCTAGGAGGAAAAGTTGATCTGTAATGATCACAGGCTTTATTCCTATTAGATTTTTGCCACAACGGATTGTTAAATGACATTAAAGAAATGTCATAATAATTAAATATCTTACATTCAATTAAAAAAATTTGCTGTATCACCTGCATATATATTTCAATCCCTTGGAAGGATGATTTAATAACGGAAGCAGACATTCTTTCTCATTTCCCTCCCCCTTCCTATCTCTATACAGGGGCCCTCCCAACCCCCTGAATCTACAGATACTTCAAGGAACAAATGCCTTTCCCATGTGATTTCTCTTAATCCAGTTATCCCTCTTTGAGTTAGCAACTGAGCTACAACAGCAGCTTCTTCAGGGACTCGGGATCTGTCCCACTGGCCATAGCTGCAGGGGCACAGGCAGGATCACCTCTCCTTCCCTCCCAAGTTAATTCTCATCTTCTTCCTGGCTTCCCCCTATTTCCATTGAGTGTTGAAAGGTAAATTTATCTCATATCTCATAGGGAACTCAAACAACAGATCTTAATATATAATAATCTGCTGATACATCCTTTAAAAAGACCTTCTAAAATATGAACATCTTCCCAAAGATTGCAAGTCAAGATGTTTCAGGATTTCGTGCCTCAGTTTCCACATGTGCCAAATGAGGACACTGAACGTGATAATACCTAAATAACTTATTTCTTGCTATTACATTTTTTTCTCCTACTAATAAGATATGCCACAATGTTTTTAAAGCAGATTTTTGCTCTAAGCAGCAAGAGAGCTGCTATTACGCCAAGTAGATCCCATGTCATTTTAAGCAATTACTTACCTTAGGTATATGGAGTAAGTATCTCAAGTACAAATATCTCATTATTGTCATACAATTTCCCTTCCTAATTATAATTTTATAGTAAAAGTATGAGCAAAGGACTAGTGTAGTGCTTTAGGCAAATTATATAATTGGTATAATATAGAATTGTGCAAAAATAAAACTAGTAACTCTTAGTTCCTATCTTCACAATATATATAAAAATATGTTTAATAATTTGAAGAAAAGGGAGCATCACAAATACCAATCTAGGTTATAAACTAAATGCTATATCTGGGTTTTCTATTTAGGGTTACTTTCACAATCACCAGATATTCTTTCTGTTGAATAAAAGAGACATATCAATTTGGCATGTGCTTAGTTGCCCAAAGCATATATAAATATCGAGTCTGAATACAGAGAAAGGTAGTGATGCAAATAAAATGAACAGACTTTCTTTTTTCCTGTTATAATACATTTTAGATTTTCGAGCAAATCTTAAAAGTAAATATTATATTTTCTTTTGTATGCTTATCCTGGAAAGTGGCATAAATATATAGAGAAAACAGTAGAGGAGGAGGAAAGGTTGTGGAGGGCTGCAGAATTTAGAGCTTCTGATCAAACTCCATCTTTTGGAAGGGAAAGGATTAGCTTTAATAGTCAATTCAACCCACCAAACACTTACTGAGTACCAAATATAAGCCAAGCACTGCTTGTGGTTTAGAAACAGAGATTCATCTGTTGTAACCACTACCCCCCATCTCAAGGAGCTCCTAGTCTGTGCCGGAAATATGCTCTCTGGAATCCATTTTCTTCATCTTCTTTTGGTAACTAAGCTTTCAGATCTAGCAGGTGCCTCTGCACCCAGCCTGAGACTACAATGAGCTGTGGCTGTGGATTAAGACTGGACCAAGGAGACAACAGAAGAAAAATGCACTCAATGTTTAGGTCATCTTCATAAAGACAAAGCCACTCACCCTAGATTTCCCTTTCCCACTGGCTGGATGTGCAGGTCTTAAACCCAGTCCTGGACATGTCACATTCAGGGGAATGACAGAGCCACCCCTTCCAGCACGGGTCTCTGGATGACCTCATGGACCATGACCCACCTACTCTGGACTGTGACGTAAGGCAGAAATCAACAACTTTAGCTTGTGTTCATTTGCTCAGGAAATTGCTTATTCTATTTCCTGAGCAAATGAATATCCCATGATTTTAGTGTTATCAGCCTAGTCGGGAAACCGTTTTGCACCTGCTTTTGTCTTAAATCCAGGACCATCACCAAAGCAGAGAGCCAGCAGTACACAAGCTAAATAAAAATGTAAAATGGATAGAGCCCAACAACCACCTACCAACAATCTAAAGAATAAAATAATGTACCATTACCATCTATGACTGTACCATATAATACCTTACCTGTTGTATATCACACAACTCACAGCAGCTCATACCTCAAAATCATCTACTATGCCCTTGTCATATATTTCCTAGGTATATTAATTTTCCAGCACTATAGGCATAATATAATAAATGCAAATTGTTGCCATTTTGGCCACTTTTAATAAAATAAAACTGTCAAGGCTACTGAGAGATAAAGTAATAAAACTTTAAAATGTACGTCTTTTTTAATGCTGGAATCTCACTAGAATCAATATCTAATTCCACATTTCTCAAAGGACATAAGCTCTTATTATTCCTACAAATAAACCAGTATGGATGGCCTAGATCAGCAAATTCTATTTCAAAACTTGTTTCCTCTTCCCCACCCATATACCAATGTAAGCAAGCAATAACCTGATTTTTAATGGCAAACTAATATCAACATCTAAATACAATATGTCTGGCTGGGCGCAGTGGCTTACACCTGTAATCCCAGGACTTTGGGAGGCCGAGGCGGGTGGATCACTTGAGGTAAGGAGTTCAGGACCAGCCTGAACAACATGGTAAAACCCTGTCTCTACTAAAAATACAAAAATTAACCAGGCGTGGTGGTGCTTGCCTGTAATCCTAGCTACTAGGAAGGCTGAGGCACAAGAATTGCTTGAACCTAGGAGGCAGAATTTGCAGTGAGCCGAGATTGCACCACTGCACTCCAGCCTGGGTGACACAGAGAGACTCGGTCTCAAAAAAATAAATACAATACAATATAATATGCCTAACTTTAACTCGTTATTTTAATAAGCTTTTAGTGTTCTCCTTCACTCTTAAACCCAAATGCCAAAACATTTCTTTTAAACTAGATTTTCAAGATATTTACATTGCTTTGGTTCTTTTTCTTATACTCATTCCTTGCTTTCTAGGATGGTGCTGCCATTTAAAATCACAGCTTTCCCTTTCCAACTAACTAAAGACTATTGTTTTCCAAGGTTCCCTTCTCTTCTGATAGGTTCACTTTGCACGAAACTATCTGCCAATTATTTGGGTTACTGGAAGCAAACATCATCACTTGAAATCCCAAACAGAAAGTGAGACAAAATGTATTTATGCTTAGTTTTGACTGAAACTGTCCTTTCCTTATACTAAATTTACCTTAAAATTGTGTTTTGCTCAGGCTTTAAAGGTTTGGATTCCTGGAAACTCCAAATCCTAAAAGTTGGGGTAAGGACATTCATAAGTATGCTAGGCAGATGGCAAGAGGAGTCCTTAATTTTTTTTTAAAGAAACGTAAATCATATTTCAATATCCCTCTCTCAGGAATATATTTATTAAATGAACACCAAAAGAAATGGTAATGAGCTTCAAAGGATGCATGTGCAGGTGTGAATGAAATCATCTTCACAATCCCCAATCTAATTCACCTATAAAAAGACGGTCATTGCCATGCATTTTGGGCTTTGTTCCTTTTCAGCTCTAATTTTTTATTCCACAGAAGCAAGAAAAAAAAGTCAGTTAATCCTCATCTTTTCCACTTTTAGAAGTGGCAGCTCTAAAATCTCCATCTCCTAACTAAATGACTGCTAAATTAGTTTCTGTATTCAAATTTATCTACCTCTCTTGCTGACATAAAAATTCAGTGGCATTTTATGAAAAGACACAAACTAAAGATTTAGTGAAGGAAAATGCTTAATATAAATTTCTGTCATTTATGTGTAAGACAGGATTCCTACAGAATAACAAAGCATTTCATAAAAGAAAACGTCTTCGTACCATTTACCTGTCTAACGAGTATATAGGACTCAAATGGACAAACTTTTTAACATCAACCTTTTTTTCTTTTATATTTCAAGTGTAAATTTATAGGAGAAGTGGGTCTTACTTAACATAAGTATTTGTGACTATAGAGTACTATCCACCAGTCTGCTAAAAACCATCAGTTGCTAGCAAACTAGAAGACAGTAATATTCTTTGGCCCTTCTACTGAATTTTTTCTATTTGCATGAAAAAAAAATGCCCTAGTATCATCCATCCAAAAAGAAAATCCCAAAAAGAAACCAAAACAACCTGCTGTTGGTCTCACTTTCCACTCTCCTACTCCCTCTAGTAGGGCCCTACCTCTCTACTTTTCTGTGGTGCCAAGCTTCTGGAAGGAATTTTCTTCTCATGCTGTCACCACATCCTCCCACTCACTCACACTTCAGTATATTCCTCATAATTCTAGTAACTTCGCTAAGGTGACCATGACCTCCCCACAAGCCAGTCAATCCTAGGTGGCACCCCTCCTCATCTTTCAGTTCTCCAGGTTTGACACCCTCTTGGTTTCCTTCTATCTTTTCTGGCTACTCTTCCTCATTTCCACTTGTCTCTGCATATCCCATTTCTCATATTCTATTTCTAAACTTCACAATTCTTTACAAATCCATCTCACTCTTTAAATTCTCTTTCTTGGAGAGCTCATCCACTTCATTTCAAATACAATGACAATTCCAAATTTTGTGACCTCTCACTGAGCTTCAGATCCATAAATACAACTCTTCTTCTCACTTCTTTACCTGGATATCTCAGAAGCACCTAAAACCGAACATTTTTCCATCCAAACCTTTGATCTCTGCACCACCCCCTGCCTGCTGCCAACCCCCCAATCTGCTTGACTCCTGTCCTCCCCATTGCAGCAGGTGGCCTCCATCTGTCCAGAGGCTCATGCTGGGACTGGGACAGCACTTCCCTCCCTATGCCTAACTCCAATCCACCTCACTCTTGGCAATATCACCTCCTGAGTTGTGTTTAAAGAAACAGTAGAAGAGGCTGGGTGCAGTGGCTCACGCCTGTAATCCCAACACTTTGGAAGGCCAAGTCGGGTGGATCCTCTGAGGTCAGGAGTTCAAGACCAGCCTGGCCAACATGGCGAAACCCCATCTCTACTAAAAGTACAAAAATTAGCTGTGTATGCGGTGGGCACCTGTAACCCCACCTACTCGGGAGGCTGAGGCAGGAGAATCGCTTGAACCGGGGAGGCAGAGGTTGCAGTGAGCTGAGATGATGCCATTGCACTCCAGCCTGGGTGACAAGAGTGAAACTCCATCCACCCTCCCCCCACCCAAAAAAAAAAAGAAACAGTAAAAGAAAGAATGGAAAAAGTTCTAGGCAGAGGATTCCAATCAAGCAAAAGCAGAACAGCATGGAGGATCGCATGCACTTACTTGCGTGAGGTTACATGGTCTGATGTAGCAGGAAGGAAGGGGTGCGTGAGAGTGATGAGAGGTGAGGAAAAGGGATTGAGAGCGAGACGGACACAGGCAGGTCCTGCAAGGCCGCCTGACCCTCGCTAAGGAGACATCATCTTGTTACTCAGGGATCATCTGGCAGACATGGGAACCTCAGAAAGCATTAACTGGGCTTCTCCATTGTTTCAGCTCAAAGCTAGGCCAAACTCAGAGACCACACAGGCCCTGAAGGGGCAGCCGGGACAAGTTACTCCTCAAAGTACCAAATGGTAAAATTCAGGACTGGTCATTATTAAATATCTTCAAAAAGTTGACAATAAAGGGTTGAGATGCAGGGACAATTCTGATGGTTTGTAAAAAACAAGCTTTTTGGCCATGCTAAGTTCAAATCTTGAAGGCCAATACACCAGCTCCTGTGGAGCTGACTGACTTTTTAAGATTATGTAAGAAGCAGAAAGTCAGGATTTTTATGAAGACATAATAATTCAAAAATTAATCTCACAATGGCCACTGTAAATCTGCAAAGGGTTACCAAGATTCATCAATATGGAGACAAAGATTTCATAACAGAATTGCACATTTACAAATCAGTATTGGAAACTTAAAAAAAAAAAAAAAAAAACTAAATGAAACAGTAAGGCCACAGGCCCCAGTCCCCTGCTTCAAGGAATGCACATTCAGACAGGTTACCTCAAGAAGCAAGCCAAGCACCATGCCCAGGGTGTTGAGAACACAGCCCAGAGAGGGGGCTTTAACCAAGTCTGTGGGGACAGAAAGGATTTTCACAGGAAAGAACACTTGTCTGATTAAAAAAAAAAAAAATCACTAACTTTCAGTCTCAAGACAACTAGTTTTAAACTTTAGACACAAACATCACAGGCTACTTCAGAAAGATACAAGGGAAATCAGGAATAAATAAGAGCGCAGGGAGGCACTGTGACGGGGCAGGAAAAGTGGGTTCCGCGCCCAACTCTGCCATATGCTCTGTGACCTTAACAGAACGTGGCTTCCCTTTCTGTTCTAAAATTCCAAAATTCTAGGATTCCTGAGAACCAAAGACACTGTTATATTCACAGCAAGAAATCTAAAGAAATGTTGCGAAGTGAAGACAGATACTACCTGATCCTACTGACAAGGCCCAAGGGCATAAAGGTCTGAGGGCAGGCAGCCGCCAGCCCTGTAGCAAGCACAGACCTCTCCCACCACTGTGTGGGTCAGGCTGAAGGCTTCATTAACTATTTGAGTCTATAAAGGTTTTATTTAGTTCACTGAAGCAATACTTTACACAGATAACCTGAAAAAGTTGAAAAAAACACTTAATAGATTGGGAAAATCTGGTTTATCTGCAGTAAGCTTTTAGCTTTTAAGTTCAAAAATGTTTAGATCTTCTATGCGTGAGCAGAAAAATCAACAAATATAGTTTAGAATATATAGAGAGAGATATGGTGACTATGGAAGCATCCACCTTACCACTATATGTTCATGTTTCCAAATCCAACAGGTACCAAATGCCAGCGCATAAATTTGCCTATGCTTCTGAAACACCAAGAATCTTTGGTTGATCCCACATGTACCCAAATACATTTTAATAAGCAAAGGAAGCAGCTGATGCCCCTACTCAAGGAAGGGGACCTATGTTAGCAGAGAACTTTAATAGAGTTCAGTGACAGTATTAATAGGAGAGGCAGGGTTCCCCTGGGGGCAAAACTACTTGCAAATTAAGTCTATTGAGGGAGTGGCAGAAGAACCAATTCAAATTCTGTTCTAGGATCTCTGCACTGTGAACACTCTGTCAAAAGCAAGGAAGTTCCCAGACTAGGATTCCTGAACTTCAGAGGTTCAGCAAAGGAGGCCTGATTATCTAAGATTTCGTTTTGCTATTTTAAAGGAAAGTGTACATTCAGCAGTGACATGGCTGTACACACTGACAAGGCTTTTTTGCTTTATGTTGGAAACTTATCAATTAACTTAGAAATACTGGCTACATCATTGCTTCATTCATTAATACATTCCTTTAACAAACATTTCCTGAACAGCTGTTTTGAGGCCTAGGGATACATCAGATAAAGATGAACAAGGTCTCTGCTGTAGTGGAGCCTACATTCTAATTGGAGGAGGAAAAGAAATAAAAAGTGTCAGAGATAGATGCTGTTAAATAACCCACTTAAAGGAAATAGCTGGCTGCTCTAGACTGGATGGTTAGGGAAGGCTTCTCCAAGAAGGAAAAATTTAACCAGTGTTGAAATATCAAGAAGAATCTGCCATATGCAGATACGCACAGTGGCGATAAAGCCTGTGAGGAAGATGATTGCCCAGGCTTGGGCAAGGAATGAAAAGAAGGCCAGGGTAGCTGGAATGCAGGGGGTGTGAGGAAGAGGGGTACAAGATAAGGTAGATATGAGGAGGGGTCAGATCCCATGGGTTTGCAGAGCTGGATTTTATTTTAAATGCAGTGGAGCATTCTGAGGTGAGGAATGATAGGGTCTTATGGATGCTTTTAAAAGGTCATTCTGGCTTCTGAGTGCAGGTGCAAGTAGGAGCAGGGGACCCAGTGACTAGGGGATGGCAACAGTCCAGGTGAGGGAAAATGCCAGAGCAAGGTAGCAGGTGAGGGAACGAAGGTAAGTGGTGCCTGTCCAGCACCCATCAGAAGCTCTCACTGCAGCTTTGGTGAGAGATGAGAAATGTACGAAGCTGGTAGGACAAAGCTCCCACAAGTGTTAGGTCTCTTAAAACACAGGGATCCCTAGTGGCAAAAATATTGTTTCCAATAGGCCCTAAGGCAGGGAGACTACCAACAAACAAGCGTCAAGTTTCAACAATTATTCTTCTAGACTGGATGCTCCATCACCTTTAACACGGGAAATCATTCATGAACCCGATATCATCAGCAATACTTCTAAAAATCATCCAGTTCAGGTGAAAAGTAATGCCTGCCTTCATTTATAATGGATATATTCCTGTGGTTTAAGTGACAGCTCCAGTCTTCCAAAAAAGCAAATTTAAAACAGATTAACATGAATATGTTTGGACTCTTGAGTAGAGAATGTGCTTCTAGACTTCATCTGAGAACCCAACTAATGGATAAATGACATCTGTACTTACACATTTGTTTCGACATAATTTGGCAGAGAATTTTAGTCTCCGTAAAATTTTAACGTGACTATCACTGATGCTGCCATTATCAGAAACTTGCTATTAAAGTTTCTATGTGGTCTGTACAAGAATTCTGTTAGTGCTATTAGTCTACACGTGAATCCTGCCTTGCCCTGGGTTGGACTTAGAACCACCTCACTAAGCACAGGGCAGTGTTTCCCAGAACATACTTAAACTTTTTCACTTGACAAGCATTTTCACATATTGTTCTAAACACAGCAGAAATACTTGTTCCCAAGATACAAAACTGCTAAAAAAAATTTTTCCAGGAGTTAACACAAATATTCCAATTGAGCTTCCTGATAGCTGTGCTTATAGCAGTTCATTAGTGTTCCCTATCATTAAAATGGAGTTCAGACGGCTGGGCGCCGTGGCTCACGCCTGTAATTCCAACACTTTGGGAGGCTGAGGCGGGTGGATCACCTGAGGTAAGAAGTTCAAGACTAGCCTGGCCAACATGGTGAAACCCCATCTCTACTAAAAATACAAATATCACCTGGGTGTGGTCACGGGCACCTGTAATCCCAGCTACTTGGGAGGCTGAGTAATGAGAATCACTTGAACCTGGGAGGTGGAGGTTGCAGTGAGCCGAGATAGCACCACTGAACTCCTGCCTGGGTAACAAGAGCGAGACTCCATCTCAAAAAAAAAAAAAAAAAGAAAATGGACTTCAGAACTGATGACATCATTTCCCTTAGCAAAGGCACCCTCACAACAGCATCCTTGAGGTTTTAAGCAAAAAAATCAAATCAAAGTGGACATTTCAGAGCATCAATGATATACATAAGAGCAAAAGTATTCAGCCCTTATGTTAAACCGAATCCTGGAAAGAGTGAGCGAATAAACTAAATATAGCAACTATTTTCTCCATTTTCTGTTAACCGTAAATCACCCTTTGTGAAGAAGAAACTGCCATTGTGCCCTCAATGTGCCAGGCATAATTTAAATACTGCATATTTGCTTCTTAACTAAACTTTAAACAAATCTGATCATATCCTCCCTAATGGTTCCCTAAAAGGAAAGTTGTGTCTAAAATGCACAGGATCTTCATGAGTTTGACAGAAATAATTCTCTATAAGCCATGTGTGATGGTGTGATTACTTTTTAGTTAAACAGGGATGACGCCTGAGAACATAAAGGAAGCTAGTCACTCGGAAGACACAGGTGGGGATGTTAGTTAGTCACCTCCCTCCTGCTCTCTACATGCTCAGCTCACCCCAACAGGACAGGGGTTCAGCCAGGTTAGTGAACAACTCGCCTAAGTCACAGGATAAGGAGCACAGCATCAAGAATTAAATCTGAGTTCTGCCTCCAATAACAGAGCTGTTTATCCCACACAAGTCATGTACATTGGTATGCGGTACTACTCTTCACCTCCTATTCCTCTTTCAGAACTGGGCAATTTATCAAAGGTATTGCTTTATGGGATCACCTACAGTTGCATGTTGCCAATATGCCACCTTATCCTTTTACTCACTGTAAGTCAAATATTAATCAATTCAAATTTTTGTAAAATTATACTTTGTTTTGGCTGGGTGCGGTGGCTCATACCTGTAATCCCAGCACTTTGAGGGGCCAATGTGGGTGGATCACGAGGTCAGGAGATCAAGACCATCCTGGCTAACACAGTGAAACCGTATCTCTACCAAAAAAAATACAAAAAAATTAGCCGGGCGTGGTGGCGGGCGCCTGTAGTCCCAGCTACTTGGAAGGCTGAGGCAGGACAATGGCGTGAACCTGGGAGGCGGAGCTTGCAGTGAGCCCAGATCGCACCACTGCACTCAAGCCTGGGCGACAGAGCAAGACTCTGTCTCAAAATAAAAAAAAAACTTTGTTTTAAAGACTATATTCCCTACTACATACTTACTATGTGTGTGTATATATATATATATATATGGCATTACAACACTAGTGTCTTCCTTTGCTGAAAAAGTTAATCTAGTGTGAATCTTTAAGATCCTGTCATTCTGTCACAGGTTGACATTTATTCCTGGGAAACAAAAAATAAACGCTCACTGTTGTTTCTACAGAAAACATGAATGGCACTGAGTCTGCTTTTCGAGGCTCAATAACTCATAACTTTCCACTATGGCGGCTTTAAGCTTTAAAACAGACTGAGCCTACATTTTAATCAGTTACGATTTTGAAGCTGTTATTAGTGGGAAACCTCAAATTGATAAGAAGTCAGTACCTTTCAAGATATAAATGTCCAACCCTGTTTAAAATTTCCAAGCATTCCTTTGCTAAAATCAAAAGAGGAGAGAGAAAAAGGTAGCATATTTTATCTATATTCTTCGCCAATTCTATTCAGAGAAGAACTTATTAGCAAAAAGATATCTTTGGCACCTTAATTCAGGAGCATATTTTTCTATTCCCCAACATCTGACTCTGCATCTGTGAGAAAGGAGGTGTGAACCACAGAGAGTGAATAAATTAAAACAGAGTCAGACTCTTTGTACAGTCATCCACCACCAAATAAGAGCTCTCCAACTCCTTCTGAAATGGGTCTCTCTTTCACAGAAACACTAATTTTAAAAATAGGGAAAAGGTTATGGCAAAAAACTCCAACTTTATGCCTTAGCGAGGGGGCAATATACTGTCTGCTATCTGGGGATATTTGGCCAAGAATCCACGATTCAGGTTTCGCTTTGTAGGTGCCAGTACCACGGGGTGAAGGACAGAGAGAACAACAAAAATGGCTGTCTCAAAATGACCTGGGCACAAATAATCCGTGCTTCTAATTCCCTGTCTGTCCAGGAGAATTTTACATACAAATAAGCCCTAAACAAATAATGAATGAATGAACAGTCTGTGTTTCTGCATCTCATGAATGTAACAGTACAGTACAGTACTTATTTCTAGGAGCCCTGTAAATTCAAACGAACAGCAGAACAAGGAGCTGCCCTGGACATTTTCTGTAACTGCACACATGTCTCAAGGCTTTTATCTCTGTGGTTACCTCCTAATGGTAAGCTTCATGCAGGTCCCCAAAACTAGTCACTGTAAGAACGTGTGGTGAGAACAAGAAAGAAAACAAAGGAGGGGGAGTAGGAACTTTTAGGGATCCAGGAAGACAAGCTGCCTGTAAATATTTGTATCTTGCCTTTTAAAGGAGTGCCAGGAGGTGAGTACTGAAGACTCACACAGCATGAATAATGTTTGATCAAATCAATAAAGAAATATGATAAAAAGCCAATTCTATCGCTACAGAAAAGAAATAAAATACATAGAAAAATTCCAGGTATTCTATTATTGTTTCTATTTAATACTTATAAAATCCTACCAAGTAACCATTATCAGCAGACTGGGGGTCATTAAGTATTTAAATGAATGAATGAATGAATGAATGAATGAATGTATCAGCTTCATTTAACCTAAATGTGTCCTAAGTCACAAGTCTACAAATGATATCTTGGGAAATGGGATCTAATTCAATCTGACCCCTAAAGCCCCTTGGCTGTTTTATGGTATACTGCACTAAACAGAAACGAACACCAATTAATAGCTTTCAACTCTCCCTCATATAGAATATGCTAAACTTGATCAGTTACCCACTCCTTTCGATCTCAACATTTTCTAGGCCATTTCTGTAGCCCAAAGCCAAATTAATGGAATTTGGTTTTCCCCACAGTTCTATATCATTGACTTTGTTGCCCCACAATTAATTAACTAAGTGTTCACAATAGAATTTATCACAATTCTTACAGAGGGAGGAAATGGAGGACTCTTCTGGCATTCTTGGAGAGTCTGACAGACTGTTGGCATTTTTTTTCATCCTTCAATACAAATGTGAGGCCAAGTGTTTAATTATTCTGTTTTTACTGTAATGCATCCACTTTTATCTCTTCACCAGCAATGGATGGAGACTATAAAGAATGTTCTTTCAAAGGTCTCCCTGGCACACAAATGAGTCGCCTGAAAGCAGTGCCTCATCAAGTTCTCTGAAGGTGCTGATGAGAGGATTCCTTACTCCAGGGCTGTTCACTGTGGGCCTGTAGCACTGAAAGGGCTCCCCATTTATGCCTCAAATACTCTGTTATGAAAGCGTTAAGAGACAGCTGGCTCAGTCGCCATCTTCCCTCCTGCCTCCTGCCTCCTGCCTCCTGCCTCCTGCCTCTGAGGTGGCTCAGCAGATAAAAGGACGGCCCTGTGGTTGGGGCTGCCTTCTGATATTCTGACTACGGGAGTTGAATGTCCCACACAATGGACAAAAGTGACAGAACAGCTACAGGTGTGATGTTCCATTTTAAATTCTTTGTCTCCATTGGGCAACAAAGCCAATAAATAGCTCTTTCAATTTTTGAATCCACATATTTCCAGTTCAAAGGAGACTAACTCAGAAATAAATTTGGAAAAAAAAAAAACCTGAAAGGCTGAAATGCAGTTCATCTTTTAAAATTTTTTATAGGTTCTTTGTGTCTAGGTATTTTTCTAAGGTTTAATCACAGCAAACCCTGCTTCACTTTGTATATTGATAATTTTTTTAACTACTGTAGTTTTCACAATGAAATTAGTTTTAAATCCTTTAGCTCGTCTATTTAAAATGAACACAAAGTAAATCTGTCTAAGTGGAAGCTTTATATGTGGTTAAGTAAAGAAGCCACACTGATGCCTTATTTTAAACTCTTCTGTTCAGAGGGTTCCTCAAACATGCATGGAACCAGGTCCAGAAGAGGAGAAGCTGAAAAGGAGGGGTGCCGCTCGAAGCGAAACAGAGACTGGGAAGAGTGGACAACATTGGTCCCAACACATTTTCCCAGGGAGCTCTGTCTGTCCTGGAAAGTGTCACAAGTTTGGGGCTAGATGAGAGCTTCCTGGGCCCCCACTTGAGTTTCTGACCTAAAATAGGAAAAAATGAGGATACAGAGGAAGACAGATCAAACTATTCCCTGAGAAAGGGAGGTAGTTCTTTTGGAGGGAAGAGGTGAGCCACCATCAGACGCCAGACAGCTGGAGAGGGTAACACTAGCTACTAACCCTGGCGAGGCTGCAGATCAAGCCCACGGTTTTCCACATCCAGACCCACCATGAAAAGAGAGACTTAAGTGATAAGTCAAAATGTCAAAGAGTGATCACCTCTGGATGGTTGACTCACTTTTTTAGATTTTCTACAAAAGTACTATTTTTATGATTAGGAGAAATCAAACCAAGAAAGTATTTCTTCTTAGAGATGAATAGTAGTCAAATTATATTTATCACTTTTTTTAAAATACTCTTTTGGCTAGGTGGCCATTCTACTGTCTTAACTTAGTTTTTTATAGAAAAAGTTAATTATAATATAATTTAATACATCTGAAATACACCTAACTATTCATCCTACATTAACGTAACTGGATGCCACTATTTAGCAAATGGAGCAAATCAGTGAAGAATTAAGGTCTGCAGAGGATGAAACTCAGACCACTTGGAGCAGGAGCATCCGGAGTGCCCGAAAAAAACATGTTAAGTGCAGGTGTACAGAATCTCCACAGCACACATGCCTGGGTTCCACGTCCACCAATTCAAACAGTGTCTCTGATGGAAGGCTCCAGGCACAGGTCATTTTTAAAAGCTACTGTAGGATTCTAAAATGCAGCCTGGAATGAGAGTGGTGAGATCGCATTATCTGCACTTTTAATAAGCACACAGGTGATTCTTCCACAAACTAAAGTTTGCCAACCACTGGCCCCTCTCCACCTCAAAGCTACTGAATAGCTGCATTTGAAGACAGAAATGACAAGTAGAAAACAAAAGACCATTCCCTAGTCAAGGCTATCAATTCGTGCATATTTTGATTACTATGACAAAGTTGGTACAGCAATTTTAATGCTTTCTGTGTTTCATAGATGGATATGCCATTTTGTTTTTCTGGTTTATTTGGAAGGTATATGCTGACTACACTCTTGAATTTTAAGATCTTAAGGTTAATAAGATGCACTACTCATTTCAAGCTATATTTCACAATGGAGATATTTTTCCATCTCAGTCATGCTCAATCTCTCTTGAGAAGAATATTAGGTAATCATATGTGGTAAGGATATTCTCCACCTATATTAGTAATGATTATTGCTGAAAACATCTTATTTCCTCTTCTTTCCAAAGAAGTGCCTCCCTTTAATTGGAATAGGCTTGCCATTGAGGAGAATAGGAGAGAAAAAGAGAGAAGCCTGCACAGGAAAGGGGGAACAATAGAACTTTGCTAATGATAATTCCCAGCTACCTTCAGTTTCAGCCTTAGTGACAACTCCAATCTGGACACCTATCCAGACCTTACCCAGGACTTTCAGTTCAACTCCACAAAACCTTGCTGAACACTCACCCTGAGTTGGGGTCTTGGTCATCTAACAGATTTTTTTTTTAATTTTTTCCCCAGGTAATTTCTAGAACCTGAGAAATTTTATTTTAGATCAAATCTCTTATATACTCAATCCTGAATGTCAAGAAAATCTGTCCAATTATCTTCTCATAATATCTTCACTGTATTCTTTTCTTTTCACCCAGACAGCCCTGTTGAGCTTTTCAGAGTCACACAGGAGTGGGACCGGCAGTGAGTCCAAAGGGATTTCAAGGGCCATTCACCAAATTCAGTCTATGATATACTTTAGCACAACTAGGGACTAGGAACCCAGCATTTTTACAGCTTGAGAAACACTGGTTGGAAAAAGAGTATAAAAGAGTAACCAAATAGGGCCACAGATGAGCATCTGCTCTATTGTTTTCTACTGGCATTCCTCTCCAGCTGGGTCCTGGCAGCTGTGGAATCGACAAGCTATTTCTTTCTAAGAAATGAAGTATTTTCAGTTGTCCCCCATCACTGACTTCTCCTTCATACAACAGTAAAGGCAACCACAGGTGTCCTCCGCTACTCCTGATTCCCAAGCCTCATCTTCATCCTCACCACACGAGCTTCAACAGTCATGAATGACCCAATGACCTGCAGTGCTCCAGGTGCTGAGTGAGCTTCTAAGTCTCCAGTGCCCTTGAACGTGCTGTGCTGCTTCTGTGTTTAGAAGCCCCCAGTCCACCCATTTCCCCAAGCACTCCTTAACCCTATACTTCAAAGCTCGCTCCAACACCACCTTCACTCAGCAGTCTTGCCCAAGTTCCCTCTGCCCCATGAAACGGTCTCCTCCATCCAGTGCAGGCATATGTATCCCTATGACCATGCATCTGTCATTCTGCCACCAGACCTAAGAGTCTTAAGGACAAGTGCGGGATTTTCTTTTCTGTTGACTAAAAGTCTACATCAAACCTATGATGTCCAAAAGTGAACACTTGAAGTTTCTCCCCAAACCAGGGCATCCCTGAGTCTTCCAGAACAGTCAATCAATCCATCCTCCCAGAGTCTGACGCCAAAGAAAATACAAACCAACAAAAACATCAAGAAGTAACTTTTCCTCATGCACCACATGGTCCTTCAGCAAATCCTGTGGCTCTACCTTCAGAATATCTCCAGAATGTGATCATCTCATCACCTCCACGCTTTCGCCTCTGTCCCCCTTCACCAGACCTCCACCTAAACCCCTGCCTCCCCACACCTACATCTCCTCCTCTGCCCTCCACACCTTCATCTCCACCCCTACCCTCCACACTTTCACCTCCACCCCTACCCTCCACACCTTCAGCTCTTACCCTCCCCACCATACCTTCACCTCCACCCCTACTCTCCACACCTTCACCTCCACCTCTATGGTCCACACCTTCACCTCCACCCCTACCATCCACACCTTCACCTCCACCCCTACTCTCCACTCCTTCACCTCCACCCCTTCCCTCCACACCTTCACCTCCACCCCTACCATCCACACCTTCACCTCCACCCCTTCCCTCCACACCTTCACCTCCACCCCTTCCCTCCACACCTTCACCTCCACCCCTTCCCTCTACACCTTCACCTCCACCCCTTCCCTCCACACCTTCACCTCCACCCCTACCTTCCACACCTTCACCTCCACCCCTACCCTCCACACCTTCACCTCCATCCCCACCCTCCACACCTTCACCTCTTACCCTCCCTACCATACCTTCATCTCCACCCCTTCTCTGCATACCTTCACTTCCAACACTACTAGCCGTAACTTCACCTCCACCCCTCCCTGCCACACCCTCACCTCTGCCCCAGCCTACCCCGCCACATTACTTCCACCACTAGCCATCACGCCTTCTCCTCGCCTACCACCTCACCATCCAGTAACTGCTTGCCCAGTTACTCCAGTGTACCTCCCAACTGGTCTCCCTACCTCTGCACTCTCTGTACTGTGTTTTTCACACAACAGCCAGGTTGATCCTTTTACAATATAAATAAAAACATGTCACGTCTTGGCTCAAAATCCTCCAATGACTCTGCATTTCCCTTAGAGTAAGCTCCACTGTCTGGATACGCTGGCCTGAAAGAGCGCTACTCCAACGCCCTCATCATCTACTTCTGTTCCCTTCTCAGCGTCCTCCCCACCACTCCTCCCACCCGAGGCCTCTACATTTGCTATTCTTGCCTGGAACATATGTCTTCCTTGGCTTATTCACCCACTGTGTTCAAGTCTTTGCTCAGATTCTCCTTCTCAGCGAGGCCTTCCCTGTCTACCCCTCCTGGCTCTGTCCCCGTTTCCTGCCCCCTTTTCTCCCTAATACCCATCACTAGTCCAATACGCTACCTACTTCAGCTGCTTACTTTGGTTTTTACTGTCTCCTCCCATCAGAGGCTCTAAGCCCCAGGAAGTGGGGGATTTTTAGTTATCATATCCCCTCTGTTGTATCCCAGGCATCTAGAATAGTGCATGGCATGTAGTGGGTGCTCAAAGAGTATCTGCTGAATGTATGAACTCAGCTTTGGGATTCCAGGCCCTTAAATCCTAAGTGTCAGGCACTTAGCAGGTCCTCATTAGATTATGTTTGCTGAATGAGGGCACCCAACTGCTATATCCTTAAAAAGATAGTTTTAAGTTGTGCTTTGTATTATAGGTAATTTCTGGGCAAAATGACACTATGATAAACAAACTTACTGAAATTATTAGAATCATTTTTTATAAGGACAGTCCAACCTAGTGAAAAGTGCATAGTCACTGATGTCAGACAGACATGGGCTAGAATTCTAGCCCTACTACCTATTAAGTGTGCGTGTAAAATGAAACAGGCAAACATGTCTTTATTATTCAGAAAAGCACTTTGGAGAATGACCCATCCATCCTAAATCCTGACCCTAATGTTCCTTATTTTATCTTCCTTATGAATGAGGGTCTGCTATAGGCAGACTTCTGCTTGTCTTAAAACTAAAGAGAACACATTAAAACACACACACAAACACAAACACACACACATACAGAGCAATCAATCGATATTTAAAACACGGATGTTATATCCAGGAAGCATAATATAAACTACCTAGTTTATAATTAGCAGTAAGCAACTTGATATGAGCCTTGTCTTTTTCAAAAAGGATTAACAATAAAAGCCAAAAACACATTAAGATATTCAGACATTAATAAATGCCATTTATTAATCACTGTTGCCAATTGGTATCAGTCACCAATCTCCTACAAAAGTGATGACATCTAACAGATTATGTTCAGAGTTAGCTGTGTCCCCTACCAACTGTGTGAATTTGAGTAAGTTACGTAAACTCTCTAAAAATCAATTTGTTTCAGTTGAAAAATGTAGATAAAATACCTAACCTTAACATTGTTGACTACATAGCATTAATATAGCACAACACACATTGGAGACATTCAATAAATGGGCCATCTTTTTTAAACCAGTAGAGCTATTCCTTTTGATACTATCTCCTGGCTAGAATTTATTCCAGTATTAAAAAAAGAAAATGAACAGCTTGTTAAAATCAAATGATGATTTGGACCAAGTTCCTTAAAACTTATGAAATATTACCTCCTCCTTTAGAGCTTTCTAGGCCTTAAGATCACGAGTGCTAATAAAATCATAATGAATAAACCAAATTAAGGAACAGGTTGAACTCTCTCCTTGCCACTCTGTCAGAAAAATAACAGTAGCATCTATCACTTTTGTGCACTTGTCATTTCCAGTAACGTGCTTACATGAACTCCACTGAAAATCTGAGCTTGGGAGATAATTACTTACCCCAGGACTTTCTCAGGAGGGAGATAAGGGACAAGGAGTTCAGACAAAGGTTATGGGGGACAGTGATGCCCTTGGTTAGCCAGAAAGACAATGAAAATAAATTTTCTGGGCATCAAGGAACTACAAGTATAAAATAATAATTACCAGAGCAACTTCTTATCTGATACTATAAATACTTTGTCTTCTTCATTTAGCTTCTAAACGGCATGATAAAACAATAACAAAAAATCTTCTTTACTTTCCAAGCTGTGTTTTCCCCTGGTGATGGGGACAAAAGGGAATGATTTACTATTAGTATAATTTTTATATTAACACTGTACAACCCAAAAGAAGACATATTTTCCACTGAACTATCTCTGTCTAATGCCAAAACTTTTGCAAAGTATTCCTGTCCTATTTTCCAAACACATTTACTCATTCCTTATCACCATGTATCTGCTTCTTATGTATAAGAATCTAGTAAGAGGCTGGACACGGTGGTTCATGCCTGTAATTCCAGTGCTTTGGGAGGCCGAGGTGGGTGGATCACAAGGTCAGGAGATCGAGACCATCCTGGCCAACATGGTGAAACCCCGTCTCTACTAAAAATACAAAAAATTAGCCGGGCATGGAGGCAGGCATCTGTAATCCCAGCTACTCAGGAGGCTGAGGCAGGAGAATCACTTGAACCTGGGAGGTGGAGGTTGCAGTGAGCCGAGATAGCACCACTGCACTCCAGCCTGGGCAAGAGAGCGAGACTCCATCTCAAAAAAAAAAAAAAAAAAAAAAGAATCTAGTAAGAATACCAGCTATTTGATGTGTCCATTACTTAAGTCTGGTAGCAACACCCAGGCCAGTTAAGCACAGATTATACATAAACATTTTAAAAGGCAGCAAACTCTGCTTAATTGTGAGAACAAAGACAATCTTTAGAGATTTCTAATCAATGCCATCTGCCTGGGAGTGCTGAGCAGTCTCTCATGGAAGTGTTACAAGACCAACGCAGCAGAGGCCAGCTTCAGAGGCCAGTAGGGAAAACACCCTTGAAGGTAATAAAGCCAACAGTTTTCATCATCGGACACTGGCATAATGCTGAGAAATTGTTCATAAACATTCAAACTGGTTTGGTCTTGCCTAAGAAGATGTTTTTAACAGAAAAGAGCTCCTTTCAGGATTTCTGAGAAGAGAAAATAAACCAAAGAACACAAGGTGGCCAGCCCCCATGGCAGAGGAGGGCTCAGGACCTCACCTGGCCCAAACAACACCCTCTCAACCTTGGAGGTGAGTATTCATTTTCTTGAGTTGGAGAATTGCATCTTAAAGGACCACACTAAGGTGTCCATTCCTGGGGAACACCAACTAGCTCATCAGAGGTGTCAGCGGCTGCCTATGGGTAGCAAGGTCCTGAGAGAATAGAGTTAAACGTGGTAGGAAGAATAAAAGGTTTGCAATTTAAATGGGAGTAAAAACATTAATCTTCCTATTTCACGGTTTGGTACTTTAGAATCACACTAATCTAAAAGGAATCGAAGGAGATCAAAAGGTAAGTCAGCTAGCCCCAAACTGCATCTGCTCAAACCAAAGGCACTGGCTTCACACAAAGAAACCGTGAAATCAGAGTCAAATTGTTCTGCTTACCTTTGCCAAATCACCTTAAGTAAATTCCTACCAATAGGGTATATGTTGTTTTTGCTACCATTCTGCTTTGTTTGGGTGTATAATTTTCTTTATAATCATTCACTCATTGAATCTATCATTCAGTAGTATGCATATACTATGTGCTAGGTCCCAAGGATAGGAAAATAGGAGACTTTGTTATCTTGTTTGCAATTTTACTACTTTTGATCTTTACCACTGAACAAGTTACACATGACAATCATTAAAATAGCTAAACACATGCAAATGAGTGACTTACAACTAACCACCAAACTAGAGCCAGGTTGGGAAGAACCCATACTCCTAGAACACACACTCACCCCATATTACAGATGCAGTAATTTAATATGGAGATCAGGGAAAGCTGGTATTGCAGAATTAGTTTAACACTTGAGGGCTCGTACCTCTGAGAAAGAGCTTTTCATTTGAAGAAAGATGTTAATGGGATATGACTTTGTACGTACTGTGATTTTGTTATAAAACTAGTATCAATGACTCAGGCAACACCTGCATCTGAAGGATTTCTGGTCTGCTAATAGGCCCATGACATGTAGTCCAGGGAGGGACACAGTTTGACTCACTACACTTAGTAATGGGAAGTCTGCATGATGAGTGAGCCAGGAAGTCCCAACTTTCTTCCCTAAGGACCCTGGTATAGCATCATCCCTTACATAAAACCAAGCCCCATCCCCAGGCAGCTGTAGATCCCCAATCTGGGCTGGAGTATGGTAGGTGGAGCCACGTAACATTTACCTAATAGCCCTATGATCTCAGCTGAGATAAAAAAACAAACGTGTAGGAGACTGACAGGCAGGGCTGGGTAATTGTTTTCAAAATCATTTAGCATCCTGAATGCACAATCTGAAAAATCAGAACAAACCAGTAGTTCAGCAGTGAAGGTCAGTGGGGTATGTATGGGAACCACAAATGTGTGGCTTTATTTCTGGACTATCAGTTCCATTCCAGTGGTCTATATATTATCCTGCGCCGCATTCTTGGAACGTCTGCGGCACTGTGTAGCCACTGCCCAGCCTGACCATGGGCTCTTCCTCAGCAGAGAGCAGCAGTTTTTAGCTTTCTATCCTAATGCCTAGCACATAGTTCGCATATTTCTTCAGCATATATTCAATGAATAATCTAGTTGTTTTATTTTAAAGTATACCCCATCACCCTCAAATTTTATCTGGTAAAATCATTAAGTCTACATCAATATTTTTACCTTAAAAGCTAGCTCTATCTGCCTACTTATTTAGGAGAGGAATAAAGGAGGAATAAAAATTCATTGTAGGCAATCAGTTAAAAAAACAAAAGAGGAGACTTTGAAATAACTACACGGTACCTGTGTACTGTCCCTTTATTCAAGTGGGAAATAACTGAGCTCCTCAACCAGTGGGTATTCCAGAAACTCTGGAATACCTGTTATGCAGTGAAAGAGCAAAGAACAAAGTCATTTGTTTGACCTAAGACCTTCATTCTCAATTAACCAGAGGCAGACAACAGATTATCATCCACAGGCCTCCCACTTCTTCCTGCCTGCAGTGAAATTCTGGTCAGTTTGATCTGCCTGAGACTTCCAGCACCGAGACAGGAGGAAAAAACAAAGTACATGAAATTAAAGTGAATTAATTTGATTTCTCTCCAATATCTCCCTTGAAAAATTGACTTGAAGAAGCAAGCAGAGATGGTTAAAGGTCCCAAGTCTCACCCTTTCTTTAATAGCTGTGGAGGTATTTTGGTTTTTTTTTTTTTTTTTTTTTTTTTTTTTTTGTATGTAGACCCAATTTTCCCTTAAGGGCAAAGGATCAAAACTTGGGTTCTCCCTTCTTTGGCCCAGATTGGTTTTTTCATAATAAGTCTAACAAAATCAACATGATTTTTGGTCAAATATTGAATCCATATTTCACAATACCAAACTGAAGCTTTTTAGGGTCTCTTATTTTTTACATTTACCATATAAAATGTTAATTTAAGAGTAATTTTCAGAGAGGTGATCCCCAGTGCTTAGTTCCTCAATACTGCAACCTTCCAGACGCATACAGACAGAGAGGTGATCCCCAGTGCTTAGTTCCTCAATACTGCAACCTTCCAGACGCATACAGACAGAGAGGTGATCCCCAGTGCTTAGTTCCTCAATACTGCAACCTTCCAGACGCATACAGACAGAGATGTGTGCCAGAGACAGGGATGAAAACAAAATTCAGAGAACCACCTGGATGGAGATTAAGAATGCACAAAAATTAAGCTGGTACAGATTCGCAGTTTCAAAAGGCTTCCAGAGTAAAGTAATATTTGAGAATAACTACTTCAAAATCGCTTTCAATAAGACAAGGAGATCAGGTAGCATTAGAATTTTCTTTCTGGTCAAGTTCAGCAATGTAAGAAAACAGGTATGGATTTGGAAGAAGAATCAGAGGACAATTAGACTGGATCAGACCACCCAGCTGCTTGTTCCTGTAATGAACACAGCACAGTATGCTAATGCTGGGGACATAATGATGAACAAAAAAGACATGGATATAAATTCCCATCCTCAAAAACCTTATAATTTAGAGAAAACACACCCAAGTAAACAGTTCTAAGACAGCTGAGAAATGCCATTAAAAAGGCCTGGATGCTACAGGACATAGAGAACTGGATGCTAGAAGACATAGAGAATGGGCACTCAACCTTGACTGGGGAGATCAGGGTTTCCTTCCAAGAGAAAGTGAAATCTGATATCCAAAGAATACAGCAAGGTGAAGAAAGAGTGTCTTTGTTTGGGTGGGGGCTGGTGATGGTAAGACAGGAGGCTCAAGAGGTCACGAGCGATCTGACCGCAAAGGGAACTCATCAATGCACATTAGGAGCAATGGAGAACGAGTTCAAGATTTTCAGGGTGAGCACAATAAAGGTAGATTGGTGTTTCAGACACACCACACTGGCTAGAGAATGGAGAATGGATTAGGGAACAGACCTGAGGTCAAAAGTAAATAAAGGAGGACCATTGAGGAATGCGTTTTGATGACCCAGCAGAAAGAAGATGAGGGGTTGAATAATTATAATATCCTAGAAATGGAGAGGAGTTTTGGAAGGCAGGGAGGATGGGGAGCTTTAGCCCTCCCCAGTAGCTCCATTAGTTCCAGCTCCTACCATAAGGTACCCTAAAATCATCATTATCATCGTCAAAATTTCAAGTGGCTGGCTCTGCAAACGTAGACTTAGGATAAATCCTCTAGTTCCCTACTTCCCAACAGCCTACCTAGCTAAGCCCTGCCTATATGTAAATGCTGGATCCACCACTAAAGAAGCATCAGTAAGCAGTTTCTGCAGAGATTAGAATCCATAGAATATAGCAGGATGAGGAAAACAGCATGCATGAGGGTGCTTGGGCATCTGGTGGATGGTATGTTCGATCCCTGTGGTTAGGGAATGCAGCTGCAGTCGTTTGTCATTCTCTCTCCCAAGTTTTTCTGATTCTCCTCTTTCCAGGCACATAGTAGGATCACACTTCCTTATCAGCCTGGGTCCCTCCATTATTCCTATGAGTAAAAGCTTCTTGCCAAACAACAGTGCACACATAGCTCATGCAAGAAGTGAATTTGCTCTTTGAAGCCTCAGAGATTTGAGCGTTGCTACAGCAGCGTAACCTAACCTACGCTAATCAACTGAGCTGGAGAGGACCACAAATCTACTATGTAGAGAAAAGAGAAAGCCAGTTATGTTTGTGCCAAATTTGAAGTACCTAGAAAAAAGGAAAGGGTAGGATAGCAAGGTTAAAGAGAAGGTGACAGTGCAGAAAATGGAAAGACTTTTCTCTCATTTACACACTCATGGAGCATCTCCTCTGTGACTAGGCCAGGAAACTGTGCACACTGTCCATTGGTCTTCGCCTATTATAGAGACACAGTAAAACCTAGAGGGTAAGAGTCTATCTCCTACAGTCACACTACTTGGGCTCAACTGACTCCACAATGAATTAGCTGGGTAACTTTGGGTAAGTAACTTAACTTTTCTGAGCCTTGGCTTAGTTAAGTGGTGATATTAATCATATCAGCAAAATGGGGATAGTTAACATTCCTTTCTCACCAGCTTATGAGGATTTAGTAAGAAAATTCACATAATTTATACAGGATCTGGCATATCTTAAGTACTCAGACATTAGCCCCTACTTATTTATATTTCAGATTACAAAACCCAGGATATACAGAATATTGTCTCTTATAGTCATTATGGCTCATCCAGGACAGAAAATCAAGATAATTTTAATGTATGTCCTACCAGAAGTCTGATGATAAAATATGATATAGCAAAGCCAAAGCTGCATTCTAAAACTTGAAGTCCATGTCAATTAAAAAAGTAATAATGACTTTGGTCATGTTACTACAGAGGCCAAAGCATAATTATAAGGTTACAAAAGTGGAAGAAAATGAGGATTTTCCCCAGTATGTCTTGTGTATTAAATTACAACTGTGAACAGCAACATAGCTGACATCAACCCTTATGCAGTGATTACTTCAGTATGAAACACTTGTTCCTCCTTCCTGCCCTAACTTAATTGAAACAGAACACTAGAGCAGCTGTTAATATAGCATAGTCCTCACCACTGATTATAGTGCAAAGTTCATCTTCCCTTCACAGGATAAAGCAATGCAAAACGTTAAGTTCATATATGTTTTTATATGTGATGCCAATCACAAATGGCACAAAATGTTCTCCAACATTTTATATGTAATTTAAAACCATAACCAAAATAAGACATCACATTGCATAAGTGGTAAAAATACAGGTTATATGACTGGATTGCTCTTGGAATATACTTTCTTCCTCTATTTGTACATAAATATTATAATCCACCAGCAAATAATTATTTCCAAAGTAGTTTTCTCCTTTTTACAAGACAAGTCCACAAACACCACCTTACGCACATTGGATACTAAATGTGTGTATCTGCTTTATTTTTATCAAGAAATGTCAAAACATTAATGAAAGTTACAGAGAAACAATATATTTTCAAATGAACCTCTTATGAAAAATGCTAAGTCTCAGAAATGTATTCACTTAGAGGAATCATTATCGCTTCCTTGGTATTACTTGGATGCTGGAGGTTTAAAAAAAATAGACGAAATGTTTCTCACTCCATATGTTTCTGACAAGAAGGTGGGATTTCCTTGGCCCTAGAATCCATTAGTGCTGACAGGGTACAGCTGCACCCATAATATTCTCTTTTTCCAAATTACAGGTATATAATGTTTATTTCCCAAGCTATCTTTAAATCAACATATGCTGAATAGTCAAATATTTTTAAAACACAATTCTGACCTATAAAATAAATGTGTGTTCTCCCTTGCAGAGCTTTTTGAGCCAACACTGTATCAGTGACTGGCCATCTATCTATTATTACTAACAGTAAGTGGGGTGCTTTTCACAAGTGTCTAAAACCAACATATGCTGGAGAGGACATTTTATTTTTATTCTATATGCACTTTGGCTCCTTGGTGCCCACAGCAAACAGCTGTCACTTACCGCAAGCCTTTCCTAACACTTTCTGTAATTCCTAAGGGGCTTCCCAGTCTATAATTAGACTCTCCAGCTGCCACCATGTACACTGCGGGGTGCTACTGAGAGTTTTTTTGCTTTGTAGCATTCCCTAAAAAGTCTTCTTCAAGATGGTGTTGCTGAAATAACATTGTTTGGTATTCAGCTTGGGTAGCAAATATGAATTCTTCAACCATTTGCTATGAACAAGTCTGTTCCACAAGTAAGGTTTGCTTTGAAATGAACTCTGCATCAGTCATATGGGAAAGGAATTGAGTCTAAGCATAAAAAACAGGGAAGTAGAAAGCAATACTAGAAACTTCCTGATTCAGAATTGCAGAGAACATCAGTATTGAACCAGTTACAACAACTCTCTTGGTCTTTTACATAATTCTTCTTCCCAGGCACCATCACCAGGATTAACTGAAATAGCACAGCAAAAAGGAAGTAAGAAAGAACAGGCAAAAATCTCCCCCTCCTGTCTCAAAATCCTTAAGGTCAACAATGCCAGAAAAGATAGCGTGAAAGTGAAACACAGTTGTAAGTCAAAAAATAAGAGGAAGCAGCAAGCTTTAAATTGGAGTAACTCTTTAAAACAAAATGAAGTCTGATTTTTAGAAAATGAAAACATTTTCAAAACACAGAGCACTATCCACCACCCCTCTCATTCCAGCCTAGGTGTTCACAGGAAGCAAATGCACAGAAATAGGTTTTTCTCAATAGAGGAGGACCTGCTGCAATGGGAGAGGGAAGCCTGTGCACACAGATCCTCCTCACTCAACCTCAGGAAGTCATCATTTCCCTGACTATAAAAGCTGCTAATATAATGAACCAAACGCAAGTAAGTGCCCATAGAAAGTTAGACATGCTAACAGCTGATAGCCGATGTGGAGTCCTTAGGGTAGAAAGATAGTTTTACCAACAAAAGCCCAGGTGCCGCAGATGCCCTTGATCCAAGCACCACATCCAGAGCCCCAAGTCCAGGGGCAGATACTCCCGAAACTCACACCTCATTTCCACTACGGATGTGCTCCTCCTGGGTGGTTGACACCTGGCCATTACTAGGAACTTTCCAAGGGCTCATCTAATTGGCAGGATTTAAAAATGCCCAGCTTAGACAAAAGCAAGGGGACGCTCATTATTTATCTCGATTATAGGGATTCTTGTTCTCCTTACGTGCTATTTCCCAGTGAGAGGATTTCTTAACCCAGAAACCAAATGGTTAAGGAGAGAGTAATACTCATACTGGTTCCTGACATTATCAGTTGTTCTCCAAGTGAATTTCCCAGTAAGCTGAAGTCTGTTCCTTCCAGTAGAAAAAGGGGCTTTAAAACCATCTTTAATGGACAGTGTTTGTAACACTATCACGTCCGCTGAAGGCAAAAATGTTAACCACTGTGAACTTCCAGCATTTCCTTTTTCCACAGCCACAGCTATATGACTGTCGTGGATATCAGCTGGTATGAATACAGGGAATGTAAATTCATTGCAGGATTGGCCTAAGCAAAATAATTAACAAGACAGACTTGGTTTTTTTAACCCAGCAGTTAAAATATATACATTTAGCCCACTATATATTTGTATTAGCAGAGATCACTAACAGTTGATAACTGCACACAAAATCTGCTGATCAGAACAGTTAAAACCAGAGTATGGAAAGGCCTCAATTTGCCAGTTAATTATATTCCAAAACATTACTTGTAAAATGGTTGCATGCCAAAAATTCCATTTTCCACAGAAATTGTATTATAAATCACAGTTAAGTTTCAAAGATTGTCTATAAAGTCTTAAGCCAGATTGCAAGTCAACAATATCTTAGTCGAGTCTCACAGATGCATGTGAATGTTCTTCCTAAACCCAGCAGGGATTAGCTGTCAGGGAGGAGGACTAGGTGCTGCTCTGAGGGCAGAGCAACATCGTCTTGTCGGTTCTGTTCATGCGTCTATCACTGAACGTTTCAAGCAGTCTCTGGCACATAGGAGGCACTCAATATTTGTCAATGGATGAATGAACAAATCAGAGGATGCAGCAACCGCAAACCTGAGAGTCTGACAGGGTGAGGGATCAGAAGGGTCCCATTAAAGTTAATTCTGATTGTTAGACTGAAAAGGTCTCCCGCTTACGTTCCTGGAGCCTGCCCCAGGACACCTCCACAGAAGAAACAATGTCAAGTTTTCTGGGTATCTCCCCAGAAATGTTCTAATCATATTCCAGCACAAATATGTATACAACCCCTCCCCTTAAAAAATAAATAAAAAGGACATTTATTATGTTTTTTTCTTTTTGAGATGGAGTCTCACTCTGTTACCCAGGCTGGAATGCAGTGGCATGATCTTGGCTCACGGCAACCTCTGCCTTCCAGGTTCAAGCGATTCTCCACCTCAGCTTTCCGAGTAGCTGGGACTACAGGCATGAACCAGTGCACCTGGCTAACCTTTTTGTATTTATAGTAGAGACAGGGTTTCACCACGTTGGCCAGGCTAGTCTCGAACTCCTGACCTCAAGCAATCTTCCTCCCTCGACCTCCCAAAGTGTTGAGATTATAGGTGTGAGCCACTGCACCTGGCCAGGAAGCATCTTATCCACAGAGTTCCACTTGATGTTTTCCCATCAGCAGCATGTGGCCGGGTCATCCCTCCCTCCCCGCCACCACCAGACGCTTTTCTCCCTTAGGATTCCAGCACCAGCTCCTGGCTTTCCTCCTCCCCCACTGACCACCACTCTGGTCTGTGGACACTGGAGGACCACAGGGCTTGGTCCTTGGAACTCTTCTATACCTATGCTCAGTCTTTGAAGAGCTTAACTGGCGTCCTGGCTCTAGATATTGTCACCAGCATCCCTTAGCTAGATGACATAATGGGCTCCTAAGGGGTCTCCCTGCTCCGTCTCCTCTCTCCATCCCCACAAGGTCTATTTATTCCTTACTCATCCTATAGAGCTCCTCTCTTAATTTAAGGTCAGGTCAGGGGATGCACACATCAGGCCCCCTCAGGGAGACCATGGCCTTTCAAGGGTCCACACGGCCCTGCCACCCATGGCCCCGTTTCTTCTGGATCCTCGCCACCTCCAACCCTCCCTCTCTCTGCTCCAACCACACTGGCTTCCCTGCCACTCCCACCCTAGAGCCTCGCACTGTAATATTCTTCCTCAGACCGCCACCCACCTCCCACCCCGTGTACTCCCTCACACGCCCTTCAGGACAGTGTTCAAATGCACCTCTCTCCAAAGCTTGCCCTAACTACTCCCTAAAATCCTCTCACCCTTCCTGATCCTTGCCCCACTTCATTCTGCCCCATAACTCCTGTCTGATCTCCTCTGTGCTGTATTCACGTCTTGATTATTTTCTGTTTCTCGCCTGTGCAATAGAAGCTCCAGAACAGCAGGGGTTTGTATCTGCTTGCTTCTCTTCCATCTTCAGTCCTAGAAGAATGCCTGGGACTTAACCACAGGCAATCAGAAAGTCTTTGTTGAATAAACAAATGAAAGAATAATGTATTTTATACTATTTCTTAACAGTTTACTAGATGGCTAAAATGACCTCCTTGTATTCAGCACAGGACTGGGTGTCCACCGTGGGATGTAGAGATTGGTGAGGTCAGTCCCCTCCTGACAGGCACACAGGGCCCCCAGACTCTCGCTGCTTAAGAATGGGACCGCAATGAACATCCTTTTACATGGACAAGTATTTGCAGATAAAAAGGAGTACGCAAATTAAAAGATTTGGGCTTTTTCTTTTGATACAAATCTCTCAAACGTAACAGGAGTAAACAGGAGCTCACTAAAAAGTGTCTGAATCCGTCTGTTTGGCAAATTAACAGTCAATCTGCTCGGCAAAGACGTCATCTCAGATCGTGTGTCAAGTGACATCCCAGGGTGAATTATTATGATGAAATTACAGGACTGATAAGACAGAAAAACTGCAGGGAAAATGACTCATCCTAAGCTTTCAGGAGAAGAAAACGACGAGTGAAACAACAACAAATCTTCAATAGCTGTTTTTTGTGAAGGCGTGCATCACACTTGTAGCAAAAACTGTCCTTGTTGCCGGGTACTGCATGTATCCCTGTTCATGGGTACAGAGAAGACGCCCCTGCGTGTGCTCAGGAAGGCTGTCAAACTGCTAATCTTACAGGAGAGTATGGGAAACCCATCGCGACTATACTCCTTGTCCTTCAGTGCTGTCCCTCTACACATCTTGGACCTCAGTTACTCCCCAGTCTATCCGGATTGCTTCCTATTTTTCTCCTTGTCCAAAATTCTCAAAGAAAATAGTCACTCAGTTATCACCAAGACCCAAGAATCACTCTACCACAACCAGTCAAGTGCCAAAGATCTGTTTAGAGCAGAAGTTGGTGCCTTTCAAACTGCTGAACTCCTTTTTCAAAAGAGGATGCAAATCCATTGGCTGTGTACCCCAGCCCAGGAGTCCCTAAGGGGCACTGCAGAGCTACATGTGGAGGGATGCCTCTTCTGGCATTTTCTCACCGAGTGACTACAGAGCCTCTGCCAGAGGGGACCGGGACAAATCTTGCTTTCAACCGCTACATAATCACTGATCCACCCAGCGTGCAGGACAGTCTTTGTTTTTCCTTAGAAAGGATATATTTCTCTTTCCTACATTTGCGGATTTAGCTGAGTAGTTACTGATAACTTTTCCTCTAGTAGTTATCCCACAGATTTACACTGTTCAGTTTTCAAGGAAATCACTAGAATGACGAATATCCTTATCTGCACAGCACTGTACAAATGTTGGCTAGGACAACTCAAACCTAAAATGTCTGCAGGCATTAAAGCAGCAACTGATTCTCAGGAATGGAACTGTTTTGCTTTTTGACGCAACCCAAGGAGCTTGTCCATGGTTCTCTGCTACACTTCCAGGGACTTCGTAATAAAAGCAATATACAGTAATCGACAACAATTTCGAGTTTCAAAGATGTCAAATGAGAGATGCCCCAAAAAGAAATATGCTTCAAATCAAGGAGAAAATAATCAAGGCCAAATAAACTAGGTCACCAGATTTATTTCTGAGCTGTATAAGTTGGACATGTTTCTGAGTCATAGTGTATTAATCTAGAAGAGACAATCAAGCTGCCTGCTTCATTTTAGAGAAGGGACCAGAGCTAGGGTAGTTAAGCACCTCCCCTGTGATTTAAAATGTTCTGGCTAGAAAATAACAAAGTATAATAATATATTTTCCATATGAGGATCTAATAATAAAACAAGTAGCAAAACCTTGAACCAGCTTTTCACTATGTTACACAGAGTAACACTCTTAGTAACAATCTATTATTTGGGAGAACACAAATAGAAAATGCTGCACTAATTAATTTTGGTCTTTTTCCTTCCAAGTTGTATCACCCATGCTCGCCTCCCCTACTTTCCCAAAATAAAAAAAAAAAAAAAAAAGGATGAGGCTAGGGCTTCTATTCAGGACTTACAAAAGGCAGACAATGAAAACAAAACATAAAAATAAAAAGGGGCAACCACAAAAAAATTAAAACATGTCATAAACTCCTGCTATCATGAGGGGATCATTAAATCAGCAGAACAGAGGCACTGCCAGGGAGACCTCAACTCCCACCCACAAGGCCCATGGCCTTAGGCAGGCCTCTGGTCACCCTGAACTTCCATTTTATTACTTGTAAATGGAAGCACTGAATAAGATAACTTCCAAAGGGCCTTTCAGTTTTAATACAAGAAACCTTTAAGAATGCATAATTTGCCTTCTGAGTAAATATTTGCCAAAACATAAACTCAGTATAGGTGGCATAAAAAACAAACGCAGAAAGAGATGTGCTCCATAACCCACACACCACTCCTTAGGCAGAAGATAAAATATTATGAATAATTATCAATATTAACTGAAATCCTTGTCCCTGGTCAAAACAATGCATAAAATGGTTCCTAAATGCTTCAGGATTTTAACTACACAGAGAACCATCTGTAAGCCACAGTCCCATTTTATTATTCAAACAGAAGCATTTTCAATAACTAGTCTGGTATAGAAACTACATGACAATGATTTGCTTTGTAAGCATTTTATCTACATTGTTAGCTAACTCTGAATATACGTCATTAAGGCACTCACCTGAGCACACACAAAAAAAGGATCCTATCTAGGATTCACTTCAGTTTTTCTTGGGTGAATGGCGCATGCCTAGTAATGTCCACTGGAAGATTACAGTTCAGGTCCAGAGTAGGCTAACATTCAGCTCATCAAGTTAACCCCCAACATTATCTAGCTTAGTACCAAATGCCAGGAATTTGTCAGGGTCACGTGTGTCACTGATACTCAATCATTTATTAAAGAAACAGCACCACGATGAGCATGGCTGGCTAAACAGTGAGGATATCATAAGAAATGCTTGAAATTTAGAATGAGTACAGTATTTGTATTGACAAAATGGCTTTGGAATGAGACAGTCTCAGGTTCAAATTCCAACCTGCATTTACTCTCCATATGTTGTTGGACAAATCATTTAACTCCTCAAACTTTAGTTCCCTCCTCTATAAACTGAGGAGACAATATCTACCTAACACAGATGTTACAGGCTTAGAGATAACAAAAGATCCCACTAGAATATAAGTTCTACATGGGCAGGGATTTTCTGGGATTTTTGCTCACTGCTAGATAGAAAAGTGCCTGGCATATAATAGGTGTTCAAGAAACATTTGATGAATAAGTGAATAAATGTAAAATGACTAACTCAGTGGGCACTTGAAATATTATTGAAATTCACTTGGTCATAAAATATTGATAATCTCAACACTAGCCATAATAAAAACCTTAATTATACAGTTAAAATTTTAACTTGTAGCAATAATGCAATTAAAAACTATCAACACACCTCAAAACGATGTTTACAACAAGCAAAAGGGTTATCTTTAGAACAGACATGTATTTTCTTCCAATGCCAAATCGTTATTTATTTATTTATTTATTTATTTTTTAGAGCTGGAGTCTCACTCTGTTGCCCAGGTTGGAGTGCAGTGATGCAATCTCGGTTCACTGCAACCTCCGCCTCCCAGGTTCAAGCAATTCTTCTGCCTCAGCCTCCCGAGTAGCTGGGATTACAGGCACCCGCCACCATGCTCAGCTAAATTTTTTTGTTTGTTTGTTTGTTTTGTATTTTTAGTAGAGATGGAGTTTCACCATGCTGGCCAGGCTGGTCTCAAGCTCCTGACCTCAAGTGATCTGCCTGTCTCGGCCTCCCAAAGTACTGGGATTACAGATGTGAGCCGCTAAGCCTGGCCGCCAAATCTATTTTTAAACTTCCATGATAGTCATCATAATAAAGTCAATCTGTATCTATAGAATAAATTGTGATCTAAATGAAAAATGTTATTTGTCATATAAGGCATCCCAATAGAGTATCTCTTACAGCCTGTAGAAATTTCATCTTTTTCTACTCAGCTTAAAAATATACAAATACAGGCATTAGTCTTCATGCCATAAAATTTCATGAGAGTTGAAAGCCTTCAGAGAACACACTGAATGTTTTTGACCAATGTCTACATTTAAGGAGTTGAAAAAAATGAATAACTGAAGTTGCTCTTGGAAGCCATTCTGGTTGAGGGCAAATCTTAAACAATGAAAAATGATAAACCAAAGCAACAGATACAAAATAACAGACAAGTTTTTAATTGTACTACAATGCAGCTTACTGCTAGGTAGAAAAGTGCCTGGCATATGATAGGTGCTCAAGAAATATTTGATGAATAAGTGAATAAACGGAAAATGATATTACTTTTATTGCTAAAATTTTTTTTTTGCAACATGGCTGCAATACTAGTTAAAAGTGACTGAGCTGGTATTATATGTAGAGAGTACATAAAAAATATTTTAGCAATGAAAATAATTCAAGGACCTAGTATCAAACGCATCACAAGTTTAGCAAACAGGGATATGCAAAATGACTAATTCCCATTAAAATCTCCCATTAGAACAGACATACATGCAGTAAGCATCACACAAGGGCCACAAAGTCCCTGAAAACAGTGATTTCCAGATTTCACAGATTGGTAGGACAGAATTATTGAACATCAAATGATGCTAGACATGGCTACTCAAATCATCCATAATGGTTTCTGAATAGAAGCTTTTCAAGAGTGGGCCCCTTCCAATTCTTTTGTTTCCCCAAGTCTTCCTTTGTTTCTTTTCTTCTTCAAACTAGCTTAAATTGGGCTTCTGTCAATTGAAACAATAAACCAACACTCCAAATTAGAAACATTAATACTATAAATCTGATATAAAAATTTACATACAATCTTGTTGAAAAATAAAATTTAATTTTTCCTCATTTGAAGTTTTAAAATATACCCAACTTAAAAAATTTTAATATCTATTGGTCTGGTATGGTGGCTCACGCCTGTTATCCCAGGACTTTGGGAAACCAAAGCGGGCGGATCACCTGAGGTCAGGAGTGATCAACATGGAGAAACCCCATCTCTACTAAAAATACAAAATTAGCCAGGCATGGTGGCACATACCTGTAATCCCAGCTACCTGGGAGGCTGAGGCAGGAGAATCACTTGAACCATAGAGACGGAGGATGTGGTGAACCGAGATTGCACCACTGCACTCCAGCCTGGGCAATAAGAGTAAAACTCTGTTTAAAAAAAAAATTAACACCTACTGGTATACACTTGTTTTTGAGAACTGTCCAAGATCATGTCCTTTCTACTTGTTTTAAAAACCTTTTTTAAAAAAAAATTCCAAAAGTAATAGATCTCTATATATAATGCTCTACAAGTAGATATTTAAATGACTATATATATATGATTTCTATGAATATTTCTATGTATGTGTTTATATATACATATATATGTGTGTGTATATATGTGTGTGTTAGGGGTGCCCTACAAATAATAATTCATTTAATTCTCACAACAAACCTTTGACGTGGGTACTATTATTATTCCCAACTGAATAAATAGAGGCACAGAGATGTTATTTAACTTTTCTCTGGTCATACAGAGTAACTGGCCGGACTCTTTTCATTTTTTTTTTTGTTGTTGTTGTTTTTTGTTTTTTGTTTTCCTGAGATGGAGTTTCACTCTGTTGTCCAGGCTGGAGTGCAGCGGCGCAATCTCGGCTTCCTGCAACCTCCGCCTCCCGGGTTTAACCAAGTCTCCCGCCGCAGCCTCCCAAGTAGCTGGGATTACAGGCACCTGCCACCACGCCTGGCTAATTTTTTGTATTTTTAGTAGAGACAGGGTTTCACCATGTTGGCCAGGCTGGTCTCGAACTCCTGACCTCAAATGATCCACCCATCTCGGCCTCCCAAAGTGCTGGGATTACAGGCGTGAGCCATTGCACCTGGTCTGGACTCTTAACTACTATAGTACACAGCTAACAGTTGCTTTCCTACTATAATATAAACAGAAAATCCTTTTGGCCATTTCCATTGGTCATCTGCAGGAAATAAGGCTGTGCCAGAGATCTCAAGGGATTCCACTTCGCTAAAACGTAATTCAATCTCTCTTCTTGGCATCTTGCTCTCCGGGCCAAGCAAGAAGGCCAAATTCTTCTATCTTAACCACTCAAAAAGTTAGGGCCACCTTTTCTCCATCCATGGGGAATGTTTCTAGTGGAGAATGTGTGGAGCTAGCGTGGATCACATGCAAAAGGGAATGCAGCAGTGCACTGGCCAGGTCTGGGTCACCTGCCTATCATTTAGCCAGGGAACAGATGGCTCCTTGTGTTGACAGCCCCAAGTCATCCCCACAAAGGAGTGAGGAGCAGTTCTCCAAAGCAAGTGGGGGAGGGGCTGGTCTGAAATGAAAGATGCACACAATAAAAGCTCCCACTGTGAGCTCAAACCTCTTGATTGAACTTATTTCAGTTCTTCATTTCTAATCATTCATTCGTGGCAGAAAACCCAGTTTTAACACAGACATGCCATATTTCAATTTATTCAATCTAAAACGACAGGCAAAAGTGAGAGAAGCTAAGTGACAAAAGTCCCCTCTACCCTGATCCCTGATGACCTTTCTTACATTTGCTCCAAGCTGGACCCAAGTAGAGCAGGCCCCTGACAGCCCAGCAGCCACCCGCTCTGAGCTGGTCAGTGTGGTGCCCAGACAGCCAAAGCAACCAGGAGTTATCCAAGAGGCGTGCCATGGCCCTAGGAAAGCGCTCACAGACGCCAGCACTGGGATTTTGAAACAAACTCTACAAAGAATAGTAATATTAATAACACACAGTAACACAATGAGGCCAGCTTTCCTACAATTCCCATTTTCTATATGCACTAATATGCACATAAACATCACATAAATCCAATGAGGCTAGTATTACTATGCACACTTTACAGGGGATGACACTGACATTAAGTGATACTAAAGAACTTGCCTATGGCTGCAATATTAGTAAGTTACTGAGCTGGGATTATATGTAGAGATTATATAAATTTATAATGATAACACTGCATATCCCAAATCTGATCTAAAACTTCCACAATGATTATAACACATATGATTATTATAGACATATTATAATACATATGCATAGTTATTATGTAATATATGAAATGAGAATTAACAAATATCTTCTCAGAACTTGGAGTTATGAAGAAAATGATATTAGAGAATGCATTCTCTTTCCATTGTTAGTGAATATCTAAATTGATATTGAGATATTCTTCTCCACCATTCAAACAACTTGTTTTATCAGGCAGATGCATAAAAATAATTGCAGGAACCCTTGTACTTCCATCTGAGAAGATGTCTTCTATTGGAGAAACAACCAATGCAAATTTAGTGCTTATAAGGATGGTAATGATGCTGGTATTTCTACTGAGAAATTTGCCACCTCAGTCTCTTTGCAGTATCAGATAAAAGGCCACCAAGAAACGAGACAGCTCTATCAGGCAATTCCATTTTACAGAAAACCATAAAAACAATTATCTATGTCATTAGAGACTCTTTAAAAAGAGCTTCAAAACATCCAATTTGCTGTTCCAGGCCTGAGACATAATCCTGACTGTCCATGCTAAAGAGTAATAACATCCAATTGAGAACAGTTATTATCAGACATCCTAAAATCAGTGAAATCAAATACAGATGGAGCCAAAGAGGAGAAGCGCCTGTATTTCTTGGTCAAACTTAATTCACGTGGATCATCACTGAGGTAGTTCACAAGAAATGATGATGGAGGGTCCAGATGTCCCCACACCTTCACTTATTAGAAAATATCTAAGTTGACATCTTCTTTACCACTCAATCAACTTCCCTTTATCAACGAGACACATTCAAATCATTGCACTGATCCGAGTGCCTCCTCCAAGAACAAGTTTCCACTGACATCAGGAAGAAAGGACTGTAACTGAATATAAATTTAAAAATGAAGAGAGACCATTCGATTTCACCAATACCTACTGAGTACCTGGAGCTAAAGAAAAATCTCTGCCCTCCTAACATGTAGACAGATTCTCCCCAGATCTCTGCCCTACCAAAATGCATACAGATTCTCTGACTGGAGAAAAATTCAATTTTCAATTAAAAAAATAGAAATAAGCCAGCAATGGAAGCTTTCTTGTGAATGAGAAATTCTTCAAAACTAAGTTATAAATGATGTTGCCAATAGAAAACCACCAATATCTATCTTTATACTTCAGAATAATTTCCTACAGTGGTCCAAATGAAAAATTATCATTCGTGTTTCTTTAATTAGCATGCACACCTAATCAAACTCTCGCTTATCTACTTGGTGCTTAACTGAAGAGCTCAGAATTAAAAACCAACTGCACTTTGATTTTCCCAGCACTGAATAGAGACAGTGAAAATGAGAGGAGTACGAATTATTTTCCAAATTACAAGACAATAGAATATTCATTGGTTAAAAAAAAAAAAAAAACTGTTTACCTTAGACTGTGCTAAAATTGAAAGGGAACAAAGGGGCAGGCCAGATGGTATATCAGGGAAAGTATTAACAACGTGGAAGTGTTCATTCTTAAGGGGGAGAAATTATCCCAAAAAGCATAAAGAATCCCAAGTCCAAGTTAATTGAAAATGACCAAAACACAACCATCACCCTGAGCAGCATGACTCTCATTGCTCGGTGGGGTAAGGTCTTAGTCCAGCACACACTGATTCTCTCGTATCCCAAGAAGCTCCTGCAGTCAGCACAGGCAAGCTCTTCTCATCACGGAGTCTCACATTTTGAAGTTATATTTACAATTTAAAGTTAAATCAATCTTAATAAAACCATACCTGCTAAATAAAATGTTAAAGACTGAGCTGCAATTTTCCCTCATAAATTCGTGGGATTTTTTCACATTATATTTTAAACGACTCTTTCATTTGAGGATTTACTGAGCACCTACAGAAGTGCTGAGCAGTGTTCTAAAAGTTGGGTCTATGGCAGTGAACAAAATGGATAAAAATCCTGTTGCCATGAAGCTGATATTCTGGTTGAGGGAGAAACACGAAAACATAAAATGTGTAGTGATATGAAGAAAAGTAATCAGGGAAGAGGAGCAGGTTTTGTAGGATGTTGTGGGGGTTGGGAGGAGGTCTGTGCAAGGCTACACTAAGCGGCAAAGGATGAAGAAAGGCATGGGAGCCAGCTGTGAAAACGCAGAGGAAGAATGTTCCAGGCCGAGGGCTCGGCAAGTCCAATGCCTCTGAGGGAGAAGGGAGAAGCATGACTCAGTTCAAGGTTCAGTGAGGAAGCCACAAACCTTGCATAAAGCGTCCAGTCTTCAACTAATAAGAAACACACCATAGAATACTACAGATATCAACATACACGGATCTCAATCTGACTGTTAGACAACAACAAAAAGCTACAGAAGGATGTGCACAGTATACTATTTTAAAAAATATAAACATTAAAAACAATACCACAAATAGTTTAGTAATGCTAGAAATAGTGATGTGGGAAGGAAGAAAGACACGTATGGTTATGAGAAACACAAATCCAGAAGAGTCGCCTCTTCTAAGAGGGAGAGAGGTGCACATGCAGAGAATGCAGGGGATTTAGCAATTTAGGGTTGTTTTTATTTTATTTATTTGAGACAGGATCTTGCTCTGTCACCCAAGCGTGGAGTGCAGTGGTGCAATCATAGCTCACTGCAGCCTTGACTTCCCAGGCTCAAGGAATCCTCCCACCTCAGCCTCCCCAGTAGTAGCTGGAACTACAGGCACACACCACCACGCCTGGCTAATTTTTTTAAAAAATTTTTGTAGAGGTGGGGTCTCACTATTTTGCTCAAGCTGGTCTCAAACTCCTGAGCTCAAGTGATCCTCCTGCCTTGGCCTCCCAAAGTGCTGGGATTACAGACCCTGAGCCCAGCTGGGGTCACATTTTGTGCAGGCTGTGTATATAGGTCATCATCTTTTCAATCAACCCTTTTGTGTATCAGAAATATTTCATAATATTTTTGTAAAATAATTTTCAACCCCATTCCTGCATCCACTAGCTTCTTTTCTTTGTTTTTTGTTTTGAGACAGTCTCACTCTGTCACCCAGGCTGGAGTAGAGTGGTGTGATCTCAGCCCACCGCAGCCTAGGCCTCCCAGGCTCAAGTGATTCCCATGCCTCAGCCTCCCAAGTAGCTGGGATTACAGGTACCCACCATCACGTCTGGCTAATTTTTGTATTTTTAGTAGAGATGGGGTTTCACCATGTTGGCCAGGCTGGTCTTGAACTCCTGACCTCAAGTGATCCACCCGCCTTGGCTTCCCAAAGTGCTGGGATTACAGACATGAGCTACCGCACCTGGCCCATCCTCTAGTTTCTTAATTAACCATTGGATTGAACTGAAGCTTACTGCTTACCTTTGAGTAATGGTCAATACAGCTGCACTATTTCTGCTCATCTGTGATCAAGAATATGCTACCACTGGTGGAATCATTTCCATGATCATGAGAAGAAAGAGAGCATATTAAGGGAATTAAACAGCTGTCATCACTGCCCTGGCACTGCTCCGAAACGACACATTAGAGCCTTTTATGATCTACAGAAAAGGGCTGCATAAAAGAAAATACTGCAAATCTATGTTTAGTGCTTTAAGCTGAGCTGCCTGTCACAATTTTAAATACAGCCCCTCAGCTACATAGGAGGTAAACATTTCCAACAATGTCACCTTTGCCTCTCAATATACTTCTTTAAAAAATAAAACACGGTGGATAAAAATTACATCAAATACATACATATATATATATATATCTTACCTAACCTACAGTGGCAAAGACATCTGTGCTTTGGTTTCTTCCTGAGCACCAGGTCCCCCCTCTGTGCGCACCGCCCTCCTCTCAGCCCTAGCCCACTGCAGCCTGGCTTCCACCCTCAGAACACAGGGGGTTGAAGATGAAAGGGAAGCAGAGGTGAAAGAATCAGTGCACAAGCTTGGAAAACTGGTACTCCTCCTCCAAGCTCCTCATGGCGAACTCACCAACATCAGCGTGGCTAAATGCAAAGGGAGCATTGCAGCTCTCGTGTCATTTAAATGTTCAAGAACCACAGTGAACACTACCTCTTTCCAAATCACATTGCCCCAGCTCCATAGACCTTTTCCTCTTCTACTTCTCCCTTGCAGATTCTCTTTACTCTGCCCTCTCTCTAGTGACCTCAGCTTCTATGGCTTTCATTACCTTCCTATCTGGAGGATTCTGAGTCTTGATCTTTGAGCTGGACCTCTCTGGCTTGCTGGCTGATACATGAAGGCTACTAGACATGGGTTCTGAAATGTCCCACAGGAACTTCAGGACAAACTCCTGACCATGCCATCACCAACCCCACCATCAACTCATATATGTGTGTGTGTGTGTGTGTGTGTGTGTGTGTGTATCTCAGGGAACAGCAAGTGGGGCCATTCCCCTCTCCCTCACCTCCCACCATACCCAACATGTCACTAAGTCTCAAAATTCTACCTCCTAAACATTTTTCAAAGTATTCATTTTTCTCCATCTCTTCTACCACTTCCTTAGTTCAGATCATCCTCAATTCTTCCCTGGATAGTAACATTAGCACCATTTATTGGGTACTTATGTGCAAAGTACTTATATTTGGGGTTGCTGTATAGATTGATATATTGTGATATTAACTGTGACTTTTATTTTATAGAAAAAAAGTGAAGTTTCTAAGTTTAAACATGTGTCCTATAAGCATAAAGCTAGACTGCTATGGTGCCAGAAACTGTTAAGGAGTTCACTGAGTCATTCATGTATTCCTTCAAAAAACACTCATTTTTACCATAATGATATATTGTCCTTCAAAAAAGTAAACTCCCTAGATTACTAAAAAAGCCATATTAAAAGTACATCTGACCACGTCTTCCAACAAGGTAACACCCCTCACTGGCTCTGCCTCACCCTCAGGATGACATGGTGCACAGGGCCCTGAACTCTGACCCCAGCTGCCCCTAAGACTCATCTCTCCCACTGCCCTCGGAGCCCATCTTACTCGTCAGCCACACGAATGTCTCCCTCTTTCCTCCTGGCCTCTGTACACGCTGGTCAGTCACCTCCGACACCCTCCTGTCCAGCCGACTCCAGACTCTATCCAGCTCTCCCCCTTCTCCACCGCATGGCTCCTGGTCATCTTTAGGTCTCAGGTTGGACACCACTCCCTCTCCGTCCAAAGCCACACACCCACAGCTGGTAGGTGAGCTTCCTTTGTGTGCCTTTCATGCCCCAATTCCCCATCACAGCACTTGGGAGGCAACAATTAATTATGTCTGTGCTCAGGGTGACAGGAAGCCCCGCAAAAATGGGCGGTGACATTCATTTTGCTGGGTGCCTGGGTAGTGCTGGAAATATGTATGTACTCAAGATATACTCCACTGTTAGGCAGACGGACGGAGGCACAGGCTGCAGAGCAGAGCATTAAGGAAATCAGACATTCCTTCCCCTGAATGCTTTCCAGCTCTACTCCCTGACAACAGTGTCCATTATTTTCTCATGCATCTTACAGTTTGAAAAGTGCTTTCACATCAATTACACCATTTGATCTTCACAATAGTTCTGAAAAAAGAAGAGATGGCTGTTCTGCACATTTGTAGATGAGTGTATGTTTCTGAGAGGTTCACTGATGTGTTTTAGTCAAATCACAAATTCAAGCCTTTGGATGTGTTTCTCATGTGTGACCATGAGATACTTCAAAAGAGGAGGAGTTGTCACAGCCAAATTCTGGATTTTGGTTAGCCAGAATTGCAGTCAAAATTCAGAAAAGGGGCAGTTTAACATGGGTTAGGATCAGAGATAGATCCAGGTTTTTTAAGTGCCAAAGCTCTTGCAATTGGGAAACCTTTAAGAAAAAAGACTATAGGTTGGGCACAGTGGTTCACACCTGGGATCCCAGCATTTTGGGAGGATGAGGTGGGCAGATCACTTGAGGCCAGGAGTTCAAGACCAGCCTGGCCAACATGGTAAAACCCTGTCTCTACTAAAAATACAAAAATTAGCCAGGTGTGGTGGTGCATGCCTGTAATCCCAGCTACTCAGGAGGCTGAGGCACGAGAATCACTTGAACCTGGGAGGTGGAGGTAGAGGTTGCGGTGAGCCAAGATCATGCCGCCACTGCACTCCAGCCTATACAACAGAACAAGACCCTGTCTCAAAAAAAAAAAAAAAAAAAAAGGAAGAAAGAAAAAGGTTATAAAAGTCAAACTTTGGTGCAAACTTTGGAACATGATTCTGTAAGGAAGAAGTCCTGAAGTTTCAGCTTCATTAGCTTGAGGTGAGTCCACATGTCAGTGGAGCAGTAGAAGAAACTGAGCTTAGAAAAGAAAGAAGAGAATGTGTATTTTAAGTCAAAACACTATTACAAGGAAAGGCAAGGTACAAGAAAAAAGAGTGGTAAGAGTAAGAACTATCTGTTTAGCAGTTAACTAGGGCCTGCCGTGTGTGAGGCACTGTACCAGGCTCAAAGACACAAAGATGATTAGACATGGTCCCTGCCTGGTTCCACTTACAATCTAGAATTGACACCACACTTGCAGAGAAGGGGTGCAAACAAAAAGAAAGACTTGGTAAAATGTTAAACATCCCCTAAATGATAGTATCTACAGGAGCATTCCACATGCCAAGTCTCTGGGCTCTGATTATGCTCAGTGTTCACTGGTATTTGAAATCTTGTTTACTACTCATCCCCTTGTTTAAAATACAGTTTCCAGGGGAGTAAAACCTGATTGTTCACCACTGTAACCCCAGCACTGAGCACGGTGCCAGGTTCATAACAAGCATTCCGTAAGTATTTGTGGAAAAAACAAACAGATAAAAGAACAGAGAAAGGAACAAAACTTTACAAAGGCTCAAAGAGTCACATTTTGGCACATGCCATCAGTCTCGTCTTTTCACTTTCAGTGTGTATCTCAGTACTTTGATGAGTCTTTTAACTATCACTGGTGCCAAATGAGTATCCTGCCTGGACAAATCTTAATTTCAAAGACATGCGTTTGACAACCAAGCAGCTGGGAAGAAACACTGGCAGTAAGCTTAAGGAGGAAACCAGGTCAAAAGATGGGTTGGTTTAATTTTGCTTGGTTCTTTATGCTGGGAGATGCTTGAACTAGAATATTTGGAGAAGAGATCATTCAGAAGCTGGTTTGAGTAGAGAAGACCTGGATTCATCTTGGGGGTCAATAAAGCATTCACTGAGATAAGGCGCCTAGGGGATTGTCCTTGATCTGAGCAGCACGAAGGCCCTTACACACTCTAATATGACCGAATAAAATGCTTTACAGTTCTAGTCAGGAGAAGACTCAGACAAGGAGATCAAGCTGGAATCCAACTCTTAAATAAGAGCATGGAGAAATAAGAGGTATGATGGTAAGTCAATAAAGCCATTAAATGTTTTAGAGGAACATTTTACTGGACACTGGGCAAAAAAAAAGAAATGAAATTTAATTTATTAATATATGTATATTCACCCTTTGTCAAAGATCTTTTCACATGTCTTGTCTTAATGTGAAAACCCTCTCAGAGGTAACTCCAAAATCGCAATTTTTGATGACAACTGGGGGAGGTTCAATGAGGGGGAAAAAAGCCAACGTCTGAAAATGGTTACACAATTTGTCGGGCTTGCTGCCTCTTTGCGCCAAGACACGGCCATGCTGTCAGAAAAGCTTAAGACCTTGAGGCTGAATGGCAACTACAGCTCCAAAGACTGAAGTTCCTTCTTGAATTTATCTCCGGAGTCTAAGAAACTGATGCAATTCAAATGTGATATACAGTGACTTTTGTTTTGTTGTCCCCCTATGTGGATTATGTGAGTGTGTGTGTCCTTCTCGGATATGAGCATAGGAAAAAATGCTAATAAATTATAATGTAGTCTGACCATTTACCATTGATATGAATGTCACTAAACATAGCAACATTTGTAAAGAAAGCTTTTAATCATCTCAAGTTTCACATATATAAGTGAAGAACTTCATAATATCTTAAAAGTATCTGTAAGACCCACATAGCTCAGTATGATTTTGACCAGCAGGATCACATTTACTCATAGAAGCATCTCTTCTTCAAGGCCATTTTACTCTATTACCGATCACAAAGCAAGAAAATTAACCCCAACTGAAGACATATTAAGAGCTACGTACTTTCACTTAGATTCTTACTCAACCATTCTGACCATTATGCTACATAATTATCATTATCCCTATTTAATAGATAAGAAAACTAACCTTTTATCCTACTTCCTTAACCTTTTAAATTTTACATAATTTCCTAGGGCCACAGAAGTTATGGACCAGCCATAAAGAAACCCAAGGCCGGGCGCCGTGGCTGACGCCTGTAATCCCAGCACTTTGGGAGGCTGAGATGGGCAGATCGCAAAGTCAGGAGATCGAGACCAGCCTGGCTAACACAGTGAAACCCCGTCTCCACTAAAATACAAAAAATTAGCAAGGCGTGGTGGCGGGCGCCTGTAGTCCCAGCTCCTTGGGAGTCTGAGGCAGGAGAATGGCATGAACCTGGGAGGCGGAGCTGGCAGTGAGCCGAGATCTCGCCACTGCACTCCAGCCTGGGTGACAGAGCGAGACTCCGTCTCAAAAAAAAGAAAAAAGAAAGAAAAAAAGAAACCCAAGCATTCTGAGTCCAAGGCCAGGTTTCTTTGCTCTATGCTAAACATTTTCTTCAACCTTAGTACTATTTATTTATATTATATCTTCTTTCCAGGTTAAACGCTCATTTGACAATAGTGAAGAAGCTGGAAAGTCATTAAGACAAAAGTCGTTAAGACAGTGTGTCTCAAAATGTGGTCCTGGGACCACCTGGATCAGATTTCACCAAAGTACTTGTCGGGACATAAGGAGGTCTGGATCCAACTGCAGATCTATTAGATGATAATCCGTGGATTGGTCCCCAAAAATTCCTTTTTAATAAACTCATCAGGTAATTCTGTTGTATAACCACTGTGTCTCATTCTTTGCAAACCTCTACTGTTATCTGGAGTTTCATACTCAAAAAATTCTGCATTCTCATAGAGGGCCATCTTTTGGATTACGGGTTTTGTGGTGGAATGTCACAAAATTCTACACTCATCCTGAGGGTCATCTTTGGATCTTACAATTACTAAGACATGTCCCTAAAAACAAGCAAAGAGGACAACAGCATATACTACTGAAATGAGAAAACATGTACTATGTGTATACTCTCATTAGACTGGTTCTAGATGTCTTCAAACACAGATCTCATTTCAACCTGGAGGTAGGCAGCATCGTCATCTGTTCACTCTGGGGAACCTTGCCTAGAGAAATAGAGTACTCCTCCCACAGTTACCTAGCTCAAGGTTAGCAGATGTTTCCATCTGTATCTTCTCTAGCTCTTTGTATTTTCTTTATTCTGCAACAAGGATTCCCCACCACTGGGCCAAGGACAGTGGTGGTGAGCGGTGGGTGAGTCAGCATTACCACCTGATCTCCGCCTCCTGTCAGATCAGAAGTGGCATTTGATTCACATTCTTGAGTGAGAATGTGAGAATGTGAACCGCACACGTGAGGGATCTAGGTTGTGCATTCCTTCTGAGAATCTGATGATGTGAAGTGGAACAGTTTCTTCCTGAAACCATCCCCCACAACCCCCGTCCATGGAAAAACTGTCTTCCATGAAACCCCAACCTCTGTGCCAAGGACAGGGCCACACAGCAGGAGGTAAGCAAAATGGAGGTCCTTGGTGCTAAAAAGGTTGGGGACCCCTGTTCTACAATATAACTCCCCCCAATGAATTACTGCTCTCATTTCAAGAATTCAGAGGAAAAGTTTTCCAGACTTCTTGAGCAGACAACCTAGTCAATCTCTATTTTCCAAGTCTTATACTTAGCCAGTAAGCATATTCCTTCTAAAGTTAATAAAAGTTGTCACTGAGTAGCACAAAATGGTATAAAACACCAAAATTCATCAAGAATAATTCTCTGTAATGAAACTACCCAAAACTCCCTATATCTCTGGGATGTTAGTAACTCTAGGAAAAAATTACGTAGAAATATGCAACTGTCCGGGCCAGCCTGAGACCTCTAGATGCCCCGATGGCATCATCTCACAGAAGCCTGGGTGCACCATTCCAGCTAGCACCACCTTCAGGATCATAAAGCTATTCTCCCCAAATTGGTGAATGAAGACTGGATTCCAAGTAAATCCAAGATCAGTCAAAATCATGGGATTGTGAATAACATAACAGAGCAGCCCACATCCCTGACGAGGTGGCATAAAATCTGTGAATGGAATATGACATTTGTTACCATTCTGTTGTTGAGGACGAAGGAAGGGTTGGGAACTCAGAGAGAGATCAAAGGAAGCTTAATATTTTCCATCTCTGGGAGCCCAGTGACCCCGTACACCTACTAAACTATCCCAGACCCTGGATATTTTGATTCTGGAGAGTCTAGTTCAGGTCCAGACTGCTGCATCTGCTGTCCCTCGAGGCATGCCAAGAGGCACATGGGAGAATGATGGGCACCCAGGAACTCAGGTTAGGCTTTGCTGGATGAGCTCGCCCCTCTATAAAGAGATGACATTAAAATCTAAATTTAAAAAAGTCAGGAAATCTATGGTGAAAATTTGCTTGTTTTAGTTTGTTAGAACTCAATATTCACACACAACATTGAGATATACATAATAATCATCAGAGATTTTAATTTTTTTAAATATCCTGTTTTACCACAAGCCTCCTGATGTGTATATTAGAAGAGAGTCATGAAGTGTAGGCAGCAAGCAGAAGGAGGCAGAGGGGCTGGACAACAAGGCTTCACATCAACACCATCATTAAGGTAATGATCCTTTATCAATATTGCACAAGACCAAAAGAAAATATTTATTTACCATTAAAAATAATGATGTGGGTATAGATTTGCATGCATGAAAAAGCTCCTCCGAGACATACTGTTACATTTAAAAAAAAAAAAAATTTGGCCTGGTGCGGTGGCTCACACCTGTAATCCCAGCACTTTGGGAGGCCAAGGCGGGCAGATCATTTGAGGTCAGGATCATTCGAGACCAGCCTTGCCAACGTGGTAAAACCCCATGTCTACTAAAAATTCAAAAAAAAAAAAAATAGCTGGGCAGGGTGGCGGTTGCCTATAATCCCAGCTACTTGGGAGGCTGAGGCAGGAGACTCGCTTGAACCTGGGAGGCTCACTTGAACCCGGGAGGCAGAGGTTGCTGTGAGCTGATATCGTGCCACTGCACTCCAGCCTGGGCAACAGAGTGAGACTCTGTTCTCAAAAAACAAACAAACGAAACAAACAAACAAAAAATGGTTACATAGAAGTATTTAAGACAGAAGTCTATTCATGTAAAATATTATGTAATCTACATATGAGTCTGTATATGTACAAAATGATGCTACTGCTATTTATGAAGCACTTGTGATATACCAGATACTGTGCTCAGTGTTTGCATGTATTACATCATTTAATCCTCATATCCTTCAGATATAAGCATTATGCCCATTTTATAAACGAGCAAACAGGCTCTAGGAAGTTAAAAGAACCATGCCACATAGTTATTAAATAGCAAGGCCGAGAGCCCAACCCAGGTGTGTCCTATTCCACTCTGATACGTAATACATTCAGAAAGGTAGATAATGACATTGCCTTTTTTGGTTTTTCTGTATTGTTAGACTATATTTTAAAGTGAGAATGTATTATTTTTAATATCTCAAATAACTGAGATACATTCATTGAAAGGATAAGGAAAATCTTCCCATATTTCGTATATCTCATTTTCTACCTTAAACAATCCAAAAGTAGTATTTAATCCTCAGTTAAATACTCCCACAAAAAGATGGAATGAATTGCCAAAATATCAATCATTGAGAGAAAAAAACATCACATTCAATTTCTGCAAAATTTTGGATAACTCCATTAACTAAAGACCATCTGTCTCCAGATTCCTATTCTTCCAACTCATCCTACACTTATCACCAGAAAAAATATTCTTCTTCCCTACTCAACCACTTTCAATAACTCCCCACTACCTAGCAAAGCCCCAAATATCCCTTAGTCTCATATCCAAAAACCTTCCACAATCAGGCCTCACACTCCCTACTTAGATGCACCTCCCATTACTCCCCAGCATACAGGCTATATTCCAGCTAAAGGCAGGTCTCTTGACTTCTGGAATGTCCTATCTGGAATGTCTTCTCAATGACTAATTGAGAGTCTCTATCAAAATCCAGTCATCTTCCCAAGGCCAAAATGGAAAGTCAAAATGGGAAATGAAGAATTTTCAATAGATTTTCCCTATAAAAGGATCCTTTTATAGGAAACAATCAATAATACATAGAAAAACAATCACTGATACACAGAATGGACAGTGTAAAATAAGCATTACATATTATAAAGTACATTTCAAAAAATTGCATAGCCAAATGATAAACCATATTTCATAAGATTCATGACACTGATTATAAGAGATAACATCATGTTGTATAGCACTCTGCCAATTAAGCTATGACTCACACATTTTTAGAAACTGGAATTTTCATTTTCTTCTTATCTAAAGAACTCTGATTGAGTTATTCAACGCATAAAGAAAATATAAACAAAATAGATTGGCCAAGGTGTTCCCAAAAATTCTTACATATTCAGAATCCAACTCTACCAAATTGCACGTCAACTAAGAGTTACTGCTGTCTATGCTTTTCCACACAATATCAACTTGGGTCACCACGAGCACTAGAAATGTATCACTTAAGAGTGCTCCATTACTGTCTCCAGGATTTTCTCCAATCCACTAACATCCAATGTCCAATTTTTGATGCATATTCACAAACAATGAATTAAGTTGCCAGCTTTTTCTCTGCAACATGGCTGAGAGCCATGTAAGACATATCCCAATTTCAGAGATGTTAAATGTGAAAAAATAACTTTCTTTTAGAAATGATGAAATTTGGGGCTTGAATCAAATACAAAGAAACTCGCTATTTGAGGATGTAAACACAGGCATGTACAAAAATGACCAAAGAAGAGAGAGCTAAAACAGAAAATAGTTTTCCTCTCTTTAGTTGAATGCTAGGAGATCAATATCATCTCCCAGCACTAATCCTTTTCAGCTTTTGTCACCCTACCATTTGATCCCTCCCCTCTTCAGAGGACACCCTCCACACTGATGTCCTCCATGACACCAATTAGAGCTGGCAGGAAAGGAAACCGACTCCCTGCAGTTCTTCCCTCAAAGAAACCATTCTTCTTTTCTCTTGGTACCTGCAGAATTCTCTTCCCTGATATGGCAAAACCTCTAGGATCTACCAATTTGAGCTACAGACAGAGGTAACAACCTTGTTATGAAGAGGACCACGCCATTAAAAATAATGACTACATACATGAGTCTGGTAATTCTCATTTTTAAATAAAGCAGCAGTGCTTTTTAAGCTTTCTCCAAGATTTTTTTTTTTTTTTTTTTTTTTGGTAGTAAAGCGTAAGTTACAAATGGCCCCATTTTTTATACAATTTCGTAAGTATTTACTGAATGCTTTAAGTGTCTAGACCTTTACTTGGTTTGGGAAAGAAACCTGAAGAGAAATAACTCCCTATCCTCATCAAGCACCCACCCAATATAACTGGAGAGAAAAATATATACTCAAGGCAGGTTAAATATTACATTTGTTTTCTAGGTCTAATATAGACCTTTCTGCTTTCTCTCTCTCTCTCTCTCTCTCTCTGTTTTTAGTTTGTAAGGCAGGGTTATAAGAACAATGTATCAAAATGTCAGCAATCTAAAAATTAAGTTGTCAGCTTTTTCTCTGTACTGCAAATTACAAAAGAATTGGTGCTAATAGAAGCTTACAATTCCAAAGTATGCAATTTAACCAATCATCGCAAGGACTAAAAATGCAACACCAAAGACATTTCAACCAAGTAATCTGCAGTTCTGGCATCTAATTTCAACTTGTCTTCTTGTGCCATTCTTCCCAATTTGTTTCTTCTTTATGCTTTGAAACTGTGCTCTGGAATTGCTACATAGTTAAGAAAGAACTGCCCAGAGCTCCTACATACATAATACACTCACATGAAAAATGTCAGTCATGGAAAAGACAAGGAACATCTGCAGCCATTCTGTGGTTCTTCATTTTTTATGCTGATATTACTATAAATTCAGAAAGGAAAACATGAAATATACTTTATTGCTTCCGAATTTCAGTCTTATCATTTATTCAACACTAATTTGGGTGAAATATGTCTCTGATCATCTCTGCACTAGAATTCTAAATTAGGATTAAAATGCTAAATTATAAAATAATTAGTACATAAAACAAAAATGGAAATGGAAATCAATTACTCCAAATCACTGCAGATATCTTCTACTTATGAAACACCTTTTTCCATTTTTTCCTATTGCCAACTGCAATCACATCACTTAAAAATAAATGAGAACATTGCCTACCCAATAAGTAAATTGCATCTTTAGAGAGACCACATACTTTTTTTAAAAGACATTACTAATAACCTAAATCAAGAATTTAAAAAGAATGCTGTTTTAGTACAAAGAACAGTAAGAAATATGTTGCCTCAATATATAAATAAAAATATACTCATTTTTCTTGTTCTTTAATTTTGTAAATGGCCCTTCTAAAAAATTACAGTTTTCTCTACAAAAGGAATATTCAGTGCTTTCTACTATTTCACAAAAAACAAACAAACAAAAAACGTCTCCTTCCTTACTCTTGGAGACACATTTTCCCATGCAGTCTTATATTCATTTACACCTTTCAATTCTCCAAACAATACCTCGCAATGCAGTTCAACTTGAGAAAGGAGTCTCATTGATTGATCAGGCAAAGTTTTAAAGCCAGCAAGATGCTTCAGATGGTCTGGTTTTGCCTGCCCCACCCTTGTTTCCTTTGAGCCATAGTGATGTCACAACACCAGGCAGGACAATGACTTCACTGCTCCAGTCCTTGCTTCTGAGCACAGAATTCCCCACAGCCAAGGCAAATCAAATAACAGCAGAACCCTCCCGGGCTGAGTGCCTGATGAATTCCCAACAAATCAGCAGCTAGCTAGCCGTTTGAAAGAAATAGATGCAGCGATTGCACGATTAAGGATCTCTCTAACTGAAGTGGTGCTAAAGATAAATTTGATTCATAGGTTTCAATGGTGAGTCTATATTTCACGGAAAACTGATGGGGTACTTAGGGGAGACTATGGGAATTAAAGACGGCCAGGGTAGATTACTCAAGAACCCTCTCTCCGCCGGGCGCGGTGGCTCACGCCTGTAATCCCAGCACTTTGGGAGGCCGAGACGGGTGGATCACGAGGTCAGGAGATCGAGACCATCCTGGCTAACACAGTGAAACCCCTTCTCTACCAAAAATACAAAAAAATTAGCCGGGCGTGGTGGCGGGCGCCTGTAGTCCCAGCTACTCGGGAGGCTGAGGCAGGAGAATGGCGTGAACCCGGGAGGCGGAGCTTGCAGTGAGCCGAGATCGCACCACTGCACTCCAGCCTGGGCGACAGAGCGAGACTCCGTCTCAAAAAAAAAAAAAAAAAAGCTAGCAGGGTGTGGTGGTGGTCGCCTATAATCCCAGCTACTCGGGAGGTTGAGGCAAAAGAATTGCTTGAACCCAGGAGTCGGAGGTTGCAGTGAGCGGAGACCGTGCCATTGCACTCCAGCCTGGGTGACACAGAAGGACTCCATCTCAAAAAAAAAAAAAAAAAAAAAAAAAGTCTCTCTCTTCATTATATATACTCAAATTCTCACAGAAAGGAAACATTTATTCTTCAGTCTACTCTTGGAGTTCTATTTTACTGGAGTGGACATGAATTCTAATTTGTGAATTTTAGGGAAAGCACTAACTTAAAAGATGAATGCACATCATACAACACGGAAGAAAATACTTTTACAGCAAGTTCCTGCCACACTTAATCTAATATACTATATAAGTCCAGAAAAGATTCACAAGATAACAGCATCACATCTCTCAGTACATGGATAGTTGCCTCTCTTCTACCTAGGTGGCCCTTTAATACATTTGACCAACCAGTTTTTAAAAAACAATTATAAATAAAATTGCATCCGATCAAGTTAAAAAAAATCCTGATCTTTTATTTCAACACAAAGTTGTCCAAAGTCCAAGCAGTGTACATGAACTGATAAAAAATTGCTTTTAACCTAAATCGCATTCATGCAGAAGAAATGTCTTAAAAATTAAACGCAAATATTTCATTGAGACACTGACATTTGACCTACAGCTCCTGAATCCTTCAGCTAAAAGCGGTTTACAAATTAAAGTGGCTACTCTTCTTGTTATGGATGAATTATTCACAAAACATGTTCTGTTTTGAAAAACTTATTTTGGCTAAAGTGTATTAACTAAATAAACTTGATGCAGTAAGTTGTGCATCTGATATTTTGCTTTTCTAAACCACCAGAAAACCATAATGCAAATGAGACAGTATTCAGCATTCAGCTATCAATGCCTTGCAAATTAACAAATTGAAGTCACGCTTCTCCAATTTAGTATTTATTCCCTCTCACATTAATTTTGTTACTCCAACTAAAGTTTTTAAAGTTTGATACCAAAATTAACATGCATTTTTTAAACACTCACTCTGAGCCAAGACAGAAATCACCTCTCAGTCCCCAGAGTTCACTGGAGCTTGATGTGCTGCTCTCTTTTCTTAATAGGGCTTTTCTGCTTAATTTGCTGTAATTGGGACTACGTCCATGGCTCACAGACATAAGCAGAATTTTATCATTTTTGTTTCCTTGAGACTTTAAAAATCAAGGTAAATTTCAAAAACAATGTTTTTAAGCACTTGGTGTGACGCTTCCTGTACTATAGAAGTTAATGCTACCAAGACAAACTCCAGCACACCTGGCCACCTCAGGCAGCCTAAAATTCTCACTGTGCCCCACTCCCCACCCCCCCTCAACAAAAAGGACAGGCAGGGTATCTGCAAAAGCAATTCCGCGAGACTAATGTAAAAAAGCTGAAACAACTTAAACACGCAATGGAAGCACTGCATTAGCAGGACTGCCCGGCCCTCTCAGGACCTCCCAGCCCAACCTCCACAAGTAATTAACACCACATGTTTCCTTTATCATTCTATTTGTTCTGTTCCGCAACAATCTCTACCAACTTTAACCCTGGGCTGCAACTAACGGAAAAACCCTAGAAAACTTCAGATCCGTAATATAAAAAGAAAATTGAAAAGAATACTCTCATTGCAAGGGACCACAGTTACAATTTACTAGGTAACCACACCCACCGCATTGCAGAAGCCATGAACTTGGCGGGCGTGGGGGGGAAGGGGAAGAAGTCCGGCGAGATTAGAGGGGAAATCCGAAAAAGCAAGCCCCTGCGGCAGCAGCCAGGAAACACTCGCCAGGAACTGGCTGCGACCCCAACTCCAGCGGTCCGAAGCCCTAGCCTCCCCACCCCCACCGCGGCAGAGCCGCCTTCGCAGACACCTCCCGAGGAGAATCGCGGCCCCGAGGGCGCCAGGTGAGTCGCGCCGCCCCGAGCCCCCGGGCCACGGCAGGCCGACCCAGGCGCCCCCGGCCCGCCCGTGCTCCCGCGCCCGGGTGCCAGAGGCGAGGGGCCCCGGCAGGTGCCCAGGCCCAGGGCAACCCCGCTTGGACGCTCCCTCCTCCTCCCCCACCGGCCGGGGGCCGCTGCCCCAGTTTGGGGAACGAGGCAAGTTATATAAAAGCGGCCGGCCCCCCTGCCCAGCGGGGATGCTTTGTGCGGAGCGCACCTTATCGGCCCCGCGCTGCGCCCGCCCGCGCCTGCACCCGGGACGAGCCCGCTGCCGCCGCGCGCTGAGCGCAGGGCCCCTCCCGCGGCCCGCCAGCCGCCACCCGCCCGGGCGGCGCCGCAGTGTCGCCCCCTGTCCCCCGCACCTCCCCGGGGGAGGGGCCGGCCCGCGCTCGCCCCCAGCCCGAGGGGCAACTTAAAACATGGCGCCCCGGGCGGGGGATTTGTGCAAATTGGCGGAGAAGGGACGCGGGGACCGAGTCGCCCCTTCGGCCAGGGATCCCAGGGAGGCCCCCAGGCCGGAGGCCGGGGCTCAGGCTCTGCGCGCCGGCCCAGCCACTACTGCGCCGCGGCGGGCGGAGCGGGCGGGGGGCGCGGCGCGCAGGCTCGGCCCGGTGGGGGTCCCGGCGAGCGGGAGGGCGGTTGGGGACCCCGGCCGCGCCGGGCGCGGGGCTCGGGATTCGGGAGACCGCGCGGCGCCGAAGCCACGCGTCAGCCCCACTGTCCCGCGCGCCTCGCCCCAGGCCTCGGGCTCTTCCTCCGCACCTCGTAAAGCCGAGACCCCCTCGCAGTCCCCCACTCCGAGAGGCGGAAAAGTTACCTGGGATCAGCAGGGAGCCCGGGCGCGCCGCGGCGTGGGGACTAGGCTCGGGCGCGCGTCCTCGGCGGCGGTGCGCAGGAGACTCGGGCGTGGGGAGGAAGCCGCAGCCCAGGGCTGCTCGCCGCTGTTCCCCCCGCCCCCTGTTGCAGGAGACACCGAGGCTCCGCGGAGCTGCGGCGGGGGCCCACGCCCAGAGACCGTGCGAGGAAAGCCAACCTCGTCCTGCCTGCCCTCCCAGCCGCGGGGGAGGGGGCCACCGCAGTACTTCAGGACAGTTACATGGGCACAGCCTCCTCCGTCCTGGCGCAGGGTCAGGCTCCGCGGACGACGCCTGGAGACAGCTGCCAATGCCAATAGCTTTAGCCCTTTATTCCCACTTAGATGATGGCCTGGCCTCTCCAGACCCCTCTCCCCTCCCAGACATCCCCTGTGAGAAAGGAGGGAGAGGGTGTTCCTGACCTTCAGGTGAGTTATTTATTGGCTAGGGACTGCAGTATTTTTTTTTTCTTTTTGGAAAGAAAATAAAATCAAGTTGGTGGTGTCTTCAAGTCATGTTAATAGAGAAGATCTGAATTAATGCTTGATAAGAGAAGTCGCCCATTTTTCAGCAACTCAGCTACTCCGTCCTCTCCAGTATCTATAAAGCTTTCCACCGAAATTTACCTTGATTTTAAAGAGCGGAGGTGGCTCACTGACTTGTAAGTGAAAGAAGTAACTCCTGGTCATCTCACAATATCTTAAGATCTAACCGACTAACCAAGATATTTAAGAAATATTTTTATGGGCACAAAAAGAATAGAGTGAATAAGACATAGCATCTGATAGCACAACAGGGTGACTATAGTCAAAATAATTTGATTGTACATTTTAAAATAAAGTATAATTGAATTGTAACACCAATGATAATGCTTGAAGGATAGATTTCCTGTTTTCCATGATGTGATTATTACACATTGCATGCCTGTATCAAAACATCTCATGTACCCCATAAACATATATACATACTATGTACCCACAAAAATTGAAAATAAAATATTAAATTTTTTTAATTTTTAAAATAAATTGTATGTATATTTAAGGCATACAACATAAGATACATATATAGTAAAATGGTTATTATAGTGGAACACATTAGCATATCTATCAACTCACATAGTTATGCATTTCCCCCAACACCCCTCTACTTGTGGCAAGAGTAGCTATAATATACTCATTTAGCAAAATCCTGAATACAAGACACTTCTTAGCTCTAGTCCTCGTGTTGTACATCAGATCCCTTTCATGTTGTACGTTATTAATTTTTTTAAAATAGAGCCTTCTCCAAATCATCCGGTTGCCCCTCCAGGAGCTCAGGGACTCATTAAAAGAGGGAAAAAAATGGATTCACAAAAATATTGCATTTGCTACTGGGTGCCAAAGACAAGATACAGAACACGTGCCTCTGGGAAAGATTAGTGGGCCTGATCTGTCAGTGAGGCCCGGAGACGTGGGGAGACTTGGCGCAGGTTTCTAGAATAGGGAAGACTTTGGTAGGAAAGGAGGATGGTATTTGATTTCCTTGGCTGGAGTGGAAGGGTTTTTTCATGTTGAAGAGGGAGAAGGTTGGAAAATTATAGTTACTATGTTGCTATGGAGTTTATGGGACTATATTCTATAGATGTGTAGCTTTGGGAAATTTTGAGCAAGAAAGTGTGACTTAAGTAATGTTTTAAGAAAACTAATCTTATGGCTCTGCAAAGACTAGAACAGATGGGCAAATACCAGGTTGGTGTTCGGAGGAGACTATGGTATTAAGACAGTTACCAGAGGTAATGAGGGCCTGAATTGTCTTTCAGGTGACAGATAAAGGTGACAGTTCCAATAGTGGATGTTTGGGAATTAACTGCATTTCCTGTCAGAAAGTGTTGCGTATGAGTATTAGAGACATATATGCACATATCACATACGCACCTGTATGACTCTGTGTGTGTGTGTGTGTGTGTGTGTGTGTGTGTGTGTGTGTGTGTAGCACATAAGGTCTGTGAATGAAGAAAGAATTCATTTTCCTTTTTTGCATGTACACTAAAGCACTCCATTGAAAGTGGACTTGAATAAATTGTATTGTTTACAATAAACACTCATTTGGCATTATCATTCAAGACACAGATGGCTCCATATTTTCATTCATTTTGTTGCAGTATTTTTGCTATTCTTTAAAATTGAAAGCAAACTTTTTCTTATGACTCATGAATCTTAATCTTTGTGGTGATGAAAATCAGCAATAGTGTCTGAATGGCAATTTTCTTGGGAGAAAAATGTTAGACAACTAAGTATTTTTTTAATTAGAAATACCTATCTAAGCCAGGCGCAGTGGCTCATGCCTGTAATCCCAGCACTTTGGGAGGCTGAGGCCGGTGGATCACGAGGTCAGGAGTTCAAGACCAGCCTGGCCAAGATGGTGAAACCCCGTCTCTACTAAAAACACAAAAATTAGCTGGGCATAGTGGTGGGCGCCTGTAATCCCAGCTACTCAGGAGGCTGAGGCAGAGAATTGCTTGAACCTGAGAGGTAGAGGTTGCAGTGAGCCGAGATCTCACCACTGCACTCTAGCCTGGGCAACAGAGAGAGACTCGTCTCAAAAAACTACAACAACAAACAAACAAACAAAACCCTAATTATGGTAATATTCCACGAATTGAAAATTTGGAGTAAAAACCATACTGCTGCATAGTTTGATAGGAAATCTTGGAAGCAATTACTTTGGAATCCTCTGGATTTAACCAAGTCTCTCCTCTATTATTTTTTTCCCCCTAGCACAGACAGGGAGAAAAAGAAACGTCAAATTCATGAGGGGTGCATAGCTGCATAGCTCCCTCAGCAACTTGCCTGCATCTTGATAATAGCGATCTCTTCATTCTTTCTTGTGAATCCCATGCAGGATCCTCTCTTAGTCCTCTCTGTCTCCCCACAGTGCCTCACTGGGCACATTGCAAGCCAAGCACTTCACATTTTTGCTAACTGAATGAATGGACATTGAATAATGAACTAAGCTGTCACTTTTCTTCAGGGATTCGGCTTCCTCATGTATAAAAGGGACTGATTCCAAAATTCTGTATGGTTCAATAATATTAGGGGCCTATAAAACTAAAAGATGTATCACCTCTTACTAAGTAAAAGCAATAATGAAAACCCTACTATTTAGCTCTCATCAGGAAATAATGAGCTCTTCCACACAGAAAGGAGAAGGAACATAAAGTAGAAAGCAAGGTGAAGATACAATTATGATTGAATTTGCTTGCTTTCTTAGAATACTAACTTCTCTCCTTTTCCCTCTCACTACCAAAAATAAAGCCACTATAGCCCCAGAGAATTCTTTATTCTTGTCAATGTAACCCCCCTTGTGGTGCTGTTTCAATAAGTTATAGAAAAGTAGTTCTTGGGTCCAGTAAATGCCGTTTACACAGTCCTAGAATTAGTGCCAATTTGGCATGAGAACTCAGTTCTTCAGATTCTTAATTTACTATGTCCACACAGTACTAAAGAGAGTGTTATGCAAATACTGAAACAATCCATGGAAAGTCAGGAAAGATTCCATGACTCTAGCCTAGGTCTTAGGATGCCCATTCTGATCTCCACTACCTTAACTTGGGCTTTCTCTACGCTAATCTTATTTATGGACTTCCTGAAATTACTCTATATAATTTATATCACTGAAGGTCACCAGCTATCAAGAATTCTAGCCAGAGAAAAGGTGCAGAGAAAAGGGTGCAGCTTACTTCAGGTAAGATATGTGTGTAAATTCATCCCAAGCTGAAGAGATTGGATCCCCCATGAACCTCTATTCCACCACAAATGTCAATAGAGTACTGACTTCTTGAGTGAATGAGTAACTGGTATTCTGCTACCTGAACAGCAATGATAATTCCAACCTGATAGCCAAGACAAGGACAGAATTTGCAGTTGTATTGACAGCCATGTTGTCAGCCTTATGGATGAGACTCCAGAAAGAAATAATAGAGAATCAGTCTGGTTAAACTTATCTGAACTTTGCTCTCAAACATGAAAATTGAAGAAATATTGACGCTTGAGCAAACCCTACAAATGCCACCCTAATAGACATTCACACTCATTTGGCCTCATTTATTCAACCTGATCTGCTGCCTTAGTGAAATGTTGACAACACTGGCAATAACTAGTTGAGGTTTATTTTATGCTCAGAATAATGTCAGGCACCTGAATTGCATATCAAGTTCTTGAAATCAGGATATAAAGTCTTCAGCCACAGCGTTACTGGGGACCATAAATAAGAGAAATACAGGGATGAATGCATAATTCAAAAGCAACAAGCTTATTCTTCTGAAATAAAAATTCATTGAAGAGTTTCTAGGTTCTAAGAATAGCTTTAAGTTTACAGCTCATTAAGGCTTCCAGATGCTCTCTTCATATTGAGTTTGTATACCCCATTTCAGGGGTCTGTCTACATGCAAGGCACAGATGCAAAACGAAATAAAGTATTGATAAGTATAAATGTAGCACAAAATGTATGAAAAGTATACATAAGATGGAGCAAGTTTAGGCATGCTAACACCATTTAAAATCATTCCTATTCATCAGAATTCCATATTTGCCTTTTTTATCTTTGTATTCTTATATAAAGAATAGACTTAAAGGTGGACCCATACATAGTATGTAAGTTTTATTGTATTAAAACATATCCTTATTGATTTTTTTACTTTCTCCATTTCCAGTAAATTTTAGAAATAAGTCTCAGTACTTTTAAACGATAAAATTGTAAGGGTTATTCTAGTGATCAATTCTTCATTAAATGTAAATGCTCAATGATTCTGTTCTTAAGTAAAAATAAAAAATCCACTGAGAATGTTTTCTATTTAGGATTTTAGTATAAATATGGAATGGTAAAATATGAATGCTAGAATATAAAGAATGGAAGTTGTTAATCTGTAATATTAAATTCAGCTCTCAACCACATGATCACTATTGAATTATATGCTAAGACACTTAACATTTTAATCACTTTTCCCCCAAAAGACAAAATAAATGCCAGCAAGCCTGTCCATCCCCTGTAAAGCTGTAAGTAATCCTAATCAGCTATTATGTTTCACCCCAGAAGCTATCAACAAAAATTAACAGAGGAAGAAATAATAGATAGTAAGACACATTCAGAAGTCGGGCTTATTAACTTGTTAATGCTATCTCCTCTTTAGGAAAATGTGTGATGGTTAACTTTATAAACTAATAAACATACAGCAATAACTACTCTAAGGAAAAAGCATTAGCTTTGTTTCTTAATTTAATTCCTGTTTTCCAGCATGTTTTTTTTCCCCTTTCCAACTGTCTCACTGGCTTGCAGATTTCAACAGTGAGGGTACAACCTGAAAATGTCATTCCACTGTAGTCCACAGCTTCCAGAATGCTCTGGGAATCACTGAGAACATCATCTAGAATATCTTTGTCCCTTAAAATAAATTTGTTCAATAGGTCAAAGCCATTTGAAAGAAAGCCTTGGCTACTAACACTTTCCTATGCAAGATGTTTATTAGGGATTTGTCTGATATCCAAGGCTGACTCATTTGTAAATGATACAAATCTGAGGATACCAGAGTTTCTCAAACTGGCTTATTTGTGAACAGTTTTCTAAGTTTTACATTTCTGTGTCAATAAAAATCTTAAAAAGAATAAAACTACCAGATGCACACCATTGATATCAGAATCATTCAAAGTACTTGTGAATGATGCAAATTTTGGGGTCCAGCCTTAACTGAGTCGGAAGCTCTGGGGTGGGGTCCAGGGAGCAGCCATTTTTAACAAGTTCCCCAGGTGATTATAAATCACACCAAATCTTGAGAACCATTGATCTAGGCGACCAGTCCATACCAAAAATCCCACAGGTGACAAAGTGCGTTCAGATAGATGTTTCATAGAAGTTGGAACCGAAAACGGGTGGAAAAACAGCCCACTCAGACATATACGAGAGCTGAACTGAAGATAATCTACACTACACGATTCACAGTTTGCAGGAGTTATTGCTTGGATCCTGTCATTGCATGCATCAGTCTGCAGCAGCAGTTCATTAGCAGTAAGTATAGTAATAAATAACAATAAAGGATTGTCCTGTTCCCAATTCCAGCAATAATTGGATTAGATGCCTATTTATTAAAGATTGCAGTAACACTGCAACTCTGACCTTAATTTCCAAGTTTTTACAAAGTTGCCAAGGGATGTCTCATTAAAATGGGAAATTGAGGACTAATTGCCGGCAGTTTTAGTTAACTTTGAGATCTGACTATCTTAAACCCTGCAAATAGAGAATTTCAATACATTTTGGTATACCATACTTAGGCAAACAAGCATTCCCTGGGCTGCTTAGTAAAACTTAGTGAACCAAATTAAATAAGGAAACTGACCAGAGGCTCCATCCTTCTAAAGCACAACATGAGGAATTTTATTTCAGAAAAACAATATCATTTATCGTTTTAAATTAGTGTGTTGTTAATTTTAGTGTTCAGGCCTTGCATTTCTCCTATCAATTTATTAAGGTTATTTTGGTTTTATACTTGATGAGCCCTATAAACTTAAATCTGGTTTTACATCCATATATGTTTAGAAATATTTTCTTTCATTAAAGGATGAGATTTCAGCTCAATAAAAGAGGACCATCATTCTAATATGGGCCAGGCTGTTTTATAAACAGTGAGTTTCCAGTTAGAATGTTTAAGGAGATACCAGATGACATCTGTTAGTAATGCCCCAGAAGGCTTCTTCTATCAGGAGGGCACTTGGGCAAAATCAGCTATAAATTCCTGTCCAACTGGGAGATGAAATTGTGTTCCAAATGTTTGCCACTCTGGAACCAGGGCTTGCCTACCCTGTTTGAGGTAGCAACTCAAGCACTGACTTCATGAAGGAACACTCATGTACATATGTACATGGTCTTTGAATCCCCAACAACTTCTCAATTATAGGTTGAGATTAATTTGTCACTGGTTCCCTGCTTTTTCTCCATAAATCTCATGACAGTTTCCACCACCTCTTCCCCTCCCACGTCTTCTCAGATCCATCAACTCTAATCTGCTTAGATTTATACAAGTCCTCAACCTCTCTAATCAAACCTTTCTTTACCTCTGAGCCAAGCTTTGGTGAATTAACATAAGTAGCTGGGCATGATATTGCTTTTGGAGTCAAGGTATAAATACTCTGAATGGGAAATCATTAAGTCTATTTTGGAATTTTTCCTGGGTGTCTCAATGCCTATTCCCAAATTATCCCACTGTTTAACAGAATCAAACAGGCGTGCAGTGAGTACATGCCATCCTCCTGAATGCCATTATAGCTTGATGAACAGAGCACCAAGTAATATCTGAAAATCGTTGTATAACCTTCAGCAAATTTCCACTTCTCTTGATGTGATATCAATATTCATTGAAATATTCCCTCCATTTTCTGTTTTACTAGCACAGACGGGTGGTTCTCAACCACAGCTGCACATTAGCAGAATCACGTGGGGGGATTTTTTAAAAAACATCCGCTGAAGGCTGGGCACGGTGGCTCGCTCCTGTAATCCCAGCACTTTGGGAGGCCGAGGCGGGTGGATCACTTGAGCCCAGGAGTTTGAGTCCAGCTTGGGCAATATATTGAGACCCCAACAAAAAATTTTACAATTAGCCTGGCGTAGTGGAGCATGCCTGTGGTCCCAGGTACTCAGGAGGCTAAGGTGGGAGGATCACTTGAGCCTGGGAGATTGAGGCTGCAGTGAGTTGTGATAGTGCCACTGTACTCCAGCCTGGGCAACAGAGCAAGACCCTATCTCAACAAAACAAAATTTTTAAGGCACTGAAGTGAATTATCACAGCTGGGTGATAGGTACATGTGGACTTATACAATTCTCTCTGTTTCGTGTACATTTGAAAGGTTTCATAATTGAAAGTTTATATTTAAAAAATTTTAAATATTGATGCTTAAGCTGTATCCCAAACCAATTAGATAAGAACCTCTGGAGAGTGGGACCCAGGCAGCAGTATCTTTCAGCATTCCCCAAGTGACTTTTAGGAGTAAATGGAGTTGAGAAACAGGTAAAAGAAGACTAAAGCACATACTTAAATTGAATGTTAAGAATTCCTCAAAAGAGAGAGGCTATAAAAATAAACATTGATAACAAGCACTTATTTATATCTTTAAAAAATTACCTGAAGTCCTTGTAGAAGCCACTGGATGACATGTGCATGTGCCCATTCTCTACGAAGTGAGTCAATTTTGAACAGGCTGGGTTTGCTTGGCAGTGCCTGCCATCAGATTTGTTGATTCTCACAACCTAGGGGAAACCTATTACTGTAGCTGGCTACCCAGTTCATAGTAATGTGTCAATAAAATGCTGGCATATTTCACAACAGGCATAAAGAACTCATCACACGTTAAATATCGTGACTAGAATTTCAACAACTCTTCAAACACCCAAAAGAAAAAAATATCATTTGTGGTTTTATTCCAAGTTTCTGTGTAATGTGTAGAAGTTACACACGCGTACTTGTGGTTATCTCAGATGATGAATAATAGAAGGTTCCAGCAGGTACTTTTTGATGAAACAGATAAAAATATTTGAAAAATTAGAGGAGCCAGTAGGAAATTGTGTCTAAGTGACTATAACCTGACGTTTTATGAATTGGATCTAGCGATTTTCCCCAGGTGTGTTCAGGCATTGGGATACTGGTACATCACGATGCCTGGCCCAGGGATCTGTTTTCACTAAGAGCTAAAATTTACTGAGCATTTATCTTGTATGAGGAACTGTTTTACAAGCTATTGTTCCAGTTAAATAACTTTCACCATCACCAGAACCCTCCAAGGTAGAATCTATTATTACCCTTATTTTCAAAAGAGGTCAATGAGGCAGAAGCTGTTTCAATAAGGTGCCCGACGTTACACAGGTTTTACTATCAGAGCCAGGACACAAGCTCGGGTAGTCTGACTTCTGAGCTAGTCCTCTAAAGCCTCTAAGTAGACAGTCAAATAAATACATACACACAGATATTCAGTTAAATCATATGAAATTGCCAATATTCAACAGTTTTGACTTTCAGAGCAGTAACTTTAGAGTACAATAATATACTCCAATGAGAACACATTGCATTGGCTACAAAGAAGAGAAACAGAGTTAAGAAAAGACTATTTCTACTACTATGGACACATTAAAGAACAGAAAAAGTCTTCCAAAAAGTCACTAATTTAGAAAGAATATGCAGGTTGTTTATAGTCTAAGAAGCTACTAAAAGACTGTAAGGCAACCGCTAATAAAATTATAATTATTATTGTTAACTTGTATTTACCTCTGCTGTGTGCCACACAGTGTTTTAAGGGGTTTCTGTGCACATTATCTCTTTGTTCCTCACAATTCTATGAGGTAGGAACTATAATTATCCATATTTTACAAGTGATTAAAAAAACTGAGGCAAATGAGAGGTTGAGTAGCTTGTCTCAGGCCTCATATTTGGTGAGTAGTAGAACCAGGCAATTTTATTGTAGAGTCCATGCTCTTAACCATGATGCTAAACTGCCCCTACACAATTACATAAGGTTCCCTTGGAATTTCCTCTACAGAAAAGGGAAATTAATTTCAAAAAGCTGTGCCCAAAATGGGGTCATTGTATAAACATGTATCCATTTGACCAAGAAGAGCAGTCTACAAGTTAAGAGTTTGAGAAAAAGGGCAAAGGCGAATGCTCTCATCCATCAGTAGATCCCGCTGGCTCTACCTTCAGGACATACCCAGAATCAGCCACTTCTCACTGCACCTGCCTCTGGCACCCTGGTGCAAACCATCACCATCTCCTGTCTGGGTTCCTGCAACACCTCAGCACATCTGTCTCTGCTGCCACCCTGAGACCCCTATAGTGATTCTCCAAACAGAAGATACTGTCAGCCTGGTAAAACATAAGCCAGATCACGTCACTCTTGTTCAAAGCCTCTGGGGGCCGTGTTATCTGCCCTCACCCCAACCAGCCCCACCGTTCTGAACATATCTGCCAGCCACACTCCCCGTCCCACTCCAGGCACTCTGTGCTTGCTGTTCCTCACACAACCAGGTGCACTCTCACCGTCAGCTTTGGAATCAGCTCTTCTCTAGGAAATACTAATGCTCTTGCCTACTTCAAGTCTTTGCTCCCGTCGCCTCTCAGAGAGGCCTGCCCTGCACACCTTAAATATACACAGTAAAAGCAAAACTGTGACGGGGCTACCCCAGCACCTATTCTCTTATCCCACTCTCCTTTTTTCCCATGACCTAACATGGCATATCATTTCCTTATTTATCATGTTTATTGTCTGTCTTCTGTCATTCCAGACATAAGTCCCACAAAAACAGGGGTCCAGCCACCTGGAACAGTGCCTGGCATGGAGAAGGCATTCAATCTATGTGTGTTGAATGAAAGAATTTTAAAAAGCTCAGAGATTATAAAATATGGGACTCTTTTGGAAGGATTATCAGAAGGATACAAGTATAAAATTGAAGAATTAGCTTGCCCAGGATTGGGATTAGACACAGGAAGGAGATTTGGAAGGAAGAAACTAAATCTAAGGGAATGGTGGATATATGATAAAAATGTGACATAGTTATATGCAACATACACTGGTTCCCTCCAACCATGGAACTAATTTAGGCAGCAACTCCCAATCACCCTAAGGAAAACCCCATTCCTTACTCCTGAGCCAACCCTGGTGACACCAGTAGGGCTCCTCTTCCACCACACACCCAGAGATGAGAGGGAAGAATGGTAAAGCCACCCCTCCCCAAATGCCACTGGGCCATTGTTAACACCAGGGGCAATTTAATAAGCATTTATATTCTGAGGACAAAAGAAAATGTGACAGGATTCAAGCAGGGCCCTCTTTGCTCATGTGTACAAACAATGGCAGTGACCACTGCAGTGCAAAATGTCAGAGCATCTGAAGCAGAAGTGTCCAGGCTAACATTATTTCTCATATCAATGGTTGCCATGGTGATATTTATAAAGATTTAGCCACCATCAAGCAGTGAATACTTTTACGGGGCTGTTGGAAGAGAAGACGTCGCAATCCACCCTTCGTCCTCACAAATCACTGTCATCCCACTTGCTCCCATGACATGGCTCACTTCTTTTGATTGCGCTTCACATGCCCACTAAAGATGAGTGTTAGATTCTGTCATTTCAGGCTTGAAGCCTGTGCTGTGTTTTTCCATTTGGTCTGCATTAAGCTTTCTTCAGTGATCCATAGTGCCCTTTCAAACATCGCCAGGTCATTCCTTCATCGATCTCCTTATCCCCAACCTCTGCCTCCACCAGGGCACCCAAGTTCCAGGACCTCCCATCCCCTAGTCACTCTCTGGAGAGGGCATTCATGTGTGTTGACCATTGCCAAATTTATGCAACCTCCATACTTCAAGAAAACATAAGGAGACAGTGAGTTGGTAGAGGTGTATCTTAACCAATCCCCCTGTACTGACCCACTAGATTGTAAGCTCTGTGAGGGCAGTGGGTCTCTTTTACTCACATTTGTATTTTTCAGAATAAGTAGCATGGCACGTTAGCCCTAAAAGGAGCTGAAAAATGTCCTAGCACAAGGTAGTAGAGAGCTTAGTGAATGAAACCACAAATCCCCAGTCATGCAAATTAGAAACCCAGGCATCTCCTGGACACCTTACTCTCTCTCCCAAACCCTCTTGTCAGATCTATTACCAAGCCCTTTGTACTTCACCTTAAATAATCTCTGGGCTCTGTCCACATCTCCCCAACTCCACACCAACATCCTATCCTGAAATAGTCTCTTCTCAGGTTTCTAATCCAGCTTCCCGGGACATGAGTGAGCACTCAGAGATACAAAGGTGATGCTCTCACCCCTGCCTAGAACTTTCCAATCCCATTGTTCTCAGGTGAAGACAACACTCTCAAATGCAGCCTCGATGCTGTAAGTGTTCCCTTCCTCCACTCCCGTCGGCCCAGCCATCTTTCCATTCCTCTTTTTCAGCTTCCTTAACTAGATCACACATCCTCAGCAAGGGTTCTGGTAGCATCAGTCCCTCTGCTTCAAACATTGCACCTATGCGTTTGTGTGTGTGGCGATTCCATGAACCATTGTCTCCCTTCACTAGATGCAAGTCCCAATAGGGAACTTGGGTTGCTTCTACTCACCACTGTGTCCCCAACCTGCACACTGCCTGGCATGTAAGAGACGCTCAGTGAATATTTGCAATAAATAAATGTTGATGGACTGTCATTATTGGAATCAGGACAGTACATAATGGTTAGGTTTCAGCCTCCACAGTTGGTAGCCAGGGGCTCACTACTTCTGCTAGATACAAAGGAAAAAGCAAACAAAAAGACAGAAAATCAACAAGGCTTTTCAGATCTTGGACATTTAAGTGAAGCTTGCAATGGACACTCAAATATTTATCAATATCCTTTGCAAACATGGATTGAGCAGCTACTCTGGGTAGGGGACTAGCCAGAGCTGCTGACGACACTTTATCTTCCAGGAACCAAAACCTTAATTTTCCCTAGCGGTGCTGCTGGAGTAGGAACATTTGGTGTTGAAATGCTGCCACAAGAGGCGGGAGAATGACTCAACTATTCTTCAATTCAGAGGATCAGACTCTAAACTTTGATACTGATTCACATTTGCTCCCTGGATGCCAGTGATTAATCTCATTAGGAAAGTTAGAGGGCAGAAAAATAAGCGACATTTGTACAGCGATCTGTGATGGACTGAGGGAAACCCCAAGAGACAATGAGTTTTTCTGTCTGTCCATGGACCATTGTGGGGAACAGAGCAGGAAACATGGAGTCCACAGACCTGCCCTCTGCCCCGCTCCTCCCTCCCAGCTCTCTGACCTTGGCTTGGATTGCATTGCCTCATCTGCTCTCTCATTTATAAACTGAGTGACTAAACCTGCTTCAAGGATCATTGAGAGGATTAAATGAAATAATTCATGAAAAAAGCACTCAGTAAGCTCTCAATGCCATATAATGGTGTGTCACGGTGATGACGGGGGCTCACAATAATACCACATGGCCACTCTCTCTCTGCCAGCACAGCTGGGGGGCCCCGGGGGTCTCCCTCCTTCCTCTCACCTCTGTGGACACATAGCTGCAAAAGCTGAGCAGGAAGGCCCTTGGAGAACCAGCCCATTTGATAAAGTAAAGGAGGTGGCTCTCGACTGCTGGGAGGTGTGCTGAGCTTATAGATCCATTTCCTAGAAATGCTGGGACGAAGCAGCCAGGAATTCTGATTAGTCTGCTGGGTCTGCAGACTTGATAATATTGCCTGATGGAAAGGGCTAAGTGCAGGAAATGGCATCTGCTCTGAGGTAACAGGCCTCAGATATTTAAAAAAGCATATAAAAATAGATATCGACATGTGGGCTTTTCCTAACATGTTTTTTTCCTGTCTTGTAGCACACACAATTCAAAAAAGTTTAAAAATGGCTCAAAACACTTGTTTTTTTGTTTTGTTTTTGTTTTTTGAGACAGGGTCTCACTCTCTTGCCCAGACTGGAGTGCAGTGGCACAATCTCGGCCCACCCCAACCCTCCGCCTCCCAGGCTCAAGCAATTCTCCCACCTCAGCCTCCCGAGTAGCTGGAATTACAGGCGTGTGCCACTACCACATGGCTAATTTTTGTATTTTTAGTAGAGATGGGGTTTCGCCAGGTTGGCCAGGCTGGTCTTGAACTCTGACCTCAAATGATCCACCCCTGTCGGCCTCCCAAAGTGCTGGGATTACAGGTGTGAGCTACTGTGCCCAGGCACTCAAAACATTTTTATAGCATTTACTTGAGAAGTTCTCTCAAGAATACAGGCCTCATTTGGAATCACTTAAAAAATTGCAAATACTCATGATATTGGAGATGGATTGGTTTTTGGAAGGAGCCAAAATGATTTTGCACTGGGCTAATAAATAAGGGGGTCAATGGGGTCAGATCCACTGAGCACCAAAATAAACAAAACAAAACCCTGAGTTTTAACTATAAACAAACTCAACTAAATTCTTTAGAATAGTTTAATGTACTAGTTTGGAAGGGACTTCAAAAAGTAGTTCCAACAAGATTTTGAACAACAGAATCATCTTCATTCACAATAGCAACTAATTTATTGAGCACTTAGTATGTGCCAGGCACTTTGCAAGTATTTGACATACATTCTGTCACTTACGTTTCAGGAAACCTGCCAATCTCTTATACCCATCTTACAGAAGATAAGGTAAGTGACTTCTCTGAGGTCACAACCAGGTAAATGATAGAACTGAGCTTATCTGCATGGATTTTTACTTGCCAGAAGACAACATTCCTTTGAATGAATGCACTCTGATACATTTGTTTAAAAAAATCATCATTTAATGGTTGAGTTTCTTTTCATCAATGCAGAAACAGAACACTCTGACAGATATGAGGACTTATTGGAGTCTGGACCCAAACCACTAAGATCAGGGATTTGCAAATGTATCCCAATTCCCAGAGGAACAATTATGAGACCCTTTTAAATGGGAAGCAGAAATGAGCCTAACAAACACTTGGAAATGGGTGACAGATAGGGACATTGGTATCCAGACACCATTATACTTTTGTGGAGAGTGTACGCCTATAGTATGCAGAATGATGATATATTTATTTAGGTATGTAGAAGGTGCATGGTCTGGGTGTTAAGAGATGAGCCTGGTCAGTCAGAGTTGAGTTTAAACCAGGATCTGGAGGTTGCTGGCTGTGAAGTAAGTTTCTTAACCTTCAAGGCCTCAGTGTCTTCACTGCAAAATGGAAATGACTACATTACCCACTTCATGGGGTTCTTTCAGCATCAAATATATTAAGCTCCTCCAATTGTGCCTAACACATAGTAGGCACATACCAGTTAGCTACTATTATTAATACTTAAGTAAAAATACATTACTTTAATTTTCCTAAGAGTCATTCTCTAGACGAGGACATAACAGGACAAACATTCATATTCTACAAGTGTACTTAGTCTTTAACAGCAGTGTTGTAATTCAATTAGACTACATCAAGTATGAGTTTTTTGAATATTATGAGTATTTTCCTTGCCAACATTACATAGTGTCTGGAATTAATTAAGTGATTGGTGCTAAAGTGAAGTGTCCAGGACCATTTCTGTATAAGATCTCAAAAAAAGAATAATTTGGCATGTGCTCCTTATAAAGATGAATAAACAATTTTTTTTTCTGGAGAGGACATTTTGATCTTCAAAATATTTGGCTACAGTTTTACTTTTATACAGTTGAACAGTTACACCAAAGTTGCAGACTAAGAACACAGATGATAAAGGTTTCGACAATGAAATGTTCTTATATCATTAAGTCTTGACTTATTAAAAGCCCTCTTTACAAATAAATGGAGGAGGGAAATTTCTCAGATTTCTTAACTTGGAACACAGACTTTTTGCAAAGGCAAAAAGACAAAGGGAGAAGTCCTTACTTCTCCACCCGCCTTGCAAGGACAGAGAAATCTTACACTGGAGCTGTGAACACCCAGCTAACTCAATAGCCACTAGAGATAGGATGCTAAAGGCAGAGCGTCATAGCAGCAATACAAAAAATGGCAATTTTTTGTAATGGAAACACTATAGTTTGTCCATACTTTAAGCATGTCATGGATTAATTAGGCTCTTATCCAATCACCTTGGACACCAAGAAGTGAAACAGTCTTTCTAAACGAAAATATCTTCTGAGTTCCGAATAATCATTCCACAAATAAACTTATGGATGTTTTTTATAAACTCATGATTATTTGATGTAATTTGAAACCCTCTTGCAGTTCATATCAATCATACAACATTTACTGGGTTACCTCCTTAGAAAAAAATCCTACGAAAGCTAAACAAAATTATGGATGGTTTAATTACTATCTCAGATTCTCAGTACATAATCCAAATAAAATCTTTTTCATCTACCACATAATTGACAGTTTTCCTAGTAGGACTAGAAAAAAGTTGTTATTACCATACCTATACTATGACCTTGGTTACTACATTTAAAATTTTTGCCTTTATGCACTCTGTAGAATGAGCATGTTATTTAGCCTTCCTTTATATGATTTTTCTTTTCATTGTATTTTGATCTTTGGCTCAGTTACTATGACACCATCCAGATGTGAAAATATGCCTCTATTGACCTTACACAATACGACCATTCCCAATATGATTTTGTTTTCCTACAAGTCCTCTCAAAATTCGTTTGCTGGATTAGGTTTTTCTGCAACTATGACTTACAAAAATGCTGAAAGTAATCTAAGGTGTTTGTATAAAAGGATGATATAAAAATGGAAATAGCACAAGAGCTGATTAAAGCTAAACCTAAAATTAGATGGGTTCCTTTGATTAATGGCATAGCAACAGCCTGATGAGTGATGGGTGAAGAACAGCCATAATTGACACTAATCTAGATTCAGCAACTTTAAGAGTGAAGAACTCTCATCCCTACCATAAAGTTTTTTTTTAAGAACAAGCTTCCTCAGAGATACATAAAGTCTAAACTATTTTGGCAGTACAATCAGCTTGATAAGAGCAACTTTTTAATTTTAACTTTTTCAAACTTAATTCACTTTGCAGGAAGAGACAACTGGTTATGAACTAAGTCAAAGCCTCAGGTAAAGTACAAGTTCTTCTAGATAGGGGAATTGAGCATGCAGATCCTAAAATTCCTAGAGAACACCGCAGGATGCCTGCTGCACCATTTGCCGCACCGTTCTGAAAACCGACATTTGTTCAGGTACATTGATCAGGAAAGGGAACATTTGCACATTTATTGAGAGGAAATTAAATGGCAAGTATTGTTATGTGACTGGAATGTAACATTCCATACTCTACCTGGTAACTTCCAAGGCTTTATTTTGGGGGGTGGGGAGAACGAAGGACTTACTACCCTCTGTGGCTTCCTTATGGTCACATGAGGCAAATCCTTTATGAGAAGCACCAGGCTTCTAAAAGACTAGTGATCGGCTGCATGACATGTCCAATGAGAAATTTTAATTTTCTCATATGATTCATAGTTGTAATTATTTATTTATTTATTTATTTATTTATTTATTTATTTATTTATTTATTTATTTTGAGATGGAGTCTCGCTCTGTCGCCCAGGCTGGAGTGCAGTGGCGCGATCGCGGCTCACTGCAAGCTCCGCCTCCCAGGTTCACGCCATTCTCCTGCCTCAGCCTCCCGAGTAGCTGGGACTACAGGCGCCCGCCACTACGCCCGGCTAATGTCTTGTATTTTCAGTAGAGACGGGGTTTCACCGTATTAGCCAGGATGGTCAAGATCTCCTGACCTCGTGATCCGCCCGCCTCGGCCTCCCAAAGTGCTGGGATTATAGGCGTGAGCCACCGCGCCTGGCCAGTTGTAATTAATTTTTTAAATTTGCTTCATTTCTCAGCCTGGAGCATCCTTTTGGTGCCAGAAAGTAAAGAAATGCTTTAAAAAGGGGACAGGGGGATATAGAAAGGACACAGGAGACAGCCTGAAAGAGCTCCTAATGGCCAAGATTGAAGAATTTGAACAAAAATATGAAATGAAGGTATTGGATTATAACACAAGGAATCTAGTAAATACCCATGAGTCCATACTCCTAAAAATAAATGAACCAAAAAATAAAAGGAGGAAAAGAAACAACTCTTCCTTATAGACTAATTCCAATTAATAGTTGTAGTATGAATGAAGAAAATAGAAAAATCACCATTAGAAAACCACAGTAATAATTGCTACAGAGAAGATCCACTGATGAATGCTAACGTTAGTGGTTGGAAATTTAAGCTGCATAGTTTCAAAGTTTCTCCCCGCAAATACTTATTATCGCAAAGGGAAACATGTTAACAGTACAGTAGAGAAAGCCAGTAGACGCCACCTTAACCAAGTGATCAACACTAACATCATCAGTAACAAGACACATAGATATCATGTGCCCCCGATATGACAGAGGGCACGTTACCACTGTAGATTCTTTCCCAAGATGCATACCCTCAATCTAACCATGGGGAAACATGAGACAAATCCAAATTAAGGGACATTCTACGAAATGATGAGATACTCTTCAAAAGTGTCAAAGTCATGAAAGACAGGTGAAAACTGAAGAACCGCCATGGATGGGAGACCAAGGAGATCCTAATGAGTCAACTAGTATGCAAAGTGGAATCCCAGATTGGGTCCTGGAACAGAAAAAGGACATCAGTGGAAAAATTGCGAGATCTGAACAAAGTCTGCATTTTGTTAATAGTGTGTTACCAATGTTGGTTTCATAGTTTTGGCCATTGTGCTGTGTATTTATAAGATGCTAACATTAGGGATAGCTGAATGTGGTATATATAGGAACTCTGTGCTGAGTTTATAACTCCTCTGTATGTCTAAAACTATTTCAAAATAAAAAGTTTAAAGGTAAAAAAAAAGATTAAAAAATATAACTTGCTTTGTTGCTCTGTGTCCACATTGAGTGGTAACTTGTAGGATGGTCAGGAGTTAAACAATGAGAGTAGGGATCGTAAGTAGCTTAGAAAAGAGAAGCATTAGTCATATGACTTGGTTCCATTTCTCCCTCAACCAATTATGAGCTGTGTGACCTAGAACAAGTTAAAGTTACTTTTCTGTAAGTTTTTTGATATTTATAAAGGGGATGGGTCAGGGTACCAACCTCGTAAAGCTAGAAATGAAGGTTAAACAAAATCAGCTATCTAAAGAATGTAATAGTGCCTGGCGCATTGTCAGAACCCAATCAATGTTAACCATGGTGGTGGTGATGATATGGAAGTATTGACAATGATGACAGTGAACATGAACAGCCTGTATGTGACAGCCACTAGCTCAGACCCTCTCTCTCCACGAAGCCCCTGAGGATGTCTCATCCCCCCACACTGCTGCAGATCCCATCAGAGCCCTCTGATACTTTCTCTGTATTCCCATCCAGCCTTCTTCGGATGTTTATTGAGCACTTACTGCGTGACTTAGTAATGTACAGTATTAAGTAGCAGTAACACAGAGATGAAATAAAAGTGTGGGTCTCTGCTTTGGAGGGAGAAATGGACATGTTTCTTGTCTAGTGGGACAACTGCTACATGAACCAATCCTTTCTTTTAATGCAGGGAATGCTTTGCTGGAAATAAGCTCAGGTAGTATGGGAGCACCTAACCTAGCCTGAGCTGAGTCTTACCAGACGGATGGGCAGAGGATGAGGGGAAGGGATTCCAGACAGAAGGATCAAATGGATTAGAAAAGCCACAGGATCCTTGAAATAGTCATTAGTATGGGGAATATGTAAGAAGAGAGGACGGGAACATTTTGAAGAGAAGCAGGTAAGGCCCAAGTGATTGACAATTATGCACATTGAGATAAGTCCTTGAGTTTTACCCTGTGGGCAATGGATTGTAGTCAGGGGAGCAACACAGTTCTATTTGTATTTTGGAGCTACCACTTTGACAGCATTCTGGAGAAAAGACTGGAGAAATGTAAGACTGGTTAGTGGCAGGAAGACCAAGTAGGAGAGTCTTGCCATTCTTTAAGCAAGAAATAATAATATTAATAGTAACAAAGAAGTTATTATCATTATTATATGAATAAATTATTCTTAGGGCAATAATAGTAGAGGTGGGAAAAAGCAAGATGGATTGAGGAATATGCAGGAGGAAAAAACTGACAGGACTTGACGTCCCATTACTTGACACATAGCCTCCACTCAATGCACTAGTGCTGACTGCACCAACAGTCTGACTAGGAAAGGAGGAGTCTGCCCTGAATCCTGCTTTCTAGCTTAGGTAACTGCTGGTAATGGCACCCAACTGGGGGTGGTGCCATTTTTTGATAAAGGAGAAGGGATTGGGGAGAAATATGTTGTTGGAAAGACTGAAAGAGTACAAGATAAATGATAAATTCTGTTGTGTACAGCTTAAGGCTGAGTTGCTCATGAGGCATCTAATTCATATTTCTAACAATCCGTAAAATATTTGCCTGCAGCTCAGGAGAGGTTGAGACTAGGGAGAAGTTAAGACTCATCCCAAAGCAGTATGGTGAAAAAGAACAACTTGGGTCAAAGATGAAGCCCTAGGAAACACCAACAGGTAAAGGTTGAACAAGCGCTGTCTTGAGGAAGACCAACAAGGAAGTATCGAAAAGAGAGACAGCAGATCTAACTAAGTCTTGTACAAAAAGAAGGGCTCAGAAGAGTCCACTAGATTTAGAATGTAGTCACAAGCGGCCTCACCAGGGCGATTTCAGTTGAGTTTTGGGGATAAATATTAATAATTCTGTGTATCAAGGAGTGAAAGATTTAAAGAAATGGAGATATTTAAATATAAATGACTATAGATACTACTACTAATAATAATAATTGCTATGTTTTACTGATGTCTTACAGGTAAAGATAGGGCTTTGTATGTTTTGCAGGTATTATTTCATTTAATTCCCTCAATAACTCTATTATCTCTGCCATGTTAGAGACGAGGAAATAGGAAAGGGAAGGAGAAAGATAGGATGCTAGCAAGAAATTAATCAAGGAAAAGGGGTTTTTGTGTTTGCTTTGTTTCTGAAGGATAAGACAGACTTGAGCATAATCATAACTACAGGGAAAGGAATCACAGAGATGGAAAGGTTGGGATTATGGAGCCGATGGTGGGTCACAGGGCAGATTTCTGGAGGAGAGGGGATCAAGGCACAGGCGGAGGTAATGCCCTTGAACTGAGGGCTTCTCCTTCTCAGAAATCAGAAGGAAGATGAGCTCATTTATCAATAAACACCTACAAAATGGGTCAGGAAGTTGAGATAGGTCAACTGTATCACCTCAGCTTTTCATCTCAGTGCCCAAGGAAATCAAACTTCTCACTTCCTTCCCCAACTCCTCCCACTCCTACTGGACTCCCTGCCACCAACAGGACCCCAGTTCCCTGCAGCTACTCACAAGCTCGATGAAGGCTTGTGTATTGAGTGGGTTGGGGGAGATACTGGACAATGCAAGGTGGCACACAGATACCAGAACTCTACCTGATTCGGCTTTTTAAATATAATGGTAGCATCTGTAGGGCAACTAAATTCATAATGAGAACTTTTCCCTCAAAATAAACGGCCACATAGCAAAATATTTATTATTTACAATAATGATCTTCAGACTGGAGCACGCATGCCCCTGGGAGCACACAGCTTCTCTCAAAGGCATATGCTGGCAATTGTCTAGTTTGAAGAGACTCAGGGTTTTTGGGCTGGCCACGGTGGCTCGCACCTGTAATCCCAGCACTTTGGGAGGCCAAGGCAGGTGGATCACTTGAGGCCAGGAGTTCGAGACCAGCCTGGTCAACATGGCAAAACCCCATCTCTACTAAAAAAAAAAAAAAAATACATACAAAACTTAGCCGGGCATGGCAGTGTGTGCCTGTAATCCCAGATACTCGTGAGGCTGAGGCAGAAGAATCACTTGAACCCGGGAGGTGGAGGTTGTAGAGAGCCAAGATCGTGCCATTGCACTCCAGCCTGGGCAACAGAGCAAGACTCCGTCTCCAAAAAAGAATAAAAGAGAGACTCAGGTTTTCTTCTCTTTTCTTTTTTTTTTTTTAATTATACTTTAAGTTTTAGGGTACATGTGCACAACGTGCAGGTTAGTTACATATGTATACATGTGCCATGTTGGTGTGCTGCACCCATTAACTCGTCATTTAACATTAGGTATATCTCCTAATGTTATTGTTATCCCTCCCCCCTCCCCCCTCCCCCCACCCCACAACAGGCCCCGGTGTGTGATGTTCCCCTTCCTGTGTCCATGTGTTCTCATTGTTCAATTCCCATCTATGAGTGAGAACATGCAGTGTTTGGTTTTTTGTCCTTGCGATAGTTTGCTGAGAATCTGAGAATAATGGTTTCCAGCTTCACCCATGTCCCTGCAAAAGACATGAACTCATCACTTTTTATGGCTGCATAGTGTTCCATGGTGTATATGTGCCACATTTTCTTAATCCATGATTATCTCAATAGATGCAGAAAAGGCCTTTGACAAAATTCAACAGAACTTCATGCTAAAAACTCTCAATAAATTAGGTATTGATGGGACGTATCTCAAAATAATAAGAGCTATCTATGACAAACCCACAGCCAATATCATACTGAATGGGCAAAAACTGGAAGCATTCCCTTTGAAAACTGGCACAAGACAGGGATGCCCTCTCTCACCACTCCTATTCAACATGGTGTTGGAAGTTCTGGCCAGGACAATCAGGCAGGAGAAGGAAATAAAGGGTATTCAATTAGGAAAAGAGGAAGTCAAATTGTCCCTGATTGCAGATGACATGATTGTATATCTAGAAAACCCCATCATCTCAGCCCAAAATCTCCTTAAGCTGATAGGCAACTTCAGCAAAGTCTCAGGATACAAAATCAATGTGCAAAAATCACAAGCATTCTTATACACCAATAACAAACAGAGAGCCAAATCATGAGTGAACTCCCATTCACAATTGCTTCAAAGAGAATAAAATACCTAGGAATCCAACTTACAAGGGACGCGAAGGACCTCTTCAAGGAGAACTACAAACCACTGCTTAATGAAATAAAAGAGGATACAAACAAATGGAAGAACATTCCATGGTCATGAGTAGGAAGAATTAATACCGTGAAAATGGCCATACTGCCCAAGGTAATTTATAGATTCAATGCCATCCCCATCAAGCTACCAATGACTTTCTTCACAGAATTGGAAAAAACTACTTTAAAGTTCATATGGAACCAAAAAAGAGTCTGCATCGCCAAGTCAATCCTAAGCCAAAGGAACAAAGCTGGAAGCATCACACTACCTGACCTTTCTTTTCTTTTCTATTCCATTCTATTCTATTCTATTCTATTCTATTCTATTCTATTCTATTCTATTCTATTCTATTCTATTCTATTCCATTCCATTCCATTCTAATTTTATTTTTTTGGAGATGGAGTCTCACTCTCATGCCCAGGCTTGAGAGTGCAGTGGCGCCAACGGCTCACTGCAACCTCTGCCTCCCGGGTTCAAGCAATTCTCCTGCCTCAGCCTCCCGAGTAGTTGGGATTACAGGCACACACTACCACTCACGGTTAATTTGTGCATTTTTAGTAGACACAGGGTTTCGCCATATTGGCCAGGCTGGCCTCAAACTCCTGACATCAAGTGATCTGCTGGCCTTGGCCCCCAAAAGTGCTGGGATTACAGGAGTGAGCCGCCTTGCCCGGTGGAGACTCAGTTTTTAGAGCCTCAGCTTCTGGATCCTCACACAGCTCTGCTGAAGAAAGTGGCTGTATCTGCAGCCTTTCTTTTCTCACAAGCCTCTTCCTTCCACTTGGCAATACAAACGCAAACCGGCCCCATCCCCAAGGCAGACAGTGCACTGTCCCAGGACACAACACCTCTAGTGGGCAGAAAGAAGAAACTGTCTAAGAGATTGGTGCTGACTTCGAGAAAACAATTTTTTTCAATAATTAGAATTACTTCAATGACTGATTAACAAATTGTTAGCCACTGAGGTAGATACATTTTAAGTTTCTCCTTTCAATCAAATTGAAGAAGGAGAATATGAAGTAACTCATAAATTAATTCAAATTGGAGGCTGTACGCTGTCATATGGTTCTCCTTCCATTTCTATCCATCCAGTTTTGTAGGTTTGTACCTCGAGTTTATTTGTGCTTATCTCAGAAAGTGAGAAAGAGAAAGAGAAAAAGAGAAAGAAAGGAGAAGAGATAGGCAAGGAAGGAAGGAAGGAAAGAAGGAAGGAAGGAAGAAAGGAAGGAAGGAAGGGAGGGGTTGCTAAACCCTGTTTCATTTTAGCAATATGTAATATTTATCAACAGATACATGAGCTAGTGGGGAAAAAAATGCTCTGCCTGTATTACTAAGAGATTATTTTCCAATAACACTTTACTTTTTATGTGTAATAATTATTTGTCATAATATGTAATATGTTTGTGTCATTTATGTCTAAGTGTGTACTTCTAATCATTGTAACAATCACTTAATCCAGAGAATATTTTTTAAAACTGAGAATATTATAGTCACATAGAATGAAAAATTAAATTTAAATTTATATACCCATTTTGTTGCAGATGGTAACCAATAAAATATTTTCAAGCATAAAAATATTACATTAGGGTAATATTTTGAGGAGGAAGTAGAATGGAAACAGAAGTTTATGTAGGAAAAGAAATGATGCAAAATATCTGTAAGAGAAAAGTTTGTTCTTGTGCTTCTGAAATATATGATGATGGATAGAAAATTGCTACAGTATTTAAAAGATAACATAAAAGTGATGTTTGGTCATAAAAAGTATAACTGATATATAATATCTGAAATTACATGCTATATAATCATTTAAATTTAAGATAAAAATTTTAGGTGTGAACTTAAAAATGTGCATGCAGTACGTAGGTTTTCAGTGTTGTTTAGGTGGCGCATAAGTGAAAAGTGAAGACCATTAGTCCTCAAGAGAGTACCATCTCCATCCATTCCCCAAGAGCTTCCCTTCTCTCTTCTCTATGGTTTCTACCAATTCCTCTGGATAGTAAAAAAAAAAAAAAAAAAAAAGTATGAGAGAAAGCAAAGGCTTTGTTGACACATCAAAGAATCCTTTTGAAACACTAAATGTGAAATAAGGATCTCCATTTCCCAGAGGTATAGCCACATTGCTAGGGGCCCCACAGAGTACACGCAAGACCTAATTAAATGCAACACGTCTGTGGGTGATACTGATTATTTGTCAACATGAGAAGAAACTAAGGAAGTTCCAGTAACTTTCCCCAAGGCATCCTCCTAGCAATAGATATTCAAAACATTCACTGGCTCTGGAATGGAGGAAGCAGGTTAAATATTTTGTTCCTAAGGCCCATAGTTTCAGACCCCTAACTTTCCGAATTTAGAAGTTGTTGCAGGATATGTTTTGTTGTGTGCTAATCACTTCTCACCAGATACTGGAAGAGCCCTCACATGGCCCTAATATGTTCTGAACTCAAGAAATTCTATAAAAAGCTCAAGCTGAATAATTAGGGAAGGAAACCCAAAACTTTCATTAAAACTTAAGAAACTATTTGAAGATTGATTTAATGCTGGTTATGCAGTCTCTAAGGAACATTTCTATCAATATAATCTTACAAAATTCCTCTTGATTACAATCTGTAGGTTTGATTGGACAATGTTTCCTTCAACAGGACTGCCTAGCATTTTAGAACAATTTTCAGTCATCTGAACAGGAGCACTCAAAATTATTCCTGCAGATACAGAGGCAATCTAAAGGAAGAAATAACAAAACAAAACAGTAACATTAAACTCCCTTTTGGTAAATAGAACATTTTTAGTTAGATGGCTGCATCTTAAAGAGGTGGTCAGCTGGCTCCAGTATATTTAGCAAGTATTGGTATTTATTATACAAACTTAATCCAATGCTTAATACCAATCACTCACCTTTTAATTTGGAATTACTGTCGCTGCTGTGTACATGACTAAAACAGTAATTAAGAGTCAGCAGGGCTCATGAACAATTAGATTAAAATGTTGCTGAGGTGTAATATATAAAGTAGTCCCCCTAATTAGAGATACCCCCATTGTGAATGAGCAGCCACATGAGTGATCACCTCAGGGATGAGAGAGGGATGAGAGGAAGGATGAGAAAGGTACAAATTCATGGTCTCCTTAAGGGCAAATGCCTTTTACTGCCCTGTTGGTAACACGCTGGTGACTGACATAGAGGCATGACTCTCTCTTACATGGAAAATATCTCTTTTTCTATGTACCTCTGCTAAGGGCAGACAGCTTTCTACAGCTACTTCTCCATGCCTTCAGGTGGGTAGTGGTTTTTCCGGCATTCCTAATTGGAATTCATAATATATTTCTCCATGGCAACATCTTATAAAGTGTAGGTATAATTAGTTTGTATTTTAATAGTAAACTTTGGCTTTGCAGAACGCTCGGATTTTTGTTACTCTAGCTCGATGAACTTTGCTTGGAGCTGAATGCATACTCCTTTCAAATGTGTAGTCAATGCTGTTTTCTTTTAAATGTTAGCTATTTATGTATCAAGTTTTCTAAAATGCACACTTCTGAGTTTTGTTAAAAAGCACTATTTTGTCAGCTATGGGATGGTTATTGTAATTCTTACAAGGAGATATTACACAGTGATGCTCTCAGGAGGTCTACAGGTAAGCAGCACTGCCTACCTTATTGGAAAAGGCGACAGACAACTGTGCTTTGATTGGTCTGCCTCCTCTATCCTATCCTGCCTTTAGGCTGTCAGCGATCACATCTTTATTTTTTCTGCAGGCCTCCTTTTACCATCCTCTGTCACCCCTCAAATCAAATAGGTAAGCTTTAAAATTATATTTAGAATGAGAATACATGGTCTGTGGCTTCATCTGACTTTCCCTCTGAGTAAGAAGGACATGCTGTAACACAAGGGCTTTATAACATCTATTTTGGCTGTTCAGTGGCATTTTCTCATTTCCTGGAATATGGCATTTTGCACAAGAGAATCAAGTTATACTGAAGAGGAAAGGTGTTGCTTTTCATTACTTAAAGGGAATTATGAGTTAACTAGGCTTGCAATGGCTGTCTTGGGTACTAAACTACCATTTATAATATTTTTAACATAAAAACTGTGTTTAAATTTCTAAACAACTGGCTCACCAGCTTCTAGAATACAGCCCATTCTTTTTCTTTTTCTTTTCTTTTATTTTATTTTACTTTATTTAATTTTATTTTTATTATACTTTAAGTTCTAGGGTACATGTGCACAACGTGCAGGTTTGTTACATATGTAGACATGTGCCATGTTGGTGTGCTGCACCCATTAACTCATCATTTATATTAGGTATATCTCCTAATGCTATCCCTCCCCCACTCCCCATTCTTATGTTGGGAACTTCCTTTACTCACACAGGTTTTATTTCTCTGCTGTTGCCTGGCAACGGAGATGTGGCAAGAGATGTCAGAGGTTAAGGAGCAGACTAAAGTCATTATGGAAAGCAAGCTCTTATCAGCATTTTCCATCTAACTTTGTAATCTTTGAAATAAAATAGTTTTCATTGTATCAAATGTCTGTAATTTTTTTCTTATCAAATGCCAAGTATTTAGAGACATTTTTTTCTTTCTGAATATAAGTCCACTACACATGGAGAATTATAATTATGTGCATTGCTTTGAAATTTTGAAATGGGCTTCTCTATTACACTAGCATACTTTGAAGGTTAAAGTGAAAAACTGGCATTCTGAAGCCATGTACTATGCCAAAAGTAGTTGTGAACACATTTGAAAGCATTCCAAGAAGTATCAGAAACAAATATTGGCTCTAAATAATATCCTCACTTTGAACCATTAGTTAATGTTGAATTAAATTCTATTTTCAAATACATTGGCCTGCCTATTAGAAAATTATTCTTTAGAGAAAGGAACCCAAAATGTTCTATAGGTTCTCTTGTCTCTATTTTGAAATGGAAAGGAATGTGACCAAGATTTAAGCATCATCTTTAGAGTTTATTTTTTTCAGCCTATTCTGTACCAAATGCAAGGCTCCTAAGGATTTGTTGCTCATAGGTGATTAATTGTACTCAGCGTGACACAGTTTAAGACTTCTCCAGTGGGGATAGCACAATAGGCTTTCATGGCATTTCATTTCTAGGCAGTGGGTTGGTTTCATGAGTCCTAACCCAAATTTTAAACGTTTACAAATTACTGCTATAAAGGTTAAGCGACCTGAGTTAGAATCATATCCCACATTGGTTTAAAGTGGATCCAGAGTTATTTTTGGAGAAAGATTTTTATCCCTGCTGGTTGATCCTCCTTCATTTCATCTCTGAGAGAAACCACAGTGGCTATCCATTGAGGGATATGTCCTTACATTTCATCAGGGCAAAATAACTCCACCCTTCCTCCATTCCCAAATATGTTGGCAACACTGCACTCCAAGTTTCAGTCAGAGACTATAAGCCAAGACTCTGGGTTGGATAATTCTTCTCAAAAGCCCAGTTGGGAAAAATATATCCATGAAAGTAATTGCCTGAAGGATATAGGGACTGCCTGTTCCTCACAATTTCCTGCATTTCACTCTTGGCTAGACCTGCGTACTTGGAATCATTAGCCCTTTCAGAACTGCTTGTCCTTGCTTAGGTTTGTGCACTACGTAAATAACCATATATTGATGAGGTCAGAGTCAGACGACAGTCTCACCAGTAGGCTTGGGAGTCTCCCACTCTACATGTGAAAAGGATGCTATCTAAGTTGTTGCTTTTTACATTACCAGTTAAGAACATCCATGGAAGAAACTTGTCTTAGGTTTTAGTACTAGGAAAACTTGGGGTTTTATGTTACAGATATTTCATATCTTCACGTTCATGTTTTCCTCTTCACTTTCACTGCTAGGAATCTAAGAGCCAAATTCCCAACCCACCTTTGTCAACTGTAAAAGACATTAAAAATATACATTTACCCTACTTATTTTTCCTTGGCTTTAATTTTGCTTCCCATATTTTCTTTGCATCCTGACATCGTCAACTATTTATGCTACTGGAATAATTGGGATGCCTACCTAGAGTGCCTTTGTTTTAGAATAAAGTGGGATGTGAATTTAAACAACTAACAACAAACAAAACAGTCACATGGAAGAGAGAGAAGTTGATTTTCTTATTTGAACTTCTGAGTTTGTTTCTGTTTTTGTTGTTTTGGTTTTGGTTTTGTTTTTTAGAGACAGGGTCTCACTCTGTTGCCCAGGCTGCAGTGCAATGGTGTCATCGTGGCTCACCGCAGCCTTGAACTCCTGGGCTCAAGCAATCCTCCTGCCTCAGTATCCCAAGTAGCTGGGAATACAGGTGGACACCACCACACTCAGGTAATTTTTTAAAATTTTGTAAAGACCGGGTCTTGCTATGTTGCCCAGGCTTATCTCAAACTCCTGGCCTCAAGCAATCCTCCCACCTTGGCCTCCCAAAGTGCTGGGATTACAGGCATGAGCCACTGTATCTGTCAGCTCTTCTGCTTTGTGAATCCAGGTGGAAAGAAGGACACCCATGCCCTCTCCCCACTTCTTGCTGCTGAGAGCCCTGGTATTTAGAGAGATGTTGAGAGCTGGGCATAAAAGGAATAAGGGGGAGCCAGGAGGGTGCAGAAGAGGGAAATAAAGGATGTCTCACTCTTTGGCAGCAAGGAAGAAAGTAAGTTTCTACGGTCACGTCTAAGGAAAGTCAAGAAAGTGCAAGTCAGGAACTTCTTGCATTAAATGCAAGGGTGACATTTAAAATCCTGACACATCCAATTTGTGTAACATAAGAATGTCATCTCCAGAATGCATATTTATGAAGCAGTTTTCTTCATCTAACTACAATACTACTGCATCACCACTTGGCCCACACACAGACGCAATTCAAAGTCATCTCAAACCTGTTACTATATTTTCTACCCACAGAAGTAAGAGAACAGCTTCATTAGAAAACAAAACACATGAGGAATTTTAAAAAATTGCCTTGGCTAAGTAAAATGGTAATATTGCCAATCAAAAGCAATCATATACCTCCAATAAATAGGACTAGAATAATTCAGTAGCTATACGGAGGAAATGTAACTATAAATATGGACTCTTAGAAGCCACTATGGCTAGAGACAGGGTAGGGATATCCCTAGGTAGCTAACATTTACTCATATATGTAGATCATCAGTGGGGAAGAGGTTTTATGTTAGAATGTTTAGAAGTCTAGGTACACACATCAGTTCACTGGGTTGGTTCAAAGACTAGCAGGCACCTCAGCACTTCAGCAGACACCATTTCCTATGTTCCTTTCCTACTTCTATACCCATCAGGACCCTCATCCCATGTAGAAAACAAACCTCTAGAGATTTTTTATTATAAATATTATTACAGTCACATTATGCTTACACAAATAAGAAAAAATTAACTACTTATGTTTTTAAAAAGTCAAGAATAGGTTAGAGAGCTCAGACGAAGAATTACCTAACTTCAATGAGCAGTTGTGAATTCAGGTACTTCAAAAAATTTACCTAATATATATACCTTTTTTTTTTTTTTTGAGACGGAATCTGGCTCTGTTGCCCAGGCTGGAGTGCAATGGCACGATCTCGGCTCACTGCAACCTCCACCTCCCGGGTTCAAGCGATTCTCCTGCGTCAGCCTCCCAAACAGCTGGGACTACAGGCACGCACCACCTTTTAATAATATTAATATTTTCATGTTAAGATTATCTCTTAACAGTGTGTCCTTCACAGCTAATACAAAGTCAAAATTCCCTCTCTATTCTATTTCTCTAATCATATAATTTACTTTAATTCGCTAGTGATTACACTAGATGTACCATGGATATGAACCTTATATTACAGTCAGATTTTTTTCTTGTTTAGAAATGGGGTCTTGCTACATTGCCCAGACTGGCCTTGAACTCCTGGACTCAAATGATCCTCCAACCTCAGCCTCTAGAGTAACTGAGACTATCAGCACATGCTACCTGAGCCTGGCTAGAATCAGTTTTTTTTTTTTTTTCTATTTTCAACCTTATTAGACCTACCTCAACCTGATTTTATTTATTTATTTATTTATTATTTTTCTATTTTAGTAGAATCAGTTTTTTTTTAAGTGTAATCTTCCTAATTTGATTCCCTCTGTCATCTCAGAGTCCGTATATCCAGAACTTAGAATGTTTCCCCTCCTCATGCTAAACAATGTGGTTGATGCTGCACACTCCTGCTTTCCTTCTTGGAATCTGAAATTTTGATACATACCAGGCAGAGGCTCTGCCTATGTGACCTGCTCCCTGTAAAAGTCCTGGGCCCTGAGTCTCTAATGAGCTTCCCAACATATCACGTGTCATCACAGTTTGTTGCTATAGAATTAAGCATATCCCTTATGACTATTCTGGGAGAGGACCTTGGCAGCTTGTGCCTGGTTCCCCCAAGACTTTGCCCCTGTGCACCTTTTCTCTTAGCTTGGTATCATTTCCCTGTAATAGAACTTGGCTGTGAGTATGACCATATGCTGAGTCCTATAAGAGCCCTCCAAGCCAATCACCAAACCTGGGACCCTGACACAGCTCTCACAGCAATTACATCATTTCTAGCCTCTTCTGTCTAACTTGAGGAGCCCTTCATCACTTCCTGTACCATCACTTCTGCAAGCTTTACCACTGGATATGAGCATGTGCCCACTACTAACTAGGGTTACATCATGGTTTATGAAGTAAGGAATGGCAGTTCTTGGGAGGGTGGTTCTCAGCCATGAAAACTGGTTTCTGTTCTTAGTTCCCTGTTTGTTCTGCCACTTGCTGTTTAATTGTGAGTAATTCGCAATCTTTCTTGGTCTTAATATCCTTACCTATAAAATATCCTCAATAGCTGATATAGCTTGGATGTGTGTGCCCTCCAGATCTCAGGTTGAAATGTGATCTCCAGTGTTGGAGGTGGGGCCTAGTGGGAGGTGTTGGGGTCATGAGGGTGGATCCCTCATGAATGGCTTGGTGCTGCCCTCATGGTAATGAATTCTCGCCCCTGTTTGTTACCATGAGATCTGATTGTTAAAAACAGCTGGTACTTCCTTTCTTTTTCTCTTGCTCCTTCTCTTGCCATGTGACACCCCTGCACCCTCTTCGACTTCCTCCATCATTGTAAGCTTCCTGAGGCCTCACCAGAAGAAAATACATCTAGTTGGCCCGGTGCTGTGGCTCATGCCTGTAATCCCAGCACTTTGGGAGGCCGAGGTGGGTGGATCACCTGAGGTCAGGAGTTCGAGACCAGCCTGGCCAACATGGTGAAACCCCATCTCTACTAAAAATATAAAAAGTAGCCAGGCGTGGTGGTGGGTACCTGTAATCCCAGCTACTTGGGAAGCTGAGGCAGGAGAATTGCTTGAACCCAGGAGACGGAGGTTGCAGTGAGCCAACATGGTGCCATTGCACTGCAGCCTTGGTGACAGAGTGAGACTCCGTCTCAAAAAAAAAGCATCTAATACAGCCTGCAGAACTGTGAGCCAAATAAGCCTCTCTTCTTTATAAATTATCCAGCCTCAGATATTCCTTTATAGCAGCACAAAACAAACTAAACAATATCTTTACACTTAAGATCTGAATACAACTACAAATATGAATAACATCCATACGTATAATTTTGATTTTCAGTAATTTCTTACCAGTTTGCTGCTAAAAGGCATATTCTATCAAAGTTTATTGTAAAGTCAAACAGCTCTGTTAAGGGAGGCTCATCTTCTCTGTAATTTCCATTATGGAAAGTAATTTTTATATAGTTTTGTTAAAGTTTCTAGAATTATCGAAAAATTAGACATTTAAAGGAAAATTAGACACTTAAAGAAAATGTAATATGCTATAAAATAGGAATAATACTTAAAATATCTTACTACAAGTTACTTTTCCCAAATAGTAGGATTGTTTTTGAAAGTTAATGTCAGAAAAATAAATAAATAAAAGATATCAGCAACTTAGTAGTTGGCAGGAAAGGGGTTGGGTTCCTGTCCAGACATTGACCCTCGTCCCTCAGGATGAGGCAGGTGACACAGATAAGAAACAGTCCCTTCTGAAACATTAAGAACCCCCTTAGCTAAATACATATCAAGATCAAAAGGTTTCAACAAAAGAGCCTAATGAAATACCTCTCTGAGTTTATTTACTACTGCTTATGTTTACAAACCTTGCTAATTAGCCACTTCTAATACCACTTATTGTTGAAATATATTTTCCCAAGGATCAACAGAAGACAGGCAAACCCACTAAGAGACCCATACGTAAGACTCTGAAGCCTTAAATAGGTTCCTGAGCTGGGCTTGTGGGCAGCCCCATGCCTCTGAGGTTTAAGTAACATCCATGTTTCAATGAAGTTGCGTGGCCAGTTGTTTTTACAATTACTTACAAAATAAACTGAAATTATATTTCACTATACTTCTGTGTAATTCTTGGCACAAAGGAAAGTGAATTACAACTTGTGGATTGCAAAGTCTAAGCATAAGTACACGGCATTCTTGTCTTTGGAGAGCATTCACACTTTTAACCATCCCCTAAATTGAAGTTGCCATCACAACTGAAAGCTGTTTCCAAACTCCTCAAGTGAATGTCCCCAGAGCAAAGACTTTCTGACGAATTGGTCAGGCTGGCATGTACTAAGTAAGAAGGACAAAGGGAAAGGTGAGATATGCTGTAGCTAGACTTCATCCATTTTCATTTCTGGATTTTTCTACTAAAAACTGAAAAGCAGAGCTTTCAAATCAGAGAAAAACTAGAGAACAATTAGCGTAGCAAAGACATAAATAACAAACATTTTAAGAGGCATCATGCACGAAAGAAGAATTCCACATTTCCCTAGTTGAATTTACATGTGGATTTTGTTTAAATATGTATCCAATGTAGAGTTATAATCACTAACAATGGCCACTTCTCACAAGCATACATTAATGTTAGCAATCCGAAAATTTTACCTCCAAATCCTAAGAGAGACTTTGAGCACAGATAGAGACAGATGAAAGATGGCATGCTGCAGTGCAGCAATTTCAAAGTTACTGTAGCATTGACTCTCCGGCTTCTATTCCTCCAGGAATATTCTCTGTGAAACACAGAAAGATCCCGGAAAGGTAAAAGCAATTGCTTTCTATCACATCCAGATTCTCTCCTTAAATTCAACACTCCAAAAATCAAGCCGGGGCAGGAAGCAATAACTGCACAGTATTTTATAGTGTCCTTCAGATTCTTCTTCTAATATTTCCCCTGGTTCCCAGTGTAGCTTCTCCGCATGACTGTGCAGCATTCTGCAAAGTGCTGTAGATCCCAGCAGCAGAGAAACAGAAAACCTAAAGTGTCATGGGGCCACCTATGACCACTGGCTTCTGAGCATCATCATTTTGCTTGATATTGAATTTTCAGTTTAGTTATGTATATATTGTTATCCTTATCTTTCACAATTGTCATATTAATACACATTTTGAACATCTACAGATAGGGCTACTGAGATCAACAGGATAATTATACTGATTTTTGCTTTTAATTTTGCCAAAGACTGCATTGAAATTCTCCCCTTGTACTTTCTTTCTTCATATTTCCTTCAAAGGAGTCTGAGCTCATTTAACTTGCTTTATTCTCTAAAGTTCAACAATACTAGTAGGACTACACTGGCCACACCGATAAGCAGCAATCTGTACTAAGCAAAGAGGGCCAGTTCCAACCAAGCCAGTCCACTGATAGGAGGCTCCAGGGTTGGGGGGGTGGCGGGGTGGGACAGGGCCCAGAGAGAGCAAAAAACAACATTTTTTTGGTTGTCTATTATGCTGTATGCCAGCACTTACAGTTCCATTTGTAAACATTAATTTAATCCTAAGTCAACTCAGTGAACATTGTATTATCCACATCCCCATTTTTACAGATAAAAAAAGATCTCAAAATGATCAAGAAATTGTTACTGTTAGTGATTATAACTCTGCATTGGATACATATTTAAACAAAATCCACATGTAAATTCAACTAGGGAAATGTGGAATTCTTCTTTAATGCATGATGCCTCTTAAAATGTTTGTTATTCATGGCTTTGCTATGCTAATTGTCCTCTAGTTTTTCTCTGATTTGAAAGCTCTGCTTTTCAGTTTTTAGTAGAAAAACCCAGAAATGAAAATGGATGAAACCAAGAAATTTGCCCCACATCTCCTGCAAACCAATAAGAAGATGACAATCTTACAGAAAAATGATCAAAGGATAAGAATAGACATTTTGTGGCAGGGAAAGCACATCATGCCCATAAGCATGAGAAGTGGTGGTCAGCACCATTAGTAGTCAGATAAATGTAAATTAAACCCCAGTGAGAGAGAACATAATGCAATAAAGAGCCTCAATTTTATACCCATTCACTTAGCAAAAAATGAAAAAGTCTCACAATTCCAGGTGTTGGAAGGAATGTGAATCCACATTCTAATGAGAGTGAAAAACTGGGCAACCACTTTGGAAAACAATTTGGTACTGTCTCCTGATGTTGAACATTCATACGCCCTACTACCCAGCAATTCTATTCCCACCCAAGAGAAACTGGCACATGTGCATAGGAGTTACAGTTACCTTCAACAGTGCTGAAACAGCTCCCTCCACAATAGCAAAATCGTGAAGACACCCACATGCTTATCAAGAAGACATTGTAAAAATAAACTGCAGTATGTTTTACACACTGGAATATTAAACAATAGAACAAAACAGATGTTATTACAGCATATCACAATGTAGATGAAACTTCACAATAAAAAATCTCAGAGAATTATATACAACAAGATGTCCTTTTTAAAAACTTAAACACAATTAAAATTTAAAATTTTCTTTTCAGAGTGTAATAAGATTGCATAAACAGGAAAGTAAAGGCATACTTTACATGCCAGACAGGATGCTGTCTCTGTTAGGTGGAGAGAGAGGATAAGACAAGGAAATTGCCAAATGGTGAGATGAAGGTTATCGTCGAAATCCTAGCTGTTGTTTTGGCAGGTGGTTCATAGGTGCTTCTTATTTAAGATGTCTAATAGATAAGTAAAGAGGAAACACCGATGAATACATATCATTAACCAAAGATTATTAGTAATCTAATTTTGTACCTCTGAGGTCCTAAAAACACCCAAAGGACCAAGATAAAAACAACAAATCAACATAAATCAGGCCCAAGTCATCCAGTGATGCTTCAGGAGCTCAAATTCAGTCCTGCCAGGCTCCAAAGCCCAAGCTCTTCCTTTCTGAACTAGAGATCCAAAGCCATACAAGTTACTCCCATTCTCTCATGATGATGAGTGACCTTGTCTATAGGTCATAGCCAGAGCTGATAAACTTATTTTTTCCAGGACTGTAGAAAGACAAGAAAGATATTACCAATCTGACAGAGACTTCTGGGCAACAGAAAGTCTGAGCTAGGCTAGAATCCTGGACCTACCACATACTGTAACCAATGTCTCTAGATGGGAATGTTTCACTCTCTCAGCCTCAATTACCTTAGGATGTGAGGATTAGAGATGACGGTGAAGATGATGATCACGAAGACTGACACTGTTGGTTGCTTATAAGCCAGAGTTTTATCAACATTTTAAAATATGACCCTCAGTGCAACCTATAAGGCATGAATTACTATTAATCCCAATTTAAGGGTAAGGTGATTGAGAGAAAAAGAGCTTAAGAAATTTCCACAAGGTCATACAATTATGATGAAAGATGGCTGGCTCTCTCCTGGCTCCATTGCCCATGCTCTAAACGTCTAAGATAAGTACACACTTCTGTATAGAAACAGACACTCATTTATGGATAAATACATATGTATACATATACTCTCATGTATAGATACACAAAAATGGGGTAGATACACTCATACACACATATGTATAGACATGTGTATAGATACACTTATACACACAGATACACACTCAAGCACACAGACACACACCCATACAAATATGTATAGACACACATGTATAGATACATACTCATACACATGTGTATAGGCACACAGGTATAGACACATACTCATGCCATGTGTATAGACACATATATAGATACATATACATACATGTATATAGACACACATGTATAGATGCACTCACAAATATATAGATACAGACTCATATGCACATATAGGCACACATGTATATATACATATTCACATGCAAATATGTATACATATATAGATAAGTATACATATATATGCACACGCACATATACAATCATATATCCATTAGTATCAACACATATTCATACACACATATATATATAGATACATGCTCATGCAGACATATGTATAGACACACATATGCATAAATGCCCACACTTATGCATATGTATTCACAAATACACACAAAATGCTGCCTAGCTTTTCCGGCATTGCTCAAGAGATTCATTAACTGTTGTTAAAACTTCCTGCTTCGTCTCCCTCCAGCACATATCACATAGAGTAGTCCACGCAAGAAGCAACTCACCTAAAAATAAATGTAAACCCCTTGCAGAACCTGGCCTCATAACGTCCATTCTGGGGCTGCTACTCACACCAGCATTTGTGTTTGCAGCATAGCCTTCTTAGCATGACCTGTCCCTCCACATCAGTGGCCATGGCAGCCTCTTATTGTATCTCAGTTTCTGCCTCTCTGGAGACTAAGTGACTCTCTGAGGGTCTGTGATTGGCCACACAAAGTGAATTTGGAGGAAGCTTAATAGCCAATATTTGAAATCAGATTTTTCTAATTTTCAAAAAATCCACCAAGTCTTTGTGGTGTGACACAACCAAATGAAGAAAAATGTAGCATTATTTACATAAACATGTAGTGGATGAAGTCTAAAATGTAACCAGTGTTTAATGAATGATAGCAATATAATTATGAAAAATAAGAATATTATTATTACTTTTGGAGAATCTGGTTTTGCTAAATTTATCTTTTCATATCTTATTTTTGAGCATTTTACTTTTGGGAGTTTACCCTTATAGTGTCTAATATAAGGTACACCAGTGAGTTTAATTTCAGTTACAAAAACAGTCTGTTAAACTAAATTTTAAGATACTAGAGACTCTAGAGAATAATGTGAAGGTAAATACGTTATCATTTTCAATATTTTTTGTTTATGTAAGTAAGTAGGATGGGTAAGAGTTAGAAATAAAATAAAGAAATGCAAAACAAACAAACTCAAACCTCTCTAAACCCTTAATATCTCAACATATAAGAACCAAATACAGTTACTCCAAGGGGAAAAGGTGAATGTGAGCCTTCTCCAACAGCCATACCCACTCCACAGTTTAGTTCTGCCTTATTCCATCAAACATAGTTTAGGTCTTCAAAACACAGAAATGAAACTTTTTAATGATTAAGGCCAGGCATGGTGGCTCACACCTGTAATCCCAGCACTTTAGGAGGCCGAGATGGGTGGATTGCTTGAGCCCAGGAGTTCAAGGCCATCCTGGGCAACATAGCGAGACTCTATCTCTACAAAAAGATGAAAAAATTAGCTCAGCCTGGTGGCATGCACTGTAGTCCCAGTTACTTGGGAAGCTGAGGCAGGAGGATGGCTTGAGCCCAGGAGTTTGAGGCTGCAGTGAGCTATGACTGTACCGCTGCTCTCCAGCCTGGGTGTCAGAGGGAGACCCTGTCTTAAAAACAAACAAACAAAAAAGATTAAGATGTTGTGGTTTCACACAAAAGGATGAAAAGGAACATAAATAAAGGTTTGGGATGTTCCGTTTTACATCGAACTAGAAACATTTGTTTTATGGTATCTTAGTAGAAAGCCCGAGTAGATTTAGAATTCAAAGACCACAGAGGCTTTTTCTCAAATTGAATCTCAAGGCAGTGGGGCTCCCTGGTCACTCCGTTTTGCTGGTATATCTTGGGAAATGCAGTGAGGAGGCTGTAACATGACACCAGGCTAGAAAGCTGCCCAACACAGGAGAGGAGAAGACAACGGAGCAGCTGGGCCTGCTTCACACAATCCTCATCTTAGAAGAAAACAGGTAAAGGAAAGAAGATGGGGTGGGGGGAGGACCAAGAACTTGGCAGCTGCCTCAAGGCTGCTTAGAGATCTGTGATTTAAATATTTATCTCCACAGAGAATTGAACCACATCTGGAGCCTACAATTTAATTTCTCCCAACGTTAAACAGATGTTTACTTTTTAAATGCTAAACAGTATATGTTTAAGGATATTCTAAAACTAATGTTTTCTAAATATTACAAATGAAACTTGGTATTTTTTACAAGGTCCATGATGATTTTAACACAGAGAACATGAGTGCTAGAAAGGACTCACGCAATGAGCTATTCTAGCTCCCACTTTGGAAAGGAAGAAACTGAGTCCCCTATGGCTAAGTGACTTATTGATTCTACACAAATTGTTTATGACTGAGCTATAAGTAGAATCTATGTGGTCATTTTCACTGTAAATATTTTAACCTCTCATAAAAATTTAAATATCCCATGGAATGACAGGGGCTGTCACATAGTGTCAGTGCAAACTTAAGAAGCTGGAGCGTCAGCAGAGGCAGTGAGGCATGCCCGGGAGTGGGGGCAGCCACTTTCAGGAGCCACTGCAGACATCACTTCACAGCAGGGGCTGGGGAAACAGCTACCATAGGGTGATGGAAGGGACCCTGCGGATGAATCAGCCCTCATCACTGTGGGGGAAAAGTTGGTGAAAAGAGGTGGGAGAACGTTGGAAAGATTCTGGAATTTCTGAGACGCAGCTGAAGAGATGAGTCAGGAAAATAATATGCTGTGACTATTTTTACTATACTATTTTAACTGTCAGGTAGGGTGGCTGAGACAGTCAGACAACTGTCATAGAACACAGTAACTGTCCCTACCGCCCGCCAGATACTAGGCAAGGTACTCAACAGATGGTAGTTTTCAAAACTTCACAAAGGCCTCGTGAAATAGGCATTCTGCTACTCACTGCATAGAGGAAGTCTGGAGAAGTTCAGTGACCCCATGGCTGAGTCCAAATTTTAATCCATGTCTACCTAATTCAAGAGCTCTTCCCTGTCCAGAAAGCCCACAGCCCCAGTCATGACTCTTTAACCGGAACCACAGTCTATACAGGTCATTAAGAGTAGCACAATTCAAAATCAACAGGCTTTGATTGTTTTCCTTCCTTTTTCTTTTCAGAACATTATCTGGATTCAACTGACTGCAAGGGGAAAAGTTTACTTCCAGAAAATTATGCCAGGAGCAACTTCTTATTTCCTCATTTCTAGCATGTACTTTTCTGCAAATACGTCAACATGTCTGAAATCAGGATGTGAAAATGATTCATATATTTAATGCAATAGTGTTTTTCCCCTTAAATGCTGTTATTAAATTGATGGGGTAATCATACAGCATCTTAAAATTGAAGAGCTATATTTTTTTTTCAGATGATAAATGCCTTTGAAACTTTCAAGTTAGCCATTTAAAGGGACGTGGGTCTAGAAAATAATTTTTTTTATTTGTTTTCGGAGTTTCACTCTTGTTGTCCAGGCTGGAGTGCAACGGCATGATCTCGGCTCACCGCAACCTCTGCCTCCCGGGTTCATGCGATTCTCCTGCCTCAGCCTCCCGAGTAGCTGGGATTACAGGCATGCGCCACCACACCAAGCTAATTTTGTATTTTTAGTAGAGACAGGGTTTCTCCATGTTGGTCAGGCTGGTCTCGAACCCTCAACCTCAGATGACCCGCCTGCCTCCCAAAGTGCTAGGATTACAGGTGTGAGCCTCTGTGCCTGGCCTAGAAAATAATTCTTAAATGCTTCTCCAACATGTTTCTGACCTGGGCTCCACCTTTGATGTATGGGTTCTCTACCCATAATGCCACTGGATATAAGAGCACAGCCAAGACAGCCAATAGCTGGGTCCTTTACCTCTGAGATTAAATCCCTAAGGATCAGCTAGGGCCTATGCTGCAGATCCAACATTCCTTGCATGGATTTGCTACAACAGAACGTAACCCGTCTGAAGCAAGTGTAATCTGGAAACATTCAATATGTGTGGTGAAAGTCATATTTTGTTGCTTTCATGGTTTCAGTTTAACATTAGCAGATCATCTAGTATTTATTAAGGAGACAGTAAGCTTTAACATAAATAGATGGGTCATTTCATAGTTTTATAAAGTTACTTAAGTTTTCCCAACCTTTTCCTCAACTGTAATGTGAATTTAGTGGTACCTACAGTATATAGGTGCTCTAAAGCTTGTTACCCATTGACAAAAATTATCCCCAAATTCTTTGTAGAATAAAATGAGGTATGAAGAAAAGACTAAACAAAAAGATAAAAGGATTGTGCCACGTAATAGATGTTCAATAAATGTTAGTTACCTTCTCTGAGTAAAATTGATGCTTCTTTTTATTGCAAAGGGAAGAATTTTACCACTATAATCAACAAATAACATGAAAATAACTTACAACCATCAATGGTGAGACATCCCAAAGTATCAAATTATTTCATCTGATTCAAAGTGAAAATCTGTAGCAAATTGAAACGAAAGGCATACAGCTTCAAAGAGAAGACTGTCTTAAATAAAAAAATGAATATACAGCATGAGACGATGACTCAGAAAATTGGATTGCAGGACTGTGTGACTCTTACTGTCTCAGTCAATGGTTGCCTTGTGTAGAGGAGGTACAGTTTCCCAAAAATTAACATAATGATCTTTTTAATCCCTTCAGGAATTGTCTGATACTTTTCAAGAAAGAAGACTCAGAAACTGAAATTTAAAAGAAAAAGGAAAATAAACATGCCTAGCTTCTGCAGTTGAAGTTTAGCTTTTGCTCTCTTTGAGTTCTTCCAATTTTTCTGATTGGAATCTGTGTTTCTAAGCTACAAGAAGTGGATGTTGAGTTTTAGCTGTGCTAAAACAATTGCTAATGTGTGATCGTGTCTCTACTTGTTACTGCTACTCGAATAAGACATAAGGATCTTAAGATCTTAAATATTTATGGTTTTTTTGGTTGTTGTTTTTTGTTTTTGAGTCGCCCAGGCTGGAGTGCCGTAGTGCGATCTGGGCTCACTAGTAACTCTGACTCCTGGGTTCAGGCAATTCTCCTGCCCCAGACTCCGGAGTAGCTGAGACTACAGGCATGCACCATCATGCCTGGCTAATTTTTGTATTTTTAGTAGAGACGGGGTTTTGCCATGTTGGCCAGGCTGGCCAACAAGTAATTTAAAACAAGCAATGCAAGTCCAGATCTATTTAAAAGATTCTATTGAATGCTGCTCTTCTGAACGTGTTAACCAAGCGATTTCCTCAAAGAGAACCTAAAAATTCTATTATGCTTATTTTATGCCATTAGGTCCCCAGATCTATCTCCTACCTTTCTTTGCTAGGCACTGTGCTATGGAGTTAGGGGGATGGTCCACTTCATGAACTGCATCACTCAGGCTCTCTGACCCTCTGGTGTGGGTTGGCTTTGGCCAATGGGAGACACTATGAAGACTAAAGAATTAGCCTGAGAAGCGGGGGTATTTCTCCCAGGCTTCCTCCCTGCTTGGGTGTCATGTTTCTGCCAGTGGCTTCATCCCTCTGCCAGTGGCCTCATCCCTCGGCAAGGGCAGCTCTTGTTAAATGACCTTCTACGAAGTCAGCTCTTAGTGGGCTCAGTTAACACTATTACCTCCCCTTACCATTTCAGCCCTAGGGGCAGTAACAACTTCCCACCATTACTAGCCCTTGGGGCTCAACACCAATGTCAGTTTCTTTTTTCATACCCCTCTATAAAATTCCCTGCATTCCATTCTCCAAAACTCACAGCTAAATGTGCCTCTGCTTCCTATGATGTGATGGTCCTAATTGATACATCCAGAAATTAAGCCAATAGATAGTAAAATTTGTTCCTTACTTCAATAATTCAGTTACAGCAAAATTCTATATTTTGGCATATGTCAGACTTTTTAAAAGGGCATTTATTTGACCAAGCCACACTAGACAGTAGACAGAGAAGCTGAAAGATTCAAGAGGCAGATATTATAAGTAAATAGTCTAAATGATTTCTTTTAAAGCAATGTATTATACTGTGATTTTCTTTTTCTTTTTTGTTTTTTTTTTTTTTGAAATAGGGTCTTGCTCTGTCATGCAGGTTGGAGTGCAGTGGCATAATCATGGCTAACTGCAGCCTTGACCTTCTAGGCTTAAGTGATCCTCCTACCTTAGCCTCCCGAGTAGCTGGGACCACAGATGTGCACCACCATACATGACTATTTTTTTTTTTTTTTTTGTAGAGATGAGATCCCACTATGTTGCCCAGGCTGGTCTCAAACTCCTAGGTTCAAGTGATCCTCCTGGCTCAGCCTCCTGAATTGCTGGGACTACAGGCATGAGCTACAGTGCCAAACTTATATTGTGATTTTCTGTGTGTGGTATTATTTAAGATAAATAGGAGTTCATGTATTGTAATTTAAGTTATTTCAAAAGATAACTATTTGGCAGCTTGATTATTCGGTTTGCTCTATGAAGCCTGACAACATAACACATTTACAGGCAGGTGTTGGAAAAACAGACTCAGTATTTGAGCCCTAAGGGTCCCAGGTAATTATAGTCATCAGTTTTTAATCTGTTCAGAAACCTCACAGTTCTTTCACCCTGTACCTGTGCATGAATAAGCAGTAAGACCCTAACATATTAAAAGATCCTGAGTAATTATGAATAAATTACATATTTTAGTTTGCCATGTTTACAAAATTTACTAAAATAGGTGCAAATGTATATCTTGGGCATGGAAATTAACTCGTATAAGTTACTATATCTGCCAAAAATCAATTTGTAAGGAGAAAAATCTTAGGCAGCTTTGTGGAAATAGGAATATTCAGGAAGAAGCAGGGAAGGGCAGAAGTTAATCAAATGACCGTGGGCGTTAGACAGCAGTCCCCTCTCATCTTTTAGCTTTTACTAAAAGTTTAGCTTTTGCACGTTCTTTTACATTTAGCTTTTGCACGTTAGTTTTGCACAGTTGACCCATGGTCAACTGTGGTCTGAAAATATTATTTTGAGAGAGAGAGACCATGTTCACATAACTCTTATTAGAATATATTGTTATAATTGTTCTGATTATTAGTTACTCTTAATCTCTTACTGTGCCTAATTTATAAACTAAACTTTATCATAGGTATGTATGTATAGGAAAAAGAGTATATACAGGGTTCAGTACTATCTGAGGTTTCAGGCATCCACTGGGGGTCTTGGAATGCATCCCCCAAGGATAATGGGGCACTACTGTATTTGGAAGACTATCCCAGGGAAGGCACACTGGTAGCATAGACCACAAATAGCCATAAAATTCCTTCTTGCCCTTCATGCTTCTGTTACTTACATGACATTCACAATGATTTCCAAATAGTGTCACAACAACCAACAAAGTGTTAAAAGAATAACAGAATTTTAATTCCAGAGAGCAGCTAGAGTTTGTTTGTTTGATTCATCTATTATATGGCTCTAATTTAATGAAATGAAATAATTTGGTATGACATGAAAATAAGGACTAAGATGATGATAAAAACAGATACAATTATGACAATAATGCTTCTCATATTAGGAATGTAAACCTTTTAGAAATAACCTTAAATCCCTTAAGATAATACCTAACCTCAACTTAGACAAGAGTAAAATGCAGATCAGATCACGCAAAAGAACGCTAACATGGCACACTTTAAAACAATATTCAGCATCACAGACAATGAAGGCAACACAATTTTAAATAAATATAAGGTACTACCTCATACCTACTGAGCTAGGAAACACAAATTAAAATAATAAATCTAACACTGGCAGAAGTTGCAAGGAGTCATATACATTCCTGTAAATGAGTGCAATAAACTTGGAAAACAACCACACAATAGTCAGTAAGAGCCAGAATATTGATTCCAGCCTGGGACTTGGGAATTCCAATTTTAGAACCAGTATCCTGAAGATAGAACTCAAAACAACAAAATTATATGAATAGGAATTTTTTAAACATGCCCTTAATAGTGTGGAAATGGCCTTTTCCTAATTATAAATGAGTAACCTAAAACTGGTATATTATTATAACACTAAAACAACGTTTTAATACACAAACTACATATACTTAAATACATATTAAACACAATACATATTTAAAAATATTTTAAATGTCATATATATACACATAAATATGTGTATATATTTATGTGTATTATGTGTATGTAAATATGTGTATATATATATATACACATAAATCTTGAGAGGAAAAGTAGAAACAGTACATCCATCCATTCATTTATTCAACAAATTATTAGTCCCATGTTCATTTTTCAAATGAGAAAAGTACAGTGTTAGAGGTGAAGTATATTGCCCAAGGTCACAAAGGCTTTGGTGGTGAGCAAACACCAAGAGTCCATTACCTGGACTGTGCCTCCAAGAACTAAAGGTTATCTCTCCACTGTAATTAAAGCAACAGTTTCCTGTTTGTCTAGGCTTTATGATGAGTTGAAAAAAGCAATTGCATCTAAGTAAAATCTTGAGACTTGCATTAATAAATATGATGATTTTATTTCTGAAGACAATAAAGAGTAGGGCCAGTTATTACAGATGTATTTCCAGGCACCCAAGGATTTATGACTTCTCAGTTCAATAAAAAAAAAATGATTACTCTGTAGATGAGAAAGTGTATTTAATTTGAAAGTGTATTTCAATACTTGTACTACATTGCACTTAGAGGGATGTAGGCACACTATGTTCCCACAAATAATTAAATGAGTAGGCACATGATACTGGGGATTTATTACAACTAAAGACATAAAAAGAGTTTACCGTAATTTCCTCTTTCCATTGAGGAGAATTCAAAGCTAATTTTATGGTGTCAACTCATTACACAGTGTATTCTTATAAATGCTAATGATTACAGGAAACCATGAAAATATTCAGCAAACCATATCAGACTTCTTTCTCTGTCAACACTCCCCAGGTAACACTCCCCACCACCCCCACCCCTAAAAAATTACTAAACTACTTGAATCTCTTGTAAAAGATGATTAAGGATGGTATTTGTTTTATAATAATATGCAGTTATTTATCTCTTAACTCAAGGTGATTATGACCTGACAATGGAAAAATATAGCAATAAAGCAAGTAATTTAATATATCTTTTTTGATCATGTGGCTATAAAACATATGAAGATATGGTGCTCCATTAGGCACACTTAATTGTGTTTAGATGAGTCTTTATCTCAGTGTAGTCTTATCCAAATCTGTTATAAAAAGAAAATGTTTGAAAAGAAGAGAAACCTTTCCATTGTTTATATATACCCCAGTCTTCCCATACCTATGCTTTAATTATCAATTTTCTAAATTCTAAATTTTGCCAATATTTTTATTCCAATATTTTGAAAAAGAAAAAGTTACGCCAGTCCTCATAATTTTATGCACACTTTTTTGGGGTCTGCTGCTGTTTTAAATGAGGACTCCTGGCAGGAGAGTGACTTTCTGATGCTTCAAGGACATTAATCAGATTCATAGCTGGTGGCACAGTGATCTAGACAAACACACAGAGATCCTTTGATTATTTCAACTTCTTCTTGCTAGAACTTTTTCCTTCCATCACTGTTCAGTGGAGTAAAATTGTGTTTTGTCCTTTTCGGGATAGAAAGCAATTTAAATTAAAAGGAGCAATTTCCACATTTGAATTGGAGTGAAAATTAAAATTTGAATCGGAAATAAAAGGAGAAACATCCATTTATTTTCCACTGAGGGCGAAGGAGGAAGGAGAAAATGGGAGAAAGAAGAAGGACAATACACACTGCTCCATTCTTTTGAAGCGGCCTCTGATCCTGTTCATCTCTTTCCCCATCCCCTTCGCTTTGGGCTTTCGAAGCTTGTCCAGGACAGGGACCTCTGAGCTGCCTATATCAGAGGTTCCCAAGGAGAGCAGTTCTGTTTGAGGTCCCAGTGCACCTCTGACTCTGCAGAGTAATCAGTAGCTCAGATAGTACCAAGGGTCTGTTCCTTTCCTCCTTTAAAATCCAATCCTGGGCCACTGTATGTGTATTAGAATGGCTTAAGAAAAAGTATGGACAATACCAAGCAGTGGCGAGGATGCAGAGCACCTGGGACTCTCATACACTGCTGTCGAGGATGCAAAATGGTAGAGCTACTTTGCAAATTTGGCAGTTTCTTACAAAGTTCTCACCATAAGACCCAGCAATCCTATACTCCTGGGCATTTACCCTAGAGAAGTGAACACTATGTTCACACACACACACACACACAAACACACATGTTGCACATGAACATTTATAGCAGGTCTATTAATAATTGCCAAAAGTTGGAAACGATCTAAATGTCTTTCACTGAGGAATGGGCAAATACACTTCAGTATATGCCTATAATGAAACAATACTCAGCAATAAAAAGAAACATAATTGATACATGCAACAACTTGCATGAATCTCAAAGGTGCTACCTGAATGAAAGAAGTCAGTCTCATAAGGTTGCATATAATGTCATACAAGTAATTCCATTTGTTTGACACCCTAGAAAACATAAAACTCTAGTGATGGAGAAGAGATCAGTGGCTGCCAGAGGCTGGGGTGGGGGATGGGTATGACTACGAAGGGGTAGCACATGGGAGTTTTTTATGGTGATGGAACTGCTCTGTATCCTGATTGTGCTGGTGATCTCACAAATCTGTACATACAGAAGTACAGACATGAAGATCAAATTTGCTGTACTATATTTTAAAAATAAAATTAAAAGTAAAAAGATGTCTTAAAGAGAGACAGAGGAAGAAAAGAATCAATTAAATATCCAAAATGAAAACACAATCTATATATTATCTTCTCTCTACTCTTTTCCATTCGTAAATATTCATGGAATCTGCACACTTCAATGCCTCACTTTTCAAGCTTAAGAGAAATGTCTCAGTCTGTTTGGGCTGCTATGACAAAATGCCACAAACTGGGTAACCTATAAACAACAGAAATTTATTTCTCACAGTTTTGGTGGATGGGAAGTCCAAGAGCAAGCGCCATCAGATTTGGTGTCTGGTGAGGGCTCATTTCCTGGTTCACAGGTGGTGCCTTCTCACTGTGTCCACATACAGTGCAAGGGGTGAGGGGGTTCCCTTGGGCCCACTTTATAAAGGCACTAATCTCATTTATGGGGGCTCCACCCTCATGACCTAATTACCTCGTAAAAGGTCCCATCTTCTAATAGTATCACTGCAGGTGTTAGGATTTCAACATATGAATTTTGGGGAAATACAAACATTCAGATTCTAGCAAGGGAAGATATTTTCTTGGAGGAAGAAAAGTGGAAGAAATATTAGAATATAAAATTTCAAAGAGCACAGCAACAATTGCTAAAATTTTGGATGTGTCATTTTTCTTTTGTAAAACATATGAGAATCTCACTTTATTCCGACCCCTCAGTAAAGGATAAACAAGAAATGTCAAGAGTAAAAGTAAAGTGAAATCAACAAAAACTTTCAAAATATTTCAATCTACCATTTTCAGGAAAGAGAACACTATTAAATAGATATGTGATGTAATCCTTTATAGTCACTACCCTTCCCAGAAAAATGAAATAATTGCCAAGCAACTGCTGGGTCAACTGTTGTCTGAGGGACTTTCTAGATTTCTTTCCTATAAAGAAACTCTAAGCTAAGCATGGTTTGGACTTACAAAAAAATGCTTTAGACCATGGTGAAATTTCTTCAGCATCTTGACTCTTAAAAACAGAAAAAAACAATGAGCTAATCAACTATTATAATAAGTAATTTACCTAAAAAGTTATGCTACAAAAACTTGCAATTAGAAAAGTCATTCAAGTCTTTATTATTTTGTTAATTTTTAAATTTTTATTCTTTTGAGACAGAGTCTCGCTCTGTCACCCAGGCGGGAGTGCAGTGGCATGATCTTGGCTCACTGCAACCTCCACCTCGCGGGTTGAGGTGATTCTCCTGCCTCAGCCTCCTGAGTAGCTGGGATTACAGGTGTATGCCACCATGCCTGGCTAATTTTTGTACTTTTAGGAGAGACAGGGTTTCACCATGTTGGTCAGGCTGGTTTCGAACTCCTGACCTCATGATCCACCTGCCTTGGCTTCCCAAAGTGCTGGGACTACAGGTGTGAGCCACCGCAAAATAAAAGTCAGATAAACTGCTAACTGGCTGTGGCAGGAATAGACCATACACCCTGGGAATCCTGGCTAGGCTGGCTAAGGGATTCTCCCAGGAGTTCCTTTGCAGTCTTGTAGCACATACCCAGGACTGTGCAGAGGAGGGAGGGTTGTGCCAGCTACTTACACCATGTGAGCAGCAAATATGGAGCCAGGCTTCCCATAACAGAGGCAGAGGGGTTGGGACATCCGGTGGTGAGACAGAAGTCTGGACAGCTCAGGTCAGAGTGGCCAGTGATTCTACCTGCACCTGGGAGGTCCTCACTTCACATGGGTGTTACCAACTGCAACTGTGCATCATCTTAGGGACCTGTGGGGGCCTGGAAAGTCAGATCTCTAGACAAGTGCTGTGTTATATCTTGCTTTATTGTCGTAGTCTCTGGATGTCTTCAAATCAATTGCAATTAAAAAAGAAAACAACTTTGTATCTTTCGGCTGTATCTGTCAGCATCTTTCCATCAGTCACATCACTGCCCGAACATGACAGCTATGCAGGTATCATGTAGGGCAGTGCTATGCTTGAGAGTCATTCAGAAGGCTTTAAAAACCAGTGCCAGGGCCCAATCTGCAGAGATACTAGCTTAATCAATGGGGCCCAGTTGATTGTAATGATCAGAACCACTGACAAAACCATAGACCTTTTACTGTTCTTTTTTAGCATTGCGTAGACACGGTTCCGATGCATAATTCCCACCCACCTCACCCCCACCCCCCTGTCCCTGTATCGGGGGAAATTCAGCCAGATATCGGGCAAAATTCACCCCTGATATTTCATGTATGTTCCATTTTCCCTAAGCAACAGCCGGTTTGAGAAATAAAGGGAGAGAGTACAAAAGAGAAATTTTAAAGCTGGGCGTCCGAGGGAGACATCACATTTTGGTAGGTTCCAAGATGCCCCCTGAGCCGTAAAACCAGCAAGTTTTTATTACAGATTTTCAGAAGGGGAGGGAGTGTACGAATAGGGTGTGGGTCACAGAGATCACGTGCTTCACAAGGTGATAGGATATCACAAGGCAAATGGAGGCAGGGCGAGATCACAGGACCATGGGACCAGGGCGAAATTAAAATTGCTAATGAAGTTTCAGGCACCATTGTCATTGAAAACATCTTATCAGGAGACAGGGTTTGAGAGCAACCGGTCTGACCAAAATTTATTAGGCGGGAATTTCCTCGTCCTAATAAGCCTGGGAGCACTATGGGAGACTGGGCCTTATTTCATCCCTAAGGTCTCAACCATAGAAAATGGCCACACCCAAGGGGGCCATTTTAGAGGCCCACCTTCAGGGGCGCATTCTCTTTCTCAGGGATGTTCTTTGCTGAGAAAAACAATTCAGCGATATTTCTCCCATTTGCTTTTGAAAGAAGAGAAATATGGCTCTGTTCCGCCCGGCTCACCGGCGGTCAGAGTTTAAGGTGATCTCTCTTGTTCCCTGAATATTGCTGTTATCCTGTTCTTTTTTCAAGGTGCCCAGATTTCATATTGTTCAAACACACATGCTCTACAATTTGTGCAGTTAACGCAATTATCACAGGGTCCTGAGGCAACATACATCCTCCTCAGCTGACAGGATTAAGAGATTAAAGTAAAGACAGGCATAGGAAATCACAAGGGTATTGACTGGGGAAGTGATAAGTGTCCATGAAATCTTCACAATTTATGTTTACAGACTGCAGTAAAGACAGGCATAAGAAATTATAAAAGTATTAATTTGGGGAACTAATAAATGTCCATGAAATCTTCACAATCCATGTTCTTCTGCCATGGCTTCAGCCGGTCCCTCCATTCGGGGTCCCTGACTTCCCGCAACACCCCCGCAAAATTTTAAATATCTGTTACCCACCATTGGTACATTACCAATCTGGTAAACCTCTCAATTACATTTAATGCACACAAAGTAAAGTTATTGAATATTTTATCCTGTGTGACCTCATTTTAAGAGGTACATAAGAAAATACTTTTTCTCTGAAGGCCTTGCATTGTAATAAAATATACGGAAAAAAATAACATGTAGTTTTCATAAAAATTGATTTAATTGGTAATTTCAAGAAGGGTAATTTAACTTTTAATTATGTCACCCTAAATTCCTAAGATTGTGTATCTTCCAGCTTCAGACTAGGCAATATCATCATTTTCCCTTCACCCAACCTTTTAGAAGGCAGACTAAAAAACCAGCTTTCTAAATTGTTTGCTCCCCTCACTGTGAATTTAAGCAGCATTTGGCAGTACTGAAGCCTTAATCTAGTCTAGCAGTGAATACTAAGGATGAAGATTTGATCAAGTTGGAAAACCACTTTCACACAGCCCTATTTCTTCTGGAATTAAACAACCAGGACATGATGTTGGATTACATAAGATTATCAAGACAAAACTATTGAAATTGTAATAGGAAACATACGGAAAATAAGGAGAAAATTATCTTTCCCGCAAGAATTAATAAAAATCTTGTTAAAAGACTATAAGGCAATGCCTTATGAGAAACTACTAAGTATACAGAATTAATCAATCCACACTAGGCACATAGAGAATATGCAATGTATTCATTGTTAGATCTCTAAAAATGACCCAGCTTTTGGCTTCTCTAATGTTGAAGTAAAAATATAGCTCAAAATTCTGGGCATTGACTTCTGGGCAAATGGTTATAACTTGCTCTGTAAAGAGAACCAGCCTAATTGTTTAAGATCCAATACCCTCCATTGAAAGAAATGCTTTGTTTCCAAGAGAATCCTTGGAGCTAAAGCAGAGAATTGACAACTGTCCATGTTAAAATAAGTGCAGAAGGAAAGATTCCACTTCATCTCCTTCAAGAGATTTATATGTAGCCCTGGAAGAAAGCTTAGCAGGAGCCACAGATTCCACACTGACTGCTCCTCCATCAGTCTGGGCTGTGCACGCCCTCCCCAGAAGCCAGGAATACACTGTCTCCTGGACAGCCTTCCATTTTCCAGCCCCTTCTTATGCCATCCTCTCAGCAAGCAGGAGCTCCTGTACCTCCTCTCCACCTTGAGGTCTACCCTAGGGGCCATCTCACGTGCCATGTCTTTTGGGAACATTTCCTGGCAGAAGGAATCTGTTGCTTATTTGTTATCTGATGTGCCCACTTCTGCAGTAATTGTGTGAAAGCTCAGAGAGTAGGATGCATCCCACCCCAGCAGCTCAAACAGTGCCTTCCCCATCAGTAAGTGTTTGATACATACTACATACTTGATTTTTAAAAAAAGGCAACTGTAGTAAATTTACTGACCGATTCTCCATTTCAGAATTCCTGGACATGTGCTTATTTTCCTTAACTGTCCACCAAAAAATTTCTAAATCGGTGCTTCTTAAGCAGGTCCATGGGGATCATGGAATACTATTGGGGGTAATCTGTAATCCTCCAAAAATTGTATATTAATTTAATGTATATTCCAGTAGGTGGCTCCCATCTTCCACTCCATCCCCACATTCTCTGGGGAATCTTTATAACCGTTTTTAAGTCTTTAAGGTAACTGTAATCCAAAAAGCAATTTAAAATTCACTGCTCTAAATTTATTTGTGTTTAAACAATGAGGTATAAGAGCTTCCTGAGATGCTTAAACAATGGAATGAGCCACCTCACATAGTGTCCATCCTCTGAATATTTCTCTGTTCGGATTGGTCCAGAAAACCACTTACCTGAAGGCCAGAATGAGCCATATGACTTCTGAGAATCTTAGATCATTGAAGCTAGAAGTGTTCCTAGCGATCACATCAGAGGGCATGGCAGAACACTGATTTCTGGGTCCCACCCCTGCAGTCTATGCTTCTGTAGGTCCTGGGGCCAAGGAATGGATTTCTAACAAGTCCCAGGTAAGGCTGACGTGCTGGTCAGTGGACCAGGCTTTGAGAACCACTTATCTAACCTTATTTCCTATATTACAAAAGTAGACTGAGGCCTTCAGAAGCTGGGTGTGACCCACCAAAAGTAACAGCTAAGTAGGACGCCCAGGGTCTAACCACATTATGATTAGCAGGGTCTTCTTAAGCAGGTCTCCTATGAGTTTCTGAAACTTGCAGATAAACACCAAGACACAAAAATGTGTCTCAGCCGTAGACACTCATACTTGTTGGCAATACTAGTTTTACCTGATATTGCTGAGGTTATAAAGAGAAAAGAATCCACCTTTATGGCTGCTCATCCCAAGCAAAGTTGAGAAACATTTTCTGTTGTTTTTCTTTTTCTTCCTCTAAATGATAAATATCCTGTGGCAGTTTTATTCCTGTGGCTAAAATGTTCTTTTAAAATAAAAACATTACATCATCCTTCTGACAATGCAATAAGAAGATTCTTTTCGTGAGGTCATTTTCATAGCGTTTTAATAATGAGGTATTTTTCCATAAGCCTTTTAAATATATTTTAAAAATTATTTTTAAGGAGTTTATTTTCCAGCATTTTGAAATCTCCTCTCCCAGCTCTCCACATAAATAATCAACATGATAGATAAAAGCATAGTCTATCCCAGCTACTCAGGAGGCTGAGGCAGGAGGATTGCTTTGAGTCTAGGAGTTCAAAGCCAGCCTGGGCAACTTTGCGACACCCCCATCTCTGAAAAGAAGGAAAAGGAAGAAAAGGAATAGTCTATAAGACTGGCTTGGACCAAATTGTTTCACACCCTTGCCTCACCTCAATCTGGGTCTAGCTTCAATCTACCATTTGTTCCTAATCTCCCCCTCATGCCACCAGACCCTCCTCAAGTGCCTTTTGGTTTTTGCTCCTTAGTCATTCTGCTTCTCAGATCAGTGACCCTTATTCTGGATCTGTCTCATAACCTCAGATTTTTCTAACCCAGAATATCCAAATTCATCTCTCTATGATATGACTTGGCTTCAGGACACTCCCTTAGGAGCAGCCTCCAGTGTCCTGCTGAGATCTGACTACATCCCATTAGTGCATTACATTACAATGTATTCATCCGAAAATTCTGAGGTTTTACAATGTATTTGTAAAACCTTCTCAGAATTTCTGGGTTTTTATTTTCTCCCAATCCCATGGTAACTGTATTCTACTGTTTATTTTAGGAAAATTTGCAATTATTCATTATACATTAAACAATGAATTTTGTAAGAGATGAATATACAATATAAAACCCACCTTTGTTCTATTTTGTTATAATAACCACTATAAATGGTTCTCTAAGTGTAGTGAATTCAGAATTTAGGAAGATTTTGCAAATCCTGCAAATCAGCCTCATTCTGGAAGGGAACAGCAGAAGTCAAATAACCTAGGAAAGATGGATACTGTCTTGTCAATTTATGGTATCACTGTCTTCCACACAGTCTTACTCCTAGACACCCCCAAGTGGGGTGTGACTTCATTTTCCAACTCTGGAAGCTGCTCTTCACACCACTCAAGACCAGGAGAGTAGCACCAGCCATGGAAACCACAGCAGTAGCAGCAGCAGCTCATCACCATGGGCATCTCCACCACGTGTTTGAGTGCTCTCTCTGTCCCAGATCCTGCATGCACAATGTTTCTAATTCCTGTAGCAGTTCTGTCAAAGATGAAGTAACTTCTCAGGGCTTCAGATCTGGGAAATAAAAGAGCTGAGACTTGAAAGTAGGCCTCATCTTACTTATACCAGCAGTTCTCCAACTGAGGCCCAGGAACCCCTGGGGGTTCCTTGAAACCCTTATCTGAAACAGCAAGGTCAAAGAATTGCCCGAAAAGACTAATTGAGATACTCTTCCCTTTTCCAGCAACATTTCTGAGTGAAGTTGGATTTTCTGTGCATTTTCTTACTATACTACAAAACAGTGTATCGTAACAGATTGAATGCAGAAGCAGATGAGAATACACTTGTCTTCTATTAAGTCAGACATTAAAGAGACTTATAAAAATGTAAAACAATGCCATTCTACTCATTAAATTGTTCTATTTTGGAAAATGTAATTACTTTTCATAAAAGTATGTCATTCGTTTATGTTAACATGTAATGGTTTACTAATGTTATTTTTAAATGAATTAATAAATATTTTAAAATATTATTAGTTTTCATGTTCAAAATGGTAAATATCAATAGGTATAATCTACCTAAGCAAAAGTTCTTTGTGGATTCTCAGTAGTGAAAAACGGTGTCAACCCTCAAAAGTCTGAGAACCTCCATATTAGATAATACAGTATTAGAATTCAACATTAGATAATACTCCATGGTTTCATTGTATCACCTGCATTCCAGAAGGAAGGCTCTCATTGCTGGAGAAGAAGAGGCAGAAAAGCAGATGTCCTTGCCTTTAGAATTCTGCCTTGTCAATTAACACTATCACTGCCTTGTTGCAGCTATTCTCTCTAGGAGTATACCATGTATGTGGCCTTAACTAAATGCACCAGGGAATATAGGATCATTAAAAATACACTTGTGCTCAGTCTCTTCGGTTAAACTGAAAGTTTCTTGAGGACACGGACAGCATCAACTCCCTTGGAATCTAGCACATTTTAAATCTTGAATAAGAACAGTGATTAACTGGAGAAGGAAAGAAGAGTTCATGCCATGAGGATTTTGGAAGTTTGACATGCAGAATACGATGCAGAAGAACAAACATGTACTATGGAGAACAAACAAACATGTATTATGGAACAGAGATCTGAGTTCAAATTCTGACACAACCTAGATAAATCATTTGATTTTTCCATGTGTCAGTTTCCTAATCTATGAAATAGATTCAGGAGTCCCTAATTCACATAATGTTAGGAGAATTAAATACATCATGTATGCCCAACACCTGTCCTGAGGTAGGCACACAGGAAATATTACTCCCATTGTAATGGCGATGGGCCAAAGTGAGAGCAAACTCTTCACATCAGAAAAGCCAAATATTTGAGGGGACACATTTCTTAAGGAAACGTCTCAATTCTCTGTATCCCTTGGCTGTTGATGTCATCATCAAGGTAGGGCATTTTCCTGTTTAGGCACCTCAGACCAGTATTTAGTCCCTGATATGGTTTAGATCTGTGTCCCCACCCAAATCTCATGTCGAATGGTAATCCCCAGTGTTGGAGGTGGGGCCTGGTAGGAGGTGACTGGATCATGCATTTGTTTCTCATGAAAGGGTTAACATCATCCCCTTAGTGCTGTTCTCGTGATAGTGAATGAGCTCTCACAAGTGCTGGTTGTTTGAAAGTATGTTGCACCTTCCCCCTTGCTCTATCTCTTGCTCCTGCTTTTGCCATATGACTGTGCCTGCTCCCGCTTTGCCTTCCGCCATGGTTGTAAGTTTTCTGAGGCTCCCAGAAGCCTAGCAGAAGCCACTATGCTTCCTGTACAGCCTGCAGAATGATGAGCCAATTAAATCCCTTTCTTTACAAATTACCTAGTCTCAGGTATTTCTTTATAGCACTGCATGGATTCATACAGTCCTTTAGAGACGTATTTATATTCTCTTCTTGGAACTCACGGGCAACAGATATAAGCACCAGAAACTCTCCTCTATAAGAAAAACATATTTAAAAATTGAATACCGTGATACAGTGATATTTTCAAAGCTGTAAAAAGTTGTACCATCAACTGTAGTACACTCCACTTAGTGGCTGCTAAGTAAACAATTCTGAATCTTAAGGCTGGATTCAATATAAAAACTTTCAAAATGTAGTTAGATGATGTTCTTAAAATTATTAAATAAAATCATTGATCTAAAATTTAAGCACCTGTTTACAAAAAGAAAGAAAAAAATTTCAGGCAGTAACTTTCTTAAGTTTACCAAGGGTTGAGGCATGGCAAACTGTCTCATTTAAGATTCTTCTCTTGTCATACTGCTAGAAAATTGGATCTAAATTCATTCACCACAGGCAAAGGTAATGTTTACAACCTAAAATTATATTTGGACACATAAGAGATGTAATTTTGCCTTTTTAAAAAGTAGATAAAAATAAGAATCTGTGGAGAAATGAGAGAATCAGAAGGAATGTCTGTATAAATCACATGAATGATCTGAACCATAAAAGCACTTTATAAAATATCAGTCTTTTGCTTTACAGTCTCATCATAAAAAAAGAGTATATTCAACTAATTTTTGCCCCTTCTATACTACTTACATCCATATTATTTTTTAACCTAAAACTTACACTAGGTGGAGCCCCTTGTCCAAGATTGGGAGAGATTTAAAAAAGCAAAGGGAAGAAAAAAACATTACAATTACAATCAAAACCAAAAAAGGCACTCATCCTTTCGTTTTAAAAATATATCCTTAAAATCTACAGTACCAACAAAACCAATGTTCTTTCTAATCATTAAAACCATTAAAATGAATACAGAGTACCATTAACATTTACTACAGAGAAGAAGTAGTTACCAAGCTGCCGCTGCAGAGTCAAGAGCTAGAAGGCCCTGAATTCCAATGCAAACATTAAATTTCAGTTGGGGCGGAGGTGTAAAAGGCATGGAAGATAAAATCTTCTCTGGATACTTCTAAAAATGTTTTAACCGTGTTAATGCTCTCATGCTGTAAAGGGCACATAGTACTCAGCTAATTCATGGCATTCCAGTTAGAGATACATTGTTGTCAAACAACAACAACAGCTCTTAAAAAACACCAGAGCACTAACAAATGGCAAAATATCCAAAATACATGGATATTTTGCTCTTTGCTTTCCATGATTCAGATATATAGGAATATGCAGGCATTTGAAGACGTTGGGAGGGGGAAGGGCTTCTGAACTGAACAAATCACATGTTCAATTATGGTTAAGCAGGACCTGCAGTTAAAAATAGGCTCTAAGTCTTGAGACTCTTAATGGACTGTAACTAGAGAAGGAGATAAGGCTTCAGAGATAACACCATCAAACTTAGGTGATCAGTCATTGCTGTAGGATAAAACCACCCCTACCTCCCTCCAATGCTGCTAAGTTGCCTCCCCCTGTGCTATCCCAGGGCTGGCTTTGCAACCCAACCTGCTGGAAGTGCAAAGTTCAGACCAGCAGCAAGAACTCTTGCCCCATGCTTCTGCTGACATAGCCTGCAGGGATCTGTCAGTTCACTGTGTAATAAAACCTTGTAGTGTGTGTTGTTGTTTTTTTCCTTCAGATTTCCACAAAATCTTGGGCCAGGCAAGACAAACTTCTGCTGACAGCTGAATTACGCAGCAGAGTAACCTTTGAACAAGTACGAATCATTGACCTCACATAAATTTCCCCCAGAAAGTCCAAGAAACTGGTTGTATCAGGGGTGAGATAAGCATGAAGGCAGTTAGAACTATCCCAGAAATCCAGTTCCATTCTTAAGTAGGTATTTACATCTGTTACACTAAAATGATTATGAAAAACAAATTTTCTTTGATGTTTTCCTCATCCTTTCCATATGCAAGCTGAATGTTTTTCCTTTGCAAACTAATTACTAAATTAAACTGTAACTCCATTATCATAAATGATTTATAAAAGCAAAACTAACAGGGATAAAGAAGAATAGCACTTCGGAGTGGTTGATTTTCTTTGATGACGGAGGTGATTTTTTGAAAAGAAATGAAGCTAGTATAGAGGACCTGTGGCTTCAGGTTCTCCAGCCATTTATTGCCTAAAATAAAGATCGGACAAATTAAACAAATTATGTTAAGTAGGATTTTTCAATGCCTGTCCGCAGCTTTCATGTAAAATTGGTCCTTAAACTCTGTATATTTTCATACCAAGTTCTCATTTTGATGGTAAAGAAGTTTGACCTTCTGCTACAATAACATCAAGTGTTTCAATTAGTTTTTCACATGGGGTGTGGGGGAACTAGCAGCATGTCCTGTAGTATACACACTAACTCATTTTCCCCTAAATGCTGCACGTTTTCCATCCCTCCTGCCAGTATTAATCATAGCAAAGCTTATATACAAATTGTTTCCCTAAAAGATGAAGCTGAGCACCTTGTGCCTACTTGTGGCACAATACCAGGAAGGTGATGCTAATCCACTTGGAAGGATCAATAGGGACTCCACAGATTTACAGTCCTTCTGTCTTCTGCTCTCTCTCACTCATTGATTGATTGACTGAGACAGGTCTCATTCTGTTGCCCAGGCTGGTATGCATCATAGCTCACCGTAGCCTCAAACTCCTGGGCTCAAGCGATCTTCCCATCTCAGCCTCCTGAGTAGCTGGGACTACAGGCATGTGCCACCATGCCCGTCTAACTTTTTCTTTCCCCTGTAAAGACGAGGTTTCACTTTGTTGCCTAGGCAGGTCTTGACCTCATGGCCTCAAGCAATCCTCCTGCCTCAGCCTCTCAAAGTGCTGGGATTACAGGCATGAACCACTGCACCTCACCTCACCTCCTCCCTTGATACCTAGGGTGACAAGTCCAGAAGAAGAGGATAGGTAACCGATGTTTAAAGATTTTTAAATATAGGACTTTAGGACTGACAGGAAAATGGTTGATAAGGAAAGCTACAGACTAAAATAGATTTTAGAATAAATTTCTCTAGCTAATAATCTCATTCTCTATATGCCAGGGAAGAAAGAACTTCATGAATCAATTGTTTTTCATTTTGCTGACACTCAGTATTGGTCCTGAGAACAATTTCTTTCTAAGCAAAGTAATGTTTAACTACTTCCCTATCATCAACACTGCCTCATAAGCATAATTTAGAACCTTGCTGTTGTAATTCAGTATGCTTCAATTTTTTTTCCTTTTCATTAATACTTTGAAAGGGAGACTTAATGTCTTATTCATCAGGACTGTTATCATCTGAGCAATAATTAAAGATAAGGTAGAAAAAACAAAGGACGTGCATATACATAGGAGTCATTAAAAGGAAGGGAAGCCTCTCTAAGTGAGAGGAAAATGAACAAAGTCACTTTCTTTTGGACTGGGTGGAAATGAGCTAAGGCCCGCCTCCAACCCAAATCATGGGAGGTTCTTAGAGGACAATGTCAGAAGGCAAGACTTGGACAAGGCTGCAGGCTCAGCCCTGGAACGGAAGCATGTTCCCGTGTTTTGGAACCTTGCTCAGCTACAGGAACCAACCTGCAAGTCTTGACGGTCATTGTACTTTTAGAGTCTGGGAGTGGAATAAAGAGGAAGAGTGATAATTCTGATTTTGGGCAATTACGGGTTTTGCCAGGAGTGCCTCTCCTTTCAATGGATATAAGTCAGCAACTGCAGGAGCTATAAAATTTGAAGAAGGCTGGGCATGGTGGCTCACGCCTAATCTCAGCACTTTGGGAGGCCAAGGCAGGAGGATCACTAGACCCTAGGAGTTTGAGACCAGCCTGGGCAACATAGTAAGACCCTATATCTATAAAAAGGAAAAAATAGCCTGGCATGGTGGTACGTGCTTATAGTCCTAGCTACTTGGGAGACTGAGGTGGGAGGCTGAGGCTGCAGTGAACTATGATCAATCACGCCACTGCACTCCAGCCTGGGTAACAAAGTGAGGCCTTGTCTCAAAATTAAAATTTAAAAAAAAAGTTGAATGAGATATTATTTGGGTAAGAAAAGTAAAAGTTAACATTTCCTGGAAGGGTCAAACTCAAATCTCTGGAAGTTCAAAGCTTAGCTCATTTGATATCTCCTTCCAGAAGTGTCCACACACACACACACGTGCACACACACACAGACATACACATATACATACATGCATACACATGCCCACACATACACATAAATACACATGTAACTTCCACTCAGCCAAGTTTGATGTAATGCATCTTTTCTAGTATACTCTGCTTGTAATAGTATTAGAATCATTCTTTCATTCTGCTTTGTATTATGATCAATAGTTTAAATGTCCTTACCCACCAATGGCTTGAAATCTCCTTGGTATTTGACTTACTCTTTTTTTTTTAATGATCCCATAGCAGCAACAGTGGTGCTGTCCCCTTTTTGGGCACTCAGTAAATGTTTACAGAATAAGTAGCAGAAATTTAAATATTTGCCATTTGCTGCTTTTAGAGTTGGAAGCCTTCACTAAAATTTCAGGGGTCTTTAAAAGTCATACCTTTTTATTCAGAGAGAAATCCATTTTATTAAAAACCATTTCTTTCTCTTTTTTTTGACAGAGTCTTGCTCTGTCACCTGGGCTGGAGTGCAGTGGCACAATCTTGGCTCACTGCAACCTCCGCCTTCCGAGTTCAAGTGATTCTTGTGTCTCAGCCACCCGAGTAGCTGGGATTACAGATGTGCACCACTATTCCCAGATAATTTTTGTATTTTTAGTAGAGAAGGGGTTTCACCATGTTGGCCAGGCTGGTCTCGAACTTCTGGCCTCAAGTGATCTGCCCACCTTGGCCTCCCAAAGTACTGGGATTATAGGTGTGAGCTACTGTGCCCGGCCTTAAAAACCATTTCTATTAATAAAGCAGATTGAAATAGCCCATGTTTCATTTCCTCTCCTTATCCCCTAATTTCCCAAAGCCACAGGCATTTTGCTTTTTTTCAGCTAATTTCACAAAAAAGTTACGCCCATATGGTGGACACTATGATATACCTCCCAGATCCCCTTACAGGAATAAAGGATTTATAATCCTCTAGCTGCTAAAAGTGCTGCCAGCAGGTGGCCCTTAGCTGTCAACCATCTGTGGGGATTGCCTCTGCCGAAGACAACTGCTTACCTCAGGTCACACCTCCTCCTGGGGAGGGCCAACATCCAAAATGACTAGTCTCTGTGGGGGAAGAAATGCTCCAGCCCTCTTACTCTAATTAGAAACAACTTGGAAGTCATCCCCACTCCAGTACTCCCCAGGTAAGGTAGGTTGAGGCCTCTGCTGGGACTACAACCAGCCCAACTTCTCCCTCTGCCCAGCCCTGCTTTCTTCCTTAGTAATGAGCTCAATCAACACCTTGGCCACCCATGTTCATCTCACAGCCGACATCTTAAGAAACACAATCTATGACAGCCTACCAAATTTCAAGTGTTAGGTACACAGACATCACTAAGAGATCAGGTCCCAGTTCTTTCTGATTTTATTTTTCTTTATTTTTTTTAGATGGAGTCTGCTGCCCAGGCTGGAGTGCAGTGGTGCACTCATGGCTCACTGCAGCCTAAATCTCCCAGGCTCAAGCAATACTACTGCCCCAGCCTCCCAAGCAGCTGGGGCTACAAGTACACACCACCACACCTGGCTGATGTTTATTTTATTTTATTTTTAGTAGTTCTCTTTAATTTTTAGTATTTTTGTTTTTATTTTTTATTGTTAGGTCTTTCTATGTTGCCCAGGCTGGTCTCAAACTCCTGGACTCAAGTGGTCTCCCACCTCGGCCTTCCAAAGTGCTAGGATTACAAGGTGTGAGACACTAGGTCCAACCTCTTTCTGATTTTAGAAAACAATGAAGGCAGGTAATACAAGTACATTCATCACTCCCATAATATGCGAAGTTGTGTGAGAAAGGCACACACCAGATGCTGTAAGAGTACCAGGAGGGGTTCGGAGGCAGGAGGTTATCAGAATTGACTTCTTGTAGGAGCTGTGTGTAAAAGACAAGCTAGGTAAAGACGAAGTAAGGAGTTGGAGGCAGAAGGAGGAGGATGAAAAAAATCACAGATGCTTGAGGCTTCCAGGGACGCTAATGGCACACACACCAATGGGCATGTGGGGGTGACAAGCAGGGGATGAAAGTGACAGCAAAAGTGAAAATGACAGATGCATCCAGTAGGCAGTAATAGCATCAGGGAAAAACTTGCACTTCATCCTATGGAGCTTGGTTCTTGGCCAATTTTTTTAAGATTGAGACATAAGGCCAATGACCTTTCCATGCAACATATACTTCCAGATTTTTCCAAATCCTCACCTCCACCAAAATAATTTGGGAAAATAAAGCAAAGAGCAGCAACACAGACATTTTGGGAGGGCAGGTGGGTTATATCGATAACATCTTTACATGAGCATGTGAGTAATGACATCTATTAAACATGAAATCATCTGTTTCAGAAGAAAAATTATCAACACATAAAATTTTTTGAACATCTCATTCTATTTTGAAAAAAAGAATCATTCTTTTTGTTTAGGCCTCCCTTACATAGATAATATTAAAAGGCAAACAACAATGTACTATTGATGAGTATACATGTTACTTATTATTATTGAAATAAAGGAAATGTACAAACTTTAACCCTTTATTCGTATGACTTATCTTCTTGCACATTTTAATTTTAGTATCATTTTTCTATTTATTTGGTGGTCATAACTATTTGTCATAAGTAAGAATGTTCATAGCATCATTAATACAATATAAATATTTGAGCTTTCTTCATCTATCCTTGCCCTCCTTCTTATCTAGAAATTGTCCATTAGTAAAATTACTAGACAAAATTAATAACTGGTAAAAATCATAACTCACAAGTACTACAGAAGCTCTTGAGAACCTCAGTTATTAGCTGTGTACCAGAAACCATTAGGAAATGGGATAAATAAGCAAGGCTGATGAATTTACACAGTCCCTAACACCTGCCCACCATGGCGTCATTCTCTCTCTCTCTCTCTCTCTCTCTCTCTCTCTGTCTCTCTCTCTCTCTCCGTCTCTCTCTCTCTCCCTCAACCCCCTACAAAGAAATAATACAGGAAAAAAAGGGTGAATAACATTGCTATCATGGTAAACGTGAATCCAGTCTATTTTACTGAAAAATAATTTTTAAACTGTAGTACCAGATTTATTATTAGTAACACATTACTCGTGACACCCACATATGATCAACAGTCACCAGGTTGTTGAATACTACCGTGGAGAGGAACTACTAGAAGCCATGTGAAGCCACTGGAATGTCGAAAGCAAGAGCGAGGCATGGTCAGAGTTATAGCTTGGACCTGTCTCTCTGGAGTCAGATAGAAGATGGGATAAAGATGTTTTGGGAGAAGTCTTTAGCAAGCTGTCACAAAACTCAGGAAAGATATGATGAGGATCTGCCCAGTGTCAGGCGATGGAAAACAGCCTCATTCTGGCTGAGCCCTTCCACGGCGAGGCTCTATGAGTGTCTACACTTGACAGTCGAGTTCCTTGAAAGAGGCAAGCAAGACGAGCTGACCAAGATAATTCTCTGCTTTTCATGTCCCTCTGCTTTTGAGAAAGGCCATATTACCCTGACTAATAAAGCAGGAATTACCTATTAGAGAAGGACTCACAATTAGATTTTGAAGCCCCAACACTCAATAACAAGAGCTGAAAATCTAAATAAAATTTGCAGGTACAAGGGTTTGTCTGGATTTAGAAAAAAGTTAGATTCTACACAGTTTGACTTTTACTCCTAGGTTACCATCCATTCCATTAAAATATGTTTATACCATCAGGTGCAAAGTTCTTCACTTATCTAGAGACAGAAATATCATATATTTCTTTAATATAATCCCCCCTGTTCCCCAACCTTGCCACCACGGAACTGTCAGTTTTGACTCATGAAAGAACTTTACGTAACTGCCAGATAAAAGACAAATTCAGATGTGCATGGCAAAACATTATCTGGGATGCACCAAAATTCTACCTTTGAAGGGCCAGGAAGAGTCCAAAAGTATGTTAAACTGGCTAAAAGGAAATGTGTCTGGTGAAAATATTTCAATGGATATGACTCCAGAATCAGACTCCTGGATGAAAAACAGACCCCTTCTTCTACTGCTCAGTGGCCTCTGGCAGGTTTAGCTGTGCTGCAGTCTGTTCATCCACAATATTAGACAATGAAAAAGGTTCCTGTATCATCAGGTTGTAGGAAAATTAGATGAGACTCCTGGAAAGTCCATAATTGAGTGCCTGGTGGAGACAAAGCAATCGGGATGGTGGTGGAAGGAAGGTGGTGATGATGCTGCGACTCTGTGCACCCCAGAAAGTAAGCCATGACAGTGTGACGGGCACACCAGATGTGTTGTTGTTGTTGTTAAGAAAGCAATCCCTTACTGACCAAACCAGTAGGCATTATGCCATACAGCTAGCAACGTATACATGCAAAAAAACAAATAAGAAAACCAAACAATCCCCAAATGAGAAGACCCCTCAACAGAAAGAGTCCGGAAAAAGAGAGGGAGAGGCACATGAGCACGCACATCATACACTGCAACAGAGTTGGGGAGGAGAAAATAATTGAGTAAAACCCTGTTGTTCTTGCACTTCGCTATTTTTAGGATGAGAGATTTCTGAGGATTTCCTGATCATCTCACAAATAAAGTGTTATCTTCAGAAGGCTTTCAAGGTCCCAGACAGATGGAAAATTCACAAGACCTGGCTCATAATCAATTTAAAGGGGGTAGGCTCTGGCTACCAATTATTACTGGAAGAGAAAATTAGATTATTTTTCAGGGTAAATATCCAGGTACTTATTGTTTCCTAAGAGGAGAGGGGAGATGAGAAGACCCAAAAGTGCACACAGAAGAAAACACACCATGTGAATCCCAAAGGGAGATTTTTAGATGTGGAACTAAAGAATCATAACATAACTCAATAAGCAAAACAGCTGATTAGGTGATAATTGTGTCGAATCAACAGCTCACGGCTCAACAGATTAAACTCAAATGACACATATTCCTAAGGATATTTATGGGAAACTAAATCATCTAAGATAAAGATTCCCAAATTACTTACACCAGAATAGAAAATCTTACAAACACCAATGCCAAATTTCATGCTAACATTCAATACATTTTTAGAAATTTCAGAAATAACAGATTGCAACAACAAATGTGTTTGCTCCAAGCAAGTGAAATCCTGCTACCTCCACCAGCTAAGACAGTGACATGGCAGTTTCAAATTTATTGAGAGAGAGGCTCAGGATGAAACTGTAACTGATAATCAAGACAATAATTTTCCTATGGAGGTATGCCTCAACTTATTTCTTTTTTTAAATCAGCCATGCTAAACCCTTTAAGAAAAGTATAGAAGATAATCCTAGACCAGCCTCTTTATAATATCATACCAATCAAACGCTTTACCTAGACTCTTTCTTACCACATCCTTGAGAACTAGAAAAATATGTATTGAAAAACATTTTTTTGTATTCAAAATCTTCCTGCTGTCTATTCTGCATTCTATAGCAAGAAATCTACCAGCAGACCACAACCCTCCTTCCCAGGCCTGGCCCTGCATGCAAAACCACGGAGGGTCCAGTACATCATTATTGCTCAGCTTTGGAAGAACAAAGTTAGAATTTAATATTTAACAGTTTTGCTATTTTGAGTTTTGACATCACCTACTAAGGACTAATTGAGCAGGGAAGTCATGTCAAGATGCATGACTCATTTTATATCAACACATCAACAACGTACAATTTCCAATGGACTTATATTAGAAACAATTTCAGTATCACAAAAATACATACATGTGCATCTGCCACAAATGGTAAATATGAAGATAAGAGGTGTGTGATTTATAGAAACAACTGAACAAGAGTCTTAGAAAACACAGTGTCAAGACATGTGGGATATCTTCAAGTTGCTTTGTCATAAAGAAGCATTATTAAATGTGGTATAAACCCAAAAAAAAAACAACAGCTAAAGTCTAAATAGCAACTTTTGCCATTGAATATGATTCATCTTCGTTTCATTTGAGTTTGGGTGCTGCTGAAAGGACACCTCAGGAGCTTTCCCTCTCTGATGCAGGAGGACTGAGTCTAACTGGAGGTGCCTGGGCAGTGTGCTCACAGGCACTGGGATGCTGAAGATAGTTTCCCATCAAACGATTCATCTGACAGTTTTCTTCTTCCCCAAACAAAGAGAAGTCAACAGCTTAAACACAGATTTCAGGACTCACCCACATTATCCACGTCCCAACAAGCAAAGGTAACGTATTTCCAGATGATTGGCAGGTCCATATTCCATGTTCCAAGTGAGACAAGAAGGGTGAGCAAAAAAGAGAGAGAAAAAAATACTTTAGACATTGTTCAACAACTGATGCTACCTTATCCCATTCTGAGCACGAGAATGACACTTCCCTCCTTTCTAGAAGCCACCCCACTGCCAATACAGTGGGAGTTAAGGAGAAAGTTTCTGTAGAAAAACAGGGTAGATAATTCATGAGACATCCAAAGTGATCTCTCATGAACATTTTCATTAACAGATGCAAATAAGAGATATACACCCAAACCACATTTGAATATGCAATAGATGTTTCCAGAAAGATAACAGGAAAGATTTGTATAAACATACAGGATCATAAAAATAAAACAAGTCTGGACTAGAATGGGGATGGGGGGACTTCTGCAAGGTATAGACTTAGGCTGACTCAAAATAATAATCAGAAAATCTAGTATAAAGTGATTTACACATTCCAACAAGCATTTGACTAAAACAATTCTAATTACACACTCACAAAGAATATAAATTATAACCCAGTTTAGTTGTGCTACCAGTCAGAACCACAGAATAGAATTTGCATTCTTCAAAGAAGATACCAAAAAGAAATAAGTTATTATTATCTTTTTATAGAGGCCCAGGAAAAATAATTAACATGTCATTAAATTTCTAGGATGCATTGTTTTTTAATCTTACAAACCATGATAATTGCTCTATCAGGGAAGAAATTTTGCAGCATAAAATCACATAGAACATATTGTCAAGTAGATGGAACTCCCAAACTGAGCTTTCATGTAAAATAGCTCATCTGTCATAAGCTTTCCACATGAGCAGTCACCTTGGAAAACCAGGCTTTGTCAAGGTCATGCTGGAGGAATTCTGTGATCCTCAGGTCCACTCAGGCCTCCTGGGCCTCTTTCTTACAGATGTACACTACTAATCAGTTCCATCAAATGCTACTGTCAACTCAAAATAACTGAAAGCAGGGTCTCAAAGAAATATTTGCATGCACATGTACACAGTAGAATTATTTGTAATAGTCAAAAGGCAGAAACTACACGTGTCCATTGATGGATGAATGGACAAACAAAATGTGGTATGTACGTACAATGGAGTATTACTCAGCCTTCAAAAGGAAGGACATACTGACACATGCCACAGAATGGATGAAGCTTGAAGACACTATGCTAAGTGAAACAAGTCAGACACTTACATGAGGTATACAGAGTAGTAAAATTCATACAGACAGAAAGTGGAATGGTGGTTGCCAGAGGCTGTGGGAAAGGAAAATGGAGAGCTGTTGGTTAATGTGTAGAGTTTCAGTTTCGCAAGATGAAGTGAGTTCTGGAGATTAGTTGTAAAACAACATACACTAATGAGGCCGAGACTATTTATTTTGAACTTTTATGACATGCATACCAAGAAAAGCTTCATTAGAGAGTAGCACAATAAATAAAATTTGGCCAGGTGCAGTGGCTCACGCCTGTAATCCCAACATTTTAGGAGGCTGAGGTGGGAGGATCACATGAGCCCAGGAGTTTGAGACCAGCCTGAGCAACATAGTGAGACACTGTCTCTACAAAAAATTTTTAAAAATTAGCCAGGCATGGTGGTGTGCACCTGTAGTACACCTGTACTTTAGTAGAGACAGGGTACTTCTTATACTCGGGAAGCTGATGTGTGAGGATCACTTGAGCCCAGGATTTTGAGGCTGCAGTGAGCCATGATCACACCACTGTACTCCTGCCTGGGTGACAAAGAAAAAGCCTGTATCTAAAACAAATAAATAAATTGTTAAGTTCTCAATCCATAAAAATATATACACATGTAATTCTACCGAACTGTACACTTAAAATAGTTAAGATGGTAAATTTTATGACACTTGTATTTTGCCACAATTAGGGCAAAAAAAAAAAAAACCACTACTATCAGAATGGTTTTGGAACTATTTGGCCACCCTGTGTAGACCCAATCTTGAAAGGAAAGCATGAATGGAAGTCAACAGTTGGTGTAAAGTGTTAAAAGACTGCAATTTGTAATAGAATAAAAAGCTGCCTAGCATTAATTCAAGAAATTTTGTCTTATTCTCAGCAGATAGTAGGATGAGAGTAGTTGCCTAAAAGACACTGGAAGAAATCATGACAGAAATGCCTACCAAGACCAGAGATGGGCGGGGATGTCCCCACTCATTCCACAGCCTCAGGGGATCTGTCCTTGCCTGTGGCATCCCGTTCTATGCGAATCCTGGAAAAGCGTCCATGCCAGGTGTTCTTGATGTCCTTTGAATATTTTAAAAGTTTAACAACTTGAGCTTCAGATAGCATTTTGTTTCTTAACCTACTCTCCTTAGTCCTGATAATGAATGGTGAATGTTCATCTCACTGCAGATATGCAGACTGTATTTGTATTGGCCGAAGAGAACCCAGGAAGAGCACAGTTAATCCTCTCTTGTAATTAACTATTTTTACTTGCTAAAGATGCAGAAAAAAAGGAATATATTGGTGCATAAATGAGTTACTGTCATGGAGGTAAGCATAAATATCTGTTTTCAAACACATTTTTGTTTTGTTTTTTGAGACGGAGTCTCATTCTGTTGCCCAGACTAGAGTGCAGTGGCACAATCTTGGCTCACTGTAATCTCCGCCTCCAGGGTTCAAGCAATTCTCATGCCTCAGTCTCCTGAGTAGCTGGGACTACAGGTGTGCACCACCACATCCAGCTAATTTTTGTATTTTTAGTAGAGACGAGGTTTCACCATGTTGGCCAGGCTGGTCTCAAACTCATGACCTCAGGTGATTATCCGCCTCAGCCTCCCAAAGTGCTAGGATTACAGGCATGAGCCACTGTGCCCAGCATGTTTCCAAACAACTTCTGCCTGTACATTTCATCACTAGTCCCTGGCATCCATGGGTCTCTTTTATGGTGAGTTGATCTTTGAGTGAGAGGACACACTTGCAGAGAGGAGGGACTTAGGGAGTATGAGGTAGGAGTTCAGTCATCTCTTAAGGAAGTGAGTGACCTTGACCAAGCCACTAGACATTTGTTTTCTTGAGGGAAGAAATAATAAATGTCCTGGCTTTTTTATAGAGTTACAGTAACAAAAATGATGCCCATAAAAGACCTTTGAGAAACACAAAGCCGTGTCAATTCAGAGTGAACTTTCGAACATCTCCAACTGTTGCCTGCCTCTTGGCAGTAATGCTCAGTTCCTTCTCAGGAGACGAGGAATGTCCAAATGCGACAAGGTATGCTATAGTCTCAACCTAAATTCCTAGCCCTATTTCCCGTTATCCCCATCAGTCACCCTATTGACCCCTCCAACCAAACAAAGGCCCATGGGTTTAGGGTAGATGATTCTTGAAGTAGGAGCCAGGGACTGGGAAGTCCCTAAGATCCTTTCAGGGACCCGTGAGGTCAAAGCCACTTTCCTGGTTATACTGAGACCTTATTTGCCTTTTCACTTTCATTCTCCCATAAGCTTAGAGTAGAAATTTCTACAAGCTACATGATGTGTGATATCTCACCCTCAGTTTCTAATGCAGGAGTAGACATGAGAATCCATTCTCTTCTGCTAAGCTAGGCATTAAATAAATTTGCAATGACAGCCTTTACCCGAAGCTATTTTTGTTTTGGGAAACACAGTTAACCTTCATAAAAATATTTATGTTAACATGAAATGGATTTATTATTGTTATTTTTAAGTGAATTAAAAATAAATATCAAAAACGTTCTCAGTTGTAATTTCTGAGGCAGTAAATATCAATAGATAACATGTATAAAAAGTTCTTTGCAGTTTTCAGTTATCTTTGAGGATGTATAGAGGTCCTGAGACCAAAACAGTTGAGAACTAATAATCTAGAACACACAGCAGAAGGGCAAATGATACAAGATGAGGCTGCAGAAATGGATGGGAGCAAACCATGTGGCCAAGGGAAGAATTCTGGTCTTTACCCAAGAGCAATGTTGGAATAGTCCACAGGTGTAGGAGGCTAGAATTATAGTCCCTTTCTCTGTATGCAATAGTTGTACAGAATTATTAATTGTTCACCTTACTTTTCCACCACTTTGATCCATAAATCTTCATCACCTTATAATGAATCTCAGAATTATTTTCAAAATGAATAACTTCCCTTACATGATCAGATGCATATCTGAATTGTACTTGCCTTTAAAACCCAAGTTTCTGCTTGATTCATGGAAAATGTTTATAGATGAGCTTCTTTTGTCTCCCAATACCTCCTACATTCAAGTAGAATCAGAATTAGTGTCTCATTCCTGCTCTGGAGTCTCTCCGCAAAGCAGGAGGAAATGGAGCCATGCTCATGGCCACTTCTACAAGAGATGGGTTTTTCTAACCTCATGAAGGCCTTCTCTGCTGCTTTAGAAATCCTCTTTGTGCTCCCTCATTGGCTCTTTTGTACCTCTGCCCTCTGAAGTTGTTGCAAACTTTATCCATTCTCAAACCCCTTCTGTACTCCCCTGATTCTTAGGAAAAAACCCCACTTCCAGCTTCACTGAGAAACCAGAGGCAGGAAACTCTGGAGTTAACATTAATGCGCTATGATTACGAAATGTGTGAGTTGTAACTTTAGTGTCAGCAAGATAAAAATAATTATTTTAATATGCAGTTTCCAGGAATAAATAGTAACTAAAAGCATGATTATGATTTTAATAAAAAGAAAATAATTATACATTAGTAAAATCAGTGAGAAAAGACAAATCTGTAGCTATGTCAGGGTCAGGTTATGTGTATGAAGAGAGTATGAACATGGCCAGGGGACAAGGCTAGTTACTGCAAAAATTTTATTTAAGTACATTCTCCAGAGACACCTGCTAGAACATAGCTAACTGAGTGGACAGTCTGTACCCTAAAGGAAGCAACCAATAAGGTGTTAGAACCTCCCATCAAGACTAAGATGGTTAAACATCAAGAGAAAAGAACTGAGCTTTAAAAATGCTAAAGATATCAGAGAAAAAAAAAGCACAAAATTGAAATTCTCAGTGTATCTAATTCAGACTTTTTTTTTAAACTGCTTCTTATATTTTCCTTTTTCTTCTCCTTTTTTTTGAGAAGCATGGAGCAAGGAGAGAAACTGTGATTTCACAGAGGTAGTCTGTCTTTTATGAATCGACTTTGGCTTGGGTGAGTGACTCACCCTCTGTGAACCTTGGTTTTATCTCTTTATTTTAATTTTTAATTTTTGTGGGTACATAGAAGATGTACACATTTACTGGGTATATGAGATGTTTTGATACATGGGGGAGGTGGGGATGGCTAATGGGTACAAAAAAACTACTTAGAATGAGTAAGACCTACTATTTGAGAACACTAGAAGGTGACTATACAAAAATAACATCACCGTACATTCGAAAATAAAGAGTGTGATTGTTTTTATCTCTTAACATTAGATACTCCAGAAGTTGTGGGAAAGGCCAGAAATGAAGATATTTCCAGCCCTCAGGGCAGAATATTGGCACATAGTAGGCCCTCAGTAAATGGTAGTTCTTTTTCTCTGTCTCTTCTTTTTCTTCTGTCACAATAAGTCACCCAAAAGCTGTTTTCCTTTTAGGTAACTGTGATCTATATGCATACAAAAAGAAAATTTTTAACACAGAGAGAGAAACAGAAAGAGAGCATGGCTTCTTAGTACTCCTTTTTTCTTGAAGGACAACCCCTATCTGTATCATGAAATCCCACCTTTCACAGGCCTGAAATCCCCTCCAACTGGGAAGTCCTAGTTCTGTGCCCTCAGGTTCTCCTCCAGAACCTCAACCCTTCCTTCTGGGGGTCTTCCAGAAGGAAGGTCTTCTGTTCTCTTCTGGTTTCCCTGGATTTCTCCAGGTGCTACTCCTTTCATTCTCAGCAATCTCCCTTGGTAATCTCATGGGTTTTGCAGGAGGATTATAGTTGCCTTCCACAAAAATATAGAACAATGACAGCACCACCCTTCCCTCACCTCTCCCAAATTCAGCTGTTACCCCGGCTCCTGCACAGCCCGCCCGTGAATCACTCCAACTGTTCTACATCTCAAGCCCACTACGTGTATGCCTGCTGCACTCTTTCTCCATTTTCCAGCACTCAACATTGCCTGACCCCCACAACCCTACTTTTCCTTCAAGTCCAGGGTGAACTCAGCCTCCCTTGTGAATCCTTCCCAGTCTCCCAGTCAAAATCAACTGCTTCCTCTTTGATGATTCCCCAGAACTGGAGCGATCACTAAAAAAATGCACCTAAAGTGTTTTTATGATGCAATACAAGTGTTTTTATTATGCAATATTATATATATTATATCCATATGCATACATATTATATAAATAATATTGCATAATAAACTCCTTAGGTTTTTATTTTTTCAAAATTCCAAACAACTGCTTAAAATACATATACATATGTAAGAGATGAAGCATAATAACAAAATGAACACCTGTGAACTCTCACTTAACAATGAGAACGTCACCAATGTGGTTGCCTCTACTCTGCAGTCCTCCTGCCTTCCTACACATTTTTCTAAACAATATTGTTATGTTTTTCAGTTTCTTAGCCTTATAAAAATGCTATTATATCATGTAATCTTCTGCAATGTAAAAAAATCAACAATATTAAAGATTCATCATGTGGTTGGTTGATAGCTATGGTTCATTTTTGTGGTTGTATGGTATCTCATTTAGTGAACATGCCATACTTCAGTTATCTTCTCTTGTCCATAGACATTTGTGTTGTTTCCAATTTCTTGCTATTATGGAGAATTTTGAAACATTTCTTGTGTATACGTGCAAGAGTTTATCTATAATATATAATGAAATGCAAAACTCCTGTGTTGGACAGTATGCATATCTTTAAAAGATAATGCCTAACTGTTTTTCAATATTATTGTATCAATTTACCTTCTTCCCTCCAGTGATGTATAAGATTTGGTATTTTCATAAAATTCTCTTTCACCATTCATCATTATCACACTTTATATTGTTTTTATATACTGGCCTCCCTATAAAATGATAGCACCATATTTTATTCACATTTAAATTCTCATAGTGTAACAGTACCTTGCTTATAAAAGATGATAAATGAATATCAAACTGAAGAAAATACAACAACCTGTATTTGATTTGAGTTACAAGTCATTCTATTATTATTATTTTTTTTTTTTTTTTGAGACGGAGTCTCACTCTGTCGCCCAGGCTGGAGTGCAGTGGTGCCATCTCCGCTCACTGCAAGCTCCGCCTCCCAGGTTCACGCCATTCTCCTGCCTCAGCCTCCCAAGCAGCTGGGACCACAGGCGCCAGCCACCACACCCGGCTAATTTTTTGTATTTTTAGTAGAGACGGGGTTTCACCGTTTTAGCCGGGATGGTCTCGATCTCCTGACCTCGCGATCCGCCCGCCTCGGCCTCCCAAAGTGCTGGGATTACAGGCGTGAGCCACCGCGCCCGGCCCAAGTCATTCTATTTTTTAAACGCAAATAACAAGGAAGGATTATAGGGTCAGCAATCCTTTCTGCAAATATAATTAATTCAATCACACTAATTTCCTATCTATTACTTGATCAGAAGAACAAAAAAATGTAGTTTTATTTGAGAAAGAGAATGTAATAAATTTGGAGCAAGGAGTATATTTTGGAAAGTAAGAAAGCCTAACTATGAGCAAAACAGTTTGACTTAGGATAGTATGTCCAAAGAAATGGGCACTAGAAGACAGATGAGGGATTCAAGAAGGAAGTTGCAAAGCACTATATACTCATCCAAAATTTTTCACAGTAGGCTATCCATCTAGGGAGGTACCATTTGGCTTCCTGTTCCAAGGTCCCATAAGTAATATTAATACTGCAGTTCCAAAATCTGTTCATAACATAGGTTTAATATAGTTGTCTGGACTAGCCTGGAAACCTAAACACAATTTTTAATCTCTTCTCTCCGGGCAAATAATTCAAAATTCCAAACAACTACTTACAAATACACTTTTCAAAAAATGACTCAGCTGTAAAATGGGGAAGGCCTATATTCAGAAAGTAGGTCTCTGCCTTTTATCACTCTAGTCTTTTCACCCTAAGGCTAAAAAAGCCAGAGACTGAAGAAAAGAAGCATTCCTATGCTCTTAGAAACAAAATCTACAACATTCATAAACTACTCTTTGATCATTGCTTGTCTTCTGCTTTGAAAAATATTCAGAAAGAGAGTGCCAATACCTCCCAAAATATGAGATAAACATGCATTCCTTATGCGGGAAATGTAAAAAAGTTAATGTAAGACCATGGACTAAAGAAGGAGAATAGCTTAGCGACATTGCTCAACCTACGTCTAAAGAGCACACAGAACTGAGACCAAGTTTCTCCCCACGGGATTTCAGTGGAAAAACAAAAGGCTTCTAAACATTTGGAGGTCATTGACCTTGGCTTCCCCACATCTTTGATGCTCCTTCTCATATCATGTGCAAACTGATACTTTAGTAGGTCATTGGTGAAAAACAAATTTCTGAATTCAATGTGTATCTTTGTGAACAGACGAAAGTCAATGAAAAGTGGTAAAAAAAAACTACACCATAAATCTCCAACAAGCAACCCCATACGGACAAATTCATCTTGTCTCTACAACAGCAAAACCATCCCACCATCAAAAAAATAATGTGTTTAGAACAGAACTTGGTATTTTCAGCCCTAGTAGAATGCATGTGCTCACAAACATCCTGTTTGGTGTTAAAGTTGTAATAGGTTCCTATTGAACCTCTCTCTGCAACTTCAATATACAGTTTGATTACACCTTTAACACCAAACAGGGTATTTGCTGTTAAATAAGATATGTTTAAAATATTACCCTAGTTAACTCAGCCACTAAAACTTTTTTGAAAATACAATTATTATGTGTTCTATTTTACAACACCACACTGTAATGATTTGTATCTACTGAACCCCTACTGTGTGATGTATGTATAATACAAGGACAACTCCACAAGAATGGGGCTCTTGACTATTAAGAGAGGTTGGGGTGGGGGCAGGGAAGGTGGGGGTTAGGATGAAGTTCAGAAGCAGTAGGCAGAAAAGAAGAAGAGCACATTTCACTCTGATTAGTTTTTTGTGAACACAGTGCAACTTGTTCTGTTGAGTCCCTGGTACAGAGCACTCACTTCCATCCATATGCAGCCCAGTGAAGTCTAATGTATGAAAATGGCTCTTTTCTTTTTTATGTTTTTTTTCTATTATTAATCCTTTTCCTTAGTCTTACTAACATTATACTTTTAGCCAGAGAAATAATTTTGTGGGTCAGACACTTTTTCCCATATCAACTCATTTCCAGATACAAAGTTAACTGCACCTTCCACAAAAAGCCATTCAGCCATTCATGATTCAGCTCAGCTGTTCCTTGAAGCATTATATAAGCAGGTCAGAGTCAGGCAGGAATGTGCCACTTGCGATATTCCAGCCAGGTCTAGTGGACTTTTATCTTTCTCTAGACTAACAGCTAATCAAATTTAACAAACACCCCCTTTCCTTATGCCAAATGGAGGTCAAGAGAAAGTGTTTTTAAGATATGTACTATACTTCAGCCATGTATTATTTTTTATTTATTTTAATGGGAGCCATCTAGATAAATCCTCTTGTTATGCTTTGAAAAGATTACCCAGAACCTCTTTGAATTCATCCAAATCCATGATGATGCGTAAAAGGAAAGGAAAATAATAAAATGAGATTCCAGGTAACACGGTAAACAGTGAAAGTACTGAGTTAATTCAGAAAAGCAATAGATTGTTATTAGATCAATGTGATCAATTATCCAGAGATGAAAAACTATATTACCTGAGCTAACAATAACAATATTATTATTAAAGAATTCTTTAGTATTTTTCCATAGCAAAACCTGTGTAAAGTGATATTTCCATTTTTTCATGTCGAAATTGTGTTTCAACAACCCTGAGCTAAGAAAACAATCATGAAGTGTATGCTATGTTATCAAGTTTAAAAAAAAAAGGTTTTTAATCTATGACAATGCTTCAGGATTGTAGATTTGAAAGCTGAAGCAGCTGTAACTCTATCACAAAGATGAATAAACTATCATCCAGGGAAATTAAGTGACGATGAACCCACAATCTGGAAAATGACATTGCTGCTTACTTTTCCTGAAACACACTTAGTTATGTTCTAACTGTATACTACAGAGACCAATGCTACACTTAAAGAAAAATACACGTGGAGTAACCTGAAAGGAAAGAGTATACTCATCTATTAAAGTACCAGACACAAAACAAAACGTCATGATACTTTTTCACTTAGTGAAAATATTTGGCAACTGGGTCACACATACACTTCAGCCATATTACTCACTGTTGCATTACCTAATTCTCTTCTATCTAAAATATGTTTTCAAAGGAAGCAAATAATAGCTAAGAATAGTACAAATTACTCATCCTTTATAATAATGTAGATGATGTTGTAACATGACAATATTCCCCAGGACTCATACATTTTGTGAAAGAAAGTATCTACATCATCCGATCTTTTAAAAATATGCCATCTGACCTTTTTAAAAATAAGATCTATATATTTTTAGCTTTTGATATTCCAATATCTAACTATTAGAGAAAAAGTAAGGAGTCTTTTGGGAAAGAACCCAGGTAAAGAGAAAAGGAAATCAAGGTACAAACCTTGGCGCCAAGGTTTTCTGTACTCTTAGGCCATCAAACTTTCCCCACCCATAGTCAGAGTAACCTTTCCCTATCTAATCTCTCCATATTACTCCTTTGCAATAAGATCCTTCAATGGTTCCCCATTGCCTATTTGATCAATTTTAAAATTTCTTGAGCTTACAAGTTGGTAACCCTTGTCTAAACATTTACATATGCCAGCTGGACCTCATGAGGCCACAGGTGTCAATGGTCCAGAACCTCTATTGCCTCCAGACCTCAGGGAAGCAGGAGAACACATCACTCACTTCCCGGCAGTCCTAGTGACTCTCTGCTGGGTGCTGGCCACAATGGGTTTAGTAGCATCCTTTCAGATATTTGATGTTAGGCGTCACTGTAGTGGCCAAAATCGGAGCAAGTAAAAATTGCTTAGTCTAAGTGGCTCAGAGAGGATTCAGTTTTGCAAGCAGGGGAGAGATCTCCAGTGATCCCTAAACCCAGTTGGGAGAAATCTGACTATGGTTAGAATGACTATTTTGTGAGTGGTGACTGAGTCAAAGAAGTACAGTTTTATTAAAGTTATTAAGCTGTGTAGTTACTATAATTCAGGAAACATGGGTTACATTTGTATCCACTATGAACTAAAGTGCTCTTTTAAAAACCAGATCAAAGCAGGTTCATGCCTGTAAACCCAGCACTTTGGGAGGCCAAGGCTGGAGAATTGCTTGAGCCCAGGAGTTCCAGACCAGCCTGGGAAATACAGCAAGACCTCATCTCTACAAAAGTAAGAAAAAAAATAGCGAGATATGGTGGCATGTGCCTGTGGTCTCAGCTATTCGGGAGGCTGAGGCAGGAGAATCACTTGGGCCTGGGAGGTCAAGGCTGCAGTGAGCTGTGATTGTGCCACTGCACTCCAGCCTGGGTGACAGAGCAAGACCCTGTCTCACAAAAGAAAAAAGAAAGCAGATCATCCCTGTCCATTTGAAAACATGAAAGTGTAACAGTTTTTCCTAATTATTTTGGTAATTAAATGATCAATGTAGATCACTTCAAGAATAAAAAGTATAAATTAATTTCTCATGGATTACTTTAGAATAAGCAAGGCTAAATATCTATGATAGTCATTACTTTTTCTGCTTGAATGATACAGATACAGAGGAGGTAGATCAACAAAATATTAATTTCTACTTGATTTCAAAATGCAGAAACATTTTGCAGTAGGATTATCAGGTTTATCTTCCTAACTGCATTTTGCTTTGGTTACTTTTTTTTTTAAACATGAAAAAGGGCAAAAGAAAATTACATTTAAATATACTCAGGACTAAAATTTATTTTTTAAATCATCAAAAAGTAAATAAACACAGTCAGGGCCAAGAAGGGCTTGAAACATAAATGTTGAGAGTAAAACGTGATCCATTAAATATGGACTTTCAGACTGAATTAAATGTTAACAAGGTATGCATTATATGACAAAAAGATACTGGTACACTTGTTTGGGCACTTACAATACGCTAGCCATTTTCTAAATATTATTTCTTGTTCTTACAACCACTCTGCTAGATGTGTATTACTAAGCTTGTTTTGCAGAAGAAATGAAGACTCAACAAACTTAGGTGACTTGTCGCCAGATAGCCAGCTAGTACCTACTGGTACTGAAACTGCAGCAGGGTGAGTCTAGCAGTTGCTACGCATCCCAGTATGCAGTGAGCTAAATAGTAAGGCAATCTTGCTCATTTTATATTGTATCACCATGTTTATTCTGCTCTTTAGGGTTTGCAGGCTACATGTTTTTTTTAACATTTTCATTTTGTGCATATTATTCACAAAGCAACCTAAAAAAGGCACCCAACGTTCAAAGAGACAACTATTTTAGGCAGAATGCAAATATGTTTTAATTTGTAGCAGCAACTGCTTTTAAATTGGACCTCTAGCTTCACAAAATGATCTTTGCTCCCACAGACTCCTGGTCTCCTTCTTTAGCTCTGCAGAATGCTGTGACTATTAGGGGGAAAGAAGTATGTTTTTTACTTAAAGGTGAATATGAGTCTCTGATTAAACATTTGTTTGTATTTGAATTTGTTCCTGTGAACATTCCATGTTTGTTTTTATACTGAAGGAGTTACAGAGACAGAGAGATTTGTATGGCATAATGCTGATTTTTTTTTTTTTTTTTTTTTTTTTTAGCTATCAGACCAGTAACTAAAATATTCGGTCTCACTTTTTCACTCATAAACTACAGTCACGTAGCTGACGTCATTAAATTTTTTTCATCCTGTATGTGATGCAGGGAATTCTGTTATTTCTATTTGCCAGTGAGAAAGCTGAGGCCAAGAGAGGCTTAGTAAGCTGCAGATGAGCTGGGTATGGAACAGCATTTTGATATGAATCACACACGTGTGACCAAATGTTTGCACATAGTGGATAGCCAACATCTTTTCCATTTTGTAACATATTTGTGTAAATTTTATAAATACCATGTGTCAAAATCCATACAACATAGATACAGCAGCTCTTAATCATTCAGAGCCATTCAATTTCTCATAACTCAGGAGGTTTCAGTACCTAATTCTAACACTACGTGAAAGTATCTAATTCCTAACTATTCAAAACCTCGGTACTTGATCATGCCTGTTTATTTTTCTTTTTGCTCATTCCTAGTGAGCAATGGACTATTTACAACTATTTGAGGAGGGTGAATTTATCCTCTCAATTTGAAGGCTATTGTATATTCAATAGTCTGGAAGCATTTTCATTCCTGAAATATGGAAGCTGGTCATCTTCTTATAATAATTTATTTCTTCACCTGACCCCAAATATATAGTATACACATGAGGAATGACATGGCTTTATCTTTTCATTCTTTTTTTTTTTTAAGACGGTCTTACTCTGCCACCCAGGCTGGACTGCAGTGGTGCAATCTTGGCTCACTGCAACCTCTGCCTCCCAAGTTCAAGTGATTCTCATGCCTCAGCCTCCCAAGTAACTGGGATCACAGGCATGAGCCACCACACCAGGCTAATTTTTTTATTTTTTAGTAGAGTCGGGGAGTCAGGGTTTCACCATGTTGGCCAGGCTTGCCTCTAACTCCTGGCCTCTAGTGATTCACCCATCTCAGCCTCCCAAAGCGCTGGGATTATAGGCAATGTTTTCATTTTTAATAAAAAAAAATGTATGAGACCATAAGAAATTGAATCTTCTAAAAGTATGAATAAACTTTTTTTTTAAGAAAGGGTCTTGCTCTGTCACCCAGGCTGGAGTGCAGTGGCACACAATCATAGCTCACTGCAGCCTTCAGCTCCTGGGTTCAACTGTTCCTCCTGCCTCAGCCTCTCAAGAAGCTAGGACTACAGCCCTGTGCCAACATGCCTGGCTAATTTTTAATTTTTTGTGGAGACAACATCTCAATTTGTTGCCCAGGCTGGTCTTTGGCCTCAAATGATCATCCCACCTCAGCCTCTGAAATTGTTGGGATTACAGGTGTGAGCCACGGTGTCTGGCCTCGCTCATGTATTTAGGAATGCATTCAGTACTTTATGGGCATCTTGCCCAGCATATCTCATTTTTCCTTCAGCCCAATCACTATCAGCTAGACTCTCCACATTCTATTCTACTTTTGAAATCTCTGTCTAGCTCACATGACTATAATCTCATCACTATAATGAAGAATGCCAATTTTACAGATTCTTCCAGCTACCAAGGCATAAATTATTCATGAAATTAGGCCAATGTGGGTAGAGGGTGGTTTTTGAAGTTTCCAGATAATTGCCTGTTTTTCCACTTTGTCTTGAAAGACCTCATCAAGGCCTGGCTACTTCTTCCTCATACTGACTTGACATGGGATTGGAACAACATTCTTCTCTTCTTCTGTCATAAACTCTCCTCAGATGTCTCTAGACAGTCATCCTCTCAGTGACAAGTTACCGTGGAGCCCCCACTCCGGACAAAACTTACTGGGGAATACAAAGGTGAATAGGATGAAGTCACAGCTCTCAATCAGTAAAACACACCAAAGAATAAATACATGAGAAGTGCCACGAGAGCAGAAGGAGCAAAGAGCTACAGAAGGAAAGATGAGAGAGAGAGATCTCTTCTGAGAATTATCGAGAAAAACATCACAAGGGAGGTGGTGTTTGAGTGCAGGATTTCAAGGTGAAGAAAGGGGAGGAAGGGCATTTCAGTTGAAAGAAATAGGGTGAGCGAAAGACAGAGAAATCAAACCTAAAGGCATGCATAGGAACTGGGGAGAGTTGCCATGGGTTTCCTGTTGGGGCCTCGGGAGATCTGAACACTTAGATACAGGAGAGCAAACACAGGGCTTTGAATACAAATCAAAAGGAGTTTTCACTCATACTTTAGGAAACAGAAGTGGCTTGAGGTTTGCAGCAGGGAGTGATACAACCAAAGGAGCACTGTAAAAGAACTGAACTGGAAGCAGAAGTTAGGAAGGCAGAATGAGAGTGAGCTGGGATAATTACCATAACAATCCAAGCAGGAGGTAGCAAGAGCCAGAGCCAGGACTGGTGGGGATCTGATAGAAAGGAAGTGGCAGTGGGAGTTACCACCACACCACGGGGACCCTGACGTTTCCGTGGTGTGTGTCTGTCAGGGAGCAACGTGAGAAGAGAAAGGTGTAAAAAAATGAAGACCAGGTCTCCCACACAGGTGACTCAGGACATGGTGGTCCTACGGTAAGGGAGGAAAGTATGAAATTGATGAATGAAATTTTTAAACATATTCAGTTTGAGATGACTGGGGAATAACTGGGTAAAGTATCCCCTTGCCAGTTTCAAATGTGAGACTAGATTTCTAATGAAGGCTAAGAGTTAAAATAAAGATGTGGCAATAATGCATCCAGCCAACCAACACTCTTGGTTCTAGAAAACCAGTAGCTTGTTGCCAGAGCAGCTCACCTAAAAGCCAGGTCATATTCTAGGTGTTTGATATGTTCTTCTGTTGACTTCTCACCATAAAGCATTCCTATCCCCATTTCACTGATGAGGATTTGGTGGCTCAGAGATCTTATACAATGAGCTGACTTCAGAAGGGAGGTGTCCAAGTTCTTATTCACCCTTGTTTTCCCACCACACAAAGAAATGGTAGCTTTCTCTCTCTTTTTATTTCAAAGTCCCCAATGTAAGTTCTACCATGCTTTTTTTTTTTTGTCCATTCATGTCTTTTCTCCATTCTGATCTTCATTTATGCTGCTTGACTGAAATCGCACCCAATCAGCCCCAATTATATTCAGTGCCCTTCCCCTGTCTCGTCGCTGCTTTCAACTTGCTGCTCACTCTCTCATTATTTAGGATTCCAAGACAGTGTCCTTTTAGCTCCCACATCTGGCATTCTTCCCACAGTCCCACTGGAACATTGGTGCTTGCATTAGTTTTGGGCTAGGAGACCCTTAGCACTTCAGAATGCACACTAGACATCAATCAGCCCTGCTTTTTCACAAGACATCATCGTGACACCAAATCCTCCCAAATAAAAACCTCACATACTACTGAACTGCATGAAAACAAAACAAATTATTTTCATCTCTTCAGTGATCTGGTGGCTACTTTGAGTATTACATTCCAGTTTTCTCTACTCCCTGACAAAATGACCAATCATACACATTTTCTAATAGCCATATTTATTTTTTAATCTTTAATATAAATAGCGGGTTTCAATACCTTTTAAAATCTCTAGCCTCTTTAGCAGTTCTCCAATGAAAGTCATATTTCCTTACTAATTGTGCTTCTTGCTATTCTTGATTAACCAGCTCTGCACTGGAAAATTCTATGTTCCCATGTGCTAGGTCTCACACTTTGCTTCCAAGTAACTCAGATAACTCTGAAGTCACAAATTAATTCTCACAGTGTGGTAGGTGAAAATTACTATTCTCCTTACAGATAAGGAAGTAGTTGCCCAGAGTGGACTGTGACTTATCTCACTTCCTGGATCTTTTTAATAAACCATTCACAGCCAACTTCCCTCACTTAAAATCCTACAAAAATCTTGCCCTGCTTGAGTTTTTGCTTCTCCCTCCCTAATTCCTCAAGAGGAAAGCATGCCAATGTTCAGTGTATTGTGAGAATAGGTAATTTGGGATTGGAGGTAGCATGAAGAATCTGTGGCTCTTTGGCCTGGAGAAAAGAAGAAACAGAGAGAGATGGAAACTGCTCTTAAGTAGAAAAATGGTGGGTGTGTAGAAGAGAGAGAAGGCAGGGTGTTATAGCTCAGAAGGTGGAACTGGAAGGAAGGGAAAGCTATGCAGGCTGACCTTCCGCGGACTTCTCATTAGTCTGTTTACGCAGTGCTCCAGGAGAACTTTTCTTCAAATTCAGACCACAGGACCCATCCTCTGTGAAGTTCCCTTGCTGTTGCTGTTCAAAGTGCGAGGTCACTTTGCTGAGATCCCTTAACTTTCTCATGTATCTACACAATAGCCTCAAAATCATAACGCTTCCTTCCTTTTTGGCCTACCAACTAGGATGTGAGCTTCATATGGGCAGATGTGAACCATGGCATGTTCATCCCCGTGTTCCTAACATTTAAATACAAAATTTCTCTAAAATGGAATCAAACACTTCTGAAAGTAGTGAGATCCCAGTTTCTCTAGGTATTCAACCAGAGACTGTTATAAAGGGACTTTAACCATGCAACTCTACCACTCTGTAACTTCTAAATTTCCAATATCTTAAGTGCCTTCTTATTTGAAGTGATTTCACCAATCCCAAAGAGTTTAAAAACACAACTCATGAGGACCAGTGTGCATGGTTTAATTCTATTTTTAAACTCTTTGGGATATATAGTTTAATATTCTGATTTTAATAATGATTGACCTAAAAATTATTAAATGTATTTTCAGTGCAGTGTCTTTAATTATAAGCCCTGGTCTACACAAACATTTGTTGAACACCTACTAAATGCCAGACTCTGGGAATAAAAGAATGAGAAAGAGCCCTGCCCTCAATAACTTAACATTCCACTAAGAGCTGTATTTCCATTATTGGGATTGAGAGGTCATAGCCTAGCTGCAAACTCGGTTTTATACCTCTGCTCCTCAGTACTGAGAACGTTTTCCTAAGGTACTACACATTCTAAGAAGACTATTAACTAATGTTAATAGTTAACAAGAGAGGCTCTTTGACCCCTTGGTGTCACTAAGTCTGAACTGTAATTGATCCAACTGGGAACTGCCTATGGCCAGTAAGGGAAAGTGAAGACGGAGACTCCCAAGGTCATTTAAGAACCGACCTGAACTTGACTCTTTCCTTGTTCTAGATTATGTGTAACGATATGGGCACACTGGAGCCCACCCCGCTCCTACGCCGCAAAGCAGCACAATTACAGCCTGGGAGGGGCAAGTCTTGCGGGGCCCGTCGGTAACTGCCATTATTTGAATGCGATATAGGAGATCCCACATAGACCCTGCTCTACCGGGTTAGAATCTGTTTCTAATCACGTGGAATTTAGATTTAAACCACAGTTAGATTTGGGATTTACCATCGTTTCTACTTTCATTCATTTAGTGGCTTCCAGCCCTCTCGCGGCCCAGTCTTAATCCATCGCACTTCAGAGGGAATTACGAGGGAGTTGCGGACTGGCGGGGGCGGGGGTCTGTAACTAACACCAGGTGCCTGTGAGAGAGCCCCAAGGGCGGGGGCAGCACCTCCTGGCTGGGTTGGGTCCGCCTGGCCTCGCCTCGCCTCCGGGATCCTTGGCGCTCAGCGCCGCCCTCCCGCTACTGCGCTACCCGCCAGAGCCCGGCGTCTTCCCTTTCCTTGTCTTGTGGACGCCGCCCTTCGCTCCCGGGAGGATTTCGCCTCCAGCACCTCAGGCTTTTCTGGCGCAAAGGTCGCCAGCCCGAGCGAGCCCAGGCGGCGGCTTCACTTCTGCAGAGGGAAAGCGAAAGACGCGGCCGGCGGGCCGAGGGGGCGGCCGAACGCGCCGCGTGGTTGCTGCTCCCGAATCCGCAGCGGCGGCGCCAGGGCGGTCACCGAGCCCTGCGGACCCCGGCTCAACTTCCAGCGCCACTCGGGTGCCCCGAGCCCGCCGCAGCTCCCGGCGCGCCCTCCAGCCGCGGCACGCAGCCCCTGACGCGCCCGGGGCGCCCTCCCGCAGCACCAGCCAGGCCACCCCACCTCCCGCGCCGCGCTTCCCCGCCAGCCGCCGGCCAGGAGCTCCCCGGCTTCTGAGCAGGACGCGCCAAAGGGAGTTGGGAGGCTCAGCAGCCCCCAGCGTCGCCTTCTCGGGTGACGTGACGCTCTCTCTGGAGCGCGGGCCCGCCTCCGCCAAGCCTCCACCGCAGGTCCTTACAGCCGAGCCACGGGAAGATGCAACGCCGGGCGAGGGGCGCCTCCCGGATTTTGAAAAACAGCCTCATTCGCCTCGGGAACGCCTCGATCCCCCACCCGCACCCTTTGGCCAGATGATTTTAATCCTGGGATTCCGCGTTGGTCGTGGGGGTACCGGGAGCTGGAGCTGGAGGAGAGGAGCCGGCAGCGCGGAGTTGCCGGGGTGCAGCTGCGCGCAGCTGGCGGCGAGGGGAGGCGGTCCCTGCGGCTCCGCCGGGCTGGGGGAACTGGCTCCTGCGCCTCTGCCTCCCGGAGGATCGCACTCGCTCATCCTTACACACCACACACACACACACACACACACACACACACACACTGCCGCTAGCGCCCCCCACGCCACAAGCCGGAATGCGGAGGTCAGAGCCACTGTCCACTTGAAAGCAGGAAAGCAGGGGCTGAAACGCTGAGATGGAGGCGGAGGCTCTGGCCTCATCTGCGAGGTTCGCACCTTCCCGGAAGGCCCCCCCCTCCCCCGCGTTTCCCCAGGGCGAGCAAGGTCTAGCTTCTGAGACTCCGCTCTCTGGGCTAGCGGTTCGAGCTGCAGGGGGGCGGGGACGGATTCGGAGGGAGCACTAGAGAGAGAGCCCGCGCTCACTCCTGCCCTCCTCGCAAAGAACTGGCCAGCCCCACTCGCGTCCAGCCCACAACTAGGCTGCCGGGACCGGGGAGCCAGACCCCAGGTCGCTCCAACTCCGGCGAGGGCGGGGAGGGGAGTGACAGCAGCAACTAGCGCGCGCTGGCAAAAGCACAGAGTCTCGGAATAGGCTAAACGGCCGGCGCGGAGGGGTGGAGGCAAGAGGGGGCGGAGGAGGAGTTGCCCGAGCGGAGAGGGATGACGTCCTCCAGGGCCTTGGGCTCCGAGGAACCGAAGACTGGTGCGCTCGCCGGGCCCCGCGCACTAGCTCTGGGGTTCGCAGAGGCGCCGCGCCCGGCTTCCGCGGCAGCTCCAACACAGCGCGCAGGCGGTCGATCCCGGTCAGCTTAAACCGGGCGCAAGCCCTCTGTCCCCCTCAAAGCACCTCTCTGCTCGTCCCTAGTCTCCAGGTGCCCGTCTGAGAGTCCCTGTCGCCTCCGGGCGGACCCGGCCAGGCAGCCCCCGGTCGGGCCAGCCTCGCCCCTTCCTCGCTTTCTCCCCCATCGACCTCGAGCCAAGGGCAGGCGGCCCGCACCCGCGCCCCTGCCCACGGGGCTAGGCGGCGCTCCCGGCCTACGCCCGGCTGCCAAGAAGAGAAAGGCGCTCACCTGAGTCACCGAAGCCTTCCTTTGGGGCCCCTCCCGGAGCTTGTTCGCAGCCCGCAGGCACAACCTTCCTTGGAGAAAAAAAGTAGCGCAAGGGCAGAGAGAGGTAGGGCTGCTCACAGGTCCCTCCGCAGGGGCTCTTTCCTTCGAATTCTCCGGGGTCCAGTCTCGGGCTCGGCGGCGGGAAAGAGCTCCTGGAGGCTGGAAGGGGCCGCCAGACCCGGGCTCCTCCCGCAGCTGCGGTGGCGGCACCTCCAAGTTGCCACCTGCAGCGCGCTTCGGGCGCCTGTGACAGCCCGCGCCGCTCAGCCCTCGCGGGCCCGCCCTCCCCGTCCGCTCGTTGGCTGCGCCCGGTGCCCGGGCGGTCCCCGCGCTCTGCCCCGCCCTGAGCCCGCCTCCCAGCCGCGCGCTCGCAAAGTATGGGTCTCCTTACAGGCCTCCTCCCTGGGCTTTATAGCCAGCGGGCTCTGCAAGCAGGGATAGAATTACACACACACACACACACACACACACACACGCACACAATTTTGTGTAGATAGGGAGTGGAGGGAAGGGAGAGGCTATGATAAATGTCCCTTCGTGTGCCTTAAGGGGACCTGGTAACTTGGTTTCTTTTGCTGGTATTAAATTTTTGCAATCTCTGAAAAGAGTTAACTTCACAGCGGCAGTCTAGGGATGTAGGCCAGAAAGTGGCTTGGAGGCTGTTTCATTTAAGCATCTTCCAACTTCACATGAAGCGCCAAAATATGAAGAGCAGTGTGTAGACGCAGCTTGCACCGTTTTCTCACCCAGCCTGCACCCCTGCAGCGGAGGACCCTGGCGTTCCAGGGCCTGCAAAGCCATCCCCACTGGTGCCCACGGGATTTCCAGGCCTGAAGGCTCAGCGTGTCACATGCGTGTTTGCTTGATTCTGTGGCCTGTGAGTCCAGGCCATCAGAATGTATGCCCGTGCACACACAAACGAGATCTGTGCTTTCTACAACTCTTGGACCTTCTAAGTAAACAAAAGGAACATTATCTTTCTTTTCCCTTCCACTTCTGCCCCAAAGACCTGGACAAGAGTTCACTGCACAGTCTGTCCCTGGGCACTCAGGCCACTCTTCACTCACTCTGCCTCCTAGTAGCTCCTAGAGGTGTGCTTTCTGGAAAACTGATTTGGTAAAGCCTTCTGGAGGAGGAAAAGCTATAAAATATGACAATCACAAGTCTGGAAAGCCATCCAATCAACCAGAAACGTCTGACTCTTGGGTGTATCTATGTGAAAGAGGTACATTGCCAAGTGCCTATTAGTTTAATAACATTTCAAAATTAACTGCCCAAATAGCACATTTTATAGCCCATTAGGGAAATGTCTATGTTTTGAGAGTGCAGGTGTTGCACTGTTAAGTGAGACTGGAGTGTGCACATGCAGCTCACATCTACCTGTGTTTTGTGCAATCCTCAGCAGGCTGAGGCAGAGGAAAGAGACTTTCTATAGGATGTCAGAGGTGGCTTTATACAAGGGCATATTGGAAACAGTTGGCACCAGTCAAGAAGCCACACCTTGTCAACTGTTGCTAAGTAACTTGGAAGACCGCTATATACCACTGGTTCCTTGCATCAAAGCAAAGATTTTGTTCCATGAGACCCTATCATCTTGGGTCCACTTTGGAAATTAAAAGCAAACTTTTTTCCCTGCAGCCAAGTGCTTACTCTGGCCACTCTCAAAAGAGGCAAGCTAGTCCTCGCCTTTCCTCTTGAAACTCCTGAAGACAGCAGTCTAGTGGCAAAGCATTCACAGTCATATATTTCAATACCCCAGGCTAAATGTTTGCTTATGAATCGCACCTTGAACTGAATTAGGTAAAACAATGAGTAGAATGAAGGTGTGGCTTGCTCAAGTTTAAGTCCAGATTGATTCAATAACTGGAGGAATAGCTGATAAAAAAAAATAGGGGCAGAAGGGTGGGTAATGGGGGTAGCAGTGACTATTAAACTAGATATGTGTCTGTTACGTTGGTAGCCAGGTGAGGCACAACTAGACAAGATGGATTTCTTTCTGGGAGTGCTGTGCCAAGCATAGAAGTGATGAAAAGTTCTTCCTCAGGAAAACAATGTTCCTTCATATTAGAGACAGAGCTTGAAGACTGGTGTGAATGAGAAAGTATGATGTAGGAAAGAGGGAGGAATGAGAAAGGATTGGAAGAGAAAATGGGAGAGTCTGTTGACAGTGGGAGAAATCAGTGGACACTGGAGCCCCTGTGGCTGAAGATTCTGAAGAAGACAAAAGAGAATGTGAAGGAAGTCAGTGTGGAAACTGAGACCTGGAACAGCTTCTCCAACACCTCTGTGTGTGTTTTGCTGAATTTGCATGTGGGACACTTTATGTAAACATTTTCTTTATATGCGGAAAGAAGATAAGGGTGTCTACCTGTCCGAGCTGTGGTAAGGGCTGACTGAGATAATGCATCTGCAGTGCTCTGCGTATAGTAAGCATTCAATAAATAGTAGTTACTATTATAAGCTGTGTTTAAAAGGGGCTTAAAGGTCACCTATCACTTCCAACACTTGTTGCCACTAGACTATTTCCACCAAATGCCCCTCTTGCCTATGCATTACCTGTGATAAGAATCATTACCTTCAGGCCAGGTGTCATGGCTCACAGCACTTTGGGAGGCTGAGGTAGGAGATCACTTGAGCCCAGGAGTTCAAGACCAGCCTGAGCAAGAAAGTGAGACCTCAACCCACCCCGCCACCCAGCCTCTACCAAAAAAAATAAATAAAATAAAATAAAAAAGAAAGTCTCATTACCCCTGAATAGTCTTCTATTTCATAGTGGAACATAGTCAAATATGAAACTATGGAATTTCGTTTTCCATAGTTGAAGGTAAAATGTGTCTCACTACCCTTTTTACCAGTTGGTTCTGTTTCTATTCATGGTAGTCCTCCAAATGTGTAAACTGTGTTTCACAAAAAAGCATTCCAAATTGTTTAAAACAAATCACAGATGCTCTGCATGACTTCTTTTGTTGAGGCTAAACATGACCTGTCCCTTTGGTCTCTCCTCACATGATCTGCTTTCACAATCTTTCCTCATCTCTTACCCTCCAAATTGCCTCTGACCTCCTTAAAATATAAACACACTGCTTCGGCCCAGTCCTCCTAGCAAAACACGTCAGTTCAACATGCTGCTGTCAGTGTAGCTTTTGAATGGGCAAGTCACACTCTTGATACTCATTGAGTTTCCTGAGAACTAAAACTCATGTATCTTCATATGTTACTGTTTGTGCATAACTTTGTGGAGGAGTCCTAGTTTTGTCCTTTAATGTTTTCTTTTCTGTAAAAGGAGAAGATTAGACTAAATGACTAATGAGGTCCATTTAAGACAATTATTTGGAAATAATTTAAACTTAAAAAATAGGGGAAAGTGGTGTGAAGAAATTCAATATCTGTCTCTCCTAGTTTTCCTAATTTTTATTATTTTATATTTGATATGTCTCTAGATATATCTAGATAGGTAGATAGATACTCATGATTAATATTCTTTTTTCTGAATCAGTTAAGAGCAGGTACAGACATGCTGCTCCATCACCCTTAAGTACTTCAGTGTGTGTATTTCCCCCAAACCAGGATTCTATCTTACATGAGCATAATACAACATTGAGATAACACCATCCACAAATCCATAGAATCTATTCAAATTTTGCCAACTTTCCCCTGAATGTCTGTTTTTCTTTATGGTCCAGAATCCAGCGTAGGATCACATATTACATTTAGTTGACATGTCTTATTATTTTCCTTTAATCTGCTACAATTTTTCAGTTTGTTCCCCAACTTTCATGACCTTCATGGCTTTAAAAACATATACCTTTCATTCTGTAAGCTGTTGCTCCACTTGGGTACATCAACTGTTTCTTCATATCTGATCCAGGCCATACATCCTTATCAAGAACATCAAAGAAATGATACTTTACCACTGAGAGTGCATGACATTAAAAGGCATGTGGTATCAGTTTAACAGAACCACCATTATGATGTTAACTTTTAACATCTGGATTAGTGGATACTGGGATTCTCCATTATAAAGTCACCATTTTCCCACTGGTAATTAATAAGTATTTTGGAATATGCTCTGAGGTTACACCCATATTCTGTCCACATTGAAACTTCACACAGCCAGTATTGGCGGGCATTGATAGCGCCTGCCTAAATCAGTCACCATTGTGATGGCTGCCAAATGGCAATTTTCCATTTGCACCTTTGTTTTTTTTTTGTTTTTGGCATTTATTAGTCGGCATCCTTCCATAAAGAACATCTTGCCCTTCCCTGCACTTATTTACTTATTGTAGTCTAGGCTTATGGTTTTCTAGTCTATTCTATGGGTTGCATTCCATTACTTTCATTATTCATTTTGATACCCAAATTGTCCCAGATTTTGCAAGTGGGTGTCTTCTCAAGCTGGCTCTTAGGTCCCTCTGACATGTTCCCATTGTGTTTTGAGCAACCGCTTACTTTGTGGCACATCAAGATGTTCCAGGCTCATTTTGTACCTTCCCTGCCCCTGCCCTGAAATCAGCCCCACTCTCCAAAGAGGCCTGGTTCCTCTCAGTGGAAGATGGCATTTAAAAACCCGATCTGGACCCTTGGTTGGCTACTACTGCTGGGGTGTCAGACTTTTAGGCCCTTTCAGTGGACACAGTTAGGAAATAAATGATACAGGGTCACACACAACCACACATACACATGTATGTTTGTTACTATATGTGTGGATATCTGTATCTGTATCCATCTATAAATATATGTGTACCTCTATATCTCTATAACTATCACTATATTGTGGATTCACATCAATACCTTCCATTCCAAGCCAACACGTCAGGATTCTTTTTAGCCTTTCTCCTTTCTATATTTGTAAATCTCTTCTCCAACAAACAGAGAGAAACCTGACTCCCATTATCTTGAGTATATTGACTTATTTGCTCCATCTGGCCTTATATAACAATCTCTGACGACATCAGCCGCCTCCTCACTCTTGCTCCGATTGCTGCGCCTTTGATCCTCCTGCCCCTGGGCTTCTGGCTCCACCACAGCCTCTGTGACATGTCTCCTTGGTCCCTGGTTCTGCTGCTGCCTCCTCAGCTTCTGACCACACCCACTCAGTAAAATGACTTTGCTGTCCTTGCAGTTGTTCAGGTCAAAATCCTGAAGTTATCCTTCATAATATTCTTTCTCTCACATCCTGTACCCAATCTATAGCAAATTCTGTTTGCTCTCCCTTCAGATAGGCCCAGAATTCAACCCTTTCTACCATCTCCACCATGACTTCCCTGGCTCTGGCCAACATCATCTCTTGTCTGGACTTTTTTTTTTTTTTTTAGACAGGGTCTCACTCTGTTGCTCGGGCTGGACTGCAATGGTGAAATCTCGGCTCATTGCAACCTTTGCTTCCCGGGTTCAAGAGATTCTTCTGCCACAGCCTCCCTAGTAGCTGGGATTACAGGCACCCACCACTGCACCCAGCTAATTTTTGTATTTTTAGTAGAGACAGGGTTTCACTGTGTTGGCCAGGATAGTTTCGAACTCCTGACCTCAGGTGATCCACCCACCTCAGCCTCCAAAAGTGCTGGAATTACAGGCTTGAGCCACCGCGCCCGGCCTTGTCTGGACTTTTGTAATCGTCTCCTAACTGATCCCCTGCACCACCCCTTCCTTACTTTCCTAAAGACAATTGTCAGTCCAGTAGCCTGAATAGTACTTTCAAAATATGCCGCATCATTTCACTTCCTTGCTCAACGGCGTCCACATGGGCAGATCCTAACGATCTGCCTCTTTCACCTTGTCTTCTACTGCTCTCCACCTGTCCCCTCCTCAGCACGCTGGCTTTCCTACCCTTCCTTCTACCTGGGACTTTCTTCCCCATGTAGCCTCATATCTCTCTTCCTCACCACGTTTAAGTCTTTGCTCAAACATGTCTTTTTCAGTGAAGTCTTGTCTGGGCACCATATTTAGCATTGCACTCCCTCCTTCCGATTTACCTTCTCTCCCTCACCTGCTTGGCTTTTCTGTGTAGCATGTATCACAGTCTACCATACTATATATTGTCTTGATCCAGTTATAGTCTGCAGCCTCCCTGCCCTCCTGCCTTGATTATAAACTCCGTGAAAAGGGAGAGTTTGGCCCGTTTTGTTTACTGCTGACTCCACAGTGCCTATTGCAGAGCCTGATATATAAGAGATCCTCAATAAATATTGGTTAAATTAATGGATGAAATTACAAAAATACAGAAATGTATTTAGGAGTAACTATACATATACCCATGCTAAGTGGTTGCCAATGTGACTTGAGAGTCTGAGGCCAAATGGTGTTAACCTGAAAGGTTTCACAGAAAGGAATTCTGCACACACATTAAAGGCAGAGTATAGTAAAAGGCTATCAAAAATGTAAAGACAGAATAAAACACATTTCATTCAGCTCATTGAGCTTCATTGTGTTTGATGATTATGAACTAGAGTACGTAATCTGGAAACAGGGGCTATCAGGCATCAATTAACCACTTGTCAGACCAAATTATGTACCATTAGGCATTAAAATCAAAAGTCCTAGAAATATTTCCAAACACAGTCTCTAAAATCATCTATTCTATTCACAGGCTTTAGACATATTTTTCTGCTATGAAAACAGAAGCAGAAAGAACTCATTAAAGGGGTTCAGGAAATTTTAAATCTAGTACCTTCTTCTTTCTTTAAAGGCATCCACTCAGTTCACCAAGGGAAATAAAGCCTCTTCTTTCATTATTAAAGACCTAGGTCCAACTTGGTCCTTTATAAGGCATAAGTCCTCAGAAAACATTTATATAAAATGTAATGGAAACTCATACACATTGGACAAATTTTCAGCATCGATTAGTCATCACATTTTTAATGTACCTCATTCTGCATACTTTGGAAGACTCTGAGTGCACATTTGAAAACTGTTTAGAAAGCAAGTTTCACTGAGGCCAGTCTTACAATTATTTAATGACGGTGCTTAGTGACAACACATAAGATACTTATATTTGCAATTGCAAAAGTTGTTATTTTTATTTTCTATAAATCTCTCCAAATATATAGCTATACATTTGGGATATTTCAATGAGCTCAATGAATTGAATGAAAAATATAACTCTGATACAAATTTTAGGTATTCTAACTTTTAAAGGTTTTCAGCACATCCTTGACGGAATGTTGAGGTGGTTGGAAAGAGAGTTATTTCTTTTAAATTTATCTCATTAGTATGTAGCTTTCAAAATGAATTTTGGATTCTGCAAAAATAGCTATCTGGTTTGTGCATTAAGGATCTTTTGCAAGGAAGACCTTTCCATGTTTACTCAAAGGAGCCATCACTGCTAACACAATGACTGGCAAAGCTCATTGCTGGTGTCCAATGCCTACCCGTGCACAAACTGGAGACTGACCCTTGCAGCATAAATCTCTTCTTCCTGATGCTGTTACTCTGGCACTGAAAAGTGTGAATGTTACGCAAAAAGTCAAATAAACCTAAGACTTCTTGAAATGCCTCCTAAGTTATTGCCTCATGCTGTTCCTTTATTAGCTCATGCTGTTCCTTTATTAGCTGTGTGATCTCAGCCTAATCTCTCTGAATCTCAATTCCCTTATGTGAGTTGGGAATGGCAATGAGTATCTTATGGAATAGGTAGGATTAAATAAAATAATTTGGTGAAAGGTCTTTGAAAACTATGAAGTTCACAATCGTCCTCCTCATGAGGCTACCTATGGTGAGCAATGACAGAAGTTTTAAAGTGCTCTCAAATGTGAAGCCTCTCCTCCTCTTCCACCTCTTCCTCCTCCTTCTCCTTCTCTAGATGCTACAATCCTGCTTTCTCCCTAAGTGAAGTCCTACTCTACTTTTTAAAACAATTGACCTCTCAGTGATTTCTCTGTACTCCAGAACATGTTACATTTGACATGGCATGAACTAGCCCCAGAATGGTTTCTTTGAAATTGTCCCTAAATTAAAATAAAAATTTAACCAAGTTGCTGATACCAGAAAGTTCCAGAGTAAGCTCTGCCCTTTGCAGCAAAATATCAAACAGCAGTGACTGATCAATAAGCCTTCCACATAACTGCAGATCGTAAAGTCACTGTAAAGATTTAGCACTTGTCGTTTCCTTGTTCTTTGCTTGATGCATGCCAGCCTCTGAAAAGAGCACTCTAGGAGACCGAAACCAGTGAGGTTATTTTCTGATCTGGAGCAACGCATGCAACCTCAGCAGTAAGCTGAAGTTTATTATCTGAAAAGTGAATTCTTTGTCAAATTTTACAAAGCAAGAAATGCTCAAAATACAACCTAAGACTGATACATGTAAGTTGGCAGCTGTTGACATCTGTATCACCTTAAGCCAATGCTGGTAACTGGAGTGAAAGTTAATCTGAGTTATGCTTTTTATCTTTTAAAATGACAGCCATGCTCTTGGTCATGAAAATCCATGCATTTTAGCTGATATTTCATTTACTGAGATTGAGTTCATTTTAATTTTTCCTAAAAGAAATCATTGAATATCTTTCATTCAGCTAGAAACTAGGATCAGAAGCCCAGTTTCTAAAGGAGGCAACCACTTTCTCCAATTACCTTGGATTGTGCTGGTGTGAGCCTCCTCCAGTTTTGTTAGGTGATGGGTGATGATCATATCCTTTACTGTACTTGGGATTTAGGTGTACTTGGGATTTGGGTCACTGCTAACCCAAAGGGCTGTCTTTTCTGAAAATAAATCCCCGCAGGCACAAAGCTATCTTGTATTAGGGCAAACAATTGGCTGGGTCCTGGCACTCTCTGGCCCCCTTGTATTGTCTGGGGCTTTAAAGTCATGTATCTATATATTCAGGTCCCACCGACATCTAGCAGTAGCTGATTATGCAGTGTTAACCCTTCACTTTGATTGATTTCAGGAACTCTACGCTTGCTGGTGGTCCCTGAGGTTTTGTGGTAGCAGAGACTTGAGTTCCCTTTAACTAATGTTTAGGCAAGAAAGGGAAGAAGCAAAGCTCATCAAGACAGGGGCCAGACAAAGGGCTTTTTGCTGGAACAGTCATTCTATAGATCTAAAATGGATAATCCATGGGTTGAATTATTACCCTTTTAATGCAACTTTATAATACTCTTATGAAGTCAGCTGGGGTCACTTCAGGTCAAAGCAAGACTAGCCGATTTCTGTAGTGATAGTATCCTATAATCTCGACTGTGTGGCTCCTAGATCTTGTCAGTCTCTATCTCTGACCTAACCCTCACTTTTATGATCTTGTCTTACCTGGCTTGATGTAGTTGTTTGTGGGGGTTGGATTGTCCCCAGTGGAAGAGGCTGATGCAAGATTTTGCCAGACCCGCGATGTTGTGAAAAGGGATTTGAGACAGGTATCATGCAGGCATCACACAGGAATCCCAGAAACATGAAGGGTTTCTTTGGAACTGTAAGATACTAAATTATGAGTTGTTTCCTCCGTAAATAGTGTATCACTGACACTTTAAAGGGAAGAATTTGCTCCAGAGAATTGTTCAGTCATCAGATTCTAAGTAAACTTGTTAGTGTTCTCATATTTCCCACATCATTGGTCAACAAAAGGGACAATGCTTATTTTTAAAAGCTAATCTAGAATTTAAAACCTATAAGAAAATGACATTTCTCCCAGTGTTTCAACTTTAAAACCTGTATTTATGTGCACATAGCAAAGATTCCTGTAGGACCCTGAGTCACCTGGAGACTTATCAGGTTTGGCCAGATCTGTCTTCAGATTATGTTTTGAATATGCCCACCTCTTCTGTCCTGCAGTTTCCAAACCTTTGTTTTCTCTTGCCTGGACTATCAGTAGCCTCCTGACTATTCCCCACCCCTGCTGCCTTCTGTCTTATCCTCCGCATTTCATCCAGAGAGGTCCCTCTTTTACTTGATACATTTCAGTGACTTTCCATTCCCCGCAGATGCAATGCATAAATGCACAATGGAGCCCAGGCAGGGATTGCCACCTGCCTACCTAGCAGCTTCATCTCCTCTCACCTCACCAGGCCCCAGTGCGGCTTACTCTGAGTTCTACGATTGCAAAGAGCTCTTTTCTACCCCGGGCCTTCTCACTGGCTGTTTTATCTGCCTGGATTCCTCTTTCCCATCTCTTCATTTTGCTAAGGCCTGTTTTATTCCTCAAGCCCAATTGCTGACTCACCTCCTCAGGGGGAGCTGGCTCTCCCCTTGCACCTCTCAATTTCAGTTAAATTCCACATAACCTGTATATTCGCCCACCCCCAGCTCTGGACACTCAGTAGTGGCCGATTCATGACATTCCCTGAGATGACCGCAAGATCTGTGAAGACAGAGACAGTGAGAATTTGTTCTCCCCTTTGTCTACAGCAGGTAGACGACCTTCACCTGGAGAGAAGGTGGCACATTGTGGTCGATCACACCAGCTCTGGAGCGAGACTTCCTGGGTTTAGTTCCAGCTCTGTCTTTCTGACCTGGGGTAAGTGACCAGCACCTCTGTATGTCAACTTCCTTATCAGCCCAAACGGACCACTGTGGTACCCATACCATTAGATTTCCTTTTCTGTCAAGTGGGGATAATGACAGGCTCCTTCCACAGTACAAAATTACGAAGTTTCGCTTAGTTCGTATGTTAATATACTTTGGATATTTGTCTCAGTCACCTGTTGAATTGTAATCTGCAGTGCTGGAGGTGGGCCTGGTGGGAGGTGTTTGGATCATGGGGGCGGATCCCCAAGACTGCTTGATGCTGTCTTCCTGATAGTGAGTTCTCACAAGATCCGGTCCTTCCTCCCAACCCTCTCTCTCTTGCTCCTGCTCTCCCCCGTTTTGCCTGCTCTCCCTTCACTTTTCGCTGTGATCATAGCGTCCTGAGGCCTCCCTAGACGCTGAGAAGACGTCAGCACCGTGCTTCCTGTAAAGCCTGTAGAACCCTGAGCCAATTAAACCGCTTTTCTTTATAAATTACCCAGTGTCAGGTGTTTATAGCAATGCAAGGACTACCTAACACTTATTTGTAAAGCACTTAAGAAAATTTCGAGCACCTGGTAAACAATGTTAGTTATTATTATAAGGTATTCTTACAATCAATAAATATTTTTTATTGAAAAAATGAATTGATTTATTCTACTTTTGTCATAGATTTTTTGTCCTCATTTTGGATAATTATTCCTTGATTTAAATTATATAATACATATTAGTAATATGTATTATATATTAGTTATATGTAATACATATTAGTAATATGTATTATATAATTATAATAGATAAAATAATAAAATCCTCCTGGTTAACATAATTAGTTAAGAATTACATTTTTTAGTCAAGAAAGATATGATAAACAGCATCGAAAGTGCCAGATTTGTACTTTTTAAAATATCAATTCAGAGTTGTAATGGATTTTGTTTTTGACACTTTCTTTGCCTTCCCATCACAGTTCAGGCATAAAATGATGGCTCACACAGTATCCCAAATTTGGCACTTCTTTTGATAGAAAAATAGAAGAAGGACCTGGAAAATCTCTGATAATTAACAAAGAGAGAAGAGCCATTTTGTTCCTTTTTTCAGATAATGTTTGCCATCATCCAAATATATTTATTAGGAACATTGCCATAGAGAACAAATATATTTATTAGGAACATTGCCATAGAGAAATTGCCAGCTTCTTGACTGGTATCAGAAAAAAATGCCTAAATTAACATTAGCTATCTATGTTTTTGGTCTCTTTTTTCTTTAAGTGAATAAATCCATTACACGAATAGAAAGAATAGTGAAAAGAACATTTGTTTCTACTCAAACCTTGGCTGTTTATGGTTGCGATGTCTCTTTTTAAGCTAAAAGCATCTCTGTCATTATTTTCTGTAACTAGTCCATCATTTATTACAGCGTATTTATCATTTTCTAGTTCACAACATTTAGAATGAACCATTATGACACTTAGGTCAAGGTAGCTTGTTATGTTGGAATGGTTTCTCTAATAATATATTAATGGCCATGATTTGGATATGTGATTATTTACTTTACAATTGGGCAAAATAATTGAGTATTTCTAAAATATAGGTATATCATATCCTGGAGAGTTGTTCTGTTTTTATTGTTGTTACTATTGTTGTTTTTTATGAAATGTATACATATGGGCTGGGCGTGGTGGCTCACACCTGTAATCCCAGCACTTTTAGAGGCTGAGGCAGGGGATCCCTTGAGCCCCGAAATTTGAGACCAGCCTGGGCAACATAGTGAGACCCCATCACAAAAAAAGTATATATATATGTATGCAGGCTTCACAGTGAACATTGAAGAAAATTAACCTCTGCTTTATAACAATAGTTTGCAGTTTCTCTCAGAACAGGGCATGACTTAGCTACCTGCTTTACTGAGTTTTGAAAAGGCTTTTGTATATAAAATTACACCTTAATTTAGTGACTCAAACCCATACCTATTTTGGTTAGAAGATTGGAATATAATTAATGTCCTTAGTTGTTGGCTGGTTTATCCTTCAAAGGCTAAATTTAGCTGTATAGAACTATTTTATATTAAAAGCCAATTTATTTGCTATTTGTTAAGTTCCATGTTTTTATTTAAAATAAGCCTTTATATTATTCCACAGCTTCCCACCTCCCCATCCCCAGATTATCCCACCCACTGTCAAATTTGCTGTTTGAAATTTTTGACACTCTTATTCTTGTATATATTTTTAAATATAAAAATAAAACCTTACTGTATGTACTGCGTGCTAACCTGATTATTTTCATTTAATAAGTATTGTGAACATTTTGCTGTTCGAAAAGTCTAATTTTTACTTTTTGGAAAAAAAAAAGCCAACAACCATAGTTCTGATTCTTAGATCCTGTTTCTCGAGGGCTCAAGTGCTGAAATACTGACTCTGCAAACTGAGGTCTGAGTACGAGTCCAAGCAGTCCACGAAGCCTCACGAAATGTTGCAGTCAAACATGGAAGCTAAGCAATACTCTTACAAAGCGTTAGGTTAGGTTAGCTCCTCAGTAAATCAAGGGCAGTCCAGGGTGCAAAAGTCTGTCATTTGTTATTTGGTTGTTTTTAAAACACCTGCAGATATAGCGATTAAAATAACCTTCTGTTCGAAGTACAGGTATATATCCATTTTATTGCCCGAGTATGGATTCCTGTTGGCTGAGATCAGGCCATATCAAATGTAGTTTGCCACATTCTACCTGCCTAATCCTGATCGTTGTCTTGATTTAGGCAGCTGAGAGCAGAGTTGGAGTAGTTTTTCTTCACTGCAGCTTGGGAAATCTCCCCTACTTTTTTATTGTGGCATAATATAGATATTTACCATCTTACCCACTTTATATGTACAGCCTAGTGGCATTAAGTACATTTACATTGTTGTGCAATCCTTGCTTGAAACTTTTTGAGTTAAGCAGCAACGTGGACTATGCTAAGGTGTTTTGTTTTGTTTTGTTTTGTTTTGTTTCTCCTTGGATGCTCTTCTCCCTTCAGCAGTGACTGATGAGAACACGCGGCTAACCAGAAGTACTTGGTAATTCTGGATGCTGGAAATTTTATTCCAGATAAAGTACTTTCTGATATTGTCTGGGATGACTATTTAGAATGATTTTGAGTTTTACACTATTACTTAGGAGCAGAGAGTTTTATAGAAAGCTGCTAGTATTAAGGACATTGATCAATACCAGGAGACAGTTGTTGCAGAACTTGACCTTTAGAAGTGGACACTCTCTTCCTCTCTTCACGTCCCAGAGTTCTGAAGCAGTGGACCTCAGTGCTATTTCTTATTTTATCAGATAATTGCAACTTCAGGTGCAAACATTAACCACCAAAAGTGTATTGTTATGTTTGATTGCACTCAGAATAACCAATCAGACTGCATTTGCATGACAGGCAATGAGACAACTTTGAGACTGAGCTCAATTACTTGTTCTGGGAGTGCCATCCTCAACAAGATTGAACAGGTGGGCTCTCTGTAAAGCCATCATGCCTCCACGTCTTTCATTCAGATGCAAAGAAGAGCCAGTGCCAGGCATACATGCCTTTTTTCTCTGTTTGTGCTCTCTTCAAAGAGCACAGACAGACACTGCAGATTCGTGCAACGTGCCTCAGATGGCTCTCCGGGTACCTGTGCATGGCCAAATGAACCAGGAAACCCAACATGTGTGCAGACCCATTTTCATTTGAATTCCCATGTGAATCCCCTCATATTTTCTAAGTGTTAACTCTGAATGAGTGTGCAAATCATGAATAGACCACTGCTGTTTTGTTTTCCTGCCTTCAGTTTGCTACTCTGTGCAGAGAGAACTGGCCAGGTGTGAACCCCAGCCTGATGTGCTCAGAGCAGTCTACAGGAATACTGGAACTCAGGTTACATTCTTTCTTGTTACATTCACGCTCCCCACCCTGGTGACATGTTGTCTTTTTCCTGAATATTTCATGAGGGGCTAAGTTCAAATGAGTAAGTATGTTTGCAGCAGCAGCTCTCAGACTTTTTGTTCTCCTGATCTTTTTACACTCTGCTCTAATCTGAATGTTTGTGCCCCTCAAATTCACATGCTGAAATCCTAACCCTCAAATTGATATTGTTAGTAGGTGGGAACTTTGGGAGGTGATTAAGTCATGGGAGAGAAGCCCTCATGAATGGGATTAATGCTCGTATAAAAGGGGCCTAAGGGAGTTTCTTTGTCCCTTCTGCCATATGAGGACACACAGAAGGTGCCATCTATGAGAAACAGGCCCTCACCAGATGCCAAATCTGCCGGTGCCTTAGTCTTGGACTTTCCAGCCTCCAGAACTGAAAGGAAGAAATATTTGTTGTGTATAAGGCATCCAGCCTATGGTATTTTTTTACAGCAGCCCAAATGAACCAAGACACACTCATAAATTTTACTGGGGACCCCAAAGAACTTCTGCTTACGTGGATTGCATCAGTATTTATCACATTAGAGAATAAATGTAAGAAAGTGAAAAATATCTAAATACAAGCTGCCAGAGCAATGACATCATTACATGTCGTGTAGACTCTGGAAACTTCATAGTCTACTCATAAGAGAATAAGAGTAAAAAAAGGCAATAATGTCTTAATTTTATTGTGAAAATAGTTTTAACTGCGCAGATTCCCTGAAAGGGTCTCAGCCACTGCCCAGCATTTCCAAGACCACATTTTGAAAACCACTGTCCTAGAATAAATTCTCATTTTTTAGTTTTTTTATACTCTTAAAAACATTACTATTTCAAAGCATCCAAAGGACATATTTAGGAAACAATATTTGGTAACATTCTGCTTGACTTGAAGTGTAGGTGGCAAAGGTGCTTGAAAAAGGAAGTTTTTTCCCTTCAAGATACTTTTCTTGGAGTTAGATTGTCTATTTTTTCCCACCGCCTACATCTCACAAAGTTAGTCCTCTGTCAAGACTAGAGTCTTCAGCCGTAGTTAAAAAATTGTGGTATAGAAATAGCAGATAAAACTGTAAATAAAACTAAGCTTGTTTCCACCATTGATTGTGTTGAAGTTTAGTTAATGGACTTTGTGGGTATTTGAGCCCCGTGTTTGACATACAATCAAAATAAGGAGAAAACATCCCTCCTTTGGGTAATCATTCTGCAGGGAATGTGGTAGGGGGAACAGTGTTGGCATTTCAGAAAAATGCCGTCAGAGTGGCTTGCTGCTGGAGATTTCAGAGAGAAGCCACAGAGATCCAGAAGGAACTAAACTACAACAGCAGCAACAACAACAAAACTTCAAGGAAAGGTGCTGGGTTTAGGAATTAGAGGAATTGGGCCAGCATGTGGTGGGTGGCAGGCAAAGGTGCGTAGATCTTTATTTACACTGAGCACATACAAATTAGTCGGTACTCAATAATGCAGGCAAGAAATAGCAGAGGGAAGGGAAAAGGCTGTGCTTAGAAGTCAGGCTGTCAGGCCTTCCACCGACTGACTGTGTGAATCTAGATTAAGTAATCAAATTACTTAATCTCTCTGAACTACTTTCTTTTCTGCAGAATAGCATTCTAATACTGTCTTGCCCTGTGATGGCCAGAAGTAGACATAATAGTTTCTGCACATGCCAGTTGCTTAATAAGCAATAGCAGGGAAGATGCACAGGAAATAAAAAGACACATGGTGATCATGATGATGCTTTGTTCACTCTTCACCTCCACAGACCTCCAGAAATCTAAGGGAAAGGGAAACACCTGCAACTTTGCTCCCCACCCTGGCCCTCGACTTGCCCTTTACCCTAAGATCACCCCCATTGTTTTGCAGGTGCCTGCGGATACTGCCAGACTCTGCAATGCTCAGCATGAGAGTGGACTGGGGGGTAAACGGGGAGGGGTCCCACTGTTTGAATAATCCCAAAACTTGTTCTCCAGGGGCCAGGAGAGTGGCTCCTTCCCGGCCAGACTCTGCTTTCCAAAATCATATGCAAGACCACAGTCTTGGTTGGTAACATTCTTTCACCAAGAGGTCAGTGAAAGCATCCACTGCCTTCCATTGAAAGTGGAAGAGGGAATTTGGAAGACAGGCCTTGCAGATGAGTTTCGTCTTCCCTGCCAGTTATTATCGCATGTCTAAGTTAGGGTGTTAACACTTCAGATGAGTCACTCATGGCAGTGGCTAGACATTTTCTCATTACTTATTAAGAATAGTGTGACTTTTTATTTCCTGCTCATCTTCCCTCCCTCCCTCTCTTTGAAGCCTTTGCAACTATCTAATTTGTCAGTGCTGGAAAATTTCACTTATGTGCTACTTTCTCCATCTCCCAGATCATTAACAAAGGTGTAAAACATGAAGGGGAGAACAGAAAGAAATGAGACATGTTTCAGGACTTTTTAATAACATAAGAGTACATTTAAAGATGTGAAAATGACACTCAGGATAAAGGAAGAAAAGCACACCTTAGTAATAGGATTCCCTGTGCTTCCCAACAAAGGTTATAATTCGGAGCAATGATCAGCTGAAACTTTTATTAGAGGAAAAGAGTGATTTTTTCACATTACATTGTTTGTTAGATGTTGGTCAGGGTTCATAGTGTCACCTTTCACTTTGCTAGGTGCTTCAGGGACATCTAAACAGGGTTAAAGAGAGGCAAGGAAGATGGGAAGAAAATAAAATACCACAGTATTATTAACTCACCAAGACTTGGTGAGATATTTTATTCTCTCTTGGGCTATACGTCAGATTATTCTTTTGGAAATCCTTAGTTTTGCAAGAACTGGCCAAGTGACATTGGATGCATTAACTACCTAACTTTCCTTTGAAGTTAGACGAACCTAAACCACTACCATCCTGTTTTGCACGATGGCCAGAAGCTGCCAGCTGGGTGCCATGGACATCAATGGAATGATATCAATAATGAATTGGGCACCTACTCTATGGCACTCCATTTTAGTCACTGTAAGCAGAGTTCATTCCTCTTAAGGACCTACAAAAAATTAAAAATAAAAAATGAACTAAGGAAACCTGACAAGCTGAACAAGGAAAGCTGGCAGCAAAAGATAAAGTAACAAAGCGTTGGTCAGAGGCTGCGGACTGTACACAGGAACCCCAGGGCCCTCAAGATAGGCGTGGTGGCTCATGCCTGTAAACCCAGCACTTTGGGAGGCCGAGGTGGGTGGATCACTAGAGGCCAGGAGTTAAGAGACCAGCCTGAGCAACATGGCGAAACCCCGTCTCTACTAAAAGTACAAAAATTAGCTGGGCCTGGTGGCTCGTGCCTGTGATCCCAGCTACTTGGGAGGCTGAGGCACAAGAATCACTTGAACCCAGGAGGCAGAGGCTGCAGTGAGCTGAGGTTGTGCCACTGCACTCCAGCCTGAGTGACATAGTGAGACTCTGTCTCAAAAAAAAAAAAAAAGAAAAATATAAAAGATAATATTTTGAGATGAAGAAAGAAAATATGAAAATCACCCACATTTAACTTTTATCTTTTGATTTCTATTTTCATGATGCATTAAAATATGCATTTACAATGCCCATTAGGTAGTACAGTTATATAGTTTTTAAATGGGCATACATAAATGTTTTGCCAGTGGGGATCTTGTTCAATAGAGTTGAGAGACCCCTGCAGCAGGCAGTGAGAGCTGAAGGAGCCTGGGGAGAAATAGATCAATGTGGGCTCCAGCCAAGAGGCAAGGAGGGGCAGAATTGAAATGAGTGGGAGAGGGGAGAATATCCCAGTCCAGAAAGACAATAGGAGCCAAAAAATGGAGGTCAGTGGCCACAGAATGTTTCTGAGACTGGAAAGAGACTGACCAGTCTAGGGAGGAGGGAATGTGCTTGAGATTGGAATAACAGATACGGATTTGTTGTCAGAGGGAGCAGAGTAGGGTGTAGGGAATTTCAATTCATGAATACAGCGTGAGACCTGACAGGTGGAGGACATGAAGACTAAGAGAGGTGAGAGTGGATATTTAGGAGGTTTTGAACTGGGCTCTAACACGTTGAAAGTTATGTTTATGGAAAACTAACTTGTCTGCACAATGAAGCCTGGGTTGAAGCGGGAGGTGTGAGGTAGGGATTTTCAGTAGAAATAATGGACAGAAGGCAGGAGCAGATTATGCTAAATTGGTGCAAAAGTAATTGCAGTTGTGCCATTAAAAATAACATCAAAAATCACAGTAACTTTTGCAACAACCTAATATTCAAGTGGTAAAGGTGCAAGATGAGTCCCTAATGGTTCTGGGTTAGGGACTAACCCTATACTCAAGTTCATTGTCCAGGGTGGTCTACCCAACAGGCAGCACTCCATGCTGGGCAGGCTGAGGCTCTGGGTCAATAGACCCAGTTTGAATTCAAGCTTTATGGCTTCTTTCAGCTATAGCCACACGCAAGATACTTTAACCTCTGAAACTTGTTTTCTCATTTGTAAGATAGGAACAATAGTAGTGCCCACCTGATGGTGTTATTGTGGGGACTAAGTGAGGTGCACACCTAAAGCCATTTGTAAAGGGCTTATCAATATAGTATTCAGAAAGGATTCTAAAATTTTGAATAAAGGTTATGTTCATGAAAACAGCAATAAAATATAAACATTAATTGAATGAGATGCTCTTTAAAAACAAACCTTAAAGACGAATATATACATAAGATCTTTTTATTGACGCAATTTTCTGTTACTTTTAGTTATTTGTTTTCCCATTTCATTCCTTCAAAAGCAAATGTTAAATTTTCACCCAAGCTTTCACTTTGAATTCCTGCCCTTCTCCTCCCTCACAGGCTCTTACGCCTTGAGGGGTAATGGCATTGACACTAATCAGGTTCTCAAACTTCAGCACGGCTTCTTTAAACACTCATCGCTGGCCCCACTCACAGTTTCTGATAAGATTCCCAGTGATGCCAGCATTGCTGGCCTGGAGATCACTCTTTGAAAACCACTGTTGTAGAAAACCGAGTCCTACGTTTTTCTTCCTAGGTAGATCCTAGGTTCGGATTCTTGGCTTTGCGGTTAACTCCCTCACTCCATTAACTGAAGAAATCTTGGTGGTGGTATGGTTGGGAAATGGGAAGACAGTGTATTTTATTTCCTTGGTCTTAGCTTTGCTGCAATTCATTACATATGGAAAAGCAGAAATGTATGTAGACTTTGTGTGCCTCCACATAAAAGAGATACGACAAAACTTTGTTCTGTCATTAAAAGTAATCTCAGAGTTTTTCTCTAGCCATGTGGAAACGAGTTACAATCCCTTTCTTCCTCCATCATTTAGTATGGGTGATTGGACATTTCTGCCAAATGAATTTTAATTATAGTGATCCTTTTAAAAATGGCTGATACTCATACATTTGAGTAAAACACAAAATGTGTTCTGATATTTAAATTTTGTTTACAAATCCAAGCTTATGCTAAAGGACAGATTTTTTATAATTATTTAAAATATTTTAAAATTGTGGTAAAATACACATAATACAGGCATATCTTGTTTTATTTCAGTTTGCTTTATTACACTTTGCAGATATTGCATTTTGTACACATTAAATATTTGTGACAACCCTGAGTTAAGCAAGTCTATCAGGCCATATTTTCAACAGCTGTGTTCACCTCATGTCACTGTGTTACATTTTGGTAATTCTCACAATATTTCATATTTTTAAATTATTATTGTATCTGCTATGATGATCTGTGGTCAGTGATCTTTGATATTACTATTAGAATTATTTTGGAGCGCCATGAACTGCATCCATATAAGACAGTGAACTTAATCAATAAATGTGTGTGTTCTGACTGCTCCACCGCCAGCCGTTCCGCAGTCTCTCTCTGTCTCCTTAGGCCTCCTTATTCCCTTACACATGAATATTAGCATTAGGCCAATTAATAACTCTACAATGGCCTCTAAGTGTTCAACTGAAAGAGTCATGTGTCTCTCGATTTAAATCAAAAGCTATGAATGATTAAGCATATTGAGGAAGGCATGTCAAAAGCCAAGACAAGCCAAAAGCTAGGCCTCTTGTGCCAAATAACCAAGTTGTGGATGCAAGGAAAAGTTCTTGAAGGAAATTAAAAGTACTACTCCAGTGAACACATGTATGATAAGAAAATGAAAGGGCTTCATTTCCGATAGGGAGAAAGTTTAGCGGTGTGGTTAGATCAAACCAGCTACAGTATTCTCTTAAGCCAAAGCCTAATCCAGAGCAAGACCTTAACTCTCTATAACTCTGTGAATGCTGATAGAGGTAAGAAAGCTGCAGAAGAAAAGTTCAAAGCTAGCAGGGATTAAATCATGAGGTTAAAGGAAAGAAGCTATCTTCTTAATATAAAAGTGCAGGGTGAAGCCATAAGTGCTAGTAGAGAAGATGCATCGAGTTATCCAGAAGATGTAGCTAAGATCATTGGCGAGGTGGATAACAGATATTCAGTGTGAGCAAAACAGCCTTCTATTGGAGTAAGATGCCATCTAGGCCTTTCATAGCTAGAGAGTATTGTTTGATTTATAGAAGTTTTAAATTTTGATATAGCTCAATTTATTTTTCCTTTTTTTTGCTTGTGCTTTAGCTATCATATCTAAGAAATCATTGCCAAATCCAAAGTCATGAAGCTTTCCCCCTATGTTTTCTTCTGAGAGTTTTATAGTTTTAGCTCTTTCATTTAGGTCTTTAACATATTTTGGGTTAATTTTTATATAAAGTAAGGGTCCAATTCTATCCTTTTGCATATAGATATCCAGTTTTCTCAATACCTTTTGTTGAAAACACTATTTTCCCCATGGAATGGTTTTGGCACTCTTGTTGGAAATCATTTGACAATATATGTAAATACTCAGCAAGTTGTAACTATTGTTCATGTCAATATTATCACTCAAAGGCTGAAATGTGATGATACCACATTGCCTCCTTGAGCAGGTCTAAAACCTTTGTTTGGTGATTGCAATATCTGGATATCCTCAGCATCTGTCTTTATTGACTATCTTTTTAAAAATGTCACATTTTCCTACTTCTTTGCAAATCTGGTGATTTTTCATGGGGTAATGGGCATTATGAATGACAAGTTATTGGGACTCTGCAATCTGTGACATTCTTCTGAAGAGCAGCTTTCTTTTTCTAGCTGGCAATTGAATTGGCTGGTTTTGAACAACCAATTGTCTCCCATATGGTGGGCAGCAGGTGAAATCTCAGCTCAGTTCTTTCAGATTCTAGCTCTTGGTTTTGGTCTGGCCTCCCCTAAGATCTCCCTCATACATGTTTAGTTAGTAGTCTGCCAAGAGTTTAATCAGATTTCTCTTCATAGATTTTTATGCACATTTTCTGAGACTCCCTTCCTTCCAGCCTCATAACTTGCTGAGTTCTCTGAGCCTTAACTCTGTCCTCTGGCACCTTAAGCCAATAAGTTTGCTGATTTCTGCCACTTAAATACAGAGAGATTGAGGATTATCTCCAAGAAAAAAATCACACACTTGCAAATCTCACCCACTGTAGTTGATCTTTCAAGGTTCTGCCTGTGTTTGGCCATTTCAAATAGTTCAAATAGTTGTTTGATTTTTTATTTGTCAAGATTTTGTAATTGTATCAGGAAGTTATGTCTTATCAAGTTATTTTACCATTAGCAGAAGCTGGAGCTCAGAGTCTGTAAAACAATGGATTTAATAAAGAATTTTCTTGACATAGGGATGGCACATTTCAATTCATCTTAATGTTGTAATGTGTGAGACTTCTTAGCTTACTAATCCTCTATGTAATGCAAGTACACAATATTCACTCTGTAATCTCCCATTATTACATCACATATTAAGCTCACTTTATAGGTTTCATCTTCACTGTGATACTCTATGCAAAATATTCTATTTTTTGTTTGTGTCGGGGGAGAAGTGGAGGGTGAGCAGCTTTCTTTGTAACACATAAATTTCTCTAAAAGTTGAATTATCTATTCTGTTTTTCAGAAGGTCTACATTGCTGAGACATTTAAGTCTCCTATGATTCCTATTTCCCCAGATCTCTCAGCGTCTTAAATAGCTTTTACGTATTATTTATTTGAGGCGGGAGAAGGCAAAGTGTTTCTTTTCAAGCAGCTGCTTCAAAAACCAATGATGCAACATAAAATTAAAAAGAAAATCTATGTCACATAGAACTTGTGATGCACATTTTGTAGCATTCTCTAGGGTCCTGTTCAGAGAACCTGGAAGCAGTTTTTAAAGATATTATAAGAATATATTGTATGTCCAAACTGCAAACAGAAAAAATTGGAAAATAGGACCTTGGGAATACAAGCTCAAAGAGTCCATTTGTGGATGTACTGAAAAGCAATATTGGGCCTTCAAAAATGGCATCATACTTCAAACTAGAATTTTAAGTAAGTAGCTATATTATAGTAGTGAAATCTCCACACTGTTGCTTGTTTTTACACACCAGCAGAAGAGGCATGATTTACACAAAAAGAATGAAGAGTAACTTGTCCCCATCATACCTTATTACCTAATACCCATGTTAAAGGCTTTAAAAAATATTTCACTATTAAATGCAATGATTTCAACCAGGGCGGTCATCAGAATTATGTGGGGCTCTTTTTCAAATACGCAGGCCTGAGCCCTACTCACAGGAATGTGGATTCGGTTGAACTCGAGTAGAGATTTGGGCTCCTGTATTTTTTAAAGGCCCTCAAGAGAATCCTAGAAGCACCCGCTAGGCACTCTTAGAAAAAGTCTCATCAATAAGAACGCATAACAAATAGTTGCTCAGAAGTAAGGAAATAACGGAATGAAGAATGTTTATTGTGACACTCAAGTCAAACTTGGAATATTTCAGGTCATAAAAGATAGAGGCAATAATGCTAAATGCTATATTTGGATGAAATTGAGCAAGTCTAAGCGAGTAAGTTTTGCAGGTTATTCTTGGTGTCATCCTTTAAAAAATTACATAAGACTCATTAAAGTATTCTCCTGATGACAGATAAAGGACCTAAAAATCCAGATATACATTTTATTATCTTTCAGACCCAATAAATGGGAAGCAGATCTTAGTCACATGCAGAATTTAGCATGCACAGAGTTGCTGTCAGCCCCTGGAGGCAAATCGGGTTTCTGGTTGAAATCACGTTACTATTGTAGCTGCTTCTGTTCTGCTAATTGAAAGAGCTCTTGCCATGATTGTGGATGCTAAAATAGACTTCTCAAGAGTTGGTTCTTGGTCTGACGAAAGTAGCAAAGGTAGAAAGGCCCTTGTGAAAAAGAACAGTAACACCAACTCTTGACCTGTTTCCCACATACCTTTCACTTCTGGAGTCAGCCTCTCATTTTCAGTTTAAACATTTGTAGATTATCACACTCCATAGAAATTTTTTGAATATAAGAACCAGACACATCAGTTGGTGTGGTTTCTCAGCTTGCAACTTTTCCCCAACCATGTTACAGTTTCCAGTATTGAATGTCTGGTAAATTTGTTATCAGAAAAAGTAGAATACTAAGGGAGAGATTTTATAAACTTCTATCAATATCTCACAATCTTACAAAGTTGAAATCAATTTCTTCAGGCCACGAGCCTTATTGTAATTGCATAATGGTTATTAGTCCTTTGTAATACATAGAAATCCACATGTGATTGACAGCGTATATGACAAAGTATAATATAACATTGTCCTTCATAATCAAAATGGCATAAACAATGTTATGATGATATCTGTGCGGGTGCCTCAAATTTTAAATCAGTACCCATATAGAGGAAGAATATAAAGTATTTTAACTACTACGTATTGTTCAGTAAAAGAGGATATTCTTCCAGAATGTTAAACATAGCTACAGCTTTATATATTTAGGCCATTAAGTTTAAACTAAATTCCGAGCACAGTATTAGAGGGCATAGGTCACACATTCTCAGAATTTGATCCAATAGCCCTTAGAGGGGTAGATAAGAGAAATGAGGAACACCTCTTTTTCATTTCTATGTTGACCACGTTATTATCTGCTCTTAATGAACTTTCACTTACAGAACTCTTTACATTTTTCTATGTCCATGATCTGAGGCCTTATCATAAGGGATAGGCCAAAAATCTAGATACAGAGACTCTTTTCATTAGGCTCAGAAGGACAAGATTTAGTGTTAGAAATTATTTTAGTTAAAGATTTAGCATATTCTATTCTGATTCATGCTCTGAAGTAAGCTAGACGAATATATGCTTAAGGCTCGAGGATTTATGAATAGAGTAAAATTGATAACACTGCTAGGCTTAAGGCATCCTCCTCCTGGAATAAGAACCATTTCTAGATGAGAGGGCATACAATTTTAAATGGAAAAGGAAATTAAAATAAAGTGAAATCAGTAGTTTATGTTATGGCAACAGCTAGTTAATGTTGATATCTACCAAGAATGTGTGTGCTTGTCAGACGGTGTGGTGAGTTTCCATCCCTCCAGCTCCCCTTAGGGGTGCTCCTGCACCCTGCCCACCCAGATCCTGAGCCAGACTTGGCCAGATCAGGCTGACTCTGTCTCTAAGGGACTGGGGACTAGGTGAGTGAGGAAAGGAGAATCAGGGGTGAGTTTTGAATTTGTTCTGGAGTCATCAGCCCAATACTGAAGGATCCCTGGGAGTGATTGTGTACCTGAGCTGTGGCTTTTGTCTAAGCCTCCTTGGAGTTTGCCCAAGGGCCAGGATAGCCGAGTAATTCCGATCCTGCCTCTGGAATGAGTATCCCAGCTTTAAAGCGCAACTCTACATCTCCTGTGTGACCTGGGCAACTTACTCAACTTCTGCAGCCCTCAGTTTCTCTATCTGAAATGCAGATAATAATAGTTTCTATCCCCTGACCTACAGCATGATGTCCTTTTTGTGCCTAAGTTTCCTCATCTATAAAACAATAATAACAGGACTTACCTCACTTATTTGTGTGAATATTAAATGAATCAATCTATGGAAAACATGTTAACTATGCGTGGTACCTACTAAGGGCAACGTGACTGATAGCTGTTATGAATGGTGTGCGAATTAAGTAAAATAAGGAATATAATGCAAACAGCAAACACTTAAAAATATTAATTGCTTGCTCTTCTTTCTCAATTCCTGATTTCCATCAGGCTCCTTTTGAGAGGCTAGAGCTCTCTTCTATTCCAGCCTGACTGGAGGGGACTCTAATAATCGTGCTCTGATAATCCTGCTGGTCTCCTCCTGGAGATTCCCCCTGAGCCCCATTCCCTAGCCAGAGGTCCCAGGGCACACTGCTGCTGCCACCTGCCAGCCTTGGAGGCTGTCTATTATCTAGAGACTTCTGCTTCTGTGCCCCACTCTATCCTCCCCATTCCTCTTATTTGTTAACACTTGTCTTTGTCACCCTTAAGTTCGCCATACCCGTGTCTGAGCTTTATGATTTGGACCAGTGTCCACTTCGCTGGCCAGGGACACACAGATATGTTCCTTCCCCAGCCCAGGTTAAGCCAGTCCTGCCTTCCCTTTCCATCAGTCTCCTGCTTTCATCCTAGGATACTTCGTGGGCATGCTCCCTTGGAATAGTACAATGCGCTCCTCCAGATAAAGTGATGAGGGAAGCCTTTTTAAAACATTGTGGTAAAAAATGTGCCTAACAAAATTTACTACCTTAACCATTTCTTTCTTTTTTTTTTTTTATTTTTATTTTTTTGAGATGGAGTCCTGCTTTGTTGCCCAGGCTGGAATGCAGTGACACTACCTCGGTTCACTGCAACCTCCAACTCCCAGGTTCAAGAGATTTTCCTGCCTCAGCCTCCCAAATAGCTAGGACTACAGGCACCCACCACCTAATTTTTGTATTTTTAGTAGAGATGGGTTTTGCTATGTTGGCCAGGCTGGTCTCGAACTCATGACCTCAAGTGTACTGTTCAGTAGTGTAATACATTCATTTTGTTGTGAGCCCATTACCATTATCCATCTCTAGAACTTTTCACCTGGCAAAACTGAAACTAAACTCTGCACCAATTAAATAATAAATCTCCTTTCCCTTCCCCAGCTCCTGTCAACCACCGTTCTACTTTCTGTTTCTATGAATCTGACGAATCTAGATACCCCATACAAGCAGAATTGTACAGTATTTGTCCTTTTGTGAACATCTTACTTGACTTGGCATAAGGTTCTCAAAGTTCATTCATATTATAGCATTTGTCAGAATTTTCTTCCTTTTTAAGGCTGAATAATATTCCCTTCAATGTATATACCACATTTTGCTTATCTAGTCATCCAGGAATACTTGGGTTTTTTCTACTTCTCAGCTATTGTGAATAATGGTGCAGTGAACATGGGTTCACATATATACTTTCAAGACTCTGCTTTGGATTTTTTGGTGTATATGTAGGAGTGGAGTTGTTGGGTCATATGATAATTCTATTTTTAACTTTGTGCGGAACCACCACATTATTTTTGAGGGAGGACTTCTCTTCATAAAGATTATTTCTGTGTATTTTTATGGCTTTCACCTTGATATGAGTTATATAATTAAGTATTGCATACTTGCCACCTAGAGTTCATCTTTGATGGCAATACTTGAGGTTGACCCTGTTAATTTTTGTGATCATTTCATGAAGAACAGACTTTGGCTATAAAAATCTAAATATGCTGAAGAAAATGTTAAAATGCTAGATCAAGAAGAGAGGAGATACCAGGACATCTGGAAATCATTAGCATCAATTAAGAAATCGTTGCCTTACAGATATTGTGATGAGTATTCCTTGTCAGTTATAAAAAACTAGTGATCTAGGAGGAGGAATGAAAAGGTAATTTTGTGAGTTAAGAGGAATTAACTTAGACCCCAAGGAGAGCAGATGTTGGCTCTCAGTTTTTAAATATCAGACTGGAAAGTCTTGTAGTATGCTATCAGATTGTGTAATTCCAGGCGAGGCACTGCCCACTTTGCCCTCAAGCATAGTTCACAGTGAAAGCTTTACCTCCTGGGATCTGTCTCATGGTGGCACATAGACTAAATGGAACCTAGTAGGAGTCACAGGAACCATTGATTCCAGATTCTCCATTAACTAATGGGAAGGAGCAGAAACAAGAAGTCCTTAGAAAGGAAGTATTCTTGAATTCTTGGGAAAAACACCAAATGTCCATTAAAGATGAAGCCAATTGATAATGACAACAACAAAAAATCCACTATTTTGTTTGTTTATTTTATTTCATTTATTTATTTATTTATTTATTTAGAGACAGGGTCTTGCTCTGTCGCCCAGGCTGGAGTAGAGTGGCGCAATCTTGGCTCACTGCAAGCTCTGCCTCCTGGGTTCAAGCGATTCTCCTGCCTCAGCCTCCTGAGTAGCTGGGATTACAGGCACCTGCCACCACGCCTGGCTAATTTTTGTATTTTTAGTAGAGACAGGGTTTCACCATGTTGGCCAGGAAGGTCTGGAACTTCTGACCTCAGGTTATCCACCTGCCTCAGCTTCCCAAAGTGCTGGGATTGCAGGCGTGAGCCACTGTGCCTGGCCACTATTTTATTTCATCCAATCAAAAATTTATCTGAAGTTTCTTCATAGTGTTTAAGTTATGGTCTGCCTGTGAAAGAAAGAAAAAAGACTGGTTGGTTTCATCTTCATTAGTAGTTTCCTAAACCTAGAGAGGAATTTTAGGTTCTTGTTAGTTTTTATTAAATCCTTGGGTATTTTATTCGGTAGAAGGGAAGAAAGTAGAGAATTAAATGTTTCCTGGTTTATGGTGAATTTTTTTTTTAAAAAATCTCAATTTCCAACCTTCAAAACCAGAGTTTTCAAATGGCTTTGTAACCCTTCAGCCTAAGACAAAGATCTTTATAATTAATTTTTTCATAGGAGAAAAATGACAAAATGGAAAATATTTCTGTTAAAATCACTGTAGTACAACAAGCCATTAGCTCGTTTAGCTTTTCTATGGAGGAAGAAGGCAGTGAATTAATTTTAGTTACAATATGGGCCTAGATTCAATTTTAAGAGGCTTACCAGGTGTATAATACCTTGAGTTCTAACGCTGATGCAAATCTCAAAACTCAGCCCTAGGACATTGCACAGTCTAATCACCTGTCCTCTTTCCTTACAGTTCCTTTTCTACAGAGAAAATCTACAGGATGTTAGTGGTCACAAAGAGGGATTATGCAAAGGACTGTTATTTGACATTCTAATTCACATAGAGTATTTAATAAGCCAAGTATTAAGGGCATTGGCAAAATGTCTTTTGAAAACATATATATTCACACACACAGTGATTACATTCTGCTAAAATACTGGAAGAATGATGTGGTTATTTCTGTTTTTTATAAATGCTGGTTCTCATTAGGCTTTGAACAGGAAAAGTTTACAGTGTTTTACTTGTGACTATTAAATAGGACTGAAATATGGAGAATTAAAAGATATGCTTTTCATTTTTCTGACATACAGTATCTTAAAAGTTGGAAATTTAATGTTTAAGTTAATTTTTCATTTTTAGTGCTTCTGGTAGGCGTTCTTCATATGATATTTCAATGGAAGCATGGGTAGAACAGCCCATTTTACAACTACTGATCAGATGGATGAGAGAACTGCAGTGATTACTTCAGTCACTTCACTTAACTATTGCCCAAGTGAACTTCAGGGACCTACTGGCCTTCTAAGCTGCTTGTTGACTGACACAAACATTTAGAAGTTATTTATGGTGGGCCTGCTCTTGTACTAAACACTATGCTAGGTGCTGAGCCACAAGAAGGACAAAGGAGATACCATGCTTACATTCATTAAGCTTGGAGTGGACAGATACTAAGCAAATAACTACGGCACATAACGCACACACATGTTTGCCAAGTGCTTTAAAGGAAGGGCATGGGATGCTGTGGGAGTTATAAACAGGGGTCTCCAGTGCGGAGAATGGATTGGGGGAGGTAGGTTGGAGAATGAGCAGTTGGGAAGTCCGGAAATGAAGGCTAAATGTGTTGTGCCAGGGGTTTTGGGATATAGAACTCTTCTAGGGCATTTGTATTTTAAAAGTGAAACTATTGGACCAAATTGAATCTCCAAATGAAATGGCAGAGGGCAAGGAGATATTCTGGGATTGGATAGCCTTCTCAATGCCCTTGCCTACAGCTCCCTGGCTTACCCCACTCTAGGCCACCTGAATAACATTGCATCCTACTTTCTTAAAAGTCATCCATGTCTGTCCTAGAAACAGATTTCTTAACCATTTTTGTATCCTCCATGTAGATGAATGCTTCAGATCTATTCTCAGTTTTAAACTCAATTCTTAGCAAGCACTTGAAGTGGGCACCTTGGACTTCCATAAAGTCAGGTTTCTTCCTTTTGTTTGGTGAAGACTCTTTTTAAAAAATTTGGGGCTGGGCACAGTGGCTCACACCTGTAATTCCAGGACTTTGGGAGGCCGAGGTGGGTGGATCACCTGAGGTTGGGAGTTCGAGACCAGCCTGACCAACGTGGAGAAACCCCGTCTCTACTAAAGATACAAAACTTAGCTGGGCATGGTGGCTCATGCCTGTAATCCCAGCTACTTGGGAGGCTGAGGCAGGAGAATCACTTGAACCCAGGAGGCAGAGGTTGCGGTGACCCGAGGTCTTGCCGTTGCACTCCAGCCTGGGCGACAAGAGCAAAACTCCATCAAAAAAAAAAAAAAAAAGTCACATAAAATACACATAACATAAAATTTACTATTTTAACACTTTTAAAATACACAGCTGAGTAGCATGAAATAGATTCACGTTGTTGTGCATTCGTCACCACCCATCTACCTCCAGCCCTATACCCATTCAGCAATAACCCCCCATTTTCCTCTCCCCCAACTCCGGCAACCACCATTCAACTTTCTCTATGAATTTGACACTCTAGATATGTTATATAAGTGGATTTATATAGTATTTGTCCATTTGTGACTGGTTTATTTGACTTAGCATAATGTCCTTAAGATTCATCCATGTTGTAGCATGTGTCAGAATTGCCTTCCTTTTTAAGGCTGAGTAATATCTCATCATCTGTATATGCTATATTTTGTTTATCCATTTAGCTTTTGATGGACAGTTGGGTTGCTTCCACCTTTTGGTTATTGTGAATAATGTTGTTATGAACATGGGTGCACTGGCTTTCGTGTTTAAGCAACAATATACCTAAATGATTTTCATCTATGCATAAAGAGTAAATTGTTAACAGAAAATATTGTGGTAAAAGAGATTCAGGAAACCTGCTTGCAACACTCACTAGATCTTATATTTGATGTGTGATTTTCATGGAGGGATGTCCCTGTTTGGGCATCTGTTCCCTCGCCTGTGAAAGCAGAATTGAGCTCCATCTCCACGGTCTGTGCATAATCCTAACCACCACTCAGGAAGTAATCCTAGGATTATAGCAAATTAAGGGTTGGATTAATACGGATGCCATATAATGTCTTTATTAACTGGGCTGTCCTGGGTATTTAAATTACCTCATGAACATATGAGTTTTTTTCTTTTTCCTTAATATTCTCATCCTGGGAGAGAAGGGAAAATTAAGGTCAGCAACTTTCCAAAGGAATTTAGAAGTGAAAAAAAAAAGGAATCTTTTTCTATGTGCAAACCTATGAAAAGAATGTTAAGTGCTGTCCTTAGCTTCTCCTTGTGAAGTGACACATGCTTAAGAGGGTCTGTCTAATAGTAAAGCAATTTTCATTGGAATGTAAGTGGAATCCTTCATCTCTGTCAAATGTAATTTAGAGAAATGGCTACAAAAGACCTCAATTTAAAACATGTTAGAGTCCTAGTTGTAGACCTGGCTAAGATCTTCATAACCTAAGAATGGTGTTCGATAAATGCCTTAGCATTTGAATGACTGTGAAACCTACACCCAACCTCTCTGGTGACCCAGAATATTAGATCCCCATTCTGTCTTGCATGCCATGAATGAAATGGAGAGAGACCCATCTTTCCATGTGGCCTTAAAAACTCGTATTTTTTTTTCTTATAGGTTCGTTTAGGGTTTATCCTATAAGGATGGTCCATATGCTTATTTACTAAGAATCTAATATGACAGGGCCCTATCAGCAGCCCTCTCCAAATATACACAGAGAAAAGATATCCTTCAAAATAAAATAGTCTGGTGGTTTAAATTGTCTCGTGCAAAGACACGAAATGTTGAGGAAGCCAGTTATTGGGTTTATATGCTAACCTTCAATTTATGGAAAGTTTAGGTTCACCAGATGAGATAGCAGAAACCCAGTTTGAGCATCAGATAAATAAGAAATACCTTTTTTTAGTATAAGTGTGTCCCAAATATTGCATAGGGCATACTTACAAAGTATTTATTTATCCGAAATCCAAATTTCAGGCATCTTGTGTTTTTACTTGGTAAATCCAGCAGCCCTAACTAGATTGTGTGAAAAACATTGTAGATGTATTCAGTTTCAAAGATATCCGAACTCTCAAGAGAAAGGATTTATTATCTAAGAGGATCTCACAAACATGTGTGCTCATTCAAATCATGCTTTACTGATGGAGACCCAGAACAGTAACAGGCAAGACTTCTATATGGATTTGAAAATGAAGACTTTTTTAATGGCTGGAAATCACAGTGCAATGGATAAAAATCAATATGACCCCAGCACTAAAATTTATCTGGAGTTAAGTGCAATAAAACCCAGGTAGCAGACTTGAAATAATTGTACTATATTCTCTTTTTCAAATTTTTATAAAAATCTTTATTTATGGAGTATTTGTCAACATGACTGCTGAAGAGAGATGTTTCTATTCTATTAGCCCAGATTCATACAGTGAACTAGAAAGGGGATAAAATCATTTTTAATGGAGAAGATGGTTTTATGAGATGTAAAAGTTTGTGGCAAATGGAAGAGTTGGGGGACAAATAGCATTTTTACCAATAATTGAAAGACGCTCAAAACCACCTGAATAGGTGCCTCATGAGCAGTTTGTTGTTGTAGAAAGAACTTGCAATATTTGGCTGTGTCCATGGACCAAGGTCCAACATTCCCCTCCACCTGTTTACAAGTCAACTCTTAAAAACTTGAACAATCATACCAAGCCAATGATGCATTCAATAGCCACAAGACGGTCCATTAGTAATTGGTGATGAGCCAGGACTCTACCAGACAATGTGAGATCTCCTGAGCCAAAAAATACAATTAAACCAAAAAGAGACTCTTTCAACTGCCCAGGGCTGCATTACTGGAAAACTGCAGGCTCCCAAGCGTCACAGGGAAGGAAGGGCCCTGTTCTTTCTGAATGCCAACTCTCCAGATGGTGCAGTGCTGATGGGAACAAGGGCTTAATCTTTAAATGTTTATTGGTCAGTTATTTCCAAGAGAAAATCTAGTGTATATTTCCAGCAGAAAAACTCTAATTCATTTCCCCCATCTCATAAATGAAATGAGAGGTTGAAGAAGACTGACCCCGTAATAAATACTTCACTGGGTAGCCATTGTCCTCTGGTAGAAATAAAGCTATTGCCCCTGTCTAGATCTGCTTTCTATTTGGAAATAATATAATGAATGAATAAAATAATGAATCCCTTTCTCTTGGGAGTTCTGAAAAGGTTTTATGTATCTCTTCTGGAAGGGTGAGGAAAGGGAGATGATGTCCATTGTCCTTCTCAAGATCTAAAAAGGGAGCAAGTGCTCCCTCAGTTTCCCTCCCATGCCTTTGATGAGAAAATACAATTGGTTGATCAAGTCAAACACCCTGCTGTCATCCTCAACTCCTCCTTCACTCCTAAACCTCTCATTCAATCAGTCTCCACATCATCGGATTCTCTCTCCGAGATTCTCCCAGATACACCTATTTCTCCCCACCTTGCCATTGCCTGCCATGAGGTCTTTTACTCCTGCATGGCCTGCCTTCAGCCATCTCCTCATTGGTCTCCTTCCCCTTAACTGCCCACCAACTTTGTGTACTTTGCACTAGATCGTTACTAAAATTGTATTTCTAAAATGGAGACTGGATCAATAGACCCATTTTATTCATGATGGGTTCAAATTACTTAGCCTGATTATAGAGCCCTTGCTTAACCTTTGCAGCATATTCACCAACAATACTCTCATCCCTGAATGCTATGTTTCTGGTATTCTACGCATGTTCCCTCATGTAAGGTCTTCCATGCACAAACCTCCCAGCGCTCTGAACCCATTCTTCAACACTCAAACCAACCACAGAACTCCTGGCCACGTGCAGCTGCAACTCTCTATATAGTGACCTTGCATCTCTCTTATGACTCTTGGATTATGTTAAAACTATTTGTACCACACTATTCATCATGGGCCTTCTGAAAGGGTTTGCCATGATCAACCAATGAACCCTAATTGTTTCTTATATGCTATCTCTTAAATGTCAGCTTGGCAATAAGAAACGTAGAAAGGACATTTTATGTATGCCTACTTAATTCTCATCTGCCTTCTCACCTTCTCTCCAAGCCCTTCCCCAGGCCTCTCCCTCACCTCCAGAATAAAAATGTGAGCAAGAATGCCTTGCAGATTCTGTTAGGAGTGGCTTTACCACCTCAACACCTCTCACCCCTGCCTCATGCACCAATTAACATCCCCATTACCAGAGTGTGCAATCTGAGAATTGGGATCTGAGTTGGACAGGGGCAAGGCATCCTTTGCCTGGGGGGAGTATGTGGCCAAATTCTGTTAAGCATCACTGTTGGGGTGAGCAGGAAGGAAAAATGCCTATACAAGCCAATGTTATGGAAACTAAGGGAAATCAGTAGTCTAAAGCTATGGGTGGGAGGAAGCTGGAGAGATTGGTAGTTACTACTGCTTTTGAGAACTGTGGAGGCTCAGGCACTGTTAGTGTAGGAACTATTACTGATGGTAACTTGGGCTGGATACCTTTGAGGGTAACCCATTAGGCTGGCATACATGATTTTCTGCCTCCATCTCAGTCATTGTCATGAATTTTATCTGTACTTTATTGCAGTCAGGGCTTCCTCTAGGGAAGGTCCAGATTCCACTTACTCTTGTGAAATAAAAACAAGACCTTAAGTTACTCTTCTGCAAATTCTGCATATTCTCTTAAAAACATGACCTAATGAAAAATAAGATGATATATCTTTCAGTATTGGGCCACCTGTTCTCTGAAGTTTAGAATGGAATGTAAAAGATGCTCACTGCAATATCATGCTGCAGATAAAAAGAAAAAAGCTGCAACACATCTTTATGAGTTTTTCCAGGGAACCAAGCTTAATAGTATGTTTTATGCAGCATTTTTAATGCTAAATTTACCTCATTTGTAGGAGCTGGAGCTTTTAAACACAGACAGGGAGGCCCCATTTCTCTGTGTAACCTAGTCCTGGAGGACCAGTAATGCACTCTGCACCCTGAATCCCCTGTGCAGGGAAGGAGTCGCTCTTGACAAATTTCTTGCCTAGCTCAGGGCTACAGGTAAGTCTGGGAAAACAGGAAGATAATGGATGAGCCAGATTCCACAGCAGAATCTGCCAAGTACACCTTAGCCGCCCCGGGATCAACCTGTTAGTTCCTTGAAAACTTCATCACATGGGTGAGCCTTTCCAATGACCATTGGCTTTGTGATATGTGCGATGCCCTCATATCTTGTGAAATCTGGAAGACAGATCTGTGACTCTAACTACTCCATATGGCTGTGTGTGGATTTGGCCTTGTCTAGTTTAAGGAAAAGTGGATTCCATGAATGGAGAGCAGGTTATCCAACTTAAAACAAATTCATTCAAAATTTTTTACAGACATACCTCAGAAATATCGCACATTCAGTTCCGGAGCACTGCAATAAAGCAAGTAACATGAAATTTTTGGTTTCCTAGTGCATATAAAAGTGATATTTACACTATATTGTAGTCCATCAAATGTACGATAGCATTATGTCTGAAAAACAATGTACATGCCTTAATTGAAAAACAATTTATTGCTAAAAAATGCTAATGATCATCTGAGCCTTCAGTGAGTCCTAATCTTTTTTTCTGGTGGAGGGTCTGGCCTCCCTGTTGATGGCTGATCAGGATGGTGGTTACTGAAGTCTGGGGTGCCAAGGCAACTTTTAAAAATAAGATACTGAAGTTTGGCACCTTGATTGACTCTTCCTTTCACCAAAGATTCTCTGTAGCATGCAATGCTGTCTGATAGCATTTTACCCATAGTACAACTTATTTCAAAATTGGAGTCAGTCCTCTCAAACTCTGACACTGTTTTATCTACTAAGTTTAGGAATATTCTAAACCCTTTGATGTCATTTCAACAATGTTCACAGCATCTTCACCAAGAGTGGATTCCAGCCACTTTCTTTGCTCATCCTTAAGATGTAACTCCTCATCAGTTAAAATTTTATCATGAAACTACAAAAATTCAGTCACATCTCCAAGCTCTATTTCTATTTCCAGTTCTCTTGCTATTTCTTCCACATCTGTGTTACTTCCTCCTCTGAAGTCTTGAACCCTTCAAACTTATCTGTGAGAGTTGGGATCAACTTCTTCCAAATTCCTGTAAATCCTCATATTTTGACCTCCTCCCGTGAAGCACGGATGTTCTTAATAGCATCTACAATGGTAAATGCTTTCCAGAAGGTTTTCAGTTTACCTTGTCCAGATTCATCAGAAGAATCACTATGGCAGCAGTAACTTTATGAAATGTATTTCTTAAATAATAAGGCTTGAAAGTTGAAATTACTCCTTGACCCATGGGCTACAGAATGAATATTGTGTTAGCAGACATGAAAACAACATTCATATCTTTGTACATCTCCACCACAGATCTTGGGTGACCAGATATATTGTCCATGAGCAGTAATATTTTGAAAAGAATCTTTTTTTTCTGAGAAGTAGGTCCCAAGCATGGGCTTAAAATATTCAGCACACCATGCTGTAAACAGATGTGCTTTCATCCAGGCCTTGTTGTTCCATTTCTAGATCACAGGCAAGTAGATTTAGCATCATTCTTAAGGGTCCTGGGATTTTCAGAATGGTAAATGAGCACTGGCTCCAAAGTCCCCCAGCTGTGTCATCCCCTAACGAGAGAGCCAGCCTGTCCTTTGAAGCTTTGAAGCCAGGCATTGCCTTCTCTCTAGTTATGACAGGCCAGATGGCACATTCTTCCAATAGAAACTGTTATATTTCCACAGAAAATCTGTCATTGAGTGTAGCTACCTTCATCAGTGATCTTCTGGATAACTTGCTGCAGCTTCTACATTAGCACATTGACTTCACCTTACACTTTTACGTTATGGAGGTGGCTCTTTTCTTTTCTTTTTTTTTTCCTTTTTTGAGATGGAGTCTCTCTCTGTCACCCAGCCTGGAGTATAGTGGCGTGATCTCGGCTCACTGCAACCTTCGCCTCCCAGGTTCAAGCGATTCTTCTGCCTCAGCCTCTGAGCAGCTGGGACTACAGGCGCCCACCACCACACCTGGCTAATTTTTTATATTTTTAGTAGAGATGGGGTTTCACCATGTTAGCCAGGATGGTCTTGATCTCCTGACCTTGTGATCCACCCACCTCAGCCTCTCAAAGTGCCGGGATTACAGGCATGAGCCACTGCACCAGGCCGGCTTTTTTCTTTAAATCTCATAAGCCAACCTCTGTTAACTTCCAATTTTATTTTGCAGCTTCCTCACCTCCTGTAGCCTTCACAGACTTTAAGAGTTAGGGCCTTGCTCTGGGTTAGGTTTTGGCTGAAGGGAATGTTGTGGCTGTTTTGATCTTCCATCTAGACCACTCATACTTTCTGCATATTGGCAGTAAGTCTGTTTTGCTTTCTCATCATTCGTGTGTTCCCTGAAGTAGCACTTTTAATTTCCTTCCTTTTCCTTTGCTTTCACAACCTGACTACCTGTTTGGCACACAATGCCTAGCTTCTTCAGCTTTCGACATACCTTCTTAACTAAACTTAGTCATTTCTAGTTTTTGATTGAAGTTGTGAGAAGTATGACTCTTTCTTCCACGTGAACACTTGGAGACCATTGTAGAGTTGTTAATTGGCCTGCTTTCAATGATGTTATGTCTCAGAGAAGAGGGAGACCCTAGAGGGAGAGAGATAGGGAAACAGCTGGTAAGTGGAGTAGTCAGGACACACATGACATCTATCAATTAAGTTTCCTATCTGTTATGGGCATGGCTCGTGGTGTCGCAAAACAATTACAGTTGTAACATCAAAGATCACTGATCACAGATCTCCATAACAGGTGTAATAATAATGAAAACATTTGAAATATTTCAGGAATAACCAAAATGTGACACAGAGACCTGAAGTGAGCACAGGCTGTTGGACAAATGGTGCTCAGGCTTGCTCCATGTAGGGTTGCCACAAACCTTCAACATGTGCATTATCTGGAAAGTACAATAAGGCAAAGCACAATAAAACACATGGTATGCTTGTATCCCCAAATCCTAGTGGGAATGACCCTGAGTGGCACTTCCAAAATGTCCTAAAAGTGTGGTTTTCAGACTAGGCTTCAAGAAGTCCTTCGGATTTCCGAGCCTTCACAGGTCTCATTGCACAATATGCATGTATGTATATGTGTCCCCATGTGAATGTGTGCATGTGTGTGTTCATGTGTGTGCACATGTGCATGTGTTTGTGTGTGTTCACATGTGTATGTGTACCCACATGTATATGTGTGCAGGTGTAATGTGTGTGTAGGTGTGTATTGAAAATGTGTATGTGAGTGCAGGTGTGTATGTGTGTACACTTGTGTGTGTGCAAGTGTGAATTGCAGGTGTCCATGTGAGTGCAGGTGTGCATATGGGTACAGGTGTCTGTGTGCAGGTGTGTATTGCAGGTGTGTGTGTGAGGTGCAGGTGTGTACATGTATACAGTTGTGTATGTGTGCAGGTGTGTATTGCAGGTGTGTGTGTGAGGTGCAGGTGTGTACATGTATACAGTTGTGTATGTGTGCAGGTGTGTATTGTAAGTGTGTGTGAATGCAGGTGTGCATATGTGTTAATGCATGTATGAGTGTAGGTGGGCATATGTATACAGGTGTATGTGTGAGTGTAGGTGGGCATATGTATACAAGAGTGTGTCTATACAGCTGTGTGTGTGAGTTCAGGTGTGCATATGTGTATAGGTGTGTGTGTGTGAGTGCAGTTGTGCATATGTGTATAGGTATGTGTGTGAGTGTAGGTGGGCATATGTACACAGGAGTGTGTCTATACAGCTGTGTGTGTGAGTGCAGGTGTGCATATGTGTATAGCTGTGTGCGTGAGTGCAGGTGTGCATTTGTGTATAGGTGTGTGTGTTTGCAGGTATGCATACTGTGGTTGAGGGGAGAACAGGAAGAGAAGGAAGCTGACAACTTGTCACTCACTGCATTAGTCAGAGCAGTTATTTTTAATCACTTTACATATGTATTTGAAATGTGCAATTTTGTTTTAATTAAGGGCTCTAGTGCTTAAAGGAAGGAAGAAAGTACAGGAAAGAGAAAAGAAGTTTGGACAGAAAGATGAGAGGAAATGAGAGAAGGAGGAAGGGAACAAAAATAGAAGAGAGAAAAAAATCATCTTAAAGGGAAAAGAGGAAAGGGTTTTATCTCACATTCTACTCTCAGATGAACTGCCAGAATTCACCCCTCTGAGTTTGGCACAGTAATGTCTCCTGGGGTGGGGAGAGAGGAAATGACCTCAGCCCAGAGTCCCCGAGTGCGTGTATCCAAATTATCATCCAAAGAACATGGAGGGCTGGATGCAGTGGCTCACACCTATAATCCCAACACTTTGGGAGGCCAAGGCTAGAGGGTCACTTGAGCCCAGGAGTTCAGGACCAGCCTTGGAAACACAGTGAGACATTGTCTCTACTAAAAATGAAAAAACAAATTAGCTGGGTGTGGTGATGTGAGCCTGTAGCCCCAGACGCTCAGGAGGCTGAGGTAAAAGGAGTTCAAGTTTGCAGTGAGCCATAACTGTGCCACCACACTGTAGCCTGGGTGACAGAGCAAGACATTGTGTCAAAACAAAAAATGGAGATGTTTGCAAGGTGCATGGAACTGGGCTCTGGAGTGGGAGAAGGAATCATCTGTCAGTAGAGCTTCTGGCTTTCTCAGAGGAGTGGGTGTGAATCCCCCTGTGGCGTGTCCTGGAGCCCTCACTCCCATCTCATGCAGCTGTCCCATGACAGGCTGATCGCTGTCCCCCCTAGGAAGAGGCTAGGAATGGGTATAATTGGAGAACCTGATGGCTCACAGACATACTCCATTTGAAAGGAAAAGCTTATTAATATATTTAGCAATAGGATTTAGGGAGGAGTTAATAAAAAAAATCTTTGAGGCTACAAGGGATAAGATCAAGGTAGAGAATGACAGTGATTAACTTTACTGAAATTTGCATAAATGAAAGTGTCATCATCAAACAGAAATGTAGCAAGCTTTGGGCTGATGGGTGCGTCTGGAGTCAGCTGTATTCCAAGGAGGCTTTCCATGGCAATCCAGGCCATCTGAACCTGGAAATTCTCACTCGTCAGGATGAGTGAGAATCAGTCACTCATTCTGCTTCAGGATGCCTTCTGCTCCTCCCAGCCTGGGTACAGAACTGCGTGGATCCCCAGAGAGTTGAGAACCTAGTTGCAATGCATTGATGACTTTGTATTTAACAGGACTCCTTTCCCACTGAGACTTGTCCAACCAGACAAGCCCTCTGAAGAAGAACCAGATTGGGTTAGTGAAGAACAGACAGTTCACAATCATCTGATGAACTATGCAGGCCAAAGTGTCAGCTCCAGCCTTGAAAGAGTAATGCACGTTGATTGTTCACATCAAGATGGAGACTGATTCAGTGTAGATGGAAGTCAAATGGTTTTCCTCCTAATTTTAGTTCAAAGCTAGATTAGTTTACTTGTTATCCTGCATGTATGTGAGGATTCATTTTTTTCCTAAGTAGTATATAGCATGAACACCATCTTGGCCCGCATTCCAAAATCTAGACTTCAAACTCAACTCAAGGAAAAATATCTCTTGTCTTTGCTCTCATTCCTCTTCTAATCCCATCCAAGTCCACAAGAGGATTTCAAACTTTGATTGTGAATCTTTATTGAGCTGGCCTATATAACTTCTGTCCGAATAGGGGAATAATCCACTGTACAGATAATGCCTAGTTTAGAGCAAGATCACAGTAGCCCCTGGCTCCAAGCGTGCTAGGCTTACAGGAATGGAGTGGGTGGAGTGAAGAGGGTCTATATATTCTGCTGTGTTTGTCTTCCAGATAGCAAAGGCTACATTAGCCCTTTTAAACAACTCACAACTATTTCTTCTTCTATTTCATAAACCCCATGAGGGACAAAAATCCCACCCTCTGTAATAGTTCTGAGCGTCAGGGCCTGGCACCACCAAACACAACCGTCTGGGCTGACACTGATCCCAGAGAGAAAGCCAAGCACAGCCTCTGGTCTGATGAAGTGCCTATCTGTGGAGTTCATATGCCTATGATGTTTTATAGATTTAAAGTGCTTTCGGATTCATTTAATTCTCACAACTGAGTGTCACTGTTACCATGTCTGTGTCAGAGACTGTGAAAATGAGACTCAGGGAGGCTGGCTCACATGAGTGCATCACACGGCCATCAGCAGGACAAACTTAAGCTCGGGTCTCCTGATTGCAGAGCCCAGGTCCTTTTCCACGGCCCCAGAATGCTGGTCATCAGCAGAAAGACACGTGAGGCCAGTAAACGCCTCTTTTCAACTCAACAGCATTTACTGATGGCCTCCCTTATCCTGCTCTGAACTGGGGTGTGGGGCGTGGGGACTACACACCCATGGAACGGTAAGCCTTTTCCCTCAGAGAGTCCCTAATGGGAGGGAGAGACAGTCCAGTAGACAGCCGTTAGCATCCAGGCCTCAGTGCTGCCATGGGCTTAGGTCAGGGGACGGGGTGCTATACCTCTTGGACCTCAGGGAGGAAACCCACCCCTACTCTGGACTCCCAGCCCCACAGAGCCTCGCAGAGCTGCGTGCAGTGCAGGTGCTTAAGAAGCACTAGCTGACAAGGGAATCTACAATCAGCCAGAAGAAATGAGACCCTGTGATTGGCATTTGAGAACAGTTTCCTTTCAGGGTTTTTTTTTTTTTCTTTAGGATTAAAATCTTAGAGTTAGTTGTCTAAAAAAAAAGGTAAATATTTTATGTGTTTCTCTCCTTGGATTGTGAACTCCTTGAGGTTACTCTCTCACCACCCAGAACAGCACCATAAAAGCACAATAAATATTTCATAAGGTTCTATATTAGGTTGCCAATGCCCGAAAATGGCTCTCCCTACTTGCCCAATAATAGGCCTAGGAACCAGTCAGAGGAAGCCCTTCTTCTCCCTCTGCCTCAGCTGCTGCTCCCCCACCCAGAACACTGAAAGGCCAGGTTATGCTGTGCCAAGGGAAGCTGAATCATTTCAAAGACATGAGTTAGATTTCCCTCCTCTTTTCCCCATCTATAGCTTCAAACCTAAATAAAATTATAGGCTCAGAATCGTTGAGATCATCTGGTTGCAACTTAATGAAGACAGTGAAACCCAAAATGAGAAGGGCAAATAACATTAACTATACGAAGGTTTTAGTTACTGCTATTATTAGGTGAGTTTCTGAAATAGAATGAGGATTGTGGATTGGAATTAACGGAAAACACTAGAAGAAACCACAATTTAAATGAAATCACAAAAGACTCAAGCCAAATGTTATGAAAATTACTTGTCTGTAAGTCATATCCCACCATGATGCAGCCATTCTCAAGCTTGCTGAAATTCAAAGAAAATAATATGTACACACACAAGCGCGCAAGCGCGCGCACGCACGCACGTGCACGTGCATTATTTGTCTATCTATCAATAATCCATTTTTCTAGCTAATCTATCTATCTTGTATTAGAAAGGGAAAAGTATTGCTAACCAAAGCCCCAAATTTCCTGAAGAGGTCTGGAATTACACTATAACATTTTCAGAGGTATCTGGTACCATGTCAATTCTTCAGGGTTTTACCTTCTCACAAAAAGAGAATTTGTCCAACACTTGGAGATATTATACCTTTATTTATATTCATCAAAGAGATTGCCTTGGTTCTTGTTTTGTCCTGGTAATGTCTCAAGATTGCTGTCTCCTTCTGTGCAATTTGTAAACAAAATGATATTTTATTTCTTAAGTCGTATTTATATACACAAAAGCTAAAGCTATTACAAAATCCTGGGATTCATTTTCCTTACTAGCTACCTAAATAGCTAAAGGTTTTTTTAATTTTAAAAACAGGTTGTAGTTATTTCTTAATAGATAATATAAAAATTATTTTAAACTCCAAGAACTTGTTTTAATAATCACTATAGATCTAGATATCTTTATCCTAAGGTGTTCATTAAATGTTGTTAACATAAAACTAGACAGCTAGCAAAAATATCATGTAATTTGACAGCCAGGACTTCAAATAATCAGTAATACTATAATGTGGCCACAAACCTAAGATTCTGTAAGTGCTGGTTTAAGCCAACAGGAACTTGATTCTCTGTGATTTTCCCCCACATTTGGATCCCCAGAGTCTCTCTTCTCCATCTTTACATCCCTTTGTTTAGTTCCCACTTACAAGCCAGAACATGTGATATTTGATTTTCTACTTCTTCATTAGTTCACTTAAGATCATGGCCTCCTCCAGCTCCATCCATGTTGCTGCAAAAGACATGATTTTGTTCTTTTTTATAGATGCATAGTATGGTGTGAGACAGGTGAGGAATGAAAAATTATCTACTTGGTACAAGGCTCAAAACTTGAGTGATGGGTACACCAGAGGCCCAATCCCCACCATTACAAATGTAATGCCCATGTAACAAACAAGCATATGTGTCCCCTGAATCTAAAATCATATTAAGTTAAACTTAAAAAAAAGAAATGGGGAATATCTTTGAATTTCAAACCTGATACTGAGGTAGGAATTAGGCAGGATTGGTTTTGCAAGGTACAGGTCACAAAGACCCCACTGATAAAATATGTGGTACAGACACCAGCCAAAACCTGCCAAAAACCAAGATGGCAAGGAAAAGGACCTCTGGCCATCCTGACTGCTCTTTATACAGTAATTGTAATACATTAGCATATTAAAGGAGACTCCCACCAGTGCCATGATAGTTTACGAATGCCATGGCAACCTCTGGAAGTTACCCTAGGTGGTGTGAAAGGGGGAGAAACCCTCAGTTCCAGGAATTGCCTGCTCTTTCCCAGAAAACTCATGAATAATCTACCCCGTGGTTAGCATATAATCAATAAATAACCATAAAAATAACCAACCAGCAGCCCTTGGGCAGCTCTGCCTACAGAGTAGCCACCTTTTTATTCCTTTACTTTCTTAACAAACTTGCTTTCACTTCACTCTGTCCACCAACACATGAATTTCTTCCTGTGAGAAGCCAAGAACCCAATTTTGGGGTTCTCCCTGTGACAGCACCACCACAAATGTGTATCTCCCAAGACATTCAAAGGAGAGATGCACAGAAGCTGAACTAGTTAACATCAGCTGCTGTGGGTTCTTTCCTCCTCTGTAGCTGTCGGAATCTCTGGGTTCTGTTGATGGAACAAGGAGGGAATATTCTCAGAGCACAAAGAGAAGCTGTTCTGCCCCCAAAGTTTGTAATCACTCATATTGGAGCTACCTTTCATTTTTCAGCAAAGCACCTATGCATAGAATTCCTGTTTTTTAATAGGGCTTTCTAAGATTTTGCCTTTTTTTATTCTGTTGATTTTATTTTGTTGCTTTTACAAGACATATTTTTAACATCACTCAGTTCTGGTAAGTGGCAATGATATTATCTCATCTGGGTTGTCCAGGCAATTGTCACTGACTGAAAATAAATAAGAGAGAAATTTGCATAGTAATAAGGGTACACAGACAAAAATAATTGCAATTTATCTTTACGACAAATGGATCAGTTATTAGCCTAGGAGGAGGGAATAGGAATCATCACCCCTGATATTGAAAGGCAAATAAAGAGCTGGCCTGTTAGAAAGTATAATATTTATGATTGAAATTCTCATAATAGTTCTGAGTATGGACAATTTCAGAGTACATTTGGGAAAACATCCCTAGGATAACAGTGTTTAACTGTTTTATAATTGCTTTGGAACCAAATAGAATCTGGTGCTAATGTTTTTATTAATAAAGGAAAGGTTAAACATGAGCAAATAGCTATAATTGTTCATTAAAAATGCTAACCATGTGAAATCCTTGCAATGGCTAAAGGTATTAATAATGGAGTGCAGTTTTTTTTTCTCCAATGGCAAATTGAAGTCACAGTGACATGAGAATTTGAGGTAGAAGTTTTGGCATATCAAGTATTCATTGTATCATCAGGGTCTCATATGGCTTGGTGAGTACTCAAGTCATAAAGGCTTGCAAGCAGATTGGTGTATTCAGGAGCAGTGCCATCTTGCTCTAAAACTATATAACACCTGTTGCTGGGAAAGAGGAAATGTGAGAACATGTCATTCCAGCATTTATTCATAAAAATGCTCTGTCGCTTTACACTGCTCTCCAGTTTACCTTGAGACTCGGCACTCAGCTCCCTTTCCCTTCGCTTTCACCTTGGGATATTGTGTTGCTCAGATGTTCATAAACCTTGGAACCACCTTTAACACAGACAGAAATTGTTTAAAGAACTGAGATTCCTTCCAGTTCTGAAAGATATCGAAGTTTCTGAGTCTACTTGGAAAAATGACTTCTTTCACCAGGATCTACCTCATTCCTGTATACTGAATTCATCTGTCATCCGACTTCCTCACCATTCCAGTGTGGTTCCTGGGCCAGCTGCCTCAGCATCATCCCGGAGCTCATTAGAAATGCAGATCCTCAGGCCCATCCCAAACACACTGAATCCAAATCTTTGTTTTAAGGAGATCCTCTGTGGATTCACATTATATGTATCTGAAAGTTTGGGAGGTATTAGCCTACTTGACCTCCGAGATTCTGTGCACACATCCGACTTGACCACCAAAATTCCACTTCACTTTCTAACAAGGGCCTTTGCATGTTGGCTCCCACATGCTTGGGTTCCTTTGGGCCCAGTAACTGTAGGGAAATGGATGTTCTTCTAGTCGTGGACCAAGCCTTCCCTGTTTTTATTTCTCTACTGGACTGCTGTAACTCTTTCAGTCTTTACATACACCTGAATCCTAGTGATTTGTAACCCTACTGAAGGCATACCCATGAGGTGTGGTCAAGGGAACATAGTCCAGCAACTAAAGAGTAATTTCAACATGAATTACATTTGTTTTTCTCAAATATCATGAAGTGATCACGTTGTAAAATTCCTTTTTCTTTCTCTCACATCTATTTTCTTCACATTCCATGGTACTTCCAACTCTTTCTCCCTCATAGTTTCTGAAAAGCTGCTTAACCTAAAACTTCTTCCACAGCCCTAGATTGCCTATTTCTCCTTTTAACCTCTTTTCTTGTCCCTTAATTCTGCATCTAGAAGGATGAAGAAACCAGTTGGCTGAGAGGGAACCCTTCTTGAAAAGGATGGGGACAGGCAGGGTTACTTACCACTATACTAATGAGGAGGTTCCTAAAGAAATTAAAAATGAGATTACTGTATGACTCAGCAATCCCTTTCATCTCCCAAAGGAGATGAAATCATCACCTTGTAAAGATACCTGCACTCCCATGTTTACCGCAGCATTATTCATGATAGCTAAGAGATGGAAACAAGCTAACTGTCCATTGAGGAATGACTGGATAAAGAAACCGTGGTATGTATATATATACAACAGAATAAATCTGCTCTAAAAAAGAACAAAATATTTCCATTTGTCACAACATGGATGAATCTGGAGGACACTATGCTAAGTGAAATAAGCCATACCCAAAGAAAAATATTGAATGATCTCACTCATACGTGGAATCTAAAAAAAAAAAAAAACAAATATACAGAGAGAGAGAACAAAACGGTGGTTACCAGAGACAGGATGGGTGGAGTGGAAATGGATAGATACAGGTCAGAGGATACAAAGTAGCTGATATGTAGGATGAACAAGTCTGGAGATTTAATATATAACGTGAGGACTACACCTGATAGAATTGTACCATATTTGGGGTTCACGCTAAATGAGCAGATTTTAACTGCTCTTGCCACAAAAGCAAAAAAGGGTCACTATGTGAGATGATAAATATGATCATTTGTTTTACTACAGTAACCATTTTACTATTTATACATATCCCATAACATCATGTTGTATACCTTAAATGTACATAATACAATTTATTTTTTAAAAAGAAAGGGATGGGGAGGGAAGGAATGGAATGAACAAAGATCATGGTGCCCAGAAAACCTGGAGACTTGCTTGTTAATAACCTTCTCCCTGTCCCATATGCCTATTCGGTGTCTGCATTTCTTGCTTGTGTATGGTCTGTGGCAGAGACAGCTAGCACCCATCAGATTTCAGCTCTCCTTTTCTTCCTGAGCATTCAGCTGGAATACATTTCCCAGCCTCCTTGATTCTAGGTGAGGGCAGGTGAAGAGTTTCTCATCAGCGAAATGTGAGCCCACAGGGTGTGTCACTGCAGAGCTGAGGCATCTGTGAGTGGATGTGCCTTCTCTCTTTTCCTTTATTTGCTGCCCAAATATAGAGGTCTCAGTGGAGGACACCCAAGTCCTAGGGCAATGGCTGTTAACCCATGGCAGAGGAGTTCAGGAGGTGCTTTTGACCTTCAAATGACATTTGACAATGTCTGGAGACATTTCTGGTTGTCATAACTAAGAGGTGTTACTGGCACCCAGTGAGTGGAGCCCAGAGGTGCTGCTAAACATTCTACAATCCACAGGACAGCCCCTCACAACAAAGAATCATCCAGCCCAGTAGGACTGAGTTTGAGAAGCCCTGTCCTAGGAGATGGTGGAGCCATGAGAGGAAAGGAGGCTGGATCCTCTAACGGAGCATCACAAGACCCAACTAATGAAATGCTTTGAGGGGAGTTAGCAAGAGGCCCTTTGTGGGCAAAGCCACTGAGGTCTGAGGGTCACTTATTTCAGCAGTTAGCCTACCCTGACTGAGCATATAGCATTCCATCTAGAACTGAGTCCTGTGGAGCTTCTGCGGGGCTGCTGTGCAGAGCCACCTAGCAAGCTTTATTAGAATGGTCCATTTTATTCAGAGACTTTGCAATAAGCTGAGCATTGTTATGAAAATAAGATGTTTCCATTAGAAGCAGCAGATGTTTACCGTAAGCCTCGTGAATTTCTGTCACTACACATCAGAGCTGACTCCAGGGCTATAAGTGGGTACCTAGGTTTATTCAGGAATCATTTGCTACAGCTAATCTCACTGCAGCCCTCTCCCCCATCATTACAAAAGTAGGGGGCAAATTGGTCTCGATTACATGCATGAAGAGGCTTTATTTGGGATTAATGTTATGGTGCCACCTCCATTGCAATTCTTTCTCAATTGAGGGAAGGCACATCCTTTGATGATTCAGACTAAAATGTTCTTTTTGGTTTTATAAAAATCACAGACAACTGAAAAAGAAGCCGCATTCTTCACAAGCTCCTACAACCTAGCATATAAAGGTCAATGACTTGCTGCAGTGTGATTGTAATTGATGGTTGCATATCACTAGATTGACTTATGCATGTTCCTATACATGAAGAAGCTCATGCTGAGTGGATAAGTGCCTTGCCCAAGTGCCTCGGTCAGCAATAGGACAGAGGTAAAAACCCATGTTGCTTAACAGCCTCTGTTGCCTTGCACCTTCCGGTTGCTTTTAGAAGCAACATTCCCAGTATCATGTCTGTGTGCTGCCACTTTCATTTATGGAGCATTTTGCTGCTCCACTAGGCAATTAGAGAATGAGCCTCTGCAGTGTCACATTGATCTTTCCTGTTCAGATGTATCTCTAGCTGTTAACATTTCATTATAATCAAGGTTTTCTTGAGTTCTCCGTGACCCTTGACTCATCAAGTTCCCAGACCTCTGAATGCTGTGAGTTAATTAATTTTGCTGTCTGATGTGAACATGTAAAACTGGCATGGAACCTGGAGTCTTGATGGGAAGATAGTTTGGTGATCACATTATTTTTCATATGAAGTCAGATTTATCGGAAACACCAACAGAGGAGCAATTTAACAAAACAGTTCTCTCTAATCCCAACAGAGTGGCACTAGGTTTGCAAATAAATGTTAAAAGAAGGACTATATTCAGTTATATGTAAATATCACTGCTGAATGCCACTCTTCTTGAAGGACAAAGGCATCTATTACTCAAGGAGATAGCCTGATACATTACTCGTAGACTATGGGATACAGCCATGTGCATATGCTCAGGTACTAACCCCAGCTCCACTTAGTCTCCCCTCCAAGGCAGGTCCTACTGTCAGCTCCTGAATAGTGCAAAGCAGGTGACAGTAGCTCACTCATACAGGAGATAAGCCAGTTATGGATTAAGAACTGACTATAACATGTCCTTTAAATCCAAAGATGAAACTACTACAGAGAAGGCAGGGAGAGGGTCTTGCAGTCCTCTCTGCACTGTGGGCAGCTCTGGGCTTCTTGCATATTCAGCCACCGCTGTGTTTTCAGCATCTTTCACCGTCTGTAGCCCTGCCACCCATTAGGAGGCCTAAAGCCTCTGATAAAGAAGAGCCTTTCCTTTTTTGTTCTTTTTTTATGCAAAAGTAACTGTTCTCTTTGATAACTTGGTTCCACTAAACACTGCAACTATGCTACCTATTTCAAGTGATCTTTTTTCTTGTTTATATCTCTTGTTGTAAACTCTCTTAAATTCAACATATTCCTCCTGTTGAATAAAGGAGCATGCTCACCCAGAATAAGCCTGGATCCAACCCCCTGGAAGTGTACAGGGGCAAAAAGAGATTGAAGGCAAATCAATGGGATATATTACAGCATGTTGTTGGTGGTAATTGTGGTCTTCCTTTAAATTTTAGTATGCTTTCCTGCCAACTCTGATGAAAGTAGGGAAGAGACTAAATTTCATGTCTGGGTAAGTTTAAGTCTTATAGAAAATGGGTCAGTAGATGGTAGGGTAAGAGGCTGTATCTGAATGTAGTATATGTTTGCTTGATTAGCAAATCAATGCACATTTATAGGGTGGGAAAGAGTTGATGAAGAAAAGAAACATCTTGATGCTTAGTTAGGTATCACTGAACCAGGAACTAGCAGATCAAAGGCTGTAAGCTTCATGAACCACACTTGCTTCAGGGTTCCATTCTCATTAGCTGGTGGAATGAAGGAGGACTTTGCTAAAGCTCTTGTTTTAGTTCCCGACGCTACTGTCCTTCCCTCCAACCCTTCTTCACTTCTGGAGTGCCTTCTATGAAAATTTATCTGACTTCATTCTCCCCATTTATGTGTTTGTTACATATGATAAACACCTCATAGACTTCTGATTTGATGCTGAGGACTTAGAATAGTCTAGAACTTCTGCTTTTGATCACACACATTTATGCTGAATTCCAGTTTCATCGCTTAGTTACCATATGTTTTTGGAGAAGATACTTAATTTTTCTGAGTTGTTTCCTCAACTGCAGAGTATAGCTAATAATAGTTAACTACTTTATAGGATTTTTGGATAAATTAAAATAAATATATGCAAAATGCTTAGCAACAGACCTGGCATATATCAAGTATTTGATGAAAAATACTTGTTTATGGGTTTTGCTTATGCTTATTCCTATTATAATTTTTATTGTTACTATCATGAGGCTGGTCAGCTCTATTGTCAAAATGTACCTTGAATCCAGCCAGCCTTACCTGCCTCTCCATTGCCTTCCTAGTTCGAGCCACTGTCATCCCTGGCCTGGAATTCTTCAGTACTTTTCTGAACCATCTTCCTGCTTCCATGCTTTTTTAAATCTATTCCTCATACAGCAGCCAGGGCCATCTTTAATAATTTTTTTATCAGATCCTATGACTCTCTCATTTAAAACATCCAATGTACCTAAAAGGAAGTTCATACCCCTTACCTAAGACTGCTATATTAGTCAGGGTTTTCTTAGAGGAACAGAACTAATAGGATGTATACATATATTATATATAAAGGGGAGTCTATTAAGTATTAACTTATAGGATCACAAGGTCCCAAAATGGGCTGTCTGCAAGCTGAGGAGCAAGAAGAGCCAGTCCGAGTGCCAAAACTGAAGAACTTAGAGTCCAATGTTCAAGGAGAGGAAGCATCCAACACAGGAGAAAGATGTAGGCTGGGAGGCTAGGCCCATCTCTCCTTTTCTCGTTTTTCTGCCTGCTTTATATTCACTGGAAGGTTGTTAGATTGTACCCACCAGAATAAGGGTGGATCTGCCTTCCCCAGCCCACTGATTCAAATGTAAAACTCTTTTGGCAACACCTACACAGACACACCCAGGATCAATACTTTGTATCCTTCAATCCAATCAAGTTGACACTCAGTATTAACCATCACAACTGCAGAGGCCTTGCCTCTATCCATCTAGTCAGCTGTGTCTCCTACTCAGCTCTCTTTGGTACTCTGTAACTCAGTCATTTGGCCCATCTACCTCTCAATGCTGCGTATTCCTGCCTCATCATCTCCACACTTCTCTTGCCTAGATTACTCTATTTTGGGTCGTTTTACATGCCTAGGCCTTCTTTTTTTTTTTCTTTTTTTTCTTTTTATTATTATTATTATTATTATACTTTAAGTTTTAGGGTACATGTGCACAATGTGCAAGTTAGTTACATATGTATACATGTGCCATGCTGGTGCGCTGCACCCACTAACTTGTCATCTAGCATTAGGTATATCTCCCAATGCTATCCCTCCCCGCTCCCCCCACCCCACAACAGTCCCCAGAGTGTGATGTTCCCCTTCCTGTGTCCATGTGTTCTCATTGTTCAATTCCCACCTATGAGTGAGAATATGCGGTGTTTGGTTTTTTGTTCTTGCAATAGTTTACTGAGAATGATGATTTCCAATTTCATCCATGTCCCTACAAAGGACATGAACTCATCATTTTTTATGGCTGCATAGTATTCCATGGTGTATATGTGCCACATTTTCTTAATCCAGTCTATCATTGTTGGACATTTGGGTTGGTTCCAAGTCTTTGCTATCGTGAATAATGCCGCAATAAACATACGTGTGCATGTGTCTTTATAGCAGCATGATTTATAGTCCTTTGGGTATATACCCAGTAATGGGATGGCTGGGTCAAATGGTATTTCTAGTTCTAGATCCCTGAGGAATTGCCACACTGACTTCCACAAGGGTTGAACTAGTTTACAGTCCCACCAACAGTGTAAAAGTGTTCCTATTTCTCCACATCCTCTCCAGCACCTGTTGTTTCCTGACTTTTTAATGATTGCCATTCTAACTGGTGTGAGATGGTATCTCATTGTGGTTTTGATTTGCATTTCTCTGATGGCCAGTGATGGTGAGCATTTTTTCATGTGTTTTTTGGCTGCATAAATGTCTTCTTTTGAGAAGTGTCTGTTCATGTCCTTCGCCCACTTTTTGATGGGGTTGTTTGTTTTTTTCTTGTAAATTTGTTTGAGTTCATTGTAGATTCTGGATATTAGCCCTTTGTCAGATGAGTAGGTTGTGAAAATTTTCTCCCATTTTGTAGGTGGCCTGTTCACTCTGGTGGTAGTTTCTTTTGCTGTGCAGAAGCTCTTTAGTTTAATTAGATCCCATTTGTCAATTTTGGCTTTTGTTGCCATTGCTTTTGGTGTTTTAGACATGAAGTCCTTGCCCATGCCTATGTCCTGAATGGTAATGCCTAGGTTTTCTTCTAGAGTTTTTATGGTTTTAGGTCTAACGTTTAAGTCTTTAATCCATCTTGAATTGATTTTTGTATAAGGTGTAAGGAAGGGATCCACTGTCAGCTTTCTACATATGGCTAGCCAGTTTTCCCAGCACCATTTATTAAATAGGGAATCCTTTCCCTAATGCTTGTTTTTCTCAGGTTTGTCAAAGATCAGATAGTTGTAGATATGTGGCGTTATTTCTGAGGGCTGTGTTCTGTTCCATTGATCTATATCTCTGTTTTGGTACCAGTACCATGCTGTTTTGGTTACTGTAGCCTTGTAGTATAGTTTGAAGTCAGGTAGTGTGATGTCTCCAGCTTTGTTCTTTTGGCTTAGGATTGACTTGGAGATGCAGGCTCTTTTATGGTTCCATATGAACTTTAAAGTAGTTTTTTCCAATTCTGTGAAGAAAGTCATTGGTAGCTTGATGGGGATGGCATTGAATCTGTAAATTACCTTGGGCAGTCTGGCCATTTTCATGATATTGATTCTTCCTACCCATGGGCATGGAATGTTCTTCCATTGGTTTGTATCCTCTTTTATTTCCTTGAGCAGTGGTTTGTAGTTCTCCTTGAAGAGGTCCTTCACGTCCCTTGTAAGTTGGATTTCTAGGTATTTTATTCTGTTTGAAGCAATTGTGAATGGGAGTTCACTCATGATTTGGCTCTCTGTTTGTCTGTTGTTGGTGTATAAGAATGCTTGTGATTTTTGTACATTGATTTTGTATCCTGAGACTTTGCTGAAATTGCTTATCAACTTAAGGAGATTTTGGGCTGAGACAATGGGGTTTTCTAGATATACAATCATGTCGTCTGCAAACAGGGACAATTTGACTTCCTCTTTTCCTAGTCGAATACCCTTTATTTCCTTCTCCTGCCTAATTGCCCTGGCCAGAACTTCCAACACTATGTTGAATAGGAGTGGTGAGAGAGGGCATCCCTGTCTTGTGCCAGTTTTCAAAGGGAATGCTTCCAGTTTTTGCCCATTCAGTATGATATTGGCTGTGGGTTTGTCATAGATAGCTCTTATTATTTTGAAATACGTCCCATCAATACCTAATTTATTGAGAGTTTCTAGCATGAAGGGTTGTTGAATTTTGTCAAAGGCCTTTTCTGCATCTATTGAGATAATCATGTGGTTTTTGTCTTTGGTTCTGTTTATATGCTGGATTACATTTATTGATTTGTGTATATTGAACCAGCCTTGCATCCCAGGGATGAAGCCCACTTGATCATGGTTGATAAGATTTTTGATGTGCTGCTGGATTCGTTTTGCCAGTATTTTATTGAGGATTTTTGCATCAATGTTCATCAAGGATATTGGTCTAAAATTCTCTTTTTTTGGTTGTGTCTCTGCCTGGCTTTGGTATCAGGAGGATGCTGGCCTCATAAAATGAATTAGGGAGGATTCCCTCTTTTTCTATTGATTGGAATAGTTTCAGAAGGAATCGTACCAGTTCCTCCTTGTACCTCTGGTAGAATTCGGCTGTGAATCCATCTGGTCCTGGACTCTTTTTGGTTGGTAAGCTATTGATTATTGCCACAATTTCAGCTCCTGTTATCGGTCTATTCAGAGATTCAACTTCTTCCTGGTTTAGTCTTGGGAGAGTGTATGTGTCGAGGAATTTATCCATTTCTTCTAGATTTTCTAGTTTATTTGCGTAGAGGTGTTTGTAGTATTCTCTGATGGTAGTTTGTATTTTGTGGGATCAGTGGTGATATCCCCTTTATCATTTTTTATTGAGTCTATTTGATTCTTATCTCTTTTTTTCTTTATTAGTCTTGCTAGCGGTCTATCAATTTTGTTGATCCTTTCAAAAAACCAGTTCCTGGATTCATTAATTTTTTGAAGGGTTTTTTGTGTCTCTATTTCCTTCAGTTCTGCTCTGATTTTAGTTATTTCTTGCCTTCTGCTACCTTTTGAATGTGTTTGTTCTTGCTTTTCTAGTTCTTTTAATTGTGATGTTAGGGTGTCAATTTTGGATCTTTCCTGCTTTCTCTTGTGGGCATTCAGTGCTATAAATTTCCCTCTACACACTGCATTGAATGCGTCCCAGAGATTCTGGTATGTTGTGTCTTTGTTCTCGTTGGTTTCAAAGAACATCTTTATTTCTACCTTCATTTCGTTATGTACCCAGTAGTCATTCAGGAGCAGGTTGTTCAGTTTCCATGTAGTTGAATGGTTTTGAGTGAGATTCTTAATCCTGAGTTCTAGTTTGATTGCACTGTGGTCTGAGATATAGTTTGTTGGGGAGGAGCCAAGATGGCCGAATAGGAACAGCTCCGGTCTACAGCTCCCAGCGTGAGCGACGCAGAAGACGGGTGATTTCTGCATTTCCATCTGAGGTACCGGGTTCATCTCACTAGGGAGTGCCAGACAGTGGGCGCAGGCCAGTGGGTGCGTGCACCGTGCGTGAGCCGAAGCAGGGCGAGGCATTGCCTCACCTGGGAAGCGCAAGGGGTCAGGGAGTTCCCTTTCCGAGTCAAAGAAAGGGGTGACGGACGCACCTGGAAAATCGGGTCACTCCCACCCGAATATTGCGCTTTTCAGACCGGCTTAAGAAACGGCGCACCACGAGACTATATCCCACGCCTGGCTCAGAGGGTCCTACGCCCACGGAGTCTCGCTGATTGCTAGCACAGCAGTCTAAGATCAAACTGCAAGGCGGCAACGAGGCTGGGGGAGGGGCGCCCGCCATTGCCCAGGCTTGCTTAGGTAAACAAAGCAGCCGGGAAGCTCGAACTGGGTGGAGCCCACCACAGCTCAAGGAGGCCTGCCTGCCTCTGTAGGCTCCACCTCTGGGGGCAGGGCACAGACAAACAAAAAGACAGCAGTAACCTCTGCAGACTTAAGTGTCCCTGTCTGACAGCTTTGAAGAGAGCAGTGGTTCTCCCAGCACGCAGCTGGAGATCTGAGAATGGGCAGACTGCCTCCTCAAGTGGGTCCCTGACCCCTGACCCCCGAGCAGCCTAACTGGGAGGCACCCCCCAGCAGGGGCACACTGACACCTCACACGGCAGGGTATTCCAACAGACCTGCAGCTGAGGGTCCTGTCTGTTAGAAGGAAAACTAACAACCAGAAAGGACATCTACACCGAAAACCCATCTGTACAGCACCATCATCAAAGACCAAAAGTAGATAAAACCACAAAGATGGGGAAAAAACAGAACAGAAAAACTGGAAACTCTAAAACGCAGAGCGCCTCTCCTCCTCCAAAGGAACGCAGTTCCTCACCAGCAACAGAACAAAGCTGGATGGAGAATGATTTTGACGAGCTGAGAGAAGAAGGCTTCAGACGATCAAATTACTCTGAGCTACGGGAGGACATTCAAACCAAAGGCAAAGAAGTTGAAAACTTTGAAAAAAATTTAGAAGAATGTATAACTAGAATAACCAATACAGAGAAGTGCTTAAAGGAGCTGATGGAGCTGAAAACCAAGGCTCGAGAACTACGTGAAGAATGCAGAAGCCTCAGGAGCCGATGCGATCAACTGGAAGAAAGGGTATCAGCAATGGAAGATGAAATGAATGAAATGAAGCGAGAAGGGAAGTTTAGAGAAAAAAGAATAAAAAGAAATGAGCAAAGCCTCCAAGAAATATGGGACTATGTGAAAAGACCAAATCTACGTCTGATTGGTGTACCTGAAAGTGATGTGGAGAATGGAACCAAGTTGGAAAACACTCTGCAGGATATTATCCAGGAGAACTTCCCCAATCTAGCAAGGCAGGCCAACGTTCAGATTCAGGAAATACAGAGAACGCCACAAAGATACTCCTTGAGAAGAGCAACTCCAAGACACATAATTGTCAGATTCACCAAAGTTGAAATGAAGGAAAAAATGTTAAGGGCAGCCAGAGAGAAAGGTCGGGTTACCCTCAAAGGAAAGCCCATCAGACTAACAGCGGATCTCTCAGCAGAAACCCTACAAGCCAGAAGAGAGTGGGGGCCAATATTCAACGTTCTTAAAGAAAAGAATTTTCAACCCAGAATTTCATATCCAGCCAAACTAAGCTTCATAAGTGAAGGAGAAATAAAATACTTTATAGACAAGCAAATGCTGAGAGATTTTGTCACCACCAGGCCTGCCCTAAAAGAGCTCCTGAAGGAAGCGCTAAACATGGAAAGGAACAACCGGTACCAGCTGCTGCAAAATCATGCCAAAATGTAAAGACCATTGAGACTAGGAAGAAACTGCATCAACTAATGAGCAAAATCACCAGCTAACATCATAATGACAGGATCAAATTCACACATAACAATATTAACTTTAAATATAAATGGACTAAATTCTGCAATTAAAAGACACAGACTGGCAAGTTGGATAAAGAGTCAAGACCCATCAGTGTGCTGTATTCAGGAAACCCATCTCACGTGCAGAGACACACATAGGCTCAAAATAAAAGGATGGAGGAAGATCTACCAAGCCAATGGAAAACAAAAAAAGGCAGGGGTTGCAATCCTAGTCTCTGATAAAACAGACTTTAAACCAACAAGGATCAAAAGAGACAAAGAAGGCCATTACATAATGGTAAAGGGATCAATTCAACAAGAGGAGCTAACTATCCTAAATATTTATGCACCCAACACAGGAGCACCCAGATTCATAAAGCAAGTCCTCAGTGACCTACAAAGAGACTTAGACTCCCACACATTAATAATGGGAGACTTTAACACCCCACTGTCAACATTAGACAGATCAACGAGACAGAAAGTCAACAAGGATACCCAGGAATTGAACTCAGCTCTGCACCAAGCAGACCTAATAGACATCTACAGAACTCTCCACCCCAAATCAACAGAATATACATTTTTTTCAGCACCACACCACACCTATTCCAAAATTGACCACATACTTGGAAGTAAAGCTCTCCTCAGCAAATGTAAAAGAACAGAAATTATAACAAACTATCTCTCAGACCACAGTGCAATCAAACTAGAACTCAGGATTAAGAATCTCACTCAAAGCCGCTCAACTACATGGAAACTGAACAACCTGCTCCTGAATGACTACTGGGTACATAACGAAATGAAGGCAGAAATAAAGATGTTCTTTGAAACCAACGAGAACAAAGACACCACATACCAGAATCTCTGGGACGCATTCAAAGCAGTGTGTAGAGGGAAATTTATAGCACTAAATGCCTACAAGAGAAAGCAGGAAAGATCCAAAATTGACACCCTAACATCACAATTAAAAGAACTAGAAAAGCAAGAGCAAACACATTCAAAAGCTAGCAGAAGGCAAGAAATAACTAAAATCAGAGCAGAACTGAAGGAAATAGAGACACAAAAAACCCTTCAAAAAATCAATGAATCCAGGAGCTGGTTTTTTGAAAGGATCAACAAAATTGATAGACCGCTAGCAAGACTAATAAAGAAAAAAAGAGAGAAGAATCAAATAGACACAATAAAAAATGATAAAGGGGATATCACCACCGATCCCACAGAAATACAAACTACCATCAGAGATATAGTTTGTTATAATTTCTGTTCTTTTACATTTGCTGAGGAGAGCTTTACTTCCAAGTATGTGGTCAATTTTGGAATAGGTGTGGTGTGGTGCTGAAAAAAATGTGTATTCCGTTGATTTGGGGTGAAGAGTTCTGTAGATGTCTATTAGGTCTGCTTGGTGCAGAGCTGAGTTCAATTCCTGGGTATCCTTGTTGACTTTCTGTCTCGTTGATCTGTCTAATGTTGACAGTGGGGTGTTAAAGTCTCCCATTATTAATGTGTGGGAGTCTAAGTCTCTTTGTAGGTCACTCAGGATTTGCTTTATGAATCTGGGTGCTCCTGTATTGGGTGCATATATATTTAGGATAGTTAGCTCTTCTTGTTGAATTGATCCCTTTACCATTATGTAATGGCCTTCTTTGTCTCTTTTGATCTTTGTTGGTTTAAAGTCTGTTTTATCAGAGACTAGGATTGCAACCCCTGCCTTTTTTTGTTTTCCATTGGCTTGGTAAATCTTCCTCCATCCTTTTATTTTGAGCCTATGTGTGTCTCTGCATGTGAGATGAGTTTCCTGAATAGAGCACACTGATGGGTCTTGACTCTTTATCCAATTTGCCAGTCTGTGTCTTTTAATTGGAGCATTTAGTGCACTTACATTTAAAGTTAATATTGTTATGTGTGAATTTGATCCTGTCATTATGATGTTAGCTGGTTATTTTGCTCGTTAGTTGATGCAGTTTCTTCCTAGTCTCAATGGTCTTTACATTTTGGCATGATTTTGCAGTGGCTGGTACTGGTTTTTCCTTTCCATGTTTAGTGCTTCCTTCAGGAGCTCTTTTAGGGCAGGCCTGGTGGTGACAAAATCTCTCAGCATTTGCTTGTCTGTAAAGTATTTTATTTCTCCTTCACTTATGAAGCTTAGTTTGGCTGGATATGAAATTCTGGGTTGAAAATTCTTTTCTTTAAGAATGTTGAATATTGGCCCCCACTCTCTTCTGGCTTGTAGAGTTTCTGCCAAGAGATCCGCTGTTAGTCTGATGGGCTTCCCTTTGTGGGTAACCCGACTTTTCTCTCTGGCTGCCCTTAACATTTTTTCTTTCATTTCAACTTTGGTGAATCTGACAATTATGTGTCTTGGAGTTGCTCTTCTCGAGGAGTATCTTTGTGGTGTTCTCTGTATTTCCTGAATCTGAATGTTGTAGGCCTTCTTATTGTTAGAAAATTAGTTCAAGTGTCACCCCCTTACAGGGGTAAACACTGACCACTTTCTTTTTATTTTTTCTTCAACATTTAACTTCAGGGGTACATATGCAGGATGTGCAGGTTTGTTACATAGGTAAACATGTGCCATGGTGATTTGTGGCATAGATCATCCTGTCACCAAAGTAGTAATCCCAGCATCCATCAGCTATTCTTCCTGATGCTCTCCCTCCCCCACCCCCACCCCACAGGCCCTGTGTGTGTTGTTCCCTTCCATGTGTCCATGTGGTCTCATTATCATCTATTTATTTAGCTCCCACTTATAAGTGAGAACTTGTGGTGTTTGGTTTTCTGTTCTTGTATTAGTTTGCTGAGGATGATGGCTTCCAATTCCATCCATGTGCCTGCAAAGGACATGATCTCATTCCTTTTTATGGCTGCATAGTATTCCTTGGTGTATATGTACCACATTTTCTTTATCCAGTCTATTGTTCATGGGCATTTAGGTTGATTCTATGTCTTTGCTATTGTGAATAGTGCTGCAATTAACATATATGTGCATGTATCTTTATAATAATATGATGTGTATTCCTTTGGGTATATACCAACTAATGGGATTAATGGGTCAAATGGTATTTCTGCCTCTAGGTTTTTAAGGAATTGCCACACTGTCTTCCATAATGGTTGAACTAATTTATACCCTTCCAACAGTGTAAAAGTGTTCCTTTTTCTCTGCTACCTTGGCAGCATCTGTTGTTTTTTGACTTTTTATTAACCGCCATTCTGACTGGCATGGGAGGATATCTTACTGTGGTTCTTATTTGCATTTCTCTAATGATCAGTGATGTTGAGCTTTTTTTTCGTATGTTTGTTGGCTGCATGTATGTCTTCTTCTGAGACCTGTCTATTCATATCCTTTGCCCACTTTTTAATGGGGTTGTTTTTTCTTGTAGATTTGTTTAAGTTCCTTGCAGACTCTGGCTATTAGATCTTTGTCAGACAAATAGATTGCAAACATTTTCTCCCATTCTGTAGGTTGTCTGTTCACTCTGACAATAGTTTCTTTTGCTGTGCAGAAACACTTTAGTTTTATTAGATCCCATTTGCCAATTTTTGTTTTTGTTGCATTTGCTTTTGGTGTTTTCATCATGAAATCTTTGCCTACACCTGTGTCCTGAATGGTATTGCCTAGATTTTCTTCTAGGGTTTTTACAGTTTTGGGTTTTACATTTAAGTCTTTAATCCATCTTGACTTCATTTTTGTATGTGGTATAAGTTTCAAAGAATTCCCTGCTTGATAAATGGTACTGGGAGAACTGACTAGCACCATTTATTAAACAGGGAATCATTTCCCCATTGCTTGTTTTTGTCAGGTTTGTCGAAGATCAGATGTTTGTAGGTGTGTAGTCTTATTTCTGAGTTCTCTATTTTGTTCCATTGGTCTGCATGTCTGTTCTTGTACCAATACCATGCTGTTTTGGTTACTGTAGCCTTACAGTATAGTTTGAAGTCAGTAGCATGATGTCTCCAGCTTTGTTCTTTTTGCTTACAAATGTCTTGGCTATTCTGGCTCTTTTTTTTGGTTCCATTGAATTTTAAAATAGTTTTCTCTAATTTTGTGAAGAATATCAGTGATAGTTTAATGGGAATAGCATTGAATTTATAAATTAGTTTGGGTAGTATGGCCATTTTCATGATACTGATTCTTCCTATCCATGAACATGGAATATTTTTCCATTTGTTTCTGTCCTCTATGATTTCTTCTGAGCAGTGGTTTATAGTTCTTTTTGAAGAGATCCTTCGCTTCTCTTGTTAGCTGTATTCCTAGGTATTTTATTCTTTTTTGTAGCACTGTGAATGGAGTTCATTCATGATTTGGCTCTCTGCTTGACTTGTTGGTGTATAGGAATGCCAGCTATTTTTGCGCATTGATTTTGTATCCTAAGACTTTGCTAAAGTTGCTTATCAGCTTAAGAAGCTTTTGGACCAAGACAGTGGGGTTTTCTAGATATAGGATCATGTCATCTGCAAACAAAGATAATTTGACTTCCTCTCCTCCTATTTGGATGCCCTTTACTTTTATTTTTTTGGGGGGATGGGGGCAGAGGCAGAGTCTCACTCTGTTGCCTAGGCTAGAGTGCAGTGGTGTGACCTCGGCTCCCTGCAACCTCCACCTCCCAGATTCAAGCTATTCTCCTGCCTCAGCCTCCTGAGTAGCTGGGATTAACAGGCACCCGCCACCACACCCAGCTAATTTTTGTATTTTTAGTAGAGAACAGGTTTCACCATGTTGGCCAGGCTGGTCTTGAACTCCTGACCTCAAGTGATCCGCCCACCTCAGCCTCCCAAAGTGCTAGAAATCCTTTACATCTTTCTCTTGCTTGATTGCCCTGGCCAGAATTTCTAATACTATGTTGAATAGGAGTGGTGAGAGAGGACATCCTTGTCTTGTGCCGGTTTTCAAGGGGAATGCTTCCAGCTTTTGCCCATTCCGTATGATATTGGCTGTGAGTTTGTCATATATGGCTCTTATTATTTTGAGGTATGTTCCTTCAATACTTAGTTTATTGAGAGTTTTTAACATTAAGGAATGTTGAATATTATCTAAGGCCTTTTCTGCATCTATTGAGATAATCATGTGGTTTCTGTCTTTACTTCTGTTTATATGATGAACCACATTTATTGATTTGCATATGTTGAACCAACCTTGTATCCAAGTGATGAAGCCTGCTTGATTGTGGTGGATTAGCTTTTTGATGCGCTGCTGGATTTGGTTTGCCACATTGACCGCTTTCTCAAAAAATGTGTTAAACAGTATGAAATCACTGATTTTTGACCATTCTTGACCTAAAATGACCTACAAATAGGTTAAACTCTCCTTACTACTCCTTCATTCCCCATCAGCACATCTTCCATACCATCTTAACTATTAAATATTGACATTATTTCATTTGCAATTATATGCGTATGTTGAGAATAATAGAATTCTTATGTTAGAAAGTAAGCTTCAAGAGTGTGGATACTCAGTCTTTCTTCTTCATTTCTGTATTCCCAGCACCATGTAGGTCCTCTTCAGGTAGTTGGTAGATGGTGTGTGAATGAAGACACTAGTAACACCAGACTCAGTGTGCCATCTTTCAGAGGGTTAATTTAGTTCTTTTATTTATTCTTTAATCTGCCAATGTACTATCTGTATATTGCAGGTATGGCTCTGTGTCAGAAATGACATATAGATTCTGTCTCTTGTCAGTGGGTACTGTATGCTGCAGCACTGTGTTGAAAAGGCCTCTGAAGCTGCCTTCAGACTCAGCAAAAAGAGTGCCATGATTGACCAGCAGTACCCTCCATGGGTAAGGTGTTTGCTGTTCCCATTCCAAGGAATTTAACTGTGTGTAGAAAGTTTTGTCAGTGCAGATCAGGACAGTCTCAGCTTGCTGTCTAATTACAAGTTCATGGTGCTTTCCTGTCTCTGTGAAGCTGTCATACCTTCTTACATATGCACTTTGAAGGCCACTTACTGATATCCAGTGGGTTCTATGCAACTTACTTGAACATTTCCAATAGTATTTTTGTGCTTGAATTTTCAGTTTACTTAAAAAGCATAAAATATTCTAGGGCCTGGTGTGGTGGTTCACGCCTGTAATCCCAGCACTTTGGGAGGCTGAGGTGGGTGGATCACCTGAGTTCAGGAGTTTGAGACCAGACTGGCCAACATGGTGAATCCCTGTCTCAACTAAAAATACAAAAATTAGCTGGGCATGGTGGCGCATGCCTGTAATCCCAGCTATTGGGGGGCTGAGTCAGGAGGATTGCTTGAACCTGGAAGGCAGAGGTTGCAGTGAGCCAAGATCGTGCCATCTCCAGCCTGGGCAACAGAGCTCAAAAAAAAAAAAAAAAAAAAGAGCATAAAATATTCTAATTAAGTCTCTAGATACTTTTAATATGACTGCCTAAAGTTCATTAAGACAATTAGACATGTAATGCAAGACTGCTTTATATTACTAAGATAGGTCAGATAGGACACATCTTTTTTTTTTTTTTATTTAGTAAGCTTCTTTAAATAGTTGTGGTTGCTTAACACCTTCTAGAAGTTACCCTAGGTTTTCTAGAATAAAAGGCTTGGCCGGGCACGGTGGCTGACATCTGTAATCCCAGCACTTTGGGAGGCCAAGGCGGGTGGATCAAGAGATCAGAAGTTCAAGACCAGCCTGACCAATATGATGAAACCCCGTCTCTACTGAAAATACAAAAAATTAGCCGAGCATGGTGGCACATGTCTGTAATCCCAGCTACTCGGGAGGCTGAGGCAGGAGAATCACTTGAAACCAGGAGGCAGAGGTTGCAGTGAGCTGAGATCATGCCACTGCACTCCAGCCTGGGTGACAGAGCGAGACTTCGTCTCAAAAAATAAATAAATAAAAAGTAAAAAATAAAAGGCTTATGGTACAGACATGGAGAAAATATATTGTCCCACACTTACTGTAAGCTGCTTGTTGTTTTCAATTTATATCAACATGGAAAAATGCTCCAAAGCATATTATTAAATTAAAACATGGATTCTGTGATTGGAACTGTTTAAATTGTGAATCCAATAGCCACTCAGTGAAAAAGACCTGGCCTGATGCATCATTCTCCCGAGACAGACCCCTTGAGAATTTTCTTTCCTCTTAATTCTGATAGCCAAGTAAGTTGGGTTCAGGGAAAAAGTTAGTTATGAACACTCTGGGAACATTGTTTGGCATACTTAAACATGATGCAATATTGAAAATGAGTTGTCCAGCACACTCCTCTAGGCTCCTGTCCAGTTTCTAATTCGCATTCCCTAAGACAAAGGAGGCAGACGGCAAACCTGCCTTTGTCCAGCATTTCCCTGCAGGAGCTTGTGTCCCAGTCAGATTGGCATGCTCTTTTCCCAGCTGTAGCACGTGCCTTCCCTGTTCACTGCCACCACGCCAAGTAACCACCATTCATACTCCATCTGAGATCTAAGCTTGCCCAAGGATCAGTGTGATTCATTTCACATAAACACCATTTCTGTCTCTTACCAGGTGCTCTGTGATGTTCACTTGTTTAACTGGCTAGGGCAGTGGAAAGCTTTCTCCAGCTGAGTGATCTCCCTATTCTCCCACTGTCTATAGGCCATCTATTTCATTTCTATTTTATCCTACTACCTCGTAACATCTGTTCTATTTTGTAACCTAATGCCATAGAGTTTTTATGTTGCACTTATATTAGATTCTAACTTTTGATGTGCGTGCGCAGAACCATAGTCACTTTAACTAGATTCCATGTTCCTGGAAGCAGGAGAAGAATCATTCTTTGTATTTTCAAAACAGATAAAATAGGTAGCAGATTGCTAAGCATGTGGAAGTTTCTTGGTTAAATAATTGCAGAAGGATAGAAATAGAAGAAGAGAGAGATGGAACGAGGAAGGGAAAGGAAGAGGGAGGCAAAAGATAAAAGAAGACAGGATGTGGCTGTTCCTGAAACACCAGAGTCTGGTACAGTGCTTGTTTAAAAATAGATGCCAAAAACATGCTTGACTAATATAGAGAGATATTCTATCTTGCAAAAAGCATCCTAACGTTGCAAATCCGGTAATGCCCCTTTTAGTTCTCTATACCTCTCCATATATACAAAGCATCTCTTCAGATTCCACTTCCAAAAGGCAGATTCATAAGGATACCAATCCTAACTTAAAAACAAAGCCAATAATGTAAAAAAAAGGCATCAGTATATGGATTAATCTTCATTCATCTAACCTCCAGTGCTAATGGACCTCATCTTTAAGATGGTGCATATTTTATACCAATATTAACCACATAATCATTGATTTAGAAGTTACTTGTCAGATTTCAAATCTGATAACAAGGATCTCTTAAAATATAAGTATCGTAGAGTTGAAAATCAACAACTGACATTTAATTTTTTTTTATAGAAACACATGTATATATATTTTTAAGGAGAGAGATCATCCAAGTAGAGGGATATTTTTAATTCAGTGAACTAAACTCCTTCTACTCCCAGGTACAGACAAACTGGCAGAATGAGATATTTCTGAAAAAAGGAGCCCCAGTAACCCTTGTGATCAGTGCACCATCAGGACAGATTCACAGGCTGTCCAGAATCCAGAGGAGGGAGCGTGTGTGTGTTGTGCATGCAGGTGTATCGGCTAGACTTTACAAATAAAAGTACACACTTCCAGGCAGGCGCTCTTGCAGTCCTAGTAGATGTGATTTCAGGGTCAAACAAGTCAAGTCCATCCACATTTATTGAGTGTTTAATGTGATGTTCAGGAGTGTGGCGAATACAAAAGAACTTGCAGCCCAGCATTTTATTTTGTGTGGGTGCAGCCTGTTAACACCTCCTCTTTTCCTTTAGGACACTGCTGTCACCCACCCACCCAAAGTAATGTCCCCATTTTACCTGGCCATTTGGAGATGTAAGTTTTTCCTCATAATTACAAAGGTACTATCTGATCACTGCCAAAAATTTATTAGATACATAAAAACACACAAGCAAAATCAAACAATACACAATCTTTTTATTTATTCATTATTATCATTTTTTAACTTATTTAAAAAAATAAGATACAAGGTCTCACTATATTGCCCAGCCTGGTTTTGAACTTCTGGGCTTAAGTCATCTGCCTACCTTGGCCTCCCAAAGTGCTGGGATTGCAGGCGTGAGCCACTCGCCCAGCCAAACAACACATAATCTTACCATTAACAAAACAGATCTGTTGTTCACATTATGGTGTTCGTCCTTCCAGTGTTTTTAAAATTTAAGATAATATGATTTTCATATACAATGTTGACATTCTGGTTTTAAATGTATATATATACACACACATATATATTTCTATATATATTTATATTCATATATAAGTAATAAATAAATATACATATTATATATAATATACTTACATATATAAATATAAATATATATGACTCCCTGTGTCCATATCTATATATATATACACACACATATGCATTTATATATATATATAGAGAGAGAGAGAGAGAGAGAGAGAGAGAGATAAAATATATATATGAGGGCAGAGTGGTTTAGCTGATTATAAACTGGGATTACTGACATGATGGCATCCAACCCTCCAGTATCTGTTTTCATGAGCTGATATGATTGGAGACAAGTTGTGATCACAGGGTACTGGGGCAGAAGCAGAAAAGTAGGAAATGGAGACCTGAATGTGTTTGTTCGAGGTTTGAACTTCTCTAAGAAGTCCTTCCCTGTCCTTAGGTCACAAAGACAGTCTTCTGCATTGTCTTCTGATAACACTATAGCTTTTACGTTTCACATCTAATGTATCTAGTACTCATTTTGTATATGATGTCAGGGAGGAATTCGGCTTCCTTTTTCCCCAGTTAGTGAGCCAGCATCACAAACACCATCCACTAAACAAGGGGTCCCCAGCCGCCAGGGCCATGGGCTGGTACTGGTCTGTGGCCTGTTAAGAACTGGGCCACACAGCAGGAAGTGAGCGGTGGGTGAGCAAGTGAAGCTTCATCTGTATTGATAGCCACTCTCCAACACTCACATTACCACCTGAGCTCTGCCTCCTATCAGATCAGCAGTAGCATTAGATTCTCTTAGGAGAACAAACCCTATTGTGAACTGCACATGTGAGGGGTCCAGGTTGTGTGCTCCTTGTGAGAATCTAATGCCTGATGATCTGTCACTGTCTCCCATCACCTCCAGATGGGACCATCTAGTCCCAGGAAAACAAGCTCAGAGCTCTCACTGATTCTATGTTAGGGTAGGTTGTATAATTGTTTCGTTATATATTACAATGTAATAATAATAGAAATAAAATGCACAGTAAATGTAATGCGCTTGAATCATCCCGAAACCATCCCCCCACTACTCCCAGTCTGGAAAAATTGCCTTACGTGAAACTGGTCCCTGGTGCCAAAAAGGTTGGGGACTGCTGTACTAAACAACTCATCCTTTCCCAGGGGATTTACGAGGCTACAACTGCCATCTATGATGGAGCCATGGGCCTATCTGGATCTGTCTCTAAGCTCCCCATTTTGGCCAGTCTGTCTGTTCTTGCGTCAATATTGCATGCTATTATTACTGTGGCTTTATAATCTCTTAAGAAATCTGCTAGACAAATTCTCACACTTTACTCTTCTTTTTCAAAGTTGAGTTAGTTACTCTTGGATATTTGTTCTTCCATAGAAAATTTAATCTAAGATTATTGAGTTAAAAAATACACCGGAATTTTTATTAAGATTACATTTAATTTGTAGATTAATTTGGGGGAGAATTTACATCCTCATATTATATTATTCCATGACAAAACATGGAATGTCTTTGCATTTAATAATAAAATCTCCTATAGCTTTTAGTAAAGTTAAGCAATCTTCACCATATTGTAGTTTTTCAATATTATAAATATAAAAATTTCCAGACATATAGAAAATTTTTAGAAGTATAGTTAACACTTATATAACCCCCACCTAGATCCTGTCACTACTATTCTACATTTTATTTACCCAATAAAAGTTTGCATATCTATTCATCTATCTCTGTATCTGTTTATTAATTTATCTCATTTTGGGTGCATTTCAAAGTAAATTGTAGACATCAGTATACTTTCCCAATACTTGAGCATTTATATCCCTAAATAGAGGTCAACAATTATTCTGTTGATAAGTCCATTTATAGGAACATCCAAATGGACAAAGCTTATCCACAGTGAAAAAAATCATAACAATGAAATCATACAGTATATAGTTTTTTTGTGTAAAGCTTTTTTTCACTTGGCATAATGTTTTTTGAGATGCATCCATGGTCTTGCATCAGTAGAAATTAGTGACTTTTTATTGTCAATCAGTATTCCATTCTATGAATTTGTTATTCTTTTCTCTTATTGGTGGACACTTGAGCTATGTCCAGTTTTTTGGATTTTATGAATAAAGCTGCTATGAACATCCTTGTTCAAGTCTTTGGGTGAACATATGTTTTCATTTCTTTTGGGTAAATAACCTAGACATGAAATGGCTGGAACATGGATTTATGTTTAGTTAGTTTTATAAAAATAAACTGTCAGAACTTTACCCAAAGTGGTTGTATTATTCTATATTCTCACCAAAATTAATGAAAGTTTTAATTGCTCTGCAACCTCAGCACACTTAATTTTGATATTTAAAAAATATAATTATCCATTTTGGCAGCATGTAGTGGTATCTCATTATGGTTTCAGTTTTCATTTTCCTGGTGATCTGTGGTGTATAACATTTTTTCTTGTGCTTATTGACCATTTAAGTATCTTCTTTTGAGAAAGGTCTGCTCAAAACTTTTGTGGATTTTTTTTTGTAAAAAAATGGATAGGACATTTTCACTGAATATAGAATTCTAGAGAGCCAGCTATTTTCTTTCAATACTTTATTATGACCTTGCATCTTCTTTTGGTTTCCGTTAGAAGTGAGGGGTTGATTTTAATGTTGTTCTTCTGAGAATAATATATCTTTTTTCTCTAGATGACTTAAAGATTTTTCTCTTGATTTTTGTTTTTCAGCACTTATAACTGAGATATGTTTTTGTATTTATTTGGAGAATTTCCTTAGAGCTTCTTGAATCTTGATGTTTTTACCATATGGAATTTTTTGGTTATTATATTTTTACATAGTTTTACTGTAACACTGAAAAATAAAATTGTTGCTTTATCCATTTCTTCCTGATGTTCTGTCAGTGTTACTTGATATAGTTTAAGGCTGCATTTAGGTATATGGGTGCATATGAGTTCTATATTTTCTTCTTCTTCTTTCAACTGACTTACCAGACACCTCCTCTGAGTCCCTTTCATGTTTTTCATTTATATTATCTGTCAGATATTGATTACTTTTGCTTAAAATTTGCTTCTTTTAACTTTTCCCATCCTTTCTCTGTCTTCTTTTAAAACATTCTCTTGCAGACAATATACTACTAACTTTTGTTCTTGTTAAGTCAAATCCGAAGATTTCCATCTTTTAATATGCAAGTTTAACCCATTTACATTTATTGATTACTATTTTTTTATTATACTTTTCATTCTAGGATACATGTGCAGAAAGAACATGCAGTTTTGTTACATTGGTGTACATGTGCCATGGTAGTTTGCTGCACCTATCACCCTGTCATCTAGGTTTTAAGCCATGCATGCATTAGGTGTTTGTTGTAATGCTCTCCCTCCCCTTGTCCCCACCCCGCAATAAGCCCCGGTGTGTGATGTTCCCTCCCTGTGTCCATGTGTTCTCATTGTTCAACTCCCACTTATGAGTGAGAACATGCGGTGTTTGGTTTTCTGTTCCTGTGTTAGTTTGCTGAGAAAGATGGTTTCCAGCTTCATCCATGTCCCTGCAAAGGGCATGATCTCATTCTTTTTTATGGCTGCATTGATTACTATTATATTATAAATTGGTTTTGCAATTCTATTTCATGTTCACTTACATTTGCTCTATTTTGCTTTTGTTTTCTTCTTCTATCTATTTTCTTTAGATAAATTGAATTTTCTTCTGCTGGTTTAAAAGCTAAACATTTCTTTCTTGTCCTTATGTGTTCAGTCTGTAACCTAAAACTGTTCATGATTATTTACATGTATTGATTTTTTAAAAAGCCAACAATATATTTATCTTCCCACTAACTAGTAAGTATTTGGACAAGCTCTCTTGTCCTTTTGATCCCCCTCACTTTTCCACTCTTCTCCCTATCAAGTTACTATTATCTAGAATTTTAGCTGAGGGTTGTAATGGATATTATTTTTCCCCCATTTTCTGTTTTTTCATCAACTTGCCACCCCGACAGCACCCTGTTGGTACCAGTGACCTGGACTTTTGCTGTTGACTTGGAGAAGGAGCAGCAAGGCTAGTCTCAGGACAACTCAGGGAAGGAGTGAAGGTGGAAACCAAACTCTTCCTTCACCTTCCTTCATCTCATTGCTGCCACCAGCCACCTGCCTCTCTCATACATTAGTTCAACACAACCTTCAGTCACCTCAGGGTGTTCTCGCTTTTAAAAAGTGCATGGAATTTATACTTTCCTCTTGCTTCTGTAACTCCTGTAGGGTTGGCCCTGGGAAGAAATCTGATAGTCCATATTTCTTTATAGAATAGGGCATGACTCTTTTGGGGGAAAGAAGGCCTGAATAGAGCAGAATCTTCACTGGAACTGTTTTATGGCTTTGAGGGTATCAGAGAGAATGCAGTGCAGGATTATTGTTGGAGGGGCCAGTGCAGCCCCACTTAACTAATTTAGGGGAAGGAGAGGACAACAAAGAGATAGGAATGAAAGGATTTTGACAATTTTTTTTCTGAATATGTGAGTAATTTCCCGGGAACGCCCCTTCAAGAACCTGAGGGAAGTCTGAAGAAGCTGAAAGGAGATGGGTATGGATGGAGGTTCTCCCTGAAGTTCTACAGCTACCCAGGTGGGGGTTATTAAGCCTGTGAAATTTGAATATTAATGTTATATCTTTATGGTATTAGCTAGTATATACTAAGCGTGTTCTAATTGTTCTCTCTATATATATATTTCCTCCTTCCCTTCAACCTCTCATAACTGAATTGAAGGCTCCAAGAAGTGCAGGATTCTTTACAGTCTTATTGACTGCTACATCCCCAGTGCTGGGCACATAATAATAAATGCTCAAATATTTGTTGAAATTGTATTGAAACCGAAGATTTTCTTTACTAAATTTATGCTCCTATCAGGCATGTATGGGAATATCTATTTTTCCAAACCTTTACCAAATCATGTTATTATTGCTTTTTGTAAGTATTGAAGATTGGATAATTACAAAATGAAATCTCATTTTTATTTTTTATTTGTATTTGTCTGATTCTTTTTGTAATTGAATATTTTTATATGCATTTTTCTGATGCTTTTCATAATTGATAGTTGTCACAGATTTTGTTGTTTTATTTTAAATGTATTTTAAAATGTATTTTTAATATTATTTTTGATTGGAAAATCACAATTATGTATATTTTGGGGGTACAATGTGATGTTTTGATAAATGTATACAGTGTGGCAAGATTAAAACAAGCTAATTAACATCATTTCTACTGTGAATTTCCTGTTCTTTTGTCTGTTTTCTATTGGAGTGTTCATTGTTTTCATACTGATTTTAAGAGTTCTTTTTATAAGGATAGCATCTATTTGTTATACATTTATATTGAAAGCATTTTTTGTTGTTTATCATTTGGCATTCAATTTTGTTTTTCAATTGTTAATTTTTTACATCTCAAGTCTATCAAAAAAAGTTATATTTATGTTCCAAACATTTATTTAAATTATCTTCTAACTCACTTGTCTATTAATTTTTTTTCTTTTTATTTACATTTCACACTAAAATATTTTACGTAAATAGTTAACTGATTATCCTGGGACCATTTTCCTTTGGCATCGTTTCCCCACGCTAATTTGAAATTCTCATATTATCATGCTCTAAACACAATGAATTCAAACATTATAACTTTTAATGAGGAAATTGAAGCACAGGAAGAGTAAGTATCTTGTCCCAAGTGGTGGGGCAAGGCTTAAACTTGGGCAGGCTGACTCAGTAGGCTGCACTCCACTGACTGAAGGGTATTAATAGAATAACTCGTTTAGCCTTTGTCATAAGAAATTTCCTGAAACATAATAGATAAGCGAATACAATGACATTACTGTGCATACTGCTCTGTTCAACAAGTGGAAGGCCCTGCTTTGCCTGTCTTTGAAGACAGAGGCAATGGCACGCTCCTTTTTTGTGTGCTGCACTTCTTCGGGCCACAGCAGTTTTATGTCAATTATTTATTTCCCAAATTTCTTATCAGGCCAGGCGCAATGGCTCATGTCTGTAATCCCCTTTGGGATGCTGAGGCGGGTCATCACCTGAGGTCAGGAGTTCGAGTCCAGCCTGGCCAACATGGTGAAAACTGTTCTCTACTAAAAATACAAAAATTAGCTGGGTGTAGTGGTGCACGCCTGTAATCCCAGCTACTGGGGAGGCTGAGGCAGGAGAATCACTTGAACCCGGGAGGCGAAGGTTGCAGTGAGCCGAGATCGTGCCGTTGCACTCCAGCCTGGGCAACAAGAGCAAAACTCCATCTCAAAATAAACAAACAAATAAATAAATAAATAAATAAATAAATAAATAAAATAAAAATAAATAAAATAAAATAAATTTAATTTAAAAAATGTCTTATCAGAAAGACACATTTGTAGCTACAGACACTGGATCAAACAAAGCAGCTGAGCAAAGGACTTCAAAATTTAGAATGGTTTCAAAGCAAAAAGTCATGAGTTGGTGGCAGTTAGTGTGGCAAAAGTTGCCATTTGAAATAAAAATGCGGACTCCCACCATGCTGCTCTGAATCTGTCTGAAGGGAGATGTGATTACAAATGTCTGAAGTGGCTCCAGCAGCCCTGGTCATTCCAAAGTAGGCAAGTTCTCGGGTTAACACAGAGCAGTCTAGGAGTCCTGAGATTTCCAAAGTTGCTTCTTCCTGAAGATCACAGAGTTTGCAGTGACACACTTTCTTGTAAGAAAGGCCAGGAAACAATACACGGAAGTTACCTCTGAAGATTTGGGGGACCCTCCCTGACATCCATTTAAAACAGAACCTTGGATATCCCTAAAATAGGTCTAGGCTTCAGCCAGCTCCTGTAATATCTATTAGCATTTGCTTTGCTTTTACTTATAAAGAGGCAAAGCGTGAGGTTACTGACCCTAGGTGATTTGCGGCCCTTCCCCAAGCTATGGCTTCCATTAGCATTACTGATGCACAAATGTGGGCCCTGGGAGTCAGAAGGCCAAAGGCAAAATACTCCATCCCATTATCCCATTAGTGCAGGGGCAAGAGTCTGTGCATCAGGAGAGTCCTTCGATCTCTTGGTCCCAGAGGGAGTGATGTTTGGAAGAGCCACTCTCCACCAGGCAGGCTGTGTCATTAATAAACCTTGATGTCTATGAGACACACAAGACCCAGGATCAGGAGGCTATCCCAGCATGATGGCCTCAGAGCATGTTCAGCCACACACCCAATTCTCAAGCTTTCCCAGGGTTGCTGGCTTTGCTGCCTGCACAGGGAGCTCCCTGCCCTGCTACCTCATAAAGAAACTTCTGTGGGAGAGAATTAGTGGGAGTAAACAATCACAGATCTGCAAAAACATGATGAGAACTGCTGGTCTCAATTCTGAGGTCCAGAGAGGAAAGTGATCTCTCCAACATTACACAACTTGGTGGCAAGGTCTGAACGTCCCATTCTGCAAGGTGTGCACCCTGGTGTGCTGAGTGACCTGTGCCTGTGGGTTCCACTGAGTGACCTCTCCTTGTGGGTTCCACTGATTTTGGCTTTAGAACAGTGCTCTGAATGAGGAGTCCTCTACTAGGGGAGAGCAAAGCAGGCAAGGAATTGCAGTGCTCAGGGCTCGCCACCTGCTGATGTCCTCATGGCCTTGCCTACCTCATCTCTTTCTCCAACACCTCAGTCACTTCTGGGCTCTACTTTCCATCCTGTCCATCCACTCTGAGACCTGCCAGGCCATCTGTCCTGACCTCTTCTTCTGGATGTGATGGAACGATATCTGGTAGAGAAGTTGGAGCAATGGGTGGTGGGCCAGGGAGACACGAAGAGCACTCATCATGAGTCACAGACTCGGCACAACCTCCTTCCTATGTGCAGGGCACCCCTGCTGCCTCTCACTGAAGCACCTGCACTGTGATCACTTCCAATACCGAGCCATGGTCAAGCCTGTTGAATGGCAGAGTCATCATCTTCTAGACTCAAAGGAAGATCTTAGTTTAGGCAAGAGAAAACATAAATCCTCAAAAGATAATTAATACGGAACACAAGGCTGACTGTCAGCCACTGAATCCTAAGCAAAGATGAAACCTTGTTAAATAAAATGCAGTGTCAAAGAGACTGACCATTCCGATGCAATCATCTGGAATTGAAGTTCCACTGCTTGCCTGGGGTCAGCTGAGTCACAGAAAAAGCCATTACGTGAGGCAGATTATGATACTTCTCGATCTTCTCCAACCTGAAAGACTCTTCAGACACCTCCAGGAAGGTTCTGAGGCGTGTGGTTCTCTCAGACCAGTCAGTGACTAAGGCAGATTCCTCTTCCCTTCCTTCATACTCTCTCTCTTTTTTTTTTTTTTTTTTTTTTGAGATGGAGTCTCGCTCTGTCGCCCAGGCTGGAGTGCAGTGGCGTGATCTCGGCTCACTGCACGTTCTGCCTCCCGGGTTCCAGTGATTCTCCTACCTCAGCCTCCTGAGTAGCTGGGACTACAGGCACCCTTCACCACGCCAGGCTAATTTTTTGTATTTTTAGTACAGATTGGGTTTCATCGTGTTAGCCAGGATGGTCTCGATCTCCTGACCTCGTGATCCGCCTGTCTCGGCCTCCCAAAGTGCTGGGATTACAGGCGTGAGCCACCGCACCCGGTCCCTTCCTGCATACTCTTATTCATGCAATAGACACATAGTTATTTTACCTCTAGTCAGGTAAAAATTTATGATGCACCAGAATGATCTGGAGGGCTGTTCAAACACAGGTTGCCAGATCCCAGCCATGCGTTTCTGACTCCAGAGGTCTGGAGTGGGGCCTGAGAATGTGCATTTCTAACTAGCTCCCACTGCTGGTGCCCACACTGTGAGAAGGAACCGCTGATCCAGGTGCCAAGTCCCAAAGACTTGAGTGCATGTTATCTTAGTTTGTTTTCTATCAGAAGCTGAAAACTGCAACCAGGATTCCAGGGCAGCAAGTTTATTTGGGAGTTGATCCTAAGACGCCCTGGTAGGGGACTGGCGATATGAGAAAGTGAAAGAAAGGAAAGAGATAAAGTTTGAGTTCTTGACCACCAGCCACCCTCTGGAGAGTTAGGGGAAAGAGTAGACCATGCCTCTGTGTTCCTTATAGAGGGCCAGGGGTCACTCCTGTCAACCACTGGTTGAGGGCTGCTCCTGGAGGGCGTGGCCTGCCTTGAGTCTGTGGCCCAGCCCTCACTCAGGCAGAGCAGGCTCAGGGCAGAGAACACCCCTAGGCCAAGCATGTCCTGTGCCATGCCTACGTGTTCATTAGGAGTGCCTGGAGTGGGGACCTTGGGCAGGCAGTGACAGGGGCTGCCATGCAGGCCTCCTAGTTCCATTTGGGAAAATTAATGATATGCACAGAAATGTTTTATAATTCCAGGCAGAGACTATTAAAATTTCAAAATAAATTGCCATGTTAAAAATTTCCTGTGCAATTTTGGGACGTAGAGTCGGGTTTTGGTTTTTGTCCCCAAGCACTTTAATTCTCTAGGAAAGAAAACCACCAGACTCTTCTCTGAGGCACTAGCCACCATGGAAACAGAATACCTATTTCCAAAATTAGGACAGAAACTGTGGAGCCCTCTCCACCCCAGCACCACGCACATCACCACCTCCACAGTCATAACCTCCAAACAAGCAGTGCACGTGTGCACACAGGCAGACATGGACACACATGCACACACACACACACATATGTATGCACACACAGACATGCACACACATGCACAATGCATGCATGCACACACACACGCGCGCACAATGCATGCATGAATGCACACATACACATGGCCATTGAGCTTGTTGAGCTAATTTCTTTTGTCCTTCTCCAGTCCCAGGCTCTGTGGCTACATCTGATTTCTCCAGCCCCTGCCATACCCATCCCCAGGTAACTGGCCTCTGCCCAACCCCACTTGGCTCCTCTTTTCTGTCACTGATGGTGACATGAACTTGGTCTGTGAGATCGGGGTTGGGGGGTGAAGAGCTCAGATGCCGGTGTTAGACTGAACTCAGTTTTAGTCAGGCCTCCACAGCTCACATCTGTGTGACCTTCAGTCAAGTTGCATGGCCTTTTAAACTTCAAATTTCTCATCAGCTAAGGGAACAGGACAATTGTTCCCTCTTCATGAGATTGTTGCAAGGATTAAATGCCTGGGACTTCTTAAGTGTTGACTAAATATTAGCCCCTAAAATAATGAGCTCAATTGCATAGAGCTGTTGTAAAGATTAAATAATACAATGCCTATAAAGTGACCAATGCATTTCCCAAGTCACAGTAGTCACTCAGAAATAGTAGATGTCGTTAATAATCATTACCTTCTGAGAGCAATTGTGAGGGAGGTATTTGTACACAAGTTATGCTAAATTCAATGCAGGATGATTTTGATCCTAAAAGATTACCCAGGTCCTCCAAGTCAATACTCATCTCTGCCCTGAGGCCCAGAGCATGTGGGCAGTGTTTGATGGCCCCATTTTTGGAGGGCAGGGTAACCAGCACCCTCTCCACTACCAGCATTCTGCCTACAGATAGCAATTCCTCATTCATAATAAATATGCTTTTGCTTTAAGAACACACATAATAGCATGCCTTACTGACTCAAGTAAACATTTCACTGTCTTTGTAGACCATGAAATTACTCAAATTTTAATCTACTGGTTCTACTAAGATAAAAACTTCAAATTTAATAGGTTCCACAAAAGTAAGTAATTCATGAGTATGTTTTAAAACTCTCTGAAGCCAGAAGAAAAAGTGAAATGGTGTGTTAGGAAAACCATCCAAGTCCCAGATGGAGGATTCAGGATGTGAGGACTCCCAGCCATCCCTGGTGGATTGGGTCTGCAATTGGACTGCCTTACAAAGAAAAGTCCCCTCTGGTGAGTCTCTGGCTACTGCTCCCCTGAGTTATATATGTCAAATTCCCAATGTTCTTAGGCAAAACACCAGCTGGAACAAAATATGCACCTGAAAATATATATCCCAGCATCAAGTCAGAAGCTTTGTGTAATCATATTGGAAAATCCTGAAGGAAGTGACACTATTGTATTCCTTGTGTGTCCCATCACAGTGCCTAGCACCATGCTGGGACAGGACGGAAACATGATCACAGCTGCTTAATTTCTGGATATATCTGATATCAGAGAGACATGAAATGCTTAACTTCAAATTAAGATTCCAAAGGGAATCTTAAGTCTATCTTTAAGGTGTAATTGACAAGTATGAAGTTCACTTACCAACCGACAGCTTGATGAGTTTGTAGCTATCTGTGCAGCATCACCCAGATCAATGTTTAGGATATACCCATCACCCCAGAAACTTCTTTCAGTCCCCTTTCCTCTCAATGCCTCCTCTCCATCCTCCCAGAACCACTATTTTGTCATGTAGCACCGACAGTCTTGAACGTTGGGGTTATATAGTATGAATGCTTTTGTTTCTGGCACCTGTTGTTTGACATAATATTTTTGAGATTCACTCACACTGCTGCAAGTTTCAGACACTGCTTCTTCTTTATACCTGAGTCATATTCCTTTATGTGGATATAGCATAATTTGTCTATCCATTCACCGGTCAATGGACATTTGGTCTGGTTTTAATTTTTAGCTGTTATAAATAAAGGCATACATGAATATTCTTGCACATGTCTTTTTTGAGGACATACATACTCATTTCTCTTGGATAAATGTCTAGGAGTACTATTGCTGGATCAGAGAGTAGGATCATAGTCAACTTTATTAGAAACTGCCAAACAATTTTCCAAAATGTTGATCCCATTTTACACCCCACCAACAGTGCATGAGAATTCCAGTTGCTCCACATTCTCTCAAATTCAAGCACAGGTTTTTAAAGGTCAACTGATTGTCTGTTTCCTGTGTCTACTCCCTGTGCCTGCAGCAAATGCTTACCATTTCTCGATGGCCTCCTATATGCCTATTAAGCAAACATTTACTTTAAATGTCACAACCCTGCGAAGCAGGTATTTTTATTTCCTTTTAACAGACCAAGAAAGTTAAGTAATACTCTCTTCTCACCGTTAATAACCCTCTGCACTAGGATTCAGTGTCTGTGCTCTTAGCTTTGGGTGATGGCCAAGGAGAGAGGCAGGAAGAGCCTCAGAGAACCTTTCTGTCTTCCACCTAAACTTGCTGTTTGCAGAGCAGGGGCTGAGGCATGAAGACCTGTGCACTTGTATGAGGATACCAATTTAAAGCCTGTTTATCAAGCAAGGTTTGGTCTCATTTCTCCCTGCAGTCAGATATAAATATAAGTCCTGTAATAAAAGGGCTTGTCTCAAAGACCTGCAAGAAAAATGTCATCATTTACATTGCTTATTTCTTTTAACGTATGTGAACACAGATTTCAGTTTCTAACATCACACTGAAATTAGTTTTGCCACGTTGAAGGTAACTTATAAAAACAGTGAGATGACTTTTGGGTAAAAATGCCTTGAAAACTCACATGTTGGTGGTTCTGGAGCAGCAGTCTGCAAGGTTGTTGAAAAGAATCAGGTGAGGGGTGTGAGCAGGTATCTTGGGAAGGCCACACATCTTCTAAATCGATGGTGCTAATCCAGGTGGGTTAGTAGAGAACTGCTCCCTAAATTGGAGCCTGCAGCAGGGATGGCCTGAGTAGACACTGTCACAATTCTGAAACAAATAGAAAGAGTGTTTGGTTTTGGTCGATACAATACATGATACAATTTATTTTTAAGTCATGGGGGAAGACCTGACTCTTCTTCATCACCTACTAGGCACACTACTGGGCACTTACACATACTCTCTGATTTAATCTCCACTCTGGCCCCATAAGGGAGGGATTTTTATTTTCTTTTTCAGTTGAGGAAGTCAAAGTTTAGAGAGGTTAACTAATTTTCTCATGGCCACACAACCATGGCAGACCTGCAATTTCACTGAGCTGTGTCTAACTCCAAAGCCAAAACCCGGTCTATTATACTACACTACCTCCAAAACAGAAGTTTTTGTTATATGTTTTGGTAAATTAAGGTTATTGGAGTTAAAAAAAATCATGAGTGTTTAAATAGCCAACGTTCCTCCTACATGTATAATATGAACCAAATTTATATTGAACAAAAATTATACCGAACACTGTCTGGATAACATTCACTATTTGTGTGAGGTCTTCTTGTCTACAGAAGAACATGACTCTATAGACACAAGAGCCTGGAAAACAATCCTAGTAAATCAGAAAGTAAAGCAAAAGCTGTTCACTAAGGGTCCACATGAAAACCAAGACTTTAATACCTAGGATCCAACTAATCAAGGTCATCAATTAACCAGACCCCTCTTCATACCATCGATGGCAAATTATAAAAAGGAAATGGAAAGATCTATTCCTAAATCTCAATCCTAGAGTCTATGAGGGTTTTATTTATACCTAGCCCAGCTTCTACATCTACTAAATCTAAGTGAATGATCTGATAATCGACAGTCAGAAATGATGGCCGTGAATTACTGCTGACCTTCCAACATCAAAGGAAGATTCCACTGCATTCACTCTTCTGTGCTTATGAAGATAGAATGGAGCAGTACATTTTGAAAATATTTTCAGTCACAAGGATTGAAGTGGAAAGGATCTGTTACTTAACTCTCAGTTACCTAGAACATGGAATTAATCAAAATACTCCATTGCCCACACATTTCTCTCAATCAAGGCTTTACTGCACTCACAGATTTGCTTTTTTTTTTTTTAATTGATGCATCATTCTGATGACATTGACAAATATAGAAGAAAATGCCAAGAGGAGGCTGGTGAACGCAGCGGACCTGGGCAAATAACCCAGTAGCTCTGCAGGACAGAGTACAGAAGAGGTGGGGAGGAAGCCAACCACAGCACTAATTAGCCTCCCAGAATATTTACCTGGCGTTGGCACTAATTTTTTTTTTAGCTGGGGAAATACGCGTCTTTACATTTAATTGTGGTGAGCCATAAAAATGCTTCCCCTTCTCCTGGAGGAGAAGTGGGCAGGCCTGGTTGACCACTCGCTGGTGGCTCATCCCCTCGGGAGCCCAGAGCCTGATATCTTGTTCCTCTCAGATTGCTTTTGTGGGTTTTGCTGCTGCAGTTTGTTTCATAACCTAAACTTCTAAATATGCTCACTTCTCATTTGTAACGTAAGGAGGGATTATGGTTCAAATCCTCTTGAGAAAAGGAGGAGAGAAGAAAATGGGATGTGAGTGATTCTCACCATCAAAATCAGACATGATCACATAAATCCAGGCTTGGGGCAAGTGCTTCGGGTAGAGAGATCCTGACCAGGCAGAGTGTCCTTGGAATAATTCAAATGTATAGCTTCCCATTGCGGAAGTCACCCAGGGACTTCGGCATCTTGGGAAATTTCATACTGTCTCTCAAGCAGTCACACTGAACAATTTAGTAGGGTCCTGAAATGGTAAATTACCAAATCTCTTGTGATAAAGTCATCAAAGCCATAAATATTCCTGAGGGCCTACTACACTCCAGACCAGGCACTGCGCTTCAATGACAAGCAGCACAGTCGTTAACCCTGGGCGACCCTTCTACAGTGCAGAGACACCTGCTGGGCTGAGCCTATCAGTCCAGGAGAGGTGCCTTGCAGAGGCCTCATGCCCAAGACATGACATCAGGCCAGGTCAGCACTGCACTAAGTCAGCTCACAGGCTCCTCATCAGGGCTATCTCCAAGGAAGTGACAGGCAAAGAATTGGGCAAAATTACTTTACAAGTGTGGATAAAAGCAGGCACTGATTAGCACGGAGGGAACTGGTACTCTTGGCACCACTTTATACAGTCATTTTGAAATATGTGGCAATCTGATAGCATTTAGCAGAATTAAGTATGCCCAAACTTATGACCCAATGACTTCACTTGCACCTACATATCCCAGAGCAATTCTTGCAAAATTTTCTAAGGGGTGCGTGTGTTGGATTTCATTCTGGCATTGTGTAGGAAAGGAGAGAGGATAACAACCTTGTGCCCATCATTAGGGCCATGGCCAGGTGACAGGTGGCAGATGACCCAGCATGGGATACAATGAAGCCATGAGAAGCAACACACCAAATGTGCCAACAGCCACATGGGGAGACCCGTGTGGAGCAAAAACCATAATAAAATGACTTAAGAAGTAGAACAGGAATTACAGTATAATACTGATTATCTAAATTAAAAATGTATACTCATAGAAATATTTTACAGGGCCACATGCATATTTAAGGATAAATATATTTTGGGATCAGGTTGAAGGAGAAAAATCATGAAGAACCTTGCATTGGTCAGTCTTGATAATACCAAGGAGAATTATAATGATCAAGCAGTGAGGTTTATTCAACCTTCTATGCTTAAGCTCCAAAAAGAAGGGTGGCATGTAAAGGTGCAGAAATAAAAGGATGTGGCAAAATTTCCAGAATGTTTCTATGAGAAAGTAAACACTTTTGTGGTGCTGTTCTTTCAGGGCAATTGCAGAGACCCTGCCCTTGTCTACAGAGCACTGTGGGGATACTCCTTGGATAAAGCAAGGCAGGCCAGATTATGCTGTATTTTAAAAAAAAGAACCAACAACAGTCAAATCTCCGTGGTTTAAAGCAACCCATACCATAGGTCAGTCACAGGTCTTTACTTTGCATGAAATACTTCAGGACCTTGGCTCCAGAACAGCCACACGGGATATTATTGGTGTCTGTGGCAGAAGAAAAGAAACCTCAGGTGAATTACACGCTGGTTCTCCAAGCTTCCACCTGGAAGGGACATCTATGACTCTCACTGACATCCCACTGGGCATCACAAGTCTCATGATTAAGCCCACTTGGAGGATGCCTGGAAAGATGGCAGCCAGAAATATCTGGTGGAAAGCACAAATGAATATCATACTACCCTTCAAACGAGACTCTTCCCAGATTTCTCCCAGTTTTCTTGTTCTAGTGGTGTGACTGTCACCAAGTTACTTAGCCTCTTCGTGCTTCAGTTTTCTTTTCTGTGGAGTGGGAACTCTATTAGCTACCTCATGAACTTGCTGCAAGGACAGCTGACATAGCATAATGAACATGCCTAGAAATGGGCCTCGCATCCAATGAGCCCTCAGTAAATTGTGGTTTCCATTTGTCATTATTATTACCATTAGTCTCGCTTCCTCTTATTCCTCCCAAAGATCCATCCTACACACTATCCCTACTTTAATCTTCCCTAGGCATGGCTCTGATCACGTTGCTACTGCAGTCAAAAGCATGCATGGGTTCACTGTTACATGCTTTGCCTAGGCTCCTGCCTATGTGTTTCATGTATGTTTTCATGTGCCACACTCCATCTGCCAGCTGAACCTTGCTTCCAAGCTCACTCATCCACATCTAAAATGTGGCCAAAATCAGGCCTCAATCTCACTTTCCAACCTCAGCTGTCAAGCCTTTTTTGTATCCAGACTAAACTGTATGCAAAGCGAACTACCCCAATCCTCATTAGTCCTTGCCTTTTTCTCCTTTCACTAATTCATTCCATCAATGAACACTTACTCTACAACAGAGGTTGTTCTAGGTGTTGAAGATAGAGATATGAACAGGCAGACAATGCTCAGTCCTCATGGAGCTGATAAGAAATGTGCAATAAAATAGCTAAGATTGTTTTCAGTTAGTGATGTGTGCTATAGAGGACACTTCATAAGGCAAAAGGGCAAGGGTGCCCAGGCAGAGTTTGCTAGGATGGCCAGGGAAGGCAGAATGATGACCTGAATGAAGAGGAGACAACCATATCAAGACCTGGGAGAAGAGGATTGCAGAAAGACGGTGAAAAATTTCACGTCAAAGAACTGAAAGAAAGGCTAGAATAAATTAAGCATAATGGACAAGTAGAAAGGAATAAGAGGAGAAGCAGCAAAGGAGAACGTAGGAGCAGGCCATTTAGAAGAATGGTGGACAATTGAAGCCCTTCATGGATCCTATGCTCTGCTGTAGTGCGCAAGCTCATGCCTTCAACATCCACATAACGCAGACCTCATCAACCTTCCAGGTCCAATTCGAATACACTGTCGCTATGAGACCTTCCTTGGTCTTTGTTTCTCCTCTCCACCATCTCTTGTTAAAAGCACTATTTTTTTCTACTGCTAAACTCACAGGGTAATTTATCTAGCTCAGAAGTTTGCATCCTTTTACCTGGAGAAACACTTCCCCAGTGGCTCATTGATTTCAATTCTGTAAAACAATATGTGGGTTATTAAAAGATACCCAAGCATTAGGCATTTCTTTAATAGTAGGCATAAAAGCAGTAATGATATCTAAATACAACTTTTAAGTCATATAGGAAAAGCTTCAGAGAAACAGACAAAAATATTTCTAGAACAAACCATTCACTGTTTTTGCTACAAAGAGCTGGGAAAATAAAACTGCTTGGTCTGGATAATTGTTTTAAAAAATGTTTCAGCCAGACCCCTTGTCATAATCTCCATAACCCTTTATCCTTTTGCGTATTGCTAGAGTAGTAGCTGAGTAATAAAGTTTAGCTAAGGAAATAACAGCTGTGTGTGTTTTAGTTGTTGTTTCTAATGACTTTCCATTATGGCTGCCTGAGTTAAGGTTCCTCTTCAAAAACACAAAGACAATAAAATAAAACATAGAGAAACCAGTAAAAGTAAATAATTTTAGGCATTTCTACGCCTGCATATAAAAAATCATATTTTTTATAGCGCTTGTTAGCTTTCAAATCTTAATTAAAAGCCGTAGAACACATCAGAATGTGTTGTTCAGTTTTTCTGGTCTCATTGTGCCAGGGGCTTGAGTCGTTTACTCACGCGCAGTTGTTATTATTTATTAATATTAATTGAACATCAGCAATGCACTTAGACGCCACTGGGAAACCAGAATTCGCTGTCATCACTCTCTAGTGAAGTCAGACTCTGAATATGGCAGGATTCAAACCAAAGGAGGCCGCCTATTTGCAGAAAGCAAGGATGGCATCATGGCAGGGGGTTCAGATGGCACCATGTGCCAGGCTGGCTCTGATATTTGTGGGTCTCATGACATCTCCAGATAAGCAATTTGGTTACACTTGGTTTCAGCGGGGAGATGTGAGGGAGTGAGTTGAACAGCAGGGGCAGGGTATGTGAACAACTGGGACATATTCTCCCACGTCACAGGCTACAGAAGAAATGTTCTCCAACCTTGCTGGGAAATCAGTCTTGAATTTATAGATCTAGTTGTACTGTATCTTAAGAGTGGATATTCTGGGAATGAATGAGTAAATGAGAGAACGCAAAGGGGAAAGAAGAAAGGAATGAGGGCCAGCCTTTTGGCAGCCCATGGAATGAGGGGCTGGGAGCAGAAAGAGGAGCCCACAAAATCAAGCTTATAGGGTTAGAATGGATATTCAATAATAGCAGAATGTCTGGGAGAGGAAGTTTTGCTTTTTAGGAAAATCACTTTTATTGAATTATTATTTTCAGTGAAATTCATAGATCTTAAGTGGATGGCTCAAAGCATTTTGACAGAGGCATACTCTCAGATGCAACCCACTTTCCTACCAAGATTCAGAACACTTCCATCACTCCAGAAAGTTCTCTTGTGCTCCTAAGTAGTCAGTCCCTGCACCCCACCCCTACACCACCTCAGAGGACACCATTGTTCTGATTTCTGTCAGCACAGCTTAGTTTGGTGTGTTTTGGCCACGTCGTGAATGGAATCACATAGCAGATCCTCTCTGATGTCTGCCTCCTTACACTCAGCATGTTGTTGAGGACCATCTTTGTCATTATATGTACTATTCCTTTTCATTCTGAGTAGTGTTCCATTGCACTGCTGTACTGCACTTGTAAAATTCATCCTTCTCTTAATCATCATTTGTTTCCACTTGTGTTTTTTTCACCCAGTTTTGGCTACTGTTAGTAAAGCAGTCACAAGCATTCTTGTACAAGTCTTTATTTGGATATATACTTTTATTTTTTTTGTGGCAATACTAAGGAGCAGAAGTGCTGGGAATAATATTGTTATATGTTTAGCATTATGAGAAACTGTCTGAGAGTTGCCAAAAGTGGTTGCACCATTTTAACATTCCTGCCAGCAATGTATGGGTTATAATTGTTCTGCCTCTCTCCAACTTTGGTATTGTTAGTCTTTTAAATTTTCATTTCCCTAATGGCTGATGGCAATATTGAACACTTTTTCATGCATTTATTTGCTGTTTCTCAGTCTGTTAAAGGTTTTTTTTGGCCATGTTTATTGGTGTTTTTGCTCTTGACTGTTAGGTTGTAAGGGTTCTATATGTATTTTAGATACAGAATCAACCTGAGTACCCATCAGAAGATGAATGGATAAAGAAAATGTGATACATACACACACACACACACACACACACACACACACACACACACACACACATATTCCATGAAATACTATTAAGCCATAAAAAAGAATGAAATAATGTCATTTGCAGGAACTTGGATGGAGCTGGAGGCCATTATTCTAAGTGAAGTCACTCAGGAATGGAAAATCAAATACTGCATGTTCTCACTTATAGAGCTAAGCTATGCTTATGAAAAGACATACAGATTGGTATAATGGACATTTGAAACTCAGAAAAGGGAAGAGTTGGCAGGGGATGAGGAATGAAAAGCTACATATTGGGTACAATATATGCTATCCTGATGAAGGTGCACTAAAATCCCAGGCTTCACTGCTAGACAATTCACCCATGTAACCAAAAAACCACTTGCACCCCTAAAGCTATTGAAATAAAATTTTTTTAAGAGTTATGTATTCTAAATATGAATTGTCAGATATATTTATTGGAATATTTTCTGACAGTTTCTGACTTGCCATTTCATGTTCATCATGAAGTTTTCTTGTTCAGAAGAAGCTTACAATTTTGATGAAGTCCAATTTGTTAATCTTTTTCTTTGATAGTAATGTTTTTTGTTTCCTGTCTAAGAAATCTTTGCTTATTTTAAGGTTAAAAGAATCTCTTCTGTGTTTCCTCCTAGAAATTTATAGATTTAGACTTTATGTCCTGTTCTAATTATTTTTTGGTATATAAGTTAAAATTGTGAAGGAGGGGTTAATGTTTATTTTTTCCTGTGTTGACTTCCAGTTGTTCCAGAACTACTCGTGAAAAGATTTTCCCCATTTGGATTTATCTGGTGCCTAGTAAGGCCTGCATTTAACCAGGAAGAAGTCATTGGTGACCTCAAAGGAAAAATAAAACAAAACAAAAAAACCCTCGGGGAGTCTGGAGAGATGCTCAAAAAAGGAAGAGCCTATAAAACAAGACAAGCAAGCACTTCAAGAGAAAGAACTAGAAGCTTTAGAGTCTAGTGTATAGGAAGCAGATAAAATGGAGAGAATAGTTATGGATCACATAGCTAAGGAATTTGGCTAGGAAGAGAAGGTAAAAATAGGACACTAATTGGAAGAACCATGTCTAGGTCAGGAGATCACAAGGATATTTATTATCAGGCAATGGGTTAGGGAAATAATAATGCTAAATTGGGAACTTACAGAGCTTGGGTTGGAAAAGCTCAGATTATTCCCTTTTTTGGAGACCTTGCCACTTGCATAGAATGTTCTCTGGTGTTGCAGTGAACCCAGAGGGACTTATTGGGAAATATACATTTATTGTATAAATGTTTATTCAATATACAAGACTTTTTGGCAAAAGTGTACTGTGTGGAAGTTTGCTGTCTGATGTCAACAGCTGGATTGTCAGATAGGAGGAGGGCAGAGCACCTAGGAGTGCTGTGGCTGCACCGTTGTCAAAGGGTTTCCCTTGGGCTAAAGGAAGGGTTGAATGAGTCAGTGCCCCCCACCATTCCTCATGCTGGACAGAGCAGTGGACTTCCGGAAGATATCAACAGAGCTTCTAGCTCCCTGCTTTCTACATGACAGTTTTTCTTAAACATTCACATGGATGAGCAGAATAGTGTAGCTATTTTCTTCAAACCTTCACTTTAACCATGTGCCATTGACTCTAGCTGCTCTCCGGACCCCACATGGGATACCTTAAAGGCCTATTGCAATTTGTTACCCAAAACAGCTACTAGCAGAAAGGAAAGAAAATGATTTACTGATTATTGTCTGTATCCCAGGCAAGGTTGTTATATACAGTTGTAGAGGCTGTGCACTGCACAACCCTTCATCACCATGAAGGGCACTCTTCTTATCCTAGCCTGATATAGTGCAATGTGGTAGTCTTGGTATCAAGTGTTATTCTGTGTTCTTTGCAAAAGGAAGCCCAGAGTCCTTGCAACCAGCCTATGAGAGGGTCATTATGATGTCCTTTTTATAGAGGAGATAAAGCCACTTGCCCAAGGTTGCTCAGTTGTTAAGTAGCAGAACCGTAATTTTTAGATCCTTTGGCTCCGAAACATAACATGTCAGTGGCCTCAAAATGTTGGACCGACAAGAATAATCTTTAGAAGCCAGACAAGTAGATGAACTGGGAGGTAACCAGCAGCCTCCAGGAGGAAGACTGAATGAAGAAAGCCATTGGATTAGGAGACAGAGGGGAAGGAGTTGTAGAAACTGCCAGGGTGGCTAGAGGGAGATGGAGGGAAATTCTGGATTGGCAGTGGCTGGAAGAGCAGATGGTCCAGCAACCCAAGCACACCCATCCATATGGGACAGAAAAGAGCCAACTGCAAATACCAGGGCTGCCCAGCCTGATTGGCTTGGGGAAACTCCAGATGGGGGGATCCACTGAATTAGAGCATGAAGGATGGGGGCTCTCAGGAGCCATCCAATTGCTCAGAAACTTGAGCAGAAATACTCAGTGCTTGCTAGGAGCCTATTGTGTCTTCTTAGGAAGGCAATCTGGCTCAGTGGAAAAAATAAGACTTAAAACTTAGGGATCAAATCCTGATTCTCATATTTAGTAGGTGAGAGACTTTAGGAAAGTTATTAAATCGGTTTCTTATCTGTAAAGTGGGATTATAGTATCAACTTACAAAATTGTATTGATGATTAAATGAGAAATGTACCTTAGGTACATAGTCATCATTTAATAACATCAGTTGCCCTGTGGCTTGGGGTCCAGTACTGCTGACTTGTGTCATCCTTTGGATCCAGCACCAGGAAGGTGTTGGAGCTTGGGTGCTGCATTAGCTACTCCACAGCAGGTTATTTCTTCCTCTTTGTAAAAGTTTCTTTATCTGTTCCCGCTTGTTCCCTGTTTCCAGGACACCATGCGCCCCAGAACAGCATCATAAAGTGGCATCCACGACAAGCAGAACTGTGTAATCTGAACTTCTGGTCAGAGAGATTCCAACTCTAAACTCCAAGAAGGGTAGATTTGAATCTTGTTCATTTGTGCATTCTCAAAACATAGAGACTAGGAGCCCCTCTGTAAATGTCAGCCGGGTGACTGGCCAGTTAATGCATCCACTCTTGGCCACTGCACCTCAGACCTGGCATGCAGTGAGGGTTAGTGAGTTTTGGTGGATGAGCATGAGAAAGTCTTGCTGGCCAGAGTGCTGGCCAGCACTTGTGGTGGGAAATCTGGATTTAGCTGTGGGGTTTCAAGACCAGATTCTCATTGCAAGCCATCCCTGGTGGGGGCTGTAATGCATGCACCAAAACCACAAACTGGATAAGCAGACACCTGGCTGTAACGGGTTGCCGGTTTCCAGATAGCCATGCCCAGTGGGCACCTGAAGCACACGGCCCCATTGCACATGAGCCGTTTTGTCAGCACAGAAATAAACCTTCCCTTTCCCTGGGCATTGAAAGAACAGAGCTTCTGAAAAGCGATGGAAAAACAAATCAACCAGTGCTGCCCTGTGGAAAATCCTCTCTCTCCTCCATCCTCGTAAAACAAAATGAGACTGGCTCTGCTATTCCATGTGAATTAGTCACTGGTCAGTGCCAAGGTGACTAGTTAAACACTTGAGGAAAGAGGTCGGATTTACAAGGTTATGCTGTAAAACTTTGGGATTGATATCTTCTAATCAGAAATGAGGTAGGAAATGAAGAATGCTATCAAATTTCCAGTAAATATAATGCTAAAATATTCAGCCATTTGGATGTTGCCATGTTATCAATCCAATTAACCTCACTTCATGCTATCCACTACATTCAGTGATACCGATGTGTTACAGAGCAATATGAAATATCCTACTGACAATTTTGATCCAAGATAACAGAGAAAATACAGCTCTTGCGTTCCAGGGTTTTGAAAAGAAGTAAAATTCAACTCGCATGTTATGAAGGCAGTAATAACCTATGATTTGGTTGCAAACAAATATGATTTTCATTTTATTAGCCACACAAATTTGTCAAAATCATCAGCATGTGGGACTCCATATTCCAATTAATGGTGATAATGGGAAATGAATCTTAATATTCCACAGTTGAAATGACCCTGTGAGTAATGAAATAAAATTGATAAACTGAACTGTTTTCTTGAAGAATGTTATTTTTTGAGTAATACCCACTGAATTTTATGTTTTGTTTTCAATTGCTTTATAAATAGAGAAACAGATGTTTCTCTTATAGCAACTCTAGTTCTTTAAAATTCCATTTTCTGCTCAAGGTAAGAAGTGTAAAAAGTATAAGTTGTAGCTATCATCAGTCCTACCTTTGCTGTGTTTGAAAATGTCCTGAAGTTGATTTTATAAATATTTTATTACCAAAAAATGACATATGGGAAGGAAATTGCCAAAATATTCTGGTAACTACTAGGTCTTTGGTTCTATTTAAACTTCATTTATCTATCTATCTATTCATCTACGTATCTTTATATGTAACAAATATTTCTCATAACCCATGGCATTGGTAACTCTTCTACAAATGTGACTGTGGCTGAAATTATTATTTATTTATCCACTCTCAAGTTTCCACATGTAAGGCTCATTAAAATTTTGGTGAGAAAGGAGAGAATCCAGAAGAAATTTAATTTGGTATTTCTTTTTCAATTAAATTTAAACATCAGCTCATCAGCAACCCTCAACCAAAAACAAGGTGGAACTTTCCAAAATGTTTCCTAAATTCTATGGAATTTAAAGTTCTGCTTTGAAAGAAAGAGGAAACAGTTCCCATTGAAATGTTTTCCAACATCACTGGAAAATAAAAATCCTATTATATTTGTATAACATAGTTCAGGCGTAGAGAGGAAATGACAAAGTTCAACAACCTTTTCTCTATAAGATATTATCCTGGAATCTTTAAACCTGACTATTACTACTTATGGAAAATGAGATATTTTCATGACATGGTTTATAATTTAAGTATACGTGAGAGTCAAAATGATTTGAGAGCCTGAGATAAATTACTGCAGCTCTGGCTTAGTAATAAAAGGAATTTATTGAATTAGATGGTGACTTGTGCCAGTGAGTCCAGCTTTGAACAGTAGAAATGCCAGGGTGCACTGATGATGACAGAATGAGCCTGGAGAAGGAAGCAGACTTTTCTCCATGAACAGCTGGTGATGAAGACACAGAGGCGGCACAGGGGAGGAAGTGAGACGGCTGCACACCAAGGCTGTGCACTGCTGTGGCGACTGATGTCTCTTCGCTCACGCACTTTATAACAATAAATGCTGTCCATGCCAGGGCACTGCACGGCGAGTATCTGTTGTCTCCAAGTACCCTCTCCGCACATGCGATCTATTTCCTGGTTAGCTGGGGGCCCTAGAGGCTTAGCTGGGGGATGCTAGAGGCCAAGAACCTTAATTGTGAATGCCTGGCACATTGCAGGTGCCCCAAAATGTTCTAGGATAAATATGTACTGGGCACTTTGCTAGGCATTATGGGGAATACAGTAAAAGAAGAGGTTCCTGGCCAAAAGGTGCTTACAATTGAGTTAGAGAAAGAAGATGCAAATAAAGAAAATCAGTAATACATGGCAGTAAAGACATCAATTAGAACAGGAATTAAGAAGAATGTAAATGGAGAGGAAGAGAAGAGAAGGAGGAGAAAGCAGAAGCTAACTAATGAAATGAGAATCAGGTGGATAATATAAACTAACTTGTTACATGTCATATATATATTTAGAATTTTTAAGATTTTTATTTGTTTATTTATTTTTAGAGACAAGGTCTTTCTCTGTCACCCAGGCTAGAATGTAGTGGCATGATCATGGCTCCCTGTAGCCTTGAACTCCTGGGCTCAAGCCACCCTCCTGCCTCAGTCTTCCTAGTAGCTGGGACAACAGACATGCATCACCATGCCCAGCTAACTTTTTGATTTTTTTTGTAGAGACAGTGGATCTCACTATATTTCCCAGGCTGGTCTCAAACTCCTGGCCTCTAGCCATCCTCCCACTTTGGCCTCCCAAAGCTCTAGGAGAGGTGTGAGCCACTGTGCCCAGCCATATGCCGTATAAATGACAACATTCAGGTGTGGGAGTCAGCTGATTAGAATAACAAATTATGGTTTTCTTAGGATAGGGACTAAGGAATTTTCCCCCCATGTATCCGTTCAGCTGTAGATCAGTACCTGACAAAGCAGCAGCCAACATGCCGAGTCACTATAAAATGAATGAATGAGGTAGAGAGGGAGGAAGGGTTGATTATGGCTTGCACAAGAGGGGTTAGATCTGAAAGGAGAGAGTAGAAATGAAGTGGCCACAACAGAACGAGGATTTCTAAGCAGTGGGAGCTTTACCATCTAGGCAGAGACAATGTCCCTCTGGCTAAGAAACAGTGGCAGAATGGTGCTAGAGGGGAAGAGAGGTTGGGAGAACCTCAGGACAGACTGTGGGGACTATGAGTCCCTCTGCCACCTGGCTGAATCCCAATCCTCCTTCAGGCCTTGCTTATGGTCTGTGTCCCAGCCACTGAGCCTCTGCTGACCCCCAGCCTGGGTTCGGAGTTCCCTCAGAAGCCCTGGCTGCCTCCATCCTGGACCTATTCCACAATAATGGCACGGCTGAGGCAAGGACGTTCCCACCCTGTAGGTTAGACACTGGGCCTCCATGGAGAAGGATGGAGGTGCTATTCATCTCTGTGTCTCAGCACAGAGCAAATGGGCATAGCTCTACTGCAATGTTTTCAAGAGAGAAGGGGTGTGATCAGAGCTGCACTGCGGAGGCTTTACTGAAGGAAGAACAGGGACAGGGTTTGTCTGGTATGATTAGGGACTAGGATGGTGTACGTGGAACAACTCCTGGTAAGACCAGGGTTGAAGTGAGAAGTGGAATTGACACAGAGAGCAGGGGCCCGCCCTATCCAAGAGGCAGCAGAATGCGGGGACTGACAGCAAACAAGAACACATCAGTGGGTAAGGCCCATGGGGACAGCCTGCCCGCAGCAATGATGGGGAGGGAAAAGACCAAAAATAACGCTGTGAGATCCAGCTTGGGAGTCTCTGAGGTGCTGTAACAGGCGGGGGATGGCCAGGGCCCTGGGCGAACCTGGGAGCTCCAGAAGAAGCTTGGAGGAGCAGGGCTTAAAGGCTTGAGGGAGCAGGAGGGATCTGAGTGGAGCCTGGCAGAAGGCAAGGAACGCTGCCAGATGATCGGGGGCCCAGGGACAGGGACCCCAGACTCGGGTGGTCAGGACCGCAAGAGCCTGGAGTGGGAGTGCAGGATGCTCCAGCCCTGCTCAGGGACGCAGTCCCGGCTGTCCCCGGCTTCAGACATCTTCTCACCCTGAAATGATAGGCCGTCTTCTCAGTCATTAGAGAATGAAATGCTTATAATGGCATCTGCGTCTTAACGGGGAATGAGAAATAGCCATAATTTCCAAACACTTGTTTTTCATAAGGGAACCGACACAAGCATTTCTGAGCAGATGTATCATTGGTTAGTTTTGAGTTTCTGTAGGGGAACAGAACAGAGAAAACCCAGTGGCTTTATTTTTAGTTCCTATAGGGATGAATGACCATCCCCTGTGGTTTAAAGATTATTTGAGTATCCTTTTTGGCAGTAACCTGCAAAATCTATCTGTGGTTGGCACAGCTTAGCCTGTTCAAAAGTGATCATTGCAACTTATATTTTGAGAGAGGGGAGGTAATGGTCTGGTACCGGGGAAGGGACGTTTGCCTGAAAGTCCAAGGTGGGAAGGTCTCAGCCCTGCTGGCCCATGGGTGTCATCTGGGCTCTGGGAGGGCCAAGCATCCTCCCTGCATCTCCATTTATCCACCTGTGAAATGAGGCACTGCCTGCCCCATGCTCCCCTCACAAAGAAATTACAATGATGCATATATCCTAAAGGAAGATTCTTCAGGATCTTCCTTTAGGGGGACAACATTGGGTCCATGTGGAGACAAAGGCTCAAAAATGTGCCTCACCACACCGCACACAACAAGTTACTCATAAGCCAGGAATAGAAGCCCCCTTTGACCTGAGAGGTCTTTCCACCATGCTGAGAGGCTCATTTAAAAGAAGGGCATAGAACTTTGTAGACAAACGTAGAGAGATGTCTGGGATAGCTGGGGAGAAAGGCAAGTTGTAAAACATTTTGTACATGTATATATATATATGTCTGTGTGTGTGTATATATATATACACACACACAACACACATACACATATATGTGTATATATACACGTATATGTGCGTGCATATATACTATGCATGTATAAAAACTCAAGGAAGTCTACATAAAATGTGATTATTTCTGGAGTGTGTGATTATAGAGAACGTTTCATTTCATTTCTTTTATTTTTTACCATTTGCATTGTTACAAGCTTGCATTTCTTTCATAATCAGAAATTTTGATGTAAATATAAACAGGTAAATGAAGAAGCTTCTCTGCCCATGCATGCCCATTGTGCTCCATCAATCAATAGATACTGCTGTCTGTCTCTGGAAAAAGTCGGATGCAGCTAGGGCTGCAAGACCTCAAATGGCCTTTACTCCTGACAATTTCCTTTTAATGTTCCCACCTCTTGCCCTGGGGCTCTAATGCCAACTGGCTATCACAGCCATGCTGATGTCAGTTCATGCAAGATGCCCATGCACAAATTTAGTGTGTTAAAATTTTAAAGCCTACTAAAATGTTCCCTGACAGAAAAACGCCTCCTCACCAGGAATAAGCAAGTATTTAGAAAAACACATTTCTTTGCCTTAAAATGGTTGGAGAACAAGTTTTGGGCGGGGTGGGGGGGGGGCTCTTTTTTATTAGTATTATTATTTCAAGAGGTTTGGTAACATTTTTGTTTCTCTAAATAGGAGTAAGGAACCAGGGCAATGGCACTGACATGGTAGGAGGCCCCATGGGCCCAAGCTCTGAAGGGCACTGGAGGGCACTAGGCTGCCCAGGCTGTTTTACGCATCGCCTGATCTATCGTGAGTTGGGGTACAGTTATGACGAGCAGGATGAAATTAGCACAGCTCTGTTCTCCAATTACTGCTGACCAAAATGAATTCTGGTCTGCGATAACTAGGCTGTAACTTTTAAGATACTTCAGAGAACGATGAAAATGCACATCCATATACTTCAGGCATCTGGAGGATGTGATGTGAGGGAGTGCCGGGAAACTGACTTTCAAAAATCCATGCCCATTTTACTGGATTAAAATTGTTTAATCTAACTAGCTGTTGACCTTGGTTTGTGATATTGAAAATTCTGGGCCTTTCTCATACGCTTCTGTTTAATGTGACTCCTCTTGTATCTTACAATTTCCACGTTGTCCTTAGACTCCTTGATGTTGATGATTGCATGACATCTATCTTTGGGAATCTCGGGAACCTTTTTAAAGTATTAGTAAGAGCTATTGATCATCACAAAAGCCCCTGAGAGAAAAGGACCACTTCATCCAGGCTTGTTGTGAATTATTTACAGAAAATAACATTAAAAAAATGGACATCCATTTCTGTCACCATATCTAGTCTCCCCATGCCAAACAAAGCAAACAAAATTGTCAAAGCATTGGACTTTCTAACACAGAGGAGCCAACAAATGTGATGTCCTAGTCCAGACTGGAAGGGCTACTTGATGTAGAGGCGATTTGCAGCATGTCAGATGGAAATGAAAGGGGACGACATCGGGTCCAAGAGGAGACAAATGCTCAAAAATGTAAAGTGACTCGCCCCATGGCACACAACCAGTCATTCACGAGCCAGGAATAGAACCTCCCTTTGACCTCTCAGAGTTCTTTTCACTATACTGAGCTGCTTGCTGGCTTACTGGGGCTCGGCTTGTACTTCTCTCAGGGCACACACACTTTTAAAAGGCCCTTCTGAGACACAGTGATTTAACCTAAAAGAAAGATGCCAACTATGGGAATTTCAGACATGGCAAAATTGTACTGGGAGATATTTGGAGCCATCAGAACTTTCGGCACTCTTCCAAATCACTGCCCAGGGGTGATTATTTTCCTTGTGTTGCCTTCCCCTTGGAAAACCATTACTTGCTTTTCAGTTCCATTAGACTTGGAAAGATGCCATATATGTGGGCTTTCAGAGTCCTACAATGCACACTCAGTTTTCTTTGATTAATTGATAAGTTCTAATACTGTTTATGTTGCCTTTATTCTGTTTCAAGTGCAAATTTTTCCATCACTAAAAACATTCGTTTAAAGCAGTAGTGTGTTGGAGATGGCTCCTACCAGCTCACAAGAGCCGAATCGAATCTGTGCATCTCATCCCAACCCCAGTTTGGTGACTTTACACTGGTGTCTTGAAATCAGCCATTGGGAACATATTGACATCACAGAACTTGGCAAACAGTAAAAGTAGAGATTTTTTTCCCTCCAGAGAGCCTATTTATCAACACACCATTGGTTCCAAGTATGCATTTTTTTTTACTATAGTAGGAAATTTAATTCATTTGGTAAACTATTACTAATAGTGCTTAATGCATGGTAAGTACATACACAATAGATCTTTGTAAAGGAAGGATTGAATGAATGAGTGAATGAATGGGCCGCTTCCAGATATATACAATGCTCCATCTTAGTTTTCGAGACTGAACTGGGCATTGAAACTATGCTAATTTTGGATTCTCCATCCCTTTTCAGTTTTATCTTATGTTCGTATGGATCTCTTCAACACCAGTTCAGAGTGTGGGAGCTTTTCTACAGATCTCTTTCTAGTGTTCCTTTTTCAGGCAAGAGAAAAACATATCTACAAAAATGAAAAAATATAATTTTCATTGTCATAAAAGAGTAATTTTGACTTTTATGTTACGATATGAAGGAAAACATTTTTACACAGGTTATTTTTATTTTTAAAAGCAGAAGCAAATTTCAACTATAACAGCTAAACTATCTGACGTTGTCTCATTAATATTCTGCTTCTCTGATTACTAGCTCCAGAAATTATGAAGAGTTGCTTTTAAAGTTGATGTTCAAATTCAATATGATTGTGCTTTGCATCTTGTTCCAGTAAAGTCTCTTGTCAGTTTGCTTGTCAGGAGCCAAGAAAAGCAGCAATTTCTGCCTTGGAAAATCCTGTGAATATTTATGTAGTAGCTCTAAGCTGCAGGGAATTTAAGAAGCTTAGAAAAATTTTGCAAAGTTTTTAAAGCAGGGAGTCACTGTCATACCATGGATAGAAATCCATAAATGTCAAACTTGAAATTATGTCAGTAGTTACCATTATTCTGTTGGACTGGGACCCACACAACTATTTGAATGTTTATGAAGTAATGTGAGTTGGCAGTTTCTATTTACTCCAAGTATTCTATTCAAGATCATCTGCACTAGTTTGGGATGTCTGCTAACCTCCTCTTAATAAAGGTTCAGGCTTTTGGTCTTTGCTTTTCATAAAAACCTGTCAAAATCAGGCCCCCAAAATTACAGACCAGATATGATCACTCATGTAACTCAACCTCACAATTCTGTTCTTGGTTGAATCTTACAAAGAAAATATCGAGTGAAGAGAGCTAGAACCAAAGATTTATTTCTTATATTATTCCATTTATATAAAGTGAAAAAGCAGGCAAAACTAACCTATGGTGTTAGGCATCCAGATAGCGGTTGCCCTTTGAGGGGACAGTAGCAGGAAGTGACAGGGGACACTTTTTGAAGTTCTGAAAATGCTCTGTTTCTTAATCTGTGTTCTGGTTACACGACGGGTGTGTCACTTTGTAAAAATACACAAAACTGTTCACTTACAATTTGGGAAGTTTCTTGTATGTAACTTATATTTCAATAGAGAATTTACTTTTAAAAAATCGTGCTGCTCTCTGATTCTCTTTGAGATTCTAAAGTGTTTCAAAAATACCCAAGAGGATATTTCTTACATGAGGTTGATGACTAAAAGAGAAATGAAATCCCCACACAGAGAAAGACTTGGTCTTACCATACGAATTCCACCATTTCACTGGACAAAATGAAGAACTTTCATTTCAGGTGGCTCAGCCATTTGTTTCCAGGAACACTTTCACATTCCTTCTTGCAAGTGGCTGTTTATACATAAGAACAAAACCTTGCCTTGCAGTTATTTAAAATGTGAAGAAAGACTTTAAGGTTTCACATAGATAGCTCTGTGACAGCCTCAGAGAATCTGGTTCTGGTGTTTTTTTCATCCCATCCTAAAATCTGCTAGGGAACGCTGAGCTAATTAGAAGTGGCCAGCCAGCAGTTAGTCAATAAATAGCTTGGCTCAGCAGATAGGTAATGCAATGCCAGATCAATAGGAACTCTGAAAATTATTTCTTCATTTCCTTCTATGGCAAGTAAGTTATCCATGAAGGACAGAATGTCAGCCTTCAGTCAAAGAGGCATGGAGCTTTTCATTATTCTGACATGAGAAGTTGAGAGGGGGCAGAGGTAAATAGTTCCACATTCCTTATTGATGTGATGTCAGGTTTTCATTTTGAAATGCACTAGGCTCTAAGAAGCTTTTGCAAGAAAGACCCACTCTTCTCAACCAAAAGTGCTCTCTCATTTCCTGGAGATATCCATTAGAAATGGCAACCCCTCTGACACTTAGAATGACTTGCTGTGATCTCAGTGTTTAGATGATAGGTAGTTATCTGTCACAATCTTACAAAATGAAGGAAAAATTAAAAGAATATTGAAAGATCAGAGGAAATGTTTTGGAGGAAGAATGTTAAAAATTTTTCTTCAGGTGACCTTCTAATAATTCATATGGAATGCCACTTGGCTTCCAATTTTGTGGCTATATCAGAGTGAAAATGAAGGTCATTTTCAATACTGTGTGATCTAAAAGAAGCCTTAAAGTGCCAGCGTTCACCATGACCTGGTTGTAAGGTTATGGCTTTGAGCCTTAGGAAAGCAATGACTTAGATACTAAATGGGGACTAATATACTCCCTAAAACTGATAACCCCTCTAGCCAGTTAAGCAGTTCAGATGGTAATAGGATGGCTGCCTTGATTTTTGGGAAGTGAGGAAAATGTAGAGTAAAATTACAAGGTATCAGAGAGAGTTCTTTCATTTCTATGTACCTCAAACTGATAACTGAAGCCTATTTTTATTCCCACACACAATTTGAGAGCTCCTTTTCTGAATCTCAGATGTAGAAAGACATCCATACTTCAGGGGCAGTTTACGCTCTACTTATTTCCTTGGAAGCTCCTTCCTCCTGGCAGTTCAGTAACATTTCCCTAAGGGTGAGCAATCTGGAACCTGAGAGTGGGTTTCTCTTTCTTTTTAAGAAAAAGAAAAAGATTACAGAATTCCTTCATCTCTGAACACAAAATTAAATTCAGTTGCAATGTCATCAATTCACGGGAAATAATAGGACAGATCTGTCATTTCATCCAAATTTCCTGTGCATGCTTGTTTATTTTTTTCCGGCAGAATTTTTTGATCTCCTGTTCGCTCTATACAATCATAATGGAATATTGATTGGCCCACTAAGAATTAACTCTCAGCATTTCCCATTTGTTTGTTTTTCCAAATTACTTAAGACAGTGTTAAGGAATATTTTACCACGGGGAATGGTCTTTTGTGTTAACTGATGAGTTTTGAGATGCGTACAGTCATGTAAACAACAGACTCCACACTGTAAACAACAGACTCCACACTGTTATCAGAGAATTGAAGATCCCCTTCACAGCAAGCCTGCTGGGGTGAAGGCCAACTCTTCACACTTACCAGTTGGCTTTCATCTTCCACGGTTTTGATGGCTTTCTTCCTCCGACCTCCTTCTGTACCTCCTGCTTCTCCCAAGCTCAGCCACCATGGCGTTGCTTTACACAAGCTTTTTCTCTGCTCAGACCACTTTTTCTCCCACTACCCCAAGCTGGTTCTTTTTTCAGTCCAGTTCTTAGCTTAAGTACCACTTCCTTTTGAAGCCTTTCTTGACCTCCTTATGTGAAATTGGTGTCCATGCATCCTGCTACCTTGTTAAACTGTCTCTTAGCTTTTCGTTCTCAGTGCTGGTGATTCTATTCACCTTTTTATTTAATTGAGTTATTCAATTTCCCTAACTGGAGTTTGAGAGCCAGGAGGTTTCAGGCCATCCCTCTCTTGCTCAGCACCCCATCTTCTGGACCTGCCATGGTGCCTGCTGCGTGGTACACACTTGGTGAAAATTCACGGACTCATACTTTTCCTCTGCCATGTTAAGGCTGTACTTCCCATACAAACCAAAAACCTTCAGAAGCCAACACCAGAAACAGTTACAGGCTGGCTGACGATTGCTTGACAGACTTTAACTGCCCTTCAACTAACTGTATGAGTAAATTCAACTTTAATAATTTCTTCAGGGGACTATACTAAACCAAAAGTACAAAAACTTCCTTCAAATTTTATCTTTCATGTAGGACTAATTCCGCTATAAATATTTTTTTAAATATACGTTATGATTTGTTTATTTCAACTTTTATTTTAGATTCAGGGGGTACATGTGCAGCTTTGTTACCCAAGTGTATTGCATGATGTGCGGTGGTTTGGGGTATGACTGATCTTATCACCCAGGTACTGAGCACAGTACCCAATACCCTTCCCCCTCCACCTCCTCTTTCTAGTAGTGTCCAGTGTCTATTACTGCCATTGTTATAATACTGTATTTTTGATTAAAACTGGGTTTTAAATTCATAAAATAATAATTTCTGCTAAAGTAAAACTAATGAGTTTATATAATTTATGTCCCTCCTGTTACCACGGCTGGCCAGATGGGAGTAAGAAAATCATGTGTTTCTCCTACACAATTTCCACCTTTTTTCCATTATCTCCTCCCTTTTCCACTTCTCTTAGGTGCTCACACCTGTTTTGTTATTCTTCCTCTCTGGATATCAAAACTAGTCCTTTTTATAAAAACTAGATCTCTTATTCACTCCAAAGAATACATAACTTGTTTCAAAATCATTACCCCTCTAAGGATGTTTATCACATTAGAACAGAAGTGACATAATAGATTACATAGTCCAATCTCCTCAATTTCGTCCTCATTTGCATTTTAACATACGAATGCAGTGATATCACTCCCTTGTGCAACATCTTCCCCTTCCAGAATCCTCCGCCCAGCAGAGCAGAGTCTTGGGACCTGGCTCCCCGCCTGGCTTCATCCTCTGAGCCCATTTCAGGCTGAGCTCATACACGTCTCTGCTGACAACTCCCTTCCTCCTGCACATTTCCACCCTTGCTGCCTTCCTGGCTCACTCTTATGCTTCCATTGCTGTCTCCCTCCTGGGACAGTAGGCAGACTCTCACCTCCCTACCTGTATCCCCAGCCCAGCCTTGGGCCTGCCATGGGGTACCATCCAAATCAGCAATGTGAATGAAGGAGGCTAAAGTCAGGGAGCTCAGAGAGTGGAAGTTCAAGGATGAGCCAGCAGAAGAATGTTTATTTGGGGACTGAGGTGTTGTAACTCCCAAAACAGTGCCTCCCAAGCAGGCTTGAACTCTGCCTATGCTTCTGATCCATCCACCACTTGGAAATAGCTCTTTAAAAAAAAAACACACACATTTTTATTGTGTTTATTTATTTTGAAACAGGGTCTGTCTATGTTGCCCAGGCTGGCCTCGAACTCCTGGCCTCAAGCAATCCTCCCACCTCAGCCTCCTGAGCAGCAGGGACTACAGACATGAACCACTGTGCCTGGCTTGGACAGCTCTTTTTGGGGATAAGTGTTATACACACTTGCAGGGACTGGCTGAGGGTAGTCCATCAGTCAATCAATAAGTGTGTTTGTTGATGTTATCATTTGCCCTAAGCAATAATGTAGAGTCAGGCTAACTGCCCTTTTCCTCCAACCCCTCCTGACCCTCTAAGACTGACCCTGGAATGATCACCTCAGCCATGTGCACTTTCACACTGGGTGAATCAGCCCAGTGTAGCCTGGGAGGGCACTCTGTTTCCCTTCTGCGAGCAGAGCTGATAATAATGTATATTGCCTGTGTTGAATGTCTTCCCTGACTCAACTGCAGTACCTCCTTATAGTTTTCCTGTTGGATTTGAGCAAGTAGATGAACTGGAAGAACAAGAAAAAGACGAATATTTGCAATTGTACTATATAGTCCAAGGACGAGGCAGTAGCATGGTGTACTGGGAGGGCTTTGGAGCAGGGGGCTCCGGTTAAAGCTTTGCCTCCTGCTATGATCTTGGGCATGCAGGGCACCGCTCCATGGCCCGAAGAATGGAGCCTGCCTAACTCACAGAGTTTTTCTAAGAAACAGAGGAGACCATGCAGGATGTGTGGACCTGCCTGGCCCATAGCCATGCTCTGTCTTTAGCCATTCTCATTCCTGAAAGGAGACACCTAGAAGCCATGAATTTCTAGACTGGATGAAAGTTCCCAGATGCCAGAGAACATTTAGCACTGGGCCACATTTATTTTCTCTAAGTCTTCCTTTTTTTTTTTTTTTTTTTTTTTTTGAGACAGTCTCACTCTGTCACCCAGGCTGGAGTGCAGTGGCCCATCTCAGCTCACTGCAAGCTCCGCCTCCTGGGTTCACGCCATTCTTCTGCCTCAGCCTCCCAAGTAGCTGGGACTACAAGCGCCCGCCAGTACGCCTGGCTAATTTTTTGTATTTTTAGTAAAGACAGGGTTTCACTGTGTTAGCCAGGATGGTCTCCATCTCCTCACCTCGTAATCTGCCCGCCTCGGCCTCCCAAAATGCTGGGATTACAGGCGTGAGCCACTGCGCCTGGCCTTTTTTTTTTTTTTTTTTTAACTGAGATAGCAATAGATTCACACAACTTTAGCCGCTACTTATAAAACTTCAACATCCTCCTGGAAAAGCTGTACACAACTGCATCTGCACCTCTCTACTAGGAGTTTATAGTATATAGAGAGATCATTTCTAGGTGCCAGGAGGCTAGCGCAGGTCTAGCCTCAGTCTTAATGAGTCAGGGTTCAAACTGTAAGTTCCTTGGGGCAAGAATGTGGCCTTTTTGTCTGGTTATTGTTATTATTCAGATCAGCCTCATCCATTGTAAAGCAGCATGGACATTTACTATAGTTTATGAATAATGAACGTGACTGTAACTTTGCCAGAACCAGCAACCAGATGAGTCCAGCCTGGTTAGAGCTCCAACCATGAGCGCATGTGTCTCCCAGTGTGTGTGAGCATGCGTGTTAATGGTGTTAATGTGTGTGACAGCATTATGTGAGGGTGTGAGCATTTATGTGTGTAGGGGAAGGCATGCGTGGTGTGAATGTGTATGAGCATGTGAATGTGCCAAAGGGTGGGTGTGAAAACATGTGTGTGAGCGTGTATGAGCTTGTGTGTGAGAGCATGTTTGCACGTGGGAGAGGGCATGTGTTTGTGAGCCATATATGAGTGTGTATGTGAGCATGTGTGGTTGAGCCTGTATGTGTGAGCGTATGTGTTTGGGACAGAGGGCATGTGTGTGTGAGAGTGTGTGAACATGTGGTGGGAGGATATGTGTGTGTGTGAGCATGTGTGTGAGTGTATGAGTAAGCTTGTGTATGTGAATGTGTGGGTATGTGTGAGAGCATGTGTGTGAATTGTGTGAACATGTGTGCATGTGTGTATGTGTGTGCGTAGCCCTTGCCAACAGCTCTAGGGGCAGAATGCGTATTTACAGCTGTGAGCGGTTCATCTCGTCTCCTCCAGGCTCCCCCAGAGCAGGCCACCAGGTTGCTTAACCATCTAGGCTGTCTTTGTAGAACGTGCAGTCCACATCAGCACTGTTTCTCTGTGGTTCTATCTTTTCAGGTAGGGGAGTTTTGCCCCAATGATGCCCATGCTCACTCCCCCACCCAGCTCCTCCCCAGAGGATTCAGCAAACTAGTAGCTGTAAGTCCATGAGGTAACACTTCTGAGGCAGCCCTCACCAGCCCTTCTTCCTCCATGGCCTCTGCTGGCATAAAAGAAATGAGGAAATGCATGAACATCAAGTTTGTGGAAACTTACTAAAACTTACTCTGTGCCAGGCAGTGTGGCCACCCTATACCTCTATTATCACATTTAATTCCATAAGGGCACTATGGGAAAAGAATTGTTGTTTTTCCCCCTTAAAGAGAAGGAAATTAAGGTTCAGAGAGGCAGAGAGCTTCCCAAGGTTACAAGACAAGCTGGAGCTGGGCCAGGATCCAGCCATGTTTGACCCAGACCCCTGTTTTTGGCCTCTCCTTGTTGGTTTGGATTGAAGAGCAGGGGCGGAACAGGAAGGAAGTTGAAACTCACAGAGCGTCCAACTATCTCCCTTCACTGAAGGACATGAGAGCCCACAGTCACATGTTCTGACTTGTAAGATTCAGCTTTCAGAGACATGACTTCTGCAAAGATGCACATCTCTGAGGGCAGAGCTAGGAGAAAGATGCAAGTGTCCCAACCCCAGCCCAGAGCTTATGACAGTTAAAATCCCGTGTGCTCACTCTGATTCTGTAGACTGGCTGATGAAGACCCGCAGAAGGTCTTCAGAAGGTACCATCTTGAGGCTACAGCTTTCGTTTTCTCTGCTGGTCATTGGCACAGCATGACTCTGTGTCATGGTTCAACACCTCTCCCAGTGAGTGAAGAATAGGCCTTAGAATAACAAGTAACACATCAACCGGAATGCCTTGCTTTGATGTTATAAATCTGAGCAGAAAGCTCCCTACTACATTGCAAATTCCATTTTACTTAATATTTGCTTTCTTGTCTTGCACTTGCAGATGTTGTTTTCTTTCCAAAAAAAACTCTAGTCTTGTATGTGCATTGTGGGAGTACAGAACAGATTAAATTTGTGGAAAAAGTAATAGTGATAATGGTAGCAATAGTAGTAAAAGGAGTTGTTTTTGTTTTTGATTTTTAGCTTATCAAGGAGGCAGAATGACAAGGAGGATAAGCTGCTGATCACCCTGGCTGAGAAGAGTTCCATGGCAGAGGCAGCAGCCTAGTTCCCCTCTATGTCTTATTATAGCTTCAAGCTCTTGAAACTTCAGGAGAAAAAAAAATATGTAAGAATCTCCATCCTAATGGATAAGACTTCTTTCTTCACTTTGGTTTCCAATGGACCCTACTTGACTGCTATAACAATGGCTTTTAAGTCAAGTCTGAAGGAAGCAACTGATCCTTCAGAAAGATGATGGCACTGGTGTGGAGAAAAGGGAAAGATTATATACTGAAGGTGGAGATGTAAATGATACAGCCTGTATGGAAAACAGGATGGAGGTTTCTCGAAGAACTAAAAATAAAACTACACTTCAATCCAGCAATCCCACTACTGGCTATTTAACCAAAGGGAAAAACAGTTATATAAAAAAGATGCCTGCACTTGTGTGTTTATCACTGCATAATTTACAATAACAAAGATATGGAATCCACCCAAGTGTAAGTGTCCATCAGCACGTGATTAGATAAAATGAACGTGGTACGTATACACCATGGAATACTACTCAGCCATCAAAAAAAGTGAAATCATATCTTTTGCAGCAACATGGATGGAACTGGTAGCCATTGTCTTAAAGGAAACAACTCAGAAACAGAAAGCCAAATATCACATGATCTTACTTATAAGTGGAAGGTCAGTAATGTGTACACATGGAAATGGAGGGAGGAATAGTGAGCTGGAGACTCAGAAGGGTGGAGGTGAGGGGTGATGAATTACTTAATAGGTACAACGTACATTACTTGTGATAGTTACACTAAAAGCACAGACTTCAGCACTATGCAATATATCCATGTTACATAACAGCATTTGTACCCTTTAAATTTATGCAAATAAAACTAACAAAATAGACTTCTCTTTTCTACCAGTGTCCCCCAACTTTAGAGCAGGTAAATTCACTGGGCACCAGATACTAGGGAATGTGTTTATTCTTTATGTCATACCTGTGTGTATTTATGTTCTATATTATAAACATACATTCAGTTACACTATCATATTTTAAAAACCAAAGTGGAAATCTATTAATGATGATTCTTTTTTCCCCTGGATCTCTACCTACCTTCACTCCCAGCTCCTCTGAGTTCTTCCAGAGGGGCTGTGGGCAGCCTTCAACAGAATCAACTTCAGGCTGAGGTTTCTACGACCAAGAATCAATTATAACCACTTGTCAAGTTCCTATTGTGTGCCATGCAATGGCTAGGAACTTTGTGCATGACACATTTGATATTCATTTAAATAATACATATATAGACTTGTTCCTTGTCTTCTGTAATTTCTCCTCAAATGAAATAATCCTTTTCAAACACTTTAGCTGTTTCTTCTGGCATTTCCCCCATTTTTCTAAATATTCTCCTTATACTGTGATTTGTTGACTTTTCAGCTTTATTCATTCTCTTTCATTTAGTTATTTTTTTACAGTGGGTAATAAGGGTTTAGCTCTTCCTCCTCCACTCCTTCCACTCCATTCACTCCTCCCTTCACCTATATTTTCCTGGTATAGTAGTTATATCACCATTTCTAGTTAACAGAATAAGCAATGTTTATATTATTCATATGCATATAGTATCATCTATACCTGAGCCACATAGCATATAACCATTTTACTTCTTTCTTTTGAAATGTTTTCCCCCTCTGGAGTTAATACTAACATGACTTGGTTTATTTTTCTATAGATTTATCACTAATTCATTTCTAATACAACAGTAAGTCTGCACCCAATACATTACAGTGCAGAAGACAATATTATCAGTTTCCCTTTTTAAAAAACATTAGAAGACATTCCTACCCATTATAGGAGGAAGCCCAACATCCTCCTATAATCCAGATTGGCCATTCCTACCCTGATGCACAGCTACCAGCTTGAGACATCTTTTACCACCATCCTTCATCTTTCCTTCTGTATTAGAACCACTACGGTTGACCCTTGAACAACATGGGTTTGAACTGCATGAGTCCACTTACACATGAATTTTCTTCCACTCCTGCCACGCTTGAGGCAGGAAGACCAGCCCCTTCTCTTCCTACTCCTCAGCTACCCAACATGAAGATGACAAAGATGAAGACTTTATGATCATTCACTTCCACTTAATGAATAGTCAGTATATTTTCTCCTCTTTATGATGTTCTTAACAACATTTGTTTTCTCTAGCTTACTTTATTGTAAGCATAAAGCATATAGTACATATAACATTCAAAATATGTGTTAATCTACTGTTTATATTATTGGCAAAGCTTCCAGTTAATAGTAAGCTATTAGTAGTTAGGTTTTGGGGGAGTCAAAAGTTATATGTGAATTTTTAGCTGTATGAGGGATTCATGCCCTTAACTCTTGCAGTGTTCAAGGGTTAACTGTATTTCCGTCTTCATTTTTCTTTGCTTTCCCTACCATCTGTCTTTTGATATTGTGGAAAGACATCCAGTGGCTAACTCAGAACAGGTTCATGGGAGTAATTTTTTGAGAACTTGAATGTCTGAAAATATTTTCATTCTACTCCTACACTTGAGTGATAGTTTGAATATGGAATTCTAGATTGAATATGCCTTTCTCTTAGGCAGTTTTGCTGGGGGACTCCTGAATCACTGTCTGTAGAACTTTTTTTCTTTGGCTGAGTTTCCCTGAGAGGAATCCTATAATCACTTTCTGGTGGTAAGAGCCTGGCCATTGAGGGACTGGGGGAGAAGGATTAGGGGAGTGTCACACCACAATATATATAGACTTCCATTTATTCCTTCTAGTTTTAGCATGGTGCGGTATTCCCAAACTTGGTTCTTCCTGGTGTTCCAAGCCTAGAACATCATTGGTCAGGCTCTCTAGAGAAGAAACCTCCAGATTTCGGTTAGGGTATTGGAGGGCAGCAGCCTGGTGGCACAGACCGAGGAGGAAATCTTTGGTGATCTTTATAGACGTTCAATACATCCTCCTTAAAAAAAAATTAAAGCCTCATCCTTACCTTTGTCTTCAGAAATTCCAAGTACCTGCAATTTCTGAGTATTTCTGCAGGTCAGTGTAATGGGTCAACTTCTGCGCATTTCTGCAGGCCAGTGTAATGGGTCAGCTTGCTGATTATTGGTTTCCCCTCTTGCAGTCTGAAGTTTCAACCACTTACCTTCATTCCACGAGCTTTCCAACTTTCAAAGATGTTTAACCACTCTTCCCTGTTGTCATCTTTGTCCTTTTGAATTTATCACCTCTCCCATTTAAAAAAAAAACCTGTTCACTATAATTATAACATTTTAGGAAGAAGTGGACTAAATGTATGTTTCAATATGCCATATTTAGCTGGACTTCGATCATCGTCACTTAATTTAAAAGTATTAAAAACTTACATCAGACCGTGCAGCTCAGTATGTGGCCTGGCTAGAATTTCAACCCTCTGGGAAGGAAAGAAAAGAAAGATAAAAAGGAAATGAGGTTTGAGACTGTGCAGGGTGCACAGGGTGCAGTGATGAACAATGGAATGATGAGTTTGGTAATGGAAGGCATTTCCAGAAAACATGAAATGGAGTTGGGGGGGGCAGCAGAACGTAACGTCCTTGAACAATGATTTCACCTGACTTCTCTCTTCTGTTCTTCTGTTTCTCTTTCCATCTTTTCTTTCTCATTCACTCTCTTCCATCCATAAGCAGGTTTGTAGCGACTTGCATGTTTTAAGCTCAGGGCTAGTCCTGAGAATACAATGGTACATAAGGCGGGTGTGCTCCCTGTCCTAACTTAATAGCATGAAACAGCCCTTCAGTGCAGCATGCTCAGGACATAGAGGAGGGATAATGGATAATTAACCTAATTTTAGAGCATCAAAGCAGCTGGCTCTTCCAGCCACTTCCAGAGCTGCTTGTTCTTTGACCCATTTCTCCTTAATGTCAACATCATCTTTATCATCACAATCATCATTATTAATACTATAACTACTTATAGAAATTCGATTTACCTGGTCCCATGGTAGACCTTGTATATAGCTTATTTAATTTAATCCTCATAACAATCCAGCAAGATGGATTTTATCAGCTTGAAAAAATTAAGTAACTCACCCAAAGTCACCAGTGGTTAGCAAAGCTTCCTGGCTGCCACCTCCCTTTGACTTTTTAGATGTTCCTTTTCTGTGCCTCCCTACTAATGAATGTAGGTCCTTGTCATTGTGCTTAGCCATCAAGCATTTTTAAATCTTTGTGTGCTCACAGAAACTATTCCTCACTGATCTCAGTATCCCTGATGCCTAACACAGTATCTGGCACAGGATTAAAACTCATTAAATAAATAATTTTTTATGTAAGGCAAAGTCAGGATTTGAACCCAGATTTTTAAATTACAAAGCTCATGCCTTTCCATTGTATAGCATTGTTCTCCAGTTAAGACTTTTTCTCATTGCTATTACCCTTCCCCTTGTACACAGGATTCACCTTTGGCTCGCTCTGCCCCATGCCTGTTGGCCCCTGCTGACACCTGTCTTCCTCTCTCTGGGAAGACTTGTGATTAAACCAACAAGCACAGATACATCTTTTTCAAAAGCAAATAAATATCTTTTGGAAAAAATCTCTCACTGCCTTCAAGTGCAGTCACAGCACAAATTTAAGCATCAAAACAAACTTTTTGTTGTAAATATTTACTCCACTGTGGACAGAGACTTAGGAGTCCATCTGTTCTACGGGATTTTCATTTTAGTAGAATTTTTTGAAACCAGATCAGCAAATCATTGTTACTATTGGCCACACACAGAAATATGTTGCTTAAACAGAACTCTATGTTCAAATGGCATCTGTTATGAGCCTTGAGCTTGTCTACACAGAGCCACAGAAGGCAGCAAAGATAAGCGGTGGTGGGAACCTGAGTCACTGACCGTCAATCAAGGGACTGCACCTCCTGGAATACTCCCTGCTGGTTCGTAAGCTCTGGAAACTCAGGTGAAAACAGCAGATGGAACTGGTGTTGATATTAAGACACTGCTGCTTCCTTCCAATTCTTTGCCAATTTCTTTTTCTTTGCCAAATTTGTAAATGCTCACTTTTAGACGCAGAATAGCAGAGGAACAAACCTGGTTATATTCTTTCTCGCTTTGCATTTGAAAACTGTGACCTTGGCAAGCTGAAGTGGCTGCATCCTAAATCTCTATTTCCTCACCTGTAAAATAAGCCTAACAGTATTGTTTGAAGACTAAATGAGAGAGCTCAGTGAAACACTAGCACCCTTCAAGGCCGATTGTGGTTGGACAATGACTCTTCATTTCCCTTGAAAGAAGATGAAAGAATCACACATTGAGGTGCCCATAAACCACCCCCAAGTACTCTGATTCAGTGTGAGGCCTGGGCAACTGTACGTCTTCAGTGAAATTGGAAGTGGAGAACCACTGCCATAAGTGAGGTATGGAACCAGTTTTCTCAATTGAGACAGAAGTTTTTGGCTTCCACTCTGGAATTAAAAATGAAATATCAAGTTCAGGATGTAGTAAGCCATTTCACTGTCTATTTATAAAGCATTTTACAATGATTATGTTTATTCCTTCTGTATCCTTGAGAACAGGTTTGCCTTCATGAGCCATGCTTTCTCCTTGAGAACACAAAGATAAAAAGATTCATTCAGAATGTCAATGGCAGTAACAGGACTGAAATCCAGACTATTTATCATCCACAATAGCTCAATGCTACAGTCCTTGCTCAAGCAGGATACCTACTGACAATCTGAATAATTGACTGCACTAAAAAGTTTGTCAAATCAGGTTCATAAATTAGGCTTTAATAGAATATTATAAGTTGGCTGAGCTAAAAGGCAAATATCAATCTTATGATTTGTATTTAACAATACACTGAAAATGTCATTCAACCACTTATGGAAATGATAGAGAACTAGTCCTCCAACATAGATTTTTAGCAGGAATAGAGTCAAACTCAGAGTTATGCACAAGGGAAAGAGAACAGTTTGTATTAAATAGAGGTTTCCAGGTACAACATAGAGAAATACTAATGAGAGATCTTGGGAAATTGCCAGAGTTTTTATTTAATAAGAAAGTTTAAGTGTGCTTCTAGGAATGGGTCGAGAAGTTATTCTCCCAAGCTGCTCATTTTAGATTGAATTCATGAGGGTTTTATATTTCATGTCTTGTTTTCACAACTGCTTTATGAAAAAACAAACAAACAAACAACCCCAAATTAGAAAAACAACAACAGACCAGTTATCTAGAAACTATCATCTGCTGGAAATTTTGTTTAAATGTAATTTGCTCCCTATTCTTCTGTTAAATAGATGGAAAGCATGGGGACAGTGGACAATATTGTAGAAAAATCATTTGCTAAAGGTTATAAAGAGGCTAACAGAATTCAAATGGTGAAACTATTCCTATAACAATTATCTTTCAAAGTTGTCTTTGAATCATTCTTTCCAATATAAAGGGACAAAGAATATAGTGTTCCTCACTCTAGGTGCTCCAGCTATCATTTCCGCAATAAAATATCATGAACCGTGCCATAATATAAGGCATTTAATTAGACTCATTTAACATATTGTAACTCACCAATGATTTTTGCATTCAGCACATTTCAAACAGCTGAGTTTTAAAAATGTAGAGATTTGTTCACCACTAAATATCAATGGGCCTCTGCAGCTGCACAGCCCCTTAGATCTGGTTTGCATATGTGGCTTAATGAGTCCTCGGGAACAAGACAGAATCAAGGAAACAGCAGCAAAGAAAAACACCCAACTGGAGAGGAAGTTAACCCAGCCATGGAAGTGGCACTGGTCCACGGACCCTAGGCTGAAAGGCCTCAGAAGAAGTCTGAAGGAAAGCAGGCTGCGAGCCAAATGGAAAGTGACCCTGGGCCTCGGGTGAATGTCATGTGCCCTCTTAACTCTTTGGTCCTGAGTTCTTGGAGAATCTCTGTAGGTTGAGGAACTCAATGGGTATTTTCTACAGAATAATACCTGACCAGTTACAAGCACATTACATAGTAAGGCCACAAGAAGGCTCAAATTGCCCAACTCTAATTCTCTTACCTGTCTGCTCCCATGGAAACCCCTCATCTCCTATCTAACATCGAACTCCCAATGTTAAGTTTACTCCCCTAGCATCAATATGACAGGGAAGCCCACTGTCAACAGACGGAAATGTTACCTGTGAGGAAAAGGAGGCTGGAAGGGACAAAATTTCCCTCTGTTTTTTCTTAAATATATTTCCCTCCTTACCACAAGAAACAAATTCTCAACAATTTAGAAACCATTAACTAAAAAGATGAAGATATAAAAACTCACACTAAATCCACAGACTGGATATAAGCACTGTTAACATTGGGAAGTACGTCCTCCCAGTCCTTATTCTATATCAGAACACCCTTCTACCTATGCCTCATCCATATCTATCATGGGTTCTGGCACTACCTCAGCTCTTATGCATGTTCTAAGCCTTTTTGATAAATATTATGATATATAACATCAAAAATATTGTCCTCTAAAAAATGAATTATTTTGTATTTGTATCAGAAGAACATAAGAGTGACCATTTACTAACACATTCGCTTATTGGGAATATTATATTTAGCTTGCCAATTTGAAAGGTGAAAGTCTTTTTACAGCTGTTTAAATTCACAGTACTTTCACATCCCCTTGAATTTTTAGCTCCCCAGTCATCCCCTGGGGGACTGGTCTTCAGGGGAGACTCACTGAACGTCCACCTTCTCTTTTTCCCTTGTCTTCTATAGCAGAGCTAGGGCAGGCTGACGTTTTCAAAAAGGATGTTACTGCAGAATGAAGTGGAAACAAGAGGAAATAATTATAGAAAATTAAAACAGCATAAAAATATTCATACGTCTGAGACTGAGCCGAGGAATACTTAAGATCAGAAAAGAACTTTCCAAAATTTTGCACCCCATCTTGCCTGGATTTTTTTTTCTTCCCACACTCTCAGGCTCCATGTGTTTCCTTCCCTATAGAAACAGACCACCCGAGCACCTTCCTTTCACAGACAAATAACTGCTTAAAGCTGAGCCATGCCTCTGGTCTAAATTTCCCAAACTCCTAGAATTCTGTCCTCTCAATGATGTTTCTGTATTTTCCGTGTCTAAACTTTGAATACTTATTCTGATCGGGATTTAAAATGCAGGTCTTCATAGCTGCATTCATTAGTAAAACATTTATATTACACTGGCTACATATTTAACAAATTGCCTCTGTTTAAGAAGAACAGAATTATATGTAATTTTGAAGAAATTCCAGACGTATTGAAGGAAGTCCCATAAATTCCATTTCTTGAAAGAAAAGGCCATGAGTCAGTATTTGAATGTGTTTCTTGCCAAATAAGAGACAATACTCTTGTAAGGCACAGTCTCTATGGTCAAAGTAAACCACTGATCTTATAAAGAGTTCGGGAAGGGTGGCATCCAAGGACTCGTGGACTTTCATTAATGGAAATGTGTATGAATTGATTGACCTGGCTGAGGCTTGTGGAAGAAAGGCTACTGGAGTGAGGCTTTTGCTGATTGGTTGACTTTCGGATATGTGTGGCTGCCACAGATTGGCTGACTTTCATAAGTATTAATATATTCATGTAAATAAGTTGTCCTTGATCAACTGGGTTGAGCCTGAAGTTGATTCTGGTGAGCTCTTGTTCATGGCTTGGGATTACTGCCAAAGGAAGGTCTTTTTCTTTCTTGAATTTGAAGGACTGGAATATTTCATTCTGACTTGGTTGCTGTATCTTTGAGAGACATACTTTTTTCACAAATGATACTCATTTCAGTAAAAATGGGCAAACTTGAGATGTAACTGGATGACATGAGTCTTTAAGGTCTGGTGTTTGAGCTCCAACTACTTCTAGAGCATTTTGAGATAACCTTCAGATTAATTTATTAGAATGGCATCATAGAGTAATGAAATTAGATATTCCTTGAAAATGATTTGTTGAGCCTCATTTTGTGACAGGTAGAAAAACTGAAACCTGAGAGGTGTTTTCACATTCCCTAAGAGATAAATCTTAACCTGGTTTCCTATGCACCTCTCAATACCAAGCTTTTCTGACATTGTTTGATGGGAATCTGGTCAATAAATAAGAGGAAAGACTATATCAATAAATTATTCATTGTGAGTAGTTATGTTATTTGATAAAATATAAACTGTGTTAAATGGAAAACACATATTTATATGTTATATATATATTTCTTGATCTTATATATACAAACTATTTTCTGTTTTCTCTTTATTCTCTAAGAGTAGAAAAGGAAAGTGTAGAAGAGAGGAAAAACAACGTGGAAGTGTTCTGATGGGACGGAAGAAGATCGGGCCAAGGAAAGAAGAATGTTGTGAAGATGCAAGCAGCCAATTTGTGCTCCATAAAAAGTAAAATGTTGGTATTATACATAAAGCCATTTGTTTCTTTTTCATGGGAAGGTAGAGAAATTAAATGTGAAGGCAATGGGGATTGGCATAGGAATAATGGAAAACAAAGTTGATGGTTCACTTCTTCATCTGAGGAGGCTCACTTTGTGGTCCTGCAGCCAGCAATAAGGAAAACAATGGAAGAGCATAGTGGTGATTTGCTAGTAAAAACATAGCTCCTGAGTTAAGTGTGGTGACTTACACCTGTAATCTCAGTACTTTGGGAGGCTGTGGAGGGAGAATTGCTTGAGGCCAGGCATTTGAGACTGCCATGTGCAGCATAATGAGACCCTATATCTACAAAAATTAAAAATAAAAACATTAGCCAAGAATGGTGGCACACACCTGTAGTCCCAGCTACTCTGGGAGGCTGAGGTGGGAGGATCATTGGAACCCAGGAGGTGGAGGCTACAGTGAGTCATGATCATGCCACTACCCTTTAGCCTGGACAACAGAACGAGACCACCATCTCAAAAAATAGATAAATAAAAATAAAAATACAGCTCCCATGTGTCCACTACTCTCCATTTCCACCACACTCTTTCTCCTGGTCCATGTCCTTAGTCTCCACGTTGGTCTCCGTTTTGTTCACTCTTGCCATCTTCCACACAGCAGCCAGTTATCTTTTAAAAATACGGCTCCGTTTCACTCACTCTCCTTCAAAGGCTTCCCATTGCTCTTAGCATAAAATCCAAAATCTTTTAAATGTCTGATGAGTAATGTGGACACATACTTTGTTATCTCAACAGAGGTACCTTGAGAGAGAAAGGGGGCATCATTGCTGGGACTCTCTGGGGCACACTGGGCTGGGTGGTCCCCCCAGGGCCTTCTGTGACCTTGCCCCATCTACCTTTCCACTTTCTTTTGCTTCTCCCCGTACCAGCACCACTCATGATGCTCTAACAACATTGGCCTTCTTTCTGTTCCTCAAATGTCCAATTGTCTCTGACTGTAGAGCATCTGCACATACTGCTCTTCCTGCCTGGAACACTTGTGCTCCTCTCAGGCCAGATTCTACTCAGCCTCAGGATGTGCTTCTGATCCACAGTGCAAACTTTCTGATAGCCCAATCTAACTTAAGTGTCCTGTTACAATCTCTCATGGAGCCCTTTATTTTTTTCTCTATAGTAGTTTCACAATTAGTAATTTTGCGTTTATTTGTAGTGTTGTCTGCTGAATGTCCATCTTCTCCTCTAGGTGGTGTGCTCCCCAAGGCAGATATTGTATCTTTGTGTTCAAACTTTACTCCTATGTCCTGGCAGTATGGAATGCACATGGCAAGCACTCAAGACACAAGAAATATTTATTGAATGATGGATTGAATAAATATATACCTGGGTGGGTAAGAAGAGACAATACTTATCAAAATGCATAGGATGAGGGCAATATAAATGCTATAGACTTCTGCTGGACCTGTTCATAGGCTTCAGAATTTCCCCAACAATATGTATCTGTTAGCTTAGGCTGAGCATACTACAGTAACAAACATCCTCAGACTCTCAGCAGCTGACACAATAACGGTTTATTTATTGCTCATGTTACATGCCTATTGTAAGTCAGCTGCATGTCTTCTTCATCTGAGACCCAGGCTGTTGTAAGGGTCCCCATTCCAACATTGCTTGTCTCTTCGCAGAGAGAATGAGAGCATGGCCAAGGATGAGAGAGTTCTTGCTCTGCTCAGAAGGAGCACACCTCATTTCTGCTTCTATTTCGTTGGTCAAAGCAAGTAACATGATATCAACAGGGCCAAGATGTGTGATCCTCTCACAGGGAGACATCCACGTAAAGATGCCTATGGGAAAGGGATCAATACTTTGAAATATCATAATACATAGGTGTTGCATGCTTTTGGTAGATGAACTAAAGGGAGTTTTCTTGCTTGCGTATTTTGGTAAGGTCTGGGAGTTAAACGGAAAATATGACTCTAATTTTATTCTTGGGAAAACCAGGGCTCTATGAGCTGAGGCAGTACCCTGAGACTAAAAAGCACTGTGTCTGAGAGAGTGAGTCTCCAGACTAGTCTGCAGCTGCCTTGCTCCTCTGTGGGCTTTAATTCCCTTTTCACCCATGCCCAGCCCTTGGAGTCATCTTCTGATGTTTCATGATATTCTTTGATATCTTTTATACTTGCACGAATTTTCTTCTTACTAAAGTTAGGCTTTATCTATGCAAGAGAGAGATAAATGCAAATCAGGAGAAAACCCAGCCTTCTGTTTCTAGTGGAGAAGTTCTGTATTTAATGCCTTCTACAGACCATTAACATCCCATTTTTAAAAGAAAAAGGGAGGTTTTACTGGGTGGGTTGATCATTCACTCTCCTGATTCCTGCCTTCACCAAGTTCTCCAAAATCAAGACTCTAATAAGAAATTTAACTCAGCCTTTTTTGGCGGGGGTGGGTGGGGTAAACCTCATCCTTCCCTCATTTTAAAGTGAAATGGACAGAAAACCTGAAGAACTGAAAGGTAGGTGAGATCACAGCACTTATACAATAATTCAATTAACATCTGCTTTCTTAAAAGCAAATGTTAAAATTGTACCTGCAGCTTTGAGGCATAATCGGAACTTCTCTTTGGAAATGGGATGATATTTAAAGAACAGAAGTGTGTGACCAGGAATGGCAGGGAGTGCAGCTGAGACAAAGCTGGGGGCATGTGACAAGGTAAAGAGCCTCTTTTAAAATGCCTATGGTCAGCAAATGCACAAGAGACTTATTTTTCCTTTTGGAAATGAGGCTCTGATCTTCAATTGAATCCAAGTGCCTGCAACCCCATTTGACTTACCTCTATTGTGCCAAAAAAATAAAATTAGAATTAAAACTAGATGAATGTAAGTGCAAAATAGACTGAAAAGGCAGGCATTGTGTAATGACAATTCAGCAAGCAGTGAAACTTCACAGTCATGATCACCGAGGGGAACATCAGAGTCATGAAATCCTGTCAATGTTTTTTGTTTTTTTTTTTTTTGAGACGGAGTCTTGCTCTGTCACCCAAGCTGGAGTGCAGAGTGGTATGATCTCAGCTCACTGCAACCTCCGCCTCCAGGGTTCAATCAATTCTCCTGCCTCCACCTCCTGAGTAGCTAGGATCACAGGTGTGCACCACCACGCCTGCTAATTTTTGTATTTTTAGTAGAGATGGTGTGACACCATGTTGGCCAGGCTGGTCTCCAACTCCTGACCTCAAGTGATGCACCCGCCTCAGCCTCCCAAAGTGTTAGGATTACAAGCGTGAGCCACTGTGCTGGGACCCTCTCAATCTTTTGGATAAGCCTGTGCCATGCCACGCACTACCTATGAAAATCTCAGCTATTTCTGAAGCTTTAGAGAAGAAGGGTAAAATATCTCCTTATTTTATTGAACTCTTCGTTTTCAGCTTTATCTCAATGTTGTGTTTACTATCAGAGAAATAAGTTGCATTTTCAAGAAATACCCACAGGTGGGTGGTTGTTTCTGTTTGGGACCAGTCCCACCCACCAGGGAACTGTGGTGCCAGACAGGACAGAATTTCCGCATTGCCATCCGGTTCTTATCATTAGCAAATGAGTAAAGAAACGGGAGATCAAAGCGAATATTCATCCAGTGCTAAATGCTTTGAAGAAGACTCTTCCCTTGCTGAACCCCTTGGTATGAATTAGCTAAGTGATGAATAAATACAAAATGTCTACCCGGGAGCGAGAGTTAAAGAAATTGAACAAAGGAGGTGCAGATGGATGTCATGATGACTAACGTGCTTAAGTACTCAGCTTATCTGTGATGTCCCCTGAGGTTTCTTAGAACTCACAATGACTGTTTCATATTTGTACAACACCCTGGAGTCTCAGACAACACATGATCTCTACCTGCCACTTGCCTAATTCTGTTGACAGAAACTGCTTTCAATATGACTGTTGAAATTTAAAGGTGAAATTGGCTATTGAAACTCAAGATATTTAATTACTTTGTTTTTACTTTATTTGCATAAAAACATAATATTATAGTTACTTGTAGTAAGTATAGGTTATAAATATTTTATCCCAACTGTTCTTTTTCCCTCCAACTGCTGAATCTAGCTACCTATGTTTAGTCTTTACTTAGGCTGCTCTTGCTTCCACTGTTGAGGAAATTACACCAGCTTTATATCCAGAGAACCTTAAACCTCTCATCTTTCCCTGCTTCCCACACTCATTCACCACCATTGTGTCCAGGAAAGACACAGTAACATTCTCCCATTTTCTTTATACCTCTTTACATATGTAGTTCTTACTTCGCCTTGCCCTTTAGAAGTCTGGGTACATAATATGTATGTTTGTCTTCAAAGAGGCACTATGCTGTAATAGTTTATAGTACGGGTTGGAAACTTTTTTCTGTAAACACCCAAATTGTAAAGATTTTAGACTTTTCAGGCCCTAGTGGTAACTTCTCAATTCTGCAATTGTATTGTAAAATCAGCCATAGACAATATGGAATCAGATAGTCACGGTTGTGTTCCAGTAGAACTTTATTTACATACACAGCAGCTGGCCAGATTTGACCTACAGGTTGTAGTTTGCTGACTCTTGGTGCAGAGCATGGACTTTGGAGCCACATGGCCTCACTTCCTGGCTTTGTGTACTTGGGCAAGTCACTAACCTCTCTGCCCATTAGTTTTCCCATCATCATGGGAAGAATAACACCTGCTTCACAGGGTTGTTTTGAAGGTGAAATTATCTGACACATGTAAAGTTGGTAAAGATTTCTCTCTGGAATAGTATGAAATCAACATAAATGCTTGCTATTGTTACAAGCAACTTGAGGGGAAAAATAATACGTATTATTTACTTTTCTCTTCCTTTGTGTTTCCACAATCTCCTCACTCTCCACAGCACATAGTAGAGTCCAAGTTGCAGAGATACTCAATAATTATGTGTTGCATTGAATTATTCTGGCTTGCTTTGGCCTTACTTTTTTTGTTTTTTGTGTTTTTTTTTTTTAACAAAGAATAACTACTTAATTTCTCTTCTTTCCCTTCCATCTGATGAATATGTCCTGTATAGTTATTACTTTCTTGCTCTTAGAGAAAAATTATGTTCTAGGGAGTATCTATTTGGGGCAACTTGAATCTATGTTTCCCAGCTTAAATTTTTAAAAAATATATATTTTGAGCTCCTGCAACCAATATCCTTTTTCCCTTCTTTATGGTTTAGAACTAAAATTTTTTTTTTAACTAATCCTTTTCCTTCATGTGTAGACCTAAACTTTTAAAGGGGGTTTTCCTAAAGAGATCAAATATTTTGTCCTTTCTGAATATTTTCCTGGGGGACAGATCTAGGACAGCCCTCTGATTATCCTCCCTTGGTAGTATTCATACTATTGTATGATCCTTTTACTGTGAGTATAGGTGGGACCTGTAAGTTGTTTCTAAACAGTAAATTATGACAAAGATGATATGATGTCACTGTCATTATTATGTCACATAAGATTATGACTTCTATCTTGCTAGTAGACCCTCTCCATTAACTCTCTCTCTTTCTGATTGAGTGTAAGCTGCTATATGAAGGGATCCACAAGACGAATAATTAAGGGGGACCTCTGATCAACAGCCAGCAAGGAACTGAATCCCTCAGACCCACAACTCACAAGAAACTGAAGCTGAAGCAGATTCTTCCTCAGTCAAGCTTCAGGTGAGATTCTAGCCCTGCCCAACACCTTGGTTATAGCCTATGACAGACCCTGGAGCGGGCAACACAGCTAAGCTGTACCCAGATTCCTGACTCACAGAAACTGTGAAATAATAAATGTGAATTGTTTTAAGCTGCTAAAATTGTGGCAATACTGTTATGCAAAAATAGATAACTAACACAATATGAAACTACTGGATTATAACAGCAATTATTCAAAATAATTATAATGGTTTCTTATCAATGATTTGGTTTGTCAATCATCAAATGTATTTAAGAATTGATTTTTAATGTCATCATGCTTGGCAACTTGGTTCGCCACCAATACTATGGTAATTAATAATCTATAATAACACTTCCATAATCCAGCCTTCTGGAAAATTCAGTTCCCCAAAAGAATCCTAAATCTGGAAAACAGCGTCAGGGAATAAACAAATTCAAATTTTTGTGAAATAAAAAGCACAACTAAGAAAAACTGAAGATTACAATATTGCAACTGCTCTATTGTAATTGTGATTGGGTAGCTCATAGCATAAAAGCAAGAAGTTAGTTGTGGTTCTAAAAGAGGAGAAATGGTAGCTGGGCTTGATGGGAGTATACACCATTGCTCCTATTCCATCTAAACATGGCCTCATACATAACTATGGTCAGTGTTTGGGCAGGGGACATTAGCACAGCAATGATCCTCTGAATAAGTATACTGTGACCTAACAGCTTTAATATATCCTGACATTTTAAGCACTAACTTCCCAGTGTGCAGTGCATTGAACTCTGTGGAAAATAGATCCTAGATAACTAAGTAACAATAAGTAATATTTTCTCTTTCCTGTTAATGAAAGTGGACGTGTGAAATCATGAGTTGGATGGACAAAATCACTTTCTCATATGCTTGAGAGATGTAAACGGACCTTTCAGATCCAGAGACAGATCTATCAAAGTCATATTTCCGACACCTGCCACTGGTTTCCCTTGCTTTTATAACCCAACAGATAATGGGGCCATGTTTAAAAGGAATGGGGGTGATGGTATAGATTCAGGATCTAGGGGTTATTCGTTATAATATCTGTGTTAACCTGAGTGTTAGGAATGGGTCACCAGGGGAGTTTCTGATATAGCCTGAGAATGATGAAGATGCTGGAAAACCGGCCCCGTCACACACCAATGAAGCACGAATAGCTGTGCCCATCTCTCAGACAACTGGCTGATGTCGGCAGCAGGAACTGAACTGAACAAACAGGGAGGAGAGTGACTTTGCTTCTCATCAAAGGTTACAGAATGAAGCCTGCAGCTCAGCTTTCCATGAAGTCATCTTTATGGATTTGGGGTTCTGTGGAACTGATTAGTAGCTTTAAATCCCCACTTGGCTTTGTCTTTGTAAGAAGAAAATACCTAATTGTGTCTCAGATTCACATTAACTTGGTCCATATCTAATTGGAAAAAATTTTTTGTTATTCCACAGAATCATTGACTGTAATAATCCATAGATTCACCACATCTAGGCTATTAAAACCCACTCTACCAAACTCGGACAGCATGACAATTGTAGTTGATTAATACTGTGGTGCCATTCTGAATAAGCTTCCAATCTTGTCCTAGTCAAATTCATTGCTTGCTACATGGCTTTCCCGGTTAATTCTGAATTCAGCAAAGAGCTCCAATGGGCTGATGTTGAGCAGAGGTCAGCGGCTGCCAGAACTGTCATACTTACTACTGTCTCCATGAGCCAGACTGGAAAGGTACACAGAGCTGAGAGCTCAGGTATACCCTGATCCCACTATCAGATCTAACTGGGCTCCCACCATCACCACCCTATTGCAGAAAGAAATCATGAGTGACCACTCAGCTCAAGGCTTCTCTGCTGATGCCATCCAGTGAGTTTCCTGGCAGCCATCTTTTTATGAAAGAATAGAGGTCAGCCTGACTGCACTTCCAGATGATTAGAGGTGAATCCGCAGGAAATTTATGGTAGACGGTTAATGGGAGGTGTTGATTGTGTGTGTGTGTGAGAACACAGGTTGTAAATTCTGGCTTTTCTTGCCTGCAGTTGGCTGTAACAGTGTAATTACATTAAACCAGTTCCTGGAACCATGGGACTGTGATGTGCCTTCATCTAACACATCTGCTTTATTGCTCTCACAACCAGCCCCACGAAAGAGTTGGGGTTTTGGTATAGCCCACAACAAGCCACTCTCCTCTCTGCTCAAGTCAGTTACTTCTCTGACTCTGGGGTACCCGTGTCACCCTAAAGGCAAATGCCTTTAAGCTCTAGGAAACTTTCTGCTTCTTCATCAGTGGAAAATGACCTTAAGCTACCTGAAAGCTCCCTGTCTCCTCAAATCTCATCTCCCCATTCCCCCACCGTCCACTCTCTAGCTCATCTCACACCTGGAAGTCTACATGAATGAACTTTCCACCCCACTAATAACCTGATGAAACAAGTGCAGGTCAAAGGAGACCCGTTAGCTGAGTTCCACAGCCCAGTCAACAGGAGCTCAACAGTAAGAATGAGCAAAGCGTGCAAGTTCTTCAGGGAAGTTTACCCAAACCTGCTGGGCAGCTCAATTATCCCTATCTCATATCCACTGGGAATTCCAAGGAGCTGGTCCTCAAAACATGCCAGGAGGTACACTAAGGTACACTTTTCTAATTATAATTAGAAAAGGGTTCTATTCACTGTTTGAAGTAGGAAAGTAAATGAAAACACCTGCGCCCCGAATTATGTTCAAACAAAACACATTTCCTTTCCCACACTAATGTAATAACCTTTTTTAACTCTTCCCTTTCTGCAGAGATCTGAGATCAAAAGAGATTCAGTCCTGCTACCCTTGATGCTGGGACCTTTTCCCCCTTGGCCATTTCCTAGCTTATTTCCAAGTGGGTTGGACTGAAAGGTCTGAGTTCCAGTCTTAGGTTTATAGACTGAGTTCCAGTCACAGGTTTACATACTGTGATGTCTCACAGTAAGTAACGTGTGTGGATCACTGGAAACTCCCAAACCACTATTTTAAGGGGAAAGGCACTGAGGAAGGATGAAAGCTAGAGACTCTTTCCTTCATCCTCCCAATCTCTTATGCTGTAAGAAGGATGTGTTGGGTAAAGCTAGAAGAATATCTTGGGTACAGCCTCTTGTAGTGTTTCCTACCTATGGCATGATACTTTTGAAAGACCCCTTCCTGTCCTGCAGAACATCTTTAGTCCTCACAAGTTCTCCTGCTGCAGGGGACTTGTCTGACCTCTTCAGGCTGGGACCAGTTCCCCTTATATCCCATAGAGCCTTTTTTTTTCCTGTGGCGCACCAGCATCATTGTGTCACCATGCTCTGCTCCTGGGCCTGTCACCTCCCATGGACTGTGAGCTCCTGGAAGCAGTTCATTTTTGTATCCTTAGCACCTGGCATACAGCCTGGCATGCAGTGGACACTCAACAAATATCTTTGAATGAATTAGTGAGTGGATGATAGTAAAGAATAGCAAAAGTAAAACGTTCTTCCAATGAAAGTAGATGTTGAGAATAAAGGTGCTCCTCTGAATCACCCCTGACATGCAAAGACCCTCTGTTTCCTAAGAAGGAAAGTGGATGAATTCCACTCATGGTTGCTCCAGAGCCAAACACAAGCAGACCTTATGTGCACTTCGCCTTGGACAGAGGCAGAAAGCCACTGAGCCTGATGCTGATGCGGGCATCAGCCTGGCTCCTGCCCTAAAGCAAGCTCATCTTCACTTCCCATCTTGCAGATGGAGTTTCCAGTTTCCTGTGATCCCTGCCTCAATTTTTTGCTTATTCAATGGAGATAATAATACTTACCACCGATGAGTTCTGGGGAAATGAACAATACTACCTACCTTTCACCACTAAGTTTTGGGGAAGTAAATGAGGTTGCAAGGAAAAAATTGCACCTGTAAACTCAGCTATCTTCAATACGTGCCCAAGTTTTTATTTACATTGATGTCCACCATTTGAAGAGTTAAATAGTTCTAAAATACTCATTATTTTAAAAGCAGCTCTCCTCCTTCTCCACCACCTTCCCATACACTCATATCTTTCACCCCATTCCTCACAATGTGATTCATTTAGTTTTTGATGAAATTCTCAATGTTTATATTTTTAGGAGCATGAAAAGTTACTTACAGCTTTGTATTTACTATGTCACAGTTACAATTCCTTTCTTTTATAACTCCTCTCATCTGGAGTTAATAATTGCCTTCTTGATTTTTTTGCATGGTGCTCTATGTATCTATCACTATTGCCAAACCTGATGATAGATCTGTAAATCTCTTCTTGACACATTAGAACACATTAAGAAACATATCCATTCTGCCTACCTATCCATCTGTCTTGGAGATATACCTTTGGAAGCCCTCTATTCTCTTCCCTACTTCTTTGCTCTAATTGTTTTCTAGGCCTGATGCACAGGTTTTATCCTGGGATCCTTCCTCACCATTCTCCCATAGGTTAATATTCTTTCTTTTTCTCTTCCTCTGGTGTTGGATCCCTCATTTCTTGAATAGCTTTTCCTTTTCCCTCTTTCTTTGTTTATTCTGATTAAACAAATCCTTCAGAAACTTTTGAGAAGCATTTGAGAGGTAAAATTTCTGATGCATTTTGTCTCACACTCGATTGACAGCTTGATTGAGAATAGAATTCAAGGTTAGGAAGCCTTTTGCAAAATATTTTTTGTGTGTATGACAGGGTCCCACTCTCTTGCTCAGGCTGAAGTGCAATGGCACAATCACAGCTCACTGCAGCCTTTGCCTCCTGGCTCAAGTGAACCTCCCACCTCAGCCTCCTGAGTAGCTGGGACTACAGGGGAGCACCATCATACTGGCTAACTTTTGTATTTTTCTTTTCTTGGTAGAGATGGGGTTTCACCATGTTTGCCAGGCTGGTCTCAAACTCCTGGGCTTAAGGGATCTGCCTGCCTCAGCCTCCCAAAGTGCTGGGATTACAGGCATGAGCCACCCTGCCCAGTTAGCATGGAATTTTGAAAACATTGATTCATTGTCATCTATCTCCCAAGTTACTCTTAAGAAGCCTGGTACCATTCTAATTCTTCATATTTTGTACATAATCCATTTTTTCCTCTTGAATCTTTTAAAATATTCACTTGGACTTCAGTGTTCTAAGTTTTTATGATGCTACTCTTTGTTGTGGGTTCATCTATCATGTTGTCCGATGGGTGGGCCCTTTCAATCTAGAAATACAGGAGCTGTCATTTTGGGAAATGTCTTTGAATTTTTGCATTGATGATACTCTTCACTACCTTTTCTCTGTTCTCTCTTTCTGGAACTCTTGTTATTTGTGTATCATACTTCCTAGATTTACTCTTAACTATTTTATAATTTCCTGCATTTTTCAATCATTTTGATTTTTTTATCTGTGTTCTAGAAAATCAACTTCACTCTTCTTTTTATTCTTCCCATTAAGCTTTTACAAATATTTTAATTTAATTTTTAATTTCCAATGGTTTATTTTACTTCTCTGAATGCTTTTTTTAAAAAGTACACTGTTCTAGTTTTATGGATGGAATATCTTCTCAGTTCTCTGAGGATATTAGTAATAGTGGGTTTGTCGGTTGGTAGGTATTCTAGTAAAGAACTTATTTTGTTTTTCCCCATGTTTCTCTATCCTGGTTATCGATCTTGGTCTCTGTATTAGTCTGCTGGGGCTACCATAACAAAGTACCCCAAACTGGGTGGCTTAAAACACAGAAATTTATTGTCTCACGGTTTTGGAAGCTAGACGTCTGAAATCAAGATGTCAGCAGGGTTGGTTCCTTCTGAGGGCTATGAGGAAAAGATCTGTTTCGGGCCTCTCTCTCTTTGACTCATAGAGGCTCATCTCTGCCTCTGTGTGCATTTTCTTCCCTCTATGTGTGTCCCCTTCATATGGCATTCTTTTATTTTTTGAGACAGAGTCTCACTCTGCCGCCCAGGCTGGAATGCAGTGGAATGATCTCGGCTCACTGCAACCTCTGACTCCTGGTCAGAGGCAGCAATTCTCCTGCCTCAGCCACCCTGGTAGCTGGGATTACAGGCATGCACCCCCAAGCCTGGCTATTTTTTGTATTTTTAGTAGACACCGGGTTCACCATGTTGGCTAGGCTTGTCTCAAACTCCTGAGCTCAAGTGATCTGCCTACTCTGCTTCCCAAAGTGCTGGGATTACAGGTGTGACCCACCACACCTGGCCCATATGGCATTCTTTTTTATAAGGACATATGTATTGGATTAGGGCCCACCTTCCTCTAGTATAAACTTACCTTAACTAATTATATCTGTGACCCCCCCTACTTCCAAATAATGTCATATTCTCAGGTACTGGGGGTTAGGACTTCAATATATGAATTTTGTGGGCACACAATTCATGCTGTAACAGTCTCTGGCATCATGTCAGAGCTTTCCTCAAGTGTCTGGCATGTGACAGAGACCATTATCTTATGTGTAAGAGCAGGGCACTGAAAGCTGATATGGAAGCCCCATATGGGTGGGGCTGGATAGGAGCGGGTTTCACTGTGAGGAGTTTCACCTGGCCATTGTATTACCATGTTGGCATCTATAGGTCTTTTCTCTTGGGCTGATTAAAAAATAAATAAATAAAAATAAAAATAAAAAATTTCCATCTGCATGCCTGAGCACCAGCATTCTGGGTGCTAACTATAGGAAGAGGACTGAGGCTGAGGTTATTCTATTCATAAACCATTATTCATTTCCTCATTCCCGTCTTTGCACCCTCATCTGTGCCCATTGTCCTCCAGTGCAGAGATTCCAGTTTTACCTTCTTCAAAGAACAAATGCCATTTTCTGATTGGAGATGGTGAGGGGCAGCTACCTGGCTCTTCAGAGTCGAGGAGGGATTTTGAGGTCCAATTCCTACTCAACAGATTTAAGCCCATCTTTCTGTTTCAGCCCCACCTTTACCCCACTTCCAGAGTTACTTTGTGCCACCAATTCCTATGCCCTTTGGGACTTCTAGGGTGCAGACAAAATTGTATAATAGCTTTTCTTCCCTTTATCTGTCTATAGAAAGATTTCTGTTTCCTTAGGTCTGTCTTCTGAGTTAGATACCAGTAAACCTTTCTTTCCAGCTTCTTAATGATTTTTGATCTTATCTCTTTTCCCATTTTTATTGTCTTGTGTGTTTCTGCCATTAGAAAGGTTCCTTACTGTCTTACTGCACATCTAGTGGAGTTTCAGTAGGGGTCACAGGTAAGCACTTTATTCAATTCACCCTGTGTTGCCAGAAACCCCTCCTTCTCCTGTGCCTAGAACAGCCCAAGTTGGATTCTGGTGGCAGTAACAAGAATCCTGCCTGGTAGAAGAGGACAAATGGAGATGAGGGAGCAGGGATGGGAGCTAAAGCCACCACTGCCTGCCCACCATACACTTCAGCCAAGCTTTAGCCAAACCAGCTCTTGATGCCTACAGAGGTCAGGCTTTCTTTCCTCTGCACCTTTGTTTATACTTTCCTCTTTGTCTGGATAATCCCTTCTCCCCCTGACTGCCTAGAAAACCGTCACCTTTCAAGAGTCAGTTCAAGGCTTACTGACCCCATTCTAATCCTTTTCCGAAGAATTGGCTCCTCTATCCCCCACTCTTCCTCCTCCCGCATAGTAGATTTTATTGTACTTGTCTGTTTACAAGTCTGTCCTCCTCTTGATTCTGCACCCTTTCAGGTAGAGACTGTGTTTTGTCTTTGTACCTCCATGCTTGACATATAGCAGATTTTTAATAATTTTCTGTTGTTCATATCCTAGATAGGTTCTGGTATGATTTCAGGATTTCATATTGGGAATATCACATGTGTGGCATGTTTCTATGCAATGCTACAGTTCCTGGGCACATATGGAATTCTATTTCCTTTTCAGCTCAAATTTTCCTTTGAAAGATGTTAAACTGCCTCAATTTCCCCAAATTGACCTCTCGCCAGAAGGTTAAGAGGAGAATGGCCAAAGAAGCACATCGTCTGCTGCTGATTTCTCTGTGGCTATGCAGATACACATTGACTGATCTGACTCAACTGGAAGAGCTTTGCGCTGTTCGGAGCATATGATAGCACACATTTCGCAACACATTTGGAAGAGAAAATAGTGGTCATTTCATTTCTAGGGTTTCTGATTACTGATAAATTTTATTGGGCCAATTTCATTTCTTTTTGGGGGTCCTGGATCTTTCAAGGTCAGAGCCGCCATACTTCTCATAGACACATCCTGGATGAATGCTGTGGTACTGCAGAGAAGATGCTTGTGCACACAGGTTACCTCCATATATCAAAAACTTATGACAATGATGATGAGTTCACTAGCCAGTTCCAGCAGTGACCAATTCAGAGTGCCATCATATGTCATTTATTCACCCAAAATGTACCAAGCCCCCTGATAGTCATGATGCAAGCTGTTAAACACTGAGAAGATAAAATCATTAAAATTCCCAATAATTAGTAAGTGCTCACTATGTACCAAGCACTGCACTAAATGCTTTATGTGATGCTAACCATTCGGGGGCAGGAAATAGAGGAGGAAATAGAGATTTCCAGCAGTTAAGTAACTCAGCCCAAGTTATACAGGTGGGGAGAAGTCTACATTTCTGAATTTGAGGGCTTGGCCACCTGCTTAACCCTCTGCTGCCTGCGCCGGGAGTGGGACATTGTCCTCACCCACTGGAAACTCTTTCTCAGCTTTTCCTGAGTCACAGTTATACCCTGGCTATCTCCTCCTCCCAGTAAGATTAGATTGAGAGAAGAAAATGATTCTCTTGAGACCAGAGAATTAAAAACAAGAGCTCAAGAGAAGCTCAGTCATTAAAGTATTAAGTTTCACATTGATCCATGGCTATTCTAATACAGCTATTCAGGACTCTTGGTAAACCCTGGTCTCAGCACCGCCCTCCTCTTGTTCGGAGGTCTCACCATACCCAGTGGAAATGTCATCCAGTTTGCCACCAGTTTTCATTTGAAAAATAGTCTGAGAGAGATTTTTAAAATCCCTGACACTGAGAGATTTGTTGTATTTTCACTTTCAAGGCTAGCAACAGGGGATTCTCGGGATTATTTTTTTCACTTTCACAAATGGAAATGTATGCCTTGAGAATTGATTTGTCACTGTCTGGTTTTAAATTTCTGACTGGAAAATAATGATAATCATGTTACTCTCTCGATTTCAGCCACATCAGGAAGCAGTAAGTGGCAGGGCCATCTCAAGGAAGAGCCACCAGTCTCCAGGGAGTTTAGGTCTTAGATGTGAAGCCTCAAGTAATTTGCAGAGATTGTCTTGCCTGTATAACACACCCTGTTGTTGCTTTTATACAGCCAAACTGACAGGGGTTTGTGAATCAGAATGATGGCTTTGCATTTTAGCTTAGGGAAGGTAAGGAATAAACAATTTTAATGGTTTGGGATAAAATACAATATGGGTACTTTAAAAAATGGAGTTTCAAGCTTTTCTGTTATAAAATTGTGCAGGTGTGCAAAGTATTTTTACTTCTCTTACAAAAGGAAGGACTATATTACTCTGCAGTTTAAATGCACTGGTAAAGAAAGGAAACATAAATGGAAATAAAGGTGTAAAATGGCACCCAAGCTACTCTTAGCATAGTTCTTAAACAATTAACCACTTCCATAAGCATCTAACTGAACAAAATAAGAATAACAATGATAAAAAATGACATTTTCTGTGGAAGTCAAATGATATCAGTATGCTAGAAACCATTTAAAACATAAAGGTCTTCATCTTGGAAGTCTAGAAGCAATTCTTGAGTTCATTTTAGGTATAAGAAAGATTAGGCTTTTGCAAAACTCTCTAACCTAGATTCAGGGATTCATGACACCCAATCCAGAATATACATTTGCTCCTACTCACACCTAGAGGGAGAATCATGGAACAAGTATCAGGAAAGAAATGTTGGTGTCATGTGGTCAAATATCAGTATTTAGACCTGTGTTTGTTTGTTTTTTAAGTCTCATTTGCTTTACACTCTCCGAAAGTGGATTTAAAATGGCTAACATTTTTATTTGGCTTTGTATTTTTAAAGATTTAACCAATGAGTAAAATGCAGTTCAGAGCATTCCAAAGCTACACAGCTGGTTACTAGCTGAGCCAGGACTACTCTCCCCCTTCCCAGCCTATATGGATTTTTGCAAATTAAGGCAACTCTTTTATTTCAAATGCTGTTTTCTTCAAAGATTGTTGCCATCCTTCCCATTGTTTTGAACAACATCACCACCTAAACTTTTCTGGAAGCCTTAAAACTGCAGCATGTTTAAACATGCAAACATTTTGTCATTTAACTTTTTAAAAAATCACTGGTAAATTACCAGGTATCCTTTCTGCTTGGCTTTGTCCCACATGTGGAGAGAAGCCACTCCCTCCTGTTTTCTCCGGTAAGATCTAGGCAGCCTGGGATGTGCCCAGCAAGTCTGACTGCTCTCTGCAAGTGGAAAGAGAAAGCTCCGCATTGATTGGGCAGTAACTGGCAGCCCCTTGCCGGCTCCTTATCCATCTGCAATTCTCACAGCAATCCCACAGATAGATAATATTTTTAATGGCCAAGGAAATTGAGGTTCAGAGAGAGATTAAGTTACCTGCTCAACCATGTAGCTAAGAAATGTCAGATCTTGAATATGAACACAGGTCGGCCAGCCAGACACCAAAGTAGGTATACTTTGCACTGCACACTGCCCCTCCTTCAGAATATAGGTTATATGTTAAAGCGAGGCATAGATCTTTCAGGAGATTACAGTCCAAGAGGGACAAATGATGACAATAATAATGTATTATATCTGTATAAATTTTCTATCTCTGTGCAAGAGAGTGAGCCCAGCATAGTGTCTTAGCATACTGTAGGGGCTCAGTAAACCTTCAGTAATTACAAAAAGGAAGGAAGGAAGAAATGCAATATGAAGGTGAACAGGGCATTGTTCATATCCTGGCAAGTCTTACAGTCTTGCCAGGGAGACAGACGTGCCTCTAATTAACTCTACTCAAATTACAGCAATAGTTCTCAACCTTTGTTTTACGTCAGAGTCCCCGAAGAGGGAGGAAGAGGGCAGTGGCAAAAGCTTTCTAAAAATGCCAATGCCAAATGCCCATCCCAGGCCAGTTAAAGGAGAATCTCTGGGTGGGACTAGGTGGGTATTTTCAAAAGCACACCCTCCCCAGTGGTGCTAATGTTCTCCCAAGCCTGGAAACCACCAATGTGTACAGCATTGAGTCTGTTAAGAGGGACAGAGAGTGGAGGTATCAGTGCAGCTGTGAGCACAGTGGGTCTTTCTTCAGGGATGTAGTGTATAGCAGGCTCTGTAAAGATGAGTCCAGTTCAACATGGTGACCATGACAAGAGATGGACTTTCATAGAGAAACCACAGAGGAGCTGGGGGTCACCTAGAGTCATTGGCTGGAAACAGGACCTGAGATCCGAAGGCCAGGCTTGGGACCTCCAGAAGCCACTGTGATCCTGGGATGGCGGGCGTAGCAGGAACAGAATGCAGAGTCAGTCTGACTCTGCAGCTTGAAATGTCGATGATAGCTCCTGTAGGCAGCTAGGACTGGTCACTGGGAGTCTAACATAGACTGAGCACCTTTTTACGTGGAGGTGAAAAGAAAGCTGTACTCTGTTGGGGAGGTCTGGCTCCAGCCTTCTGGAATTCAAAGAGTGTCTCTGTAAAATAACGGGGTTGTCCCAGAAGAGCAGTTTTTAAATTATGCTCTTGGAGTAATGGGCAGTGATTCTGAAATTTTATGAATATGAGACTCAGTGGAGGATCTTGGTAAAATGAGGATTCCCAGGCTCCCACCTGAGAGTTTCATTCGGTGGGTTGCAGGCAGGGGCATGGGATGCAGAAGCTATGTCTGCTAACAAGCATGTGGGAGGGAGAGCCTGACACCAGCCTACTTTGAGAAGCCCCGTTTAGGGTGTCACGGGTGTCTTAGGGACTCTGTGTGGGTGTGGGAAGGGGCAACAGACAGGGCGTGGGCCCTGACCCCCATTTCAAACACAGAAGCATTGTCTTTGGTTTATATATTGGACTCTACAGGACCTGCTTTGCAGAAAGGATCTCATTGAGAATAGCAAAAGGAAGTTGGGAACCATTACAGTAAGTGATCTCAATATCCCTTCCAAATTCCAACAGCCTATGAGCCTCTGTGCAGGAGATTACCAAGGAACAGGGAGCAGAGGGAGAGTGCAGAGAAGGAAAGATTAAATTGGAGACAATGCTTTTATTTAACGAGCGGGCAGAGGGGAACATTGTCAAGGGAAAACACATAAAAATTTTGAAACTTCAGTTTTCAAATACTTTTGGAACCCATATATCATAGAGATAAACCAGAGAAACAGCAAACATCTGGCAAGGCAGCATTTTGCCTTATGTAAAGGAAGCCGGTGGGTAGCTGGTGGGAAATGAGAAATTGTCCCCCAGGATGGGGAAATAGCTCAGAGCAGCCATAACTGGAGAGGTTCTTCTCAAACTTACATCCGGCAAAGACTATAAAACCCTCCCTACTGAGTCACAGAGGTATTCCCAGGATGCATTTTGAAGGAGGCATTTGCAGAGAACATCCACAGAGTATTTTGCATTGGGAGAGAATTGAACCGCAGTTTCAGTTGCTCTGGGTTCCAGCATACACTTGTGAAATAGCAAACAGAGGAAGAAATTGAGAGGACAATAGAAATAGTATTAACATGTAGATTTTGAATCATTTCAGAAAAGTCAGCTGATCATTCTTTTCATAATGTATCATGATGATACAGAGAAAGGGCCAGGCTGACCTGCACCCACGCGACCTGTGCATGCTCACAGTTCCACCAGCCTGCATGTCTCTGCGTAATGTAATTGCCTTTCTCCCTAGATAGACTGTAAGCTCCCTTCAAGAAAACTGGGCTGCCTTCACTGTGGTATCCCAGTACTTAGCAAAGTGCCTACCAGATAATGGGCATATAATAAATAGTGCTTGATTTTAATTGGCCTGGACCTAATAGAATGCAGAAAAGAACTCACTATACATGACTTACTAGAAAAAGGATTTCAATGGAACCCACACTAGGATATTCTCTGATCACCCATGGCTAAGACTGTTCATACCAGAACCACATTGGTACTTAAAATGCTATATTTACACATTATTTCTATCTTTACTTACAATTCTGATTAAGTAATGCATGATTCAGTAAGACCCATTTCTTCACTCTTCACTGGGAGTTCAAGTTCAAGTGCAAGTTCTTTATTATCTATTTTAAGGCCTTTATTATCTATTTTAAGTCCCAAGTTCAGGGATCCCTTCAGTTCTTGTATGTAAGGATTCCTGAACCGGGTTGATTCAACTAAAATTTGGGATTTCTCTCCAGGTGCCCAGCTGTATTGGTAGAGGAGACCAACCACACCCTCCACAGCACAGCACCTGGAGAGGAACTGCTGCCATGACCATAGAGGACACCCTCTGGATACAATGCCAGACTTGATGTGGGACTGACCAACCTATGGACCCCAGGCACCACCACCCAGACCTGCTCAGCACCTGAAAGTAAGTCCTACCCTTCTGAAGGAAACTCTAGGGTGGCAGCATGAACTTCTCTGCCTCAGAGGACAATAGGGAAAGTGATGTCCTCCAGGAAGCACAGAGAAGTACTGGGATGAGAGAACAGAGACGATCTACAAGGATGAGATCAGGTATGGTCAGCATCCCTCACCTCCCAAATCCTCTTCCAAGTCATTCCTCTTGCACCCTTGTGTGAAAACCCTTCCTCCTTTGAGAGACTATCAATCTGGCTCTATCACAGTGTCAGTCAAAATTCCCTTGGATGTAAACAACAGAAACTGGCTGGCTGATGTAGCCTGAAAATGAATGTATTCAAAAAATGCTGGAGAGCCACAGAATCATGGGGATGGTGCAATGGGATGGGGTGAGAGGCATGACTGAAGAACCAGGTTCCCAGGCTATGAAACCAGGAACAATGCCCCAAACCAATCTGCAGATGTTGTCTGCTGAAAACCCACAGCCCACTTGGCACCAGACACTCCTGGAGGCTGCTGTCTATGCCAGTGCCTCTGCAGGTGGTAATTGTGCATGCAGATTTGGCAGCGGTCCCTTTCCAGAGTGGCTCCTGCACAATGGGTACAAAGTTGAGCTTCCTGCTGCAAGTTAAGGGAGGCATGTCTGATTGGCAGAGCCTATTCACATATCTGTATGCACCTGCCAGGGAGTCTGAGAATACGATCCCAATTTCATAATGAAAGGAAGTCTCCACCTCCTAAGATGGAGGATTTGCCAGACAGATTCTGTCCTACCAGTCAGTTGCTACAATCACCCGCTACCTTTCCTTGTTACTTCTGTCTCCCAGTCTCCAGGTTACTCCTTCTCCTGTTTGTTAGGCGCTCCCCCACAGACTTTTCCTGTACCTTGTTCTGCTAGCATCACCAAGGATTTCTGTATCCTCATAAATGGTCCATCAGACATCTTCACCTCACAGTTCCTTGAGCGCCTCAAATCTAGAGACTTCTACCTCTATGTTACTCTTGTCACATATGCCCAGACTTCCACCGAGGAACCTACCATTGCCAAGAACTGCTCTAATTTAGAACTCTTCACCTCTAATTTCCCATTCTCACGGCCTCCTCACCACAACACCTGCTCTTCTGGAGACAGGTTGCTAGTGCTGCTGCTCTCCTGTTGGTCTCCATGAGGCCTCTCTTTCCTTCTAACACAACGTGGAGCTGAGCATGGCTTATGAGCATGCATAACTCCTTGCTTCATCTCTGTCCCAATCCTTTCTGGAGGACGTCTTCTTTTGCATCTGTCCAACAAACCTATAATAAGGCATCCATTCCATAAATTATCTACTACCAGGCTGCTAGCCCTACTGGAGAAGGTTTATCAACCTGCTGGTTGGCATCACTAAAGGTTCTTGATCTCCTGCCTTGGCTGGACCTTGAGTGCACAGAAACAATTTCCTTCTGTTTTGTCAGCTACCATTTTAATATTTTTCCACTTTCCTCAAGCATCCCTCACCCCCTTCAGTGTTCTCACCCTTAGCAAACTGCATGACTCCTATATTATCAGGAAAATGAAAGCAATAGGGCATGAAGAATTTCAACTACACATCTATTGTTATTGCGACCCAAACTTCATTCCTTTCTTTCATTTTCAGACAAAAGGCTGTCTTCTTTTCAGTTCAAGGTCAACCTCCCTTCCCAAACTTTGTTCTCCACTGCCTTCTCCAATAGTTTACTTCATCTGCTTTGTATTTTCAGCTTTTCTATCTCCTCTTCACTCTTAATGTAGACATATCTTCAAGTCATCTTCTCCAGGTGACACGAGCCTTAAGAGCATCTTTGTACCCATCAGGAATGAGTACACAGTGAGTGATATACATTTGTTGAGTTGGATCTTTTATATTTCTACACATATTATCAACATACCTGAAATTTATATTCTAAAACTTATATCATTATCTCTATTCTAAAAATGTGTATCTTAAAACTCATCTTTGCTTAAGGACCCATTAACAGGGAAAGGCTTTTAACAAATTTATTAATTAGGGTCAATCTATTGTTATTTATTTAGCTTATTAGCTTAGTTGAAGTCTATCATTATTACTTTTAAGTAAAAGAGAATGAGCTTGAATTTCATATGTATATATCAACTGCATGTTAAATAATAATTGTTACTATTAAATTCTACCCATGGCTTTTATTCCTAGAACAGTCCCATGCGAACTAAGCTTTTTTTCATAAAGTTGTCATGATGTAAAAATTGCTAAGGGTAACTCCTGGTAAGAATCCCTTTCCACATGCATCATCAATGCACATGATGGTGGGTGTGTTAAGGAGAAGGAGAGAATGAAAGGCAGAGCTTACAGTGTCTACTTGGACAGTACAAAAGTTTGTCAGAATTTCTTTTTTTAAAAAAGCTACTTCAAAGAGGTGAGTTTTGAATTGCAATTCAAAATGAGGGTGGCCAGGCACAGTGGCTCAAGCCTGTAATCCCAGTGCTTTGGGAGGCCAAGGCAGGAGGATCACTTGAAACCAAGAGTTCAAGACTAGCCTGGGCAACATAGCAAGCCCCTGTCTCTATAAAAAATTTAAAAACTAGCCCGGCATAGTAGTGCGTGCCTGTAGTCCCAGCTACTTAGAAGGCTAAGGTGGGGGGATCAATTGAGCCAGAAGTTTGAGGCTGCAGTGAGCCATGATCACGCCACTGCACTCCAACCTAATGACAGAGTGAGACTCTGTCATTTATTTAGGCATTTATTTATTTATTATAAATAAATAAATAATCAAATAAGGGTGACACTCAGAGCCACAAGACCAAACCCCAGGTAAGAAGAGAAGGTGAGCATTAGAGTCTAAGAATAGTTAGTATATGCCATGCTCTCTAGGAAGGCCCCAGAACCCTTTACAAGATACGCTGGGGATGAAGAGAGATGAAGTTACAACAAACTATATCTGTTTCAAGGTCCTTTCTTACAGCTCTCTATATATGACCTTCAAGAAAAAGAAAGCCTGCTTTCTTTGATGCAGGGATTGTGTTGTGAAAACTCTAGTGCTATGGCTGCCGGTTTTTTCCCCTTTCATCCACAATAGTAATTTCTCCTCCAGCTGATGAGCTCAAAGTGTTGTGGTTCCAAGAAGAAATGCTACTTGCAAACAAAAAAATCAGAGGAGTGTTTTTAAATCCAAATCCTTTTATCTTCTGGTTTGCATGTGAGGAAAGCCTATTTTTTAATATATGCAATGTCACGAGTGGCTCATTATTCCCACGCTTGAATAGAAGGAGAAGGCTGAAGTTTGGGTAAGATATAAAAACAGATTATCTTTCATCAGCACCCAATAGTGGGAGACCATTTTTAAGTAGGTAATAAACAGACTTCTTTGCTAAGGATGTGCTCTTGACAAGAAGTGTTTCTTAAACTGAAGGTCGAAGTCATTGCCGTGGGCCTCCAGTTGGGATGCAAATCTGCAGGTCTTCCACAGGTTTCTGAAATCTTACGTCTGGATTTCTGGGGTTATCTTCCATGTCTCCAAATGCTAACACATATGCGGGAAATGCAGGCTTGTAATGGTGGATGTCCCTACAATGGACTTTTTTTTGTGCTCTTGAGATTTCTGATCATGTTTTTATGTGATTCTTCAGTCCTTGCACCTACATTCCATACTTTGGAAAGCTGAATGACTGTTCTTGGTCTCAGCTGGTTCTTCTCAATTTCAGTAATGATCTCAGGACATTCATTTACATAAAAAAATCTGATTAACAGTGTGATGCTCATAGGCAGACACAATTTTCCTACCTTTTAATAAATTCATTAGCGGATAAAAGTGGGACTCAAAGAATAGTACAGAGAGATGTTTACCCTCAGTGGAACAAGTATGCTCTTCTTCATAACTGACTGTAAATAAAACTAATATCTTATTAAGAGGTTCACTTGGCTTAAAATATACCTCCTAGGCTGGGCCTGGTGGCTTCTGCCTGAAATCAGCACTTTGGGACACTGAGATAGGAAAATCACTTGAGGGAAGAAGTTTGAGACCAGCCTGGGCCACATAGCAAGACCCCATCTCTACAAAAAAAATATAGAATAAAAGTTCAAAAAATAGACCTCATTGCTTAGGAATTGAATGCATTGAATTCTAGCAGAGCTCTGATTGGACACATTCCCATGTTCTGACCCAACCAATCAACGGTAGGATGTACTTTCCCTGTAATGGCTGAGACCTAGCAGTTCAGGATGGAAAGAAGTTGGGATGGACAAGTGGAAAACATTAAGAGAGTCTAGAAGCAAGTTATGGGCAGTGGCAGGGGGCTGGGGCTTCAGTGCCTAAGAGAACAGGTAGGGAGAAGAGGTAAGGAGACAGGTAGGAAAAAACCTCCACATGTTTCAGAAAATATGATGAATACTATTGCTGGATAAACAAAAGCTTAGTCATATTGAAGAAAAGGGGAAAAAATAAACACCTGGTTTTAGGAACTACAGAAGAAGGTCAAGGGCATAGTGGGCAGCACATCCTCCACCACCGCACCCAGCACAGAAGACACACACTTGTCCAATCAGTGATCAAGCTGAGGGCACCTCCCACATCACATACCTTTAATCTGCCCATTTCTAACCCACCCTATGGCCACAGCCCCAGTTCAAGCCACCCACACCCTTCACCTATATTACTAGAACACAGCCTCCTGATTCTCCCTCTAATTCGAGCCCCCCTCCAATCTATTCTCCTCGAGGCAGCCTGAGTGAGCTTTGAAAAGAGCAAACCTTACCAGTCAGTGTCCTGCTTCAGACCTTTCAATACCTCCCCATTGCCCTGAGCTACAAATGCAGCTCCTTGACCATACCTCTGGGTCCTGGGAACCCCTCTCTGCTCTCCCTTGGTATCTTCTTAAGTCAGAGGAAACTCTCACAAGCTAGCAAGCTTTGTGCTTTCATTTTTGCTCATAGGACTTTGCACACAGATATCATGACTTGGAGTGGACCGTCTTTTCCACTCACGACATTGGCATGAGGAAAGCTGGTGGAGACCAGCTTTCAACATAGCCTTCCTTTCCCCCCAGGGAGCCTTATCCGATTTCTCCGTTCTGCAGTGGATTCTCCGGTTGTGTCACCTTAGATCATCCTACAAACTCCCAGCCTTAGGACTATCATATCCTATTGTCATCCTCTGTTAACAGTTTCTTCCATCCAGCCTTATGGCCTTGCCACTCAAAGTGTGGTCCAGGGGCCAGCAGCACTGCCATCACCTGTTAGGACTGCAGCACCTCAGGCTCCAGCCCAGAGCTACTGAATCAGAATCTGCTTTTACCAGAATCCCTGGGTGATTCACACACACATTAAAGTCTGAAGAGCACAGTCCTCACTATAAACTCTATGAAGATAAGAGCTTTTCTTTCTTGTTCACTGTGGTCTTCCCAGGGCTAGATGATGGCCACACAGTATGTCTTTCTTTCTTGAAGAGATCAAGAACATGGGTCCCATGGAGAGGCATGAAGCTCAATTTCCCATGCATATGTTTCTCCTTTCATAAATATTCATGACTCCTCCTATAGCTCATTGAATATCCGTAGTTGGCCACCTCATTCAGCATAAATCCCCATCTTAGTCTTTCCACTGTCAAAGTGCCTGTTTCTGGCTTCTGGCAGGAGGCTGTGCAACCCTGGAGGCTGCAACCTTTTATGAAAAATAAGCTCTCCATTCCAAATTTATAAACCTCATCATTCTTCAGTTGACAACACTGAGGCTGCTACCTCCCCTGTGGCTGGGAGCAAGATGAGCCCCAGATGTGTTTCCAAGTGAGTCTGATTGGGACAGGAGCCGACGTGGGACTTGGAGGCTGGAGATGGGAGCAGGCATGCAGTGGACTCACTGGCATGGGGCAGGCAGTGGGCTGGGTCCTGGGTTCTATCTGTTCCCTTGAGCTGAGCAACACTGGACAAATTCCTTCACCTCTCTAGGCCTTATTTATTGACCTATAAATTGGGCAGATAAAAATATCTATCTTTCCTTTCTTATTGGAATCTTAGTAAGATTAACTGATTCCACGCATGCAGAGATGCTTTGTTAAAAGTAATCAATTATATATGAGAGAGAGAAGAACCCTTATTTGATCCTGCACTTTGATCTGCTCAGAGCCATGCACCCACCCTGCAGTGAGTGGGCCGGGCTCAGTGGTCGAGCAGGTGCAGACCCTCTGTGAGAGGGCAGCCTTCCAGGTCACTGCCAAGGCCCACGCTTCCCAGGAGCACTGCACCAGGTGCAGGAGCACTCGGGGCCCCACCCTGACCTGCCTCGCTCAGTGTTGAATGTATTCCAACCATTCAATAGGGATAATGAGCAGCAAGAAATCCATCAGTCCCCTATCAGCCCTGTAATCCTGACCCTGTTTAACAAATCTGATGATACTTAGCATATCAGCATGTTTGCTTTCTTTCCAGCAAACAGTCAAACATGATTAAATCTTTCCTCATTTCCATATTAATAGGACACCCGTGTGAGAAGAATTTAGGAAAGCACATTTCTGGAAATCTCATTTTTGATTTAAAATTTTTCAATGTTGTAATGAACAGAGACACACTGGCACGCAAAATTGTCCTCTCCTGCCAGGAGCTCCCTTTCCAGCAGCTTCCAGTGGTCAACAGCTGCATCACAAAATGCTCTCTTCTCCATCAGTTTCTTAGGACTGCAACTTGAGGGCATTTCTTGCTGTACTCTCCTTACTGGGAAGAGAGGAGAGGGCTTCCTAGGGAGCTTGGGAAGTTATCTTCTCATACCTAAAGATGACAATGACATCCTTCTGTCCCCTTCCAGATCTCAATCCTTTCCTATTCTAGTTGGATGTCCCATTTCTTCTTACTTTTCTGTAGGTTTGGGGCTGGGACATTGTGTGGCTGAGGAATGGAGAGAAATGGTGAATACAGTTCCCACTGTCCCCCAAATCTATCTTGCAGGCTGACAGCCTGTCATGCTCTCTTCTTCATGAAGGTTTGGGGTTGGGGGTTACAGCCCCATCCTCTCCTGCACAGGCACTTTCCTACTGAAGAGACACTGGGGACAAGCTCAGCCTCTGGAGGCAGCATCACGGCTTCCTCAGGGACCTACGGTGTCATTTGGAACAAATAGCTCCCCAACACTGCTTCTTTACCTGTAAAAATTGGAATAATGTTAGTATCCACCTCATAAGATTGTTAGGAGGCATCTGAAATAAATGATGCATTTGGAACACTTAGTGCACAGAATACAGCAAATGCCCAATAGAAGTTGGCTATTGTTATTTTGTTTTTATTGCTCTAAATAATGCATCAGTATTCGCTGTTCCTTCCAGCATTCACAGCCGTGGAGAGAGAACTGTTCACTGCTACCATCCACACTTCTGGGCCCCTTCAGCAGCAGGGTGACAAGGAAGAGGGAAATCGACTTGGAAAAGAGGTGGGCTTCTGTCGCCCCTACTCTGCTACTGTGCTTCCATTCATTGTTGCCATAGAAAGAGCACTGCTCTGTGATGAGGAGATGTGTGGGTTAGCCCCACCTTTGCCTCTCATCACTTAGGGGAATGCTCAGTTTCTTTAAGTTCTAAAACTTGGGGATTTCTCGGAACTTTCTTCCACTTTCTTGTATTCGTGAGTTGGGTGCAGTAAAGATGATTTATCTGTAGAGGACTCACCAGAGCCCTGTGAGGCAGATTTTACAGGGGAAGAAAATGAGATCCAAACTAAGGTTAAGTGACTTACTTAGGACTGGAACACAGGTCTTCTGGGTACAGACAAATTGTTTTTCCACATGGCACCACTGACTCTCAGAAGACCAAGGAAGCCTGCTAGCTGAGAGACGCTGTGTTCCTACTGTGGCAGATTCACAGTTGACTTCTGTCCAGCAGGGCACTCCCTTTTCTCTCTAGAAGCTTTCCTGCCCAGACTCTGGAGTGCAGCCTCAGGCTAGCTTTTTAGTCACTGCATTCCCGTCTCCAGGTGTCTGACCCTGTTTCTGGAGTTACTGAGCTTCCTTCTGTTTCTGAATCCTGCCATCTGCACACCCTCAAGATACCAGCATTCTGGGTGTGCTTCAGACGACATGTGACTCTTGCTCTGTGAACCTTTCAAAATAATTTGGGGGTTTTCATACAAAACACAAAGCAACGAAAATGATCCTTTTTGTTTTGAGACGTAGGGTAAAGAGGATGAGGGGGGAAAGGGGAGGAGTGGTCCCTTCCCTTCCCTTCCCTCTGATTTCATCCCCTTTGAGTTCTAGATCAGTTGCCTTATATGCACCTGGGTTTTGGAAAAACTCTCAAATTGGTTTTCTCTCTGCTCTCACATCACCACAACACTAATCATCCATACAGAAGACTTGTGTGGCCAAATGCTGGGGGGATTTCCCACACATCAAGCAGCGGACACCAGCAGGATGTCCTCCAATTCCATTCTGACACTTTCTACCCAGAGAAAGCGTCAGATCCCACAGATTGAGGGCTCAGTCCCCAAGACCACTCCCTGCCAGACACCAGTCAGAAATCTGGACCTCCAAAACTTCTAACCAACTGGCTTCAAGTTGGGGTTCCCATGACCCCCTCTTTGTGTTTGACTAATTTGGGAAATACTTGCATTTGCTATTTATTATAAAGAATATTGCAAAGGATACAGATGAAGAGATGTGTAGGGTGAGGTATGGGGGAAAGGCACAGAGCTTTCATGCTGTCCCTGGATGCCACCCTCCAGGAAACTCCGTGTGTTCAACTATTCAGCAGTGCTCCAAACCCAGTCCTCCTGGGTTTTTATGGAAGCTTCATGACCCCAGCATTCCTTCCCCCCAGGTATAGGGCTGGATCCTCTCTGGGGAGGGTCTCAACCCACAGTCAGAAAGGCAGGGAAGATTAGAGTCCTGCCTTTGTGCAGGTGAAAGGAGGGTAGGAGGAGGTCAGAGAGATTCTGTTTCCTGAGGCCCCACACACCCAAAATTATAACACAAATCTGTAACGGGGCTGTGGGGGTTATGAGCCAGGAACTGCGGATGAAAACATATGTATATATCATAACAGCACAACCTGCCTGAGTCTGCCTGTCCTAGGGAGGCCACATGTGGTCTTACTTCCCAGTAGATTACAGAGAGCTGCTCTGTTCTGGCCTCCCGGTTTCATCCTCGCCACGGGCTTCTAGATCCCTGTGTCTTTGAATGTTTGCCTGGGAAACACCATATGTGTGAACTAAGTTTATAAAGCAGCATGTTTAAGAATAAATTTCAAGATGCTATTTTTCAGCAGCCTATGAATCACTTAAACTCATTTGCAAAATAAACCATTTGCCAGGGGAAATTCATTTTTGATGACCGTAGAGAGAATGGAAGTCGTAATTCATGGGGCTTCTCCCTCCTGGTCGTCGTGAGCTATTTTCCCAGGAGGGATAAGCACGACCAGCCACATAACTTTTAAACTCAAGTTCTTGAGAAATAAAAATATATATAACATATCCTGTCGACTCAGACTATGGTTTTCAGAGCTGCATGCCATTTTGTCAAACAACTTGGGGCTTTATTTTGGTCTTTCACCAGAAGTAGAAAGATGAATATTATAATAAAGATTTTATAGAGTTGCTATATGCCTTGATTTACCAAGGAGCCATTTATTTCACCACCTGGCAATAAAAAAAAGTATCTGAAAGATACTTCCCCAGAAGGAATGTTAAGCAAGAGATGGGTTCTCAGACGAAGTGTGGCTGGTGTGTCTCTGATGGGTGGAGGGGATGCAGGCAACGATGATCAAGATTTGCCATCCACATTGCCAGGTTTCAAATGCGTTGCTTTCATTTTATCACTTTGTGCTGCCTTTTTTGTGTCTGTGATGCTTGGCTGAATTGTGCCTCTTCAGCTTTCTCTGCTCAGTGTGTTGTTTTTAATATCTTTATCTGGAGAAGGGGAGCTGGGGCCTAGTAATGATGAAAGATACGTGCAGAAAGCAATCAGCACCACTTCATCAGGAGCAAAGCCACTATGTAGGTCATTTACGTGGATCAGAGCCCCTTGCATCAATCTCACTTTCTTCAGAGAGCGTCCAGGGCTATGCCAGGGAATCATCTAGTGAGAGGAGGCACGTCACAGGGATTTGCACTGGGAATCGCTGACCATTTCCAGATGGAGTGCAGCAGGATCAAGGAATTGCAGGAATGCTCTTGTTTACTTGTCATGATAATTGTACAAATAGTGCTGGCTTCCCTTTTCTAGCATATTTTCTTTTAGCAATTCCAGACATGGCTACGTTTCTAAAATCAATCGTGATTAGGCCTTCAGGGATCAAACCAATCACACTGACTTTACCGAGTGATCGGTATATAAACCCTGCATGGTGGTTGAATGTTGAAAGAATGCCGTGAAATGGGGCTTCTATGCTGGCACAGAAGCAAGTCCCAGGTCTGTGCTGAATAGAATTCAGTTGCTTCTGGCTTTCGTGGTGACCACGGAGTAAGAAAATCTTGGCTCGTTCTAATCTGGTTCCATACAGCCTAGTGAGTAGAAAGCAAATTGGGTTTTTGCTTAGACTTAACAACAGCACGCATGCATGCCTGCCTGGTGTGCAGTGTGAAACTATTTTTCTTAATGTAAACATTGAGACAGCAGGAGCCAAGTCCTATGTCTGATGTTCAAGGAACAGTCAGACATTATTTCATTGCTTTTTAATATTTTTTTTAACTCTCTGAGCTTTCAGCCTTCCTGCATGTCAGGCCCTAAGTACAGTGGACCTAGGTAGGAGAGGGCAGGGACGGGGGAGCTTCCCAGGCTGCAGTTTCCTGTGAGTTTGGAGGTTGGGGGTTGGAAATTGGGTTAGGCTCCAATCAGTCACTGCTCAACGTTGTTGAATGCATTATCCTTGTCTACACAACGGTGCTTCAGGACTCTGTATGTATGTGCATGTATGTGCTGTCCTATCCCTGAGCACAGGGGCTGTCCTTCATTCATCTGTTTATATCCCATGGCTAACACAGTGCTTGTCCTCAATGAGTCTGGGAGACAATACCATCTTTTAAGGAAGAAGCCCAGAGTTATAGCTCTGAATTAACTTTATGCCAAAATACACCCCCCATCCCCGAACATACACACAACAAATTAGCAACTAAAGGGATACTATAACAAGAAAAGCTTTATGAGTTGGCCAGCATGAACCCTAATAACAGTAGGTGCCTCTTAATATGATATAATATGAAGTCCACGACATATTCTTTATTTTTTTTTCTTTTTTTTTCTTTTTTTTGAGAAGGAGTCTCACTCTGCCACCGAGGCAGGAGTGCAGTGGTACCATTTCAGCTCACTGCAAACTCTGTCTCCTGGGTTCAAGCAATTCTCCTGGCACAGCCTCCCGAGTAGCTGGGATTACAGGCACCCACCGCCACACCCGGCTAGTTTTTATTTTAGTAGAGATGGGGCTTCACCGTGTTGACCAGGCTGGTCTCGAACTCCTGACCTCAGGTGATCCACCCACCTCGGCCTCCCAAAGTGCTGGGATTACAAGCGTGAGCCACGGCACCCAGCCTCTTTCTAAAAAAAGTTATATTTAATTAACATTTAGATCTAACTTCTACTTTACAGAAAGTTCAGAGACTAGAGAAACAAGTTAAAGAATACCCAAAGGAAACAATCATACAAATTTAGACTCTGGGACACTCTGTAACACAACTGGCCCAATCTCTTAAATATGAAACTTAATATAAGAGACTTAAATATTATTCTCAAAAACCAGGGAAGGTGATGGGAAAAATGGTCTTGATTGTGAAAAAGACTTAAGACATATAACAATCAAATGTAGTGTGTGTTTCTCCGTGTGAGAGCCTGGTTTGGAAAAAAAAGAAAAGCTGTAAAGGATTCTTGGGGCTAACTGGTCAAAGTGAAGCCTGAACTGTGCATTAGATGACACTAGAGAGTTACATATGAAAAAGGAATTGTTGGATCTAGGTAGTGGGTCTTCATTGTACCAGTCTTTGTATTCTTCTGCATGCTCAAAAAATTTTATCAAAAAAAATTTTATTAAAGAAAATAAAATAGCAATTTGACAAGAAGGGGAAGGACATTCTAATGCAAGGCATCACATGAGCTCTTAGGCATGGAGGTAAGAATCAGTGTGGTAGGCTCTGGGACCTACAGGGTGCTTGACATTGCTAGACTGTCAGATTCACATGAGCGAAGCTGACAGTGGAGTGGAAAAGCAGGACCCCCCATGCTGTCATGGAGCTTGGACTTGGGAACCACTGGAGGCTTCTTTTTAAATAACAGCTTTACTGAGAGACGATTTATATACCATCAAGTGCACACTTTTAAAGTGTGTGATTCACATGGACACATGGGGGGAACAACACACACTGGGCCCTGTTGGTCAGGGGTTGTGGGAGGGAGAATAGCTAATGGATGCTGGGCTTAATACCTAGGTAATGGGTTGATCTGTGCAGCAAACCACCATGGCACACGTTTACCTATGTAACAAATCTGCACATCCTGCACATGTACCCCGGAACTTAAAATACAAGTCAAAAAAAAAAAGATAAAGCGTGTGATTCAGTGGTTTGGGGTATATTCCAAGAGCTGTGCATCCATCACCACTATCTAATTCTAGACCATTTAGATCACACCAATTTGAAACCCTATACCCATCAGCAGTCACTCCCCACTCCCCTCACTGCCCCAGCACCTGGCTAACACAAATTTGCTTTTCTGTCTCTATTTATTTGCCTATTCTGGACATTTCATATAGACAGAATCCTAGAATATATGACATTTTCTGTCTGGCTTCTTTCACTTAGCATGCTTTCAATGATTATTCATGTTGTAACATATGTCAAAACTACTCTCTTTTTTATGTTCAAATAATATTTTATTGTATGGATATACCACATTTTGTTTCTCAGTTGATGGACATATGTGTTAGTTCCATTTTTGGCCATTATGATTACTGCTGCTATAAACATTCATGTACAAGTTTTTGTGTGGACATTTGATTTGAATTCTCCTGATGATATACCTAGCAGTTTAACATTTTAAGAGCTGTCAAATTGTTTCTCAAGACCATTGAACCATTTACATTCCCACCAGCAATGTATGGGGGTTCAAATCTCTCCACTACTCACCAAGACTTAAAATTGTCTTTTAAATCATAACCATGCTAATGGGGATTGATATCTCATTGTGGTTTTGATTTGCATTTTTCTAGTGAATAATGAGGTTGAGCATATTTCATGTGTTTTTTGGCCATTTGTATACATTATTTGAAGAAATATCTATTCAAATCCTTTGCCCATTTTCAAATTATTTTACCTCTCATTTTATTGTTCAGTTATAAGGGTTTTTTAGATAGTCTAGACACACGACCCTTACTGGGTATATGATTTGCAAACATTATTTTCTCCCACTGTGTGTATTGTCCTTTCACATTTTTATGTGGTCCTTTGAAGGACAAAATTTTTGAATTTCATGAAATTCAATTTATCTTTTTTTTTCCTTTTGTCACTCATACTTTTCATGTTATATCTAATAAGTCATTGTCTAATCTGAGGTCACAAAGATTTACTCTCATGGTTTTCCCCTCATCCCCAAAAAGTTTTATACTTTTAGCTCTTACATTTATGTCCCATCCATTTTGAGTTAACTTTTCTACATGGTGTGAAGTAGGGGCTCAACTTTATTCATTAGCCTGTGGATATCCTATTTTCCTAGCATCACTTGTTGAGAAGACTATTCTTTTTCCCATTGAATGGCCTTGGCACCCTTGTTGAAAATCAATTGACCATAAATGTACAGGTTTATTTCTGGGCTGTCAATTCTATCCCATTGATATATCTGTGTAAGCCAGTGCAATACGGCTTACTGTAGTAGTGAGTTTTGAAACTCGGAAATGGGAGTTCTATAACTTTGTTCTTTATTTTCAAGGCTATGTTGGTTATTCTGAGCCCCTTGTATTTCTAAGCAGTAGGTTAAAAAAGAAAGAAAGAAAGAAAAGGTCCAGAAAGAAGAAAAGCCAGCTGGGAGCTTCATAAAAATGCATTGTATCTGCAGATCAATTTAGGGAATATTACCATTTAACAATATTAAGTTTTGTAATCCATGAACATGAGTTGTCTTTCCATTTATTTATATCTTCTTCCTTTCAATTATATTTTATAGTTTTCAGAGTATAGGTTTTGTAGTTCTTTCTTTTAAATTTATTCCTAAGTATTTATTATATTTGTTGATACTGTGAATTGAATTGTTTTCTTGTTTTTATTTTTGGATTGTTCATTTTTAGTGTGTAGAAATATAGTTGATTTTTGTATATTGAGCATGTAAACTTACTGAACTTGCTTATTATTTCTAATAGTACTCTAATGGATTTCTTAAAATTATCTTTATGCAAGATTATATCATCTCTGAATAGAGATGGTTTTATTGCTTCATTTCCTATCTATATACCTTTTCTTTTTCCTGGCTGATTGCCCTGGCTAGAACCTCCAGTACAATGTTAATAGAGGTGGCAAGAGTAAATGTCCTCATCATGTTTCTGATCTTAGGGAGAAAGCATCATTTCTTCATCTGATGTTAGCTATCGGTTTTTTACAGTCTTTATCATATTGAGGAGTTCCCTTTCTTTGCTAGTTTGCTGAATGTTTGTTTGTTTTTATCCTGAAGGGGGTGTTGGATTTTGTCAAATGCTTTTTCTCCATCTGTTGAGATGATCATGTGCTTTTCCCCCTTTATTCTACTAATGAATCTATTACATTGATTGATTTTTGTTGAACCACTCTTATGTTTTTGTGATAAATCCCACTTTGCCATGATATATAATCCTTTTAATACGCTGCTGTATTCGGTTTGGTAATATTTTGAAGATTTTTATGTTACATTCATCAGGAGTATCGGTATATAGTTTTCTTATAATGTCTTAATCTGCCCTTGATATTACGGTAATAGTGATCTCAAAGAATGAGTTGGGGAAGTGGTAGCTCGTCTTTTATTTTATAAAAGAGTTTGTAAAGGATTGGTGGTAATTTTGTCTTAATGTTTTACCCATGGTAAAATTCATCAGTGAAGCCACCTGGGGCTTGGCTTTTTTTATGGGAAGTTTTATGAATGCTAATTCAATTTTTTTACTTGTCATAGGTCTATTCAGTTTTTATATCTCTTTGTGAGTCAGTTTCAGTAACTTGCATCTAAGAAATTGCCCATTTTATGTAGGATATCTAATTTGCTGGCATACAATTGTTCATAGTATTCTCTTATAATCCAGTAGTGATATTTCCTCTCTCATTTCTGATTTTACTAATTGGAGGTTTTGTTTTTTATTTCTTGGCCACTCTGGCTAAACATTTGTTAATTTCATTGATCTTTCAAAGACACAACATTTGATTTCATTAATTTTTTTCTACTGCTTTTCTATTCTCTATTTCAATTATTTCTGCTCTAGTCTTTATCATTTCCTTCCTTCTGCATATTTTGGTTTAATTTGCTTTACTTTCTATAGTTTCTTAAGGTACAAAGTTAGATTATTGATTTGAGATCATTTTTCTTTTTAATACTGGCTCATATAAATTCTGAGCTATAGCTAAGCATGGGAGGGAGGGCTATCAGCAGACATGTCAGACATGCAGCCCTGCCTTATGCCCAGTTCCATAGTTGTTCACTCACAAGGATTCCTGTGGCAATCCATGACAAAATTTTTATGCTAGAATGAACCTCAGTGATTTTCTAATCTCCTTCCACTCCACTTTCCAGGAACCTGAGGCCCAGAGAGATTAAGTGACCTTCCACAAGGTCACACAATCAAGGGCAGTAGTAGTAGTATCTGTGTACATCAGTCTAAGTTTTGCCAACTTTCCTTAAATGGGAATAGCCAGATCATGTCTACTGTATCTTAGTAATATAACTTCTTAATTACAAGGAAACCTTACAATGTTAGCTATAGAGAACAGCTGCCTTAAAGTAATTTCATAAGAATTTTCTGTCAGTAGTCTAAAGAGGGACACACCCAGGGTTCTACTTGAGCCACAAATGGGCTGTTCTCCCCTAAAGACCTTCAGTCGGAATCTCATAGATATGAAAATCGATATTCCTAGATATGGGCTACCACGTGGATGATTAGGGTGTTTTGTGTGAGGCAGGAAAGCTTGCTTGTAGAGCGATCTGACTTGAAAAGGGTACTTATGTATTCCCTGATGGGAATCAGAATTGGTCCTGGTGAAAAAGAAAAAGAATCTCTGGCAATAACAAAGGCTGGAGAAGATATAGAGAAAAGGGAACTCTTGTACACTGTTGGTAGGAATGTAAATTAGTACAACCACTATGGAGAACAGTTTGGAGGTTCATCAGAAAACTAAAAATAAAGCCACCATATAATCCAGTAATATCCCTGATAGGCATACACCCAAAAGAAAGGAAATCAGGATATTGAAGTAATACCTCCACACCTGCATTTATTGCAGCACTCTTCCTAATAGCCAACATTTGAAAGCAACCTAAGTGCTCATCAACAGAATAATAGATAAAGAAAATATGGTACATACACATAATGGAGTACTAGTCAGCCGTAAAAAGAATGAGATCCTGTCATTTACAGCAACATGGATGGAACTGGAGGTCATTATTGTTAAATGAAACAAGCCAGATACAGAAAGAAAAACATCACATATTCTCACTTATTTGTGGAATCTAAAAATCAAAATACTGAACTCATGGAGATAGAGAGTAGAAGGACGATTACTGAGGGCTGGGAGGGATAGTGGCAGAGTGAAAGGAAGTGGGGATGGTTAATGGGTACAAAGAATAATTAGAATGAATGAATAAGACCTAGTAATTGATAGTACAACGGGGTGACTATATATGTAGATATATATACATATATGACTATATATATGACTATATATACATATATGACTATATATATTACTACATATATGACTATATATATGACTATATATGACTATATATATGACTATATATATAGAGAGAGAATCAATACTAATTTAATTGTACATTTAAAAATAACTAAAAGGGTACAATTGGATTGTTTAAACACAAAGGATAAATGCTTGAGGGGATGGGTACCCTATTTACCATGATGTGATTATTATGCATCCTTTTATCAAAACATTTCATGTACCTCATAAATATACACACCTCCTTTAATTTTTATGTAGCCACAAAAATTAAAAATAAATTTCTTAAAAAACAAGAATTGGTCCTGGAGTTTCAGACAGGGCTGAGCCCCAAGAAGGGTTAAGTTGGCACAGCCTTCTTGGTTAAGGGCTTTGGAAGCAGGGGCATGCAGGTCACACAGTGATGCCAGGTGTCAGGGCAGCAATAAAATAAGAAGGCTAATAAAGTTCTTTGTTCTGAGATAATGCAAGGAGGCAGAATGGAGAGGCCAAGAGAGAAGCCTAGAAGCAAGGGCCAGGAAGAGTGGGGAGAAGATAGATACTAGTGAGGGGTGGGAAGAGGGGTGGGAGGCTCTGGGGGCCAAACTGGGAGGGCCAAACATGCTGTGGAAAATGACCTTTCCCTCCAGGGGCGAAAAGGAGGCTTAAGGACATAATTTGGCCTTGGTGGAAGAGGAGAGGGTCAGCCAGAAGCAGGTCCAGAGTCAGGGTAAGAACTGTGTTCATTCTCCCTGGAAGCTCAATGCCTGCCCCAGCATGAGAGCTGGTCATTCTCCTCCACGTGCTCCCCCCACATCAGGAGCCCTGCTCCTCAGCAGCCTTCCACTCTGAGCTCTGGAAGAACCTCAATCACAGAGTCCCCTTCCCCTTGTGCTCACCACTCAGAATTAGCAACTGCTTTCCCCACATGGCAATATGCACCCCAGAGAAATAGATCTGAATCTTACCTTCCTCTTCCCTAGCCCAGAGGAAGGACTTTGGGATCAAAGAAGGGCAAGGGAAGACACATAACAGGAGCTGGAGAGGCTGGTGCTAGGGACCTGGGTCGATCTATGTCTCCCAAGGACCTGCCCCACATGTGTTCATCCCCAGGAATGTGCTTCTTTCTCTCAGGCAGCTTTGTTGGCAGGGTTGTGGCTCATGTGTCAATGTCTCAGGTCCTGTTTGGTGGCGGTGAGGATGCAGACAGGAAAACATGTAATGGATTTTGAGCAGAAGGTCTGGATTTCTGGGTCACAGTAGAGAAGCCCCCAAAGTGGAGACCCTGAATTGCTCTTCAATCAAAATTTTGTGTGGATTCAGCCTCCACCTCAAAGTTTTGCCCCCAGGTGACACTGATAAAAAACGAATTCTCCTATAAGAGGTGGAAACACACTTCGGCGGTTCAGTTGAAGCTTAGCTTGCTTTTGCATCATATGGGAGGATGACTTCTCCAACGACACCTGCTTCATTGTGCCCATAGAGAGTCCATTGATAGTAGCACCGCTTATAGAGAAATATCCTTCTTCGATTTTTCTTTTACCTACATTGGAAGAGTAGTTATGAACACACTGGAGTAACTGCCAAGATATTAGCAGGAATTCATTTACCATATTATCTGTAAGTGTCCAACCATGAGTACTTTGGGGCAGTAAGGAAATGCCACCTTCCATTATAATTGAAGCAAGAACAGAGGTGGTGTTGGGTTGGGCAAGAGGATGACCATTTGTGCCCTGAGAGAAGGCAGAGCATCTCTAAGTTAGGACTCTGATGACAAAAATTAAAAGTTGTCATTTTACTGAGTGTTCCCCAACCCAAGAGAATATTTAAATCCATGATATTTCTGCCTCAAGATGCATTTAATTTCTGGCTAATTGAGTTAGATTACAAATCACATCTGTTTACCATAAACAGAAACCCAGTTAGACTTCACTATTCCCATCTGAGTCACTCAGCTAATTAAATTCCTGATTTATCATTATCTATCTATCTATCTATCTATCTATCTATCTATCTATCTATGTATATCATCTCTATCTCTCTATTTCTCTCTTCCTCAAGTCACATTGCCTGTGGTAAGTCCACCTCATGACTTCTCAAGACGAAAACCAGCCCTATGGATGTACAGGCCCCATGACATCAGACAACCTTAGATGCTCCAGTTTAGGGGATCAACACCTCAAAGGTCACAATTTACTCTCCTAATTCAATCTGCCTCCTAGTCAATACAGCAACTCACAATGAGGAACACTTTCTTGAGAAATGATAGACTCCACACCATTTTTTTGGAATGCAAGTTAATTTTTGTAATATCCTTTCCAATGTACAAAGCATCTTCATCTATCATCTCATTGATCCTTACATTAAAATAATCCAGTGAGTTAGGTAAAACCCATAGTATCATTATAACTGAAGTTCAGAGAGGTTAAAGGGACTTTGTTTAATGTCACAGAAGAAGTGTAGGAGCCAAGGAGGAGCTTTCCCTTTAGCTCTCTGAAGTTTTACTGAAAAATCAACTCATAAAAGGCAGATTAACTGGAGAAAAGGCATAGATATTTATTTAATGTGTACACACTGGAGCCTTCAGAATGAAGACCCAAAGATACAGGGGAAATTGTCCATTTACACGCTTAAGTTTGTCAAAGTATAAAGAGTCATGTCGAAATACAACTGTACAGAAAAGATATGATCTAATGCTAGTAGACTAATTGGAGAAATCCAGCAAGATCTGTCCATCTAGATTCTTCTTGGGCTCTCTGAGCTTGCATTCCTTCCTCTAAGTGTAAGGTAGGACCCCCTACAGTAAAACAAAGTAGATTAGATAATTTCCTTATGGCCAGTTTTTACACAGAAGGATGGAGGGAAAGTTAGAGTAATATGATATTGTTACATCTGATGGCTGGCTTTGGCGAAAAGGGAGTCTGGTTTCTACCACTTGCTTTGTGGAAAGGGATTCCAGTTTCTATGGCTAGCCTTAGAGAAGAATGGGACTGAGAGATAAGAGGGCAGGAGAAGGTCAGAGAAAAACTTCTGCTTCTGTGGCTGTTTCTGAGGCCTTCATTTTGGGGTATTATTTTCTGAGCCCCAGCATTCCCCAAAATGAAACTTCCTAAAGAAGTTTCAGAGTGCCAATATCAGATTTGTGAATTGTCTCATAAGTCATCAAACCAATCTCTCAGTCCTGAGAATAGGCCAATCCAATTAAACAGTTAATAGTTGTGTCTCATTTCAGGCAAGTGTGCTACAAATGGGCTTTGACCAGAGTCAAGCCTTTTTATGATCTGAGAAATTAGATGTTTAGTAAGAGTCATTTCAATGGAAATGAATGTAAAACAAAGCTGAATGGTTAGAACAAACTACAAACTCAAATTTTAAATCCAGAGAGCAGGCAGCCAGTGAAGATTTTTATATGTTGGGCTCAGCATCTTCAGATGAAGTGAGAGCAGATAGTGGCCCTCTGACACATTTTCCCTGGTTTGTAGTTTCACCAGGTGTTCCAGTGAACTTTCTGAGTAGACTATATGTCAACAGGCACAATCATATGTTAAGTTGTTCATATATTAAACTATTCATATATTAAGTGCTGTAATGATTTTTCAAAATTTCTATCAAGTTGTCTAGCCTCATCTTGCAGGGCTTTAGGGAAAAGCAGTTTTAATTTCAGAGATTTCAAATAAAAAAAAAATGGGCAAATAATTGGAAACATTAGTTTGGAGACATGTAGCCAGGAAATAACTTAGGATTCAGTTGAAGTTGTAGGCTCAAAAAAAAAAAAAAAGCGGACAAGACTAGACTCTAATAACAGGTGTACTATAGTTTTCTTTTAAGACATAATTTTTCTCTTTCCAGTCCCCAATTCCTACCAAAGACAAATCATAGTAGGATCAATTTATTTGAAAAATGAGTTTTCCTCTTACTACATTGGGCCTGATTATTTGCATAAGGTGTCACAAGAATAGTGATTGGTCATATAGACTTTCATAAAGTTGTCTTTGCTGGAACTGTTTTTAATGGAATTTTCAGATTAGCCTTTTTAAAGCCTCTGTAAGCCAAGGATTTGTCATTAAACTGTGCCTGTAATTCTTGTTCACATTGGGGACATTTCTCTTTTCTCAAATTACCAAAATAACTTGAGGTTTCTGTCCCAGTTAGAAAGTGACAAATTCTTTTCTTACCACAAGTCAGGAACCTTGTAAAGGAATGATGTAGACAAGGCAACAGGTCAGTCTTTACAGGGGCTTTTTATCAGCTTTATTAAGTCAACCTCAACTGCTCAAAATAGTCTGGATGTACCTGAAAATATGCCATTCCAGTCAAAGCTTTGGTAGAACAATCAGTGTCTCCAGTTATGCCCTGTTACAAAAGAAAACAGATTCTTATTGAATTTATGAAAAAAAAGATATTGCCATAAATTAAGAATACTCATAAATAGTTTCCAGTTTCTGAAGAAATCAGCTAGAGATAAAGAAAATGCTTCAAATTTGTGTTTACAAAAATATACTTTAACCAATTTATTGTAAACTATAAATAGCCCAAAAGAGAAAGAAGTCTTTTTAGTTATAGTCCAATGGTACAATCTCTGAAGTTATCAGAAACCTGTATTCAAGAGTACTTGCCAGCCTTTTCCACGAATATCCTTAAAGAGGCAAATTTTGGACTATAGCAATTATAAACTGCTTTTTGAGAAGAATCAAAGTAAAACAATAATTTTCTGCGGATGACAAAAGACAGAATAGCCATGGTTAAAGACACAATTGATGAGGAAATTTTGTTATTTCTGTGGCGTATAACATTTGACATAACAATCACAATTAATGTTAACATGTACTGAGATGTCAGAATTTCAGGAATGTTATACAATTTTGGAACACAAATTAATAACACATTCATACAAATATTAAATAATCCAAAGAAAGTTAAACATGATTTCTTTTCCTTTCTATTTTTATTTTTAAATTTATTTTATTTTTTATTCTAAGTTCTAGGGTACATGTGTAGGATATTTTAATTTTTTAGATACAGGGTCTCACTCTGTCACCCAGACTAGAGTACAGTAGCAAGATCATAGCTCACTGCAGCCTTGAACTCTGGAGCTGAAGTAATCCTACTACCTCAGCCTCCCAAATAGGTAAGGCTACAGGCACATGCCAGCATACATGACTAAATTTTTTATTTTTCATTTTTGTAGAGACAGGCTCTCACTATGTGGCCCAGGTTGGTCTCAAACTCCTGGCCTCCAGTGATCCTCCCACCTTGGCTGTCCAAAGTGCTGTAATTACAGGTATGAGCCATCACACCTGGCCATACAATTTATTAATTGACAATGCTTCCTGTACGATCTTAGCATACCAAATAAGGCTAATATGTCTTTCTTGGACTTCCGGGGGTTCTAATATCCAAAAAGCTAGTTTGAGGCCAAAAAGACTGACTGAATATAGAATTTGACATTCTGATTTTGGAAAGTTTGTCAACTATAAGTGTTTTAAGCACTTGCTCAAAATTGAATCACAGGTCAGTGGAAAATAAGTCACTCATTTAGCCAACGAGGTAATTCAAAGATTTTTAAAAGTGAAAACCTTTACTCTTTGATAGACAGAACACTCAGTTTCCCAAACAATCATAAGACCTGATAAAGGCAAAATGAGGCAAACTGAGTCTGTCTCTTTCTCTCTTCCCTCTTTGTTTTTCCTTTATGTAGTTTACTTAAAAGGTAAAAAAAAAAAAAAAAAGAAAAAGAAAAGAAAAAAAGCTGTTACTATCTCATATCAACATTACATGAAAATCTTGTTCAAAAGATAAAATAAAAATTTACTTTTGTATTAGTATATTATTAATGTTAAAGTTAATTTTGATAAAACCTTATAAATAAGCTAATCTAATCTTTTTGACCATATAAAATAAGATTTTTATAAACCTTTAATAACCTCTTATAGTTTTTTCCATTTTTTATTTTCCCAACTTTTTATATCCATTCAGTTTTATTTATCATTTTCCCCTGTAATTTAAAGCAACTTTTAAAATCCTCTAAACTAGACAAAATTAATTTTCCTTTAACAAAAAAGAAACACCGTATTTTATGGGTTTTTTTACATAATTTTTTAAACCAAAAAGGCATCTTACTTTTCTTATATTCTTTGTAAATAGAATTGCTTCTCTTATATGTGGTAGGTTTTAATTACACGTATTAGTTTTAATGTTAGTTCTTAGTAATCCTTATTTTCAGTGAAAAATCCAGGAAATAAGCAATTTTAATTATATAACTGATACAGAGCCTAGGACAAAGGACAATGCCTGGAGGATTGAATCCTTCCCAGTGTGGCTAAAAGGCACAGATGGGCTAGGAAGGAGCAGTTCCTGCATCCTTGGGCCTCATCATGGCCTAGAGGTGCAAATCAGAGATAGAAGCTCACATATTAATAAAATCATAGAAGCAACTATTTTATGACCTTAAAATACCTATCAGTATAAACCTGTCTGATCAATAGACACAGGTAAAAATATCTAAATTAAATTCTGAAGATGTTTCTATTTTATTTTACCAATAATATTAAAACTACATTTATTTATCAAAGATTATTGAAGTCACATGAACTTGAAAAGCATTTATTTGGGCTAGCTATTTAGGAGTACTCATTTATCTTTAAGTTAATTTGGTACCATATGTAGACAGTATATAAACATCTGTATAGACATACACATACATGTAGACACAACGTATAACATATATATGTATGTATCTAAAAGCCAAATTGATCAAGGAGTTTAATGCAGAAGATAGTAAAGCTTTAGATTTAAGAGGAATTTGTCCACTTGACAACTATTGGGGTTTTACGAGGAAAAACAGACATTTTTCCCCAAAAGAGAAGTCTGTGGTGCCTTTGCTGCTTTCCTTAGAGATTTCAGGGTGTTAGAAATTGTCTTAGGTGTCCCCATGTGCCATGAAGGGTGGAGAGGCAGGAGGCACAGACAGAAGTAATTGGAGAAACACACCAAAGGAGCATGTATGGTTAGCAGGGGTTCAGGAAGAGGGAAATTCAGTGGACAGAGACTTTTTAGAGAGAGAGAACAGAGGCATTAAACCTATATCTATATGTGTACATATATGGCCTAAATATCAGTTTTAATATAGTTGACTTTTGACTATATAGCTCCTAAAAAAATCTTTTAAATCTCTTATTATTAGATTTTAGCGGGGACAAATGGCCAATATTTCTAGTTTTTGAACCTTTTTTTCTTAAGCCAAAGATTCCTTTTAAGTTGAACACTAACCATGGTTATAATATAAGCAAGGATGCAAGAGGTGTCTCCAAAGAGAGGAAAGCACTCCTCACAAGATCCAGAACCACCTCAAAGACAGCTTAAAAAACGAAAACGTTTGCTGGCCACAAACGAGGTCAAGTCCACATTTCTGTCTAGCCATATTCTTTCAGAGTCTCAGTTTCTCAGCTGATGGTCTACACCAAAGGCCCTCAAACCTTGCGTGCCCCCACAGAGAGGAAAAGACAGGGGCCGGGTTCAGTGGCTCACGCCTATAATCCCAGCATTTTGGGAGGCTGAGGCAGGTGGATCACTTGAAGTCAGAAGTTTGAGACCAGCGTGGCCAACATGGTGAAACCCCATCTGTACTAAAAATACAAAAATTAGCTGGGCGTAGTGGTGGGCGCCTATAATCCCAGCTACTTGGGAGGCTGAGACACAAGAATCGCTTGAACCTGAGAGGCGGAGCTTGCAGCGAGCCGAGATTGCACCACTGCACTCCAGCCTGGTTGACAGAGCGAGACTCCGTCTCAAAAAAAAAAAAGGAAAAACACAGGAAATCAAAATGATCAATAACAAACGGGTACCCCCAAAAGTCAAAAGTCACACAAATATCAAAACTGGAAAGACTGATCTCTGGTCAGGAACTGAACCCAGGCAACAGCTATGAAAGCCAGGAATTTTAACTACTAGGCCACAGGGAGTGGCCTCTATTATCATTCTCGCAGGGATCTAAAGCAGGCAGTTTGTACAAATATTTTGGCTTTGTTTTAGGTCCAATTTTTGCTTTTTATAGGGAGAATTTCTAAGGCTAGGCATGATATTTTTTAATGTCTTTCTTTTAATTTGGTCTTCCAATCAATTGTTTAGAATAAGAGATCTCTTTTTTTTTTTTTAATTTAGGAGTTTAATTTAAAGCATCCATCTTTTGGCCATTGACAATTAGAACTTCCCATGGTGTATTTATAGCACCTCAATAGCAACCCAATTCAACTTCAGAGAAGAAGCAATTCCAAAGACTCCCTCCAGAAAATTCACTCCTAGGAATAGGCTAAGATAGCAAAAGATTCTTGTTGCCACTGACAGTTAATGATAGTGTTTGCCTTCAGTAACCCACAAATTTATGGGGTGCCACCAGTCACAGACCTGTTAATCTGTGATACTAGGCAGGCCCTCTTGGGACTGGACTTTTCCAGCACTACACAGGCAACAAGGGTTGAGATAACAAAAGTTCCTTATGGACAGGACTTCTTTTTTTATTATTATTATTCTACCTTAAGTTTTAGGGTACGTGTGCACAACGTGCAGGTCTGTTACATATGTATACATGTGCCATGTTGGTGTGCTGCACCCATTAACTCGTCATTTAACATTAGGTATATCTCCTAATGCTATCCCTCCCCCTCCCCCCACCCCACAACAAGACTTCTTATTAAGACAAACTTTCCTGAGAGCTTGACATATTCTGAACAAAAGTTTCAGGTTGCTAGCCATTTTCAGACTGACCACCTGACATGACCTGAAAATCATGCCCAGCAGGTGGCAGAGACCGACAGAGTGCTCCTGCTTGGTCACAGGTCACACTCTCAGATAAATCAAACAAGATAAGAGGAAACTTTATCCAGTACCTCTTGTTACAAACAACATAGAAAGACAAAGGAAAAGACTATTTCTGGGAGGAAAGGGGTCAAATAACATGACTATTCATACCACAAAGAATCCAAAAGTACACCAGAGTTGCTACAGCAAAGCTAGTCACACACAAATCTTTTGGTCCTATTAATCAAAATTTTGCAGAGAAACAGTGATTTTTACCATCCACTCAACTGGATTGCACAGAGAAAGAGGCTGGAAGCCTGGATGGCTAGAAATTCTTACCCTTTTGCAGCTAATCAGGTTCCCGGATTCCCTTAACTGAGGCTTCCAGAAGGGTGGGACTTTGATCATCTTGTCTGTGACATCAAACTATAGAAACTATAGGAACTAAGGAGAATCTTCCCCTTGGCTCTCTGAAGTTTTGCTGAAAAATCTACTCATAAAAGGCAGATTAGTTGGAGAAAAGGCATGCAAATATATTTAAAGTGTATACGTGGGAGCCTTTAGAATGAAGACCCAATGATACAGGGAAAGTGACTTTTTTTTTTTTTTTTTAAAGACAGAGTCTCGCTCTGTTGCCCAGGCTGTGCTGGAGTGCAGTGGCACGATCTCGGCTCACTGCAACCTCCACTGCCTGGGTTCAAGCGACTCTCCTGCCTCAGCCTCCCAAGGAGCTGGGATTACAGGCATGCACCCACCATGCCTGGCTAATTTTTTGTATTTTTAGTAGAGACGGGGTTTCACCAGGTAAACCAAGCTGGTTTTGAACTCCTGACCTCAAGTGATCTGCCTGCCTCAGCCTCCCAAAGTGCTAGGATTACAGGTGTGAGCCACTGCACCCAGCCGGAAATTGACATTTTTTATGCTTAGGTTTAACAAAGCATGGACAGCCCTGTAGAACTGTGATTGGACAAAAAACGTACAATCTAATGCTAATAGACTGAGTGAGGAAACCCAGCAAGGGCCTGTCTGTCTAGATTCTTCTTGGCCTCCCTGGACACGCATTTCTTCCTTCAAAGTATGGGGCAGGACCCTCTCTGGAATGGGGGTATTAGGACCTACAGTCAAATAAGGTAAGTCAGACTATTTCTTAACAGCCATTTTTTACACAGAAAGGTGGAGGGGAAGTTAGAGTAGTGTTTTAAGGTTTTATGGCTGGCTTTGGGGGAAGGAGATTCTGGTTTCTATGACCCGCTGTGGGGAAGAGGGATTCTAGTTTCTATATAGCCTTAAAGGAAAATGGGACTGAGATACAGGAGGGCAGGAGAAGATCAGAGAATAACTTTTGCTTCTGAGACTTTCATTGCAGGGTATTGTTTTCTGAGCCCCAACACTAGCAAGTTGTAATGCTACAGATACAGATACAATGGTCTTCTCTCTTAAGATGCCACGTTTTTTATTTCTTTTTAACTACATCACAAAGATGATCAAATGCTACTGACCCCAATCCTACATCTTAAGAGGATTGGATGAAGAGAGCATCTGACAGGCTGGGGAGATATCTTCAGTTTTAAAGCATTCTGTTGATTCTCTCTCAATGTACACAATGTGCATAAGACCAAGGAAGGGAATATGTTAGAGTTCATTCTTGAATCTGTAGGCCCTTGTCAACTGGCTTGAGATGCTTGGCTTTTGGTGTGTTCCTTGGTTGGACTCGCACTCACATGTGTAGACCACAAAGTACCAATGCCCATAATGCACATTGCCGTCAGCAGAATAATCTTTCTACAGCACATCTCAATACATGTGTTTCAATGGTTCTCCTGCTGTCTACCCAACATAATACAACCCCCTCACCTAGAAGTCATGAACTCTCCTTTAGAACTTATTTCCCACTACCCCATTTTGCATGAAATTTTAGGCCTTATGTGTTCTGCCCTCCCTAACAATCATCTGTTTGCCCTCTTCTTGCATTTTGTGGTCCTTGCAACTACATTATTTTTCTTGAAGCCTCAAATACTACTTCGGGTGGAAGGCTGCCATTTGCCCAGACACAGAAGAAATTTCTCCCTCTTCTGAACATACATGGCTTTCCATCTGTGTTGATCTTGCTGCATATCTTTTCAATCTGCTACTAATACATATATCTCATCTTCCTAAATCATAAGACTTTTGGGATAGACTTTAATCTGACAGGTTTTGCATTGCTAACAGCAAGCACCACAGCCATGCTTGTGGTGAGCTGAATAATGGCCCCCAAATATGTCCATGTCCTAATCCCCTGTGAATATTGCCTTATATTACATGACAACAGGGTTTTTGCAAGTGTGACTAAACTGAGGGTCTTGAGATGAGATTATCCTAGATTATCTGAATGGATCTGATGTAATCACACAATCCTTGTAAGAGGGAGCCAGGAGGAATTGGGGTGAGAGGAGAAGGCAATGTGACAATGGAAGCAGAGAATGAAATCACATGCTTTGAAGATGGAGGAAGTGGCCACAAGCCAAGGAATGGAGAGGGCTGCTGGAAACAGAAAAAGACAAGGAAATAGATTCTCCCTATTTCCTCCAGAAGGAACCTGCCCTGTGAACACTTTCACCTTAGCCCAGTTAAACTGAATTTGAACTTCTGACCTCCAGAGTGTAAGAAAATTAGTTCTGTGTTGTCTTGAACTACTGAGTTTGTGGTAATTTGTTACAGCAACAATAGGCAACTAATATAGTGGGAAAATGTTTGTTGACTTAAAAAAAGAAATAAATGACTATGAATAAGTCAATACATGAATGAATACATTCAAAAGGTTTTGCTTTATAATGTTTCCTTGCTTCCAATGTCTAACCACTATGGGAAGTCTTGCCATAGAGAAAGGCATTTTTTAAAATGTCCCTGAATGTTTTTTTGGAGGTCCAATCAAAGTGCCAGTGGTTCAGCTGGGGCTCCGGATCAGTAGGGCATCAACCTCCTTACTCCTATGGACTCCCCCATTGTTCTAGAGAGCACAAGACCTAAGGGAATAGGAGGGGAGACAGGACTCCGTGGGGATGGAGGATCTGAGAGCCTAGGGCACAGGTTGTGTCTAAGGCAGGAGGGGGAAGTTCTTGACTAGATCAAGAGCTGCCCAGTGCCATACCCTGACTTGAACCAAGTAGCTGGGAAGTGAGGCACGCCCAGCTAATTTTTGTATTTTTAGTAGAGACAGGGTTTTGCCATGTTGACCAGGCTGGTCTCGAACTCCTGGCCTCAAGTGATCTGCCCGCCTCCACTTCCCAATGTGCTCGGATTACAGGCATGAGCCACCATGCCCAGACCTCCTATTTCTTTCTAAGGACAACTTCTTATCATTGTCAGGGACAAAAGTTTGGAATAAAATTATTTTTTGTTCAGTGTATTTCTTACTTTTCAGTGACTGACTGATAAGCCCTCTTTTAACTTTAATTAGAAACCGAACTGAAGAAAATACTTGGCTTGACATACCATAGTGATTTAAAAGGGCTTTTCAACTCCAGTACCAAAAAACATGAAACAGTAATTCAAAGGGCTGTTAACATGGAGCTCCCAGCACCCCTTGTGCATAGGGAAGGGCTAAATTAACCAAAATGATAACCGTGCCACAAATTAATTACTATTTAAGGTTACTCCTACTAAACTTGACCATAAATCTCTTCATATTCCCTAAACTACAATCTTAACTATCGTCTTTTTGCAAAAAAATAAGCCATCTCTTTTATAAAAGCTCACACACACACACACACACACACACGTATGTGCACACACACACAATAAGCGCATCTTTTCATGGACTATTAACGTAGAGCTGATCATTTCCCTCATTTTCTCAAATAGCATATATCATTCACACAGAGCGAGAGCATAATTTGAACAAAATCGAATGAGATTTTCCTGAGCTTCACATGAATTGAAGTGGGAGATAATAATCCTTTCTATTTTTTTCCTATCCAACAAGATCAGCTCTTAGAAGTCTCCTCAGTGTTTCAGATTTAAATACATGATATTTAATGCAGTTTCTAAATTTTAACTACTTCTAATTCTTCTAACTGTGCAGAAAAGCACACTGAGATTTTGAGATCGTGCAATCATTCTGAAGTCAGGCCCACAAGCATGAGCAACAGCAGAATGTTGACTGGCCTGCTTAGCAGAATCCCAGCTCCAGGTCTCCAGTTTGGAAATGCATCTTTCAGTCAAACTAAAAAACTTACAAAATTAAAATTTCAAGCAAACAAAATGACTTTAATAAAACATCTTATTAAAGTTGTTTTTATACAAATGTATTTAAAGTTATATAAGTTTATTTAAAGTTGTATAAACATTATTAAAGAGAGGTAGACTGTATAAAGAAAACGTGGTACATATATACCGTGGAATACTATGCAGCCATAAAAAAGAACAACATCATGTCTTTTGCAGAAACATGGATGGAGCTGGATAATGATATCCTTAGCAAACTAAAGCAGGAACAGAAAACCAGATACTAAATGCTCTCACTTATAAGTAGGAGCTAAATAATGAGAACACATGGACACAAAGAGGAAAACAACAGGCACTGAGGCCTATCAGAGGATGAAGAGTGGGAGGAGGGAGAGGAGCAGAAAAAGTAACTATTGGGTACTAAGCTTAGTACCTGCATGATGAAATAATCTGTACAACAGACACCCATGACATGAGTTTACCAATATAAAAAGCTGGCACCCGTGAAACTAAAACAAAGAAAAAGAGAGAAGGAAAAAGAATTATTGGCTACTAGTTCCAAGTAAATCATTCTTTACGCTTAAGTATAATTTTCCACTGGACTGGAATAGTGTTTTACTGACTACTATAATTTATTTTTACCAGCACTCAGAGAAATCAAATGCTTTTAGGAAGAATAAACAAGAACATGTTAAATTAAGCTGCATAAATAATTTTCACACTTTCTACTTGAGTGTCTGTGTGTGTTTTTGTCTTCCATATTATCTGTGACAGTGCAACCATTTTATATCCTATGCCTATTCAGATACTGCTCTATGCTTTAAAATTGTAGCTACTGTTTTCTTAACTCAGTAATGTTTGATTCTATGCCTCTTGGATTTCATTACCTCACAGATTTTGCTCAGTTCCTTGACTCTTGTCATTGCCCATAAGTCCGTAACTATTGGCGTATTCGTTGGGGAAGTTATGTATGTTTTATCTATAGTAATGAAATTATGGGAGGTCTGTTTACAGCCTGGTATTTCTTTAGACTGAAGATTTGTCTAGCAATAAAGTTACACATACACCTTAAGCAAATGGAAATGATCCTCTCTTGATAAGATCACAGGTTCAATGTAGTCATGAGAGCAGAAGAATGCCAATATTCTTAGAACAATCTATTTTACTAGAAGTTTTTAAATTATGTATTTTAAGTAAAAATAATATGATACTAGGCAGAAGGTTTCAGCTCTGACTAAGCCCAGAGGAAAAATTCCATTATCTCTTATCCTCTCTTGAATCCTTCTACAGGGGACCTCTGACCCAAGAGTTCGGTCAATGCATATGTTGGCAGCCAGCTGCACATCGCACCAAATATGAACTTCAAATAGAAGAAAGCCTCATTTGGAAGAAAGCTCATGCACAGACTGTAAATATTTCAGAGCAGATTGTGTCTCTGTAGATTAAGTAAGTTGTGAAAGTCTGAACCTCTGCCAAAATTTTAAGACCTTGACCTTTACATCTCTGAGTTTCTATCTGTCATTTTTCCTTTCTATCTGTCATTTTACCTTTCATACTTATAAAATGGAATTCATAATCTTCTCAGCCTACCAAGTGTTAGTGTTCTAGGGATTCAGATAAAATATGTATGAAATTACTTTGAATTACCTAAAACATGACATTTATTCATTCAACAAGTATTTGTTGAACATATACGTCCTTCCTGGTGCTGTGTCAGGTGCTGGTGAATATAGCTGTGGTCATGGCAGACTTTACCTCTGCTTTCATAACTGTAACATGAAAGTGTTGCTACCACAGTCATGTTATTAGAACGACTACTTTAACATCGACTACTAATATAAAATTTGTAGATGTTTAAATGAAATCATTATTTGTGTAACCATTAATATCCTGTGTAATGTTATAATATTTGGGGCACCTTTGTAATTGTTAAATGATTTATTTCATTCCCAGGTGAGTTTGTAGAAAATAATACAATCACTCTCAATTCCATTAGTGTTTTTACTTTCAGTTTGATTCACATTGCTCATCCCAGTCTGACGTAAGTCATCACCTACAAGAACCAGACAAGGAAAAACAGAACAAACTTGAAAGAAATCAGCTATCATATCTCTATAAATGTATTCTGCCTCTATTTTTCATTTTCTTTTAGTAAAGTACTTTATAAGAAAAACAATGAAGGGCAGGGAATTAGAATCTACTCAAGCATCTGCTGTATTCTAGACATTTTATGTCCATCGTCTCCTTCACACACCTTGGCACTCCACAATGCAGAGGTTACTATCCCCAATTTGTAGATGGAGGATGAGAGGCATTGAGAGATGAAGTGACTTTTCAGACTCAGTCAGTTGCTCTCTAAAGCCAATGCTCTTTCCACTGTACCTAACAATTTTGTTGTATCAATCTGTTTAACTACAACATGATATTATTTAATGTGACTCAGTTCATATGCTATTGGTCAGTAGGGAATTGATGTGAATTTTGTTGGTCTTGTCAGCAAACAGTTTATTTTTCCAGTATGACAATGTTGTGACAAGATCAGAAGCCAGCTTTCTCACCATTAAATCAAAGTCTTATCAATATATGGAGACTTTTATGGAAAGAAACCTGAAATTACGCAGAAATGCCTTCCGCAAGAAGTGGCTAGTATGGTGGCTTCAAGAACAGTGACATTTTTCAGTATGTCCGTTGTTCTAAGACGTTAGTACATCACAATTACCTAGAAAACTTGTTAAAACACAGAAGTCTGGGCTCCCCCTCTTGGCCAACCCCCATTCCCAGAGGGTTTCTGTTTCCATGGGTCTGAAATACCACCTAACGATTGGCATTTCTAACAAATTTCTGCATGAAGCTGCTGGTCTGAGGACCACACTTTGACAACCAGTGCACTACATTAAGCTATCTGGAGAAGCTGCAAATGCAGATGAAGAAGCTACAAATTTTTCTATGTCAACAAAAATTGACTGATGAGGGTGACCTTCGGATCATGTTTTTAATGTTTATGAAACTGGTCTCATTATCAGAAGTAAATGGCTTCAAGAACTTCAGCCTGAGGAAGAAAACATGAGTCCTAGGCATATCAGGCTACAACCATGTTTGGAATGAATCTAGGTGCAAATCTCAGTGGAGAATTAACTGTACCAATATTTTAATTAGGATTACTAATGTTTTGTTACTTCCTGATTACAAGGTTCTATAGGTTTTGAATGATCCACTGTAATCCTGTTTCTTTTCCATAAGTCGTGTAGTTTTTAGCATGTAATTATGCAGACCATAAGGTTTTTCAGGAATACTAATATGGCATTAGATTAGAAATGCTATATTAAAAATTCTTATTAAATCTACTGATAGTAACCAAAAAATAGAAGATTCAGAAGAACTAGCAAATGTGGAGAGAACGGATGAAATGGAAGCAGTGTGAACCTAGTGAATACTTGCCAAGCTGTATCTCCCCTGAATTTGTCAAAACATCATCTCCAGCATCTGAGCTAGACCAACCCTCAGTGCTAACATTGATGTGATTAAAGAGTCTGAACTGGGAGCAGAATTCCTTCAGGTATTTTGTTAATAAAATAAAGCTCTCCATCTCTCCTTAAATTAAACAAGCCTGCTCTCCTGGATCATGTTTTGAACATAGTTCATTTTACGAAAGGCTTCCCTTTGGGGCCCTTTATTTTAATTCTGGTTGTGCAAATCAGCCCATGTTCTGTTCATGAGGGACACCTGTTTATTCCCCGTGAAAACAAATTCGTTGGATGCACCCTGGGAGGCTACAAGGAGGGAAGTGAGAACGTGCAGAGCAGGTAGAAAGAGAAGTGAGAGGCTGGGCGCGGTGGCTCACGCCTGTAATCCCAGCACTTTGGGAGGCTGAGGCGGGCTGGATCACGAGGTCAGGAGATCGAGACCATCCTGGCTAACACGGTGAAACCCCGTCTCGACTAAAAAATACAAAAAATTAGCTGGGCGTGGTGGAGGGCGCCTGTAGTCCCAGCTACTCGGGAGGCTGAGGCAGGAGAATGGCGTGAACCCGGGAGGCGGAGCTCGCAGTGAGCTGAGATCGCGCCACTGCACTCCAGCCTGGGCGACAGAGCGAGACTCCGTCTCGGGGAGAAAAAAAAAAGAGAAGTAAGAGCTTGCAGGAGAGGGTACCTGAAGCACCTGAGATTTGGGAGTCTTGTCCCCTGCGTCCTGCCAAAAGTCTTGCCATGCTCCTCCTTCGCCAAATAAATGAAGAGCCAAAATGCCACCCACTAAAATTAACATGAAAGGGGATAAAAGATGTGATGTTTGCTCCTAACCTGTGTAGATTGAAACAAGGTTCCCTGTGTTCTCTAGCCTCATGCCATGGGTTGGTGGGGGGTGGGATGGGAGGGCGAAGTTTACAGGAAATCATCCCCGGTGTTTCAATAGTGCTTCAGTAGCTGGTATTGTCACCTTAATTTAGCTAGATAGAGAGTTTATCCCTGGACCACGATGTAAGAGAATACGAATGTTTTAATCCTATATAAGCTTCTAGTGACTGGTTTGGCTGAATTAGACAATATGGAAATTGAGTGAAAACTTGCTGAAAATGTGTTTCTCAAATGAGCCTGAGTAGGTAAATTAAAGGCAGAAATCTCCTGGTGAGCCAGTGTCTGCAAAGCCTTCAGGGGAAAACAACTTACTAGTTAAATAACGAAATCAGGATCTTAAATGATGTAGCAAGGCGTTCCCCCCACCCCTTTTAAACAATGGCCTTAATTAAAAAGACCACAGTTCTGTGCTGATGGGGAGGTTACTGTACGTTTGGAGAAAAGGACTAGATGGTGTTCTGAGTTAATTAAAATGTTCACTTTGGGTAAATATTCCAGTTCCTGTGGCGATGACAGCCAACAGTTCATAAGCTGAATGTAACTGTTTGACAAGTATCTGAATGAACAGCTTACCTTGAGAAACCCAATGTTGTGTGATAAGTTACAAATGCAGTAAGTTCTCCATCTGCTACAGTCTTAATCAAATCTCCCTGAGTAAAGGCATTTTTCAAGCAAGTAGAATGCAAGAGAGTGTCCCTGCATACTAAACCTGTGTGGCATGTAATTTAGAATCTTTGTTTCGGGAAATAGTTTATATCTTGATATGCACTGAAGTTATTAGATAGATATGCAGTTACCAGGGTATATGTAGAAGTAGCTATTAAACATCAGTGTGCACTAGAATCATTTGGAGGGTTTATGAAACCCTAGATTGCTAGGCCCCACCCCCAAGAGTTTCTGATTCAGCAGACCAAGGTTGAGGTTTGCATTTCTAACATTTGTATTTCTGTTAGAACATTCCAGGTGATGTTGGAGCTGCTGATTCAGAGACCACACTTTGAGAACCATAGAAAAGATATTGGTGATAGAGTAGTAAGAGCTTCCACTAGGAATTGTGGCACCCGGAATCTCTTCTAATTAATCATCAATATGACCAAGGTCAAGCCACTTGGTCTTATTGAGGTTGACTTGATGGCTTCCTACAACTCCACGTTAGAATTATTGGGTGAAATTACTGATGAGGAGAGAATTCTGCTAAGATTGTTAATTGACCATAGTTTATCAATTATCCTTGAAACTGTTACCTGATAGTGAATATTTTCCAACTTGAAGAAAATGCTTGAAGAAAAAAAGACACCTAAGCTGCCATTATCAATCAGTTATTACATAATCAAAGAACATTCAACTTCCGAATCAATAGACTGTGCTTTGGAAATGTTCTTTGATTGTCCAATTAGGGCCAACTCCTGGGCCATGCTCCATCACTCAAACCCTCCCAGATTCTCAGATGCCTACATAGTTTTTCTGTGATCTTTTCATCTGATTTAGCCTGAGCTGCTTTGATTCAAGACTATTTGGCCTAGGGATTTTAAGGAACTGGGAAAGCTCATTGATTATTTTCTTTTAGATTAAGCTACATATGTTAAAAGTCACTAAGCAATCAGGTCTGAAAAATCTCATTTGCCACAGTGAAGGAAAACAGCAACATTTGGATCTTGTGTTTCAGGCCAGGAATAGAAAAGCAGCATGCAACTGGGCCAACTCTAGAGACCACTATTTGCTGTGTTGTTATATTAATCACTTAAATATGCTTCCAAATGTAAGTCAGGTCCTCTTCCTGGCCATGTTTGAGTAATGTAATCATAGGTTAGTGACTGACATAAGATACTTGAATGTTGTTTTATTCAGCATTGTTAAGCATTGGTTCATGGTGCAGCAACATAAAAACAGAATAATTTTAAAGTCATTCTCAAACTTCTTATCTGTAAGCATCATTTAATATTACTAATCATAACATGTATCTCATGGAATATCCTACCCTTGCCTCAGACTCTAAGTCCCACAACTAATGACTTGTCTTACCTGGAGAATAAAGACACAGGTTTCCATATATGGAGCCATCTGGGCATCCTTCTAGAAGACCAATTTGGAGCATCATTTATCTTTTTAATTTTCAATTGATCATGGACAAAGAGGAGAATGGCCACCAGCTTCCTTACAATTGCTAATATTAGAAAATTATTTGAAAATGCATACTGGGCTGTTTCTGTACTAACTATTCCCCATTTCGTCTTTGGATATTATTTTCTAGAACAGATAAACACTTATTTATGTTTAAAATTTGTTACAAAGCCAAAATTTTTTAGAAAAAAAGCCATTAAATTTGCAGATAAGAAAAATATTTTTCTATATTTATAAATTAAAATTCCAATCCTATGTAAAAGTTCTCTGTTATTTCTGCAAAATTATTTTATCTCACGTTTGAAAAACAATAAATATTATATAATGTGCTACATTTAGAAGATGATGACATGAGCAAAGTGTAACAAACTAGAACACATTTATGAAGACTATCAAACCAGAAGCCAAATACACCTTTCCCTGGAATTATCTTTCTGCTCAGAAAGGAAACCATTAGGCTAATATTAAGAATATAGATTTTCAATAAAATAGAACCAAATATCTTTCAATTTTAAATAACAAATTCTGTGTAAGATGATGATTGCTTATAACAATAACATGAAGAAATTCTCACCTAATGGTCTTGATATATTTTATAATTTTAATGATTTCCTTGAACATTAAGAAAAATTTATTTCTGAGGGCTGTAATGACATTGCATAACTAGCCTTTTAAATGTCATGTAACTCAAGAAAAAAGAAACGATATTAGCTTCCATTTGGACAGTACCTGACAGATTCTCATAAACAGCCTTATTGAGATATAATTTACTCAAAGTGTGCAATTCAACTGTTTTTGGTATATTTGCAGATATATGAAACCACCATCACAGTTAATTTTAGAACATTTTTATTGCCTCAGAAAGAAACTCCATACATTTTAGCTATCACCCCTCTACCTCCATCCCAACTTCCTCAGCTCTAATCAACAACTAATCTATGTCTATAGATTTTCCTATTTCGAACTTTCGTATGAACAGAATTATATCACATGTGATCTTTTGTGACTATTTCACTTAATATGTTTTCAAAGTTCATCCACATGTTAGAATGTATCAGTATGATTCTCTTTTATAGCCAAATAATATTCCATTGTTTGGGTATATCACATTTCTTTTACCCATTTGTCTGTGGATTAACATTTGGGATCAGGTACACTAATGTTTACAGCATCATTATCTATAATATCTAAGTGTTTATGTGGAAATGTTTTCATTTCTCTTGGGTGTATCCCCAAGGATGGAAATGCTGGATCATATGGTAATTCTCTGTTTAATTGTTTGAGGAATTCCAGACTGTTTTCCAAAATGGCTACACCATTTTACATTCCTACCGGCAGTGAATGCATGTTTTGATTTCTTCACATTCTCACCAAACTTATTTATGTCTTTTTTATTCTAGCTATCCTGATGTGTGTGAAATGGTATCTCGTTGTGGTTTTAATTTGCACTTCTGTCCTGGCTAATAATGTCAAGTATCTTTTCATATGCTTATTGGTCATTTGTATTATCTTTCTTGGAGAAATGCATGTTCTGATCTTCTGCCCATTTTTAAATTGGGTTATTTGTCTTTTTATTGAGTTGTAAGAGTTCTTTATATATTCTAGATACAAGTCCCTTATTAGATATATGGCAAATATTTTATTCCATTCTGTAAATATTTCACTTTCTTGATGGTGTCTGCTGAAGCACAAGAGTTTTTAATTTTAATAAAATTCCATTTATTTTTTCTTTCATTGCACATGCTTTTGGTGTCATAGCTAAGAATCCTTTGCCAAATCTGAGGTCATAAAGATTTATGCCTATAATTTTTCTATACGTTTTTTAGTTTTAGCTCTTATCTTTAGGGCTCTGATCCATTTTGAGTTGATTTTTGCATATAGTATGAGGTAAAGTGCTAATCCTATTCTTTTGCATATGGCTCTCCATTTTTCCAGCAGCATTTATTGAGAAGTCTATTCTTTACTCATTGAATGTTCTTGGTACCCTTGTCAAAAAATCAGCTGGAGCTGAGCGCAGTGGATCATGCATGTAATTCCAGAACTTTGGGATGCTGAGGTGGACGAATCACTTGAGCTCAGGAGTTTGAGACCAGCCTGGGCAACATGGTGAAACCCTATCTCTACAAAAAATACACTCAGGCAGGGGTGGTACATGCCTGTAGTCCCAGCTATGTGGAGGGTTGAGTCAGGAGGGTCACTTAAGCCGGGAAGTTGAGGCTGCAGTGAGCTGTGTTTGCGCCACTCCACTCCACCCTGTCTCACTGGTCATACAGGTATGGGTTTATTTCTTGGTATTCCCTCAATTTTATTTCACTGACTTATATGTCTGTCCTTGTGCCAGAACCACTGTCTTGATTACTGTTGCTTATGGTGAGTTTTCAAATTGGGAAGTTAAAGTCCTCCTCCTTTGCCCTTTTTCAGAATTGTTTTAGATATTATGGGTCTGTTGCAATTCCATATGAATGTTACAATCATCTTGTCAGTTTCTACAGGTAAGTCAGCTGAAATTCTAATAGAAATTTTGTTGAATCTGTAGATCAGTTTAGGGAGTATTGCCATCTTAACAATGTTAAGTCTTCTGATCCATGAGTGTGGAATATTTTTCCATCTATTTAGACCTTTAACTTCTTTAAATTACATTTTGTAGTTTTCACACCATAGGTTTTACACTTCTTTTGTTAAATTTATTACTATGTATTCTTTTTGATGCTATTGTGAAAAAAATTACTTTTTAATTTAATTTTCAGATTGCTCATTGTAAGTCTACAGAACTACAGTTGATTTTTTTGTATATTGTTCTTACATCTATAACCTTGCTGAACTCATTTATTGGCTCTAATCACTTTTTAGCAGATTTCTTACAATTTTTTATATATAAGATTATGTTATCTGAGAATAGAGATAATTTTACTTCTTCCTTTCCAATTGGATTGATCTTTTATTTCTTTTTCTTGCCTAATTTGCCTGGCTAAAACCTCTAATAAAATGTAAAATAGAAGTAGTGAGAAAGAACATTTTTTTCTTATTACTGATTTCAGGAGGAAAAGCATCCATTCTTTCACTGTTCAGTATGACACTAGCTGTGAATTTTTTGTAGACGGACTTTATCAAGTTGATAATATTTTCTTCTTTTTTTAGTGTTCCTATTATTAAAGGATGTTGGATTTTGTGAAATGCATTTTCTGTGTTTTTTTGAGATGATAAAGTGAGTTTTAAAAAAATTGTAGTGTGATACTGTATTAGATTAATTGATTTTTGAATTTTGAACCAACCTTACATTCCTGGGATAAATCCCATTTGGTCACGGTCATGGTTCTTTTTATAATCATGTGGTCAGTTTGTTTGTGTTTTGTTGAGTATTTTTACATCCATATTTATAAGATATATTGGTCTATTTTTTGTGTGATGTATTTATCTTGTTTGTATATCAGGATAATACTGGCCTCATAAAATGAGTTATGAAGTGATGTGATTTGACTCTGTGTCCCCATCCAAATCTCATGTTGAATTCTAATTCAATGTTGGGGGAGGGACCTAGTGGGAGGTGATTGGATCATGGGGGCAGATTTCCCTCATGCTGTTCTTGTGACAATCAGTGAGTTCCCATGAGATCTGATGTTTTAAAAGTATGTGGCACTTCCCCCTTTGCTCTTTCTCTCTCTCTCTCTCTCCTGCTGCCATGTGAAGAAGGTACTTGCTTCCCCTTCACCTTCTGCCATAATTATAAGTTTCCTGAGGTCTCCTAGTCATGCTCCTGTTAGACCTGAGGAACTATGAGTCAATTAAACCTCTTTTCTTCACAAATTACCCACTCTTGGGTAGTTCTTTATAGCAGTGTGAGAATGCACTAATACAGAAAACTGATACTAGAAGTAGGGTATTTCTATAAAGATACCCATAAATGTGGAAGCAACTTTGGAACTTTGTAATGGGCAGAGGATGGATCAGTTTGGAGGACTCAGAGGAAGATAGGAAGATGTGGGAAAGTTTGGAAACTTCATAGAGACTTGTTGGATGGTTGTAATGAAAATACTGATAGTGATATGGACAATGAAGTCCAGGACGAGGTGGTCTCAGATGGAAGGGAGGAACTTATTGGGAACTAGAGCAAAGATCACTCTTATTATACTTTAGCAAAAAAACAAGGCATTGTGCCCCTGCTCTAGGGATCTGTAGATCTTTGAACTTAAGAGAGATGATTTAGTGTATCTGGCAGAAGAAATTTCTAAGCAGCAAAGCATTCGAGATGTGGCCCAGCTGCTCCTAAAAGCCTACACTCATTTGCATAAGCAAAGAGAACTTATATTTAAAAGGGAAGCAGAGTGTAAAAGTTTGGAGAATTTGCAGCCTGACCATGTGGTAGAAAATAAAAACTCATTTTTCAAGCTGGCTGCAGAAATTTGCATAAGTAAGGCAGAGCTGAATGTTAATAGCCAAGACAATGGGGAAAACATCCCCAGGGCATTTCAGAGGTCTTCACAGCAATCCCTCCCATCATAGGTCCAGAGGCCTAGGAGGGAAAAATGGTTTCATGGGTCAGGCTCAGGGCGCAGCTGCACTGTGCAGCCTCAGGACATGGCACCTTGTGTCCCAGTTGCTCCAGCTCCAGCCATGGCTAAAAGCTGCCAAGGTACAGTTCAGGCCATAGATTCAGAGAGTGAAAGCCCTGCCAAGCCGTGGCAGCTTCCACATGGTGTTGGGCCTATACAGAAGGTAAGAATTGAGATTTGGGGGTCTCTGCCTAGATTTCAGATTCCAGAAAATGTATGGAAATGCTTGAATGTCCAGGCAGAAGTCTGCTGCAAAAGTGGAGCCCTCGTGGAGGACATCTACTAGGGTAATGCAGAGGGGAAATGTGGGGTTGGAGCCCCCACACAGAATCTCCACTGAGACATTGCCTGGTGGAGCTATGAGAAGACAGCCACCATACTCCAGATCCTAGAATGGTAGATCCACCAACAGCTTGCACTGAGCTGCAGACACTCAGTGCTAGCCCATGAAAGTAGCCAAGGGGGCTGTACACTGCAGGGGCAGAACTGCCCAAGGCTTCAGGAACCCACTCCTTGCATCAGCATGCCCTGAATGTCAGACATGGAGTCAAAGGAAATTATTTTGGAGCTTTAAGATTTAATGACTATCTTGCAGGGTTTCAGACTTGCATGGGGCCTGTAGTCCCTTTGTTTTGGCCAATTTCTCCCATTTGGAACAGGAGCATTTACCCAATACCTGTACCCTCATTGTATCTTGGAAGTAACTGACATGATTTTTATTCTACGGGCTCATAGGCAGAAGGAACTTGCCTTGTCTCAGATCATACTTTGGACTTGGACTTTTGATTTAATGCTGAAATGAATTAAGACTTTGGGGGACGATTGAGAAGGCATGATTATGTTTTCAAACATGAGAACATGAAATTTGGGGGTGGCCAGGGGTGTAATGGTATGGTTTGGCTCTGTATTCCCACCCAAATCTCATGTTGAATTGTAATTCCCAATGTTGTGGGAGGGATCTGGTGGGAGGTAATTGGATCATGGGGATGGATTTCCCCCATGCTGTTCTCATGATAGTGAGTGAGTTCTTACAAGATCTGACAGTTTAAAAATGTATGGAAGTTTTCTCCTTGCCCTCTCTCCCTCTCTTTCTCCTGCCTCCATGTGAAGCAGATGCATGCTTCTCCTGCTTCTGAGGCCTCCCGGTCATGTTTCCTGTTAAGCCTGTGGAACTGTGAGTTAACTAAACCTCTTTTCTTCATAAATTACCCAGTCTCGGGTAGTTCTTCATAGCAGTGTGAGAACAAATTAATACAGGAAGTATTTAATCCTTTTCTGCTTTTTTGGAAGAGTTTATGAAAAGTCAGTATTAAGGGTTCCTAAAATGTTTTGCAGACTTCACCCATGAAGGCTTCTGGACCTGGGCTTTCCTTTGTGGGTAGTTTTTGGGTCACTAATTCAGTCTCTTCATTTGTTAAAAGTCTATTCAGATTGTCTATTTCTGCTGAAATCAGTCACAGTAATTTGTGTCTTTCTAGGAATGTATCTATTTCATTTAAGTAATCTAATTTGTTGTCATACAACTAATATGATCTGGATATTTATCCTCTCCAAATCTCATGTTAAAATGTGACCCCCATGTTGGAGATGGGGCCTACTGAGATGTGTTTGTGTCATGGAAGTGGGTCCCTCGTGGATGTCTTGGTGCTCTTCTGTAATAATCTTTATTAGAACTCATTTCTATTCATGTGAGAGCTGGGTGTTCAAAAGATCATAGCACTTTCTCTCTCTTTCCTCCTGTCTTGCCATGTCACATGCTGCTGAGTATCCGTCCACTTTCATCATAACTGGAGCTCTCTGAAGCCCTTACTAGAAGCAGATGCTGACACCATGCTTCTTATACAATCTGCAGAACTGTGAGCCAAATAAACCTCTTTTTTTAAAAAAATTAACCTGAGATATTTCTTTATAGCAACATGAAATGGACTAATACAACAAATATTCATAGGATTCATTTATGAACCTTTGTATTTCCATAAGGTCAGAAGAAATATCTCTTTTTTAGTTCTAATTTTAGTAACTTGAGTCTTGTTTTTTGGTCAATCTAGCTACAGTTTTGTGATTTTTTGATATTTTTAACCAGTTTTTGGTTTCATTGAATTCCTCTGTATTTCCATTATCTATATCATTAATTTTCAACTTAATCTTTATAATGCTCTGCCTTCCTGCTTGCTTTATATTTAGCTTGCTCTTCTTTTTTTCACTGTTTTAGGGAAAAGTTTAGATTACAAAATTTGAGATCTTTCTCATTATAATATAGAAATTTAAAACTATAAATTTCCCCTAAACATTGTTTTAGCTGCATCCCAAAAGTTTGGGTATGTCGTGTTTTCATTTTAATTCATCTCAAAATATTTTCTGATTTCTCTTTTGATATCTTCCTTGATCCATTGGTTATTTAGAAATATATTGTTTAACATCCACATATTTGGGTGTTTCCCAAAATTTCTCTGCTATTATTTCCTAATTGTATTCCATTGTAATTATTTCCTTAGACAATTGTATCTCTGAAAAACTTTATTTTTTGATTTGATTATTGAATCCATTCACATTTTATATTATTATTAATATAATTGGATTTGTATCCATCATTTTCCTGTTTGTTTTCTAAACGTCTCATGTATGTTTGTTCCTTTATTTCTCTTTTAATAATTTCTTCTGCTTAAGTGAATATTTTCTTCAGGAACATTTTAATTTCTTTAGTAATTTTTTTACTTTTTTTTAAAGCTATTAAAAATGGTTCCTGTAGGGTTTACAATATACATCTTAACTTATCAGAATCTGCTTCAGAGTTTTACTAGCTTAATTCTAGGGATATATGGAAATCTTACTCATGTATAGCTCTATTTCTTTTTCCTATTTGTGTGGTTTATTATTTCACATATTACATCCACTATGTTACAAACACAGCAGTACCTTGTTATAATTATTATTTTGCCATCTGAGTGATTTCCTTAGCCCAATACAGCTTTGCTCCTACAAACCTACTTTGTACTGTTATTAGCAACTATATTATACATATGTTTTATTCTTGTGTTATAGGCCCAATATTACATTACATACACATTATCTTATACAATTGCTTTTCAAATCACTTAAGAGAATAAAGAAGGAAAAGTATGCATTTACATTGTCTTTCATAATTACATAATTACCGTTACCATTGCTCTTTGTTTTGTTATGTGAGTTTGAATTACTGTCGAGGATCATTTGCTTTCAAACTCAAAAACTCCATTAGTCGTTTTTGTAAAGAGGATCTGCCAGCAATCAATTCTCTCAATTTTTGTTTATTTGAAAATTTTTGTGTATTTTGCTTGTTTAATGATGGTTTTGCTGGATGGATCTAGGATTCTTGGTTGATGGTTTTCTTTCTTTTCTTTTTTTTTTTGCATCAAAGTTGCACAATGTCATTCATGCTGGAGTGCAGTGGCACAATCTCAGCTCACTGCAACTTCTGTCTCCCAGGTTCAAGCTATTCTCCTGCCTCAGCCTCCCATGGAGCTGGGATTACAGGCACATGCCACTGCGCCCAGCTAATTTTTTGTATTTTTTAGTAGAGATGGGTTTCACCATGTTAGCCAGGCTGGTCTTGAACTCCTGACCTCAGGTAATCCACCCACCTTGGCGTCCCAAAGTATTGGGATTACAGGTGTGAGCCACTGTGCCCAGCCAAGTTGATGGTTTTTTCCTTTGAGCACTTTGAATACGTTATCCTACTCTCTTGTGGCCTTCATTGTTTCTAATAAGAAGTCAGCTGCTAATCTCATTGGAATTGTCTTACAAGTGACGATTGGTTTTCCTCCTACTACTTTCAAGATTTTCTCCTTGTTTTGACTTTCAGTATTTTTACTATGTTGTGTCTGTTTGTGAATCTCTTTATGTTTAACTTACTTGAAGTTTGTCGAGCTTCCTAGATGTGTAGTATATTATTTTTAATCGATTTGGGGAGTTTTCAAACTATTTTTTCAAAAAAGTTTGTCTGCTCTTCCCTCATTCTCTGTTCTCCTAGTATTACCATTACACAGATACTGATTTGCTTAATGTTATTTCACATTTTTCTGACTCTCTGTTCTTTTCTTTTGAATTAATTTTTCTTTTAGTTATTGTAATTTTCAATTCCAAAATTTTCATTTTTTAAAATAATTTCTATCTTTTCATTGATATTCTCTATTTGATGTAACATTTTCATCATGCTTTCCTTTCTTTTTTAAAAATTTGTATAAATTTATGGGGCTTATTTATGGGATCTAAGTGTAATTTTGTTACATGGATAGACTACATACAAGTGAAGTCAGGGCTTTTAGGGTATCCATCACTCAAATAATATATATTGTGTCCATTATATAATTTCTCATCATCCACCCCCTCCCACCCCAGCACTCATCTAGTCTCAATTGTTTATCACTCCACACTCTCCAAGCACATGTACACATTATTTAGCTCCCACTTATAAGTAAGAGCATGTGGTATTTGTCTTTCTGTGACTAATTTCTTTAACTTAAGATAATGGCCTCCACCTTCACCCAAGTTGCTGCAAATGACACAATTGTACTCTTTTGTCTGGCTGAATAGTATTCCATTGTGTATATATACCACATTTTCTTTTTTTTTATAGTCACGAGAATTCTTTTTATTTTCTTATGTTTGCAATGATATGCATACAATATATATAGACTTAAACAAGTATATATAGTAATTACAGAGAAACAACAAATTAATAACAGTTAAACATGTAACAATCACCCAGAAATAATTATTTTTAATATATTGTCATTTTTGTTCCAAGTGTTCCCATTTTATTTATTTATTTATTTGTATTATTATTAGCATACTTTAAGTTCTGGGATACACATGCAGAACATGCAGGTTTGTTACATAGGTATACACATGCCATAGTGGTTTGCTGTACCCATCAACCCATTATCTACATTAGGTATTTCTCCTAATGCTATCTCTCCCCTAGCCCCCCACCCCAGACAGGTCCCAGTGTGTGATGTCCCTTCCCTGTGACCATGTGTTCTCATTGTTCAAGTCCCGCTTATGAGCTAGAACATGTGTTGTTTGTTTTTCTGTTCCTGTGTTAGTTTGCTGAGAATGATGGTTTCCAGCTTCATCCATGTCCCTCCAAAGGACATTAACTCATCCTTTTTTATGGCTGCATAGTATTCCATGGTGCATATGTGCCACATTTTCTTTAACCCATCTACTATTGATGAGCATTTGGGTTGGTTTCAAGTCTTTGGTATTGTGAACAGTGCTGCAATAAACATACGTGTGTATGTGCCTTTATAGTGGAATGATTTATAATCCTTTGGGTATATAGCCAGTAATAGTATTGCTGGGTCAAATGGCATTTCTGGTTCTAGATCCTTGAGGAATAGCAACACTGTCTTCCACAATGGTTGAACTAATTTACACTCTCACCAACAGTGTAAAAAGCATTCCTATTTCTCCACATCCTCTCCAGCATCTGTTGTTTCCTGACTTTTTAATGATCGCCATTCTAACTGGCATGAGATGGTATCTCATTGTGGTTTTGATTTGCATTTATCTAATGACCAGTCATGATGAGCTTTTTTTCATATATTTGTTGGCCCCATAAATGTCTTCTTTTGAGAAGTGACTGTTCATATCCTTTGCCCGCTTTTTGATGGGGTTGTTTTTTTTTTCCTGTATATACCACATTTTCTTTAACCATTTATCTGTTGATAATCAATTAAATTGATTATCTTTGCTACTGTGAATAGTGCTGTGATTAACATATGGGTGCAGGTATGTTTCTGATATAATAAATTTTCCTTCGCATAGATACTCAGTAGTGAGATTTCTGGATTGAATGGTAGTTCTATTTTTAGTTCATTGAGAAACCTTCACACTGTTTCCCATAGAGGTTGTACTAATTTACATTCCCACCAACAGTGTTCCCCTTTCTCTGCATCCCTACCAATGTCTGCTATTTTTTGTCTTTTTATAATAGTCATACTGACTAATGTAAGTTGATATCTCTTTATGGTGTTAATTTGCATTTCTCTGATCAGTGGCATTGAGAATTTTGCATATGCCTGTTGGTCAGTTGTATGTCTTCTTTTGAAAATGCCTATTCACGTCCTTTGCCCATATTTTAATGGTATTATTTGTTTTATTGTTGTTGTGTTGTTTGAGTTCCTTGTAAATTCTGGATATTAGTCCCCCTTCAGATGCATAGTTTGCAAATATTTTCTCCCATTCTGCAGGTGGTCTTTTCACTCTATTGATTATTTCTTTTGTTGTGCAGAAGTGTTTTACTTTAATTAAGTCCCATTTGTCTATTTTCACTTTTGCTGCCTGTGCTTTTGAGGTCTTAGTCATGAATTCTTTGTCTGGAACAATGTGCAAAAGAGTTTTCCTTAGGTTTTCTTCTAGTATTTTTGTAGGCTGAGGTCTTACATTTAAGTCTTTAATCCTTCTTAAGTTGATTTGTGAATATGGTGCAAGATAGGGATCCAGTTTTTTTCTTCATATAGCAATCCAATTTTCCCAGCACCATTTTTGAAAACGGTGTCCTTTCCTCATTGTATGTTTTTGTCAACTTTGTCAAAAATCAGATGGCTGTAAATTTGTGACTTTATTTCTGGATACTATATTCTGTTCCATACATCTATGTGTCTATTTTTTTTATCAGTACCTGTAATGCCGGCTACTTGGGGGTCTGAAGTGGGGGGATTATTTGAGATTAGGCATTCCAGACCAGCCTTCTTAACATAGTGAGACCATATCTCTAAAAAAGTAATAATAAAATAAAAAGAGACTTCCCGCTAATCACTTTCATCGGAATGGTGGGGCAGATTTCTCCCCCTGCCCCACCATTCCGATGAAAGTGATTAGTGGGAAATCTCTTTTAATGAGAGATCCTTTACTTCTTTAATTGTACTTTCCTTTAGGTCTGAGAACCAAACTCTGCAAACTAGCTCTATGAATAGATCTCATCAAATTGTGACTCCTTTAAGGAAATAGTTTCTTTTTTATTTTCATTTTTTATTTCAGTGGTTTTAGGGGTACAAGTGGTTTTTAGTTACATGCATAAATTTTATAGTGGTGAAGTTAGGGATTTTAGTGCACCCATCACCCAAGTAGTGTACATCGTAACCAAGAGGTAGTTTTTCGTTCTTTACCCCCCTCCCACCACCCTCCCTAAATAAATAGTTTTTGAAGTCAGTATTTGATATTTCTTCTGCCCTCAGGAAGGCTCTTTCTAGCAGGCTTATTCCTGCTTCTCTCCTGCAAACTAGTTGTCTACAGTCATTAAATCCATGAATTTCCTCTCAATTACCTTTTCCCATAACATCCACTGTTCTTGAGAGCACTGTTAAGTTTAAACTTCTCCACACCCTATTGCAAATTAAGTCCAGATTTTGGGAGAAAGGATTAAGAGATATCTATTTTAATGCTTGTTTTCCTTTCCAGGTAAAATGATCTGAGCCAAGGTTTTGAAGCTGGGTGTGAGGATAGTGGCAAGCTTCTCTCCTAGTGATATTCTCACTCTAGGAACTTTATATTTTGTGCAGGGGAGTGGAGCAGGAGCCTGAGGTCATATGAGTTTGTAGCTCCTGTGTGGGACCACCACTTCACAAGCCAGGGAAAGGCAATCAGCACCCCAGTGTTCTTAGCACGTCATGCCCCGGTACAGCCTCCATTCCACAAGTGGTGGGGCTGGGCAGAAGAAAAGAGCTCTTACTACTCATTTCCACTGATCTGGAACATAGCTGCAGTAACAGATAGCTGGGGCAAGATGAGAAACACTGAAGTCCTGCTCCTCCTGGGAATAAAGGCCTCTCTGACTAGAAGCTGGTGGGGCAAGGAAGCCCTGTGGTCTTGGCTGCAGCAGTCTGGAGTGGAGTCTCTGCTTTATAGGGGGAAGAGTGGAGTAAGTAGTCTTGGTTCACATACCACAGACTTTCAAATTTCTTACTGAATTTTCTTGAATAGATGCTTCTTCACTGTTTGTCCTTAGAATCATTTCCAGAGCATTTAAATATGTTGTTTGTTTGCTTTATAATTTTCACCACTTTTACTGGGTAACAGGTCAGTGGAGCTCCTCATACTGTTATGGCAGAAGTTAATCTCCAGTGTGTTACAGTTTGTAGTTCTACATATGTTTTTTATATTATTGTTAAGTACTTCAATAACCATGTCATTTAGGTAGCGTTTCTCTCATGCTTCAGTTGATATTTACTGAACAGGAATTGTATGCCAAATACTGTAAGTATAAAAATAAATATGATCAGTTTTTTTCCTTTAAAGATTTCATGTTACCTATGTAACAAACCTGCACATCCTGCACATGCCCCCTGTAACTTAAAATTTAAATTAAAATTTGAAAAAATGTTCATCTGTGTTAGGAAATATGGAGGAAATTCTAAGTTGTCACAGAAGTAAGAGTAGGATTTGAACACAAAGTCATTTGAAGCTTAATCTCACTAGATGAAGGTGCCTTCTATTGGATCTTGGGACTATATCAAATATGAGAGAAATAGAATAGCCTATTTGAGTGTCAAAACTGTATTTTTTTTACCCTACCAAAGATTGAAGGTATGAAAGTTCACAGTGCTCTCTCCTGCCTGACATAGTCTGTTTTACTAGATCACTCTTCTGATTTCAGCTTATCATAGTATTAGCCATCAAGTTTTTCTGGTAGAATGTTAAAAGCCCAGGTTGTTTGTTAGTAAAAATATCTTTAGTTCCAACTGCTACTTGGAGCTGGAAGCCATTATCCTCAGCAAACTAACACAGGAACAGAAAACCAAACACTGCGTGTTCTCACTGTAAGTGGGAGCTGAATGATGAGAGCACATGCACACATGGTAGAAAATAACACTACACACACTGGGGCCTGGCAGAAGGTGGGAGATGGGAGAGGGAGAGCATCAGGAAGAATAGCTGGGCTATTCAGAAGGATGCTGGGCTTAATACATAAGTGACTGGATGATCTGTGCAGCAAACCACCATGGCACACGTTTACTTACGTAACAAACCTGACATCCTGCACATGTACCCCTGAACTTAAAATAGAAGTTGGAAAGAAAAAAAATAAAAATATTAAAATGCCTAGAAGAGAAGACAATCATTTTGGAGAAGAAAAGAGCATTGCCATAAGCCCAAGTGAAAGTGCAATAAAGATTACACTGGGCAGCAAGAACAGCATTTAAATGGGGAGAATCTATTCCTAAATGAGAGCATCTTAAAGAACCAAGACCCAAGCACTGATGAGAATGGTTTGACTAAGACTATCAGTACCATTTCCAGAAGGAAGTGAGCCTTCAGATGAAAGCCACAGAACAGCCATGTCAGAGGCAGAATATGACAAGTTAACAATCCGAGAACAAGGACAAGGACAAGGAAGTCCTAAACATTGTGGACCCAAATCGACAGCAATATCACCATGAGACAGATATGGCAGAGCAGAAAGTCTCTTCAAAATTCAAGAGGAAGAATTGATTAAAAAGGCAGCGATGGGATAAGGAAATCACTCAAGGAAATATGATACACCTTTTGCAGAAATTACTTGATTGCAAAGACATGATAAGGCTGCACCAGGCTTGATTGAGCAAAAGCTACACTGCAAGATGGCAGAACCATGTAAACAAGTATCAGCAAGAGAAGCTGACACTTTTCAATGTCCAAACCAAGAGAGTCCCAATGCTACTTACCAGCAGTTTCACCTCATTCAAATTAAGGAGAAAAAATTTGATGGTGAGTTAAGGGGAGTGAGAGTAAAGAGTTAGAAATAAAGGGAGCCTGGATTATGCCTCATGTGACTTTGTATTCATAATGGCTGGCACACAATACATACTCAATAAATAAATAACTTACTGGTATGCTTAAGGAAATATACCAAGAACAAACAAGATGAAGTATCAGTAAGGAAAGTTATTTCTCAAGTTTTAGAGGTTTAAGTTGGTCATTCTATCTCATTCCTTATTAATAATCATACACTACTACTACCTCTACCATTTATGGAACATTTACTACATCCCAGGCAGTATACTACTAACATATATGTATATATGTGTCTGTATACATATATATATATAATATATATATGTGTGTGTGTGTGTTTGTGTGTGTGTATGGTTTATGTGTAATACATATATGGATATATGGGGGATATCCATATGGAGATAGATATGGAGGTATATAGGACATATATATAAAGATATATAGTATATGTGGAGATTTGCATAGATATGCTTGATTCTAACAACAATCCTAAGAGTAGGTGATCTTAGCTCAATTTTAGAGATGAAATAACTGAGTCTAAGAGCAGTTAAATAACCGAATCTACATGACTAAGTGATATGCTTGAGATTTGAACTCAAGTTTGTGTGACTCTGAAGCCCATATTCTTAAACCCTGCATCATTCCATCTTCCTACAAAGAAGCATGAATTTAGACACTGCATTCTCTAGTCTTACTTTATTACCATAATGATTTATTTATTATTTTCTGCTACAGTCCCTATAGAAGCATTTTTTCCACAAAGAATAATTAATGGAAACCATTAGATTTTCCTGCTTTGTGTTCCGCTTCTGTTGGGCATTTACTTGGTCAGGACTTTTAAGTAGGAACAGTAGGACCTCACAAGGACCAACGGTCTCCTGAGCAGCAGTTTTCTAGGGCAGCGGTCCCCAACCTTTTTAGCACCAGGAACCGGTTCGGTGGAAGACAACTTTGCCACGGACCAGAGGGAAGGGAGAGGGGGGTATTAGATTCTCACAAGGGGCACGCACTTAGATCCCTAGCATGCGCAGTTGACAACAGGGTTTGTGCTCCTATGATAATCTAATGCCACAGCTGATCTGAGAGGAGGCGGAGCTCAGGCGGTAATGCGAGTGAAAGGGAGTGGCTTGGCTGTAACTACCAATGAAGCTTTGCTGGCTCGCCTGCCACTCACCTCCTGCTGTGAGGCCTGCTTCCTAACAAGTACTGGTCCATTGCCAGGGGTTGGGACCCCTGTTCTAGGGGCAAAATCATTCTCTAACAATGATTCCATTTTTCATCATCTTCCCATCACAGTATTTTGTAACAGATATTTTGCCTGGGTGGGATTTTTGTTATAAGAGAACTGATAAGATCCTGCATGCAGATAGAGCTGAAACAGTTGGAAGAAACCTGTCTTCCCCATTGCTTTGCAAGGCCCAGCATGCCATGGGTTCTTAGATAGACCAGAGCTGGTCTGTCTCCTGAGGTGACTGAATCCTCACAAAATGCATCATTGGCAGGGCCATGATGAGGCTTCTTCAAGCAGCTTTGTTGACTGAGAGCAAGGGGACTGAGATGTGTGCTGTGTAAGAAGATTTGAGCAGGCGTCTGGGCTGAGGAGCACCAGGTGACACTGATTCTGATCAAAGTGTGCACCATGGACCAGCAACATGAGTATCACCTGGGAGATGGTTAGAAATGCATAGAACAAGGCTCATCCTAGACCTACTGAATCAGAATCTCTTGGAGTGAGACCCAGAAATCTGTGCTTTTACAAGAGCTTTGTGTGATTCTGACACATGCTGAAGTTTGAGAAGCACTGATCTAGGTGAGAAGCAGTGAGACTCTGAACTGAAGCAGTGGCATTAGGGATACGGTAGAGAGGAAGGGATTCAAGAGATATTTGGAAGGAAGAACCAACAGAACCTGATGACCAACCGGAAGTGAATCAGAGGACCACAAGTTTATGTTGACTCTCAAGTCAAAATTGGAGTTAAATACAGCATGGATATCTTTGTTGTTCACTGGGCAAGCAATATAGGAGAAGGAGCAGGTCTGGAGCCCAAAGAGGCAATAATTTCTGTGTTAAGCTTGGGATGCCTGGGAGACATCCAAGCATAAATATCTATTAGAAAATCAGCAGTGATACCCAGAATGCAGAAGAGTTTGTAAATCCAGATATTTAGGTTATAATTCACCAAAAGAAGATGTTGGAACTGAATTTACATAACATTTTCATATTAAAATTAAATGTAGGATGAAATGAGATAGCACTATGTAGCTATAAAGTAACATAAAAATAGAGCAATGTAGTATTTCACTGAGCCTGTGGGGGGTGTAAAAAATGGAGCTGTTCTCCTTATTTAAGAGACAAGTGTGTTCAAACACTAGATGCTCAAGCAAACTGAGAAAAGGGTTTTCTATCCAGAACACTCCTCAAAATGTCTGTCCCCACCCTTTGGCTCTAGTTACCTCCCATTGCAAGGATATTAGTGAATTTATGTCTTTTCCTTGGTGAGCTCTGGTCCTATTTGTAAATCTTTGTGACTCATAAGGCTGAAATGGTACTACATTTTATAGTGACCATGGGTTCTAAGCTAAAAGTCAGAATATATTTTCTGATGGATTTTTAAAAAAAATCTGATTTGAATATTTACTTAAAAGATTATTATAAAAGGTGACAGTTAAGGAATAACTTTTTATTAGAAAAAAATGTTACATGACATAGAGATCATTGTTTCCTGTTTCAGGATGCTCTTTAAAATGCAGATGAAGCCAGGCGCGGTGGCTCATGCTTGTAATCCCAGCACTTTGGGAGGCCAAGGCAGGTAGATTGCTTGAGCTCAGGAGTTCAAGACCAGACTGGGCAACATGGCAGGACCCTGTCTCTACTAAAAATACAAAAAAAAAAAAAAAATAGCTGAGTGTGTGGTGCGAGTCTATTGTCCCAGCTACTCTAGAGGCTGAGATGGGAGAATGGCTTCAGCCCAGTGAGCAGAGGTTGCAGTGATCTAAGATCGCACCACCGCATTCCAGCCTGGGTGACAGAGTGAGACTCTACCTCAAAATAAAATAAAATAAAATAAAATAAAATGCAGATGCGTAGCTTCTACTGCATCAGAATATACCAGAATATCTGGGAATCTGCATTTAAACGATAATTCAAGTGATTCTTTTGCATATGAAAGTTTGAGAAGCACTGATCTAGGATAGTTTATTTTTAGATTTGTTACTATCATTTAATGCAATGTTTTAAGCCCTGAATTTGTGTGTGCCCATTTTGTGTAATAAGGAGAGATTCCCTTTCTAAGGGACTTTGAGTACCTGAGGGAGGGTAGTTTTAAATTAATCTATAAATTATAAAGCCACAATTTTAAATTAAATCATGCTCTTCTTATACTTTTCTGCTTTATACTTTTATGGGGGCATTTTTTCCTCTAAGTGGCTGACATATGCTATATCTCAGATTTCTGCCTTAATTTCTAAAAGTAACACTTCCTTGGAGAGTGAGGTGGTTGGTGAAACATCAAATCTAATGGACAGGTGCATTAAGTCTCAGTAGATCCAGTTCAATATTCTGTAAAGGAAACTGGCATAGGGCCTAACAGAAAATGCTTAGCAATCTTTGGGAGAAAAAAAGGTTTATATTGGAAATGTTGTAATGTCTTATGTTTATTCCAGGATGTCTTATTTATTACTACCATCACTGTTGGTATCATCTGCCGTCACTGCCATCATTTTTTAAACAAATTTTGCATTTTAGGTAATGGAACACAGTATATATGTAGACAGACTTAAATTTAATTTTCATGATTGAATAGATAATTTAATGGCCTAACCCTATGCTCTGCTTACTAAAATCAAATGACAAGTGGCCATCCAAATTTATGGAAAAGGCCTCTTGATGTGGCAAAAACATTGTTTGGCCTGAAGGGAAAAAATGAAGACCTGAGTTTCTAGAAGAATTGAGTGACAAGTGTTGGTTAGAATTTGCTAAGAAAGTGACGTGCATAAAAGCAAGGTGGAGAAATGTGTTAGTTTGCTAGGGCTGCCACAGCAAAGCACCACAATTCTAGCGGCTAGAAGTCCAAGATCAAGGTATGGACAGGGCCATGCTTCTTCTAAAGGATCTAGGGCAGGATCTGTCCCAGGCTTCTATCCCAGATTTAAGTAGGACCTTGGCTTATGGCAGCATCACTCCCGTCACCACATGGCATTCTCCCAGTGAGCATGTTTCTTTCTGTGTGCAAATTTCCGCTTTTCATGAAGACACCAGTCATGTTAGATGAGGCTCATCCTACTCCAGTATAACCTCATTTTAAAATTATAAATTGACAATTTATGATCATATAAATTTACAGAGTACAAAGTGGTATTATAATTCATACATATAATGTGAAATAATTAAACTAAGCTAATATATCCATTACCTAAAATACTTAACATTTTTCTGGTGAGAACATTTGAAATTTTGAAATGTACAATACTCTGTTATTAACTGTATTCACCATGCTGTGTAATGGAATTCAAAAAAAGAAGAAAAACATATTCTTCCTGTCTGAGATTTTGTACCCTTTGACAGTCCCCTCCCCATTCCCCAACCCTGCCAGCGTCCAGCGTCTTTAACTACCACTCTACTCTCTGCTTCGATGAGTTCAATTGTTTACATTCCACATATAAATGAGAACACATGGTGTTTGTCTTTCTGTGCCTGACTTCACTTAGGATAATGTTCTCCAGTCCCATCAATGTTATCACAATGACAGAATTTCCTTATTTTATTGAAGGCTGAATAGTATTCCATTGTGCATATATACCACATTTTATTTATGCATTCATCTGTTGATGGACACTTAAGTTGATTCCATAACTTGGCTATTATAATTAGAGCTGCAATGAACATGAGGAAGCAGACATCTCTTTGACAAAGTGGTTTCAGGTCTTTTGAGTAAATTCCCAGAAGTGAAACTGTTGGATCATATGGTAATTCTATTTTTAGTTTTTGAGGAACCTCTAAACTGTTCTCCATAGTGGTTGTACTAATTTACATTCCCACCAACAGTGTATGAGGACTCCCCTTTCTCCACATCCTCGCCAACCAGTTATTTTCATCTTTTGAAAAAAAGTTTTTCCAACAGATTTGAGATTATATCTCATTGTGGTTTAATTTGTGATTTCCTAATGATTAATGATGTTGAACCTTTTGTATATATCTGTTAGCCATTATTGTATTTTCTTTTAAGAAATGTATATTCAAGTCCCTTGATCATTTTTCAGCTGGGTTTTTGCTTTCTTGCTATTCAGGTCTATGAGCTCCTTTTATATTTTGGATATTAACCCCTTATCAGATGTATGGCTTACAAATATTTTCTCCCAGTCCATAGATTGTTGCTGCACACTGTTAAAAGCTTCTGTGCAGCAAAGAAAACATTCACTTTGTTGTAATCCCATTTGTCTATTTTTGCTTTTGTTGCCTGTACATTTGGGGTCAAATCTAAAATGTACTACCCACAGTAATGTCATATAGCTTTTCCCCTATGTTTTCATCTAGTAGTTTTAGAATTTCTGGTCTTACAATTAAGTCTTTAATCCATTTTGAGGTGATTTTTGTATATGCTGTAAGATAAGGATCTAATTTCATTCTTCTGCATGTGGATATCCAGTTTTTCTATGGTCAAAAATCAGTTGATTGTAAATGTATGAGTTCATTTCTGGTCTCTCTTTTCTGTTCTCTTGGTCAATGTATCTTTTTATTTTGTGGTGGGGGGTGGGGAGGTGGGGGGGCAGGTGGTAATACCATGCTATTTTAATTACTACAGCCATGTAGTTTAGTTTGAAATGAGGTAGGTGGCACTTCCACCTTTGTTCTTTTCCTTCATAATTGCCTTGCCTTTGTTACCAAAGTTTTTTGTTTCAATATAAATTTTAGGATTATTTTCTATTTCTATGAAAAATAATGCTGAAATTTTGATAAGGACTACATTGAATCTATATGTCATTTTGGGTAGTATGGACATTTTAACAATATTAATTATCCTAATCCATGAACACAGGATATCTTTCCATTTATTTGTGTCTTCTTTAATTTCTTTTATTGATGTTTTATAGTGTTCAGTGTACAAGTGTTTCATCTCCCTGGTTAAATTTATTCTTAAGTATTTTTTCATAGCTATTATAAATGAGATTGCTCTCTTGATTTCTTTTTTAGATAATTTGTTGTCAGTGTATAGAAAGTCTACTGATTTTGCGTGTTGAATTTGTATCCTGCAACTCTACTGTATTCATTTATTAATTCTAACAGATTTTTTCAGTATAGTCTGTAGGATTTTCTATATATAAGATCATGTCATCAGCAAACAGTAGCAATTTCCCTTCTTTCTCTCCTATTTGAATACCTTTTATGTCTTTCTTTTACCTCATCTTAACTAATTGCACCTACAATGACCTATTTCGAATAAGATCAGATTCTGAGATACTGCATGTTATGACTTCAACATATGGATTTGAGGAAGATATAATTCAACCCATAGCAAAGAACATGAGAACCTGTGAAATAGTCTACAAATAAAGGATGTGGATTGTATATTAATAGTGAAAAAATGTTTTATCACTTCTCCAGTCCTATCCCAAGGCCTGTTCTCCTTGAGAAAAAAACATAAATATTCAATACTAAAGCAGAAGGGTCCTGACAGATCATTTACTTTCATATCTTATGGTGTAGCTGGGAAAACTGAAGTCTCCAGAGTTAAAGCAAAGTACTCACTCAAACACTGGGGTAGCAAATCCAAAACCTGAATTTGAGTCTCTTTATTTCCTAGACTCTGTCCCCCGTGTCCAGCTTACCAGGAGCTGGGATACTGTGAACAGTTTCGCCCTTTAAACTAAACATTGGTTTTCATTCGTGGGTTGTTAAATGCAAGGGCCAACCCCTTCTGGAAGTGAAATTGGGCATCAGGGCCCCTACGCACATCTCTTCTACGGTTGCCCCTGAGGTTGCATTGACCAGAGGACTCTCCAAAGCATAGACTGAAATTCCTGCAGCATTTTGGACAGCGCCCTGTGCTTTTCACATTGCCCCTCTGCTTCTCTATCTCTAATTTCACAACTTCTCAGTCCCATCATCTCAGAGCCTAGCCTAGCTCCAAGTTGGTAATCAAAAACATGTTAGCCTAATGTATTTGTTTCCTAATAGGTGATAGGTAATATTTTAATAGTAATAAGCCAGTCTTCTACTCCCTTTCCTCTTTCAGGAGTCTCTTGGGCATTCTGAGTGACTATCTTTGGAAGATAAAATAAGACATATTTTCTCCCATTCTGTAGGTTGTCTTTTCACTCTGTTGATTGTTTCATTTGTTGTGCAGAAGCTTTTCAGCTTGATATAGCCCCACTTGCTTATTTTTGGTTTTGTTACCTGTGATTTGGTATCATATTCATGAAATCATTGCCAAGACCAGTGACATAAAGTTTTCTCCTGTGTTTTCTCCCATGACTTTCACAGTTTCAAGTCTTACACTTAGTCTTCAATCAAGTCATTTGAGTTGATTTTTGTGTATGGCATAAGATAAGGATCTAATTTCATTATTTTGCAAGTGCACAACCAGGTTTGCCAACACCATTTGTTAAAGGACTGTCCTTTCTCTATTGTGTATTCTTGGCACCCTTGTCAAAGATCAATTGACTTGATATACATGAATTTATTTCTGGGTTTGCTATTCTGTTTCACCGGTCTATATACCTGTCTTGATGCAAGCACCACACAGCTTTAATTACTATAGTTTTATAGTATACATGGAAATCAGAAAATATGATTCTTCTAGTTTTGTTCCTTTATCTTAAGATTGATTTGGCAATTCATAGTCTTTTGTGGTTCTATATAAATTTTAGAATTGTTTCTTCTGTTTCTGTGAAAAATGCCACTAGGATTTTGATACGGATTGCATTGAATTTGTAGATCACTTTGGGTAATATGAACATGTTCACAATGCTAAGTCTTCCAAACCATATATCTGATAAGTGCTCAATCTCCAAAATATATAAAAAAAACCTCCTACGACTCAATAATAAAACAACAACAACCACAAACATAAATGAGCTGAAGATTTGGGTAGACATTTCTCCAAAGAAGACATATAAATGGCCAACAGGTATCTGGGAAAAAAAATGTTCAGTGTCACTAATCATCAGGGAAAGGCAAAACAAATCCCAACGAGAGGTCACCTCACACCTATTACAATGGCTATTATCAAAAAAGATGAGACAATAAGTGTTGGTGATGATATGGTTTTATCCTCATCAACCCTCATACACTGTTGGTGGGTGTATAAAGTAGTATAAATATTGTGTAAAACAACATGAAGTTTCCTCAAAAAGTTAATAATAGAAAATACCACATGATCTGGCAATCCTACTTTTGGGTGTTTTTCCAAAAGAATTGAAATCAGATCTTGAAAAGTTATTAGTACTTTTGTGTTCATTGCAGCATGATTCACAATAGCAAGATGTGGAAGCAACCTAAATCTCTATCAACAGATGAATATATAAACAAAATGTGGTACACACATGCAATAAATTGTTATTCAGCCTGAAAAAAGAAGGAAATTCTGCAAAATGCAACAACATACATGAAACTTGAGGAAATCATGCTAAGCGAAATAAGCCAGTCATAGAAAGTACATGATTCCACTTATATGAGGTATCTAAAATAGTCAGGTTCATAGAATCAAATAATAGAATGATGGTTGTCAGGAGCTGGGGAGAGGGGGAAATGGGAGTTGTTAATCATATGGTGTAAAGTTTCAGTCAAGCAAGATGAACAAGCTCTGGTGATGTGCTGTACAGCATTATACCTATAGTCAACAATAATGAATTACATACTTAAAAATTTATTCAGAGGGTAAATCTCATGTTAACTGTTTTTACTGCAATATAATAAAGACCTTTAATCTTTGGCTTATTTTGACCAAACTAAAAGGCTTAGATTTACTGGATAGATACAGGTGGTCATCATGGTGTTCTTCAGATTTCAAAGAGATGGTCACCATCTGATATGGTTTTGCTGTGTCCCCACCCAAATCTCATCTTGAATTGTAGCTCCCATAATTCCCACATGCAGTGGGAAGGACTGGGTGGGAGGTAATTGAATCACGGGGGTGAGTCTTTCCCATGCTGTTCTTGTGATAGTGAATAAGTCTCACAAGATCAGATGATTTTATAAAGGGGAGTTCCCCCACACAAGCTTTCTTGCTTGATGCCATTAAGACATGAATTTGCTCTTCATTCACCTCCCATCATGATTGTGAGGCCTCCCCAGCCATGTGGAACTGTGAGTCAATTAAATCTCGTTCCGTTATAAATTACCCAGTCTCAGGTATGTCTTTATTAGCAGCATGAAAACAGACTAATACACCATCTTTTTTCATCTACTCTTAAGCCTTTGGCATCTTGGGTGGCCTACGGCAAATTTAACACATTGAGGTGTAAAGAGCTTATATTGCAGCTGGTGTGCCGTTCAGCTTCAGAGCATGTTCTGAGCTGTCTAGATAAACTCTACAGTATATCTGATCACACTGGGTTTCCACTCTTCCCACAAAATCTCACCTTTTTCAACCTATTCAAAGATAGCTTGAAACAATACTTTCACGCTGCTTTCACTTTACTCCCTCTGTGCATAGGATTTCAAAAAGCAAAATACTGTATTGATCAGGCAACTATCCTGGATTGTCTCAGAAAATACTCCATTCCCCAAAACAAGCCATCACCTTCAGTTCCTTTGAGGCTGCATCAGTGAATTATAAATTCGCTATAGCAAATTTATAATTGGAAAATGACATGAGATTAATTATGGAAATGCTTTTCCAATTTCAATAGTCAATTAATAAGCAAGTATATGAAGACCACAATAATTACATTGTTCTACAAGCATTGCACTACAAGCCTTATTTAACTATATTTAGACTTTTGAAAGAGAATCCGGTTAGCATTATTTTTTAAATGAATTTGACATTCAAGGGATGCATGAATTTACTTTGGATGTTGGATTACAAATTAATGCTTATCAAATTAACATTGATTTTCTTTGTAGTCTAGGACCATCATCACAGAGAATTTTTCTGCATGAATTCCTGCCATGGTTATCACCAGGCTCATGAGTGAGATATCGGAAGGCACACAAACTTCCACGGACCCTATTAAAAAATACTCTTTCCTGACATCTGTAGTAGCCATGTACAAGTCAAAGATCTATCTTACTCCCTTAATTGAAGAAATTGTTTTTCTCTATTGTGACCAAAGAGGGAAAGTAAGAGCCAGCATAGACCCTGGAAGTTGGTCCTAAAAGTATTTGATTTAAGTAAAACCTATGACTTATTTTCATAGTATAATTATATGCCTTCAAAGGCAGAGGTCCTACGTGTACAGTTAGATAAGTTGTAACAAATGTATAAAAAACACTGGAATCAAGATATACAATATTGTCATCACCCTACAAAGTCATGTGACATTTTACAATAGTAAAATGTAACAGGTCTATCTTTCCACACATCTTCTATAGTCTAAATTTTCTGGGAGTGTGTGGTCATCTTCACTTTACCTCCTTCCTCCTTGGTGTTTGGATGAATAGAAAAGGCAGAGGCTGCCGTCAATTCATCTACTCACTGGTAGCCCTCCAACCCCTTCAGACATTTCCTGGGACACTAGCTTTGTAGTCTAACAAACCAGGCATAACTCTTGGCTCTATATCTACTTATCAGAGTTATTTTAAATGCCTGAGCCTTGGTTTCCTTATCTATAAGGTGAAGATGCTAAATGTACCTCGTATGGTTGGTATAAAGATTAACTAAAATATGTAAAGGCCCCTGACGTTCAGAACATGCTCAGCTGATATGCCATTCACTCTCTCTAGTTAAAATCTTGGGTGCTGGGTCCTTTCTCTCCCTCTCCCTCACCCCAACCAACCATCCAAAGGGTATATTCTAGTCTTTTAGGATGCTGCATTTTAAAAAGACACTTTTTCTAATCAGAAAAACCAATCCTCACTAATGCGTTAGTAAACTTGAATAATTTCCCCTTCCAGGTAACATATTTGCATTTTAATTTAAGCCTTTGGGAAGATGTTGTTTTAGCCCAAATAAAGGACTTTGAGCTAAAAATGTCAGGAATTGGGGAATGGTGTAATATTTGGGGCCAGGCAGCAATATTTTTCTCTAGGTTCCAGATAGCTACCCTTCTGCCCATGTGCACAGTTGCCTGTGTTAAATGTAGGTGGCTTTTTTCAGGAAAAGATTATGTGTACAGGTTGCAGTCAAATTTTGGACAAGCTGCTTTAAACAAACTCATGCAGGCATTAAAGTCAGAGCCTGGAATCTAAGTGCCATGACAAGGAAGCTGCCTTCTCACGGCTGGAGTGACAGCTCACAGTTGTTTAGCAGATGACAAGTAGAGATCTGCAGATCAACACTAGCATCATGGCAGCAAGCAATGGTCTCTGCTTTTGTGCGCCTCTCAGTGAAACCCACCTGGCAGGTTCTGCTGGAAGCGCCAAGAGCATATCAGGGAAGGTAGCTGATCAGCTTCCCATTTAAAACATATTTAAATTCAGAGCCCTCAGTGAGAGGCATCAAAACAGCTAGATTAGCATTTTGGAGGGCTGCCTTTTTGTTTTCCTACCTTCCACACGCTGAACTGATAGAGCTCTGGCTATGCCTTGTTCTTCCTCTTCCTTTTTTACTGAAAGTGGTTGCTAACCATTAGAACCCGCCCAGGTATCAGTTCCTATTCAGGGCTCTGTCTTCCTGTGATGTTTCCTGAAGTCTTCTTTGCTATTGGCTAGTCCCTGATTTTGTATCATTTGCTTTTCTCAGGTAAACTGACTCCCATTCACCTTTCCTTTCACCATGCTTCTCTAGCAAACAATAAAATGTCTCTGGATCACAAAAGATACTCTGATTGAAGCAAAGTAGATCTGCTGTCTTTTCTCTCCCTGTGCAGCTTTGTAGATAGATTGTGGATAAAACTAAACGTCAGCTTCTCCAACTGCTGCAAGCACTGACCCCAAAGCAGATGACACATGTCACCCATGATCATCACTCAACTCAAGATTGATGATGAAGTGCAAAAGTGAGAACTCTTTTAGCTGTATACAAGTTTGCACTCAATATGTTTTCACAGCTTCAATTGTTTTAACAAACCATTTGAGGAAATATGTTTAGGCATAATCCTTTGCTTCCTTCTTTTTTGGCATAGCATTTAGAACTCATACTTAACAGGAATTCACATAATCGGTATAAATATAAGGGAGCCGTATATATGTAATCTTGAGCACACACAAATAAAAAGCATAAAAAAGAATAAAAAGTATAAAAAGCAAGGAAAATTAGATACTTAGTACTATTAAATCTTCAGGTCCAAATTACTTTCTTTACACCTATATATCTAGACAGCAGCAAGTTGTCAATGGGATATATGAGTGGAACCTTCAACATACAGAAAATAGTTAATTTCTTAGACCAATGAATTAGGGACCAAGGGAATGGTGTTCAGCAATACATTGTCTTCCCTTGATCATTAATCTAGTTTACAAAGAGCTGCCCAGAGCAGGTTTTTTTGTATTTTTTTTTTTACTATACCTGGCATTCGGCATCAATTTTCAATGTCAATTGGCATTGGCCAATTGGGTAACAAGATTAGGAGTGTCCAGCTACAGTAAAGAAAAATATGTCAAAGTCGATTTTTCTTTCTTAATGAGACTGAAGCCTCCATTTTGCTGGTGTCAAGAAGAGGAAGAATGGCGATCAATGAATTTGATGACTGTGAGAAATTTTAGTAATCAATGAGTAATCAATTTTGCCGTTTTTTTCTTTAATCATTCTGAGCAATTATGTGAATATAATCTTTGGTGTGTATTATTAAAATAAAAGCTTAGGGATTTTAGCAATACTTAAAGTTGTACCCCTTCCTTTTAAGACAAAATAACAAGAAAAAATAGTGGCCATTAAATTCTTGGAGCTTCTATTTGAAATAAACCATTCAATATGTCAGTGATAACCGGCTCTGCAGAACTCTTCCATTTTCAAGTTCGGCACTCTTGGCTAATTTTATTAAGCCACCTTAAGTTCTTTCAGGGGCTTTCTAAATGGACTGTAGAATAATTCTCGTTGCCCAAATAGTTAAACTATTCAGTATATGCAAGCCAAGAGGTCCTGTGTTGACTCAGTGCCAGGACTCCAAACCTCTGAAGGCCCTATTAGGAAAGATAAATGAGAAGTGTTTTCCACCTACCTGTCCTTGCTTTCCACAGAATGAACTTTAAATCAAATTTTTAGCTTTATGTCACTTGAGAGAATAGTGAGAAGGGCTTTCAGGTGGAGGAAGAGCTATGATTAAAGCTTGTGAAGGGTTGAGAACAGATACATGGTAAATGAGTGTGTGTGTGTGTGTGTGAAAAATGGTGTTGAGGATTTAGAATAGACAGCATTAACTGGTACAAAAAAAGAAGTGTGATATATTTAAGGGAAAAAAAGGGGAATATACTTTTGATAAAAACAGTTTCCCTCCGTCCATCAATGAATTTGGTGGGCAGTTCTTTGCTGGCCAGAAAAGCATCAGGGAAGAGAATATAAGTGGAACTCAATACATTTAAACAGTAATGGGTGAAATACATTATTGCATGCAAAAGAATCTAACAGAACACAAAACTAAGAGCATCCAGCTTAGGAAAGAAAATTTTGTCTCTTTATTGGGATCGGAGGCCAGCATTCCTCTTTGGGAGACAAGCAGGCCTCCATGGACACTACAGGTCAAGGTCTTGTGTTTTTGACACATTCAGTATGCAGTTGGGTTCCCAGTGACTCTTTGATAGGCTGTAAAGTCAAAGTGGCATGAGATTATTGAACTTTGGGTGCCCGACTTTTCCACACTCACAAAACCCAGAATGAAATCCCTTCTAATCACTGTTTCTCTCTTCTTTGGTAGAAGTTAAGTGGGAGAAGAATTATGCTCTGGAGTAAACGCTTCCTCATCAACCTCCTGATGTTTATACAGGAGAGTGATCTTTGCTGGGAATTATAGGGCTCATTAAAGTGTTTTCATTAAAACTTGCACAAATTAGCAATCATCATCATCTAAGACTTTGGTGTAAGTCTACTAGCTTGTATGTGGTTGTAAGGATGTGTTCTAAAACTTGGAAGGGCCATATTATACTTTTATACAGGTATTTTTCTTCCATAGATTCATATGTACAGTATCTTATTTTAGAGTCTTAAAATACATGTTTTAAACCACATCCATAAAACTCTTCAGATGTTCTTGTTATATTCAGTGTGGTCAGATACACAATCAGTGGTCGCTTCATGAACTAAGGCAACGGGCAAGCTGAGAAGCAGGCTAGCACACCACACATTGTGTGTATCTTTACAAAGTGCCTGGGGGGGAAAGTGCACGGGCTGAAACCCACCCAGCCAGCCTTGCGTGCTCTGGAGAAAGCTGTTTGCCCACCTAGAAGATGTAATTCCGTAAATGCATGGCACACGCAAGTGGATGCCTTGGTGACAAGCCCTTGTTATCAAAGAAAAAGAAAGTACCCTCATTCAACGTGAAAGGGAAGAAAAATCAAAATTATTTAGATCCTATCTGTGTGTAGGAAGTTAACTGGATAGTGATGAAATCACTCACAAAACTTTTACCTGACTCCTTTGGGTCAGGCATTGACCATTGGCCGAGGTGCTTGGGGAAGCAAGTGGTCCTTACTATTTCAGGATACAGCAGGTAGGAAGCCAGTCACATGAACAAAAAAGGTGATCGTGTATAATTAGTGTTGCAACAAAGTTTACAGAACATACAAATAAACCCCAGAGGGGTTAGAGATTGGCAGCTTAGTTAGGAGTGGGTGGAGAAAAGGTAAGTCTCTTTCAAAGCCCCATTTCTCTTGGAGTGCTCAAATCAAGAATTATCTGATTGATATGATCAGAATCCACCTGCTTCAGGTGATCCTATGCCCTTTTATAGTCCTTTATTCTTTTCTCTTTGGATGTTTCCCCCTTCTACCAGGAACCAATACCCCCAAGTAATGAACTCCTACAGCCTAATCAAGCTCCATCAAAGGTATCAATTGAGGGTTCAAATCCTTCAATGTCACTAAAGCGACATCTGAGCTGATTGGATAGTGAGTCTATCCTAATGTATTAAGGGGTGATTGTGTCTTTCCATTATGTCTCTGGGGCAACATGTATTTTAATAGGGCTCTCAAATCCTTAACCTAAGAGATTCACTAAGGTGGGGGCGGTGAGCTGGCAGGGAAGGTATTTGGGAACAATTGGTTCTCTTGGATCTTCTTTAATCATAGCACATATGCAGAGGCTTCATCAACCGAAAGAAGCTATGAAAAGTTTATCCGAAGTCAGAAAAAAAAGTTCCGATTAAATAGTCCAGAACTCATACATTCATTAGCATAGTTTTTTGATTCCTCAAAAGAATTACTGAGAAGGCCTTTGATGTATCAAATATTAAGCCTTTGATGTATCAAATGCTATATGCCTGGAGGGATTAGTTCTGATTAGAAAATTCTAGTCTCTGGTCTATCTCACAGCATTTAACGACTTGTGCATCCTTTATTAATAGGCAAATGGCAGCTGGCATTCTTTTGCCAGTGTTTGCAGGAGCCTGTGTTTGCAGCAGCACACTATGTGTCTAGCCTTGGAAGATATTGTAGTTTGGACTTGGGGGTAGCAGTCAGAAGAACTTACTGATCTTGGGGGCATTGTTCACAATATTACCACTAAGTATTTTCATGTATTCCCTGAGGATAAGTATTCCTTTCTGAGTCCCTGGAACCTCTGTGAGCTATTGTTTCACTTTGTCTCGCAGGAAGAAAGGACAATCTGGCAGTCTTCATATGCCTAATGGTTCTATTTTGTACATATCTTTCACCAGGGGTCCCTGGCACTGGAACAGAGATAAACTGAAGTAGAAGGACTTTTGCAAAGTAAACTTCTTAATAGAATATTTCATGGGATGGGCCGCTTTTGCAACCCAGTGATATTCATGAAGGTGTCTGAAGAACAGCAGACACTGGGCAGGGCCCTGACACTGCTTTGTCATTTGTATAAAATCAGTCTTGGTTCATCTATCATCTTAAACAGTTCTGTGTAAAACAGTTTTTGGTGGTCATACTTTTATGTAATATTCACTCTGGAGGGAAAAGAAGGTAGGTTTATAGGGAAAAGAAGGAAACTGTAAACTTCCACAGTGCTCTAGGGAAACATTTTTTGAGGTGCTGCTGACTGTGGATCTCTGGACTCTCCTCTAGTGGGAATTATTCCCGGTGGTGTCCCTCAGGAGCCTCCCATCCATGGAGAAAGCACAAGTCAGGAAATTCAGCTGTTGGCCTCTTCCTGTGAACATTCTACCCAGGGGCCTCTCAACAGCTTAAAGTAGAAATAGAAGGCCTTTTGCTAGTTGGGTGCAATGACTCAAATTGTGCTCTCCCAAGGCTGCATACTATTTTGAGAGCAAGCAATTAAGTAATGCTCAGGTTTATGGCTCAGCAGATGAACCTGGAATGGTTCATTTGTTCTCCTAAATAACCGCTGGCTCTGTGTGTGTGTGTGTGTGTGTGTGTGTGTGTGTGTGTGTGTTTCCCTAAAGGTGAACTTCAGGATAGGTTTGCACTATGTATGCCCCAGGAAGCAACTTTATTGGATTGCATTAAAATACCCTTCAAACGTGAGTTAGAGCTCTCCTTGGTGCTGTGGACTCCTCATCTATGCAATGGAAAATACAACCCAACTCTCCTATAGAGGCTCCAATCAATGACTCCCAGGAAGTGGTGGGCATGTGTCACCTATCCTCAGCTGTCCGTTTACCTGTTATGTTTCCAGAAGGCTGTTATTCCCAGGAGAGGCTGTGGCTCCAACGTGAATCAGCAGTGAGCGTTTGCTTTTGCTAGTCCTCAGTTTACACTGAGCACTTTCCCAAACTGGGCTCTGGGTTTTGAGATGGGCACTTACAGAGCTGAAGGGAACAAGAAGGTGATATGATATCCTCACAGTATTCTTTAGGTCATTTCTTTTTCTTTTTTCCTTTTTAAGAGATGAGGTCTCGCTATGTATTTCCATGCATTCCCTCCCAGGCTACAGTGCAGTGGCATGATCACAGCTCACTGCAGCCTCAAACTCCCAAGCTCAAGTGAACCTCTTGCCTCAGCTTCAAGTAGCTGACATTACAGGCATGTGCCACTGTGCTGGGCTGAGGTCATTTCTTCTTGCCCCTAAAGCATCAAAGACAAACCTTCCTTGGTTAAGCAGCAGGGGTAGCCAAGTTGACACAAGAAAAAAAGGAGAGAGGTGATTATTGCTCAAGTGCAGTGTCTGCCCACTTCTCCCTCCCCCTCCTGGAACTCTGGACTGAGCTCAAGTCCTGCCTTGACTTCCAGGGGGGCCTCCCTGCCTTCACCTCTTCGGTGCAGAATGAGATGCTCCTGAGGGCCAGAGATGCCACCAGGAGATTTTACGTTCATGTTTTGTATTCAAATTAAAGGTAACTTCAGCAACCTTCCTCATCAGTTAGTCCTCACATATCCTCTTGTATTAAATGTATATTAGATTTCTTCTTAAAAGAAAATGTGACCTCACACCTGCAGTCCCAGAACTTTGGGAGGCCAAGGCAGGCGGATCACAAGGTCAGGAGTTTGAGACCAGCCTGACCAACATGGTGAAATACTGTCTCTACTAAAAATACAAAAATTAGCCGGGCATTGTGGTGTGCGCCTATAATCTCAGCTACTCTGGAGGCTGAGGCAGGAGAATTGCTTGAACCTGGGAAGCGGAGGTTGCAGTGAGCTGAGATTGTGCCACTGCACTCCCGCCTGGGCAACAGAGCAAGACTCCAAAGAAAATAAAAGAAAGAAGGAAAGAAAAGAAAGAAAAAGAAAGAAGGAAAGAAAGGAAGGAAGGAAGGAAGGAAGGAAGGAAGGAAGGAAGGAAGGAAGGAAAGAAAAGAGAAAAGAAAAGAAGGAAAGAAAAGAAAGAAAAAGAAAGAAGGAAAGAAAGAAAGAAAGGAAGGAAAGAAGGAAGGAAGGAAGGAAGGAAGGAAGGAAGGAAGGAAGGAAAAGAAAAGAGAAAAGAAAAGAAAGGAAAAGAAAAGAAAGGGTGGGTTATTCCCCTAATTTTCAGCTTCCCAACTCATAAGATTACAGCAGCAGAGTAAGCAGAGTAGAACTACTTTGAAAGGAAGTCATACTCTTCCCCCACTTCCACTCTGGGCCTCAGAGGGCCATTCTAGGGGGCGGCTGTGCAGAGCCCCAGGAGGTCTGTGAGGTGACCTTTCTTGTGATGGTACAGGATTCCTCAGTGGGAGTGGGGAGTGGTGCAAGTTGAGAATTTGGTTCTCGGTTGACCGCAGAGGGGCCAGCTCCTCCCCAGGGCCCCGCAGCCCCACAGTTTCAAGGCCTATCCCAGATGCTGCAGGTGGGTCTGTTAAATTCAGTTCCTAATGTCTCTGCCCCAAATATCAATTTTTCATTTTGAGTTTTCTTTTTAAAACGTTTACACATCCATATTTCCAAAGTCTTATCATGTATAAGAAACACCACAATGTGCTGGGTGTGGTGGCTCATGCCTATAATCCCAGAACTTTATAAGGCAGAGGCAGGAGGATCACTTGCGCCCAAGAGGTGGAGACCAGTCTGGGAAACATAATGAGACCTTGTCTTTACAAAAAATTAAAAAAAAAATTGTCCGATCGTGGTGGAACATGCTTGTATTCCCAGCTACCAGGGAGATTGACATGGGAGAAGGGAGGATCACTTGAGCCTGGGAGGTCAAGGCTGCAGTGAGCCATGATGGGTTCTTGCTCTCAAAATTGTATAGTGCCACTGCACTCCAGCCTAGGCAACAGAGTGAGACCTTGTCTCAGAAAAAAAAAAAAAAAATCACACTTTTTTGTGAAAATTCTCAACTTGCATCTCTCCCCACCCCCACTGAGGAAGCCTGCACCAACACAAATGGAGATAAGTGATCTTGTGAACTGCCCTCAAGTCAGAAGCAACTGGAAGAGTCAACCCATGAGTCCTTTGGTCCCCAGTGCCTGAATGCTGCCCTTCCCACCAGGAGTGGAATGTGTAACAATCCCATGGACTGTGGCACTGTATCTACATTACATATGTCACTGTTGTTATGAAGAGTGCAAAGGCTAGGACCTGAATTAGGCTAGGACCCCTGTATTAGTTCATTCTCATGCTGCTAATAAATACATACCTAAAACTGGGTAATTTATAAAGGAAAAAGGATTCACTGACTCACAGTTCAGCATGGCTGGGGAGGCCTCAGGAAACTTACAGTCATGGTGGAGGGGGAAGCAAAAACGTCCTTCACATGGTAGCAGCAAGGAGAAGTGCTGAGCAAAAAGGGGGAAAACCTCGTTATAAAACCATCAAATCTCATGAGAACTCACTCACTAACATGGGAACAGCAGCATGGGTGTAACTGCCCTCATGATTCAATTACCTCCCACCAGGTCCCTCCCATGACACATGGGGATTATGGGAACTACAGTTCAAGATGAAATTTGGGTGGGGACAGCCAAACCATATCAACCCCCCAGGTTCCATGGATGTGGGTCTGTAGGATATAAGTGTGGATTCCTCTCCACTGCTTCCTAGCATCCTTTCGAAAAACACGTAAATGCTCTGAGTTTCACTTTCTTCCTCTGCTATAGAATATCCCACGAGTTATTGTGGAGATTAAATTTCAATATTTTTAAAGGGTTCAACAGGTCTCTCATCTATGGCAAATAGCCAATGCATGTGCTTGATGATATTAACCCAAAGGTATTCATGCTTTTCAACTGCAAGAAGAGAGGCACATTCCAGACACCCTGGGAAAGCACTGGGTGGCATGAATATGCCCAGGCTGCATGGGAGGTGGCCAGTGTTTGGTGACTGGTTCCAGACCTTAGGCAGTATTATGGACACTCAGACCCTCAGTGAGATGGCGGGGCCTTAAGGGAGTGATTAGGTCATGAGAGTGGAGCCCTCATGATGGGATTAGTTCCTGTAAAAGAGGAGACATGAGACAACTTACTTTCTCTCTCTGTTCTTGGCCATGTGAGGACACAATGAGAAGACAGCCATCTGCAAACCAGGAAGAGGGCCTTCACCAGATGCTGGATCTGTCAGCACTTTGATCTTGGACTTCTCAGCCTCTAGAACTTGAGAAATAAACGTTTGTTGTTTAAACCTATGGTAATTTGTTTCAGCAGCAGAAACTAAGACAGGAAGGTGGCTCTGTTCTTTCCCCCAGGCTCCAGGATGTACACATAATTAAGAGGCTAAGATGCAAACCCCAATATCAAAGGGGTTTCCTCAAAGCAATGAAATAATGTGGAAAGCCTTTTTGAAATTGGTAGGAAGTAAAAGAAAGGCTCCTTTTTAAAAAACAAATTCTTACACAACCAAATGATGAACTGTCAGTCTCACAAACTCCCCAGGACTTTACTGAAGACTGTAAGATGACAGCCACAGGAACTGGCCTGTACCAAAGGATCCTGATGCATTCCTCAGGCTCTCAGGAGGACTCAGCCTCCTGGAACCTGAGCTCCAGGCCTCCAGGTAAGCAGTTGCCATGTTGAGGGCACAGAGGTGCTTCTATGCTCAGTGCTGCAGTGGCCTCTGCATCAGCCTCTCCCCTGGGGCTCAAAACATAAACTGCTCCTAAAGGTTCCTCCATTAAAAACAGAACTGAGCTCCAGTGCTGATAGCCTTGGGCTTGTTTATAGCCTTGGGCTTGTTTATAGCCTACCAATGGTAACTTAGAGCACAGAAATGGGAAAAAAGTTATTCTAATTTACCTCAGAGCAAAGCCCTGGTGCTCAATCCAGGAACACTATAAGAAATACAGAGGCCAGGCCCCACCATGGCCTATTCAGTCAAGCTGTCAGGTTGGTCCTTAGGTGATTTACATGAGCATCCCAGGCTGGGACCCATGGGAATCCACCCCAAGATTAGTAGTGGCAGCTCTCATTTTCAGCAGCACAATGAGCCACTTCTATACAAAGCAGGTGGAGGGTGGATCAGCTGCTTTGCACAACTGTCTTCTAAAGAACAAGACAAGGACCATTGCTCAGAACCTGGACGTCATCTCCATGGGCATTGCTCTCTCAAGAGCAGGGTCAACAGAGAGCAAGTTCCTGGATCTTCTCCTTGGTGAAATTCTGCAGAGAGTGCATCTCTAGTGATGGATGGATACAGTGCATCTCTAGTGATGGAGGACCTAAGCTGCAATTGTTAAACCTACCCCTTATATAAAAACCATGAAATATCCAGATGTATTAGACCATCTTCGCACTGCCATAAAGAACCTCCCTGAGACTGGGTAATTTATAAAGAGGTTCAATTGACTTACAGTTATGCATGGCTGGGGAGGCCTCAAAAAACTTACAATCATGGTGGAAGGGGAAGCAGGCACCTTCTTCACAGGTCAGCAGGAGAGAGAAAAAGAGTGCATGAAGGGGAAAGAGCCCTACACTTATCAAACAACCAGATCTTGTGAGAATTCACTCACTATCATGAGAACAGCATGGGGGGAACCAGTCACCTCCCACTAGGTCCCTCCCTTGACACATGGTAATTACAATTTGAGATGAGATTTGGATGGGGATACAGAGCCAAACCATATAATCAGAGAACAATGTGGCAGAGCCCAGTTGCACTTAATGGGCCTTAACATCAACCATGAACTCACCAATCTGTCTGCATTACTTCAAAGCCACCTGCCTGACAGACAGACAGCCAGATTGGACCTGCCCATTTAGTTAAACCTACAGTCTCATTCTTCCAAAGAGCTGACATTTCCCTTGGGATGGTTTGCACTACGCAGGCTAAGCTTAGGACCTCCTATTTCTATAATGCCAATTTGCCTAGAAGGTTGAGTGTGGCCGACAAAAATCTGTCTTGAATCACCAGATGATTTAGATAGCCAGATGATAGGCTGTATAATTGTATAGAAACCATTTTCTTTTGGAAGCAGGTGATAGAGGGAAGTATTCTTGCTAAGGAACTATAAATGAGATTCTACCCTGGATTTGTAGTGACCAGTGACCTTTTTTGACTTATAGCTCATGATCAATGATGTCTTAAATTTGAGCATTTAACCTTGAAATTAATTTCTTCAAATTCGTGGGATTACAGTATATGGGACTTAGAATCATTCCAGTTCAGCCCCCTAGTTTTAACCCCAAGGAAGTAAAAATGCCAGGACTTTGTCGGTGACTAAAATACAAGTGCATGTGCATGCTTGCACATATTTTATTTTCTGACTCCTGATAGGGTGTTTTCCCGTGATGCTAAGATGCTTCCAGTCTGATGTCTGAATCTAAAAAAGTCAAAATCTTTGTCATCCATTGTGTATTAGTCAGGATAGGATAGGATAGGATATGCTGTGGTAACAAAGCCCCTCGAATCTCAGTGGCTAAACCATAAAGGTTTACCTTTCTAATCACCTCCAAAGTGAGCAGCAAGGAGCTCTGCTCCTGGGTTACTCTGGAACCTGGGCTACTGGAAGCACTGCCACCTCTATATGTCACTTCAGTGTTTGCCACAGCTTTGGGATCTCACACTCTCTAGGTGTCAACCTAAAGTGACGCTCATCACTTCTGCTCTCATCCCAGTGGAAAGAACTGCACATGGGCCTTGGTTGCAAGTGATCTAGGAATCATGGTCCTCTGTGTACAATGGAGGAGAGATGAACCTGATGATGGTTAGCACCACCATATATAATAAACATCTTGGGGGCACCCATTCTGTGCTATATACTGTACTGGTGGCTGAGACTACCCACAGAAGTCCCTACACTGGAGCATGCATAGGCTGTGGGGGAGACAGGGAGTAGAAGAAGAGGGAAGGGGTTAGACTTTGTGATGTGAGAGACTATATCAACTAAGACCCTATGGTTAAGGAAACAGTTACCTATTGGTCAAGGGTTCAGGGCCTGGATGCCATGGCATGGCAAATTTCTAAATTCCTGTGACTGTAAGAAAAACCCCACTCTTATTTAACCCCCTACCAAAAGGAATTATCAGGCTGATTTACAACCCAGACCACTGCAACTCTGATTGGACAGGGGACTGGTCTTACAAACAGTCTTTTCTGATAAGCTATTACAGACTTCAAGTTTCAGCCAGTGGATAGAGACTGCACACAAGCTGTCGTTGTGGCCTATAGTTCACCTTTTGACATGAGCCAAATTCTACCTCATTTTAATGCTAAAACCCCACCCCAAATTGAACATGGCAGAGTAGGTTACATATACGTTTACCCGTTGTGCATGCATTTACTCCTCTCATAAACATGTATTATTTTCCCACCAAGCCTGCTGAGTATGTATGATACTGGCCCTGTGAGACTTAAAACCTGTCCTTTCCCTCTTCAGTCCAAGGTGGAGGCTTTCTCTTCCCAGCTTGCAAACCGGTATCTCCAGCAAAGCTCTCCTTTCTACTATTCAGCTATCCTGGTGGTCTTTTGAATGACAACTTGCAGATAGATAAGCTACAATATGACAAATGCCATAATTAAAGTGTGACGAGAGTACTGCCAACTTCAAATATGGGAACAAACACAATTGGGAAAATTGAGAAAGACTAACAAAGTAGGTGATCTTTGAGCTGGGTCTTGAATACAGAATAGAATAATCTCCTTATGAACACATCATAGTCTCATTTGAAATAATTCCTTTGCTTTTGTGAATGTTCTACTGAGGTTTGTTTTAATTCTGTAAGCTTCTTGACAAAGGTCCAACATTCTCTTGAATAGCCTTGAAATAGACTTGAACTTCTAAAGAATCAAATAAGTAATACATAAGCACAGTTGTGTTATCAGTATGAGCTGGAATTGTGTGACCCAGAAAGAAACTGGCAAAAGCCCAGGAGTACAGTGGAAAGTGTACTGAGGTGGTCATATTATATTTTCAAGCTAAAATCAGAAAGCAAGAACTTAGAGGAATTTTAAGTTCCCTTTGCATGAAAAGGCCATAAGTTTGGAATATCTGAGATATTCCAGAAGTGTATAGCAATATAGAAACAGAATGTGTTAAATGTTATAAAATGATCCCAGAAAAATCTGAAATGTGTTGTCACAGAAGCAATAAATACAGCCAGTGATTTGTATAACATCCATTTACTGAACACTGTTTCCTAGTCAGGATATTGTACTAACATACAATTAAAAATCACTGCTGCATCATTTTTTCCTTCCTCCAGGAATAAGTAAAATTCCTTTCTTCTACTATCTTAGTGAAAACCTCTACCCAATTTCACAAAGGGTGATGATTTCAATAATGACAATTATAACAAATAACAAGAATTTGCTATGTGCCAATTATAATTCTAACCATGTATTTATTCACACTTCAAGCACACTATGTTGTAGGAACCTCCAGTATCTTTAACTTAATTAAATTGCAAATAGCTTTGGGTTCCACACACTAAAGTGGCAGAACTAGGATATGAACCTAGATAGTCCAACTACAGAGCCTCTATTCTTAATCATTTCACTACACCTTTTTCATAGAATGATTTATCCTCTAGAAAAGGTGAATGACAATCCGTCGTTTCTAATTAAAAAAGGAAGAAAGAAAAGGCTCGCATATTGGTTTTTAAATTACTGGGCTGCAAATATTTTCTTTCCAGGTATCCAAATCTATATTAAGACCTATCTTCATTAAAAATGACTTATAATATTTAGCTACTCTCAAACACCTCCCTTGCTTTCCAAGGGCTAGGACTAAATAGATTCAGATACATGATGCTGTGGTATTAGGATATAATCCAAAGTACGTATTTGGTCCTCATTCCCAGGTTTCTGCCCAGAGCTCCTAAAACCCTTTTAATTTCCTAAGTGATAAGAGTGATAAAGGTGAAAGGAGCATCTTTTGTTATTCATAACAATCCCCTTTCATCTACACCTGAGCTTATGTTGATGTGATAACTTTTGGAAAGCCCCTAAGGATGGGGGCTGGTTGCCAGGGGAAACAAACCACAGGATTAAAGGCTCAGAACTTGCAGCCCCACTCATCAACCTCTGGGGAGGGGAGAGGGGCTGGAGAGTGACCTAATCACCAATGGCCAATGATTTAATCAGTCATATCTATATAATAAATCATCTATTAAAAATCCCTAACGAGGAGGTTTGGAGAGCTTCTAGGTTGATGAACACGTGGAGGTGCTGGGAGGGTAACTGCACCCAGAGAGGACGTGGAAGCTTACAGCCCCATCTCCCATAGCTTGCTCTATACATTTCTTTCATCTGGCTGCTCCTAAGTTGTGTTCCTTTTTATAAAAAATCTGGAATCTAGTAAGTAAACTGTTTTCCTGAGTTCTGTGAGCCGTTACAACAAATTATCCAACCCGAGGAGGGAGTCATGGGGGCCCCCATTTATAGCTGGTCTATCAGAAGCACAGGTGACACCTGGACCTGTGACTGGTGTCTGAGTGGAGTTAGTCCTATGGGACCGATCCCTTAACCTGGGGGATCTGATACTATTTCCAGGTAGATTGTGTCAGAATTGTGTTAAATTGTAGGACACCCAGTTGGTGTCTGCCCGATAATTGAACTGAATTGTAGAAGTGTTGAAAGTGTTGTGTGAAAGTAGAAAAGGAAAAAGGTTTGTTTCTCTCTTTGATGGGGACATTTTGTTTGAAATCCCTGTGGCACCATGGCTGGTAAGGCTGTACCAGGTGTGAGTCTTTTTCACCTTTTCCCTTCATAGGAAAAGAAGGCAAAAGAGAGGAGGGGCTATTGGCCTTTGATAAGATTATCAGGTAGACTACCTGTAACCCTTATCCCCCAACTCCTAGCCGTTGGTTCCCTGGGACTGTTTTCAAACACCTATTCATAGGGACCTGGAGTCAAAATGTATCCATCTGTTCTCACTATCTCTTGAACTCTGGAATAACTACATGTAATACATTGCTAATCATTACCTTTCCAGGATAACATATTTTTGTAAGCTACTTACGGCTTTTTAAGAAGTCACCAGTGACCTACTAGTAGAAACTTGAGATTCATTCAGAGGGAGGCATTTTTCGTAAGAATAACTTTTAGTGGTCTGCTTTTGAAAAAGGCTGGCCTCTTGGAGACAACTGCCATTTTTGAACCTAGAGGCCCGTTCTGCTGCCCCCATTGCTTACATTTGCATATGCCGCAGAACTTATTTCTGGGCTCCATGAAACTGCTGCCTACACAGCCAATCTGCCACTTCTTCTGGCAGAGGCCTCTGTGCACAAGTGTGCACACCACACACATACAGGGCAGGGCTGGCCACGCTTTTCCACAAATCCAGTTTCCGAAGAAGAATAATGAGATGCTCCACGGTCCCCTCAGAAGAAGGGTTGCTAAAAAGCAACAAGACTCTAGTGAGTGAAGTCTCTGAGCTGGTGCTGATCTCGGGGAAGGCGAATGTGGATGAAAGGTGAGGGGGCTTATAAGACATGAATGGGGAAATGGAATAACTAGAGTGGAGCACAGGCAAAAGGGGGAAATCTTCTCTCTTCTTTCTCTACCTGGCCTAATGTGAGCAGACGTTATCAGAAGGGATTCTGTTAAAACAAAGTCATTTTCTGTGACATGGTTTGTACTAAATGGAACAATGCTAGTTTTGAGTTTTCAGTGTACAATTACCAAGGGGACCTTTTAATAACTTCGGCTATTCAATTGCTAGATCATATATTGCCATTCCCTAGATTGTTGCAGTAAAGGTGATGATATAACTTGCATCCCATTGCAGTACCTTTCTTCATCACTTGTTTACCAGGAGTCAGAGAGAGAGCTTTTCAAAAAATGAGCATAGACTTCCAGGCAGCAAAGCTTTCTAATCCCACCTGACGGTCCTCAAGTTATCCAGAGCAGCTTCATGGAGAAGAACAGTAATTAGGTTGATTGAATCCTTACGCCTGCATGGCTTTTCAGCTGCTCTGATGCATTCTTTTGAGTATAAATAAGTTTTCAATGAGTATTACAGAATGGGCAATACCACAGGAAAATACTGCCAGTAAGCTCTGATTTTAGATGCTGGTCCCAATGTAGCTATTTAGTTCCTTGAATTGTTAGCTCTCTAAAGCCCTGTCTCACCCTCCCTAAACCCATGAGCCTAGATGGTTGGGTGTAATGAAGAAGTCTGAGATCATAGAAAAGCTGTCTGGCTTTTCTGGAAATTAAACCCTGACCTTTGTCTCAGTAGCAGCAGGCTTTAAGTAGCACAGCCCAGTACCATGTCTTGGTTTTGGTGATTTCTTATACGACTAGGGTGTAATAAATAATTTTGAATGATGCCTTCACATTCTGAAGCCATAAGCCTGTTAAACATTAGGTCACGAACTTTTTCTGGTTTGTCTAAGACATTGTTGGCCCTAGCACTGGAAGTCCCACATCCAGGAATCCCCTCGAACTAGGGCAAACTGAAATGATTGACCCCCCCCCCCTTTCTTAAAAGGTATAATGCAGCTTTCCTAGGATTGGATCTATTTCTCTGTTTGTTTTGTCGTCTAGATTTCTTGTTATATCAGTGCCCTCCCATCAGGTATCTCCACTATATAAGCGGCACCAACCAGCACATTTAACTGAGGGAAGGGGTGGGCGTGAGGCGGGAGGATGGAATGAGGGATATAGAGAGCAGGAAGATTAATGTCATATTGGAGTTGGACTGCAGGGCTTCCTTTACACAATAAATATTGTATGAAGTGCTGATGTAACCTTTACTGCAGCATGACATGGGATTTGGCTGTTTTTATGGCTCATGATTAAAGTAAGAAACAAGTCTCTGATTAGATGATTCTTTTTCCCCCACAGACCTCTGTCCTTCATATTTCCAAGAATGCTATTTTATTTATGCAATCCATCTAACTCAGACACCAAAATATGTAGATCACAACCTAGACAACATAAAGAAGCATTCTTTTTATTCTTGGCCTCAGATTATTTATAATCTAAAATGCTAGCTTTGATGAGCATTGCAGGGAAAGAAAGAGTTGAGACTGGCAGATTTTACCTCCTTTTAAAAAGTATACTATCTGCAAGTGGTGAAACCCATTGATATTTTGTTGAGGTTGCATAAGAAAATAGATGGGTTTTTAATGATATTAGTTTGTTTTAGTTGCAGATAGCTAAATACAGTCAGCTAAAAAGCAAATTGAGCTCTAAGGAACAGAATTAAATAATTTGGTTTTCTCCTTCTGGTCTATCCTATTCAGTAATTTAATTATTTGTGAAACTTTTAAACTCAATTGACTCATTGAATTTGTTCAAGTTGGTTGGTGTATGGTGTTACACTCATTATATATTTTTTGGTCCTGGTCCAGAAATTAGCAACTCAGCTTTATTCAATCATAGAGAGCCAACTATATTTGAAATGCCTGTGCTCAGTGTTTAATGTCTTCAAGTTATATCAATTTTTAAATTCAGAACATTAATCTGCTTATTATGTGGAAGTGCAATAAAACTATCCAGTTGAAATTGAGGAGGTTTTTCTTCTTTTTGTAACCCTTTATATAAATTCATTGGATGGAAATTTTAAAATTCAACTGTGATGATGAAGGCTAAAAATTAAAATGATCCAGTATAAATAACACCAGAGGGTGAACCCTCATAAATCAGCAAGTCTGTTGTTAAAAATAGTTCCAAAATATTATTCTAGCTATTAGATGCCATCTACTGGTTGTAATTACTATATGATACAACTGGCCATGGTTTTAATGCAAACGGAGAATACCCAAGACATCTACAGTTAAAATTCAAATCGTGTTTTATGGCATTCATATTTTGTGCAAATCAATCACTGAATAAGCTAAGCTACATTTTGAAATTCAGACTGCATTTAGGAAAAAAGCTACTGTGAACCAGAATGCCTTACTTAGATTTTACTTGTATTTGTAAAGTTTGGTCTTCCAAGAATTTCTGCATGGTGGGGCCAATATGATTTCTGGTGATTCTACAACTTAGTTTTTTTTTCCAGATGTAGTACAGTATATAGGGATCTGGAGATAGTTCTTTGACATTGTACCTGAAATGCATTTTGCAAAAGCAGTCAGATGCCAGCTGTTCTTCATGTAGGATGTGGAAGTGTGACAGACACAGTGGTTCTTGTGCTGTTGATTAACACACACAGGCTCTATCTGCATTTCTGTATTTAAGAATGATGAGTACTGATGTCCATTACAAAGAAAATTAAGTATGTAAACCAATCTCATGACACTTCTTGTATTAGTATACAGAGACTGTGCTTATGCTCTAGGAAGGAATAATTAGGTACACTACGGATAAAGAAGGTAACAGTTCCCTAGATATCTTAAATTAGAGGAAAGCACACAGATAGCAAAGTCTGCTAATGAACAGGTGCTGGCAAATTGCAGCCTGTAAATCGAATCCAACTGGCTGCCTGTTTTTGTGAATAAAGTTTTATTAAAACACAGCCATGCCCATGTGTTTGCGTATTGTTTAAGGCTTCTTGCAACAGCAGAGCTGAGTCATGGAGACAGACACCATATGGCCTGCAAAACCTAATATATTTACTATCTGGCCCTTTCAGTAAGTTTGCTGACTCCTATTCTAGAAACTTAGACTCTTAATTAAGGCTATCATTTAGTGGAAATCCTAAATCAGCATCTTTGCTTCCATCAGCATCAATTTTGCAGCAGCCATGGCTTGTCCTATGAGAGATGATTCTACCACAAGAACCCAACCACAAGGACGGCTCCTCTTTGAAGTTTTTACAGTCGATCTCTGGATCAGCCAGCGAAGTCCTGCTCCCAGGATCCAGGGAGAGACCATGGGTGCCCTCTAGGGCATGGTACAAAGGGAGGATTTGTTCCAGTAGAGAATAGAATAGGCCTTTTCTTTCACCTTTTGGTTTCCAGGTGCTGAACTACATGTAGGAGTCTTGGTAGTAAAACCAAGCTTAATGGTTATTGAAATAGAACTACCAGAGAGGTGGTAGAAGCACATGTTTTGTACAAGTTGGTTAACTGCCAGCAGCTTTGAATCGTGTAACTGCTTACAAAAAATTTCACATGGTCCAGGAATAAGAGGAAACAAATGTATGAAAAACAAATTCCCAGATACTTACATTTAAAATAAAAAGCAAACTAACAATAATTTGGAAAATTTATACTTTCATATACTACTTTTATGTAGAAAAAAGATTCAGGAAACTCCTAAAGCTGATTGTTCAAATGTCATATTTATTGATATACCCAAGGCCCTTCTTTTTGTTAAAACTACCTACATTGATGATAACCATGGAAAGAATAGGATTCGCGTATTATCTTTCTAGGTACTTGTGAAGACATCGTCTCTTTTGTTCAAAAATGCTCTATGGTAAAGAGAGGGAAAACTATTTTCTATCTCTAACTTCAATGAAAAAAAACAAAGATTCAGAACAGAATGTATCAGAACTGAACTGTGGGTTTGGATAATTACTTTCTGGCTGTGATGTTGGGGTAAGTTATCTCTTGGGGTAAAAGAAAAATCTCTAAGCTTCAAATTCCATCAGCTGTTAAGTAAGATAATATCCACCCCATGGAGTTATCATAGGGATTGGGGTTGTCCCTTGCCTTGCGTCGGAGAATTTGACTGGTACACAGTTCCTTATGATGATTTCAACTTTTCCTAACTGAGAAGAGTGACTCCCTGTGCCTATACACAATGTGGTTTTACACTGAACACCTGCTTTCCTTCTGGGAGTCTGAACTGGTTACATGTTAGGCAGAGGGTGCTTATGTGACCAGCTCCCCATAAAAACCTTGGGCTTTTCTAATGAGAACCTTGACTTATCTAATGGGCATCCCTGGGCAGAATCAGCAGATGCTTGTTGCTGAAGAAAGAAGCATGCTCTTGGGTGTCCCCTCGCAGGAGGGAGAAAGCATGAGGAAGCCTGCACATTGGTTTCTCAAGACTCCACCATGGCTTTTTCTCTTACAGTCTGGCTGTATATCATTACTATGTTGCTGGAAGGAATCTTAGCCATGATTCAAACTAAATGATCCCCATGAGTTCTTCTAGAGAAACTCCAAGTATTAGGGTAGTCTTAGGGACCCACAACACACTATATGGTTTCTTTATATTTTAATGCTAACTTGGTTAGGCTAGCCCACTAGTTCCCAACCTTGGCTATAATTAGAATTACCCAGGAAATTACACACACACATTACTCCAACTGCCTGTACTCAGTCTCAGACCAATTACATCAGGATTTCTGCTGTGTAAGACCCAGCAATTGGTATTTTTTAGTTCTGACATCTCTATGTGGTTCTTTTTTAATAGTTTCTATATCTTTGTGGAAATTGTCCATCTCTACAAGGATATTGTCAACCTTTTCCACCAGATTCTTTGGCACCTTTTTTCTTTTTCATTTTATTTTGAAATCTTAGACTTATACTAAATTTCAAGAACAGCAGAGAACCTGAATACCCTTAATTTGGTATAGCCATAGTACAATTATCAGAACTAAAACATTAATGCTGGTGCATTACTATTAACAAAACTATAGACTTTATTTGGATATCACTAGGTTTTTCTAGTTATATCCTTTTTCTGTTTAAGGATTCAATATAGGGCCCCACCTTGCATTTAGTTGTCTTTTTTTTTTTTTTTTTTTTTTTTCCTGAGACAAGGTCACACTCTGTTGCCCAGGCTGGAGTGCTGTGGCATGATCTCAGCTCACTGCAACCTCTGCCTCCCAGGTTCAAGATATTCTCGTGCCTCAGACTCCCAGGTAGCTGGGACCACAGACATGCACCACACACCCGGCTAATTTTTGTATTTTTAGTAGAGGTGGGGTTTCACCATGTTGGCCAGGCTGGTCTCAAACGCCTGGCCTCAAGTGAGAGGCTTCCTCGGCCTCTCAAAGTGCTGGAATTATAGGCATGATCCACCATGCCCCGCCACATTTAGTTGTCTTATTGCCATAGTCTCCCCAGTCTGTGATAGTCCTTCTGTGTTTCCTTGTCTTTCATGACCTTGACACTGATGAAGAATTCTGGTTTTTGCAGATTGTCCCTCAGTTTGGCTTTGTCTGATGTTTTCTCATGATTAGATTGAAGTAATGCATTTTCAGTGAACTCTGCAGAAGTGGAGTACCTCTCTCAATGTATTATAGCTATAGCAGTGATATGTAATGTTGATATGTCTTATTACTAGTGATGGTAATGGTGTTGGGTTCTGGATTTCTTCACTCTAAAGTTTTCAAACATTCCTTGGGGAGGTACATTGAGACTGTGCAAATACACTGTTTCTTTTTAAACTTTTGTCCACTAATTTTAGCATCCATTGGTGAATCTTTCCTACAACAATCTTACTGCAGTATTCTATCAGTAATATTTGATTCCCCTTATTTCTTCTACATTTATTAATTAGAATTCTCTAAGAAAGAGCTCTTCTCCCATTTATTCAATTATTTATTTATATCAGTATGTGCTCATAAATATTTATTTCATTCTATGTATTTGAATAAAATATTATTATTATTTTATTTCTTAAATGGTTCCACCTTTGGCCACTGGGAGCTTTTTTCATGTTGGTGTCTGTGCCTCTTGATATATTCCCATCATCTTTCAGATACTTCCTTACTTTTTGGTACCAGAAGATGCTCCTGTTTTATCTTATATTTTCCCTAACCCTGCCTTAGAATCAAACTTTTTTTCAAGGAGCTGTGGTTCCTTTTATGGAGAATGGGATTTAGAAACCAAGATCTGGGCACCAGGTGTGCTCATCGCTGCTGTGGAATCACTGCCTCCAGTCCCTCTCAGCGGTAGAGTTTGGAAATATATGTATGCATACCCACCCTTGCATACACACATCTATTAGTTTCTATATCTCTCTACTGAATATACTTTTTAAAAAAATGTTCATGAATTCATACTAATTTCTCCTATTGCAATCCAACACCTCATGTTTCATTCTTGCCTTCCTCCTTTCCTAATTCATAATTTTTTCTTGGATGGTGAGAAGCCTGACTCTCATTATTGATAATATTTTTATATGTTTAACCCTAATACATATATAAATTAGTTTCAGAATAGCCAACCCAAAACCTTGTAAGAAACAAATCTTCTAACTAGAAGTTAGTTAGAAGTCAGTCAGTGGTTGTATGCAGTCCCTGGTGTCTTTATCTTTTGGCATCTTCATCGGAGTCACTGTAAAGTTCCTATCTGCTCATTCCAATGTCTAGGCCTTCTGGGTCTGCTGCTGTTGACTCATTCCTGGTTTTGACCATAGGTCACATTTTCTTTCCTCTCTGTGTGTCTTGTAATATTGGCTTTTACTTGAACATTTTGTATGAAAGAATGGTAGAGACAGAAGTAAATAACACTGACTCCAGACTGATTCTGTCTCATCTGCAGTCATGCTGGGTGTGAGCTTTGTGGAAACTTGAGTTTGAGTCAGTTTACCACCAGTTTCCAGTGTTTTAGGTCAGAATCAGACCTTGTTCTTCTTCAGGGCCAGGGATACAAGCACTGGTGAGATCCTGGAAAGCTCTTTTCCTTGACAGCTGAACTGGCCAGCTTTCTGGTTAGTTGGGAGACTTTTCTTCACTTTCCATCCCAGCTGCCAGCTGCTCTGGAATCTTGGGGAGGTTGTGCTCTCCAGCCCTGCTCAGCACTGCCTTCTATTCTGTGGAGGCCCCTTGGCTTCCTGCCTTCCTATCTCTTTTGGAGGGCAACTGCCTTGCCCCTGGGGGAGACACTTCAAGCCTTCATGGGGCAGCCCTGTGGACACCTTGATTTTAGTGAGACTGTGTCAGACTTCTGACCTGCAGACTGTTAGATGATACATTTATCTTGTTCTGAGCCAATAAGTCTGTGGTCTTTTATCACTGCAGAAACAGGAAATGGATGTACTCCCCCTAAACATTCAGTAAAGACCTGGGGGAAAGAGTTGCAGGTGGGAAAAGTTGCTTTGTGCCTAGGCCTATGGAATTCTGACTGTGTGAAGCAGACTACCTCTGGGTATTAAAAGCTCATTAAGAGTTGGGCTGGTGGTGTTGGGATGAATTGTGTCCTCACAAAATTAATATGTTGAATCCCTAATCCCAGCATCTCAGAGATTAACTCTATTTAAAGATAAGATCTTTACAGAGGTAATTATGGTAGACAGGACCATATCCAATAAGACTGGTGTCCTTCTAAGAACAGGGCATTAAGGCACAGACACAGAGGGAAGACCTTGTGGAGGCTTGGAGGAAGACAGCCATCTACTATCCAAAGACAGAGACATCAGGATGTAACCAACCCTACAACACCTTGATCTGGGACTTCCACCCAGCCTGTGGTGCTGGTCATGCCAGCCTGAGCAGACTGTCACAGCCGGCTTTTCCTGACTCCCCTTTACAGAGGGCTCCTACCCTTCCTGCCACTCCACAGGTAAGAAAGAAGTCATGGGTCTCTCATCTCCCGGCAAGGGCTCGTCACTTTCTGAAATTCAACTAATTTAAGCTTCTTTGCATTATTAGCTCTCTATTAGTTTAAAAAAACAAAAATCACAATTATTCAGCTTATTTTGGTGGAAGTCTCCAAGCACTAGTGTTTCTAAAAAGTGTTCTTCCACAGCCAAAATGAAAATCCCCTTGGCTAAGATGTCCTAGTTTACAGGCTTGGCATATTTTATAAAAAAATTGAGGTACCAAACAACCTTCAGAAGAACATCAAGTCACAGTCTCCCATCCCAAAACACACACACACACACACACACACACACACACACACACACTCCTTTCACCTCATAGTCTTGAGACAAATGCTCTTTGACCTGTGGAATAGGTCATTTTGACCCTGTTTTTGGCCACCAGTGAACATACAAGTTTGTGTTGGTTTTTTACCCCCCAATAATGACCTTCCTTCCTTCCTTCCTTCTTTTCTTTCCTTCTTCACTAGTGTGACCCAACAGACATGTAATAGAATGCCAAACTACACTGTAGGGCATAAGCTTCTGGAAAGTAGTGGCAGTTATGTGACAAGAAAGATTGCCAGCCCAAATCTCAAACCTTTATGGAAGTTCCTAATGATGGTACACCATGTAGTGGTATTTGAACAGTTTTCCTGGACTAATAGCTAATAATTCTTACATTTCTATTTCATATTACCTTTATAAGTATCAAGACATTCAAAATATTTTTATGCCATCTGCTACCTCTTTTGTGCTAAGCTTTTTAAAAAATTTATCTAACACTTAACAATTGACTTTCTTTTTATAGGTATTCAGTGCATTAAATTTTTTCTTTAGAAATATCTTTGAGATATTTTTAGATACTTCTCCTAGGGCCTTTCACCCTCCAAAGATAGAAGACAATTTTCTCATAATTCTATAATGCAGTGAATTTTATAGATGTATGTATACATGTTTAATAATTAAATTGCTGCTCAGTTTCTCACTGTTTAAGGGAGAGGGCTGACCATGTTCAGAAGCCTAGAATCCTCACTCTGTCAATGATTATAGTTACCAGTAAGACTAACAGACTCAGTTCCCACATTGAGTGAGTGGCAAAGAGCAAAGTATTCAGGCATTGAAGAGATATTGAGATCACTGAGCTAGAGATCACTTAAAGTACGTTGTTCTGTACAAACGCCTGTGGTCAGATCAATCTTCAGAGACCGAGTTCTTAGCTTTGCATGTCCTGTGCTGCTTCTCATTCTTGAGGCATTTTCTGAACTGTCACAGACTTACCAGACCCCCAAAGCATGCAAAGGTGTCATTTACAGTGAGCCCTATAACTTCCAGGTGGACCACAACATCAATGTGTGTATGCCAGGACATATTGTCCCAGTGGGAAGTCTACAAGGGAAGTCAAATGATTCTCAGAAGGTGGTTTTGGCAAGCAGGAATCAGAGCAGCAGCATATCTTAGCAATCCAGCAATTCAGCTGTGATAGTCCAGTGTGGCAGCTTCCACCATCTACCCACCACAGGGATCAGAAATGGTACAGCTGCTTGTTAAGACCCTCGTCACTGTTGGAAAGAAACTGAAATCCTTGCTGTTTCACCTCCTTCTCCTTCTTAAATTGTTTTAAATATCCCAAGATGACTTTCGATGTCCTGTTGGTTGTATGCTAGGATATAATATATTGGTCCTACATTTCTCTATAAAATTTCAGTTACTTTACCTAAGAGTTTGCCAATCTCTTCTACCAAGCACTCAAAATGTCTTGGGTTACTTCTAAGAAGGCTAACCACTTTTTTTAGGTGTTAATTTCCCTAGTTCTACTTCAATAGGTTACCTATTGAAGTATTTGGAGTAAAAGAGACTATCACAGTCACCTGGTGGCCTCCATAAAAATATTTATTATGTAATTAAATAAAGTACTAGTGGCTAAGAACTATTGAGCCTTTACTACTACATGCCAGATACAGAACTATACGTTTCATATCTAGTATCTCATTTAACCCTCATAACAAACCTAGGAGGCACAGGAACTATTATTATCCTCCATTTTATAGATGCAGAAACAGGTAAGCAAAGTCAGGTCACCCATTGTTTTAACTGCTCTAAGATATTGTCTCCACCAACCATAATGGGCATGATTGATTCCATTAGCCCTAAACTACAAAGTCAGACACTAGTTTAAGTGGTAGATATGATACAGTATGAATGATTGTTTAAAATGTAATTCCTTTATAAGGCAAGGATTTGGGTTGGACCTAACACTTCTATTTCAGAACTAACCATGTTATATCAAATTTGTATCGCATGAGATTTTATATTTCAAGGGCATGATTTAGCTCATGGTACATCCAACTGCATGAAGTAAGGAAACTTGCTATAATAGAATGCCATGGTATGTATTAACATGTCCATCGGAAAAGCTTCCTCAGAACTACAAATGTATGACTCCCATGCTTAATGGGGATCAGGCTGAACACTGTAACAAGCTGCCAGATAATCTGGTGCATACTTGGAGCATAGGGACTCTGCTTCCAGGAAATGCATAAAACTCAAGTATAGACAGGTCATCGATGAGGGTGTGTTCGGAAGGCTTGTGGCCAAGAACCATGACATTAACATAACCCATTAGAGACTTTTCCTTCTTTTATCACTCAGATTGTATGCATCAGATCAGTGGTTTTAAAAGCAGTTTGCCACTAACAGCAATACATCACAAGTTTTCACAGGTTTCTGATTTCTTATAAAATAAAAAATAACGTCATTGGAAACATCTCTGTTAGAATATTTGACTAATGAGTCCTGTGTTCGGGCCTCACGTTTTGCTGGGAAGATGTCCACAGTCTGTGGTCATGAGCTACATCCTAGCTCTTCATTTCTGGAATAAATATTTTTATATTCCTCTCTCCTTTGAAATTCTGTATTTTTGTGTCATGTTTTAATTCCTTTGACATTGCTCTTACAGTGTGGTCATTTGAAAGCTAAACAAAACCACCTGGACTTCTGGATAATCGCTCATATTTTAGTATTTTTCTTTCATTAATGTTCATATATAATGATTTTGTTTCTCAGTTGGAGGGGTAACTTTTATCTCCCAAGGGATATCTGGCAATGTCTGGGGACATTCTTGGTTGTCACAACCTGGGCGACAGGGATACTAGCAGGAGCCAGTAGATAGAAGCCAGGGTTGTTGCTAAACATCCCACGGTGACTAGAAGGACCCACGCAACCAATAACTGTCTGGCCCAAAATGTCAGTAGTGTCAAGGTTGAGAAATTTCAGCTTAAGGAAAGCACTTCTGAAAACATTAAGATTTACTTATGCTTAATTTTAGTCTGTTGACATGAAGATTTTCATCACGTTTTAATATTCTTATTAATTAAATGGTGCTTGTCTACTTTCTAATTAGCATTAAATGACTTTTCCTATATTCCAGGGCTATAGAAAGATTTTTTAAAGATCTATATGAAGAATAAGAAGTTAGTCCCTTTCGGACAAAAATCTTCAGTAAAATTGATCTGTGCCCCAGGCACACAAAGAAGCAGGAATCTGGGTATTCTCACTGTCAATATTCCATATGTCTAGCCCCTGGAAACCTAAAACAAGACCAGAGAATACCAAGGAAGGCAGATTATTTGGAAGACATGGATGCCAAAGTGCTTCTCAATCCAGTCTCAGAAGCCAGAGATGTCAGTGGGTGCTGCTGTTTTATTTCCTGTGAATCGGAGGACGATGAGAAACCAAATGAAAATATTGCCACAGTTAAGATTGAAAAGAAGGCAATTTATGAGTGAGGTGTGGATTTCAAATGAGATCTTCTCTGTTGACAGAGAGCCTTTGCTCTAAGCCAATACCTGAGCTTCTGCCAGTTTGAACAATTATAATGGAGGAAGGAGATGAGGGATTAGAAAAAACAAAGCTGACAGATGGCAATTTGTGAAGAGTTGAATCAACATAAATTATATCTCATCAGTGAGCAGAGGAAAGAGAGGATGTTTTCCAGTGTTCGGCTAACCACTGAGATGGTGAACATGCCAGAGGCACAGCAAGCAAACCACTGGGCACCCTCCAGATCTGGATGCAAGCACAGAGCTGGAGAAATACCCTTTATTGGAAAGCCATATGGATTGCAAATTGTGGATAGACATCTATTTGAAACAATACAATAAATGAACATCTGGGATTTTGGTAGGTGTCAGTCATAGACTACAGAAAACCAGAACAAAATTGCTCATAACTAAATATGATAATGCAGAAAGTATCCAAGACTCGCCAGTTCAAAACCCACATTTTTAATAGTGTATATGGTTAAGTGTAAATGTTTTTTTCTGAGGTTAGAAACAGTTCACTGAAATCATATAAAATGTTCAAGTTATCAATTTTTTTCTGTAGCCTTAAATTTTCATTCTTTGAAATTAAGTAATTAAACATTAATGTTAACTTTCCAAACTTTTGTAACTATCAAGGGAAATAGAAAAGTCAGCTTGTCAGACTCAATACATTGTAATAACATATAATATAAAATAACATAGATATGGATACACATAAAAAATTACTTTAAGTCATGATAATTATAACTTTGGGGATTAAGTAAAAAAGATCTCCAAATTCAAATATAACAAATATTAGGTTCATGTGAAATAAAAATCTTTTAGCAAGATTTCTGCGTGAAAATTTTTCATTGTATGAAAACCCTGAGTTTCTCTAGTGAACAAACTAGAACCCAGTCAGAATAACTAGACCAGCAGATGGCACTAAAAGGAAAACTAACAGTCTCAGATTTTCCTAGGGCTTAAAATTATAGAACGGGAAGATTCCAAAGTGAATATAAAATAGATTGAAATCTATATTTCTGATTATATATGTAAAGGCAAAGAAATAGATTTTGGGAAAAGCAATATAAGGCTTATGTCTACTTTTTTTTTCATTTTGAATGATCGGCTGTGGTACAAATAAGTTTTACACATCCTAAAGATTGTTTCTAGTCAACAAATATATTGTCTCAAGTTATCATTAAAATGATTATGTAGAGATATTATTATAACAGTTGTTCTACTGGGAAAAGCAGCGGGTGGTTAACGCTTGTAAGAAACGAACAGCATCGCAGTGGGTGGCCTATTGCAAGGGGCAGTTTGGGGTTCATAAAGATTTTTGTGACCCTCCTGCTTGCCCCTACCATTTGAGGATTTTGTGTAGGACAAACACTTGTAAAGGCAGAAAACAGTATTTAACATTTAATGAAGTCATCCTCCACTGACGCTTTACAGCAGATGTGCTTGACTTAGTAGAATGTTGGAAAGAAAATATAGAGACAAACACATTAAAAATTATCAGACATCCTCGTAGCCTCTCCCTGCAGGTGTCTCTGAAGGGTAATTACCTTCTGCACAAGATGGAAATAAAATGGGGAAAATGTTTTGGTACAAAAGTACAAGAAGTGATTTAACGATGGGCGGGAGTCATAAGCTCCAGATGCATTATTTTTCTTTCTGTTACTTCCAGTTTTTCCTTTTTTTCAAGATGAGTTCTACATTATATGCAGAACTTACAGAGGAACAATAAGACAGTCTTTAATAATTCATATCTGAGATGAGTGAAAATAGAAGGGTGCATCTTATTATGAAGACCTCAACTAGATTAGTTATTCCAGCACACAGGATACACTACAAAACCATCTTTATTCCCACCGAAAAGGCACATTCTTTTATTTTCTGTCTTGTAAATTTCTGATGTTGGAGGGCCTAAGATTCTCGGACAAGCACCCATTCGATTCTTAATGGTTTGCTTCCCTTTGGGGTTTAAACTTAAGATCTAGATGTAGTTTTGCCAGCCAGCAAGAGGAGAAAAGGGAGAGAAGGAGACAATAAGAAAATGAACTTGGGGATCCAAAAGGTCACTTTTTCCGTCATGCTAGATGCATATTTTGATGTGAACTGGCAGAAAGACTTGCCGCAGGAAGCCGTGTTATCAGTGGCATCAGTACCGCCTTGTTGAACAACTGAACAGTGTATGCTGCTTCCTCCAGACCAAATTCTGTCATTTGAATCTGAAATGGCAGCTGTGTCAAAACAAATTTACATTATGAAGACCTAATTCCAATTTCGAAAATGCTGATTCAAAAATCTGTGTAACTCAGCAACAATCAATTATGTTTGTCAACCTCTTTGAATAACTGTTTATTAATTTCTCAGCACTCCAAGACTGGATCCCACATGGCCCCGTGGTATAAAAGCTGTATTTTCTGAATCAATAATAACTGTCATTTATTAGACTTCTGACATCTAACAATCCGGCAGACTAGACATTATGAAGAGTCGATTAGCTAAAGTACCGATAGATTCTGAATAGATTATAAAAAGCACGATTTTTCAAGCATTGCTGACCTCATAAGCAAACGCAGAGTTTTCAAGGCCAAAACAAGCAAACAAAAACAACTGCAAACAAGAGAACATAACAGTGGGCTAAGACTGGACTTGAGCATAGCAAGAAGCTGGATTTTTCCTGGGGGCAGACGCCCACACCAGGAGTAGATTTGGACCTGGGACCCACCTCTGAAAGTGGATAAAGTTGAAATGTTAGGAGTTCCTTGTAGGCACATTATCTGTGGAGGAAAGCAACCCAAGAACACAGAACTCTCATGGATTGTGTGGTCAAACATAGTCAAACACACAATCTTCATATACCTAAGGAAACAAACCAGCAGAGTGAGAGTTTGCAAAAGCAATTCATCAGTATAGAGTATTTTACTTTCTGAACAAAGACTTCAGATGATTGGCATGATCAGATTTGAAATAGGAAAGAACTATTACAATCCAAAATAGAATTTTTAAAAATAAGCAGGAACTAAGGACTATCAAAAATGCAGATGAAATAAAAAGTATAATTCTTGAAATGTTCTAGACAGCATGTTATGCACAGATGAAGAGAGAATTAATATCATACAATTTAATCATTAAATCGTTGAATTTATCATTCAATTTAAAAGGAAGCCCTGCACCTCCTGAAAGAAGGGAAAAAATAATAAACATCAAGATAAATCCAAGTTACCCAGAATGCAGCCAGGAGATAAGGAGTTAAAGAAAAAAGATTATGTGGAGGGCACAATGAGAAGGCTGAAACATAAATGTCATCAGTATTTGAGAAGAAAAAGTGCAGAACATAGGGGGGCGGATAGAGGAGAAAAACAAATTGTGGGGGTCACAGCAGAAATAATAGAAGCTAAAAGACTGGATAATAACACCTTCAAAGTGCTAAGAAAAAAACAACTGGCAACTCGTAACTATATACCTGCTGTGCCTCCTGGGTTCAAGCGATTCTCTTGCCTCAGCCTCCCAAGGTGCCAGCCACCACATCTGGCACATTTTTGTATTTTAAGTAGAGACAGAATTTCACCATGTTGGGCAGGCTGGTCTCAAACTCCTTGTCTCAAGTGATCCTCCCACCTCGGCCTCCCAAAGTGCTGGGATTACAGACGTGAGCCACCGCACCCAGCCTGAAAAAATTTTTGTATAGAAAATTAAAATATTTAAATTGTGAAATTAAATAACGAGCTAAGATACTGATTTTTTAAAAATACCATGTAAATTGAAAGAGGGGTAATTGGATTTAATCTTCTAAGCCTTGTTATTGTTCAGAAGCAAGGTTAAAGTAGAGATGCAGGTAACATTTTGAGGGTAAATACTAAAAACACAGAAACAATGAATCACAAATCAGTACAAGGAGAAAGGGAAAAATAAAAACAAAAAAGTTGAAAAAAAAAAAAATCATGGAAAATGGAGGACAAATAGAAGGCACAAAGCAAGAAGCTTGGGTCAAGTCTAGGATTTCTATTTCTGGCTGTATAAATGATATTTATTTATTTATCTATTTTTTATTTTTGAGACAGAGTCTTGCTCTGTTTCCCAGGCTGGAGCGCAGTGGCACCATCTCAGCTCACTGCAACCTCCACCTCCCAGGTTCAAGTGATTCTCCTGCCTCAGCCTCCCAAGTAGCTGGGACTACAGGCGCCCACCACCACGCCCTACTAATTTTTGTATTTATAAATGATTTGATACCTGAGATGACCTTCTCAATACAAATTAGTAGAAGTTTGGATAAGACAAAAATAAATTATTTAAATGCACAGAATATGGAATATGAGATGGTATAAGATTAATAAATCCATAGATCCCCAAAGTTAAGTGAAAGCAGGAATCCAGAAAGACATGGATACACCAAAGCCAGATTTCACCCTGAGGGTTTCTGCTGGACCTGGAGAGCTTAGGCAGCACATCGCCCCCACCCTTTGGCCACCACACAGGAGGTAATCATAAGATCCCAGGGTCTGCTCAAGGTGGAAAAATTTAATAGAAGCAGTCTGCATAAATTTGTGATCTCACAGAGCTACATCCTTAGCTTCAAGGTTAGTGAGAGGCCCACAGTGAAACAGACTGTCTTGCCCTTGGTGCTGGGTAAAGGGAGGAAATCTTCCCTGAGGATTCATGTTCATAAATTTGTCCTCATGCAGGTTTTTGGTCTAAGGTTATAGTAGCAAAATGTTCCAAAAAGACTTCAAACTGATAATTTAGAACAGAACAGTGTTAGCGGAATCCTAAAGCAGCAGAGAGAAGCAAACAAATGTTCTCCGGAAGAACTGAACCTCAACTCACACCTCAGAGAATTCCTAGCAACCTAGTTCTAAGAAAGTGAGCAGCTTTCACCCAAAAGGAACATGCGCGAATGAGGAGGACAGAATCAACAGACAATGGGAAGAGATTATCCAGACTACATGAGAACTTCAATACATTTAAGGAAATAAAAGAGAAGATTGAAATATGAACAGAAAACAGTCTATTAAGAAGGCCCATGCAGATTTGAAAGAGAACTAAACAAACTTCTAGAACTGAAAGTTATAATAATTAAAAATTTACAACTTGGACACATTAAACAAATTACGCTACTGAGAAAATCAGTGAATGAGTGAGACAGATCGATCTATCCAGAATGTAGTATAGAGATAGAGATGAAAAAGACAAAATAAAGGTTGACACAAGGAGAGTTGAGTGAAATTTAACATGGTTAACTGAGGTTTCAGAGGGAGATAAGAACAAACAGAGACAAAATTTGGGGAGAAAATATCAGATCCAAGAAACCCAGTGAAGAGCAGAATAGATAGTGGGCTTTTTAAAAAATATAGACATATAATGAGACTTCAGAATGCCAAATAGAGAAGATTTTAGAGGCCAGAGAGAAAAGATGGACTAAGACCAAGGAAGAACTGGCATTTAGATTAATGTCTGACTTCTCAAGGACAGCAATGGAAGCCAGAAAACAGTGGACTAGTAGCTTTGGGGTGATGAGAACTGACAATCTGGAATTCTATACTCAGAGAGCATTTTCTAAGAATGAAGGCAAAATAAGATAAATAGAAACTGGTGATTTTCTGGATTTGCTAGCCAGAAGCTTTGCTGAAAGAAATTCTTAAAAATCCACTTAAGTGAATATTTTTAAATCCAGCTATATGCTACTTATACCCAAATCATAAGAACTCAAAGACTAATGCAGAATGGAAATCATTAACCAAAAAGAAAATATTAATCAAGTATGCCAGAAAAGACTAGGCATAGCTAGGTAATATCTGATGAAAACGTTTTTTAAAAGGGAAATAAAGCATTACAAGTGGTGGAGTTTCACTTCAGAATGATAGAAGGTTCAATTCATTAGGAAGATATGGAGTTCTAAAATTTCACCTAAAAGCATAATTTAATTTTCAGAAAATAGAACTGCAAGAGGAGAAAACAAATACATAGTTGAATATGTGAACACACCTCTCTCAGAAATTAATGGTTCAAGCAGAGAAAACATGAATAATGATATAGAAGATTTAACAGTACAATTTGCAAGTTTACATACATGCAGCATTGCACACAACAGCTAGTGAATGCACATTCTTCAAGTAGGTGGGGACATTTTCAAGAGTTGATCACCTGTGAGGTCATAAAGCTAGCCTCAACAGAAACAAACACCACAGAAACGTTCTCTGGGCAAAACGCAATTAAGCTAAGAATGAGTTAAAACAAAACTAGAAATAAATTCCATATATTTGGAAATTTTAAAACTACTAAATAACTCACGGATCAAAGGAGAAGCAAAATACTATGTCAAACTTGTGAAATGCTATGGTACTTGTAGGGAAATTTAATAATTGTTAATGCTTTCATTTAAAAGAAAAAGGATCAAAAAGGTCAAGGTCATCAGGCATTAATCATCCTACATAAGAAGCTAGACAAAACCCAGCAAATTAAGTCCAAAGGAAGTAGAATGAAGGAAGGTAATCATATAGAAAAAAGCCACAATTAATGCAAGAGAAAATAAACATAAATGAGAGAACAAAGGGCAAAAGTTGGTTCTTTGGAAAAGATGAATAAAACAGACAAGACTCTCAAAAGGGTAAGAGGAAAGAGAGAAAAGACGAGAAGTATTAGGATAAAAAAGTACTTAACTATCAATACATCAGAAATGTAATAGGTAAGAATGTACTATAGCCAATTTTAAGCCCGTTAATTTGAAAATTTAGGCATAATGGCATAATTTTGAAAATACAACTTTCTACACTAATTTTAGAAGGAGTAGAAAATCTGCAAATTTTTATAAGTATTAACAAAATTGGATCCATCAACAGAACCACACACACACAAAAATCTTCAGGCCCATTGGACTTTACAGGAAAATTCAAGGAACAATTAATTTCAAGTTTACACAAACTCTTCCAGAGAATAACGGCCAGTGTAGTCTTAATACCAAAACCAAACAAGAAAGTGGGGAAAAACATAAAACCAAAAAAAAAAATCTAGATAAAATATCAGCAAACTGAATCAAGCAGTGTCCTAAAAAAAAAAAAAAGATAATATATTATCACCTAGAAATGTTTGTCTCAGGAATCAAAGGATTGGTTTAACATTAGGAAAACAATTCACTGAAATAATTGAATTAACAGTTTAAAGGAAGAAAATCATGTCACCGTCTCAATAGATGGAGAAAAAGCAGTCAGTGAAAAATCTCTTTTCATGATGAGAAGTTCTGCAAGTGTTCCATAATCTGACAGAGGACATTTTTTAAAAAGGAGAAACCCTATAGCAAGCATCATTCTTAATAATGGCATATTGAAACAGTTTCAGAAGGAATGGTAACAGCTCCTCTTTGTACCTCTGGTAGAAATCAGCTGTGAATCCATCTGGTCCTGGACTTTTTTTGGTTGGTAGGCTATTAATTATTGTGTCAATTTCAGAACTTGTTATTGGTCTATTCAGGGACTTGACTTCTTCCTGGTTTAGTCTTGGGAGGGTGTTTGTGTCCAGGAATTTATCCATTTCTTCTATATTTTCTAGTTTATTTGCATAGAGGTGTTTGTAGTATTCTCTGATGGTAATTTGTATTTCTGTGGGATCAGTGGTGATATCCCCTTTATCATTTTTATTGCGTCTATTTGATTCTTCTCTCTTTTCTTTATCAGTCTGACTAGCGGTCTATTTTATTAATCTTTTCAAAAAACCAGCTCCTCGATTCATTGATTTTTTGAACAGTTTTTCGTGTCTCTATCTCCTTCAGTTCTGCTCTGATCTTAGTCATCTCTTGACTTCTGCTAGCTTTTGAGTTTGTTTGCTCTTGCTTCTCTAATTCTTTTAATTTTGATGTTAGGGTGTTGATTTTAGATCTTTCCTGCTTTCTCTTGTGGGCATTTAGTGCTATAAATTTCCCTCTACACACTGCTTTAAATGTGTCCCAGAAATTCTGGTACGTTGTGTCTTTGTTCTCATTGGTTTCAAAGAACATCTTTATTTCTGCCTTCATTTCGTTATTTACCCAGTAGTCATTCAGGAGCAGGTTGTTCAGTTTCCATGTAGTTGAGTGGTTTTGAGTGAGTTTCTTATTCCTGAGATCTAATTTGATTGCACTGTGGTCTGAGAGACTGTTTGTTATAATTTCCATTCTGCACATGTACCCTAGAACTTAAAGTATAATAATAATAATAAAATGGCATATTGAAAAGATTCCCTTTGCAGCCAATAACAAGACAAAGATGCCCTCTATCATATGTTTTACATTATATAGGAGAGTCTAGTGAATACAATGAGGTAAGCAAAAAAAAAAAAAGTATGTGTTTGGAAATGAAAATACAAAACTCATTATTTAGAGATGATAGCATTGAAAATTCAATTAATCTACAGAAGTGGCTGTAATTAATAAAAGCGTAGGAAGGTTTCTGAATGCAAACTCCATATATGAAAGTTAATTGTATTTCTACATACAAGCAACAATCCGTTAGAAAATTAAACTATAAAATATATCATTTATAACAGTAAGATTAAATTACTTTGCATTTGTCTAATAAAATATGTGTAAGTAGTACATGGAGAAAAGTATAAAACTTTTTATTGGAAAATGTTAAAGATAGCCTACATAATGAAGACTTTTTTTTCCAATCAGGATGAGTTATTCAATACATGAATAGAGATCATACCAAGTTAAAAAGCTTCTGCACAGCAAAGGAAACAACTAGCAAAGTGAAGGGACAACCCACAGATGGGATAAAATATTTGCAAACTACTCATCTGACAAGGGATTAATAACCAGAATATGTAAGGAGCTCAAGCAACTCTATAGGAAAAGAATCTAATAATCCAATTTAAAAATGGGCAAAAGCTTTGAATAGGCATTTCTCAAAATAATACAAACAAATGGCAAACAGGCATATGAAAAAGTGCTCAACATCACTAATGGATCATCAGAGAAATGTAAAATCAAAACAGCAATGAGATATCATCTCACCATGGTTAAGATGGCTTACATCCAAAAAACAGGCAATAACAAATGCTGGCAAGATGTGGAGAAAAGGGAGCCCTTGTACACTGTTGGTGGAAATGTAAATTAGTATCACCACTATGGAGAACAGTTTGGAGGTTCCTCAAAAAACTAAACATAGAGCTACAATGTGATCCAGCAATCCTTCTGCTGGATATATACCCAAAAGAAAGGAAATCAATATATCAAAGAGGTATTCACACTCTCATATTTGTTACAGCTCTGTTCACAGCAGCCAAGATTTGAAAGCAACCTAAGTGTGCATCATCAGATGAATGGATAAAGAAAATGTGGTACATACACACAATGGAGTACTATTCAGACATAAAAAATAACGAGATCCTGTCCTTTGCAACAACATGAATGAAACTGGAGGTCATTATTGTTAAGTGAAATAAGCCAGGAACAGAAAGATAAATATTGAATGTTCTCACTTATTTGTGGGATCTAAAAATTAAAATAATAGAACTCATGGAGAGAGACAGTAGAAGGATAGTTACCAGAGGCTGGGAAGGGTAGTGGGAGACCAGGGGGAGGTGAGGATGGTTAATGCTACAAAAAATAATTAGAAAAAAAACAGCAAGACCTAGTGTTTGATAGCACAACAGGTTGACTATAGTCAAAATAATTTAATTGTACATTTTTAAATAACTAAAAGTGTACAACTGGATTGTTTGTAACACAAGGGATAAGTGCCTGAGGGAATGGATAACCCCCATTCTCCATGATGTGATTATTATGCACTGTATGCCCTCATCAAAATAGCTCATGTACCTCATAAATGTTAATACCTCGTAGGTATTATTAATACTCACAAAATTTAAAATTTTTTAAAAATAGTGTTAAGAAAACTGGTTATCTACATAGACAAAAGAAGAAATTGGATTCCTACTTTCACCAAACACAAAACAATTTCCACATAGATTAAGAGTAACACGTACAAATCAAAACTATGCAATTTTGAGAAGATAATATGGAAAAATATTTTAATGACTTTTTATGTCTTGAAATAGGGAAGAATTTCTTATACAAGACACAAACTGCAAAGAAAAGCTTGACTATTTTGATACTATGAACTCATGGTTATAAAAAGATGTCAAAAAGGGAGTGAAAATACCAATCACAGACTCTAAAAAGAAATTTGCCACACACATAATAGATGAGAAAATGTTATCCAGAATGCTTAACTCCTACCTAAAAGGATGGACGAAGAACATGAAAATGCATTTCACAGAAAAAGAAATACAAAAGATTATAGGCAAATAACAAGACACTCAACTTTATTATTAATCTGAGAAATTAGAATTCTTACCACAATATTATTTTATTTCTCATCCTTCAGACTGACAAAGATAATTAAAACCCAGATATCAAGTATTGGTGAGGATATGGAGCAAAAGGAACTTTCATCAGTTTATAATAGGAGTGTACATTTGTATAATCACTTTGGAAAACAATGCAGGCTGCTCTGCCTTATGGAGTGGCCATTGTTTATTCATTTACTTTCTTAATAAACTTGCTTTCACTTTACTGTATTGATTTGCCTCGAATTCTTTCTTTTCTTTTCTTTTTTTTTTTTTTTGAGTAGCAGTCTCAGTCTGTTGTCCATGCTGGAGTAGAATGGCGCAATCTCAGCTCACTGCAACCTCTGCCTCCTGGGTTCAAGCAATTCTCCCACCTCAGCCTTCCGAGTAGCTGGGATTATAGGCACCAGCCACCATGCCTTAGTAGAGACAGGGTTTCACCATATTGGCCAGGCTGGTCTCTTGGCCAGGCTGGTCTCAAACTCCTGACCTCATGATCCACCTGCCTCAGCCTTCCAAAGTGCTGGGATTACAGGTGTGAGCCACCATGCTCAGCATCGAATTCTTTCTTGTGTGAGATCCAAGAACCCTCTTTTGGGGTCTGGATCAGGACCCCTTTCCAGTAACATTTTTCTGGCAAACCATGAGGGGATTATATTTAAGATACCTCTGACCCAAAGGAAAATCATCTGCATGCAACACCAATTGACTGGCTTTGGCTGTGCCTGCTTATTAGGCCATAGGAAATGCATGCTTTCCTGGCCCTGTTCATCCAAGGGCTCTGCCCTGAAGCTAGTAATTCAGTTAAGAAACTGGCAAACCAAATCCAACAGCACATCAAAAAGCTTATCCACCACAATGAAGTTGGCTTCATCCCTGGGATGCAAGGCTGGTTCAATATATGGAAATCAATAAACATAATCCATCACATAAACAGAACCAATGACAAAAACCATGATTATCTCAGTAGATGCAGAAAAGACCTTCAACAAAATTCAACAGCCCTTCATGCTAAAAACTCTCAATAAACTAGGTATTGATGGAACGTATCTCAAAATAATAAGAGCTATTTATGGCAAACCCACAGCCAATATCATAACTGAATGGGCAAAAACTGGAAGCATTCCCTTTGAAAACCAGCACAAGACAGGGATGCCCTCTCTCACCACTCCTATTCAACATAGTGTTGTAAGTTCTGGCCAGGGCTATCAGGCAAGAGAAAGAAATAAAGAGTATTCACTTAGGAAAAGAGGAAGTCAAATTGTCCCTGTTTGCAGATGACATGATTGTATATTTAGAAAACCCCATTATCTCAGCCCAAAATCTCCTTAAGCTGATAAGCAACTTCAGCAATGTCTCAGGATACAAAATCAATGTGCAAAAATCACAAGCATTCCTACACACCAATAACAGACAAAAAGAGAACCCAATCATGAGTGAACTCCCATTCACAATTGCTACAAAGAGAATAAAATACCTAGGAATCCAACTTACAGGGATGTGAAGGATCTCTTCAAGGAGAACTATAAACCACTGCTCAATGAAATAAAAGAGGACATAAACAAATGGAAAAATGTTCCACACTCCTGGATAGGAAGAATCAATATCGTGAAAATGGCCATACTGCCCAAGATAATTTATAGATTCAATGCTATCCCCATCAAGCTACCAATGACTTTCTTCAGAATTGGAAAAAACTACTTTAAAGTTCATATAGAACCAAAAAAGAGCCCACATAGCCAAGACAATTCTAAGCAAAAAGAACAAAGCTGGAGATATCACACTACCTGACTTCAAACTGTACTACAAGGCTACAGTAACCAAAACAGCATGGTACTGCTACCAAAACAGATATACAGACCAATAGAACAGAACAGAGCCCTCAGAAATGACACCACACATCTACAACCATCCGATCTTTGACAAACCTGACCAAAACAAGAAATGGGGAAAGGATTCCCTATTTAATAAATGGTGCTGGGAAAACTGGCTAGCCATATGTAGAAAGCTGAAACTGGATCCCTTCCTTACACCTTATGCAAAAATTAACTCAAGATGGATTAAAGACCTAAATGTAAGATCTAAAACCATAAAAACCCTAGAAGAAAACCTAGGCAATACCATTCAGGACATAGGCATGGGCAAATATTTCATGACTAAAATACCAAAAGCAATGGCAACAAAAGCCAAATAGACAAATGGGATCTAATTAAACTAAAGAGCTTCTGCACAGCAAAAGAAACCACCATCAGAGTGAACAGGCAACCTGCAGAATGTGAGAAAATTTTTGCAGTCTACCCACCTGACAAAGGGCTAATATCCAGAATCTACAAAGAACTTAAACAAATTTACAAGTAAAAAACAAACAACCCCATCAAAATGTGGGCAAAGAATATGAACAGACACTTCTCAAAAGAAGATATTTATGCAGTCAACAGACACATGAAAAAGTTCATCATCACTGGTCATCAGAGAAATGCAAATCAAAACCACAATGAGATACCATCTCACTCCAGTTAGAATGGTGATCATTAAAAAGTCAGGAAACAACAGATGCTGGAGAGGATGTGGAGAAATAGGAACACTTTTACACGGTTGGTGGGAGTGTAAATTAGTTCAACCATTGTGGAAGACAGTGGCGATTCCTCAAGAATCTAGAACTAGAAATACCATTTGACCCAGTGATCCTATTACTGAGTATAAACCCAAAGGATTATAAATCATGCCACTATAAAGACACACGCACACGTATGTTTATTGTAGGACTATTCACAATAGCAAAGACTTGGAACCAACCCAAATGTCCGTCAAAGATAGACTGGATTAAGAAAATATGGCACATATACACCATGGTATACTATGCAGCCATAAAAAAAAGGATGAGTTCACGTACTTCGCGGAACATGGATAAAGCTGGAAACCATCATTCTCGGCAAACTGTCACAAGGACAAAAACCAAACACTGGATGTTTTCACTCATAGGTGGGAACTGAACAAGGAGAACACTTGGACACAGGGTGTGGAACATCACACTTGGGGCCTGTTGGGGGGTGGGGAGCTGGGGGAGGGATAGCATTAGGAGAAATATCTAATGTAAATGACGAGTTGATGGGTGCAGCAAACCAATATGGCACATGTATACCTATGTAACAAATCTGCACGTTATGCACATGTACCCTAGAATTAATTAAAACAAAAAGAAAGAAACTGGTGAATGAAAAATTATACAACTACTGTATCCTCTTCTGTCTGTCTATTTGTATGTGTTGTGTGTGTGCTGTTTATATGTGAAAGAGTTTTGATTAATTGGTTTAAAAGTAATAAGAGCTTAAATCACATATTTTGTCAGACAAAGAAAAGCTACAGTGTCTTTTGGTTCATCTGACTTTAGTAAGCTTTGGGAAATAAAGACAGTTTTAAAGGTTATTGGTAAAATTAAAATGTCTTCAAAATTTAGATATTTGGTCTAAATTAGGCAGGTCAGATATTAGGTGTCCTAAATGCTTTAAGGTCATAAACTGCTTCTTTAAGTTTTAAAAATTGTTCAGTTTACCTACTTTGGAGTATTAGATTCTAGATAAGGCCTGGGGACATGTGGAGTTAGCCATACCCCCTAGCATGTTGGAAAGAGTCAGGCCTTATCTGCACTTTTGTCTGCTGTCCTAGGCTTCACACAATTGCTTACTAACCAGATTTTTCACCAAAAGTAAACGTTGCTAAGAGTTAACATTGTAACATGTATCTGAGACTACTAGAGAAACAGTTCTACACACAAGGCATGTAAGGAAAGCAGAATATACTTTTAGTAAAAGACTATAAGAAGCCAAGGGAATGTGCATTTCCTGCTTAAGTTTAGAGAGTTAAAGGATTGTTTTAAGTGAGATAGAAAATATCTAAACGTTTGAACAAGTTGTGGAAGGTTTATAAAGAATTAATTGTAAAAGAGATTCTGTGTGTGAACATATTTGCTAAAGTTAAAGGGGTATTACTCACTTTTTCTGTAAATTGAATATTAAAATAAAAGCAAATATAAAATAAGATAAATAAAATTAATTATTAATTAATAATAAACAATAAAATGATAAAATAATAAGATATAATATATCATATTAATATAATACAATATGTCATATTATATGGTATATAATATTAAAATATATATCACAATAAATAATAAAATAATAATAATAAATAAATAAAGGGGTTTTCTTAGAACACTGATCTGCTCTTTAATGAAAATTGTAACCGGTTATAAAAGGTTTATGAGAATCTTACCTTATGCTCAAACTGATTAAGATTGGATAGATTTGTCTATAAGATGTTATTAAGAATTCGGGTTGACATTAATAGTACACTAATGCAAAGGGTGAAATTTGGCTTATTTGGTATAAAGATCACACAGGAAGCATTGTCAAATATGAAATGCTGTTTGGCTTTCTTTGAGCTGATTTGTATAAATATGTTACTGATATGTGTTCCAAAATAATGGGAAACTCCTATAATTCTGATATGATTTAGTGTGTGTTATCATTAATAATTATAATTGTTACACAAAATCATTGTATGTCACAGAGGTAAAAAAGAAAAAAAAAAACAGTGTAGCATTGCCTGGTAAATAGAACATATGTCTACCCTGGGGTCTGCAATTTCACTTCTAGAAAATCCTGCACATATGCACTGGGAGACATTCTCATGGGGGTATTTATCATACCAGCATGAATGAATGAATATATATATGTGTGTGTGTGTGTGTGTGTGTGTGTATGTGTGTGTATATATACATGAGTATATATATATATACACACACGTGTGTATGTGTGTATGTGTATCTATACACACATGTGTGTATATATGTGTGTGTGTATATATATATAATGCTACCAGAGGTAATCCAGATATCTAACTCAACACAACAGAGAGATACATTTTGATATAGTCACAGAATGAGCTACACACTGAAGAAATTGAATAAACTATGGCTTCACACAATAATATGCATGATCTCAAAACATAATGGAGAGTGCAAGAAGCAAATTCACAGAGGAGTCAATTTAGTGTGATGGCAATTTTGTAAATTCAAAAAACCAAGACTAAACAATACATTGAAGAAGCATACATGAGTAGGTGATAAAATGAAAAAGAAAAGCAAGTTAATGAATAAAACTCTCCAGTTATACTGAGATTGTCAGGTTGGATGTTTTAAAAATCCAGCTATATGATATTTACAAGAGCCATATGTAAAACACAAAGGCATTTTAAAAAGTTGAAAATAAAGGGATGAATACAGACTCAGGGAAATACTAGACATTGTCCAATTCCTGTTCTCTGCCTAGCTTGGCACTAAATATCTAATTCATTTAATTTTCTCTATCCTAAAAATGTAGATAATGTTCTCATTTTTATGGATAAGGAAACCTAGAGTAAAGTGATTAAGTAACCTACCCATAGTTTCCAAACTGGTCACTAATAGAAGTGCTGTTCACACCCAATTCTCTTTCCACAGCACCATGTTGCTCCTCCTCGGACACAGGCTGATCCTATCTCAGCATTCTTGGAAGGCTAAGAGAGAGTAATAGAAGAACAAAACTGTGTCTGAAAATGTAGGGCTGCATGGTTGCTACACCTATTGACACAAGTGAGGGATGGACATAAAAATGCAAATAATTAAAAAGGCCTTTTTGACAGGAAAGAGTGGCTCCTACAGCCAAGGTGAGTCTATGGACCAAAAAGAGAGGAGTAGGAGAAGAGGGTGTTGATGCGCAGGTGGCGGGCATACAAATGGACTCTGGCTTCTCTTCCTAGGGCAGCAGTGCTCTAAGCTTTTGGCATCAGAAATCTTTTACACTCTTAAAAATTACTTAGACCCTAAAACGCATTTGTTTACGTGTATGTAAAATAGTGTATTCCAATTTAGTATATACTAGTATATCCCATACTATGTTAGAAATTAAAGCTGATACTTTTTAAAACACAAGAATACACAACATACATTCCATTAGCCTTCTGCTGAGAGTATAATGTGTCATTTTTAGAAGAAATTTTGGTAAGAGATGTAAAACCATTAAAATTCATACCTTTAATCCATGAATCCATCCAAGAGTCTAGCATAAGGAATAAGGAAACAGTCCTATGGCGTGTGTGTGTGTGTGTGTGTGTGTGTGTGTGTGTGAGAGAGAGAGAGAGAGAGAGAGAGAAAGAAAAGAAGACAATTTCCAAAGGAAGCAACAATACGACGACAGTAAGGGATAGATTGAATGTACCTGGTAATATAGAGTAAAATGCTTATGTTGCATTCTGGTTATGCCACTTAGGGAAATTAACATCGATGTCCTTATCTATAAAATGGGAATAATTTTAATACCTACTTCATATGGATGCTGTGCATATACAATGAGATTATCTATGCCAAGTACTAACTACAGTTCCTGGCATGTAGTAAGTGCCCAATAAATGTTAAATATTTTTGCTACCATTGCATGTGAAATACTATTCAGTTGCACAAGCAATTAAAATAATACAGAATTTAAATTCATTTACACGAAAACATATTCATGGTTATTAAGTAAAATGTTAACAAGACAGCGTACACAACCTTCTATTTTTGGAAAGAACAAAATTTATCAAAAATTCTGCAAAGATATACATATGTTGTCTAACAGTGAGGATTACAGGTTACTTGTATATTTTTTTCTTTTTTGTATGTTTTTCTTCTCTGGCGGTAACTTGTGTAATAAAACGTTTTCCTTAGGAACTGTACGGTATCATGGCTGACACAAGAGGGCGCAGTAGGACTCTTGTGAGTTTTTCCTGGCACTAAGGCCGAGGGTGTAACCCTCTGTGAGCTGTCCAAGGTCTGAAGAAGGCAAGAGCCTTAATCCAGAACACAGAATGAAAGAATAGTTGTTTTCCACCCCCAAACAAAGTAACAAACAAATATGTGCACATTAGGAGCTACTGAAGCCAGGATCTCAGCTCAGATCATTTTTATCAGATTCTCTAGAGATGGGTCTAGAGAAAAAAAAAAAAATCCCAGACTATTCTAATGTGTAGCCAGGGTTGAGAATCCCTGACGCATGAGGGAACTGAAAGCGACCTGACCGCAGGTGCCATGCGTAATTGGCAGGGGCCATGCTGGTCTCTTTCATTCCCTCAAAGATCTGGTTCAACTGCCGGCGACTCTCCATGTGCCTCCTGCTCCGTACTCACATCAGTGAGCCTCCTTCCCCACTCGGTAGACTCACCTGGGAAAGACACTGACTGCCCTGCCTCCTCCACCCACCCCTGAAGCACAGAGCAGGGCTGGAGCAGAGGCGCTTGAGGCTACAGTCAATCGTGGTTCACTCAGCTGTTTTGCAAAACGATTGCCTCACAACACAGAGGCCTCCTTATTCCACACTGCAGTCAGCCCCATCCCGGAGGACGCTCATTGTTGATGATGAAGCACCTCAGCCCCAGATTCCCCTCAGCCAGCTTTCAAAAAGGTTCTGCTCTTGTGGGACAGGACGTTGGGGTGGAGGAAGCTCTGCACCTGATTTCTTACGCTGCACAATTGTGGGCCGGAGTAGAGAACTAGAGCTTCTCAGGAGGCAGAGAGGAGAGGAGAGAGCTTTGTCAGCCCCTGCAGGGCTGGGAATCCTCTGCCCGACAAGAGTGCAGAAGATACCTGTGCTCCTCTTCACTCCCAATGTCCTTCAGGCCACATTCGAGCGGGTCCTTGGCATCTTGCTGAGTTTACAGCTCACAGGGGTGTGAGCGACTGCAAAGGACCATCTTCTAGTGCTTTTGGGTGGAATCACAATCTCTTTGGGGTTCTCCCAAGGACTGAATGTGGAATGCAAGAAGGATACAACCACAAAATGACTTACCAGGGATTTCCATTCTTCACTGTGATGCTTTTCTATCCTCTTCTCTTCCCCTAAAGACATCCCAGTCACTGCTGACTCAAGACAAAGAGGAAGAAGTGAAAGCAAGACCCAGTGGTAGTTAGAATATTTTCACTAGTGAAGAGAGATTTTCCCAGAAATTCCCACACAATGTGATTGGTTGTGTCAATGGAGGAAAAGGAGCAATTGCTTTACATGCTGCATTCTTGGGGCCACTTCCATTGGGCCTATTAGAAATATCTGATGACCCATTGCTTAGGAAACACTGGGGAAATTAAGCTCTATCCACACTCAAGTTATCTTTTATTAGAACTGTTTCAGTTATCTATTGCTGTATAGCATGATGACCCACATTTTGTTGGCTTAAGACAGTCATGTATTATTTCTCACTATGCTGTGGGTTGGCTGGGGGTTCAGTCGGCTGACCTTGTAGGTGTATGTGGGACAAATGGGTCTTTTAATCTCCTGGACTTTCATCTTGGGCTTCTTTCTGGTATGATGGTCTCAGGGCAGCATCCCCAAGGGGCAAAAGCAGAAGCTAAAAGGCCCCTTGAGATTTCAGCTCTGGCATTTGAACATGACACCCACTGCATTCTAGTAGTCAGGGCAAGTCACAGGCAGGAATAAATTCCATTCCTGATGAAAGAAGCTGAAAAACATTTGCGGCTATCTTTAACATATCACAGCATTTCTTATCCTGAACACCAGTTGACATTTTGGGCCAAATAATTCTTTGTTGGGTGGAGGGGAGAGGGCTGTCCTGTGTATTATGGGGTATTTAACAACACCCCTGGCCTCTACCAATTAGATACCAGAAGCATGAGCAAGTGCACGCATGCACACTTGCACACACACTCACCAGCTGTGACAACCAAAAATGTCTCCAGACATTGCCAAGTGTTCCCTGGGGGACCAAAAAATCACCCCTCATTGAGAACCGCTGATCTGTGATAAGTGTGGATTTATTTTAGGTGGGAACTCTGGTACTTGGTATCAACACCTACCTTTTCAGATCAACACTGACTCAAATCTGCTTGAATAAATTTATATCCCCACGTGGATTAACTTACTTGGCTTGAATAATAAGTTCACATACCAACTTGTGGGTGGACTCCATACTTCTCTGCTGAGGAACAGGAAGTCCATCCCTCATCACTGAATGTGGACACGCATGAGCCTTAGGAAGCAGTCAGCTTTTCTTGTTTTGTTTCCCAAAGTTACATTTACTGACTTGTATCTGGCTCCATGAGGCCAGGACATGGTCATGGTGGTCAGTTCCAAAGAGAAGGAAACGAGGTTACATACGTGGATGAGAATGGAAGAGGCATTGTGCAATTTGTTGGGATTTATCTCGCTTTTGTTCACACACAAAAGAAAAATCCATCTCCTGTGCCATTCCTCAAGTCACACAGTTTTGGGGTAATATTTGTGGAACAGCATTCCCCACGGATGCTCTTTATTATTTAAACAAATCATTCTTCCCAACAATTATTCATTTTCAGGTTTTTCTTATATTTCATTGTTCTTCTCTCCCAAGTATGTAAGATGCAGTAATCATTACAAAATAACAGGAAATCTTAATATCTTCAAATGCTAGATGTGTTCTGGCTTGAAAATATCATGTCTGCCCATGCTATAACCACTCGGCATTTCTCCAGTTGGTTAGGGCCATTTGTGATGATGATAATCTCAGCTGAGAGGTGTTGCTGACACCATTATTTCTTGAAAGAAACTGAAGGACCCGGCTTCTTTGTGTTCAGAAAGCATCTCATTTTGTTGTCTCAGTTCTTTGATGTTGCCAGGAATCATTGAACTGTGAGAAGCTGAAAGAAAATTTATATTCCACAGAAATAATATTTTTGCTCAAAGCGGGAGCACAACATTGGGGTAGAACTTTTGTTTCTGGAACTGGACACACATGGAGAGACCGACGATGAAAACCACCATGAAGACTTTGTCAAAATATTTTGTCCCATGGCCAAGCCCTTTCACTGCTTACCTTATCAATAAAGGGCTCCAAATATTTATTTTTTACTGAGAAAGAAACTGAATTTGAGGAGCTGGCACCAGGTTGCACAAGTTATCTGTGATGCTGACACAGTTACAGCATTGCCTTCACAGGTCTGATGAATTGCTGCCAGATTTTAATTGGAACGTACACATGAAAAAGAGAGACTCTTTTGACTGTCTATAAATAATCACAACAGCAGAAAAGCAGCAGCTATAGAAATAGTTACAGAAAATAAGAACTTCCCTTTGAAAACTGCAGGCTTTTTCAACTCTTCCTGTGGGTTCATCTCTCTGCTTCCTTGTACCTGGAATTATCTCCAAATCTAGGTTTTCCATTCTGTCCATACACTATGTGCTCACATCTGTTTTTTTTTTTTTTTTTCAGTATTAGTCTATTTAGGCAGTATTTGCTTTGGTTTTCAGAAGTTCTGGTGCATATGATTTAAAACTTTATTTTCAGTACATATTGGTTTAGGTTCTTAACTCCCATGGGACACAGCATGCAGGAGAACTGAAATTGCTAAACAGGTGCTCTTTACCTTCTCAGGGGTTCTGTGCTGCACCCACATGCCATTCACCCCAGCTGTAATATATGTGTGTGAGGTCAAAGGGGTTAAAAGTGGCTCCTCAAAACTCACATACCATTATAATACTTGGAGAACTCAAGGACCTATGCCAATGAAAATATGTTGATTAAAATTAAGTTAACATTTAAAGATCTCCAGGCCAATTCAGAGGCCCTGATCTTTCAGCGAAGTGTGGGCTTCAGTTTTGCACTATGTGCTTTTCGAGCAGGTAAGGAGTCTAGCCTTTAGCTAGTTGAGGTTATTTGATCCAAACCAGCAGGTTAGGACATTCACACTATCAGCTCTCAACTCTTGGCCAGGAAGGCAGTTGTAGAGGAAGGCAGTTGTAGAAGAAGGTAATGAACAATCTCCACGCAAATCCATGTCTCAGGCTCTGTTTTCAATGGGTTACCAAGATGAAGATAGTCACTCCACCAACCAAAAGCTGTGGACTATATCACCCTCCCACCCCTACAGCACAACAAAGATAGAGAAAGCAGTTGATTTACACCCAGACAGAGAGGCCCACTTCCTGGGTAATAAGCAACTGACAGCAGGCATTTTGCATGCTGTCTACTGGAAGAAGCAGAGTTCCCTGGAAGAAGCAAAATTTTTAGCAGTGAATGAATGTGGGGATTTGCATTACATGCTTGAAGCAATTATAAGACCAAAGGCAAAGTCCTTTTTGCCATTGGTAGTGGAGACCCTCCTGCAGGGTGCAGAAAGGCACAGAAAAGGTGATGAGAGCTCTGGACACTACACCTGGATGATGAAAAAAGAATTCAGAGAGAAACAATTTACTTAGCCACAAATAGTTTTGGGAAAATTATCAGTATCAAAGTGGAGTCACCAATGTCAAATCTTAATACATGAAGCCAGGAGGCCATGAAAGAGGGACCTCCTGCACGCCTGCCTATGATGGCAGTTGTGCAAGGAATTCCTCAAAGCTGCAGCATTCCAGATAAGCCGGTTGCACAAAGAAACTTTCCTCACAACAGCTGCCTCCACCCATGAGCTAATGCCAGCTCCTGCAACAAGGCCCTGTAACCAATGGTTTGTTTCAAAACAGCTTCTGCGGACTCCTTTTTTTCTTAAGAGCTTTCACTTTCCCCATTCCACTTTGATGTGCCTATGGTCTGCCATAGCACACATATCTTTCATTGCAATCCCTTGCTCTTCCTGAATGAATTCTTTGCTTTGAAGAGTTGGTCTCTGTCACTCATTTTAGATTGACAGTTTAGAATTTCCCCAATTTTTATTAAGTTATATTTATACTGGAATTGTACTGCATGACACTTTTATGTGTGTACATGTAAGTATAACTATACTTATGAAAACTGGAAAGTCTATTTCATTCTCATACCATGAAATTTGATCAATCATTTTCAATCTTTTTATTGTCTTTATAAAGCCCTGAGTTAAAGAACTCTTTCAGGTATTGTTATAAATAAGTGACAGGGACAGGGAAGGTTTTGGTGTCTTCAATGAGAAGGTAGCTAAGCAGGAGGCTTCATGGAAGGCTGCCCCAGCAGAACTTATTTCTTTCTGGGTGTTATGGGCAGAATTGCATCTCCCCAAAATTCACATGCTGAAGTCCTAACCCCCAGGACTTTAGAATGTGATCACATTTGGAGATAGAGCCTTTAAAGGGCTGATTAAGTTGAAGTGGGGTAATTAGGATGGGTCCTAATCCAATCTGACCAGTGTCCTTATATGAAGGGGAAATTTGGACATAGAGACAGAGACCATGCCTCTGTGAGACCATATGAAGACACAGGGAGAAGATGGCCACCTGCAAGCTGCGGAGAGAAGCCCAGGAGAAAACAAACCTGCCAGATGCTTTGTCTTGGGTTTCTAGCCTCCAGAACTATGAAAAAAAATAATAAATTTCTGTTGTTTAAGCCACTTACCCTGCGGTATTTTGTTATGCATCCCTAGCAGACTAATGCACTGGGTATGCTCTACTTTATATTTGCACTCAAGGGGACGGGATCAGTGGGAAGAAAGTCACCCACAGGGGCTGTGATGAGGCTATCTTAACCTTGAACCAAGAAGGCAGAGATGAACTACATGATTCTGAAATCCCTTTAGCACCCTGGCAGTTGAGGTAAGTCTGAGTTTTCCCCATCAGTCATTGTGATGGAATCAAAAGGAGCATTGGATTTAAGGTGATTCTGATGACAGCTTCTCCCTCCTGTTTCCCTGCCCTCCCATGCCCCCAAGAAGGTGTTACACATTCATTTTTGTTGTTGATGTTTTTGTCCACTCAGAGTGACCTATCTCCTCATCCATGCATATTCCCTTGTCAGAGTTTTTGGAACCAAAAGATAACATTTTTGAAAAATGACTGATCAGCATTCATGGTAGTCTAGTGTCATGGTTCCTAATCTTGAGCATGTATCAGAATCACCTGGAGCATTTGTTAAACTTGTTAGAACACAGATTGCTGGGTCCCACCTCCAGAATTTCTGATTCAACAGTCCTAGGGGTAGGCCTGAGAAGCTGCATTTTGAACAAACTCCCAGGTGATGCTGGTGCTGCTGTTTCAAGTATTTTGAGAACCATCACCTAGGGCAATGGAACACAAGGAAACATTATTTGTTCACAATTCTCTGGCTCCAGCTCTAACCACCTTTACTCACCACAGCAGACAGAATAGGGGTGTGTGTGTGTGTGTGTGTGTGTTGTACCTGCATTTTAAATTAGGCCTAGGTTGGGGTAAATGTTGTCTTAGAGAGTTTCAGAAAAAGGTATGCTGCTGTGATTAAATTTTTCCTCAGATGAAGCTGCTGAGGAGGCCAACTCTATCCAGTAAAAAGACATTCTAAAAAATTCCATTTAGCAAACATTTGTCTTTAACGCAAATGAACAACAAACATACTATTTAAATTTTATTGGTTTTTTTCCTTATTGTGTGACTTTCTCTTAAAAAACCCTCAAAGGGAAGAAAAGTGTATAAGTACTACAGTGATCTGTAAGCTAATTATGATAATTCAATTTACATAGAGTTTCTATTCCTACAATTAGAAGCACTAAACTTATATTGAGCCACAGGAACAAAAAAAGGGCTAGCAGTGTCGACTCTTCTTATAGTAAAATTGAAGGGACAGTTCAAAGTGGTTTGTTCTAGAAGAGTTTTATCAATTATTATTTGAGTGACCATTGATTGTGACTTGGGAGTATTCTTGTGTGTGTGAAGATACTCAATAAATGTTTAGTCTTTGTTATGAGAGCAAGTGGTGTCAATTTGTCAAAAATTCCTAGAACAAAGGAATATAATTGTATTTATTACCAGCGAACTGCACACTTAAAATGGTTAAAATAGTAAAGTATATATGTGTATTTTACCCCAATAAAAATTAATAAATAAAATATTCTTGTTAATTGGGTGCTGAGTGTACTGCCACTCACTTGCACACCTGACATTGAATACCAAGGGCAATGTGAGGAGGAGAGAGATACCCATTAAACTCTGGCAATAAGGAATCTCCTGTGCTTCCTTGTAAGTTTCAGGTATTTTCATTGTAAGCACAATAGCCAACTCTAGCTAATAAGCAAAAACAAAAGAAAACAAATTGAGAGGAAGGAGAACTGGAATAATCTGTTATGTCTAACAACAACAGCAATGACAGCAAAATCAGGCTTACCCTTGCAGGAGCCAGGGCAGCTTCAGGAACCTCAGTGACAAGATTTTGGGGACCTACTATTTGGAGCACTGTGGTTAACACAATGAGACCCAACCTCAAGGGCTCTTGTTCTCTGGTTCTCCTTCCTCCACATGTTAAACATATGGGAAAGAAAATGTGACTGGCCAAGCTCAGGTCTGGTGTCAATACCTAGGTCAATTAGCTACGGCCAGGTGTGAACAGAAGGATGAAGGAACTGCAAGTCAGGCAGCTGTCTCAAGTGGCATTTACTACACTCCTCTGCCATTTTACTCTGAAAGACTTTGATAAATTAAGCATCACCTTCCACTTTATCCCCCTCTTAATGTGCTCTCCTAGAGTAGCACCACAGGTGCCAGACTTACAACCTTTGTTTTCTCCTATTTAGTCTTAACCCTCGTTCCTAAAGCACAGGTATTTACACGAATGTATCTGGCTTAATTCATACTGAGGAGTGAATAACTGACAGCCCTTTGTTTACTGTATTTTTAAATTATTTTTTACATTTTGGTAAAACAGCCGGATACAGTGGCTTGCACCTGTGGTCTCAGCGACTTGGGCGACTGAAGCAAGAAGATCACTTGAGCCTAGGAGTTCGAGGCTACAGCAAGCTATGACCGTGCCACTGCACTCCAGCCTGGGCGTGACAGAGTAAGACCTAATCTCTAGATTTTTAGTAAAAAGTACATTACATAAAATTTACCTTATTAGCCACTTTTATGTGTACAGTTCTGTGGCATTAATTACATTCACATTGCTATGCAACTATCACCACCGTCTGTCTGCAGAACTTTTAAACCTTTTCCAACTGAAACTTTGTACTCATTAAACAACTTCCCATTCCTTCCTTCCCCCAACTCCTGGTAATTTCTAATTTACTCTGTGTCTGCATAAATTTGCCTTCTCTAGTGACATCGTATAACTGGAATAATACAGTGTTTGTCCTTCTGTGACTGGCTTATTTCACTTAGCAGAATGTCTTCAAGGTTCATTGATGTTGCAGCATGTGTCAGAGTTTCCTTCCTTTTTTAAGGCTGAATAATATTCCACTGTGGGTATATCCCACATTATGTTTATCCATGCATCTATCTATGGACACCTGGGTTGTTTCTACCTTTTAGCTATTATGAATAATGCTGTTATGAACATGGGTATATGCATACTGTATTTTTTCCCATTGGGCTCATGAACAAAGTTGCCATGGCAGCAGAGACAATAATAAGCCCCCAGTATGAGTGGCAGGTTGATCACATTGGACCACTCTCATCATGGGAGGGAGAGTGTGTTATTCTCACTGGCATAGACACCTACCCTGGATATAGATTTGCCTTCCCTACTGAAATGCTTCTGCCAAAACCACCATCTGTGGATTCCAGAATGTCTTTTTCATCATCATGATATTCCACATAGTTCTGATTCTGCCAATAGAACTAATTTTACAGTAAATGTGGTTTGTCAATGGGCTCATGTTCATGAAATTCACCAGTTTCAGTCATCTAAACAACTAGCCTGAAGGAATGATGGAATGGCCTTTTGAAGGCTTAGTTGTAACACCAGCTGTGTGGCAACACTTTGCAGGCTGGGGTAACATTCTCTAGAATATGGTATATTCTCCAAGTCAGCAAACAGTATGCCTTGATGCCTTTCCCATAGTTATGATTCACGTGTCTAATGATGAAGGGGTAGAAATGGAAGTGATTCCTCCCACTGTTACCTCTAATGACTAGTAAGTGAATTTCACTCGTATGTGAAATTTTTGCTTCCCGTAGCTGCAATTCTGGGCTATGCTAGTCTAAAGATCTTAGTTCCAAAGACAGGGATGCTTCCATGAAGCACAAAGTGTTGGTTCCATTAAACTGGAAGTTGAGATTGTCATCTTGGCAAAGAAAGGAGTGCCTGTACTAGCTGATGTGACTATTCTGACTATCAAGTGGAAATTGGTTTGCTACTCCACAGTGTGGGTAAGGAGGCTGTCCCGAATGCAGGAGAACCTGATAGTGCCTGTTAGAATTACTATGTCCTATAAGGAAAAACTACAGCAACCCCATATAGGCAGAACAGCTCTGGGCACAGACCTTTCAAGAAGGAAGGCTTAGGTCACCTGCCAGAAAGGGAATCACAACCAGCCAATGTTCTTGCTCAAAGTGAAGAGAATAGAAAATATGAAAACTTATTTCTTTCTTCCTTGCTCTGACTCTTCTTTTGTCTAACTTATGATACGTTAATAGTAGTTCACTTGATTATATACCTCAATACTTAAACTACAGGGTGGCAAAGGGTTGGGGGTGAACTAGCTACAAGAATGAGCATCACTAAAGAAGACTGAGTTTGTACTCTTTTTTGTAGAGAGTTTTGCTGTGTTTTCAGGTGTGTGAGAGACAGCTACATCACATTAGGTAGAAGCATGATGTTGCTTATGTCCTTATTTAGAAATTAAATATAGTTAAAGAGGTGCATATGGATGCCAAACTGACAACAGATGGACTCTGGTGTTTTTTAACCATGTGGACTTGGTTAGGTTAGACCTATTTTCTCAGAATATACCGCTCTGTAGGATTCTGAGTTAGAGTCAGCCAGAAGACCAATTTGAAGAAGGTGGAAGTAACACAGCAGTTGTTGCCCTTGGGGGTCATTGCGTTCGATGAGGTTACAGCAGATGCAGTGGCACCAGTGGGCTCCAGCCTGTCCTTACTCTCCCCCTCTCCGCAGCCAGCTCTTCTTCTGAAGGATGACCACCTGGAATAAGAGCAGCCCTAGGCCCCCCACCTCACTCCAGGTGGCAGATCCACAGAGATGGTAGCGATACAGAAGCACAGCTTCCGATGGCTTCCCCGTGTCTTCAGTTTGCAGCCTTATTTCGGTGCTTGGACGTGCTTAACTTCTCAGGTTGGTGACTTCCCCCGAAACTCCAAATTCCTTCCTGGAACATCACTTTCCCCAGATCCTCCTACGACCAGACAACGTCCCATTCTTGAACTAAATCCCTTGTGCCATAGAGAGCTCACAGTGCCTCTGCTTTCTGAGTGAACCCTGAATGATTCAAAATTCTGTATCACACCAGGGGAAGAAACTTCCAAGTGGTGAGTGATTGAGAGAATAGTTCCTACTCCTGGAAACCAAATAATTGCTGGTTATTATCATGTCATTATTAACTAGTAATAATAGTAGCCGGCATTTACTGAGCACCCACCATATGCCAGACACACGGCCTTATATGCCTTGTGCCATTTAATACTCACAAAAACCTGCTGAGGTAGGTACTTGTCCTATTTTGCAGGTGAGAAAGTTTTTAGAGCTAGCTCAGTGCTGAAAATGTACACTCTTGACTATGCTATTTTCATAAAATTCTCCTCCACATGTCACACATTGAAATTATTTGTTTACATATCAGTGTCCTCTACTAGAATATGACATTTCAAGGTCAAAAAGTACATATTTTTGATATCTTCATTCTTAAAGACAGAGTCTGAAAATTAGAAGGTCTATGATAAATGTTTGCTAAAGAAATTGATGAATAGAAGGAACAGTGGTGAGAAGTGTGGCCGGCATTAGTACTTCTGGTTAAAGAAAACTGGCAGTGAGTCTTGCGACCGACATTTGTTCACATTTCCAGGATGGGAGCCTAGCTACATAAAAGAATTCAGAAAGAATACAGAGTAAGCATATGCTATTAATGGGAGCAATGGTGATAAAAAGAAAATGTTATTATCCAGATCACTTCACATTTTGGTGGGAGGTCAGGGACAACAGGGAAGGGCATGCATTTTATAGAAAAAGCATTTCAAAAAGTACTTTGGAATGTGGCATTTGTTTTTACTTTAAGGAGCACATACACCTACTTGGCAGTAGGGGGAGCAAGATGCAGGGAAATCTAAAATTTTACACTGGACAAAAAATGTGAAGACAACTGAGTCATCTAGGGATAAAAGCATGGGAAAGTGATTTGACACAAAGCTGTCTGAAATGGGCTATTGATATATTTTAAATACTAACTCCTTAACTTAAAATAGTTTTGAATTGGATACTTGAAAGAGTGGGAGGGTGAGAGGGAATGGGTGATGAGAAATTACTTAATGGGTACCAGGTACATTATTCAGGTGATGGACACAGTAAAAGCTCAGACTTCATCATTATTCAAGATATCCATGTATCAAAATTGCACTTGTACTCTTTAAATTTATATGAATAAAAAAATAAAATGGTTTTTGAAATTTCTCAGTAGAGCCCTAGCATTCTAGCACACACTCAAGGGAAAATTGGGCAATGATCAGTATAGGTTTTCAATAAGGATAGAGTAGGATACGTTGTTTTTTAACCTAAATCAGCAGATTTGGGCCAGGTGTGGTGGCTCATGTCTGTAATCCCAGCACTTTGGGAGGTCAAGGCGGGTGGATCACCTGAGGTCAGGAGTTCAAGGCCAGCCCGGCCAACATGTTGAAACCCTGTCTCTACTAAAAATACAAAATTTAGCTGGGGGTGGTGGCAGGCCTCTGTAATCCCAGATATTTGGGAGGCTGAGGCAGGAGAATTGCTTGAACCCGGGAGGCAGAGGTTGCAGTGAGCCGAGATTACGCCACTGCATTCCAGCCTGGGTGACAGAGCAAGAATCCGTCTCAAAAATAATAATAATAATAACAGATTTGCTCTTTAGTGGTAAAATTCACACCACATTTATGCCAATTAGACCCAGCCTTGAACACTTTGTGGTCTAAAGAAAACCAAAATTGAAGGGAAAACTAATGGTACCATTTAATTGAAATTCCCTAGGCATAATATAGTGTGATAAGATAAAATGTGTATTGCTATAAAGGTATGTTTTGCTTATTTTGTAAACAAGGATTATATTCTGCTTTGGAGTGCAAGGAGAAAGTCACAGTCTAGTTTTATGAAGACCAAACTAGAGAAAATCGAGTTATCTTAAAGTGTATGACATCTCCACAAATGAATGTTTATGGCTTTACACTTGGAGTGTTCTTGGAACACTCTTCATAGCAAATCCTCCCTCAGAAGACCCCCACCTGGCATCAGAACAAACGTAAGTTCTTTCAAAATTATTTTGACCATCTCTGAATTTTTTAATTTGAATCTAGGAGGAAAAATCCTGTATATTCAAATTGAGCAATGTAATTGGCTAATGAATTGTTATTATTTTAATTTAATGATGCAAACATTTTGAAATCAATTTCAATGCCTGTAAAGTTGACATTTGTTTGGTTCACCTCACTTTCAGGGCATTTTCTTGTCTAATTAAACCCATGTAGCAAGGACCAGAGCTCCAAAATACTTCAGTCTTCACTTAGGCTGATAATTCTGATTATGGTGGGCATAATGAGAATCCAAACAATTTCACATGAAAACCAAAATATAATATAAAAACTCTCCATGGAATTCATCAAGTCTTATGTATCGCTTTGCTAGTATAAATATGATCAAGTTTCTTCCTAAGCCTGGGCCATGACCAAATTCTATGACATATAAATTTTGTTTTGGAATTTTTCAATTTTTCTTAAGGTCACAGCCTATGTCATTAGAACTATGGCATACATAGCTTGTCAGTCCTATTATCTGCTTGAAGCAAAGGTTTTCTTGCTATGGCATGTGATGATTTATTCTCAAAAGTATTTATTTTTGTTCACAGACTTCAAAATCAGTAAGTTACAAAATTGACTTGCTTTAAGTTTCAATAGTTCGTTCATTGATGCACATGTGTGTGTGCACATACATGAACACTAATCACACCTCCAGGATCTCCTTCAGCCCATAACATTTGCAATTCAAAGTCCCAGGTATCCTTCCACTAATATTTCTATCATCAATTCTAATTTTTATTGCAATAGCCTGATTCCCAAATCTGTAATTCAGGCCAAGACTCAGAAATCAATCTCAGGCAGGCATATTAGTTTTAGACATGATGGAAGAATGTTCCGGATTTTAATAGACAATCTTCCCCCTTCTTCTGTCTTTAAGATTATAAGGACTGCCTATAAATTAAAAGATACAATGGATGGATTACTCCTTATGAGACCCAAACTAGCATCTTTTTGCTGTCTTTCCTCCATGACTTAAATGTGCTGAAAGATGTTGGTAAAAGAGAAAGCATTAAAGATATAGATGCTCCTTGCTGTTCAAGTTGCCCTTTCTAATCTGAGTGAATGAAATCAGAGAAGAGTGAGGCAAGCCTGTGACACTTCCGGGATCTCATCATTTTCAGTGGATAAAAAGGCTTTGCATTCAACCCTCAGCACCAGGGGTTATAATCCAAACAGCCTTGTAGAGCTGGAATTTACAATTTTCTTCCAAAGGACTATGGGAGCATGTCTAAATAATTATACATCTCCACCATTGCGTAAACCAGTTTAATTAACATTTTTCAGGCATGTCACATTTATACATTCACTAAATAATTTTCTAAAATTATGCTGCATTACAAGTTGCCACATATCAACTTGGATTATTTTTACTCATGGCCCTAATCATGTCTGAATTTTATTTTCCTTTTTATATCCCTTTATTTTTTTTTGCTATAATTTGGTACTTCCATTGAAGATGATTCATACTTACAGGCTAGCCAGATGCTTTGTTCAATTTATTTGCCAAGTGTTGCATTTAATTGCCACTGACTTAATGAAAGCTGGCATTTTTTTCAGGCAGGTATAGCATTATTAAATGTCCTTTCCATTCACTTTATAATAAAAGAAATCTTGGAAAGCATTCACCAGCATCTCTCTGACTTAGTCAGAATATCCTACATGAATCAAAGAAAGGTTCTAGTTTTGGACATCCATGGGATTTGAGGAACGAGGAGATTGCAAACATGCACTTCAATTGTGTTTTGGCTTTTCAGTGGCACATGTTTCCAGAAGATATCAGTCAATTTACTCTCTATTTGAGAAGATATAAAAAATTGGGACGCAAACAATTACTTATTATTAGTGCTCAAATTACTTTTCGGTCTTTTTTAAGACTATTATTATTATTACTATTACTATCACTATAAATGCATTCAATTTTTTAAAGTAGTAATCCCAAGCAAGATTAATAAATCAAGAGATGTTCTCAGGCATGAAGCTGAAATAAAACTAGAAATACAAAGAGAATAAATTGTACAATCAAATGAGCAAGCACTCAAGTCGTATTTAGTGCTCCAAACACATTAACCTGCAATGGTTACATAAGCAGAAGGATTAGTATTTAGGTCACCAAATTAGTCTTTTGAATTTTCTTGCTCTTTATCAAGAATTCTATGTGCTTCCTGATATCATTTACCATGACATATTAACCACAGCACTTTATCTACCAGCATTTCCAATTTTTAATCTTCTTACCAATAGATATAACCTTATGGAAGAATTATTAGTGGCTCTGACAATAAACCATAACTGATGATATCTATTAAATTTTATCTATAATGCAAAGTGGTTTTGCAGAATTCTCACTTTCATGGATTAGAAAACACATTTTATATGTTTGCCTTGACTGTGTTTATGCACTAAAAAGATTTTGAAGAAATCAAGTAATTATGTGAGGAATTCAAACTAACAAAATTATACTTTTGTTAATAAAATTATTTTTTTTTTACTTTAATAGAATATTTGTTTTGAAAAGCAGGTTTTTTGCCTGTATCTTTTTGTTTGCAGCTTTGTGCATAAACAAAGTATTAAGCTGCATCTATACTTTGCTATTCTGGCCAAATCTGTTTTCAGTGACTATCTCAAAATGACTGGCTGTTTAAAAATCAAAAGGCATAGTGTTTTTGGTGCCAGTCCACAAACAATACTCATACACATTTGCGACAGTATGTCTGGGTCTTAACCTTTCCTTTTGCTATGAACGCATACGTGAGGAACAAAAAAACGGATGTTTATTATTAACAAAGATAAATTATTTATGTTTCCTGATATAAATGCTGCTGCAAAATTGATGTAGAAATCTGTAGAAATATATTCAGTTATCATGTGTAGATTCTGAAAAATGACCTGTGGCTTGATAGAACAACCCCCAAGTTTATGCTGTCTCCAGTCTTTACGGTACATGGATCAACACACTTGATCCATGATGCAAACAGTGTTGCCAAGTGACAGATTCTCCTCTCAGTTTTATCTCCTTATACACACGTCTAGGGAAATGATTTCCAGAATCTGAAATTTCAAATTTAATGGTAATTTTAAAGCAATGTATAATTCAGCAAAAATCATTCTTGCTCATAAAGATAGCTTAGGTCCAATAAGAATTTAGTTTGTTAGTTCTATGTACTGATACTTCTCAGTTAAGAAGCCCTGCTAGTGAAGGTCAGTTAAAAATGAATCATTAAATATAGAATGTAGGTATATATATTTTGAGCATTTTAATGCCAAACCATCGTAATTTTAATTTCGAATATCCTTCTGCTACTTATAAAGGAGACATCTATTTATCTATATCTATAGATCAGAGATATATAGTTTGTTTTGTTTTTGTTGTTTTTTTCCAAAATAAACACCTCTATGCTATGGAGATACTAGGTAATAATTAAATATCAATTACCTTATGAACATCTGGCTTTTTAAATTGTGTTTTGTGTTCTGCATTTGCTCATGCTGGCCCCACTGGCCAACACACCTTTCCCAGCTTTTTGTACCTATCTGACATTTTCTTCATTTCTCAAGACTCAGCTGGAAGATTTGTATCATAACTCTCTTGTAATATTCACATTATAGTAAAATTATGGTTTATGTGCCTGTCTCAGAAACAATACTATTACAAGATTCTGTGGTCAGAAATTGTGTCTTTCACAGACACAAAAAGGATATTTTTGTCCTTTCTACCTACCACAGTGCCTATCTGACTCATGATAGGCAGAGTATAATATATCTGAAACTCATCTGAAAGCAATTTGTGTAGTTTACCAAAAGGGCAGAAGCTTGAAACACAGCTGCTTACTATACAGGTGAAATCAGGTGTTTTTTAGGTTGTGTCTATACAAAAGGGAGTGAAAAGGCAATTAGCCACATAAAACAATAGCAAAAGTCCTCCACTGAGACAAAGTCATTTTCTGATCCGGTTTGCTTCGACTGACCTAGTTATATCAGTCATTAATAACTTTTAGATTTTTTTTTCTTTAGACATATAGACATAGTTTAAAGATACTGGAGTTTCTCAACTTAAAATAAATTGTTCATAAATTTGCCCATAAATTTATTTTCAATTATTAAATATTATTAGGTGTTTAGCATTTACTAGTATCAAGTGGGTTTGCATCAATAATACAATGTTGTGTTGAATTTCTTAAATATTAAAAAATATATGAATTAATGTCTAGCCATGCATTTGCAAAAAGAATATTTGCTAAGGAATAAAAGTTATTGCAATTTTTAAGACACTTTACATACAAAATGATCTGTAAACAAGAGTAACCAAATGCTCCTTTATGAAACAAAAAGCTTCCCTAGTGATTCTGGCCTATCTTTTTTTTTCTTTCGGCAGGATGCTCTTTTTCTTCCACCCCTGGGCCTGCCTATTTTCCTCCCTTGTTATTGACAGTCAGCCTTCGTGGGACTTGGTCACAATGTAGGATCAGAAAGCACAGGTTATTGAGACAGGCCCATACTTTGTAACACTCCAGGAGAATCTGCATAATCTTTTTCGGTCTTTTCACCAGCAATGACAGTATGTTATCTTACTAACGAATCAGCCCATGTCCATGTCATAGCTGGCATTATTAAAGGGGCAACAGCTAAGAGCCCATTTCAAGTGGAATAACAATATCTTTCCAGGTGGTGGAAATCCTGAAATGCTTCTGGCTCTGGGATGAAGGCTAAGTCCTTAGGATGGCTGGCATTTGTAACTCCTACTGTAGTTCACACCCATGTGGGCTCAGCACTAGCACAGTGCTTTTCTGATGTCATAGATGAACGGATGGCATACAGAAAGTAAGGAGCTTCTCAGGTCTTGGCAGAGTTGCAGGTAGTTTGACTAAAGTTGGACTCCTTAACTGGTGGTGGCTTAATAGATAAAACATTGAATTTTCTTATCAATTTAAAGAAGAATCTCATTCCTTTTTGAAGAAAAAACCCCAAAGATAACTTCCCTGGGGTAGGGTGGGGTGTCTTAGATTGTTTTTCAGAGTTAGTCATTCAAAAATTTAGTCTAAATATTCACCCAATGAGTTTTATTCCTCCCTTCCAAATAGCAATAAAAATTTTAAAATAGTCTGGGTTTATGGAAAACAAACTCCGTAAACATCAACCTATTCTTTGTTATAAGTAAGAAAAATATCCATCTTAAACTGCAACCCTTAATACAAGAAGATCTTATTTATAAAATGTATTTTTATATCGTGGCAAAAATACTATCCTAATCCAAATACAAGTCCATATACTTAGTCTGTACTAATTTTATGTGTCAGAGGGTTTTTCTTAAGTTCTCTAGCTCAAAAAAAAATCAAAACTGCATCTTAAAGAACTCAAAATTACTGAAGAAAAAAATTAATATAGAAAAAACTTTTGTCTAGACAATTTAAATAACTCAATAGAGCACCTGATCTTTACTTGAAGCCTAATAGGGGGCTGAGACCTCAAGGACTTCACTGGCCTTTCTGATACGGCTAGCCTCAATAAATGGAAATGCAATAATTGTGGCTAAATATAGCCAAGTGTGCCAGTTTGGGCGTTCATTCATTGTTATATAATATTATGATCCTGGGACCATAAGGAGCATATGTCTAGCTCTTGATAGTTCTATGTTCTACCAGGAGGCATTGCAGCAGCATAAGCCCTCATGTTTTAAGGTCTAACTTTTCTTTCTGATATACCTAAATTTTAAAGACTTTTTAGTACATTAAGTTTATGGTTGTCCCTAACTACTGAGTAGTAAATTTAGCCTACTAATTGCTTTTCTGTATTTTGCCTTAATAATAGTAGTTAACATTTACTGAATATTTTTATGTGCCAGGAGTTGTTCTAAGTCCTTTAATTATATTAGTTTATTTAGTCCTCATTTAAATAATTAATTCTATGTGCCAAATTCCATTTATTATCTCCATTTACTAGATGTGAAGACCCAGTTATAATGTTATATAACCCCCTAAGTCACACTTTGAGCCACTATGCTATGTTGCCTTATACTTTAGATTTTTAAGCCTAAAATTATTCTATTAATAAAAAGGAAGGTCATATGAAGTAATTGTTTAGCAGTTGATTCTATTTTAAATAAAAGGAACAAACCTTTGTATAATACTCTCTATGTTCCAAGCCCATTATAAGCACTTTACACAAATATTAGTTCATTTAATCTTTACTCCAGTCCTGTAAGATAGGGACATTATTATTCCTATAGTGTGGAAAAGGAAATTGAGACACAGAGAGACTATGTAACTTGTCCATGGTCACCCAGCTGGTACATGACAGAAATTCAGGGAAAAAATACCATCACACCAATTGTTGCAATTATTTTAATTTAACATTCGAGTCCTGCCACTGCTGTTTGTCTCAGAATAAATTGTTCCATCTTTCTAAATCTTAGAAACCTCATTTATAAATTAAAGGTGGGGGGATTCTATCATCTATAAGGCCCTTTCAAATACTCTTATTTATTGTGTACAAAAACCCCTGAAAAGTCACTTACAAAAAAACTTGTTCATGCCCGTCTGAAGATTTACGAACTCCAGCTTTTTATCTGACTGTGCATTCTGACAATTTTCTGCATTTCTCTAAGAATGGTCTGGAAAGGGATCTGGCAGGAAATAAAGAATATATAAAGTATTTTGATGGTCTCCAGAAATGCCCATTTCAACTCAGCATCTGCCGACAGGTCTACCTAATCTTCCAAACTCTGTGTAAATCCTGGATCCACCATTTACCAGCTGTGTAACCCTGGACAACAATTCCATCTTTCTGACCTCAGTGTCTTTCTCTGCAAAACAGCGGTAAGAATGATCCTACTTCAATAGAGTTGCTGTGAGGATTCACTGAGATCATGTGTACCAAGCTCCTACAATAGTACTGAACCCACAGTAAGTACTGAGTGAAAATTAGCATTATTGCAGATTTCTGCTCCTATGAAAGTTACGATTGTGAATTACTACACTTATACACTTCCTCTGAAGTCTAAAGAAATCACAGGCTCCTCCCAAGATTTGGAAAATTGAGCTCATCTTTGTCTATCTTCAGAAAAAAAATCTAGTTAAATTGTTCAATGGTTAAGTTAGATATTATCTGATATGGAACTAAGTTTGTGAGATATAAACAGTATTCTGTCCACCCCTCCTTAGTTAAGCTAAGAGGTATTAGCTTTATTATTTGCTAAATGTCACTTAGCATTTGATAAATGTAACATTTACAGTGCATTCTCCGAGGACTGGAAACAGTATTGTAGAACACCAGAACCTGTTTTCCCCTTGAAGTAACACGCTATCTCAGTATATAAATTACCCAGTACCCAAGGTAATGGAGAAGAAAACCTAAGGAAGTTTGACATTTACTTTGGAAGTGTGATAAAGCAATTGAGACTGTTGAAATTTAACACTACCTTGAGGTCTTATTACACTTGCATGTCACTCCTTAGTGCAAACTCACTTTTGCTTTATAGAAGAGCCCAATATATTAATCTACAGCCTTAAAGTGAGTTACCGGTTTAATGCAGATCCAATCTGAGAATAAATTAGGCCCTTTTAAAGTGTATTACAGAATGTTGAGCTAATGGTAATTGACGACGTATATTCACTCTTTGCCAAGTTGTAGGTACAAATGTGATATGATTACATCCAGGACAAGAGCCTGAATTTAAGTAAGGCTTTTAGAGCTGAAGATCATAGAGATTATATCATCTACCAGAGGCCCAGAGGGATTAAGTGATTTGTCTAAGGTTATACAGATAATAGGTGGATATCCCAGATTTCAGACTAGACTTTCTTGAGCTCAAGTTCAAGGAAGGTCCATTCTTCTACACTATGCATTCAGCAATATATTACAATGGTAATAATAATTACAATAACCCCCATCTATTGAATACATCCTGTGGGCCAAGGGTTCTGGTAAACTCCACACATATAAACCCTCCTCTGACCCTGACCCTGTTCTATTCCTCTCATAGCTCCATGAGATATGTCTGGTTCTCTTCATTTTACAGAAAGATGACTGAGACTCAGAGTTTGTGACTTGTACAAGGCCTCACAGCTAGGAGATGCCAACAGCTGGGTCCAATCTCAGCTCGGAATCTGCACTCTGTCTACAGGACTAGCGCTTTGCCCAAGGAGACCAAAATGAAGACATCTTGTCTCCTGGTCTTGAAAATTAACTAATTCACTTTTAATGACATCAAGTGTAAACAATCTACCAAATTATTAAAACATTATCTTTTTGTCTATGTAGGCCATGGATCAAGACCATTAACTTATAATCAGTGATAGCCAAGAGGATGGGAAGAGAATATTAAGCCTGGTGCTCTGCAAATTAATACTTGCAGGTAAATGAGAAGTATCATAGGCATATTACTATTTACTTAACGTTTCATTCTATTTGAAAGAGAAATTCCCAAATGTTAAATACTACCCTACATTTTAAGCTTAAAAATACGCTGGACATGCGACAATGGTGCTGAGTACTTTGGGGGAAGATCACAACAGTCCTGGTAGCAGTGTCACAGCAAAATATTTCAGAGGTACCAGATGAGCTAGCTCCAAGGCAAATGAGGCAATATTATGTTTAACTGTTTGTTCGGAAACTTCTTTTATTAAAAAAGATTTTAAATATTAATGCTATTTTCAATACAGGTGTGATAACACTCAATAAAGCATGGTGTACTTGATATAAATTTCGGAATGTAACAGTCCATCTAGTTCCTGGTCCCCTCCAGTCTCCACCACATAGCCTAGTAGCAAAACGTACACACCCGTTTAAAAATGAAGAAGCTTTTGGGCATTGGGTGAGCACAGTGGGGTGGGGCAAGGAAAGTGCTCGTTCCTGAATTATTCATGCTTTTGGCTTTGACTTCAGTTAGTAACATCAATTCTAAGAGAACTGAGACAAACTCTTCTATGTTCCGCAAAGGAATGGAGAAAAAAGCCTGCCATTCGCAAGCAGCTGTGGGCAAAACCAGCGCAGAGTACAGGGGTCGGGAAATGAGGGATTAAAAAAAAAAGTCGGAGTAAAGTGCACAGTTACTGTCAAAAATATATTATTTTGATCCTAAGAAAATTAAAAGATTTTATCTAATGGACTAGATTGCTGACCTTTTAATACATTTGGTTTTCATTGAACATACAATCACCATCGGACATAAAAAGACTAGTTTGCTTAAAAAAAAAAATCCTTGGAGTTATCTACAGGAATCTTGTGGACGCAATTCAAGGATAACATTCTGCAGCTCTTTGGATATTGAATGATGTCCTCGGATCAGTCCACAAAAGAAACAGGGACCTGTTAATGCACTGATTCAAGTGGGCGTTTCTCCCATTTTCTCTTTCCTCCTCCCCAACCCACCCCTTTCTCTAAATGCCTGTGCTTTCCAGTTCTTCTTCTACCCCTATGGCATGAGACCTGGAAATCATGATGAGTTTCTCCTTGTTTGTAAACTGCCTCTGCACCGGCTGAGGTTGCTCGGCCGTGGGTGGCTCCTGGCTGGCACCCTCCGGCGAGCTCTGCTCCGCACCCAGAACGGGGGCGGCCACAGCAGAGTCTCGCGTTTGACCAGCTACTGCGTCCAAGACCGACTCGGTGGAGGTGCCGGCCTCCCGCAGGGGTGTGTAGCCCTTATTGCTGCTGGATGGGTCATCCGACTGGGAGCTCCCGGAGTCCCGCCTGGTGGGGGGCGAGCCCTCCAGCCGCAGGGGTGGCGAGGGGGAGGCGGCCTTGGCCAGAGGGCTGGAGTCCGGGTCCGCACTCCCCGGGGAGGGCGGGGGCTCGGGGGACGGCGGCGCCCGGTAGTCCGGGAGCCCGCTGGTGCTGCGGCGCCGCAAGGCCGCGTACCTGCCGGTCCTGGGCAGGCGGCCGCCCTGCCCCCTGGCGGCGCGCGCCGCTACCGCGCCCTCGGGCTCCTCCGGCTCCCGGCGCGCCCCGCGCATGCTGCCCTCTGCGCCGCGGAGGTTGGTCATGCTCAGGTCGAGCTCGCCCCTCGGGATCTCCTGGGAGCCGCGTTCCCCCGGAGGCCTCTGCCAGCTGCAGCTCGCGCCCTCCGCGTCCCCGCCCCTATCGCGGCCCCCTTGCAAGGGCAGCAGCGCGAAGGCGCTCAGCGAGGAGTCCACGAAGGAGCTGGCCGTGCTCTGGCGCCCCCAGCTCTCGGGTGGGCTGCAGGGCGCCGGACTGCTGCAGCTGCTAGCGGCTGCGGCGGCGGTGGCAGCGGCGGCCCGGCGACTGCCTGCCACGCCCGAGCGCTCGCGGTAGACGCTGTACACGGCCTCGGCCAGGCTCGGGGGCTCCCGCGGACAGCGCGGGGAAGAGGCCAGGTCCGGCGGGGACGCGGCGCCCCGAGGGCGGCCGCCGCTCGGCGCCGCGGGGTGAGGAGGCCACGAGCCCTTGGCCAGCATCGCCGCCGCTCCGAAGGCGTCCCCGGAGCCACCGCAGCCCCCGGGCTTCAGCTCCAGGCCCCGCGACTGCACGTAGCTGAGGAAGCCGTTGAGCGGTATGGCCCCGGGGGGCGCCGCGGCGGGGGCAGACGACGACGAAGAGGCGGCGGCGGCCGCGGCGGCGGCCGCGGCGGCCGCCAGGTCTTTGGCGCGGAGGCTGTGCACGTCGATGACGGTGGAGTAGAGGTCCCGCAGGTTGATGATTTTGGTCTTCTTGTCCCGGTTCTCGTGGAGGACCGCGTTTGCGCAGATGAAGAGGAAGATGCCGATGCCCATGATGAGGGGCCCGAAGACCTTGAGCTTGTCAGAGTGCAGGTAGCCAGAGAAGATGCGGAAGAAGAAGCCCACGGACGTGGAGGAGGAGGACGGGGAGGCGGCTCGTGCTGGAGGCGTGCTCCTGGGCGCGCCCGCGGAACTGGAGTTGACACCCCCTGGAGCCCTAGGGTGGCTCCTGGACCGGTTTTTGCTGCCACTGCTACTGCTGTTGGCCGTGGTTGGGACCCGGTGGCTGCTGCCCGCAGGCGGCAGCTGCTTACCCCCCTCCCGATTGGTCCCGGTGGCCTTGGGCCAGTAGCCCACCACCGCCATGGCTATGCCCACCAGCAGCACCAGGATCCCACAGAGGGCGATGAGCCCTGAGATGGAGCACAGCTTCAGCTTGCCTTTCACCACCACCACGTCGTTCTTGCGCCTCTTCTTGGCTTTCCGCTTGCGCTTGGGTATCTGGCTTGGGGGGCGGAGTGGATCCTGCTTTCTGGCGGAAATCCTTAGCAGGCCGCCGGTGGCGATCATGGCGAGCTCCTGGAGTGCAGGACTAGCCTCTGGGATGGAGGCTTGCACAGGGAGGGCGCCAACTGCCCACTAGCTGCTCAGCCACCTCCTCCTGCTGCAAAGCAGAGGAAGACAGTCAGAGGGTGTCAGCTTGGCTGCAGTGACATCTCACGCTGCAGCTGCCCTACTCCCAGATCCCACTCCGTGTGTGCCCCCCACCCCAGGGCCTTTATCCACTAACTGAAACAAGGCCGTGTACAGAGGCTGGAGCCAGGTAGACACTAGGGAAGGGAAACGTTGTTGCAACAACTAATAGGTGGTTATAAAACATTGCAATAACTAATATGTGGTGATAAAACCATCTGAGAATATGCCTTCTTCTCCTCGCTCCCCACCCATCTCCTCCACACACTCCATGGTAATATGAGGGTTTGAAATGAACAATGGAGTTCCAACCATTAGTAAAACCTAAATGTAGGGACTCAAAGTAGTGGTTAAGGACCTCCCTGTCAAGATTCTTTCCCTCAGTCCTTCAGGAATTGGAAGATTTTTCAAGGGAGCTGTCACAGGAGTTTCAAGTCTCTCTAAGCTGGGGAATCTGTCAATGTGTGGCCCAAAGTCACTAAAACAGTCAGGAAAGTTACTACTGTATAAAGACAAAGGAATTTATTTCACTGGATGAAAATCAAAGGTCATATAATGGCAGGCAGGCGGTTTATTTACTTCAGATAATTAATAGAGAGTTCACCACTGGGGAAGCAGCAGAGATATTGCAATACTCTGACAATAAATCCCTTCACAAAGTTGTCTCCCACCTATGCCTGTTCCTACAGCTATGTGCAGGCAGATCCCTTGCACAGCCTTCTTCTCTCCTCTCAGCAACATCTGGACAGCTTCTTGGGGTGGAATATTTAGTTTTAGGTAACTGCTTATGTAACTGAGCTCTTCCTTCTGGCCTTCTTTCCTCCCTCAGAGGAACTCCCTTAAAGGTATCATGTGTCAGATTTCATCAGGGAATTTGAGAAGTCCCCTGGAATCTCCAAGAGAAAGATCTTTTTCTCATATGGGAAAATTACAATTAAAAAAACTAACACTCTGCCATAATAGCTTTCTGACCCCTTATTAAGGTGCCAAGAGCATGCTACAGAGTCCCAGTATTCAAATGAGTAGGCAACTAACTAGGTAAAGCAGTCTACATAATATGATGATTTGTAGAATGACATTTCCCCCAAGCCAAAACTGTTTTGTTTTGTTTTGTTTTTCCCCCTTATCCCTTTCTCATGAGGTCATTTTTAGGAAGGGAGGGTGGCAACAATCAATGGACTACTCTTAGGAAGTTTATTTAGTTGTTTGTAAAAGCCTGGGTAGGAAAATTCACAAATGCATATTTGTAGTTATTCGGCAGCCTCTAAAAATTACAGTCTTGCTGTATCTCCAGAGTAGAACATTTTCTGTCCCATTAGTTGTTTTCCCTCCTATGAGATGCTAAAATCAAGGACATTGTATGAACTGAAAGACTTAGATATCACGCCCAAGCCTTTTGCTCTTCTATCCTTTATCAGATAATTCATGTTTTAGAATAAATTCCCCCTTGAAAATGTGTGGTAGGTAGAATTTTGCTTTTAATTGGTGATTGGGTGAAAGGCTTTGGCCCTTGAGTTCCTCCATTATATCAATATAGGCAGGATCTTTTCTCCATCAGTGGGAATGTAAATGGTAATCAGCTCTTTGCAATATTTGCAAATCAATATCTCTTTGGGACTTAGCTGGGTTTCAGTAAAGAGAAGCACCAGGTAGATAAGAGAGGGGTCAGTATAGAGAATACATCTATAAACCTTTAAGCTGCACCAGTAAGTACAGATTGAAACAAACAAAAAAAAGAGCTTACTGTCTATCTCTAATCCCAAATAAGTAAGCACATTTATTATGTGGTTGTAACATAGAGACTGTTGTTTTAAGTGATCCTTGGAGTCCAGCATCTTAAATAATCTGGAGATCCGTGGTTATCTTAAGAAGGCTTTAAGGACCAGACATTTTTTAGAAGCGAACTCAGACTCAGTTGGCAGGGTGGCTCTCCCACCGCAGAAAGGCTACATGTTTTGTTGGGCATTGATCAGGTGCGCCGGGAGGCTGGATGCCTTGGGGGAGGAGGAAACCCACTTGGATTTCTCCTCAGCAAGGCAGCTTTGGCTCCGGTAGAATGTAAGGAAGGTTGGAATGGATTTCAACAGTCCTTTACCGCACATCTTTAAAATGAGTTTAATAGCTAGTAATTAACTCCCTCGTTTATTATTCCTTCAGCTCTGTTGAAGGCTGTACTCCCTTTTAATGTATCATCATCTGACACGAAATACAGACAAAGGTCAGATGCCACGGGAGACCCACCTTTGAGGTTTTCCTTTATACCTAATGAAAGAAAACAAACTTAGCAGTCAAGCTTGGCTGCCCTCGCAATTTACTGCCTGGAGCTGGTCTTACCGTGGTTAAAGAATGGAGGATGGGGGAAGCAAAGGAGGGATGTCTAAAAATACAACTGCTTCCAAGAGAGACATTCAAGTTCTCCGCTCAAGATGGATTAAGCCCCACTCTGAGGCTCGGAGGCTCGGATCCCACAGGCTGGGAGCGCTGTGCTGTGCCCGGTACCCAACCCAGGTCCTCGACCCCGGCCCCTCACTGGCAGGGCGGCGACCCCCTGGCCCCTGGCTTTGGTCTGCTTATTGATGTTAGCTGGAGTCACATGAGTGCAGCAGCTGGGAGTCCGCCTCTGGAAAGAAGACAGGCAGGAGCCAAGTGAGGGCAATCCTGAACTAGCTTTTTCTGGGCAGCGCATCCCGTGTAGCCAGCCCGGGAAAAAGCCTCTCACCGAACACCAGCCCGGGGCGCGGGGACTCGGGGACCCGAGGGGCGGGGAGGGGCCCCCAAGGGCTGGGGACTGGCAGAATTGCTCAAAATGGCAGCACTCTCCGCACGCAAGATCGCTCACTTACCCAGGGAGACCGAGGGAGGTCGGGGCCGGCGAACGGGCGCTCGGGCGACACAAAGGAACCATGGAGAAACTTTTTCAGCCCGAGCCGACGGCGGAGCGCAGGGACAGCGCCCCGGGGCCCCGCATCCGAGCGCGACTCAGCAGCCCCGCGGGGGCGAGCGCCCGCCCCAGGCTCGCAGTCCCCGCCGGCGCTGTGGCGGGAGCCATTTCCAAGAGTTTCCAAGAAGTGTCAGGTCCTCCGCATCCCGCATCCCGCATCCCGCCTCGGAGCCCTCCTCTCCGCCGCTCATCCTCCAGCTCCCGGCGTCCCCTAGCGCGGCGCTCCCGGGCGGGCCCCTGCGGCCGCGCCGCCGGCCCTCGCGCCTCTTTTGTGTGGCTGCGGCGCGCCGGGCTCCGCCGGGTGGAGTTGAGCCCGCGGCGGCGGCTCGGGGCGGCCGGACTGGCGGCTGTTGCTAAGAGACCGGAGCCATGACACAGGGAAATTGCGGCAGGGTGGCGGTCGGGGCCCGCCCGGCTCGGCGGAGTCGGGGGGCGCCCCCGCCCCCGCCCCCCGCCCCACCCCCTCCTCCGGCGCCCCCCCCCACGCCGCCGGCCTTCCCCGCTCCCCCGCGTCCTCCGCCGCCCGCCGCCCGTCCCTTCGGAAGCGCCGATTCCTCGGGGAGGAGGAGGCGTGAGGGGAGGCGGCGGAGGCAGCCGGCACGGGGCGCTCGGGCCGCGGGGCAGGGGGCGCGGGGTGCCTCCTCGGCCTCGGCTCTCCCCGCCCCGGGGCGCCCCGAGACCGCCGCCTGCCTCCGCGGGCAGCTTTGTTCTTCTTTCCTCCAACTACCTGTCTGAGCCGCGGGCCCCAGAGGCCCCAAAGAGAGGCCCGGAGGGTCTCCCCAGCAGCATCCGAGGGGCGCTCTCGGGGAGCTAGGGGCCAGAGTCCGCGGTCCCTCCGTGCCTGCCTCCCTCCCCTCGTGCCTCGGTCTTTTGTTGCCTCTACTCCTCGGCACGGCGCAGCCTGGGCTCTCTTCCCCCTCCCGCTTGGGAGTTTGCAGTGTGGACGCTCGGCAAGCACAGTAAGTTGTCCCCCAGCGAACTCGGGCCCGGGCGGAGTGGAGCCGCCCCCGCCGGGACGGGCGCACCGCGGGACGCTTGGAAGCCTCTGCCAGATGCGCTCGCGCTCCAGCCCCGCCGGGCTTTGTGACCAGCCTGACCGGGACCCGGCAGCTGGGGCTCCTCGGAGATCAGAATGGGCTCCGGGGCTCTTCCTTGGGCAGCCCCTCCTGCTCCTCCCCGGTGCGGTAATCAGCAAGCATTAAAAGGAAAACTATAATTCTCCAGGAATCAGGAATCAGGGTTGGAATCAGAGAGGGGAGGTGGGGGTAGGGAGGATGTCCAAACTCCCTACGTCATTTAAAAAAGAGAGAAGGCGAGAGAGAGAGAGAAAGAGATCGAGATCCTGTTTCCTAGTTCATCCCTGTCTTCTCAACTGTAAAGTAAAAATGACAGGGAAAAGAGAATTTCAAAGTGGAATTTCCCCAAAGAGTATTGAGAAAGTGAGAAAGATTTCATTTATCTATTGAAATGAGGCAGCCAGGATTCAGGAAGAAAGGAACAGAAGAGCAGATGAAGCAAGTGCTGTCTGAAATTTTGGATCCAGATAAATATTTTGGTGGTGGTGGGTGTTATATATTCTGAGTTTTGCTGCTTAGGGGTCCACAAAACCCACACAGGAGGGCTCTGCTGCCCGCAGCTCCTGTTACAAGATTGTTCCCCACATACACAGCATTCACTTGTGCTTAAATCTAGAGCAGACACTTTTCAAAAAGAACAATAAAGACAACCAATTTACAAGTTCAATGATATAAATGTGAACAGTGATCTAAGAGATGGGGATAGAGACGGTGGGGGACAGGAGGGAACGAAGCAGAAGTGTTTTCTAAAAGGCAACCCTGCATTCACCTGTTGGAAAGGTGGCCTCTGTCACCCTTTTCAAGCAAATAACGAATCTGAATGATGATCAGGGTGTCCGGAACCCACCGCCTTCCCCCTACCTATTCATGCTCAGATTCAGGCTATTAGAAAACAAACCATAATGAAGGGAAAGTTTTAAATCCCACATTGGGTTGTTTCCTTTTAGAGAAATCACTGCAAAGGAAAAATAATAAGATCTAGTTGTCGTTTTCTAAAGCCTTTTTGGCTCTGAACTTCCAGATCTCCTGAATCCCAATAATAATCTGGTATTTTTTACAAAGATTGGGCCTACAGTCTCATTTCATTGCACAGCTAGCTGCCAGAGTCTATGGGCGGCAGTTCCTGTGCTCTGTTTGCTGGGCTGTACAAACAGGAATAATACTGCAGAACTTCATTAGGATTTTAGGTGGATTAAACTGCTAATAGTTTCAAGTTTCTGTGTAAATTATAGCCATCATTTGCACATTTAAAACTCATTTGAGGGATTTGGAGAAGAAAAGAATTCTTTTCTAGACAAAGGGCCTTGGGACATAGCTAGTTTTGTCTTATGTTGATGATTGCAACAAAATTTATGGCTTATTACTCAAAGGCTTCCTTCCAAACTGCGCTTTTTGGAACTTTGAACTGTTTAACCTGAATGTTATCACGTTCAGTAGTTTTCTTTGTTTTCAGCTCATGGTATCAGAGGAAATCAAGCAGATCACATCTGTTTCCAGCGGAGTCCGTTATCCCCTCTGTAATACAGAATCAACATACATTCCCAGGGGCTTTCAAGTTATTAGAGTTATTTTTAAAGGAACAAGGATACTCTTGGCCCTTCTGGCGTTATTTTCCTTCTAATCTCCCTGGCCATTTCAGTTTGGATGATTTCCGAGACTGTGGGACCCCACTTTCACCGTGCTAAGGACTGAAAGGCTACAACTACCTAGTCTTAATAATTCACTAGTGTCTCCAGATTTTGGAGCTCAGCACAGCCTTCTGACCTTGTAGCAGGGAACATAATGAAGGCCCTGGGAAAGTAAGAGAAGAGGATGAAGATTAGCTTAGTTTAGTTGGATTAAATTCTGACCTGCAACCTTTCATTTGCTCTATCTTAAAAAAAAATCCTTATATAATTTATTCAGTCTCATAATTTATTCACAACTCATTTACTTCCTGGATCATTTCACCAACCTAGCCTGGTGTGCTTGACTCGCCTGCCTGTGCTCCCAGGGCTGCGTAGGGGAAGACAGCGTCATGGGCACACACAGGACCTTCTTGGTCTCCAGGAGTGTGCCAGAGAAGGGAAGTCTGCTTATACCAACAGCTCAGCACCTCCTGCCTCTGCACACACCTTTCTCTCACAGATAGTGCAGGCTGCAGAAATAAGTAGTTTAGTGTTGTGAGTTCTGGAGCCAGTTTATCTCCTCCACTAACTAAATTACTTAATCTTGTCTGCCTCAATTTCCCCATCTGTAATGGGGATAATGACACTGATACCTTATTCATAGCATTGTAGTAAAGATTAAAAGAGTGTAGTCAGTGTAGGCTAATGCTTAGCACGTAGTAAGCACTCATTAAACTTAGCTATCACCTTATTGGTCCTAACATCTCCCAGCTTGATACCCTCACTCTCCTGTTCCATTCATATTTTCTGGGATCCACATGGAACTGTATCTGTACTTATTATCTCTGAAGTAGGCTTACAGGATCAGCTGCTGTGATTGAACTACCCCTACCCAGATGACATAGGTCCAATGCCACTCCAGAAAGCTTGCTCCATATGAGAATGAAAACACTTTTCTCCATTGCAACTTTGCTCATTTTGCAATTAACCGGGACCCTTTAATTTCAATTTGCTCAATAACTCAGATTTCAAACTCATGACACACTGTAGTCAAATTAGAAATTTGCAAAAACACAACCAAGAGACATTCTTCAGACCAGAAGTTGGAAGATTTCATAGAAAGGACCTTCAAACCTTGGTATGACATCTCTATATAAGAAGACAGAAACGGTCAACCCCAGATCAAAAACAGGATACAAAATAACTCCTTCTCTTCATTCCTTCCTTACCCTTTTCATACCTCTGCCAATAAAAAACAAAATGACAAAAAAGCATGACAAAATAAAACAATAAGCATACAACTAGAGTCACTAGATTTAGCAAATAAAACTATTGCGTGGGATATACTTCCACTAAAAAACTCTTTGTTGTTTACCTAAAATTCGGATTTAACTAGGCATCCTATATGTTATTTGCAGCCCCACCACAGTGTACCTGATAGCCTCTCAATTTTCTCATGGAACATGCAAAGGACAAAAGAGCCCGATAAGACAGAAAACATGAAATGCAACATTAAATTTATTTTAGAAGAGAATAAGCAGAAAAAAAAAAAACAAGCAAAGCCTGGATGGAACAACAGAACTTCAAAGCCTGAGGATAGTGTTTCCAAGCTGGGCTGGGCTTAGCCTTGGGGTTTCTCATAGTTAGAGGTTGCATGGTTTGTGTTTCTAGCCCTTTCCTATGGAACACTGCCATGCTAGAGGGACAGGCAGTTGCTCCTGCATGCAGTCCCCAGGGTCCCACAAATGAACTTCTGAAGAGATAGAGCTCAACTCACTTTCAAGAACTTCAGCTTTGAAACCAAGGATAAACTCATGCTAGTGTCAAGATCAAGATCAAGCTCATTTCTTGTATTTCTGAGAGGAATCAAAGAAGTTCAAGCCCAAACACTTCCACCACAGAAACAGTGGAAAAAAGAAATGGTGCAAGATCTAAAGAGCCTTCCTTAGAACACATCAGGCAGATTCTGCTGCCTCCGTTCCAGGTCAATAGCATGTAGCAATGACAGCTTCTATCTCTGTCTTCAGCCCCATTCATTTGTCTTTCTCAGTGACAGACCTATCAGGGGTGGTGTCTCTAATAAGTGGGGTTCATTTTTATACATTCAGTTTTCCCCAATAGCCTGAATTTTCTACCATTTTTCATGTACACCATCAAAGCTGGATTCTGTGCGATTCTTACGAAATAATTGAGGTCTGAGATGAGAAACTAGAGTTTGTTGGCAGGCCTGAAAGCAGATCAAAGCTGAGCCTGGAAAAAACTTTGCAGGGAGGGCTCCATCAATGGAGCAGCCAAGATGAGACCCACAGCTGAATGTGCCCTGTGTTCCCAAAACATATCCTAAATGTCCACACTAATGTCATTCATATCATTTTGTATAATCTACAAGCGCATGGAGAGATGACTTGTCCTACTGAGAGCTAATTGCTCACATGTCTGATCTGCTTTCAAAATTAATTGTGATATGAGCTGCTGTGTATACACCGCAGGAAAAAGGATACACACAGATAAAGAACTAGTTTTCAAACGTAAAGAAAGAAACCCAAGAATTCCAAGTAGCAATTCCTGGATTGCTACTTGGGTGGCAGAGCTCTGATTCATCCAGTAAGGATTTTCTTAAGCACCTCTGTGTACCCCACCCTATGATTCTTGCATCATTCACTCAACAAATATTTACTGAGTGTCTATTGTGTTATCGTTATCGTTCTAGGCAGTAGGGATAAAGTAGTGGTGATCTGTGCAAACACAGTCACTCTCAGTGGTGGGAGTTTGAGATAAAAAACAAGTAAATAAACAAGTGAGAAAATTTCAAATCTTGGTGAGCGGTACGAAGAAATTAAAAGAGGTTGCTGTGACTGGTCACACGGGCAGCAAGAGAGAACAATTTAGATTGGGAATTCAGGGAAGGCTTCTCCAAGAAGTGTCATTCCACTGAGAACTGAAAGCTGAAAAGGAGTCGATCACTTGAAAGTATTCCTGGGGAAAAAATAATAAAGGACACGGTGTTATTATCATATAATCTAATTAGATTCATCAGTACACCTTAGGCAAAAAAGAAGAAAAAGATCATTGAGGGAGACAATTAGTTAGGGAATACTTCATGAGTCTGGATCCCCCCCGGCTTGACCTGGCATGGATTTGGGTGAGTGGAGGAAAGGGATAGGGTGGGGCATAACTTCTTTGATTGGTGTACAGGGCCACACAAGGTGGCAGGGAAGACATGATGGCCTAGGTAGCAGGCAGCTAAGTGTGCCATTGACAGAGATGGTAAGAAACGTAGAGTGGGAAGGGGCCTTAAGGTACTTAATGCTCAAATTATAATCCAAGAACCAGCAGCATCAGTGCCACCTGGGAGGTGGTTAGCAGTATAGAATCTTGGGGTCCATTGCAAACCTGATGATTCCAAATCTTCATTTTCACAAGATGCTCAGGTGATTTGCATGCATGTTAAACCTCAAGAACCACTGCTGTATTCCAATTTTCTCATTTTAGGGATAGGGTAACAGAATTTAAATGATCCCCATCTTTACCATCCTAGGCTTGTGGAGGGTGTGTGTGTGTGTAAGAAAGAGAATATTTTGCTTTTAAATATGTATTTCAAATAGTGAACCTGGAGGTCTGTGACACCTGTGGCTAAATGTATGTTTCTTACGTAGGGCAGCAGCATGTTTTTTTTAGCTAGAGTAGAAGAGGAAAGTTAAAATTTGGTGGCTTTTTCAGATCTATGCATCTGTTTAGGAAACAGACTTGGTGAATTTGGGGCCTTAATTCAGCTTTCCGGGAGATCGAATTTACTTTGGGATTACTCTTTGGATTTAGACCATTTGTACCCGAGTAATTAAGCCCCTTCCAGTCATATGACCTTGAGCAGGTCACTTAAGTCTCTGCATATAGTTGTATTGTCTACGAGGGTGACTTGTAACTCTTTTTCAGGGTAGTTGTGAGGAAGAAATGAGATCATCAGTGGCAGTGGCAGCATCAGTTATTTGTGGAGAAGGGGAAGTCTGGTCCTGCCTCATCTCCACTGTCCCTCCAGGGCCCCACCAAGTGAATAGATGGAAGAAAAAGATGAGTACTGGCTAGGTATATATCACTGTCCCTAAGCCTATTCCATACAGAAATCATGGAGCTGCCACTACAGATGTTGCTTGGGGTATGGGCGATGAGGCCTGTAAAGTATTATTTAGACGTTAATGGTGGTGTGATGATGATGGTGAATAGTTACAGAGTGGCCATTCCCTATTGGGCACTGTGCTGGGTACTGGAGATGCAGTCAAGGTCAAGTGCTACCTATGAAGTTTGGGTCAGATCTGAAAGATACACGATGGTTCCCCAGAATGCTTTGTAGTTCTGAATGAGTCCCAGCCAGGCGGCAGTGGCTTCCTGGTCTCCACTCTCTCACCTCCTTATCTTCTGAGCCTCACCCTCCGAGAGCAATTGTGTTTTGCAATAGGCTTAGGTTTCCTTAAATCTCAGACCCATGCCATTGGAGCATCCTGTGAGTCCCACCATTTAGGAATCAGGGGCGGCCTCTAGTATCTCCACAGTGTTTGGAAATCTCCACTACTGAGTTATTAAACATGTAACTCAACGTGTAAGGGAGCAAAGGGTCACACTGTGGCATGAAATTTCACATTTGAAGCAGTGCCAACCCTTCTTTTTGCACACAACTTTCAGATGACCCCATGGCAACATCTGTAAGACATTTATATTCTTTAGGGGTGTAAATACAGAGTCATAGTGAAAGTGAAAACTGCCTCCCTCAAATTATCATCACAAAGCATATATATGTCTAATATATAAAACCAATAAATCAACACTGATGATGTGTTTTTATCCAATGAAACTCTTATGATCTTATCCCAACCATAAAAGATATGTTAAATGATTAAAATGCACTAAAGTAATAAATAGTATGTGTGTATACATACACACACACACACACACACACATATATGTGTATATTCTCAGAAGGAAAAATGCACACAACATTTTTCACACTAAATTTAGTCCTGAATTTCTATAAAATCTTACAAACTGAGCTGGCTTCTTCATACTAAAGAAGATAAACTCTTACAATCTGAGCTGGCTTCTTTACACTAAAGAAGATTAAAGTATCAATACATCAGAAAAGCATCACAAATATTTCTTTTCTAGTGAGAAAGATGCCAACATCACTTCTTGACAGGCAAAGCAAAGTGATTACATAGCTTTCTATAGAGGCAAAATAATGGTATGGTGTATTGGAAAATGATATGCAGAAAAATCAGAGATAATATTTCAAAATATTTCTGAATTTCATTATTTTCCAAAGCCATGCCCCACAAGGATCAGGGCTTGATTACTGAAAAATTTACAGAGAGAGGGAGAGAGAGAGGTAAGTATTTACAGCAAATTGTGTAAGAACTTAGTATATTCACCTTACAAAGAGGCTGTGTCACAGATTTCCTCCAAATTCCTCCCAATCACTTACAGCTTCTGACTTTTGATGACATTAATATTAATGCAATGATAGAAAGATTATACTTTCTAGAAATTTGATACCAATCAGTGTTATAGCTCCACTTTTTTCGGAGCAGGGAGGGGTTAAGAAATGTTTTTTCCATTTACAGAGATAAATATGTGTATGATCAAGGCTAAGAATCCGCAACCCAAGGGAGGAGAATGAGAAAAGATCGTAATTTACAGCAGTTACCTCGAGCTTACTCATCAGAACGCAGATAGGTTTAATGGCTTATTCTAGAAATGTGGGAACTCAGAATTTCTGCAGCTTCGTTTTGTAAGCAGTAAAGGAATTGCCCTGCAGCCTATCGCAGCGGAAGGTGAGGTGAGGAATCCCAGTTGGACTGGGGTCAGGGGGCCATGCTGCTCACCTCTGAGGAAGTTACGAGACTACAGGATTTCATCAATGGAGCTAGTGCTCCGATTTTCTGTTCCTGTCTCTATTGGCCTGCGGAGATATCAAAATGTCAGCTAGTTTCTGTCTCTAAGCAAGACAGGTTCTAAACTATGTCAAAGTATTGAATCTTTTCCCTGGATGATCTCTTCACCTCATAGGTGAGGAGGAGACTTGAAATGTCCTATTTATTTAAAAGATGCAGAAAGTCAAACTAGATAATTTCATTCCTTCGTTGCTTTTTCAGCCATGAAAATCTCAAGGGCATATTGCATAACCTGTTGGACCCAATACATATTAATGCACTATTTAAATGGTGCATAATGTTGAATAGTTGGTATCAAATGATGTAGTTTAAAAAAGTACTAGATGGCTTTTAAGATTCCTTCCTGTTCTCTGAGCCCTCATATTCTCACTTAAAGCTGTGGAAACTCGGGATAGGTCCTTCAGGTAACGCTCATTAGCCCACTTTTTCTGCTTCTCTTGTGCAACCAGAAACATTGGTTTATACAAAACATGGTAAAATTACAATTCCCACAACACACAGAAGCTACTGGTTTGGGTTTGTACTTTGTCCCCAGTTGGAGTTGCGATTCGCAAATCTCTTCAGGAGGTGGGACATTTGAAAATCTCAGAGTGCTTCTTGGAATATTATGAAATATCAAACTTAAAATAAATTCACATACGATTTTGATTGTATCTATCACGAAACCATCTGACATTCGATTCTTACATAGAAATATAGTAGACATCAAATATGTAAGGAATACTTATAGAAGAAAACCTTAAAGCTATGAACCTTTGTCTGATAACATTATTTCTCCTAAAAATTGGAAAAGAACACACTCATTCTATTTGAGCCATGGGACATCTTGACCTAGTTATGGAAAACCAGTATTTCTCAAAGAATATAATTTTAAAAAACATGGTCTTAGCTATTGAATGGTTAGGTACTAAGAATCTCTGTCTTCGGCCATTATTTTTGGTTTTGCCACTTAACATATTGACCTTTGCAATCACACTGCAAACACCTACCTGCTTTCTTATTCACTGCTCTTTCTACCTTCTTTCAGCAACATGGCTGTTCAGGTTTATTTAGCTCATTAACTACCTTGTTTCTCTAGACAATACCCCAGAGATATTAGCTGGCATTTTTTTCCTAGCTGAGTGTCACTTAGTTTATCCTAGTGCATTTTCTTCATCCAAGGAAAACAAACGCTTTGCTATCATTTCTCTATCCTTCCAGTGTCTATGACACCTTCTTCGTTTTGTCTCACCATTTGTTAGGGTTCTGTTTACTCCCTTCTCCTGATCGTTAGTGAACCCGCAGAAGCTCAGGATCACCAGGGGAATTCATCTTCTAGTTATCTGTATTCAAGATCTCATTATCCACAGAGGGACAAGTACCTAGGGCCCTGTATTGTTTCAAGACAGAGAAAGAGGTTAACCCACTTTGAGTCTATTTTTAAAGAAACATTCTATGAAATATTTCTCTACCTAATCCAGGTGATATGCTTACATCTAGTTCAAACACTTCTATTGTACTTCTGTCTTCAGCATTTTATCATTACTGTTCATTCGATAGATTACCTAACTTTTTCAACACAGTATCTCTGTGTGAGGCTGATCATGATGGACTAGCTGTTTGCAAAACTCTCTAGGAGGCTTTGGAGGCTCTTCTTCCTGCAGCCCCCACTCTTGGTAGGATTCTCAGGCAGAAGGGTTATCAACCCTGTGCCTCTGGAGGAAGCACTTCTTCCCATGCGAGACCCCACTGTTCATCTACGCAGCCTCTCTGGGTGTTCCTTTTCATCTTCTAGGAACTCTGCTAGCTTCTACTCTCACCTGTGGGCATTTTCCTGGCTAGGCTACCACTTTTCTCATATCCTCCAACTAAATGCAATAACATTTTTTAGAGTTTTGCTGTCAATCTCATGAGCCAGTAGCTTGCATAATGTAAGTAATACACCTGAGGAATTACAGGGATTACAAGATCTTACCAACTGATGAGGTTGTAAATAGAAGTCACATTGGCTTTATTGCAGTTAACTTTATTTCTGAGAGTGTGGCTCACCCATCTTCCCTCCTGTCCTACAATTAGCAAAGACTACATAGATCTTTGTCATAGATCTTCCTAGTACTGTGTGCTTGAAGAGCCGGACAAAACCTTAGTTGCATGCTAGTCTAAAAAAATGTGAGTGATTTGTATCTCAGAGACATTCTAGATTGAAAAGATGGCCCTGGCCCCTACCTAGAACCTAGAATTCCACCATTTCTCATTCTCATTCACTAACTACTTCCACTGCTTCAGCACTCTTCACCTATTTTAAGATTTCAGGCAAATTCTTCCTTTAGTCAGCTAGAAAGTAAGCTCAATAAGAGCAGCTACGTCATCTTTTTCACTGCTGCATCCTTCACACCAAGGAAAGTGACTGGCCAATATCTATTGCACTCCTTCCATGTACTGGACAGTGAACAGATTGGTGGGCAAAGGGGAGTCTCCAAAAATGCATTAAAATTATTAGAGAGCAACCTGTTAATCAAGTAGCCTATATAAGTAAGAAGAACTAGAAGGAGGTTTTAACTGTTGAATAAGTACAGGAAAATGCCTTATTTCTGAATAGAAAACCAATATTATAAATATGTCAATCATTCCTTTTGTTTAATGCAATTCCAATCAACATCCGACTGGATTTGTCTTTTTAACTTATCAACATTACTCTAGGGATCTACTCAAGAGACATGAAGACAAATTTTCACATAAAACTTGTAGGTGAATATTCATAACAGCATTATTCATGGTAGCTTAAAAAGTAGAACCAATGCAAATACCCATCAGCTAGTGAATGGATCCTCAAAATGTGACATATCCATGCAATGGAATATTACTCAACAATAAAAAGAAATGGAATACAATTACTTGCCACAACATGGATGATTTCAAAAGCATTATGCTCAGTGAAATAAACCAGACACAAAAAACTACATATTGGAATGTATCACTCCATTTGTAGTGAAAGTCTAGAAAAGGCAAATCTAGAGTGATAGAACTAGATTAGTAGTTGCCCAGGGGTTGGAGTGGGATTGAGGAGTGACTGCAAGTGCACACAAAAGGTTCTTCCCCATTTTTTTTTTTTGGTGAGGGGAGTGATGAAAATGTTCTGAAATGAAACCATGATGATGGTTACACAAGTCTTTAAATACACCAAAGTCCATTGAATTGTACGCTTAAAACTGATGAATTTTGTGCTATGTAAATCATGTCTTAACAAAGTAAAATAGAATATTTTAAAGATTATGTGTAAGAATAGAGAGGTATGAGTAGCCAAGGCACTTTTAGAGAAAAAAAAAAGTAGTGATGGGATACTAATTATTACCTTTGGGAAAAGTCTTAGAAGGAGAATTTCTGGATTAAAGGTGTACACAAAATGAATAATAACAGCAATTGAATAAAATAAGAATCCATGAGTCCATATTAGAGTTAGGTAGGTTCCTGGCCAACAGATAAAACAGATTCTCTGTAACCAACAGAGGTGCTGAAAGTTAAAACAGAACCAGTCTGCCATGGCTGCGTGAGGGGGTGGTGGTCATATAGTCAGTATTCTCAGAAAGGTGTTGCAAAAGTGTCACAGGGCCTCCCTTTGTATGATCAAGCCAAACCAGTTTCTGATGGTGCCTAGATAAACTGTGGCCAGAAACACCCTCTCCCCACCACCCGGCCGAAGAACTATCTTACAAAGACTTCTAGTTTGGGGCTTGGAAGCCACCCAATCAGACTGGCACAAGTTTAAATCTTTCATTTGCATACGTGGACCTGATTGAGAATCGGGGTGAGAAACTTTCCCTGTTTAAGCCAGACCCTCCCTTTGTTCTTAGGCGAGCACATTTTCACTTGTATTGAAAGCTGTGCCTCCCCAGTCTGCAGACATTTTTTAAGAAAATAAAGCTCTCTGTCCTCCACAGTCTTTTTTTTTTTTCAGCAATAATGAGCAAACCAATCTAGACAAAAAACCTCACTGCTTAAACAAATAACCCAAAATGAATCAGATTTAAAAGCAAAATAAAACTATAAAATGTTTAGAACATGGGAAAAAATCTGTGGGACATGGGGCTTGAAGAGTTCTTCAACATGACACCAAAAGCACAATCCATAAATGAAAAAATAATTGATAAGTTGAGCGTTATCAAAATTAAAACGTTTGCTTTGCAGGAGACCCTGTTAAGAGAATCAAAAGATAAGTTACAGATCGTGAGAAAATATTTGTAAACCGCATGTCTGACTCTTATTTAGAATATATAAAGAGCCCTTAAAACTCAACAGTAAAAGAAAAAACAATCTGATAGGAAAATGGGCTATAAAATGAACATTTTATCAAAGAGGATTTATAGATGACACATAAGTCTATGAAAAGATGTTCAACATCACTAGCCATTAGGAAAATGCAAATTAAGATGTTGACGAGCTATTTCTATATTCCCAATAGAACAGCAAAAGAGAAAACTGAGGTCCATAGAAGTTAAATCATTTACCCAAGGTCACAGCTAACAAATTGGTAGAGTCAGGATTTGAACGTAAGCAGCCAAACTCTAGAGAACACATTTTTAACAACTGAGCTATATTCCCTTGTTTCCTATAAAAACAATTAGACATGCAAAAATTTATGTACATTGATGTTCATCATTACTTTCTTGAAAATGGTGAAAACTAGAAAAACTTCAATTTTGAAAAGTAGAGAATTGGTTAGATCATTTATAAGCTATCCATCTCTATCCATCTATTGTATGAAAAAATCAGCATCCATTAAAAACAATGCTGTAGAGTTAAGGTCAGCAAACTGTTTCTGCAAAAAAAACAGACAGTAACTATTTTAGGCTTTGCCCACCCTATGGTCTCTATCAGAATATTCAACTCTGCCACTGTAGTGCAAAAGCAGCCATGGGCAATGTGTAAGAATGAGTGATGTGTGGGTGTGTTTCAATACGTTTATTTGCAAAAACAGGCAATGCGATGGCTTTGCCTTATAGTTCATAGCTTGCTGATCCCTGCTGTAGAGTAACTACATATAATGTTGACATGAAATGTTCATGATATACTAAGTGAAAAGAGAATATTAGAATTAAAAAATGTATAATTCAAATGTAAATGATTTTGGAAATTGGAAACTTATAGGTGTGTGCAACAGATACTGCTGTTTGGCTACCTAAAAGTTGCTGCTAAACCTTTCCTTGTCTTCTGCTCTACAGGTTGGGAAGCCAGATATCCACATTATCTCACATCACATCACTGAGCTCTGTGGCCCAGTTCTGACTACATGTTAGAAGCAGAAGTCTGCAGGGGATGGCTTCTGAGAAAACTTGTATTTATTATTTAAATTTAACCTTCTAGCCTGGGAATAAATTCCAGCTTGCTTAGAACAATACAGCACAGAAGAGAGCCTGAGTTCCTGGTGCATCCCTGTGCCAGTGTCTCAATCCTGCCCCACCGATTTCCAATTTCTTATTATGTGAAAAGCAACCCTCCCTTCTTTGATTAAGTCATTATTGATAGGGTTTTTTTGGTGACTTGCATCCAAATGCATTCCTTAACTCAAACAAAATAGAAGGGGAATTCCACATTCACACTGTTGCATCAGACAAGCTCTGGCTTCTCAGAACTTTAGTTTTCCATTTACTAGAGCTCAGAATCAAAGAGACAGTAAAGAAACCCATTTAAAAATTGCTTGGCATATATATCTTGGGTGATGGGACTTCATGGGTAATATTTTTAAAATTTCTTTGTGTATTTTTCTTTTATTGTCAAACGTTATTAAAGAGACCATAGATACCTTTTGTAATTATAATAAAAAACAAAATGTTACTAAGAACAGTGAGAACTCTTAAGCTAACTACAAGATAATTAATATATAACTGCAAAATATAAAATACCAAAGCCATTTTCAAATAAAGAAACAGAGCCACATGAAACTTTGCAGTTTAGCCAAAGTCATTTCAGGATTCTGAAGCTGGGGAGGAAGCAAGGCTTACTTAGCCCGTGGCTAGAATTCACTTTTGAAAACTCCATTTTTGTCCATTCCCTCTTATCACTACTTGCTTGCAAGTTAGGAAACAAATTAGAACAAAAGCATTGTTTGTCGTCAGTGGTCAATGTTCATTGCTTTACCAGAGGCTCGGGATTAGAAGATTCTCAGAACCAGTTAGCTCCTGATACAATCGGGCCTTGATATGGTTTGGATTTGTGTCCCCACCCAAATCTCATGTCGAATTAGAGGAGGGGCCTGGTGGGAGGTGATTGGATCATGGGGGCAGATTTCCCTCTTGCTGTTCTCATGATAGTGACTGAGTTCTCAAAGATCTTAGGGTTTAAAACTTTTGTGGCACTTCCATCTTCGCTCTCTCTTCCTCTCTCATGCTGCCATGTGAAGAAGGTGCCTGCTTCCCCTTTGCTTTCTGCCATGATTGTACGTTTCCTGAGGCCTCCCAGTTGTGCTTCCTGATAAGCCTATGGAACTGTGAGTCAATTAAATCTCTTTTCTATATAAATAACCCAGTCTCAGGTAGTTCTTTATAGTAGTGTACAAATAGACTAATACAGGCCTGAAATAAGTTGACATCTAAAAGCCACCTGAATTATTTCTGGGAATAGACTGAGGTACTTTCTGTTTTAAAATTCTTGGCTTTTGTTACCCAGCCAAACTGGGGCCTGCTTGCCCAGTGCAGTAAGGCCAAACATGCACACTGAGTTTATGCAGTGGGAGAAAAGAAGGTGTTTTATTTGCAGAGTGCCAAGCAAGGAGAATACAGCAGCTCACACTTAAGACTCAAACTCCCCAATGGCTTGCAGGTAAGGGTTTTTAACAGAAGGGATAAATTTCAGGAAAACAAATTATAGGCAAAATCATAAATCAATATATGGAAGTTATACATTGGTTTGGCCTAAAAAGGCAGAATATCTTGAAGTGGGGTCTTACAGGTCATAGACAGATTCAAAGATTTTCTGATTTGCAATTGGTTAAAGAAGGGAATCTTTGTCTAAAGACTTGGAATCAGCAGAAAAGAATATGAGATCTGACTCGTGGTTGTTGCTTCCTCCACGCCCCTCAGAAAGAAACTTCGAACAACGCATGGCAGTCAGAGTTCAGTCTACAGCCCCCCGTCATCTGAGGTCTCCGTGCCAGTGGGTCCATTTGGTGGGGGTCTGAGTTTCTGAAAACTCAGGGACATATATTATAACATTATCTTCACTTTCTCGAGGGAACCAATGTCTCCTGATTCTAGCTTCCTTGGCTATTGTTTTAAGCTACTGTTACCTTCTCACTTACCAAGTTGCTCATTTACTTCTTAGGAATAGCTAGGTGCCTGGAATTTCCCTTGAAGGAACTCAAGATTTTCCTTTGAAAGCAGGGGTCCCTGCTTCATCTCAGTTTCATAATAAAAGAATCGAAGATAACAAATATACACCATGGATACAACCTCAGTACCAAGCTTAGCATGAAGTGGGAATTCAAAAATAATAATTAACAGTGTCATCTATTAAGACAAAACATTTTGAGACAATTATGGATTCACCCATAATTCCAGTATGTCCTTTTTTTTTAAAGAAGTCTTTTATAGTCGTGTTCTATGGAGTTCTTTTCACAGCTTAATTTTCTTCAAATCATTATTATTTCTCCTTCTTGTTTTCTTCAGTTTCAGTGCCAGTTAAAAGAAGTTGTACTCTAGCTAGTTTGATTTTTTAAGTAGATGCAGAGCTAAATTTTTGCCTCAGGATACATTTTCCAAATTCTCCTCCACCTCCTCAGTTTCCACCTCCTGTTAAAAGCACCTCCATCAACCCTCACTTAGACATTGCCTACTTGGGGGTTTTTGTCTTACCTTTGCATTGATCGCATGATTCCTGAGGACAAGGATTCTGAGCTCTCTCAGAGGGCAAAGTACATTGAGTTTGTTGCTTGTCTTAGGCAACATTTTAAAGTAGGAGAATATAGAGCTCTCCTCTGATGTCTGCAGCCTTCCCGGTTTTACCCCATAATTCTAAAACAAGAATAGTAAAAATCCCACCTCTCATCCACTTGGGTCTGACTCTATAGGACTTCTTAGGTGTTATCCAGGTAATTTGATCAATTAATTATATTAAGAGGAATCTTCTGGAAGCTGCTCCTAGAAGACTTGCCAAGCTCTCCCACAGACAATGGCCTCCACCTTCTCCTTTTGTTATCTAACCCCCAAGCGACTCAAGGGATCTGAATTTCAGAGTGAGTAGTGGTGGGGTCAGGCTGGTGGGGAACCTATTTGAAATGTTTGCACCGGCTTCCTGCCCAATGGGTCGAAAGAGCTATTTGAATTTTGTGGCAAAAAAAATTCTGTATGCCTAAAAGATGCCAGATGGAGAAGGAAGTGGTGTGTTTAGCCACAGGAGAGATACTGCATGGATAATAGGTTCTCTACCCGCTTTTTGTCAACGTCAACATCAGCTTGTCAGTCTGTTAGGTCGATCATATGTAAGAATAATTCTCAGCATTCATCAACTGCTGAGACCTTCCCAAACCTAATTTTATTCTCAAGACAAACCTGTCAATGAGGTTTTATTGATTGTTTCCATCATACACATGGAGAAATGGAGGCAGAGGTTTAGAGAGAAAAACATGAGTCAGAGTGGGAAGGGAATTAACCCAGGGGACAGTCTCTATAGTTCTTCCCTCTGAGTTTGCTACAAAAATATTATTTATAAATCATTTGAAATGGTGATAACACTGAGCCCGCCAATTCAATCAAGAAACAGCCTCTATGTTGTAGCTCCATTTATTTTTCACTGGCCAGAGGTAGTGCTGAGGTAACAATTGTAAAGGTGAGAAGTCACAACTTCTATTACGGATATCTAGGGATACCTACTGAGGACGACTTGCCTGAGAGCTTATGCTCCCAGCATTGGTGAGAAGTGCTTTCTCCTTGCTGGCTTTGAGCCACTTCCCAGAGGAGTTCCTGCTCCTCTGTTTAGAAATTGCAGAGTGGGTGTGGGCGTGCCATGTTTCTTAAGTTGCCTAAGACCCAAAAGGTTATTTTTAAAAATGTAAATATACACCCAAACTCATTGAAATAATGGTAATGGGAAGATTGAGCTGAAGACCGTGATTGAGAAATGCACGTTACCATGGTAATAACAGGGTGGGCAAGGCTAACTCTGGCCCTTCCACATTTATTTTAAACCAGTAGTTCTCAAATAGTAGCGTGCATCGGAATACCCTAGAGGGCTTGTTAAGAAACAAGTTACCAGCCCCACCCCCAGACTTTCTAATTTAGTAGATCTGGAGTGGGCCTTATAATTTGCATTTCTAACCAGTTCCCAGGTCTAGCCCTAGGGCCAAATCCATGTTTTCACCTGTTTTTGTAAGGTCTGCAAATTAGTAATAGTTTTTACAGATGAACCTTTGCAAATGATTCCATGATAGGCAACACTAATTTTGAACCCCAATTAAGCAAAATTCTGTCCCCCCTCACAATTACATTCTTTTCATTAGTAGACCTGCATTACACAAAAATTGTACCCAATATTACAGTTTGAATTTCATCAATGAAAACTTAGTGGAATTTTGTTTTTCTCCCTTGTTATATAATAACTACCCAGATAAGATGCTCAATTTTGTTTCTTGGCCCACAAAGCCTAAAGTATTTATTCTCTAGACTGTTAAAGAAAAAATTGCAGACCCCTGGCTTAACTGATGCTGCTGATGTGGGGATGACTTTGAGAACCACGTAAGCCATTTGCTAAGCTAAGTGTAGTAAACCCTCCTTCCACTGATTTAATACAATTCCACGGGCCCAACTGTCCTGGACTATCACACAATGCCGAGAGAGAGGCACCACCCCTCAACCTACAATGTTCCCCTCCAGGGAGCGAAGCTGCGGAGTCTAAAAACGTGAGGCAGTGGCTCAGCGTAGAGAAAGGATATTCCAAAACATCTAATGGGCACAACTGTAAGGGAAGTAACATTTGTTTTGGGTGTTGTCCCACCTCTCATTCTAAGCTGTTCCCATCCCAGATGCTGGGGACTCTGGGGATTCTCTGACTCTGCAATGTCCCCAACTCCTGCTCTCCAGTCAGACCTGCACCATTGCATCTGCAGCTAGCTCTGCAGTCATGCCCCAAGTAAATGCTGGTTAAGTAATCTGATTATAATCTTAGAATTTATAAGTCTGTGATTTATATCAAATATTCATGGTGTATATGACAGCTTCCTTTGTCATATGATATAGAAATATCTGTTACATTATATAGAAATTAGTGCACTGAAAAAAGTTTACTTTTTAAAAAATCTTGACTATTTTTGTCCCCACTCTTTAATTCTGCTGTCATTAGGAGATTCTCATATTTAAAAGTGCTCAAAGCAAGGTATTCTGTTGTAGCCTGTCTTGAAGGAGTACCACCTGTCTTCAGCCTGCTAATGAAAATTGGAATTCTCTGAGGAAAGCTCTGTCATCTAGAATCTTCTGACCAGTGGATGAGTCAGCTCAGGGCCTCTTCTCTGCATCTTCCTTGGACTCGGACTGTGGGAAGCCCTGTGGAAAGCAGGATGATCTAACAGCAGGATAAAGATTGTTTTTGTTATCATGTCCCATGGCTAAAAATTACCCACTGCTTTTCCTTCTTAAACTGGGATCCTCAACTTGGAATCTCTGGCTATTAATAAAGTCTGGAGAGAGCAATAGAGTGCATTGGTTAGGACCTCAAGCATCAGCAGACCTAAATCTGAGTTATCACTTTATCACTAACTGTGAGAGCTTGGACACAATGCTTGCCATCTCTTCACACCATCCACTCACATGTGCAATGGTGTAAAAATCACAACTACTCAGAGGTAGTTGTAAGGATGAAAATAGATAATGTGCAAAGTCCGTAGAACAGTGTGTGGCATGCAGCTTAGTGAGGGCTCCACAAATTGTAGGTTTGGTATTATTTTGCATAAGCACTCTATTAGGCAGAAGCTGATCGTTTATATATCTGAGCTACCCACTAAACTTATTCATCCATTGTCTTATTCATTTATTCATTTGATAAACATTTTTGAACACCTGTTGTGAGCCAAGCACCTTCCGGGATTTGGGGATACAGTGTGACCAAGCCAGGTGAGACCCCAGCCTCCTCAGAGCTCATTTTGGTAGACTCTGAGCTCCTAGAGAGGGAGATCCCATCCCTGTATCTCACATAGAGCCTAGCACAGCACTATACCCAGAAGAGATCCTTTCAAAATGCTGTTAAAGAATGACTGGGTAAGTGACACGCCTAAAAAGTGGGGAGAAAAGTCAGGTGTGGTTGCTTCCCCTCTGCTGTTACTGGGACTCAGCTACCGTTAGGAGTAGCCCCTCTAATATACGCAGATGGACCAAGACCGAAGCTGACCATCCTGAGTTCTGTGCCAGGAACTCCTTCCCAGGGAGCACAGAAGGAAAGTGCTGGGCCCTGGAGAGATGCCAGTCACTCCGACAATGGTCTTCATCTTAATTGCAGTATGTAATTCAGCACTAGGTTCCAAGTGGCAGCCACACTGAGGTTGTTTTCCCACATAACTCAATGTTCTTTTCATTGCCATGGTATATGAGCAAACTGTTCAGCTGTGAGTGAGTTCAGGGGAAGGAAATATAAGATTAGACTGCCATGCGTACTGAAAGGCAGAAAAGCTTCCATATTATGGAGCAATAAATTAAGGAATAATCACGAAAATGTTACAGATAATTCACATCAATCAAGTAACTTACAGTTACTTTATTATTTTAGATTATATTCATGATTATTATTTAATGTGTTTTTAATATGAATGTACAGCTTTATGTAATCCTTTTGTAATTGAGAAGGAATTAGAGGTCCAAGTGCTCTGAAATACTTTCTTTTTTTCAATTGCCCAACATTTAGAAGACTCCTGTTTTACAGCTAATGCCAATTATTCCACATAGACATACACTTTTTATCTCTTTATTGCATGTCGGGATAACTAAAATCTATCAGATTTAAAGTTTAAGTTTTATGGCCAAAGTCATATTTCTATTTCTGCATGAGTCTAACTAATGCTCATGGATCCACAGTCCCTACCAGAGGAATTCATCATTAGTCAATCAACAAATATTCCTTGGGGAGCCGCCTTGTGCAAGGTATGAGAATGGAGCCTTGGAGCTAGATACACAAAAAAATCACAGAGCTTTGTCCTTGATCTCTAGACACTTTTAGTTTTGTTTGGAAAATAAGACATATAGGCATGGGATGACAATTAAAAATATAAGGCAATAAATGTTGAATGTCAAATGATAGCATCAGAAACAGTTGCTGTGGAAGTCCACAGGCAACAGCAGTCTGGGGTCATATTTGGTTGTGGAAGCCTTGCCCACTGAATGTTGTTTGTTTCACAAAAGGTTGCCTGATGAAATGGGAGAAAAGTGGGGTAAGTCATATTCCCTTGCTACTTGAGTGTGATTTGAGAGCTAGCAACTTCAGCAACACCTGGGAGCCTGTTAGACCTGCAGAATCTCAAGCACGACCCAGGACTGACTGAGTCAGAATCTGCATTTCAACAAGATCCCCAGTGATTGTGCATTAAGGTCTCAGAAGCACTGGCCTATCCTGCAGATTCGTAAGTCACTTGTCTTTTTTGAAACAGCGTCTCTCTCAGTCACCCAGGCCCCAGTGCAGTGGCGTGATCATAGCTCACTGCAGCCTGAAACTCCGGGGCTCAAGCGATCCTCCTGCCTCAGCCTCCAGAGTTGCAGGGATTACAGGCATGAGCCACCATGCCCAGCCACTTTTCTTGTTTGATGGAAAGTTAGACTCATACTTGCTAATCTCATTCTCACTCCAATAAAAAATAAGGCAATTAAAGGAAACCATTCATTCAACAAAACTTTGTGTACCTTCTTGTGCTAGAAACTTTGTTCCAGTCACACACTAAATATATACAAGTACCCAAAGACAGTTTTGGATATTCAGTACTAGTGACTTCATACTGATGGCTCTGAGGCCTAAGGGTCAAACAGATTTGTAATACTCAGGGGTGTCTCCTTCATCAACTAGCAAACCTGGGTCATCCCCAGAAGTGGGGTAAATTTGTTAGAAACTCCTATGGGCCAGGCTCAGTGGCTCACACTTGTAATCCCAGTACTTTGGGAGGCCAAAGCAGGTGGATCATCTGAGGTCAGGAGTTCAAGACCAGCCTGGCCAACATGGTGAAACCCGGTCTCTACTAAAAATACAAAAAAACCCAAAAAGAAATAGCTGGGCGTGGTAGTGGGTGCCTGTAATCCCAGCTACTCGGGAGGCTGAGGCAGGAGAATCGCTTGAACCCTGGAGGCAGAGGTTGCGGTGAGCTGAAACTGCTCCATTGCACTCCAGCCTGGGCAACAAGAGCAAACCTCCATCTCAAACAAACAAATCTCCTATGGCGACAGAGTGATGCCCAGGGAAGGTGGAACTCTGTGCCGAAACAATGTTAGTTTTGCATTTGGTGTCCTACTGTCCTGACTGTCTATTCAGCAATCTATTTGACATTTCAACCTCTGTGTCTAACAGGCTTCTTAATAATAAACATCCAAAAGAGAAGTGTTAACTTTCTCCCGCAAATCTGTTTTGCCCCGATCTTCCTCTTCTTCATAAATGAGACTACCATCTGCCATGTTGATAAGCCAAAACTTAAAACTCATTCTGAAGTCTTCATCTGTCCTACCCACCACATGTAATCCAGGAGCACTCCCTGTCCATTCCACCTTCAGACTAGGATGCTGGCTATGTCCCCGTCGGGTCGTCTCCATGGGCACTATCGGCCGTCTTGCCTGGGGGATTGTGCTGGCCACCTACGGGGTCTTCCTGTCTCCACCCTTGCTCGTGTCCAAGCTCATCTCCATACAGCAGCCAGAATGGTCGTAGACAAATGTCAGTCTCTCCATGTCATTCCTCTGCTTGAAACTTTAATGATTTCTTATTTATCTTCAAATAAAACTGAAATGATCAGGCTCTGTTTGATTGGTCCTGTTGTTTCTTCCTCTTCCCCTGTTGCCCACCATCCTCCACCAAACTGACATTTTAAATTATTCCTTCAACATCCTCATGTCTTTTCTGCCTCAGGATCTTTGCATCTGTTACTTGGAATGGTCTAGAACTGTCTAGAGCGGTCTGCCTGACTCTTCACATGGTTGCCTTTTGATCTTTCAGAGCTCAGAGTAGCTGTGCTGACTTAGAGAGGCCTTCCCTGAAGTTCATCTAGCAGGCAACCCCAGCGTTCTGATGTACTTCGTGGCTCTGATGCCAACTACCAATCACATGAAGGGCTGAGACTTCATCTCTCTTGTTCATTTCTATTTCCCCAGCACACAGTGTGCTCCATACAAATATGTGACTGAATGAAAGTGTAGTTCTGGATTTGTGTGGCTTGATAATGTTTTTCCTTTTTCAGTGTAAATCTGAAATACTTTTTAATTCAATTAACCAAGTTTTAGAATAATGCTGCTATGCAGTTAACAGAGATTATTAACACAGGAATACACATTCTACCTCTGTATTTCATACAGGTAAAACAATGAGCCAGATGGAATTTGAATATAGGTGCCTCTAGCCAGCTGATCATATGGAGGACAGAGCTCATGCCCAGCACACAGCAGTCTCTGCAGTGTAGTCAAGCTTGCCACCAGATCCACTCAGACAGCACTGTAGCCACTTGGGTAGGGAGGAGTCTCCTCAATGGGCCTCTCTGGGTGTAGTGGAAGTAAGAGAGCCCTCTGAGTCCCTACGCCCTGACAGGAAGTACAGATGAATCCTTACTTAAACAGAGAGGAGATCACTCCACTTTCCTTAAGTGGTTTAGATTGTTGGTTCCTTTTGAACTCTAAGGAATTGGGCAATGTTTTAAAAAATTATAAACTACCTGTTTCCATGTCCAACACAATACTGAAGAGTCTCATGCTTGGTGATTGTGGGTGTGGCAGGTAGAATAATTCCAATGACATCTGCATCCTAATCCCCGCCCCTGCCTCAATCTGGAATGGGATCCCTTGCAAGGCAGACATGGTGAAAGACCTGAGATCGGGAGGTTATCCTGGATTCTCTGGTGGTCCTAGTGTCATCACAAGGACTCAATGTCATCACAAGGGTCTCTAAAGAAGTCAGAGCAGGAGAAGTAATGACAAAAGCAGAGTGTCAGAGTCAGATCGAGGCTTGAAAATGTTACACTGCTGGTTTTAAAGATGGAAGGAAGTCATGAGCCAAGGAAAGCTACAGTTTTCCTTGATGACCCTCCCACCTTAGCCTCCTGAGTAGCTGGGACTACAGATCCCAGCTCACTTGAGCCTGGGATATCGAGGCTGCAGTGAGCTATGTCTGTGCCACTGCACTCTAGTCTGGGCAAAAGAGTGAGACTCACAAAAAGGAAAAAATGACCATTTTATGTAGTTTTCTAGAAGATAATGAAGAATCCGTCTGTGGGACTTGATTCCTGTTTTCTTCCTGGAAAATGGTGTGGAGTGATAGATGGATGGTTTATTGCAGTTAGAAAAAACTGCTCCTGCTTTCCTACCACCTTGTGAGCATAGCTGTGGAAAGGGGAATTCTCAGCAAGCGTCAGAGCTCAGTGCTTATGATACAGTGAGAGCTATAGCTGACATTTAAATACTTTTTCATTTTTCATTTTAAACCACCCTGTAAGCATTCACTAATTAATCCTCATCAGGCACTGATGTGAAAGAATTACCTTCAATATTCTGCAGATGAAAATAGTTCATGCAGTACTTCAGAAAGTTCACCTGATGATGGAAAGGAGGAAATGTGTCTCTTGCCACACCTACTGCTGTATTTTAAAGCAGTCGTTCTCAAGAGGGACCTGGTGCTATCAAAAGGCACCTATGTAACCATACATATGAATACGTCAAGTGGATACTGCTTCCCGCTGTCCGTGCAGCAGCATCATCATCACAGTGCACACTTGATCCACATGCTGTGTGCCACACACGTGCATGCCCTATACCCCCATTACACCCTCCTCTCTCCCTTCAGAAGCTCCCACTCTAGGCCAAGCCCCATCATTTCTCCCCTGGGCTAAGGCAGTGAACCCCTGATAGATCTGCCTTCTCCCTTGCCCCCAACAGTCTCTCCTAGCAGCAGCCAGAGTGATCTTGTAAAAACTTAAATCAGATCAATGCCACTCTTCTGCTTCAATCCTATCATGATTTTTCATTTCCCTTACAGTAAAGTTTCTTCTTCTTACCTTGACTTCTGTTATGAACTGATCATTTATGTCCCCCCAGAATTCCTATGTTGAAACCTAACCCCCAGTGTGAAGGTATTAGGAGATGGATGGGGCCTTTGGGGGTTGAATAGGTTGTGAGAGTGGAGCCCTCATGAATGGGATTAGTGCCCTCATAAATAGAGTCCAGAGATCTCCCATGCTTCTCTTTCTGCCATGTGAGACTACAACAAGAAGACGACAGTCTACAACCTGGAAGAAAGCCCTCACTGGAACCTGACCATGCTGGGACCCGATCTTAGACTCCAGCCTCCAGCACTGTGAGAAACAAATGTTTGTTGCTTAAAAGCCACTTAGTCTATAGTACTTTGTTATAGTACCCTCAAAGGACTACAGTAGCTTCAAAGCCCTGCAGTGTCGGGTCCACACCAGCCTCCTGAATGCTGATCCTGGCTGATTACATCCAGCTACACTGGCCTCTTCCTCTTTTCTGAATGTCCCAGGCCTATACTCACCTCCAGACCTTTGCACTTGATACTCCTCTGGTCTTCCCATGACAGCTCCTTCACTTCTCAGCTCAGACGTCAGCTCCACAGAGAGGCCTCTCCTAACAATCCCATCTACAGGGACTGGGTATCTAATGTAAGTACCATAGTGACTAATAAAATGAAAATTAATTTGAAAATGCTGCCAAAGTCATAATTGGTTGCAGTCATTTGGAATGCTTTTTCCAATTAACAGTGGTCTATGAAAGTTTTTGATGTTAAAATGTGGTCCTGATACTTGAAAGTTTGTGAAAAGGATGAATTCCATCATGAAAGGAAAATAACTATTACATGGGGGCACTATATTTTTTAAAATGCTACATGATACAAAAAGATGACACTAGTGTATGCTGAGACAGTTGTTCATTATACATTTCTGGAACATTTCCCAAAACTACATACTGACTTTAATGTGGTAATGACGCAAACACCTAGTTTAGAGTCAGGCGTTGATTAACGGTAGTTCCTTACTCCTTGGATATGAGAGAATTTGTTTTCCTAAGCTTCTCAAAGTCGCAGGAGACTCTGCATTTGTTTATCAAGACTTAAGAAAGTATCATGGCAACACAAATAGGACCTATAAAAAAGAGAAAATTTACTATCAGTCTCACTGCAGGCAATTTAACTATCAGTCAACTTGTGAGACAAAATGTATCATTCTCTAAAATTTCCATTTGGGGAGCAAATCAGTTTATTTGTTATGTCAATAGAATGTGAGACTGAACTCTTATAAACTGCAAAAAGATTTGATGGTCTCTGACAAAAAAAATGAAAAAGCTGTAGAAAAATAAAATGATTTGAAAAATCCAAAACTTAGGAGAAATGTATACTGTAGAATGGGAAAATGATGTGTATAACCTCATGGTCTTTCTAAGGAGTGTGTCCCTGTGATCCAGTGGTGCTATTGTGCGTGGAGCACTTCAGTGCATTAGGGAGCAGGACCTGGAGTGAGTGGAACTGCTCTGCAAACCTGCAGGAAGAACTGGGGGAAAGAATTTGAAGGGTGGCACAGGAAGTATAAGAGGTGGGAATGAGGAGAAGAAGCTGGGTAATGCATGGGTAAGGGGTCAGTGAGAAACCTCCTTGATAGGAGAGGGTGGAGAAAGGGTGGACAAGGGATATTTAAGGACAGGAATACATACTGTGGGATACTAAGTTGTTGGAAATACACTGAATATATGACCTTCCCTAATGGTCCTCCAACCTTCAATACAGTTGGCTTTGCATAATTGTGTATGGGTATGGGTGTGTGTAAACCAAGAAAGGGCCTGAATTTCATGTCTGTTTAGCAAAACAAGGGGAAAAGTGGCCATGAGAATACAAGCCCTTGGAGGTGCACAGGGACCTCAATCTAATCCAATACAGTTCTTACAGAGGCCACGAAGTCACAGTGATATCTGGATTATGGCTCCTTAGAAGCCTCCAGGGGTCGTGGGTGGGAAGATGTAGTGAAGAACTTATTTTAGTGTATTCTGATACTGAAAGCTGTTGGTTTTCAGCTGAGGGTAATATTTAATTGGGAAGCCATAGCTTTTATCTTATTGTTATACACGTCTTTATATGGAAGACAGATGGTCTTTAATGCTGCACATCAATACCAGAACATTTTTCACTATAGTTTTATAAAATTCCTACCTGTACATATGTTCAGAAATAATAGAGACATAAATTTAGTTTCACTGAAGAAAATTCCCTAAAATGTGATAGGATAATGGTTTCACAAACATTTGAGAAATAGCTGTAAGTGGTGAGCAGAGAGATGTTAGTCTTTCAGAAGTTATTGGAATTTTCAGTTTGATGCCAAGCTCAGAGGAATATAAATGGCAGCTATGAAGTCATCATATTTTAAATTTGATTGTATTATTCCACATAGCACATTTTTTTCCACATAGCACATTTTTATTTAAGTAGGGGAAAACAGATTTGAAGTAATCTGATTAAAAATCATATCCTGGGGCATCACCTGAAAATATTGAAACCCACCTGTATGAGAAGTGGAAAAGGGACTTCATCCTGGGCCTTAGTCTGAATTTTGATTCTGCAAGCTAATGTGGCTCTTTATTAAGATAACTTGAGGCTTGTAATATCTTTAGTTTTCAACAAGTTTATTTCATATACATTTCATATATTTTAAATGTGTCCTTTGAATACGTTATTATGAAATGTTATATGAGAATGTCAGTCTTCTGATAAAAAGCAAAGAAGGTTTAAGTTTTGTGTTCTGGGAAGATATGACTCAGGGACTTGGAGAGAAATCTACTGAGCAAACAAATATAGATAGTTATGAAAAAACAAGGGGCAATTATATCTCCTTTCCTCTAGGAAGAAATAATTCTACTTCCTATAGTATATGATGGCAACGGTAATCTGTACAACTTTCTGGAAATATGCTGCTAACAAGTTAACATTGAAAGGGACCATTGCTTATGTGGGAAATGAAGCCTACATGTTGGTTGCAGTTTGCAATGAGTCATCATGATCTATCAGTGTTGAAAATTAGGGTATGTTGCTGCTTTACAGAGCATCTTTCTGGAAATATGCAGTTAACGAGGTAACACATCTGTGGTGGTGGGGACATTTCTTTAAGAGGAAGATAAAGGGAGACAGTGATGAAACTCTCTGTGCTTTCCTCTCCTTTCTCCTGCTTCCCTTGTCTCTTTCCCCTCCCCCGAGTTAGTTCCTTTTTCCCTGAGTAGTTGTTTCTCTCTCTCTCTCTCTCTCTCTCTCTCTCTCTCTCTCTCTCTGTCTCTCTCTCTCTCTCTCTCTCTCACACACACACACACATACACATGCACCTGTATTTGCTCAGTCTAGGAAAGCTTAGGCCAAAGGTTTAAAGTTATATTCAGGCTGAAACTCTTTCTGTCTTGTACTCATGGAGGTTATGAAAATGATCACAAAAAAATGTGAAGCTCATTTCAAATAAAATGCTATGTCTGGGCCAGGCACAGTGGCTCACACCTGTAATCCCAACACTTTGGGAGGCTGAGGGGGGCATATCACGAGGTCAGGAGATTGAGACCATCCTGGCTAACACGGTGAAACCCCATCTCTACTAAAAATATAAAAAATTAGCTGGGCGTGGTGGCAGGCGCCTGTAGTCCCAGCTACTCGGGAGGCTGAGGCAGGAGAATGGCATGAACCCGGGAGGTGGAGCTTGCAGTGAGCCAAGATCATGCCACTGCACTCCAGCCTGGGTGACAGAGTGAGACTCAGTCTCAAAATAAAATAAAAATAAATAAATATATGCCATGTCTGAATGGAGGAGGTCAGTGATTCTTCAAGGAGAGATTTGCATTTGGCTGGACAGCACATTCTAGCCACCAATGAATCAACAGCTTGTACATGGTTTGTAAAGGACAGCACTCGTGGTCCCCAGGTTCGGAATGGACACTTCTGCAGGCTTCATCACACTCACCATCATTACTCAAGATCCTACACTTCTTTCCCTTCAAAGACATCAAAGTAGCTTGAAAAGAAACACTGCCTATCTGGAAAATGAGGCCTACATGTTTGTTGGAGTTTGAAATGAGTCATCATCATCTATCAACATTGAAAATTAGACTATGTTGTTGCATTATTGAACCTGACAGTACAATAAAAGTGAAAAAAAAGAAGCAAGTTATTTGCATCACTGGAGTATGGTTAATGTAGTCAACACATGCTTTTTCAACATTTGCATCAAGTCAATGCTTTCGGGCTTCCGATTCTGATAAGGATGGGTTTTATTTATCAAAAACCTACTATGTGCCAGATACTCTATGTGACACTTGGTATACTTTGCCTTACAAAACCATTGCATCCTTCCTTTAGGATTGACATATTATCTTCACCTTATAGATGAAAAAAACTGAAGCTTGAGGATGCTAAGTGCCTGGCCCTGGTTGGGCCACTAGTTGATGACAAAGCAGGTGGATTTGACTCCATAGTCTGGTCTTTCCTATGATGTTCCCCCTTGATAAGGAAAGGAATGCTGAAACAAAAAATCTGTGGAATGGTCAAGATATTAACCACCAGCCAGGGAGTGATGTGGGAGTGGTATTTATTTTGCTATAGATAAAGAATTTGCTTAATAGGAAACCAAAGGTAGAAAAAAAAGATTGTTTCTCTAGACAGAAAAATTTTAAGAGTTCGTTTAATTGTTTCATAAGTGATTTGGATTGGAGAGTATACAGTGAGATCTCCAAAATTAAAGATGGAAGTGAAATGTCAAACTGACAGGGATAAACCATAGTAAGATCTCATGAGATTTCCTGAGTGGGTAGAGAAGCAGAAAATGAGCTATGGCGTGGGCAACTGCAAGGCAATATAGTCGGACAAAATAATATAAGCTTTGCTGATGACATCTCTTGGTTTCAATACAGGAATAAAAGCTTGACATCGATGTAAAACATTATGAATATATAGCATATTTTTAAAAGATGCTTTAAATTCATTATTTTTTGACCTTCATAAGGAATCAGGGAGAAAAATTACTTGTTACTAATCCCATTTTATAAAAAAGTAAAGACGCAAGTTGCTTCAGTGACTTTCCCATCTGGTAGTTAGTAAAATAACTCTGTGTTAGGCTATATTTCTATAAAGAAATACCGAACAATGGGTAATTTATAAAGAAAAGAGGTTTAATTGGCTAATGGTTCTGCAGACTGTACAGGAAGCATGATGCTGGTATCTGCTTGGCTTCTGGGGAGGCCTCAGGAAACTGACAATCATGTTGGACGGTGAAGAGGGAGCAGGCATGTCACATGGCAAGAGAGAGAGGGAGGGTGCCACACACTTTTAAATGACCAGATCTCACACGAACTCGCTATTTTGAGGACAGCACCAAGGAGATGATATGACATCATTCATGAGGAATCCACCTCCATGATCCAATCAGCTTCTACAGCCCCCACCTCCAACACTGGGGATTACATTTCAACATGAGATTTGGGCAGGAACATCAAGCTCTAACTAGAAACCAGTAATGCAGATTCACAGCTCATGCCATTCCTACTCCTGTAGATTCTTCTATAGGGCCATAAAGCCAGTAATTTCAGGTTATTAAGAGGAGACATTATCATGTCTTTATTATATTGAGGCTTTGGAGTCTGACATCCTGGACTTGAAGCCCATTTTTCCACTTGCCAGAATACTTATATAAAACAAGTTATTTAAATTCTGGAGAGTATTTATTTACTCTCATTTAAATGTTGATATAGGAGAGCACCTGCCTCACAGAAGGTGTTTTAAGTATTAAGTGAAGTAAGATATAAAAAGACTAAGAAGAATGCCTGGCACACAAATGTTGAGCAAATGTTAATTTTCATTGTTGTAAATGGGTAGGATGGTGCAGTAAACTCAGACTTTGAAGTATTCTCTGTGCTCTAAGCATACAGAAATGATTGACAAAATAGAAGATAAAATAGAAGAAGGATGCAGTGGTGTACTTTTGTAGTTCCAGTTACTCTAGAGGCTGAGGTGGGAGGATTTCTTGAACCCAGGAGTTGGAAGCCAGCCTGGGCAACATAGAGAGACCTTGTTTCCAAAATAAATAAATAAAATAAAAGGAAAAGGCAAATAACCAAAGCTGGCTTACAATTCCCTATGAAATTTCCCGAGACCAGAAATGGAATAACAATGTAAAACAGCAGTTAGGTTGGAGATGTGGGTTCACTGCTTTTGGGATTGGAAGCAGGCAGGGGTAGGTGCAGTCTGGTTCCTGCAGAATAAGGGAGACCAAAGCCCTTCACCTGAGGTGGAGTCTAGCACCAACGTCAGTGTTTGAAGCCTGGGTGCTAACCCATTTCTCATGAGGAGAAGCTGTAAAAAACTGCTGCTAACATCTACAGCTTACGTAACCAAGGGGGATTGCAGGCATAGTGGGACAACACGGAGCCTCATGAAATGTCCTGTTGACCAGGAGACAGAAATGAAGATAATTATACTGAAAAGCAGGTCTGGATAATAATATAAGACCTAACTTTGGGCTGTGGCTCAGACAGGTGGATGAGGGCAACTCCTAAACTTCTAGACAGGAAGTTTGGAGCACAGAGGAAGGGAGAAATCAAAACAAAACAACCAAACTAAAACTTCGAAATAATCCTGCAAATCTTTCAAAAGACTTTTTGGTTTGTAAAATTCACAAAGACATTTGATGCTAACAACAAAAAAATTGATAATTAACATGAATTAAGTCCAGAAGTTAAAACAGTCTATCAGTCTGAGAAATATATTAAAATAGGTATATTTAGTATGCCCATAATACTCATAAAAAGAACAATATGTGAAAGAAAAAGAGGCAAAAATAAAAACAAGGTCATCTAGCTATACTAACATTCAGTTTGAAATTCTCGACATAAAAAAATGTTATTAATATTTTTAAATGTAATAAACAATTTAAACAACAGGCTGGACACAAATAAAGAATCAATGAACTGGAGAGTAGTGCTGAAAGAATTACCCTGGAATGAAGCATAGAGAGCCCAGAGTAAAATACGAAAGAGAGGTTCAGATACACGGTGGATAGACTGATAGGCTCCAACAAATGTCAGTTGAAATTTCAGAAGAGAAGCAAGAGGGAATGGAAGAAAACAATATTGAAAGAGGTAATAGCTAAAACCTTTCCAGATTTTAAGAAATGTGTCCACAAATTGAAAGTACTTATTAAATGCTAATAAAGATAAACTAAAATAAATCTATAACTTAACGTCAGAATGAACATGTAGACAATCAGAAATAAAAAATAAAATCCTAGAAACTACCAGGGAGAAAAAAAAGATTTTTTTTTTTGTATGTGACTATTCATGGCAGCTTTATTAATATTAACCCCAACTATCCATCAACTTATGAATGGACAAATAAAATGTGATACATCCATATAACGAATAACTACTCAGCAATTTAAAAAAGGTGCAAGCTACTGATATATATAACAACATGATGAATCCCAAAAGCATTATGCTGAGTAAAATAAGGCAGACACAAATGAGTACATGCTATATGAGTTCATTTATATGGCATTCTAGAACAAGTTATCTACAGTGACAGCAGATCAGTGCTTGTTGAGAGCAGGAGGTGGAGGCAGAGTCAACTGCACACAGCAGAATAAAACTTTCTGCTGTGATGGAAATGATCTATCATTGGTGTGTGAGTTACACAGGGATAAACCTTTAAGACAGATTATTGGCAAAGATATGATACAAAGAGAGATTTCTCATCAATGATAAATGCCAGAAAACTGGATTTAAAATTTCAAAATACTAAGGGATATCATTTTCAATCATGAATTTTATACCCATCTAAATTATCATTCAAGATTGAATGCAAAATAATAGAGACATTTTTATGCATAATAAAAGGAGAGTTAACCAAGCACAGACCTTCACTGTTAAAGGTTGTATCTATTCAAGAAGAAAGGAAATCCAAGCGACAGAAAAAAAAGCAATAAACATAGGAATTAATAAAATATGCTAGTAAACGTAATTAACAATAGATTATAAAGTACAAATAACTACAGCATATGATTTCAGTAAAGCAAAAGAACCCTAACTCTAATTAGTCAAATATGCAAGTTTATAGTTTGGTGTGTATGTTATACATTTAAAGTCATTACGAAAATACATGAATCTGCACATGGGATAAAATCACACAGAAGTGAACACATACACACGAATGCATGTAAAAACGATGAAATCTGCATAAGGTCACTGGATTTTAACAATGTTGATATCCTGGTTGTGATATTATCCTTACAGTTATGAAAGATACTACCACTGAGGAAAATTAAGTGTTTACAGGATCTCTCTGTATTATTTCTTACAAGTCCATGTAGATCTATAATTATCTCCCAATAAAAAGTTAAAAATAATATAAATATAACTCTAGTTTCCATACTTTCCATGGAAGACAAAAGTTGGGGATATAGAAAATCCTATCAATTCAACAGAAGACAGGAATGGGGAAGTGAAGAAGCAGATGAAAAGGATGATAACAGAAAAAACAATGTGAAATGTAGGTATAAATTCATATATAAGACGAATTACAATGATGGATTATCTCTATCCATTAGCTTAAGATAAAGACTATGGGAATGAATTAAAAACAAAATCCAACCATATGCTACTTTAAAAGGACATATAAAACAAAATGATACAGATATGTAGAGAAAAAAGGTATACTAGGTAAATAATACTGACCAAATTTTAAAATATAGCTGATGTAGCAGCATTAATATGAGGCAAATAGAATTTAAGGGGAAAATTATTAACAGCAAAACAGTGATAAAATATATAATCAGATAAGAAGCTGTAGCAATTGTGAACTTTTTGATATAGAAATTAGGGCTGAAAGACAGACATGATTAGCATTTATAAAACTATGTTCATGAGCTTTAGTTTTATTCAATTTAATAAATTGTATTAAACTCCTGGCTAAGCACTCCCTTGAAATTTTAAAAGCTAGACTTAGGAAATTGTTTTATTTATATGTAGAGTTAAAATTTGGCTGACATGGTTCATCTTGGCTGAAAAAATTAGTATAGTCTAAAATTTTTAGTTAGATAAATGAAATACAAAACCACATTTGTTATTAAGAAAGTTTTGTGTGTATATTCTTAACCTTTAGGGTTAGAATTAAAGAGAGTGACCAAGCTCTTCTATAACATCTATTTGTTCCAGTGTCAGGAGCAGCAGGTTGTTGTAGATTATTTTTCTGACACAACATACATTCATTATGTCATCTAATTTACAGTGAAAGTATGTGAACTGCAAAGGTTTATTCAAAATGACCTTGCTGTGGTCTGATTGTTTGTGTTCATGTCAAAATTATTATGTTGAAATTCCAATCCCCAAGGTGATAGTATTAGGAGATGGAGCCTTTGCAAAGTGATTAGGTTATGAGGGCTGAGCCCTTGTGATTAATATCAGTGCCCTAATAAAATGGAGCCCAGAGAGCTGGGTCTTTCCTTCTGCCATGTGAGGTTATAGTGAAAAGACTGCCACCTAGGAAGCAGGCCCTCAACAGACACTGAATCTACTGATGTCCTGATCTTGGACTTCCCAGCCTCCAGAACTGTGAGAAATGTTTCTTTTGTTTATAAGCTACTCAGTATGTGGTATTTTGTTATAGCAGCCCAAAAAGACTAAGACAGACCTTTTGGTATTGTTATTATGAATCCAGCTGTCTTTTCTGAGAGGCTGAATTCTGAAAGCCCAACACGTTCTGGGTTAAAGACAGACATTCTGGAGTCAGGATAACAGAAATACGTGGAAGCAGGGATACAGTACCCCTCACACAGCACAGTTGATGGCCTCTTTTGTCTGACATGGAAAGAGCCTATTGTGCACCTTTTCTTACCAGGCTGACACACTCAAACCTGGGAGCTTTTTTTATAGCTTTTGTTGGGATTATTATTGTGCATAAGTCATACCAATGAGGTACATATAACCTTTCAGAGTAGGTCTTTCAATTAATTAAATTTAAAAGGCCAGCCTTCTCATGATGAATGAGAACCCTTAGTGAGCCCCCATCCATGCCTCTTCTCTCTGATGTAGGTACAGGGATTAGGCTGGGGAGGAGGGAGTGGCAGGGCCTTGGTGAAATAGTACAGATGTCCAGGTATATGCCTGCACACACACACACACACACACACACACACACATGCATGCACACCACTTGCAATACACCTACCAGAAAGAGATTGTTTTAAAAGACAAACTAAATTGACTTGCAACAAGCTCTCAATTGTTTTAAGCTTGTTCCCAGTGTTGTGGGTCACCAGACCTGTACATGTTTGCACTTCGTAGTTAGGTCCTGGGGAAACAAAGCACAACAAAGAACAATGGAGTATCCGATGCAAAAGGATTTGGACCAAGCAAAAGACAAATCTTCAGGTGTTTGACCCAAGTTCAGATACTGGCACATTTCTCATTCTATACCTACCTTAATAAAATCTCACACCTTGCAGGAGCTAGTTGAATGACCCCTGAGGGATTAATGGTCTATAATTCTGGGGTTCTGGCTCTCCTGATACAATCACATCAGCCTGGCTGGCTAATGGAACTTCAGAAGGTTTTGCAAATATAGTACCAAAAGTGGATATATTTTATTAGCTGGTTGACTAGCCTTATATTTGTGTATATTTTTTTCCTTCTCTCATGCTTTACAAATAATTCTTAGTGCTTCGTGTCACTTTTCTAAATCTTGGCCTCATGTTTCTGAAAGAAGCTTGTGTGCACACACACACACATGAGCCCATCTTCCTCTGCAGTTTGCATACTTGCTTTTTGGATGTCCACAAAAGGACAGCCTTAGAATCAGTGGTGTGCTGGAGCTAACTTACACTGGCTTGGAAGAGCTGGCTTGGGGTATCTTTTTCCAAGTCTAATATTCAGTGACGCCATATTGGGAGCTTGAAATCAGCCATGATGAGTATTTTCACCATGGAAATTGGCAAATGCTATAGACTAGGGCTTTGTTTTCCCTCTGAAAAGTCAGTTGTTAAAGAGTTACCAGCATTCCACTGCTCAGAATACTCAATCCACAGTTAATTTCCCCTCAGACAACCTGCCATAGCCTGAAGCAGGGTCGTCTCAGAGACTGCTCTGTTTGCAGTGCACAATTTGACTGGGAGGTAATGACACCAGTTGGATTCAGAGGCTTATAGGCATTTATGTTTCTCTTAGCATAAGACTAAGTATTAAGGTTTTTATTCCAGGTTATTATGAATACAATTATGCCTTGACATTAGAGGATCTTTTTGAAAAGATCCCAACACAAGTGTGTTCTTTTGCAGAAGTTTTTGATTTCCTATTGTTGGCTCCTACTATACCAAATCATAATTCTTACCAAACATGCTTTTCTTGTCAATCAACGAATAAAATATTTAATGTGTATTTTTCACATGTAAGGCATGGTGATAGGCAATATGTTAGATACAGAGAATAATTGTCTAGCCTCAAATTATTATCTTCAATAAGTTTGTAATTTAGAGAGAGATGCAAAACATGCACACATGAAAAGTTACATAAGAAAATGTATAACAGTGTAGAATTTGATTGTATCCAGGCTGTCATGTTTTTCCCTTAACTTCAGTCTCAGCACATCATCGCATCAAAATACACACACACACACACACACACAGAACCTATTGAAGATTCTGATTAAAGGTTTCTGAAGGGTGAATACCAGGAGACAAGGAAGGAAGTTACATCTCACATTATGCAGCCAAACTTTCTAAAAATCCTCTTTGAATATTTTTCTCTTCCCCCAAATTATTTCTCCCATAGCATGCTTCTTGTCTCTTCTCTTTCCTTTCCTTCTGTCCCTTTTTTCTTTATCCTTCCCTCTCATGCCTCATGTGAGCTCTGTGTTCCCATTTCTTCAGATGTTCTTGAGAGTTTGGCAAAACAAGGATCTCATGGGAGACCCACCCTCATTAGAAGGTAAAGAAGAAAAACTTGGTAAATTCCTATGATTCCATGTGCTTCTGCCACCAGTAAAGGATGAAAATTCAAGATGTGTCATAAGAAATATTCTAAATTAGAGGTAAAGAGTTGTGAGTTGTAAAATCAGAGAGGGGTAAACATGAAAAGATCATTTTGGGGAGTGGAAAAGCTTTCAGAAGGAGGAAGTGGTAGATGAGTAGACGTTCTTAAAATATAGAGAAAGGGAGTGGAGTAGCCAGTTTAGTGCTTCCTCACTTATGGGGTTCCCTGGAAAGTCATGGAGATGGGCTCACAGCCACCTAGTGAGGAGGGTAGTCAATGTGTCCAGGGAATGCAGATAGTCATCTCTTGCTTTTCATCTTATCATGTCCTTCGACATCCTCAAAATAACCACTAGTTCACAGACTCTTTTCTCCTCTCTCCAAAGAGGAGGAGGAGTCCATGTGTTAGGCAGGCTAAGTGAAGAGCAGTTAGATTTTTAGGACATCTCCAAGATCATGCTGCAAGTTAGCATGGACGTAGGTCAAGGTCATTCCTAAGATATGTAGATTTTACCCAGGACTCTGACTGTTAATGTATTTAATGGGACAGTTTTTTCCAAGTAATTTTGAGATTACAATTTATACCAAAAGAGATAAACCTGGGTTTCCCTTGCTACACACAGTTATGCACATGAAACCCAATAACCAACTGGAGAATGGTTCTGTCATGCTGTTCAGGTCAGAAAACATCAGCCACCACCCTCATAGCATTTTTTTGCCTGTATTTTTGTATCAATCAACTAAATAAATTTTTAGGACAGTTTTCCCCTCTTCTTGCCAATGCAGACTCAAATGACTTTGATGTAAAAAGACAGTTTGGCTGTAAAATCTATTGTCAGCAACTTTGCAAAGTTCCTGGATTAAGAATTTTCAGCCTCCTCCTCCTGTCTGGTTGATAAGTTCAGAAATTTCACTCAATCATTATAAATTATTATCAAAACGCAAAGTTACTGCAGGAATTTGCACACTTTCCCATGTCCTATTGATGGAGCTGTCAGCATGGGGCATGGGGAGCCCAGAGTATTACATAATCGCTGTGTGAAGTCATTAAACTAACAGCAACCTTATTTTCTTCACTTTCATGTCTGAACATCTACATTAATCTCAATCTCTCCATTCCCAATCAACTAATAAGTACTCCCACTCTTCTGACAGTATCGAAGGCACTTGAGTCATTCAACAGAATTTCATCAGGGCTTCAGGGATATTTGGCTCATCTGGATTCTGAACAACTTTTCCATCATCAGCAGCAGCTCCTTCTGGCCATGTGACCTTGACTAAGTTATTTAACATGTTTCTGAACCTCAGTATTTTCATCTTCAAGTTAAGTTAATTATATATTCCATCTCTTCCCAGGCTGTTATGAACATCCAGATTAGCTAATATGTAAGAAATTACTTGGCAACTCGAAAGTTCTGTACAGTATTGTAGTGACTTATATCCTCTTGTCTGATGAGAAAAGCAAGATTGCTATTGAGTCTAATGTTTCACACTCTGGTCCCGAGTGCTGGCATTGAAGGGTTTTTTTGTTTGTTTGTTAGTGTGTTTGTTTGTTTTGAGACGGAGTCTTGCTCTGTCACCCAGGCTGGAGCACAGTAGCGTGATCTTGGCTCACTGCAACCTCTGCCTCCTGGGTTCAAGCAATTTTCCTGCCTCAGCCAACCGAGCAGCTGGGATTACAGGTACCCACTACCACACCTGGCTAATTTTTGTATTTTTAGTAAAGACGGGGTTTCTCCAGGTTGACCAGGCTGGTCTCAAACTCCAGATCTCAGGTGATCCACCCACCTCAGCCTTTCAAAGTGTTGGGATTACAGGTGTGAGCCACCGCGCCCAGTCTGAAGTTTAATGCTCTGACTATTCTGTAGCATTTCTAGGATGTTCAATACACAAAAGTGGTAGTGGTTTTCTTTAGAACGTTATTTATTTCATGCAGATATCTAACATGTTGCCCCCAAATCCAAGTAACATTGTAGACATGGCATATTATTATGCTTTTTTGACATATACATTATGGAGGAAAATAGGGGTAAATCATTTCCAGTAGTCACTAGTACATTTCCAACAAATAATAAGTCATTCTATTGAAGCCAAGATTCACGTGAACCACACATAATCCAACGTAAGAGAGATTGCCCAGAAAAAAGAAGCACACCATGAGAACAAACAAACAAATTAAAAAATAACTCAGGTGGCCGGCAGCCACTCTTCCTGTTTCTCGTTTTTGCAACCATCAGTAAGTTCTTCCCAATTCTGATCTGGGTGCCTCTTTCTTTTCCTCTTAATTCTCCTGAGTCTGCATCATGCAAGCCTAAGAACAAAGCTAGTGAAGCAGATTGTTCCCGAGTGCAGGTAGAGAGGGGAACCTGACTGGACAGGGAGGGATGCCAGGGATACTCGTACGTTCAGAGTTTTTGACCCATCACAGGTATCAAGATGTGGTGAGAATTCTCAATTGAATCGCTTCAGGATTTAGCTGTGTCTGGGTGACTGGAATCCTGGAGCAGGGTAGGACTGCTCAGGACTTATTTGTATGAGGAACCAAGGAAAACCTTGGAAAAGAAGGCAGACAGAAAGAAAGGGTCCTTGAGCAGGATACATTTCATTGAGGTCATGGCGGGTATCTTACCTCCATCCATCTAGAGGTATTTCAGAGGGATGGAGGTATCTGAAGAGGGTATTTTAGAGGGTATTTTAGAGGGGTGGAGGTATCTGAAGAGTGTAAATATCCACCTCTGCATTGTCCCTGAGCCTGGGTCACATGGACTCACATCAGAAACGTGGGGAGAGCAGCCTATCATAGAACAACAGATGGAAATAAAAGAGCTGAGGCATTGCAAAAGGAGGGAATGATCAGGGCTGGTGCCAGCAGCTCCTGCTGCAACAGGCTTTGCATCTTCAGCACGGGCAGATGTCAGTGTGCTCAGGGCAGGCCCTGGACAGTACCAGCTGTGGTTGGCAGTCCGCAACTTTGGCAAGCACTAGAAGTATAACTGATGGTTTTAGTGTCAGCAATGATGGAGGCTGGAGCCAGAGAGGAGCCAAATGGCCAGTGCTCTAGAACAGAACTTAACAGAACAGAATAGCCAAGAGAACTCATTGGGAATATCCAGAAGAGCTCTAGAGGGTAGGAGAATGGTTGAGACCCCTGAGTAATTCGCTGATCTTGCTTTTCAGCCTTCCCATTTATATCATTTTTATGAGTATCTCTGTAGAATGTAAACTCAGAATGAGTGGCCCAAATGCTCCATTTTTCTCTCAGACCCACCCTGGGTAAATGCCTTGAAGTTAATCAGCATGTTAAAGGTTTGGTTCTTAAAAGAATTAGATACTTTTTTAAAGGAAAACATAGGTTAGAGGCCATGTTAGACCATCACATAATATATAGCAGATAGGCCGGGTGAGGTGTCTCACGCCTGTAATCCTGGCACTTTGGAAGGCTGAGGTGGGCAGATCACGAGGTTAGGAGTTCAAGACCAGCCTGGCCAACATGGTGAAACCCCGTCTCTACTAAAAGTACAAAAATTAGCCAGGTGTGGTGGCGCACACCTGTAATCCCAGCTACTCGGGAGGCTGAGGCAGGAGAATTGCTTGAACTCGGGAGGCAGAGGTTGCAGTGAGCTGAGATCATGATACTGCACTCCGGCCTGGGTGAGAGAGCAAGACTCCATCTCTAAAAATATATATATATATATATATGTATGTATATATATATATGTATATATATGTGTGTGTGTATATACATATATATACACACACATATATATATAGCAGATACAACCCACAGACATACCATCTGCTTTAAGCTTCATTCTTTCTTGCTATGTGTGCCCTTAGTTCTCTCATTTATGAAATAAAGGACTGATACTGATGATGCAGAACATACCTTTCAGCTGTAAGCATCCACCTTCCCCGAGTCAGCAGCACAGCTAGCTGCTTAGTAGGTTCAAGGCTAGTGGTTGTCTCCATTATTAAACAAAGGAAAGATAAAAATCTGACAAAAAGGTGCATTTGGTTCAGGTGCAATTCAAGAACTTGGGGAACATCAGCATGCATGTTGGATGAGGCTGACTTAAAAGGTGGAGAAGAGTTCTGGGCTGAAGGACAGGGGTCCCTAAGTGTGGATGTACAGAGGGAAGGATGATTGGTATTCACAGTGGCATCTGAACTTAATAAGGAAGCAGAAGAAGCATGCAGCCGGATTGTGATGTGATGGGCACATCCTTCTAGAACCTCACAGCTTGTCCCCAGCACAGTCACTCTCAAAGAGGGACCCAAAGCCCTGCCCATTGAGTCTGATCTTTAGATGCTGTGAAGTCCAAGGACACGTGCCTGTGTGTGCTCATGAGCATGCACACATGCGTAATTGCAATTAGAAAAGTATTGCTTATCAAAGTTCAATTAAGAAAGTTCGGGAAATACAGAAAAGTGCATAGAAAAAAAAAAAGAAAATGATCCACGATCGCATTACTTACAAGTAAAACCTATTCATATTTTGGCTTGTTCCTTTCCTGTCTTTTCCTATACAGATGTAAAATATTACTAAATTGTCGTATACAACTGTGCATCCTAATATTTTCCCTATTTTGCGACAGATAATATTATACTGGTTACTTACAGCATTTTTCTACATAGATGCATCTCATTCACTTGGATGTTCTTTTTCTGTTTTACATTTATGTTATTACCAGTATGTTTCTATTATAAATGACTTTTAAACATATTTGTACAGAAAACTTTGGTCCATATTTCTAATGACTTTCTTGGACAGATTCTTAGGGCGTGTACATTTTAGAAGTTCATAGTGTATTCCTTTCTTTATCTTAGTGAATGTGGGTTGATGGTAATGCCCAGACTATACAGGGTCCTGGGCCCTGTAGCTAGAGAGGAAAGAGGCAGGACTGCTTGACCTCTGTAGCTCATAGGTCTGCAGGAAACAGAGAAAGTTTAGAAGCACTTACAATAGGGTGTTTCATTTGGGTGCGAGATGTGTGAAGCCCCTGGTGTTGTCAGACAGCACTAGCAGAAGAACTAGAATGCCTGCCCCTGAAACGGGGGGCTCTGATGCTGCTGAAGAAAGGACATCCAGGCTGAGGCCTGAGGAGAGTATGCAGGAGCCGAGGGGAGCAGGAGGAGACAGGGTGCCCGGGCAGTCTGTCCAAAGGGGATGTACAAGGATTTTTGAGAGAAAGTATAGGGGAATTCAAGTTACTGAAAGGAGCACAATAATACTGAATAGTAAGGTGTTAGAGAGAGGAGTTTGCAGAGACAAACTAGGCCATATTATTAGTATCATCTAAGGCAGGGGTCCCCAACCCCCGAGACACAGATCAGTACCAGTTTGTGGCCTATTAGGAACAGGGCCCACAGCAGGAGGTGAGCAGCAGATGAGCGAGCATTGCCGCCTGACCTCTGCCTCCTGTCAGATCAGCAGTGGCATTAGACTCTCACAGATGCGCAAACACTATTGTGAACTGTGCACACAGGGGATCTAGGGCGCATGCTCCTTATGAGAATGTAATGCCTGATGATCTGAGGTGGAATAGTTTCATCCCGAAACTATCTCCCCGCAACCCCTGGTCTGTAGCAAAATTGTCTTCCATGAAACTGGTCCCTTGTGCCAAAATGGTTGGTGACCACTGATCTAAGGCATTTGAGAAACTGGGGGGCAATAAGGAGCCATTGAAATGTTCTCAGTAGGAGTGGGAAGTGATTAACCCTGGGTATTAGATAAAGGTCACTTTGGTGCATATCCAAGAAGGGAGAAGGCTGGAGGCAGGGAGGCTATGTGGGAGGTGGTGAAAGTAATCTAGGTGAGAAACACTGTCATTTCCATAGGAAAATGGCAGCCAGAGTGGAGAGGGGCTGTTCCCAGGCTATTTAGGAAGCAAAATCGATAGGATTCAGTCACATCTGATTTGGGGGAAGTGACTAAGTGAGTTGGAGGGCTCTTGAGCTTGTCCTATGTGTATGACTGGGTGGGTGGTGGCCCCAGGCAGGCAGAGAGGGCACACAGGCACAGGAGATGGCTGGAGGTGTGCAGAGAGCAGGTGCTTGGTGAGTTGAGTTTGTTTCACTTTGAATCTACCACATTTGAAGGGGAAATTCAAGGGGAGGCAGTGAGCTCTTATAGCTACAGGTCTGGAGCTAGGGGGCAGGGGGAACTACAGGATGAAGACAATATGTTGGGAGTCATTGATCTGAACTGAGATGGAGCGAGGAGCAGGCCAGCAACTGTGACCCGGCACCTAACCTAGAAAGGGGGCTAAAAAGCACCAATAAGAGACAATTATGTTCTCAAGACCTTCCCTCAGGGAGAAATGTTCTGGTCTGTCATTTGGGGTGAGGCGGTGAGACCATCAAGGACAGAGAATCAAAAGTCTTCCTCTGGGGAGGGTGTCTGATCAGCTCTAGGGGCATTGGCTTTTCTGGGAAGCTTTGCAAGCTTTGGTCTTGAATACAGGTTGAGCAATTAGTTACAGATTATTTTGTTGGAAGGGTCGCCAAAGGGACAGCCCTCCTGCAGCACCTGCCTCAGATACATCCCACCATACAGGCCACTGAGATGGCCCTATGAGTTGACACAGAGCCAGGGAGGCCAGCAGACACGGACAAAGGCCGGGAAGCTTACAAAGGAGCAGTCAGCCCAGGAGGAGGGCTGCAGTGAGGCCACAGAAGTCCATGGTGTGAAGGTATAAAAGTACAGAGTTGGATATCAGTGACACTGTGGTTGACAAATCACTTCAAATGATAGTGGAAAAGTCTCCATTGGATTTAAGAAGGTGCTCAGTGGTCATTTTTGGTAGCACAGATGCTAGGAAAGGTGGAGGAAGGCGCCATCATGCTAGGTGTTGACTTGTGTTATTGGGGTCAGGAAAGAAAGACAAAGAGTTCAACAAGTCTTTCAAGAAGTGTGTCCTTCTAAGGGCCAGAGGATGGAGTGTGAGTGTGTCTGCCTCCCTGTCCACTGGCCTCATAGCCTTTGCATCATTTGACAAATGTTTCAGCATCAAAATACGGTGTTTTAGCCAAGCACGGTGGCTCACTCCTGGAATCCCAGCACTTTGGGAGGCCGAGGCGGGCTGATTGCCTGAGGTCAGGAGTTCGAGACCAGCCTGGCTAACATGGTGAAACCATGTATTTTGTATTTTGTATTTACTAAAATACAAAAATTAGCCCGGCATGGTGGTGCATGCCTGTAGTCCCAGCTACTCAGGAAACTGAGACAGAAGAATCACTTGAACCTGGGAGACAGAGGTTGCAGTGAGCCGAGGTCGCGCCACTGCACTCTAGCCTTGGTAACAGAGCAAGACTCTGTCTCAAAAAAAAAAAAATATATATATATATATATAATACATATATATTTATATATATTTATACATATATATGGTGTTTTATTATTTGAACCTTTGACATTTATTTGATTACTAGTAATAGTAAATATTTCCTCTTATGGCTATGTGTAATTTTGCTTACGTTATTTATGTCCATTGCCTGATAGTCTGTTAGATTAACCATGATGTTATTAATTTTGAAGACATATTTCTATATCATAACCTCTTTGCAGTTATATTTAAGGCAAACACATTTTCACAGTATTAATTTTATTACTGCTTGTAACATATAGAATTATTTCCTAACTTTATGTTATAAAATCTCTCATTGGATTATAGAGTCTTAATAGAAAAGTGAGCAGCAACAGTTTGAGCCCCTTGGGGAAGAGGAGACTCCCTGGGGGGACAGCACGGCCTCTGCTTGCATCCTAGGTTTTACTGAAGCACTGTTTGCAGAAAGCCTAGCGGGCTCAGAAAACCAGCCATGCCATGGTGGGAAGAAAGCCTTGCTGAGATCCTGTGGCTGAAAACCATCATGGGCTTTTGCTTTCAGACTGCCCATTGCCAACCGATGCAGGCCCAGAGAAGCAAGGAGGAGTGCTGTTCTGGGAAGGCGGTGGGCACATAGATGGAGCTAGACTTGCGACTTCAGGCCCTCAGCAGCCACATGATCTTGCAGCTGTGGGCCATGCACCTGCTTCTTGGGCCCATGATTAACCAGATGTTCAGCTCCTTAAAGACAGACTTCGGGGCCCTTGGCTGGCAGGGGATGCAATCTGCAGATGAGAAGCTCTGAGAAGCAGTTCTCAAAGCCAGGATCCAGAGGCTCAGCCATGTGAGTTTCCTGTGAGAGGGAAAAGGCAGGAGCATAGAGGCCACTGAAGTTGTTCTCAAAAGCCCCAAGATACCTTTGGTCTCAGTGGAGGCATCCAGGACACAGCTGTCTTCACTTCTTCACTCAGTCATTTAGAAATTGTTCAGTGAGCACCCACCCTGTATAATTCACTGCTGCTGCAGCTGAGCTCAACATGGTGTCATCTAGGGGAGGAGCTTGAAGAGGTTGTGTTAAGGAAGAACCACGAGAGGAGTGCCCAGTTGGATGTGACCCCGGATGTGTAGGCATCCAGGAGGCTGAAAGAAGGCTGACCCAGGGCCTGATCACTTGACAATGGACATGCTACCTCACAGAGCATAACACCACAACTAACACATCCTGAGCCCTCAATCAATGTTGTGCAATAAAGGAATAAACCTGGATGTCTTTCCTGTAACCAAACATTGGACTATTCATCAACTGTGCACTTTTTGTTCCCCAACGAGCACAAGGGTTTGGACTGCACCATCCCCACTCTTTCTTGACTCTCTCTGTACACCATAAATGCATGGTTCAGGGTGATTTTGCTGGGCAAGGGTGATGGTTTGACTATTTGTGTCCCTCCAAAATTCATGTTGACACTTAATGCCCATTGTGGTGGTATTAAGAGGTAGAGACTTTCGGGAAGTGAGTAAGTCACGAGGCCTCTTTATAAAAGAAGCTTCAGGCCAGGTGCAGTGGCTTATGCATGTAATCCCAGTACTTTGACAGGCTGAGATGAGAGGATCATTGAGCCTAGGATTTCAAAACTAGCCTGGGCAACATAATGAGACCCTATCTCTATTAAAAGTAAAACATTAGCTGGGCATGGTGCGGTGCACCTGTAGTCTCAGCTACTTTGGAAGCTGAGGCAGGAGGATCACTTGAGCCCAGGAGGTTGAGGCTGCAGTGAGCTATGATTGCACCACCGCACTTCGGCCTAGGCAACAGCGTGAGACCTTGTCACACACACACACACACACACACACACACACAATAGTTTCAGACAATAGCCTGGCCTGGCCTTCCCATCTCTTCTGCTGTGAAAACACAACATGCATCCCTTTTTGCCTCTTCAGCACATGAGGATATAGCAAAAAGGCCCAGGCCCTCAACAGGCACTGAATCTGCTGGTACCTTGATCTTGGACTTCAGAGCCTCCAGAACCATAAGAAATAAATTTCTATTCTTTATAAATTACTGAATCTGTGGCATTTTGTTACAGCAGCACAAACAGACTAGGACAGGGAGGTTGGGAGTGCACCGTGTGATGTGTCTTTGCAAAGTCTACCCTGTACCAAGCTGACTGGCCCTATGGGATTTGTTAGCAACTAGCTGGGCCAGATCATTAGAAAACAATTTGAAATGCAGAATGAGGAATGGTGGCAAATTTGGCTATTTTTCTCAGGGTTTTGTTCAGCACCATTTGCTGCCATGCTACCAGCATAGTGGTTTGTGTGGCCTGTACATCCAGAATACCTGGGTTCAAATCCTGCTCCCTGCCTGTGTGATCTTGAGCAGGTGATATGAGCTGCCTGTGCCAAGTTCCGCATCTGTAAAGTGAGGGTGGTAAAAGGACCTACCTCGTAGAGTTGCTATGAGAATGAAGTAAGTTGGCGGGTGAAAAGGTGGTGAATATTCGTATTATTGATGTTATTATCACTGTAAGCAGCAGTGGCAGCAGCTGCCAAGCCTCACATTCCAACCTGAGAATTTCCAAGAGAAGGCAGATGATCTTGTAAAACTCCAGGAAGTCACATCTCTGATTTCCAGCCCTCCTGTCTACAGAGCCAAACCTTTCCGCAGAACTCTCCCTGCTACCATAAAATGCTGCCTCCACAGAGGGAACCCTCCCCAGGCACAAGGCAGATGGTTGCTCCGTTCCATGTGGCCCCTCACTGCAGTGCAGTGATGATGTTTGGGCTGAGCAAAAGACTTCAGTGCTCAGAGGAGAAGGAGCAGGAGGCTTTGCCAGCTTCCATTTGCATGAGAAAAGAACTGAGAGGAGAGGGGAGAAGGGGGAAGATGCTTGCTTCCTCCTTCCATCTTGGCATTCACAGAGCAGGCTGCATTTGAACACTGCCGTGCTATGTACATTGGATCCATGCAATGTTACATAAGTATTTCATAAGGGACAAGGTGACTTTGTGTTTTTTTCACCTGTTCTTCTCCTCTGATCCCAGAAGCTGGGAAGTAGGCTGGATGCAGAGAAAAGAGCATTGTTCTCAAGTCTGCTTCACTGCTTAAAGACTAAGAAGGAAAAAAAATAGAAAGGAAAACAAGAATCATTGTCTCTTTTGTTTTCTCTTTAAAATATAAAAGGAACTCTGAAACCAAAGTTCGGATGACATCGTATGACATTTTCCTTTCCACATGGAAAAATTTTGAATAAAAGATCTGTTTTCTGGGTTGACACTTCTGGGCTCTTTCAATCTCCAGTAGCAGCAAACTGCTGTCATTTCTGGAAATAAGGATGGCAAGACTCAGGGGGTTAATCTGCCTGATTTTGCTCTCCAAGGGTGACAGCGTAAAGCTCTTTGGCTCTGCATCCACAGTAATAGCTGAGGGCAGCGCTGCCCAACAGAACTTTCTGTGGTGATGGAAGCCTTCTCTAATCTGTGCTGCACATCTGGCAGCCACGAGCCACACGTGGCTATTGAGCGCTGGAAGTGGGGCTGCTGTGACTGTGGAACTGAGTTAACTTCACTGTTAATTTAAATTTAAATGGCCACGTGTGGTCTGTGGCTACAGTATTGGCAGGTGCATGAGAGCAATAGCAAAACAAACTGTAAGTAGCATCCACAGATGTTGACTGAATGCATCACACAGATAAGATGGAAAAGGAAGAGCCTAAAAGTTCTGAAGAGTGATGTTCCCCTTCCACAGGAGCAGTTTATGTGTCAGTGGCAATGATGTTTTATGAATATTTGGGATGACCATTTTCTGTTTCATCTTTCAGCTGTGGGAGTAGCAGTCTACTTTATTTCTTTTCAATTTTTTTTTAGAGATGGAGTCTTGCTATGTTGCCCAGGGTGATCTTGAACTCCTGGCCTCACATGATCCTCCTGCCTCAACCTCCCAAAGTGTTGGGATTACAGGCATGAACCACCATGCCTAGCTCAGTCTACTTTTTTTAAAAGAGGAATGAGATCAAGATCACATTTCAAAAAATATGTTGTCTCCTAAAGTAAGTAATATTTCTACCTGGAAGCTCTTCCTTCAAGTCTAAAGTCAAAGGGAAAGACAATAATTTCTTCTAGGCTTTTGAGGTGATGATCATGGGGTTTGCTTAGATGTCAGATCCACGAGTCACCCTAAAGCCTGAAGAGACAGAGTAGATGGGAGCTGGTGTTGGGTGAACACTGGACTGGTCCCAGGGCTGCGGTTCTTGATCAGTGTAATGCAGGAAGGAGTCGCCAATGTGGCCACGCTCCTGGTAGGGGTTCTTTGTAGGTACTAGAGGCTCAGTAGCTGTCCTGAGTCAAAAGACCAAAGAAAAAGGGAAGCCTCAAGGAGAGATGAGAGGACAGCAGATGAAAATGAGCCTGCAGGAAACCAAGCTCTGAGGAGAAATGGGCAGGCAGCCAAGAGCAGGGCAGAAACTGCAGCAGTAGCAGCGGCAGCAATGAAGTCTCCAAGTTATGAGTGGCAGGCTCTGAGAACAATGATGGAGCAGGAAGTTAATGCAGAGGGCAGGCAGAGAGCCCCTGAGACGATAAGCAAGATGAGTGGAGAAAACCGACAGGACTTAGACCTGGGCATGGGCAGCAGAGGACCTTATCCCAGCAGCAGAGGGACTGGCAGTTAATGACGATGCTCGAACATCTGCTATACGTTGGGAATTTTGCACGCATTTAATATTTTGCATGCAGATAATATTATTCCCATTTTATGAATGAATGAGCCCAGACTTAAAGTGCTGGAGGGATTTAATATTCTCCTGGATCTATCTGCCTTGCTGGCTACTCCTTCAGGCTTCCTTTTGAGTTCATTCTTCTCTTACCACGTCTGTAAATGTTAGAATTTTTTAAGGAATGTTACACAGTTGAGTCGTCTTCTCTTCTCACCCCCTACTTACTCAGCACAGTATAAACCACTCTCTGGGAACTCCAGAATTTTGTCTCTATCTGGAATCTCCCCTAGGAATGGCAAAATTAACCTAAAGAATGTACAAGGAAGGAAAAAATAGACATAAACCTAGGTATTTTTATTTTGTTAATTAGAAAAGTAGAAAGAACAGATAATGATTCCAAGAGTTGCTTTTCATTTAACCAATAAAATAACAAACCCTTAACTGACCCAATAAAGAAAATGGGAGCAGTCACAAAATTAGGAATGAGAAAATATTTCAAGAGACCACTCTGCTCAATGCTATGTTGAAACTTTTGAAAACCTAAATACCAATTAAATTTTTCCAGTAAAATATTTATGACCAAGGTTTACTCTACAAGAGAGTCTACTACTAGAGTTGCCAGAATTAGTATACAGAAATTTGAATTTTAGATAAATAATTTTTTAGTATGTCTTACGCAACAGTTAGGACATACTTTTACTAAAAAAAAAAAAAAGTCATTGGTTGTTATTCTGAAATTCAAATTTAATTGGAAATCCTGCATTTTAACTGGCCGATCTATTAAAACAGATAAATTATTGTGGAGAAACAATAGGAACTTGTCAAAAGCTTTAAAAACATCAAGATCAGAAGTTTCAGGTAAAGCGTATGAATTAAATTCAAGCAATATTTTCAACTCTATTTAAATGATTCCAAAGCATAAAAAAACAGCTTCTAAGACATTTTTATAAAGCTACAAAGACTGAAGTCAAACCTGACAAGGAGAGTTAAAAAATGTGGGCAAAACAGTGGTGAATATTCATGATAAAATCTTACTGTGATATTCACAAACATGGGGGAATGATATTTTCTTTAAAATCGACAGACTTTTTAGAGAAAAAAGGCAGTTGAAGAAATTATCAACAGTGATTTTACCAAGTTCTTTGTATTTTTTCTCAGTCTTAACATGCCTATATATATTATGTACATAATTCTTAGCTGTAAGTCATTTTTATAATAGATGCTATTTTCTGCAAGCCTCTCAAATTAAAACCCATTGTTCTGAAAGTACTAATCAATGCAATTACATAAGGGAAAAAATGAGACATAAATACTTCAACCACGGAGGCAAAATTATTACTGTTTTCAAACAATGTAGTTATTTACCTAGAAACTGCAAAAGAATCAATTGGAGGAATTCTGTTACCAGCAGAAGATAGTTCAGTTAGGTGGATTGGTTTCACAATGAATATCCACATTCAGTGGCATTTCAGTAAACAAATAGTATTCAGCTATAAAATATAATGGAGCAAATTATCTCATTTATAATAGCATAAAAAAGATAATGTGCCTAGACATAAATTTAATTAAAAATATAGGCTAGGTATGTTGGCTCATGCCCATAATCTCAAGACTTTGGAGGGCTGGAGGATCCCTTGAACCCAAGAGTTTGAGACCGTGAGACCCCAACTCTACAAAAAAATAAAATTAGCTCGGCATGGTGTGCATGCCTGTCATCTCAGCTATTGTGGAGTCTGAGGCAGGAGGATTGTTTGAGCCCAGGAGTTTGAGGCTGTAGAGATCTGATTGTGCCACTGCACTCCAGCCTGGGTGACAGAGTGAGACCCTATCTCTAAAAATAAATGGGGGGCTATTAAATAAAACAACAACGTGTAACACTTCTTGAAGGACAAAAAAAAAATAAAAATAAATAAGTAGAAAGACCTGTCAAAGACCTATCATATTCTTGGGTAGGAAGATTCAATACTGTAAATGCATAAGTTTACCCTAAATTAAATCCATAGATCCAATTTAATCCTCATCAAAATGCCAACAGGCACTTTTATATCTTGATAAAGTATTAAAGTTACTTGGAAACATAAGTTTGAGGAAACTCCATAGACTCCCGTATGCAATAATCCATTAATAACCCAGTAATATTGGGGAGGATACACAAGAAGCTGTTTATAATATTCACCTCTTAGCAGTGGAAGTGAGGGGTAAAGACTTGAGCCAAAGATGTATTTTCATGTTATACTCATCTATGCTATTTGAATTTTTCCACAGGTGCAAATATTACTTATATGATTAAAAATAGTTATTTTAAAAGAACATTTCCATTATATTGAGTACTGATTTGTAACCCTCTCTGCTCATTAGAATCATATAGGGAGCTTTGGAAAGACACCAGGTCTCAGCACTTGCCTCCAGATTCTAATTCAATTTGGCTGTGTTAGGGCCCAGGCAATGGCATTTTTTACAAAAGTTCTCACTGATTCTGATGTGGAGCCAGGGCCGAGAGCCACCACTGTCAAGTAACCCATGGCAGCATTTTCCAACTTTTGGTCACAACCCTTCGGTTAGGAAATCAACTTAATGGCTTGGGACCAGAGTTAAAAACAAACAAACAACAACAACTGAAACCAACTCAATTGAGCAGAAACTTGTGCATGCCTGTTGTGTTTAAGACATGTCTCTTTCTGGGGGATGTCATCCAAAACATTGGAAAACCCCTACCTTAAGTGGTTCAGATCTTTCAGACTTTCTGAGACATTTTATCAGAATTTGTGTGAACTATTAAAGGCTTTTTACTGTTTAAAAGTTATATTGTAATTCTGACTTTTGTTCACGTATTTGATGATTCAATTATTTATTCATTACATAGTCAAAGGTAGAAAATTACATGTAATTACTTGTGCTTATCTGATAAGCATAGTGACTGATGTATGTAAATGCTCAATATGTGATGGATGAATGAATGAATGATTAAATTACTTAATAAATAGTGCTTTGCCTAGTTTTCCCTAGATTATTTTTATAAACTAGTTTTTCTTCTCACCTATCCCCAAGCTCCTAATTAAATAATTACTTGGAGTAGAATCAACCAAGAATACTTACATGCACATCCTAAGCTCAGTGACAACCAAGGCAGGACTTTCTCCTTTGCTAATGCTCTCATCCAAGTGAGGTGTCTGCTTGGTTTGGATTAGGCCATGCAGATTCTGGTGACATCCATGTTATCACAGGTCACATTGGCCTGGGTGCCTTGCCATGACATAAGTCACTCAAAAAAGATAGAACCATAAATAATTTGGCTGACACGGGTTAGCTTTATTTAAAGCAAGTTATTTTATTAACAGTTCCAAGATTGAAAGTCAGGTCTTAAAAAATCATTTTAATTCTCTACATAACCAACTTTATGTAACTCAGCTATTACTTATTGAGTTACTATGTTCTCAGCCTTGGGCAAGGTGCTGCAGGAAATATTGAAAAAGTATCAGAGGTGCTTAGATCATGCAATACTAATGATAAGTGAGAAAGACGTTCAGATTGGGCAGAAAAAAATATGAAATGAGTCCAGTGGAAAAGTCTTCAAATAGCTAGACACGTAGGACACCAAACACAGGCAATGCAGAAGGTCTCAGGTAACATCCTTAATGCCTAAAAGCTGCATTCTAATTTATTCTAATTTGCCTAAAGCCTCTTCATTAAGGGGCTTGTTTGGTGCAACATTCCACAAACCATTAGCAACATAACAGTCTCTGGGATTTGTCTTTGAGCATTAGCAGGCTTAGTATGTTCATCGCTGCATGTCTCAGTGGCTTTCTGGGCTGTTTCCATCTCCTGTCCCACTGATTACACTTTTGCAAGAGTTGGACTGAAAGAGTGAAAATATCTATGGCATTGTTGGCAGAAAACAAGACACCGGTCAGAGTGATAACAACTGGCCTCCAAAGGACCAGGAGATAGGGAGAGGGCTTTCTAATGGAGCAAACAGCTGTGAAGATAAATGAGATGAGGATTAGAAAAAAAGTAAAAATAATAGTAGAGGCAAAACTTGAAAATTTTAGAATTAAAAACAAAACAAAACAAACAAACAAACCCATACTAAATGATAAAAAGAGGATTTAGTCTAGAAAAGAGAAGACTAAGTGATGATTTCATTAGGGTCTTCAAAAAATATAAAAGATGATTTTATAGGAATAGGAGAGACCAGCTGTTTTACATGTTAAGCAGAAGTTTGAAGAATAGAAACTGGATAGGAAAAAGTGCATCTTTATTTCTTTTTTGTTTATTCAATAACTATTTATTGAGTGCCTCGTCTGTACCACACAGTTGTTAATTATAAAATTCTATTTACCCAGCTAGTGCAATTCACTGTGCTAGCACTTACAAGGGTGGAAAATTTTATAAGACATAATCTTTCTCTTCAAGGGGCTACATTGAATGAGTCCCTGGAGGAGCTCATATAATTGCTTTTCCTGGGGACTTTTTGGAAATGGCATAATGAAAATGAGTATAACCACAGGAGTCAACGATTCCAGTCATGTTCATCTATTACTTTATGTTCAGGTCTTCATCAGGGTTGAGAATGCTATGAAGTTTCTTCTGAGGAGGATGTGTGTAATGATTTATTGTCTATGGAGAAATGGAAGAAAAACCAGCTTAAAACCAGTAAAAAGTGAAGTATATAACTTGGAGCTTAAAATTTTTCAGAGTCTTATTTCTTTTGTTATCTCTTGTTTCCTCCTGAAGGCAGACATTCCAATTGTCTGCACATAACATAGATTGAATTGTGAAATAAGTTTCTGTCAACCCAACTCTACTAAGAGTTGTCACAAATTCCAAATGACTTCTCAAATTTCAAACGACTACCCAGACTTGCAAAATTGGTCTTTTTCTCAAAAGATTATGACTAGAAGTCTGCTCCTAGCTCAGATCTTAACAAAGGGTTATGACTTACAGACTTTTCCACTTAAGAGGACTTGCCTAGAGCAAAATAAATTTAAAACAAATAACTTGCTTTGACTAACATTGTGTGTCCTGTAAGGGAAAGCAATTTTCAAATTAACATGCACCAACATGACTAATCTGAAAAGTCTGTCCTGTGGGGGACATTGAAAAGAATTCTAAGGCAGGACCTGTTCTAGGTACTTACTGTTGACTCACATAAAGGGTCAGTCTTCTCACCTTCTTGAACCAGACATTGTCAAGATGTTATCCTTTTTAGTTCAGTATCATATCCACTTTCAAATCATATCATTAATCTGTAGCTACCCTATTGGAGGGCTGTGAGAATCAAGTGTTGGATAATTTCTGGGGGTGGCAGGATTACCAAGCACAGCTATGTGAAAACATATGCATACTTAAAATTCTTATGTATGCTTAATAAATATTAGAACACCACTGAGCTAAAATTAATGAGTCTGTGTTTGAAGCATGGCAGTATTTAAAATTACCTGCCTGATGACAATTTTAGTTAATCACATTAGAAGTCTGTCTGATTACTTCTTGTTAATTACTACTTATAATCCAGGGGGAAAAAGATCTAGAAATTTCCAGGTTAACAGGTTGCTTAATTCCTAACATTCAAACTGGTATTTAAAATAATATTCACACCCGAGCCGGGCGCGGTGGCTCACGCCTGTAATCCCAGCACTTTGGGATGCCGAGGCGGGCGGATCACGAGGTCAGGAGATCGAGACCATCCTGGCTAACACAGTGAAACCCCATCTCTACTAAAAGTACAAAAAATTAGCCGGGCGTGGTGGCGGGCGCCTGTAGTCCCAGCTACTCGGGAGGCTGATGCAGGAGAATGGCGTGAACCCGGGAGGCGGAGCTTGCAGTGAGCCGAGACTGAGCCACTGCACTCCAGCCTGGGCGACAGAGCGAGACTCCGTCTCAAAAAAATAAAATAAAATAAAAATAAAAATAAAATAATAATATCCACACCCATGAGCCAGTTGGTTAGCAATATGTGCTGAGAGGCACCTCTGTGTGAAGGATTGTTCTAGGCCCTCTGGGGAGATAGGAGAACATCTCCACAGTTCACAAACTGCAGGGCATGCACAAGACCTAGAGAGAACCACAGCAACATCCGGGGATGTGCAGTTATGTGCCTTGTGAATGCAAACCTAGACGCCAAGGGATTGCGCTGAACAGCACCGCCTAACCATATTTTCTGTGAGATCTGTGGACCGGCAAGTTCATATCCTCATCACATAAGGCCATATTTATTCTTCCTCTATTCACCCTCATATTTTTATGCTTATTAAATATTCTCCATTTGCACCCACTTGAATTTAAGCTTCATGAAAGGAGGGATTTTTATGTGATTTGTTGACAGATATATCCCAAATGCCAACAGACCCTGGCACACAGTGGACTCGCAATAAATATTTGCTGAATGAATGAATTTAACCATTTCCACAATGGACAGATGGGGACATCTGTTCAGATGAATTTGCTGATGTGTTTGAAGGAAACTTCAGAATCAATATAGATGTATATAGATGATATTTTTTCTTCTATTCTTATATTTAATTTTCCCAGCCTAAAAGACACAGGGCTAAATCTCTTTGAAGGTCCTGGAAGGACAACATCTGGTTTTAAATTGATAGTTAACAGGGGCTTGTGAAAGACATTTAAAAAAATTTTTTGTAAAGAAAAGCTGGCTGCTCTGGAGGATAAGTTTGCAAATTGGTTGAAAAAAAAATGAATGAAAGAAGAATTCAATTACCAACACCAAGTAACCTGTCTGAGTGAGTTTTTCTTTAATAAAAGAATTTTTGATTGGCTTGTTGACTCTTATTGGAGAAGCCAGACCAAATTAAATTCAAATTGCTTCTTCTTGGAAACAAAACAAAACAAAACCTTCACTCCCTTCTGAGGCAAATTATCAGAGAAGATCCTAACCTCAAATCATGAAGCAATTTATAAACAACTGCCTCCACGGAAGCCAGATGCCACACAAATCTGACCCATGCACATAACTAGCTGGTGGAGACACCTGTGCGTTTTCAGGTAGAGATCCTGTAAAAACACCTTATTTATTTTTTAAATGAAATTGAGTTAATATTAGCTAATAATTCTTGATGGGTTTTTTTTTCCTACTGAAAGACCTTTCAGGCCCCAGCATTTCACAGTAAAATACAGGCTCCTGCATATCCAAATAATCTCCATGCATATTTAACACAACAGCCATTAGTTGCAGTTCGATGGTTGCAGTTCAATGTATTGTAGGAATATCTAAGTTTAACCTGGGATTTCTCAGCACTTTGTGTTCTTCATGCATCAATTTGCCTTGATGCCTAGATTCCTAAATCAAAGGGAACGTAATCTAATTTCAAACTGAAGTAAACGAGGAATTGATGGGTATTGCCTTGTAGGCAAAACAAAGCACAAAGCAACTAGTCTGATCCCATGAAATAAAACTATATGGAGAAAAATAAACTCAGTATTTTAAACTCAAAGTCCCATTTCTGCCACCTTTTGCTTTTCATTTCCTTTTAAAGGTTGTTCTTAAACTTTATTACCCTGCCACCCTTCTCTCTGACCTGCCTCGATTTTCCTGTCATTCCTGTGTGCCAGCATCACACACAGTGATTGGGGTATCTGCAGCTTTGTCCCTCAGCACACTGTGGGCCCAAGGGAGGGAGACACCTGCTGTTAGCATGCTGGCTTGGTCCTCTGCTCTCATCATTCAAGAGCTGAGCCTTCACAGCCTCTTAACCACTCTCTGGACACACCTGTACATCCCAGCCTGTCAGTGGCATCAGGGGTGTGTTTTATTGATCACTAGATTCAAAGTCCATTGTCTGCCTGAAAGGAATATATGGTGCGAAGACTGGAAGCAGGCAATTTCACTGAGAAATCAAATTGTTGATCGCCAATTCACCAAATGGCTCAGTCAGCGGATTTACTTGTTAACTCAGTCAGCAAATTTACTTGGCAACTCTTGAGTTTCAGTTAATCGGTTTTTGTTTTGTCTTCACAGCATCACTGTAGAGACATTGAGCTGTCCCAGCTCCTGTTGCAGCTGGAAACTGAAGGGTAGAGAGAAACAGAGACTGAGAGAGTTTAGCAAGAATGTATTTTTGAAGAAAGATTTCTTATGAATATATTATTCATTAATATATTTACTCATAGGAAGAATATATAAGAATTCTGAATATTTAAGAATCAATTAACAATTATATTCTTCATGAATATATTGATAAGAGTGTTTTTAAGAGGAATATTTACAAGAGAAAATATTCACAAAGAATATATTCTCAAATATTAAGAATATATTCATAGGAACACTTCATAGTCTAGAACACATTCTTCAGCCTTAGGAATTGCAGAGACAAACTGAATATTCCTTAAAATGAAGCAAAATTCAACATTCCAAAAGAAATAAGTAAATATGGCAAGTCAGTCATGTGCTGGGTGGTTAAGACTGACTTCTACAACAAGACAAGGTGTAGGACTCAGGGTTCAACCCTGGGCCTCACTCCAAAGCCCCAGCACTTTCCATGATCCTTCACCGCCTCCAACTCTTACTCAAAAGTTGGAGATTCTTTGGACAAAGATGACTTGTCCAAGAAATCCCAGGTGTATTTGAAAGTCAGTGCTGAGCAAAAGAAAGCTGTCATGACTTGGAATCCTGTGTTAACAACGAGTCAATCTCTTTTGCTGTCAGTCTTAGAAATGCTTTGGTACGTGGGTTCTACAAGGTCAGGAATTCTAATCACAGGGGAGAAGCGGTGTTCAAAGATTGTGAATGATAGTTTTTTTTTAATATCCTAGGGCTGCTGGAAGTGAGAGAAATTTATTTTTTTTTTTGCAAGAGTTATCTAAAATTACAGGCTTTCAAAGACTCTAGTCTCAGAAGTCCTAAGCTCCCTTAGGATTCATGCTAATGATCTAATTTCCAGCATCATGGTGTGTACTTATGATTGTGATGTACAAATGGTCCTTGGGGGGAACTCTTTCTAATAACCTGGAAGTTCGTGTTTCTTGAAGCCCTGTTGATAATTTTTTCCTTTGTCCCTGACTCAATTCACATTCCAGGGGATCAGGAAAAGAGGAGCAGAGTTAGAGGCTGAGGCTGTGCCCACGAGCAGCAAGGTCTTCAAGCCACCTGTGCCATTTCTGGGTGCTGCTTGGCCCCTGAGTGGTGGGGGTCCTCCTGGCAGAGTGAACAATCTCAACTCTTATGTTGCAAACCTTCCTGCAGAGCATCAGGAGAAGGGGAAGGGAGCTGGGTGGAGGAAGCTGGATGTAGGTGGTCCAAGGCAGTTGGGGCCCCTTGACAGCACCCCAGGGGCTCCTCCAAACATGAGTGACACCTAGAAGAGTGGGCCCTGAGGGGTCCTTGAAGGCTGTGTCAGGCTTGATGCAAACGTAAGGGGTTTGTTCCAGGAGATTCCTGGAAGTCTGGTCTTCCGTTGACTTAAAGGAATGGATTTTTGTTCCTGTTGTTTTCCTGATGCCTATTTAATGGCTGCTGTCAGGTGTCAGCACCTTATATGTGCTGTTTACACTCACATCCATGCAGACATCCGCAAAATAAAATTTTACAAAACCCTGGAGAAGGTATTATTTTCTCATTTATAGAGAGGTTACACCTATTTAGGAAGTTGCAGAGCTGAGATTTGCATTGATTTGGGTTGGCTCGCTTTGTTCATTGATACAAGAAATCACTTACTGTGTGCCAAGTAAGTGCCAGATCCTATGCTAGGTGCTTAGAATAAATGATGTGCATGCCAGACCCAGTCTTTGTCCCCTCAGATCTTCTAGGCTAAGGATGAGAGACAAGTAATAACAATAGTGAACAGCAATGCAACGGGGAGGAGCAGGCTGCTGTGGGGCTCTTAAGTGAGTCAGGAACCGAATAGTGATGGAGTCCAGAAAGACTAGTGAGAAGTGGGAAGAGGAAGGGTGAGATGGCCTCAGGCAGAGGACCCACAAATACAAAGTGGGGCCTGGGAGCAGGGTGAGTTTGGAGAAATAAAGAAGCTCAGTGCAAATCCAGCCTGGATGTGGACAGGAACAGAAGATGTCTAAAAGGTGGGCACTGGCTGGGTTGTGATGTCTGCAGTGTGCCAGGGCCTGCCTGGGCCAGCTCTCCAGTGCTGTCTGCACATCTCCTCCTAACTCCAGTGATTTTGTGTTGGTAGAAGAAGAATTCTACCACAGAAAGGGACAAAAAGGCAGGTGATTTGAGTTTCCAGGCTGGCTGAGCAGCTGCTCTGATGATGGCGTCGTTCACTTGGTAAGGAGTATTAGAATGGAGGGATCAAAGCTCCCTGTTGAATACCTCAAGGTTGAGGTGCTTGAGTGACAACGTGGGGGTGTCTGGCAGGCAGCTAGATACCTGGATCGATCCCTTTCTGTCTGATCACACTGTCTCCTAGGAGCACAATAGTTCAACTCCATTTGATTTGGTATTATGCAACCTGTTCAAGGCCCTACTGCTGAAATGACATGTGTTAGATATACAAACCACAAATCTCAGGTCTTCCATGGAACCTATACAATAAGCAATTTTGAGGTTTTTATTAATTTTAAAAACTCCCATTTAATCTCTCAAATTATTAACACCTAAACCTGCTTCCCTTGGGAAATATATCCCAAGAAAGACAGCACTCCAAAATGGCTGACTTCCTTGCTAGCTAATGTGGGCCGTTACCTCTGTTCTTCCATGGCTGACAAAAAACAGACTCCATGCTGTGGCATGGGCACAGGTCATATCAACATATGCATTAAGGTAGTGAGGTATAAATTTTGTTTTCTCTGTTTATTATCATTTAAAATATATTAAAATTTTAACATGGCAGAAGCAGGAATTTTACTTGCACATGGCAGTCTACAAAAAGCAAAACAAACAAAACTCCACAGAAACAAAATTTACATCAACCAATAATATATTAAAATTCCTTTTAGGTAAAGATCTAAAGAAATGTTATATATGCACACCTCTTAGAGTTTGTTTATTTTCTTCAGTGAAAAAAAAATGTAAAGCTTGAGAAATTCTCCAAGCAGAATCAACTTTCTTAAACCTTAACATTCTTAATGAAGCAAGTGGACATAGAACCTCTCCCTCTTTCTCCCCACCCACAAATGGTGTCCCTCCACTTCTGGGAGAGTATTTGTAGCTGTTACTACCTGTAAAAGTAGTAAGAAGTGTCAGAAAAGAGGTACTTGTCTTTCAACACTGTGGGACTGATTCCACACAACTTAAGCCTCCGATACAATCACTTACAAAAAACAAATAAGGCCTGACAACAAATCGGAATGTTTCAAACAAAGAATAAGTACCACGCTCCCTACTTTAGAGATCTTCCCTTTGAATAGTGTGTCTCCATTTGTAAAGATGCACACAGCCCCAGATGTAATATAACACAGCTCCTTATTACAGGGGTTCTGGCAGACTGCAGTGGAAATGAGTCAATTCTGAAACGCCCTTCAGAGTGGGAGCAGGGAGGAGTTCTGTGCAGGTGAGCGTCTGGCCCAGCAGCCACACCAGTGTTAGGACAGGGTCCCCTGAGGCCCCGCTGATGGTGGAGGGTCCTCAGAAGGGTCTCTCCAGCTTTTGGAAGTGCCCACCTGACCGTCCTCTCATTACTCCTGGCTACTCTCCTTTGTGGAGGCTCCAGGAAAGCTTGGGAGCACAACCAAGAAATGGTTAATGGAACAAAAAGGAGAATTAATGAATCATGAAAACATGTGCTTATTATTATTATTTTTTAGAGATTCACACTTTCCTGAGTAAAGTACACAAAAATCTCACATGAAGTCTTTTGAAAGCACCAGGCCTCTAGCTCTTAGACTAGCTGTGCTCCATGGCAGATCTGAGCCAAGCTCGATGTTGCTCTGGTAAAAACATTAACGATGTATTCATGAACACTGCTTTTCTAATATTTCACCACTTGAGAGTGTTATGCTTGTAAGATGGAAAATGGTTTCTTTTCTGGTGACGGAGAAGAATAAAGGTGGATGTGTGGGCTTCTTTGGTCTGTCTTGCAAACAAATCAGAGCTGAGCGGATCCCACCAAAGATAACAATGTTCGTAAACCAAACCCACAGATGGGCCTAAGCCTCTGAGTCATTGGCACTGGACCAGTCATCAAAATCCTCTAAACATGTAAACAAATCACAGACACTTTAAAAAGTCCAGATTCAGTGTGGATACGGCCATGGGGACATTCACATCAAATTAATGTGCTCCACTTTTATTGCTGAAAGAGCGCAGGTCTTGGTGCCAGAGGAAGTTCAGGGAGCCCATTCATCCCCTGACTTCTTGGCCTGAGGCAATATCTTCTTCAGGGAGTTCCTGGGAATGCCTGAACATCAGGATAGAGTTGTAAATCTTCAGTGCTGGGCCCAGTTTGATCTTCATCACTTTGACAATGTCCGTCTGTGTCAGAAGCAGGAAGGCTTTGCCATCGATCTGCTGCAAATACATAAATAGACACAAATAAAAATGTTTTGCCACGGAAGCCTGTTTACTCACCAGTAACACTTTGGTTCTGAGTGTGATGTGGAACCCGTCATAGCCTCCGTGTTGAGCTCACCAGTGAGAGAGAATGACGGTAGCTCTCACTCGGCTTAGTTACAACCATTGCTCCACTCCAATTCTTTCTTCTAGAACTTTGAAGTTAAATTGAAAAGATGCTCATGCTGTTAAATACGAATTCAATATACACGAACTGTTCCCAGGCTACATTTCTATTGTTGTCTTTTAAAAAGGTTGGCTTGAATTTGTATCAAGAGCCTTAAAACCAAGTAAATCTCCAGGAATTTTTCCCAAGAGAATAATGTGCAATGTGTATATGCTAGTATTATTTATAATACTGAAATCTTGAAAGCAACCCACTGTTCCCAATAATATCAGAAGTAAATAATACTATAGTCAGAGTGGGCTACTATGCAGTCACCCAAAATCAACTCTCTTGAAACATTTAATGATTTAGGAATTTTTTTTTTATAGATCAGTAAACAACAGAACATGGTATATGATAGAGAAAGATTTCAGTTTTACTTTGTACAATTAAACATGCATGGCTGCATGTATACATATGCATATTTAAAATATTTTGAAGTCTTTACACCAAATGTTAACTGAAATTATCTTTGGATGTAGAATAGTGGTTAGTTTTTATTTAATCCTTTCAACTTTCCTGTATTTAAATTTTTTAAAGAATACATACCATTATAAGCAAAAATACACATAAAATAAATGTTTTATTTATTAAACTTTAAAAATACATTTCAAAACTTGCACAGAATGATTCCTGGCTCCAGATGAACAAGATCTGGGGCTCTGATGTATGGCATGGGTGGTAATGGAAAGAGTGAATTTGACTTTGGTAATCATCACGCATTGTATATGTATATCAAATCATCACATTATACACTTTGAATGTATTCAATCTTGTTTTGACAATTAAATATTTTTAAATTAAAAAGATATTACAGCATGAAAGTAATAGCTTCCCCGAGACTCACAGGATGGCAGTGGCCACCGTGTAGGCTGCTTTCCCCAGCTTCTGGATGCCCCAGTGACCTCAGCACAACTCCAGGGACTACTGCAGCGTCTCTGATTGACACAGCCTGGCTCAGATGATTCCTGGCTCCAGAACCAAGAAGGCAGGAATGGAAGGGTTTTCTATGGAAACATTCTTCCACGAACTTAGAACTGTGGTTCTAAACCTTTTCAAATTTAATAATACAAACCCCAGCCAGTCATGGTGGCTCATGTCTGTAATCCCAGCACTTTGGGAGGCCGAGGTGGGCAGATCAATTGAGGTCACGAGTTTGAGACCAGCCTGGCCAACATGGTGAGACCCCCCGCCCCTGCTCCATCTCTACTGAAAATACAAAAATTAGCCAGGCGTAGTGGCATGCGCCTGTAGTCCCAGCTACTCAGGCAGGAGAATTGCTTGAACTTGGGAGGCAGAGGTTGCAGTGAGACAAGATCATCCCAATGCATTCCAGCCTGGGCAACAGATAGAGACTCCACCTCAAAAAAAAAAAAAGAAGGGAAGAAGAAGGAAAAAGAAGGAAGGAGAAGGAGGAGGAGGAGAAGGAGAAAGAGGAGGAGGAGGAGGAGAAGGAGAAGGAGAAGGAGAAGAAGAAGAAGAAGAAGAAGAAGAAGAAGAAGAAGAAGAAGAAGAAGAAGAAGAAGAAGAAGAAAAAGAAGAAGAAGAAGAAGAAGAAGAAGAACAAGAAGAAGAAGAAGACGACGAAGAAGAAGAGGAAGAAAAATCCTGTAGTGTCAATGTCTCACTGATAGAATTACCCTGGGACCCCAAGGGTAGCGTTTTGAAGTTATAATATTTAAAAAAGTTTTTAAAACCTTCCTGTGCATTTATGATATATTGTCTGATAAGGACTCATCCATCTAGAGGAGGAAACACTTTTTCCCTCGGAAAAGGCATTTTCCCCAAGGCAGAGGAGAATGAGCCTACATCCATACCCTGACCTGGCTAAGCTCCAGCATTTTCAGGCAAAAATTGCTGTCCAAATACCCCATTGTCCTAAGAATAAGGTCGTGATGGTGACAACAACAGCTAACATTTATGGAGCTACAGTAATCTATTATATGGGTTTGATCCTCCTGATAACCCTGTAATATAGGTGAGGAAACCTGGAATTGCAAGCTTAATGACTTGCCCAAGCTCATGCAGCTTCTAAGGGGCAAAGTTGGGATTTCTGGCAGAGCTTGTTGGAGCCCAGAGGAGACCCTCTGCTATATACTGCTGCCTTTATTAAGCCCCTACTTTGGGACAAGAACAGGGCTCGGTGCTTCAAACATGCTCACCCTAATCTTTAAGGGCCCCTCTCGTAAATCTGTGTTTCAGAGAGGAGGGATAAGAGGGGTTCAGCAATCTGCCTAAAGTGACAGTACTGGTCAGTGAGTGCCAAATATAAGCAATTCAACCTGCAAAAAGCCACTCCCTCTTACCCTACGTGGACAGACTTGAGGACAAAGCAAGCCTTGATCATCGCTACCTGCAGAGTAGACTGTATGTGTGAACGTGGCCAACTATGCCCAAGCCATGCTGAGCTCAGGCAGAGCCAGGCGAACCCCACAGGTAGCAGCTACCCAGACTGAGGCTATCTGACCTTGATGCTGAGTTCCTCTACTGTGCTCGGAGGGGTCCAGAACCCAAAACTCAGCACTTCCTTAACTCATGCATGCTCTGAACCTGAGAGAGGGAGAGGTATGTGCTGCCTTTCAGTTTCTATGAGGATGGTTTTCTTGGAAAGTTCTAGAGCAGCGATGGAGGCTCTGAGCTCTCAGATGGATATGAGCTGGAATCCGACTTTTCTTGCCCTTTTCTTGCTCTGCCTCACCTTCCTGGGCCTGAGCTTCTTCATCGGTAAGCTGCCATTGTAGTGTTGTCACAAGGATCAAAGGATAATGGTTGTAAAATGCTTAGCACCATGCCTGGCACATGGCAAGCCCCTGATACACAAGCACTGGGATTAGTATGTGCATCATTCTGTAGCTGGTCCAGTCTCTTCCGGGGCCCCTATAGCTATGGATACTAATTCCAGGAAATATGCGAAGCAGTTCAGTACATTCCCAACCAAGAGGGGACAGGAGATAGAAACCCCGTAGAAGGATTTGGGGCTGCTCTGGAAGCAAATGCAGGGCAGGGATAGATAGGAGGGTCCCATGCTGACTTTGGAGTAGACAAATCCCCAATCTTTCCCAGGTGCAATCCCAAGGGAGGATTCCTGCCTTCCCGCAAATGGCTTCAAGCCACCAATGGAGAGGCCTCATGACACTGATAGGTATTAATTAATTATCTTTTTCATTTACTCTTCCAGCAAATAGTATACGTACTGAGCATGCTGTATGCACCAAGCACCATGGCATTCTGCAACAAAACCTAGCAAAATGTAAGAGGACTGAAGGCGGAGACTGACCCAGCTTGGTCTCACACTGCATAATTGGGCTCTATTCCTGCTGGATCTCCTTTGTCTTGCTGCCCCCAAATTGTACTTATTTACACTTAAGTAAATGAAAACAAAACACTTCTGGGTCTAGAAGTATAGAAATACATACATATATATATATACATATATATATATACACACACATATATATATATATACATATATATATATATAATTTTTGCATCTCTTACCTCTTTCTTAAAGCACTTGGCATGCTCTTCACAGCCCAGAAGAGACTGTACAAACTCAGCCACCTACAGTGCGAGATGAAAAGCCTAATTTAATACATGCACCTGAAATAATTTGGGGGTTGCAGTAATCCAACATTTAAGTAAAATATACTTAAAATCTCTCAAACTCTTGGGAATTAAATAGTAACTATCAAGTTGCATTAGCATTTGTCAACTCAGAAATTAGACCAGCCCCCAGTATTTTTTCTGTCCTCTTATTACCGGGCTGACCTGCAGAGGGTTATGGTTATAATGACGACAGTAATAGCCTCCATATGTGAAGCTCTGGCATTCTGCAAGCTTCTGCATCTGATTCTCCTGACTCCCCCATGGGGTCAGTGAGGGCGAGGCCAGTGGTCTTGTGCAGCAGTCATCACAGCGACCATTAGGAGTAAGGACCTGCTCACTTGCCTTTAAAAGGCAGACCCGAAGGCAAGGCCTTCTCCTGCTCATCTCTGTGGCCCAGTCCCTTACCTGGAGCATGGTGAATCACAGGAGATCAGAGAATCTATGTGGAGCTGAATTCCCACATAAATGATGAAGCTGAAGCCAAAAGAGGTTCAGTACTTACCCAAGGCCACATACGGTTGATAAGTAGCAGAGACATTTTGGAATTCGGGTTTGCTATCTCTAGGCCCTAAGTTCTGGAGAATCAGTCTCTTCATTTCAACTTCTCACCCTCACCATGCCCCCACATGCCCCCAGATATCCTTTTAATAAGAGAGAGCTCAGGCAAAGATCTGGCTATCAGCTCGGGAAGCCACTGAGTGTTCCTAATAGATACCTTTGGGAAGCCGATTGAACAAACCTGATAAAGGGTAGACTCCCAACAGCAGAAATGACAACTGAGTGGTCTGCACTACTGGCTAGCTCCAGTCCTGTCGCAGCAGGGGATGAAAGGCAGGCTGAATGAAGTGCAACAGTAAATGTAATCTTGGGAGGTGATACTTCTAGGGGAACTGTTTTGCTTGTTTTATTCTTTTTGGCTCTCTGCTTCTTGTGTCAACCGAATTGTGTGTGCTGGCCCTTCTCCTCTCCCTGGTTTCACGGGAAAGGTTCTTGAGGCTGGAGAGCGCAGTTATCAACACGTCCCACCCTCAGAGAGCTCTGTGAGCACAGGCTCCCTCCAAGCCTCTCCAGGAGAAGTCAGCAGACGCTGCCCCTGACGGTGCAGGAGACAGCACCAGGTGTTTGCTGATCCCAGGTGACAGAGCAGTCAGGGCCAACTCCCTCAGGGCATACCCTAGGGCTGGACACCTGTGCCCCCTCCTGAGCTCTGTCCCCTGTGGTCTCACAGCTATATTTAGTCTGTGCAAATGTGAAGAGTTCAGAATATCTTTTTTTAGGGGTGATCAGCATGTCCATGTCTGCTTTACTCAACCCTGGTGCTACAAATACATTCATGAGTCATTTTACAATCTTCACCTAAAGTTTGGAGTGATAAGGATTAAAACAAACAAACAAAAAAACCTCCCACACCAGCCATATTGTTGTCATGCAAGGACACCTCCAAGCTCCAGGAGCATCTGTGCTAGTGAGTGCCTCTGCTGGCCCGGGCTCTTAGTATTACGAGCTAATTCACCTGAGAACCTGACACTCTGGCAGTTCAGGCAGAGGAAGCCGAGCTGTTTGTTGGGCTAATACAGTTTTCTTGTTCTAGGTGAGAAGGAAGCATGTAGAGCACGTGCTCAGTATTTGCTGGGAGCTAGTGAAAGCTGTGGAATGCCGCTGGTCAAGCTGCAGAGACAGGGCAACTGGGGCAGGTGATGGCAGTGGCAGTGCTGTTGGTGGCAGATGGCTGGGGCCCAGGACACTGAGGGTGGCCTGGCTCCGTCATTCCTCAGACAACTGTGCTGGCTATATATACTCCAACCCTGTCTATGTGTGAGGCCTCATGCTGGCTGCTGGAAGAGCTGCCCTGGGAGCTGGTGGTGCTTGAATTTTCAATGAGTTGATTTGATTAGCGGTGGAGGATTGAGGGGAACAGGGAGGACAGGAAAGCTTATCACTGACCACAACATGTGTTCAAACATGCTAACACCCTTGAGAGAGGTAGGAAGGCTATGGGTGTTAGGAAGGGACTGCACAAATCTTAGGTGGGACTTCAGGAAGGTCATCAGGAAGAAGGGGGTCTGTGAGAGGTTCACTGTTGGATTCATAGTATTTCCACCACGGCGATTTGGGGTGGATGTACGGGGAAGAAATTCTAGGCATAGAGAATCCCAGCAAACCCCAAAGCAGGACAACACAGGGCCAAAGGGTGGGTGTGAGCAGCAGGAGGAATGCAGTTTGGCTGAGCTGAGGAGTAGACAGGGAGTGGCGGGAAGAGGGAGGGCCACGTGGTTCCAGGTGTGGGTCTGTACTTCCTCCACAGCAGCGGGGAGCCCTGAGCCTTGGCACTCCACCCTGGTGGGACGCTGGAATCCTCTGCAGAGCTTTCACGCTGACTGCAGTCCAGGCATCACACCACACAGATGATAAATTAATGGAGTTGGATTGGGTCCAAGCACTGGGTAGATATTTTTAGAGCTTCCCAGTTGGTTCCAGTGTGCACTGAGGGCCAAGGACCACAGCGCTGCAGGAAGCTAGAGAAATGGTCCAGCAGGGTCTGTACAGACTCATGCTGAGCCTCAGGGCTAGGCAGGGCAGGAATCAAAGATGAGCGCAGGAAAATGCTGTAAAGCCAAGTTCCTCAACCTCAATACTGACACCTCGGGCCAGGTAATTCTTTGCTGTGAGGGCTGTCCTGGGTGGGGTGGGATGTTTAACGGTATCCCTGCCCTCTACTCACTAGGTGCCAGTAGGAAAGTCCCCTTCTGAGTTGTAACAACCAAAAATATGCCCAGATATTGCCAAATGCCCCTGGGGGGCAACATTGCCCCAGTTCTTCTGCTGGGCTCACTTTTTCATAGTGTCATAGGAGGAAATAATAGAAATAGAGACAAGGGACCAGTAACTAGCTAACGACCCATGTTTTGTCAGATGTCAACCACTCACTGCAGTGGGAAAGCCAAGTCAGCACAGGGACAGTGGCTTCCCCACTGGTAGGGAAAGAAGTGGTTGGTTAGAAACATGGTCTCTTTTCCATACTTGCCCAAAGGACTGTTCACAGCAGAAGTGTTGCAAGTTGCTTTGATGATTTGCCTATGTTAAACTGTCCTTTTCTGGGCAAACAAAAAAAGGACCACAGTCTCCCTTCTCAGTATCATTAGCCAAGAAATCATTGTCAATGTCTGAAAGGTAGACTGGATTTTTTTAAAGGGAATAAATAATGTGTTAAACCAAAGCGTCAACAGAGCAGACGCGGCCCTGCCCCGTGGTGGCCTCCACCTGGCCCGCAAGCAGCACCTGCCACCTCCACCTCATCCTCCACCTGGCCACCCTCCTCGGCTTCACACTCCTCTGAAAGGCTCTGCCATTTTGGAAAGAGATTCCCATTTGATTCGGCCTATCTGTCTTTTTCCAAAGTAAGGAAAAAGTTCCATGAACTGTATTAAGCAGACTTCTCTGGCCAAGAATTTTAAAATATGCAAAGGCCTTGATTCAGTATTATTAGTCGGTAATTACTTCCCCTACAAATAAATTGTATTTTGAGCTTTCATAGAAAGTTCTGCCACAGATTTTCTCAATGAAAGTGGTGAGCTTTAGCATAGAATAGAGTAATATCAAGAAGTTTCCCTCTCATTCTCCCTTTAAAAGAGAGAGATTTTTTTTCTTCAAGTTTGTGGTAAAATGTGGACAGCTGTCCAGAGGGGCATGACCTCTGCAGAAGAGGAAACGACCATCCACTTGCCCTGCACCCACAGAAGCCATGGCAGTGGGGTCATCTCCTTTTTCAAAGGGGGTGATCATGCTGTTGGAGCCCAGTGGGTGGCCTGGGCCTTGGCTTTGGCTCTGGGCAGTGCCTGGTGGCATGGGGGCTGCCATGTGGGTGTCTCCCCTTGGCCTTGGCTCTGGGAGGTGTCCCCCACAGTGCTGTGACCACTGACACACCAGCACTTCCCACATTCTCAGGCACGCAGTGTCCTACAGCTAAAATCCCTGTTTTGTTTTGGAAGGACACTGAGAAAGTTAATTCTAAGTATGAGACAGCAGTCTGGGGAGACTGGGAGGGATGACACTGCCCAGGCTCTGAGAGGAGCCCATCCTGCCAGCCGACCTCACTTCCCCCACGACCTACTTTCCCTGGCATCATCGCTGGAGCTCAGCAGGACTCATGTTCTTCCGTGGGGCTGCCGCTGCTTTAAATCTTTCCAAATGCTGGTGTTCTCTATCTCGCTGAGCCTGTAGATATGTGCCTGACTCTACTGGCTAATCGTCCACTGGGGACCATGTTTCCAGCCTGAGTCTTATTCTTTAACAGCAGAGTTTATTTGCCTTTTTTTTTTCTAAGGGCCCAATTGTATAAGGCTGCTCTGCTTATGAGCAATACCCCGAATTTTTCAAATCACCCCTTCCTGTGTAAAGGCTGCTTTTAAAGTGACTGCCATCTTTCAAAGTTAATGAACATTTAGGGAGCACTTGGTTGAGGCTAGGGCAATTTATATGTGGTGCTTTAAGAAGTGGTTTTTAATAAGAGAAATAAAAGTACCCATACGTGCACCAAGCATACCTGAGTCATACCTAGGGGGGTAAATGTGCACACCACATATCACGCCCTGCCTGCCCGCGTGTGCCTACACATATATACCTGGCAGAATCAGGGAACAGACTACATAAAACCCACCTGCCTATTCATTCATGAACTCATCTACTCACTCGAACATTTGTCAAACACCTCTTCTGTGCAAGATGCTTTGCAATAAGATAGCAAAAGATTCAAAGATATAAAAATATATGAAACTATATTAGTCCCTACTCATAAAAGCTTATACTCCTGTACAAGATATTTTCATGACCCAGAGTAAGACACATACTTTACACCTCCACAACTTATCACATGTGCACACCCACACACATCCCTCACCAAAGTTTAACAAAGCAACAATCCTTATAACCTATGAAGTGCTCTCATCTCGTCTGGTCTTTCATTTTATAACCACTAAGTTGACTTCAAAGCCTACCTACACTTTGAAAAACACTGCTCTAAGAGAGACAGCCATAGTAACAAAGGAGTTAAGAGGCAGCTCACAGCTCTGTGGAGTGTTACAAAGGCCCTGCGCTAGCCTCTCTTCACAGGTGGCATAAGCACAGCAGAGGTCTTCCTCCCAGGCCAGGAAGGCAGATAAAGAGGCTGTGCTTTCACTTAACCTTCTGCTGCAGACACGCTGTTTTAAGTCTTCCCGAAGGATGCCCAGTTCATTCCAACACGCCCCATCCCTGGCTGCGGAGGCTCCTCTCCGAAACACCCAGTGCTGACAAAGCGCAAAAGCACCCCTGAGCCCCCACCAGTCCAGCTCAGCCCTGAACTGCCATTCACATCATTGCTGCCCTGCTCGTCATTTTTACTGTGGCCTCTCTAAGCAGCCCCACACTCTGCTGTGGGTAGGTACTCACTGGGGTCCCCTAAGTAGCTCCCTTATTTTCAAAGATACAAACACAGCAATCACAAAGCCCCCATTTTCAACCCATCAGAGACTATTCCTGAGGACCTATGTTGGTACTGGGAAATGTGCTGTAGTGTGTGAGGACATGGAAAGAAATTCAGGATGCGGTCCTTGTCCTCAGGGCATCTAGTTGGGGAGACAGCAAGACTAAGATATGCTCAACAGTAGGGAATAATGAAAATGGTTTTCCCTGGAGTGCATCCCTGACGGAAGACAAGGTTATGGAAGCAACAGGTGCAGGAGCATTGTATGCGAGGCACTTAGACTTTCCCATGGCTCATATTTTAAATCTAGAAAAGCTCTAAGGCCTCTCCCAGCAGCAAGGGCTGAGATTCCACCTGTACCCACAACAGAGAACTAAAGACCGGGGCTCTCATCTTCCTAACAGCTTCTCTTTCTCTGGTCCTCCTTCTGAGATCTTCTCTGTCCTAATGACACTTTCACCTAGACCAGCTACTTCCCTTGAATCACCTCCCAATCCCGTGATTTTGTTTCTGTTAAGTGCCACGCTTGAAATCTGTCCAATCATAGCTCCCATTTTCTAGTCACTGCTAATGTCCCTAACAGTGGTGTCTATTCTTATTGCATAATGGCACCCCTGAGAAGTTAATAAAAGCTCTGGCCCTTATCCATTAAAAATGCATATACTGTACACAATTTTTCCAAATTCCCTGAGGCACAACTCCAGGAACCCAGCCTCAAAACCCGACCAGCTCTGACACCTGTCCTGCTGCACCGCACACTCTGGTTTCATCTTCCCCTGACACCCGGCTTCCAGGGACTCCTTGGAAGTCAGTGCCCCTTTGCGGCTCTTCTTTCCTCTTTCTAACTGGGGCCCTGCCGACCCATCCTCACCCTATCTCTGGACACTCACACCTTGGGAAATGCACCTTGGTAACCTCTGCCTGCAGCCTTTAAGGGCACCCATCTTGAGTTTATGTCCACTGGGACATCTCTATATCCACTACTGTGATTCACAGGGACTGCTAACCATGAGTCACGTGTCCAATAATGCAGTCATCACGTTATCCTCCTGGCCCCAAACTGGACTTTGCCCCAAATTTCACTTCTAATGGCACCACTCTTTCCCCATTCCTTCAGATGAACTCTTTGGGTCTTTCAGCTCTCACATATTATTACCCCAATTAAGTACTAAACTGTTTAGTGCTGAGACTGTAAATGGAATGGCATTTGGCACGTCTCACTTTTTCTTCTTCTATGTCTGATCTACCTCCCTGTGCTACTGCCTGTGCCTTTGAAATGTCTATTGAATCTGAGTTCTTTTCTTGGCAGTGCCCCACCAAGGCCCTGATGGTTCCACTTCCTGGGTGTCTCCTTCTCATCCACCTCTTCTCGTCTTATTCTCTACAGATCTGTGCAATTCTCATCTTCCTGAAACGCCATCTTCACAAAGTGACTTTCCGCATAAGAACCCAGAACGGCTCTGTCCAGCAGACTGTGGGCTGTGCACACTTTCTGCCCTGCCTCTGCGGCCTTTCAAACCAGGCCCATCTCCCGGTCCTGGGTTACTTTCCTCTGTGCCCAGGGCCACAATGAGCATGGTGGGCAGGAAGTCAGCTCATGGCCTGGTTCTGACTGTGGCCTGATGCAAGTCACTTCGTCTCTGGGTATCTCAACTTCCCCATGAGTAAAATGGGAAAGTGAGTATCCGCCTTACTGTCATTATATTCATATAGCTGGTTTATCATGATTAATGCCTGCACAGGGCGTGGTGCACGTCTGCCATCACTAAGTCTGTGAAACTCACTTCCATGCAGCCACCTCTGTTTCCCCATCAACTGAAATGGCTTCCCTTCTTTGTTTCTGATTAGATACATTCCATTTTTTTTCAAAATTCAGTTCACAATTGATTTCCTTGTCATTCAACATTCATTCAACACACATTTACCAGGTGCCTATTAAGTGCAGAGTGTAGTGAGGGGTTCTCAAGATGTCATGCCAAGTGAGTGCGAGGTCAGGCCAGAGTGCAGATGCCCTGCCAGAGGTGACCTCTGGCTCAGACCGAGGATCCGCAAGAGTTGGAAGTGAGCATGGAGCCCCAGGCTGCTGCTGGCAGTGGGCAGAGTGGGAGAAGGCGGGACTGTTTGAGTGTAAGAACAGGCCGGGGCAGCAGGACTCCCTGGGGCAGGAGGGGACGGCAAGAATGGCAGGACAAGCAAGGGTGGAAAAGGGGACTTGTGAAGGGCGCCAGGGGGAGCCAGGGATTGTTGTAAGCTGGGCAGAGACATGCCCAGAATTCTGCCTTCTCCACCACGTTCCTCACGATCTGGACTCTGTTGCTCTGCACACACAGGTGGGAATGGAACTGGGGCCATGATGCCAGGGGGCCATGAGCCCAGTGACAAAGAGGGCAGAGGAGACACACTCAGTGTCTCCAATTTCTGGGTGGGCTTTGGCCTGCCTGTTCCTTGGCCCAAGGCTGGGAAGGCGGACTTAAACCAAGATTAAGCTGACTGAAGTAAGTGCTCCAGGAACATTGTGTGACTAATTTAACTGCAGCTGTAGCTCTAATCTTGCCCTCAGAGTGACCCAGGGTTTTCCTTCACTTAAACAACAGTTTCTCTAAGGCCTGACTAGTAAAAACAGTATCTTTATCCAAAGGAATTACAGGTAAGTGGTATATTCCTTAAATAATACATTTTAAATATGAAGCATTTCTACAGCATTATTGTAAAGCAATGGGGCTTAACTGTTCCTTATTAATAACCAATATTGAAGCTAGGCAAGGTGGCTCCTGCAAGTAATCCCAGTGCTTTGGGAGGCTGAGGTGGGAGAACCGCTTGAGGCCAGGAGTTCGAGACTAGCATGGGCAACATAATGAGACCCCGTATCCACAAAACAAAAAAAATTAGCTAGGTGTGGTGGCACATGCCTATAGTCCTAGCTACTCAGGAGGTTGAAGTGGGAGGATCGCTAGAGTCCAGGAGTTCAAGGCTGCAGTGAGCTATGATCATGCCACTACCCTCTAGCCTGGGTAACAGAGCAAGACCTTGTCTCTAAATAAAATAAAATAAAATAAAATAAAATAAAATAAAATAAAATAAAATGTAAAATAACCAATATTGTAAGGCATGTTTATAATGAAATCTGATCCAACTTGCCCCCTCTGTGCAGCTTCTCATACAATGTTGTGACCAAATATACTTTATAAATGAAGCGAAGGTGGGCCTGCTCATCTTGTAGCTTTAGATGAGCAAACCTGCAGCAGGGGCCTGCTCTGCCATGAGTGTGCCTGGATCCCATAAGACCACAGGGCAACTGGCAAATGGATCCTTGAGGTGCAGGATGTCCTGGGCTGGGCACCTTTCCCAGAGCACACGTGCCTAGGATGCAAGCCTCAGATGCTTGCACATTTGTGCTTGCCCAAATTAAATCTCTGATATGGAATTGGAGGCTTAAGCCCCTCTGCTTGAATTAGCCCCAGCTGATAGCTCTGGGCCTCGGGGGGCACTGGAATAAGGCTGCGGAGGGGAGGTGCAAAACCATCTGGGCAAGTGGTGGGCTTTCCTCATCTCCTCAGAATCATATCTGGCTTCTCCCTCTAATTTAGGTTTTAAAGTTTACATGGCAGATGCGATGCCTAAGAGAAAAAGGGCGCTGTCCCAGACATCAAAGAATGGTCAGTGGGCACCTTCCGCCTATTTCTCAGCAGCAGGCACACCCCAGCCCTGGCCCCCCAGCAGCTCCACTCACCTCATCCACAGTCCAACGTGCCACTTGGCTGGCCCGGATGTCAGCCACGCCTGGAAGCAACTTGCAGTGTTGCTCCCTGCCGAGGGGAAGGTCCCGAAAAGGGTGGGCTGACACCGTGGACATGGACACTGACTGGTGAAGCACCTGCTGCGCCTGCTCCACCGAGTATTCTGTAAGAGAGGTGGGGTGGGGTGAGGCTCAGGCTCCCAGAGAGCAAGCACTGCTGTGTCAGCCCCGCAGTCCGGAGGGCCCAAGTCAGGGGACGGAAAGTGCAGACACCACCAGAACCCGCGTCTTCTGATCGTACAGCATCACCCCCAAGCATACCCTATGCCACCAGTCTGTTTTTGAGCAGTGGTCATAGACAGATGTTACCCATGCCCAGAAGACTGTGGCTGTGTGCCAGCCACATTCAAATAATCTCTATGAGATGCTGTTTGATGGCCAATGAAGGGCTCGCTTGTCACTGCCACTGGCTTCTCTCTCCTTAAATCAGGAGTCAGAGGAATCAAGGAACCGTGCAGAATTTGACTAATAAGCAGATTGGCACACCAAACCATCTGGGATGTGTATGTACACAAAGAATAATTTCTTCCTGGAAACAGCCTCATGAGTCTCTAAAGACAGAATGAGCCTCAGTCCACATCTGGCTTCATAAATCCCCTGAGTGATACTGAACATGACATGTAGCAAGGGTCCCCATGAGAAGCTGGGTGATATCAGCTGCTGCTGCTGCAGATCCCCAGCAGCGCACCATGACCTCACCTGGGGTGACATCCTGTGGCAGCCAGGGACTTTGGAAAGCAGCGGAAGCTGAGACATGACCTCCCTAACACAGGCACTCTTAGATGGGGTGCTCTTTTCTGAGCAGCTCTGAATGTACCATGGTTATAAAGTACAAAGGACAATGGCTGTTTGTTTGCACAAGATTGGCTGCTGCAACCAAGGAGTGAGACTTCAACGGGATCTCCATGCACTTCAGCCCCACACTTATCAACAGCCTTCTGTGCTGGTTTCCTGTCTTCAAAAGTGACTTTAATCTTATGTTACATCTCAACATTTAAGGAAAAGGTCTCAATTCCCTAATTATTTAGTTTAAATCTACAAATGGATAAGGAGCAAAAATATTACAGAGATTTCAGAGAAAACCAATGCCTTTATAAGGACATCTTTTAAGATACTTTCAACACACATTAGCAAAATAAAACTGCTGATATTAGAAGAGACTTTGAAAAGACCACAAAAGGAAATGTTTTAAGCCCTCCAGAAGTCTACCTTTTATAATGCAAAGAGAAGGTTAAATAAGCAGTAGGCACATAATTTAAGGTCTATTATGATGGTTTTTGTTTTACTAACAGAATCTGAAAAACCATTATGCAAATATTTCCACCTCAAATTAATTACAGCTTTTAGTAGGTGAGGCTGACCTGCATGATCACAGTCACATATACTCATTAGTAATCAGAAAGGTTCTAAACTACGAGCGAGCTTGTCCATCACTGGGCTTCTCTGTGCAACACCACTCTCGTGGATCGGAACAGACATCCTCATATTTAACAGTGCTTGCTGTCTACACAGATAAAGAGACAGCAAAATTGCCAGCTTCTCCCCAATTCTTATGCTCCAGGTGCAAGCAGCAGCAAATTCCTCTCTAACTGCTGATTGTCCAACACTGACCTTTTTAGTATGTAAATAGGTTATCTCTTCTGTGTAGTTCAGCCAACAGTATGTAAGCCTGCAGGTTCTGAAAGGAAACTTCACATCTTCCTTGAAAAGGCAGTATGTTGGCAAATGTGAATGTTTTTTAATGAAGTTGTCAGGCTGGACAAGGGGCATGTACAAAACAAGCCCTTGAAACCCGGAGTGGGAAAGTCACAGGGTCAGTCTGCAGTTGCAGTGACACAGAAATGATCAAGACCTTGCTGGGAAGCCAGGAGTTAAAGCCCTGCACTCTTAGGGATTAAGACCTGGGCCAAAACTGGGCTGTATTCTGGAAAAGAATAACCACATCACTCAATCAGTTGTTTTTGCTGAAATAGTGTGGACTTAAACTCAACATATATGTATCTCAAACTCATGCCCTGGGTAAATTAATCATGCATAGTTTCCAAAATATATAGGACTCTGAAAAGACACAGTGAAAGAATCTTATATATTGGAAGAACAAATATGTCAAGTGATGGTGATTAGATTTCTGTGATTCCCAAATGAAAGCTGAAGTCATTAAAAATGTAAAAGAAAAAAAGACACACAAAAACCGGAAAGCTGTGTGCTCCCCAGCAGGAAAATTTCCCACACCATAATTCTGGAAGCAAATTATCTGCTTTGGGTGCTGGGGCAGACTCTTGGAAAGACACCTAATGTGTGGCTGAACAGTCCAGGGGCTCCTCAGTCCACTGCTTGCCACTCTCAGGGCTGGTTCTGGGCTCTGGAAGATGACAGATGGGGAATTCAGTTAGTCCAAGTAGCAAGATGGCCTTTAGGTCACAACGAAAGAGATGGAGTTCTAGCTTTATGCTGTGCATTTGAACTCAGGTTAGCTTTATATTATCTATGGCTTTTGAATACAGTTACCTGTGTCCCTATTAAATCAAACTATTTGAAGGGAAGCCTGAATAAAACTGAATTTGGGAGTGCAGGAAAGCTGTGGGGAATAGGCTGTATATGCCAAAGGGAGTCCTGCATGGGCACTGGGGAAAGACCTACAGGCACTTGCTGAGCTGTGGATCCCCTACCTGGGGTTCAGAGTTTTCACTAGGCATAAGGGCTTGTGTCTGTTTACAGGCAACCTCAAGTTCTGGGAAATGCTTGCCAGAATCTGTTATATGTTGAACACAGATAATGTTTTACTATTATCAATTTTACCATATCAATTATACATCATGAGACAGAAAGTTTTAAAGTTGAGCTTTTGAAAACTCATAAAGACCTGAGTTGGTCTAGGAGGGAGTCCCTGGATAGGGAATCTGGAATAACCATTCTGTCATCTCGAAGACATGGGACTGGAGGTGACAGTGTCTGTCATGCAGGGCTGGTGTGAGGGAAAAGGAGAAGTTGGCAGAAGGTGCTTGGCAAGGTCCCCAGTGTGTTGTGAATACTCAGTGGCAGGTACTACTTTAACTGCGATTTGCAAACCTCTTGAGGTCAGGATTGAGAAAGGGAAGCGGCCTGATTCTAAATTAACACAACGCAAGACTAATTTGCATTTGGGGAGTGTTTCGCGGGGGCTGTTTTGCCTTCTTTGTACTCTTTAGCAGGTCTAATGTCTTCTACAGCTGATGATTTTGGGGCGGGATAGTCAGGTCTAGCTGAAAAAATGCTTGTGTGTACTTGCCTCAGGAGCTCTGTGGCCTAGTGATCTCCCTACATAATAGCTGAGTGACCTGGGATTAGGTACTTAATTTCTACATATCAAGGTTTTCTAACTCTAAAATGGGGTAATAGGAGGGAGACAAAAAATAGAATAGTATAGAATAGAATAGAATAGAATAGAACAGAAGAGAATAGAATAGAATAGAATAGAATAGAATAGAATAGAATAGAATAGAATAGAATAGAATAGAATAGAATAGAATAGAATAGAACGGAGTAAGAGCAAAACTTATACCTCATTGAGTTGTGATTTGGACAGCTCCTGGTACATAACGTGTTCAATACATGTCAGATATTATGTTACTGTTACAAGTTATAAAGGTATTTTAAGTTGTAATGATAGTGAATGTGGGGACATACACCACTTCCAAAGCCAGTGTGGCTAATGTGTCTGAAACTCACAAAATGTGAAATCCGGACTGAGATTCAGGGTCTTGAGGGCTGTGTTCAGATTTCACACCTGAGTGGTCCTGGAATGACAGTGCAGTGGCCACTGAAATCATTTGCAGAAGTCCTAGTGGAAGGAAGTGAGATCTGCCACTGCAGGGTGGACATCTGCTTCCCAGGCAGCCTGTTGCCGATGTGTGGCAACCGTGTCAGATGCTAAAATGCTCTTGGCCTGCCAGCTTAGAAATTATGTGACTGTTGACAGGCTTTTAAAAGTTAGGGTGATTTGCATTATTTTAAATTCTGTGCATAAAATTACACTTTTGAAAATATCCACTTAAAATTTGCATAAATTTTTGTAATATGCGAATATACTGATTTTAACTTTTTTTTACAAAGCCCAGCACGATTTATGTCACATCAGATACTCACTAAAAAGTTGTTAATAAATTAAAGAACATAAGCTGATGATGAAGGCATAGACCGTTTCCAGAAACCATTCTCATCAAATCAGACGGATCAGATTCTTCTATCTTGGGCATTTTGGGTAAATGGAGCCTTCCAGATTTGATAAGGATGTTTGCCACAATGACAGGGCAGAAGGGTCACTTGTGTACTTCATCCACCAGAGCTGGCATCACAGCCCTGTTTCCACCTAACACAGCTGAGGGACATGAGATGCTTCCCAGTTGCACGACCTCATTGCCGTCATGACTCCTATCCAGCTCCCCTAAAAGTCAGCCAAGGAAATTCAGCCTGCAAAAGCAGCCCTCCTACTGGAGGTTTTAACATTTTAATTAATCAAAATGTTCTCTGCACCAGAAAATGAAATGTATATGTAATACTGCCTTTGCCTCTAACACCAATGTGACAATAAATAAAGATGTCCTTACGTGTAGGATGCCTTCTCCTTCTAGAAAACAGAATACATAAAACTTGTAATGTCAGTGGTTTGTCATTGGGGGATTTGGTTGAAAGAATTGTTTTGCTACCATTTTCCTTGCTATGGGTGTTTCTTTTGGATTTTATGGCCTTTAAAAAAATATATGATGAAGAGCTTAAAGATTTCATTCAAGGTGCTTACAGATATACTGTACCCTCAAGTTTCCAAGGCCAATATGTTCAGATATGTTCAGCTCTGTGTCCAGCTGCAGGGTCTGAAGAGGCCCTGGACCACAGCACTGGAAGACTTGGCCATGGATCTTGAGTCTAGCAGCACTCAGAGAGGAGTAACCCATCTCCAAAGAAAAGTCATTGCTTGCCCTTCCTATAGAGGCAATAAACACACTGGAACCTGGTTGATTCCCTGATGAGATGCAAGTCCACTGGTAAGTCTATCTGCCTTTAAAAGTCAGAACGCCACAGCCAGGGGAAGGCCAATTTTTCCAGAGTGCCTGAGACAGCCAGACCTGCCAGTTGTGGACAGCGTGTGACCTAGGGCTGCCTTTCCAGTGAAACGACCAAACAGACTTGCGACACGAGGCAGAGCACCGTCTGCTTCCCATTCCACAGATTAAAAAGAAAAGTATTCAGCCAGGTGCAGTGGCTCACACTTGTAATTTCAGCACTTTGGGAGGCCAAGTTGGGAGGATTGCTTGAGGCCAGGAGTTCAAGACCAGACTTGACAACACGGTGAGACCCTGTCTCTACAAAAAAGAAAAAATTAGCTGGGCATGGTGACATGCACCTGTAGTCTTGGCTACTTGGGAGGCTGAGGCAGGAGGATCACTTGAGTTCAGGAGGTCAAAGCTGCAATGAGTTATGATCGCACCACTGCATCCCAGTTTGGGTGACAGAGAAACCCTGTCTCTATTGTTTTGTTTTTTTTTTTTAAAAAGAGGAAGAATATTTTTTAGAAACTAAAGGATTTAATTTTGTCTGAAAATAACATAATGGTAGGTCCCTGATTTCTTCTCTGCCCTCTCACCCATCCTTCCCACCTCTGCTCTACCCTGACAAATGAGAAGGAAAATCCTTTATGGAAATGTTCTTTAAAAATATGTCTGTTTCTTCACAAAAGCCTCACAAAACAAAACTGAAGCAAGTGAGTCATAAATGGTAAACCACAGTCTGCATGACTGGGCCTTGAGTTATTTTTAATCCCACTAAAAACGGAGACCCATTTCACAAGTAACCTTCTCTTCAATGAAAGGGGTAGCAGTTCTACTGTGTTCTCTGCTGCAAAAAGGAGGAAATAAAAAAAATGCAGTCGGTCCCCAAATCCAATTATGTGATTGCTCTCACCCACTGTGTAATCTGTGACAGTCACCGACCAAGTCCCATCAATTTATCTGGCACTGACTGAGAAGTTACTCCACCCAGGACCTGTGCTTCCATAGTGACTTCTGCTGGAGAAGCAAGGAAATGTTCAGAGATGGCTTTTCAGCTGGGAACGTTGTTTTCTTCCCACGATCACCTGTTCTCATGCCCTGCGTACTGAACGTGCTTGAAGCTATCATTTCTCAGCTGCACTTTCTTCTCTTGATTTTGATGCTTCTGAGTCTACTCATTCCCCTTCATTTCCATTTCTTTATCCACAAAACAAAAGTAAAAAGCAGAACAAGAGAGGCTTCACCATGATGTGCAGGACAACTGTCTATTTCCGTATGGGAACAGGAGCTCCTCAGGAACGCTCCTCTCTCTGACAGCAGGCACTCAGCACATGCTGTTTCTTAGATGCCAAGTCATATTGCTCCTCAGACATGGGCATGGCCTGTCTGCTGCACTGTCTTCTGTTTCTCATACCCTTATTATCCAGAATTCATAAACGAATATCTGCAGTTTTCTAATTTTAGCTATTGGTCTTCCCTCATCACAAGCAGTCTCTTAACCAATTTTATATAAATATGGGAGATGAAGCACACAAGAGTCAGAGATTGTCCACTGCTTAGTGGGCTATCGAGAGGGTTAGAAGTTGAATGAAGAGCCTTGGATGCCCCACACCTGTGTACTATCCAATAACAGTAGCCACTAGCCACACTACAGAGCACCTGAAATGTGAAGCGTGCAAACTGAGATGTGCTATAGTACCTCCTGGATTTTGATCACTTAGTAGAAAAAGCAGAATGTAAAATATCTCCTTAATAATTTTTTGAATCTTGATTTACATGTTGAAATGATGTTTTGGATCTATTGGGTGAAATAGAATATGTCGTCAAAACTAATTTTACTTGTTTCTTCTGATTACGTTAAATACGGCCAGTAGAAACTTTCAAACTCTGTAAGTAGCCAGCATTCTGCTTCTGCTGGGATGGTGTGTGTCCAGAAGAGTGCTGAGCCCATGGCCTCTCTCCAGACCCACCCTGGGTGCAGGAAGAGGCTGGGTGGCTGGATCCAATTAACATGACTCTTGTGGAGTAATGATAACAGGGCTTGAGTAGCCTGGATTACACCCTGCCCCAGAAATCCAATAACAGAAGGCGTGAAGACAGGAGGTCATGGACAGTCTAGAGGAGCGGAAGAGTCTGTCTGGGGGATGACTTGGGTGCTTGTGTTGGTTCCATGGTTCATTTGCCCTGAGACTCTGAGCCATGTGTTTGTCTGGCTTATAACTGATGCTCAACAAATACCTGTTGAGTGGATGAATGAAGGCTGAATGAACGCACGCAGGCCAGAAGGCAGGGATATTTTTCATTTACTACAAAAGCAAAGAATGACTTTCAAAACTAGGTTAGGAACTGTTCAGAGTTAGAGCCACTTTCTCTAAAAGTGTCGCTGCCCAACCCCAAATCACTCAATGCTAAAGGAGTGTGCGGCAACCCAGCTGCTGTTTCCTTACCAGGTCTTGTGTCCTGGCAGGGAGGACTGAGGGAACCGAGTTTAGGAGTCTCTGGACTCCGGAGGGCATCTTTCAGGCATTCCTCTCCAACCTCCAGGGGACAGCCAGATCCTTGGGGCTCCGGCTGTCAGGCTTTACAACAGCTCTCAATGGGTAACCTTCCCACCTCAGTCCTGCTCCCTCATCCAGGGAGAAGTGGTCCCTCTGCACTCAGGCCAGCCTCAGCCCCACTGCCTGCTCCACACAGTGGCATCTCTGAGGACTGAGAGGCCCCTCCTCCCAGGCGGGCATGTGCCCTGTGGTGCCCAGCTCCTCCCTGCAAGCTGCGGCTGTTCCTCCAGGCAGGCCTCCGTCTCCTCATGGTTTCCTCAGTGGCTACCCAAACTAGGCCCCAGAGTCTTCCACTCACCTCTGCACATCTCTGTCTCCTTCCTTGGTTCCATCCAGGAACTGAGTCAGCTCCCTCCCTCCCCAAGGGGCTGCCATGGCCTCCCCTGTCCTCTGCGCTTCTCCCACCCAGGCTGACTGGCCTGGAGCATCAGGCTCCCTGTGCCTTGCTGCCCCAATGCAGGCTCTTGCAAGGGGCTGATTGGCAAACACAGTAGCATCCTGAGGGAATAAGTCACTTAATATGCAGGGAAGTGGCAGATAAGACACGTCCTAGAGCAGGAGGCAGTCACGACTCTAGGAAGGAGCTCAGCCTCCAGCTTTCATTCCTGAGGGCAGGGTTTGAGTTCCTGCTGTTGATACTATTCCAACAAGCACTTTTTCAAGGGATCCCCAATCCCAGAAGTCTATCTTTAGGGTTCTCTAGACCCAGAGGTTTGGGGTTCCAGGTGCACAGGCCCTGTCCAGAGCACTTGGGCTGGGGCACAGACTCCTTGCCACCCTCAGGCCTCATCACCCTCTGTGGCATCCCTCAGCCCAGGAGGAGGTAAGTCCTGCCTCCCCAAGGCTGCCCCTGGGTACCCTGCCACTGGCTACCCTTTATGGAAATTGTCCATTTATTTTTTCAGCCCTCATGAACAGAGTAAGAAGTCAAGGGCAGCCATTTCCCATTCATCCCCAGAGCTGCATGGCAGAGCGTGAACCTGACACATGGTGCGGTGTAGCAGGGGTGCTTAACACATAATGGGACTGTGGCGCCTTCAGAGGAATTGTACTGCAGGGATAGATAAGGCAGTGGCAAATGCTGACTTATTCTGCACCAGTGAAAACAGTGAGTTTTTATCCTGTGGTGTCTTACTTGTCAAATATACTCATTGCTGAAAAGGCTGGGAGTTGTTTGTAACATGAAATCTCACCCACTCCTCAATTTCATACACGAGCAGCAGATAGTCCTGGGGTCATCTTCACAAAAGTGCAGGAAAATCCATAGTAACTTTTGATAGGTTAGTCATCCAATACAAGACCTCCATGCAGCTTATTTTTTGATGGCTAGAGAGCAATCTTTTAGTTTATTATCTGCTTCACACAGCTTGAGACATCATTAATTAACTTATTTTGATCGATACTACACCCCAATCACCCAGCATGTATTTTTAGACCTTTACTGGCAGAGGAGACACCATAACTGAAGGAACACCAGCATCAACCTGACCAGGAGACTGGAGTGGCTCTTATTTTGAAGTTTCTTCTTTTTAGGCATCCTCCTGCCCGGTCACTTCCTACCCTGCTCTCCACGTGCAGATACTGAGCAACAAGTCCTGCTGGGTTGGGCATGCACAAAACTGAAAGGCCCTACTCCCTTATACATCTGTGAGTAGGACACAAAATAAGCCATTACAGTGCCTGAGGACGTGGTTTAATTGTACTTTAATTCCAACAGTAGATGTAGCACTGGTTGTGAGGAGCTAATGGATGTGGAAGTTAGCCCTGGCTTCAGCTATATGGGCACCCAGGCCTACGGTGGAGGGCAGTGCAACCAGTCCAAAAGCCTGAGCAGGTCTGCGTGCTGCTCTCTCAACTCCCACAACGGGAGGGGCAGGGGAACGAATATAAGCTATCAGCCTTAAAATCTGAGCACGACCTACCTCTGGGAGGGCAGACACCATATTCTATTTGTTTTTGTAACCTCCACCCCCCGGCACAGCACCTGGTACACAGAGGTGCTCAATAGCTGTTTGCTGACAACCAACGGGGCAGGAATAACTCTTGGGAAGGGGCAAAAGAGTGGATCCTTCTTGGATGAAGGAAAGCCTGGAGCTCCCCCAACTCTGTCCATGCTATGAATGAATGCCTCATGGATTGTGCCTCCCTTTTCTCTGGGAATGTGCCCCATTCCCGACCCCTGGGCACACCATTTGAGCAGAGGGTCCACAGGGGTCAACTTGAACAGAGAGACCCCTGACTGAAAAAACTCTTGAGGTCCAGTGTGTCTCCAAGGTTCCCAGGCTCATGTGGACACACAGCCAGCCCAGGGCACAGCACCGTGCCTGTCATCCAGGAGTGTACAATCAGAATGACAAGTCTGGGATCAAATGGAATGATCCCTGCCAGAGGCCAGGGAACAAGCCTGTGCTGGGCCCCTCTTAATCATCTGCTTTATTCACTCCAAGTGACTTCATGAAGGATGGTGCTATTAGCCCTCTCTGACAGATAACACAGCAGTCTCAGAGACACAATGTAACTTGACAAAAGTGATTCAGCAGCCCAGGGTGGAGCTGGGGTGCTGATCCTAGAGCCTACCACACCAGGGGCATTTTTTTCCTCCAATCCTTCAATAGTGGGTTATTTCTCACACTGCCTGTACATTCCTGTTTAGAAGGTGACAGGCAGAAGTCACACTTTGGGGGCAGGGTGTGGCCAGATAATCCTGAAAAGAAGGGTTGTCTCTTCTTTAGCAAGGTAAGCCTCTGTGTTGCAATACTCAGCATCTGAATCTCAAGACAGGTCCCTGGAGGTATTGTCAGATTTATCTCAAAATAAACATTGCTTCCAGGGATCCTGCGTGGGACCCTTGGAGACCTAGTCAAAGGAGCACCTTAGGGTACAGGAATGACAGCCACCTGGGCTCTGCCTGGCAGGCAGTAAAGGCACACGTCGCCTCCAGGGGCCACACTCACCTCTCTGGGAAAACAGGGCTGCTGCTCACCCTGCTTGTCCCTGGCACAGAAAGCTGCCTTGTCCCTGGCACAGAGCTCAGCACAGATGCTGGCTCCTAGGCACCGCCGAGGGCTCCCCTCATGGAGTGGCTGACGTGCTGACAGACATAGAAAAGTCAGTCTGCGTTGTGGGGTGCTCTCAGGGCCAAGTGGCTTGTTCTGGGAACCACCTGTTTTCACAGGCTTATGTGCTCCCTGCACCCTGCAGACAGCTCTTCCTGCTTCTCAGCAGAAACTCTCCTAGGCCTAAGGCCACGTGTCATCCCACCCACTCTGGGAGGGTGAGAGGCCAGGATTCCCCCCAGGAAGTGAAACAAAGCATCCCCGTCTCAGGTGTACACCATATTGTATACTTTTGATTCTTTTGTTGAAAACGTATAAATAAATTAGTTTGCGCTTTTTTTTTTTTTTTTTTGAGATGGAGTTTTACTTTTGTCGCCCAGGCTGGATTGCAATGGCATGATCTCAGCTCACTGCAACCTCTGCCTCCTGGGTTCAAGCGATTCTCCTGCCTCAGCTGCCTGAGTAGCTGGGATTACAGGCTTGCACCACCACCCCTTGATAATTTTTATATTTTTAGTAGAGAAAGGATTTTGTCATGTTGGCCAGGCTGGTCTCGAACTCCTGACCTCAGGTGATCTGCCCACCTCGGCCTCCCAAAGTGCCAGGATTACAAGCATGAGCCACAGTGCCCGGCCTGTGCACTTCTTTTCACATTTCACTTTTGGGCAAACTCAATGAAGAAGTAGCTCATGGGCTATTTTCTTCTTGTAGGAGTTGTGCATATTTCCAGCATTTTCCTGGCTTTGCAGAGAAGCCAGAAGCAGCGGTGCACACAGGATGAGTTGCTCCTCAAGCCGCCCTTGCCTGGGCTGATTTGTGTTCCCTCTCGCATACACCAAGGCTAGTGAGGCGGAGGATGGCAATTGCTGGCTGTGCTGCTTGGGGAAGCATGCCCAGGTGTCTGTGCCCACACCAAATTTCCCTCTGCTTAGCTTTCTGAGGAGGCCCTCCTGCCTGTTTTTCAGGTTTCTCTCTGTTCACACAAATCAAATGTGTGTACTCAAATATGCTCTCCCACCACTGACCTCTTGGTGTTCTCTGGGCTCCTTGGCCTGGTCTCACCTTATGCTAATTACAGGCAGCAAGCACAGTGGGCTGTGATGATTAGAAAATATATGGGTCAAATAGAAAATAAAATTAAGGCTAGTCTTCTTTGTTATGCAAGTAAAAGAAGAAATGAGTATTCTTACTATTTCACAGACTTCAGTCTTTAAAAATTATTAGAACTATGAAAAGTTCTTTGTTATACAAGTAAAAGAAATGAGTATTCTTGGTATTCCATAGACTTCAGTCTTTTCTTTAAAAATTATTAGAATTATGAAAAAAGAAACAATGAATGACACTAACTTTTAAGAAGACTGAAGTGAGATCAAACATGCAAAAGGCTCTGTGCTCTTCGTTATGGGATTCAGGTCCTGTCGGAAACTAAGTTCCAAGGGCTAGGTGCAGTGGCTCATACCTGTAACCCCAGTGCTTTGGGAGGCCAAAGTAGGAGGATCCCTTGAAACCAGGAGTTTAAGACCAGCCTGGGCAACACAGCAAGACTCCTTTCTTTGAGGAAAAAAAAAAAAAGCCAGCCTTGGTGGCTCCTGCTTGTAGTCCCAGCTACTCCGAAGACACTTGAGTCCAGGAGTTTGAGGTTGCAGTGAGCTGCGATTGTGCCACTGTACTCCAGGCTGAGGGACAAAGTGACATCTCATCTCAAAAAAAAAATTTTTTTTTTAAAAATAAACTCCAGTTCCAAGTCACACAAAAGCTATTCTGTTCTGTCATCTATTATTCTCTTCTAGAATAAATATCTCCCGATGCAACATGCACAGACACTGTATCTTTTTCCTATTTATCAACAGTCAAAGGAACAAAAAGGTTTCAATATTCTGTGTGTGTGTGTGTGTGTGTGTGTGTGTGTGTGTTTTGGGAAAAAAAAGGAAGAACGAAAGCAAAACACTTGAAATGTTTAAATGGCAGGAACAAGTAACTTGCATAAGTTAAAGAACAAATTATGAAGCAAAGGGATAATGAAGGAATAGAATTAGCCCCTCTATGTTGCGTTTCAACCTCCTATTTAAAGAGAGTCCTGCTAGTGGAGCTACGAGCTCCCACCGGAGTGAGACCTGCACTCCTGCTTCCCACACAGGGTGCCCACTCCCCTGCACTTTGGCCCAGCTCCTGCCACCCCACCCTTTTCTTAAACTTGATAGACGGCCTAAACAATCTGGCCTCTTCATTGAGCTTCTGGCTTTCTTTACAGTGCAGAATAGACTTCCCAGGTCTACCCAGCTGTGGACACAGCCAGAGGTTGTTTCCTCATGACAGGTCAGCATAGGAGCCAAGAACATTCAATTAGTCTGAAGCAAGGTCTCTGTCACATGAAATTCACACCTTTCAATTAGAATTTTTTGCAGAAGCACAGAAGCAGAGAAACCACAGACAGAGCCACTCAGAAGCCTGGGTTTCATAAAGACTCCCAGAGGTCATGGAAAATGCCCCGTACAGAGTCAACGGCATAGTTTCAGAAAATACACATTGAGAAACGTGCTATAAATTAGTTCATTTCAGATGCTAATTTTATACTCATAATAGCTGGCAAAAATGACATCTATCTCATTGCTATTTTAAAAAAGTCCAGAGATTGGATCAAAGCTACTATATTCATCACACATATGCTTAAGAGGGATAAGAGATGATATGATTTACCCTGAAATTAATTAATTTACTATGTTTTCCCATTTATGTGAATAGGCCAAAAGATGCAGAATTTGAAAATGATGTTTTCTATCCATATTAGTAAATATAACTACTAAGTAATTATTTCTTAGTAACTGGTTTAAAGCTATCATATCAGAAATGCCAGTAACAACCGAGGGGCAATTGAGGAAACCGGCTGAAGGCTTCATCACCTCAGCAGAAAGATGACAATTTCCTTAAGTCTTTTACTCCTACCATGGACAGTAATATGAAAACTGATGCGATTTTGTTAAGGGAGGCTCAAGTTGCTCACGTCACGAGGAAACACAGTCTTGTAAATTAAGGCCTTCGTTTCCAGCATGAAGGAAACTCCTTACTTGTAACGATATGGTAAGCCTCTTCTTCAAGTAAATGACACTTGTATTCAAACCTGTTTTACACTGCTGTGGGAAATAACTGCATTTGGAATCCGTAATTTTCTCTACACGGCTACTTTCTACTTCAGGAATAGCCACTGTGGAAGTGCTGTCACTAGAATACAGTTACATTTTAAGGAGCAAATGCTTAAAGACTACCCAGTCGTAGATAACCGAATCACTGCTAGTGAATTAGAGAAGTCAGTGGTAACACCAACACTTGAAACCCCAACACAACCCTTTTCTTAATTATCAACTATAAAAGGCAAGCTGCTAACGTGTGTGTTTGTGTGGGTGGGGATTAAAAAAAAAACAGTGTTAGGGAATAGAACAACTTTCCTGAAGCTAGCGTTTGAAGAAGACTGACTCGAGTAGGCTGTCACCACACTCTCAAGATCCTGTTGGTTATCACGGGTAATATTTAGGAACATTCTGCAGAGCCTCTAATAAGCCATTTGAAAGGGAAAACACTGAGCACAGGATTGAGGAGTGACGGAACACAATGGCAGTGATGAAAACCAGACACAGCAAGTTTCTGAGGCTAGGTGACCCCTCCCACTTCCCAAATAGCCCAGGACTCTTCAGGGAACTTACTGCCTCTGATTTTTCAGTCTTTCTGTAGGCTGATTTCCTCATACTAAACACTCCTCAATGATACAGTGAGGCTTCATTGTGTCATATTTTATTCTAACCTGGGAATGGCAAGATCATCTGAATTTTATTTTTTTTGAGATGGAGTCTTCCTCTAACACCCAGGCTGGAGTGCAATTATGTAATCTAGGCTCACTGCATCCTCTGTCTGCTAGGTTCAAGCAATTCTCCTGCCTCAGCCTCCCAAGTAGCTGGGACTACAGGTGCATATCACTGTGCCTGAGTAAGTTTTGTATTTTTAGTACAGATGGGTTTTCACCATGTTGGCCAGGCTGGTCTTGAACTCCTGACCTCAGGTGATCTGCCTGCCTCAGCCTCCCAAAGTGCTGGGATTATAGGCATGAGCCACCGCACCCTGCCCATCTGAAATTTATTTAAAGGCCATGTAAATTTATTAAGACATACTGGTGTTAATTCTTTGGAGGAATGCAAGGATAAATGATTGTGGCCACATTTCTGAAGTATGATAGTATTGCTGAATCCCATTATTGAGCCATACTTTATTGTAGAATATTTCCCATCTTAACACTATGGTGACAACTTTCATATACCACAGAAAAATGATTTCTCTTTAATGGCTTCCTCTTTTTAGTGGCTTCCATTATGCTATTCAAAACTGAAAATGACGACAGATGAATAGAAATCCAAAGAAAATGTTAAATATGCTTAATTATGTTGCTGTCACAATGCAGGAAATTCTTCAGATAACTGAATATTTTTTTGGGGGGGAAGCTTTTTAAAATATTCCAGAGGTAATTCCATTTCAGATTTTGAACAGAAAAGGGAGTCCCCCTTCCCCCACCTTGATACATTATTTCTATCAAAGGTAGCATTGCTGCTCATGTTCTCATTTCTTTCTTGGTGAGAAAATTAATTGATACGCTAGAGTAATTTTCATCCAGAGTGAATCTGAATGTTGTTTCTGAATTATTTTTGGACCTTGGCTTTCTTAATCATAGCTAATGATCTACGTGTCTTTAGGAGTATTTTTTTCAGAAGGGAAAATTTTTATAGGTATAGATTATTGGTCAAAATCATTGGTCAATTCTTGGTAAGGAAAATAAAAACTGCTGCTTGGGCCTCAAACTATGCTGTCTTAATGACTAGGAAAACATAATTCTCAACTTTTCCATTTTTTTTTTTCCTGGGAGCTCCAGATAACAGCACTATGGGAAGGAGGAAGAATTTAATGAAAGCTTGTACCTGCTGGCTGAAACTAAGCAGCCTATTTATAAACTGCTCTGAAATGTAAGTAAAAAGCTCTTACCTACTCAAGGTTCAAATGAGAGTGCTAGCAAACTAGTGAAGATACAAAGGAGAAACACAAGCTGGGAAAGAAGTGCATAATGGATTGAAGCAGAGGCAAGAATGGGAGAGATGATACTAGGGAATCAGTGGGAAACCGGAAGGCAGATTTTTGTTAAGGCTGACCTGAATAGCCCTGGAGGTAACATAATGTTGCAGGTAAAGAATAGATTATTAAATATTGGGGCAAAAATCTCTGCTTGTTCTGTTCCCAGTAACTAAAATCCAGTCCTCCTTCCCTTTGTCTGACCAAGCCTGAACACGTCCTCCATGGCCCAACACTCAGGCAGTGCTTACTACATGCCAGGCACTGTTGTAAGGATTTTAAGTAAGGAAAAGGAGGCACAAAAAGGGAATGGAATTTGCCTAAGAGATTTGCCCGAAGGTAGCACAGTCAGGACTCCTAATGAGGCTGCCTGGCTCCCAGGTCTGTGCTCTGGACCCTACGTTATATTCCCGAAGGATGTTTAAGTTATAAAGGAAGGTTCTTAACAAATAGGCAAAAAATGGTCTGGAGATGAGGGCTTAGGGAGATGACATGCTGAGGGAATTATTTACCTACCTACCTGGGAGTAAGGGCAAAGTCTTAAGGTGTGATGTCCATGGGGTGGTTTTAGAGCACGAGACTAGGGAAAGACAGCTCAAGTTGAGGACAAAAAACAGAGATCACACACAGTAGAAGTGAGGGATGGGGATGATGCTACAAATGGACCAGGAGAGAAGCTAATTCAAAGGAGGTATTTTGTGGTTGGGATCTTGGAGAGGGATGCTGTAGAGGGTCAGAGGGCAACAGCAGGTATGACTCTGGGCAGGTGTGTCTAGGACCAGCAACCAGGGGTGCTGAGCAAGAATGCAGTCTTGGCTGAGGTCTGGAAATGAAAAGTGACCTGGCCAGAGAGAGCAACCAATCCACAAAAATTGTATTGGTGGAGCAGCTGATTTACCTGAGAATGAAATAAGAAGGTGCTGAGAGGCCGAAAGAGATGCCTGCCTTTGACTTGTTCCCCTGAGTCTCCTAACAAGTGAGCATGTATGAATGAGAATACCTTTCACCTAGAGGTTTAAAAGTCATTTCATATACGATGGTATTTGAGCCCCCAGTAGTCTTGTGAGATATTATACCATGTTCCCATGTTCAAATGAGGAAACTGATATGCAGATTGCCTCAGAAGCCATAGAGCTAGCAAATGATATGAGGTGGGAATCAAACCCGGAACCTGACTTCCATTTCACTGCTCTTTCCATTAACTTAATATTCTGCTTTTTCGTCTCTATGAAGTTTATACTTCAGTGTTTGCATGCAACATCATATGATGAGGTCATCTTTAATAAACATTCCTTGGGAGCTTCTAGCTTGGAGCTTTCATCTCCCTTCATTGCCTTTGATGGCTGTTAATTTTTCTTTTCTTAAACTTTAAAATGTGCCCTTAAGCAAAGATTTCAAAATAGGCACTGTTAAATTCTGCTAAAAACAAAACCAATAGTTCTGTGCCAGAGCGAGCCTTCCCTATATTGGGGAACTGCCTGAGTGAGTCTGTCTGGTTGGAACCGATGCCAGTGAGCCTGTGCCTTCCATGCAATAGCCTAGAGGAATGTACAGGGGCTTGGGCAGTGGGCATGGGCCCGAGTCCAACTACACTGTGCCTTTGCTGTGAAACTTCATCCAGACATCTGACTTCCCAGAGCCTCATTTTTTAAGAGGCTTCACAGTTACTAACATAGGATTGCTAAGGAAATTAAATCCCTTGTATGAGATTGTGCTATGCAAATGTTAGGAATTACTCCTTTTTCTGTTTTCTCCCTTCTCCTCCAGGCCAGGGAGCAGGTAACTCCCAAATGAAAAAGCAAGCAGGTCTCTCCCACCATCAGTGGGATGGCTGAGCTGTCTGTGGTGCCTTTGCATCTTGCTGCTTCGCTGACCCTGAAGGTCTGCCCCAGCCTCAGGCGACCAAGCCTACAGCGACCTCAAGGAGCAGCTGCCTCATCAGTGCTTGTAGGAGGCTCAGGACGGAGAGGGGTCTGATGCCCCCATTTTGTTCCCTTCTTTTGTCTTCTTTTGACTTCCCTAGGGAAGGGAAAATGTGCTATGAAGTTAAAAGAGGAATGAAGGAAAAAGAGAGAATGGAGGGTCTTCTAAAATGTGTTTATTTCTCAAAAGCCACATAGTGCTTCACAAATTCACATTAATCTAACACTTTTGCACTGTCCCCTCCCTCACTCCAGCCCCAACCATGGGGCGAAGCCCAGCAGTGTGGGAATGTACTCGCAAACCCCACACAGACCCGTGGCCACGTGTGGATGCACTCAACAGGAGCCAGCTATATTTCAGTTCTTGCTACTTGTATCTGTCTTTAGCATCCTCCTACAACGAGCAACACAGATAAATAAATCCCCAAACCTCACCTTGGCACTGGTTCCAGCTCCTCCCCTCTCCACCTTTAGCAGCCATTATCATAAATCACATTCTTTGATATATCTTTCTCAATGTCTCCCTCGCTCAGATTGCCTTTTAGTAAAAGTTCATAAAACAAAACAGAATTTACTAAAAATAGGTTAGTGGAAAGGTGAGCAATACAACTTCTGAAAAAAAAATTAAACCAGTGTATGATTTGGGGATTTAGTGAAGTGAACTGATAAACTGGGACATTCAAATCTATTATGCCAATATTTTCTCTGGCAAGAGATTGCTTGCTGTCTTTGCATGTAGTTTCATTTCAGGACTTAATTCCCTGTTTAAAAAAAAAAACTGGAAGAAAATTTTGCATTAGTTGTATTTTACTTAGATCCAGAGACGAAGCTCTGCTAATGCATATTACAATATATAATTAAGCATAAATACATTAAAATATTAAAACACTGTAAGTTATTAGAAATAATGAAATTTCTTGCATAAAGTCATTGCATGAATTACTTAGGTGCTTGTCAGATCCCTAATCAGAAAGAGCTGCCAGAGATGGCAGAGACTTCACTTGCCAAGACAACGTAGTCCATCAGCAAATCAGTGGACTTGGGAAGGAGGTGGTTTTCCATTTAAGCTGCAGCATCACAGAAAGTTACCCTCTAAAGTCATTCTTAGATGAATACTTCTATGTCATACACAGCTAAATTCCAACAGTCAAAACAATTATTCTAAGCTAATTAAAATACAAATAAAATTTTAGGCTATGGGATAACAGATCATGAGATAAAAACAATTCTACGATTGTTGGAGGGGCCCTGTATGATATATTCAGATCTTGCTCATCTCTTCCAAATCTTTGTTTTTTTAAATAGAAAATGTAAATTATATTTAGCTTAAGTCTATGTTTGAATTTAAATCACTAAAAAAATCTACTTTCTATAAAGCATTTGGAGCAATCTTGCATATAATACTCATTTGCTTAGCTAACTCTTTTTTTCTGTAGATAAGTAAGGTAAATGTTAGGCCACTAGACAAAATTATCATACATCTTCAATCATCAATGTCCAGAGTAATGAGTCAATATATGTATGTACGTATGTATATGCATTTAAAAAAATCACTCTTTTGACACATTTCACTTTTCTTTGTAAGTAATATAGGTGGGCTAGATCAGGGGTTGTCAAGTCAGATTAGAATCATCTGAGGAGATGTGGGCATCTGGCGATGCCCATACCAATTAAAAGAGTTTCTAGGGGTGTGGATGGAAAGTGGGAACTGGTAGTTTTACAAGGTCCCTGTCACCAGGGTTGAGACACCATAGCTTAGAGTCCTGTAACTTGTCCTTACCACCAGTTCATTCTCTTCTCTCCTTCTGTGAGGAGCGCTTCTATACTAAGACCCTGAAGGTAACTAGAAAGAGACAAACTCCACCAAGTCATCCAGTGGTGCACCTTTGAGGACTTCCACTACTCGCCTAGGTTCTATGAGGCCAGTATGGAGACAGAGAGGTGGGGGCCTGTGGGGAACTGGAGGCTACAGGCCCCACTTCTAGGAGATCTCCCAGCTCCAGCCCACTGTGCCATCAGGAATGTGGGCCCATGGCTGCCTGGCTTTCAAGAGAAGCTAGAAATCTGCTTTCTATGTGAAAACCTCTTGATTTTTAAATGCTTGCAATGAATTAAAAATTTATCAAAACTGTGTTGTCCAAACAATCATGTATGTGACCAAACATGGCCTACAAAATGCTAATTTACTACCTCTGAACTAGCACAATATCCTGAAAAAAGGCATAAATAAAAAAATATTGGCAGAATGCAGCATGAGCAGTATGTGGAAAGTTTTATTTTTTAAACCATATAGATAAATCTGTATTTGCTTACTTATAATTTAGTTGTGCTCTCCAGAACCTAATGGCATAACATTAACAGGCCTTTAAAAGCAGTGTGCTAAATGAAGGACAGTTTAAATCCACAGATGTAAAACCATTGTAGAGCAAACATGCAAACAAAAACTGATCAATCAACCAACCCACCCACCCAATTTGACCCTCTGTGGGCCTTAAAGAGGTTCTCAAGCCCTACCATGCAAGGCAGATCACTTGGGAATCTTGTTTATGCAGAATTGGGGCAGGGAGGGAAAGCTGAGATTCCGCAGTTATTATGTGCTCTCAGGTGAGGCTAATGTTACTGGCCACAATCACTTCACATGTCAAACAATAAGACTGTTTGCTCCTGGAGGCTGCACCCTGTCTTTTCTCACCATTTCTGGTAGGTCCTGAGCAACTGAGGGAACGAATCCACTTGGAAGGTCCCCTTTGCAGGCCAAGTGCAGGGCTGGGCAGGCACCACTGGAGGTGAGGGTGAGAGCGTGAGGGCACAAGGCAAGTAGAGTGGGCCTTATACTCTGGTTGGGGGCAAAGATACAACCAGGTGACAGGTGGCGTGAGATGAGCTTGCGTTCTCTCCGGGATCCCTAAGAGTCCATCCTCAAGATAAGCAGGCTCAAAACGAGGCCTCTGAATGCCACTCACTCAGAAGGGCTTGCATTGTTTCCCTTTGGCTGTGGGGAACCAGGGAAGGCCTTTGGGCAGGGAAGTAAGATGATCAAAGTAGGGTTATAAAAAGGTGATCTTGTTCTACAGGAAGGTTACGTGTATTGCTGGACTATCGATTTTCCATACTTGCCACACAAAATAAATCTTCTAAAATGGCAACTACTTTATAACTCTGCTCTTGTTTAAGTGCCTAGTTATATATAGATTTCTGAGGGCCTTTAACTCAAAGAAATCTATGTCTCCTTACAAAATAAATCCAAACAAAGCAATAGTACAAAGAGAAAATGTTTGGCATGTTATTAATTCACATGGGGGACTTCAGGATACACTGAAAACACTTGTAGAAAAGAATTTCTTGCACTTCACTAAAAGTGGACAATTTCACCTCCAAACAAATGGAATTTAGTCACAAACCCAGAATCATCTGTATCATATATATGAAAAAGGGCTGGGATGAAGAGAATGAATGTGTTCTACTCTCCACATGCCATCAATATTAATTTTGCTTATGTGCGTGGATAGTAATTGAGTCCCATGTTTCCTCTATAAAACATCATCTAGACTTAGCTAGCAAATATAGACATCAGCTCAGCCAGAGAGCTATTACAAAGTCTAAGCCCTGAAGGAATTCCTTTCAAACTTTAGTAGGGTTCATGTGGGTGTGTGTGTGTGTGTGTGTGTGTGTGTGTGTGTGATGGGCTACTCTTCAGTCCCAGTACTCACCAATGGTACCTTTTACATGACAGCAGCAGTAAGGGATGGTCGTGAAGATTAAGTGAGATACATGTGTAAAGCACACAGGGCCTAGGCTTGGAATATCATTTTCTTCCTCTCTGATTCACTCATCTGTCTCCCCATCTCTCTGATCTCGTCTCTTGCCCAGTCCACCTTGTTTCCGTGTCCTGACCACAGCAGGCCTCCTCTTGGTCCCCTGAATGCATCTTGCTGGTAGCCTCTGTTGTTCTTTCCTCCTGGAATGCCCACCCCTCTTCTCTTTGCTTGGCTGACTCCTAGAAGTTCAGATTAAATGGCACTTCCACAGACAGGCCCATGCTGACCCTCAAATATAATTGAGGTTCTTTCCATGCCCGTACATGACTTTCATTCTCTCCTGTAGCACACTATCTTTTTCATCATGTTTCCTATCACAGTCAGTACTTAGTATGTGCAAGTTTGTCTGTATTCCCATTACTGTAAGCCTTGCCAGTGCCTTGCATACAGTAGGGGCTTAATAAATACATGTTAAGCAAATGAGTCGTTTAGGGAAGAGTCTGTCTCTTATTCAGTCCTCAAGATGAACACGGCTTTGCCTTTAAGAGGCACATAAACATTCTGTTGATTGACTCTAAATGACTCCCATCAAGTCACATGGCAGGTTGGTCACTTGCTACCTGGCATCTTTTGTCTACACTAAAGCTGCTATAATAGTAACCTGTTTAATTATTCTCACACTTACACTGCTCTATAACTAGAGCGAGGAAAGAGGAAGATCTTAGAGGTAAAATAACAAAAAATTCACAGCTGCCGTGTCAAGATTTTTAAAAAATTGAATTTAAAAGAACAAAGAATTAGCCAGCCCCACCTTTAAAATTTCTGTAATCAAATGTTAATATATAAAGTTTAGCCACATTAGAATGTTTGGGAGATACTTCTGTTCTGTGGAGTCCTGCTCAGCTGTAAAATACCAGGTCATCTGAAAAAAATCAACACTGGCTGAACCTAGTGACATGCTGAGCCCAGCCAACCCCAGGAGGTGAATGTCCACTGCCCTGGAGGGATTTCCCACACTTCTCCTCTTCCCCCAACTCTCACCGAGAAACCTCTATTGTGTAGCCCTGGGCTGTGGCTTTTGGCCAACAGTACATCCATCCAGTGCATCCATCCATCCATCCATCCATCCATCCATCCATCCATCCATCTATCCAACATTATACCAGGTTCTTGGGACACAAAGATGAAGGAGACTTATTTTTTACCCTCATGAACTCATGGTCCAGCAGGAAGGGCATATGTGGAAAGAATCGGTTGCAGCAACGAGGTACGTGCGAGGAGGACAGGGTGATGTGCTGAGTTCAGGCTGACAATAGGGCATGATGAGGAGCCCCGGGAGGGGAGGTTTGAGCTGGGCCCTCAGGTGGACAGAAGCCTGTTAGGCAGACGGGGCTTGAGGTCTTTCAGGCAGAGGTACACATGGCGCCTGGTTATGGGGGCCTGGGCCACAGGGTGTATCAAACCTGTAGTATGATACGATGTTTGATAGAGTGCCCCCACACTATCATATCCCCCATTATGCGGGGACAGTGTGGGGCATGAGGCTGGAGAGTGAGGTGGGTGGAGACCAGGAAATCCCCCAAGAACATTAAGTACTTTGAACAACTCCTGGAAGCTCACGGGGAGCGATATAGTTTGGATGCCTGCCCCCACCCAAATCTCATGCTGAAATATAATCCCCAGTGTTGGAGGTGGGGCCTGGTGGGAAGTGTCTGAATTATGGAGGAAGATCCCTCATGAGCGGCTTGGGCCATCCCCTTGGTGATAAGTGAGCTCTCACTCTGAGTTCACACGAGATGTGGTCATTTAAAAGTGTGTGGCACCCTCCACCCCCACTCTCTCCCTCTTGCTCCTGCTTTTGTAATGTGACATGTCTGCTCCCACTTCGCCTTCCGCCATGAGTAAAAGCTCCCTGAGGCCTCCCCAGAAGCCACGCAGGTGCCGTCGCCATGCTTCCTGTACAGCCTGCAGAACCGTGAGCCAATATGACCTCTTTTCTTTATAAATTACTCAGTCTCTGGTATTTCCTAGTAGCAATGCAACAACAGCCTAACACAAGGAGCTAGGTAGAGTTTCATGAATGGAGAAGTCGATCTGATTTCGATTCCAGAAAGATCACCTGGGGGCACAGATGATGGGTTGGTGGAATGCAAGACTGAGAGAAAAATGAGCATCTTATGCAGCCAGCTATGTCTGAAAGTTCCAAGAAAGGTGGCCCTGGTGACCTCGTGGCCTGTTCTCTTTCCAGCGCTCACACCAAAGTGAGCACAGGTGTATCTGTCAGGAGGAGGAAGCCTCCCATAAACACCGTCCTCTGTTTCTACACAGCAACATTTCCACATAAACCTCTCCATAGAGACATCCATGTCTCCAAGTAACTCTTTCCAAAGAAATAACCCTTTCTTCCCAAATGGAATGACTTTTCCAGATAAATCTGGGCACAAAGCACAGCTGGGTGAAAATGGGCTGAAGAACAGCCTGTCTAGGTGTCACTGAGCAAGCCACGGGTCTCTGCAAATTAAACCAAGAAGAGCTTTAACAATTTTACTCAATTGACAGAGCATATGCCCACTATTTTGGGTCGTGAAACAGCTTTTGGTATTTCACTCTATTTCTGAACTAAAATATGATGAGCTAACCTGGACAAGCTCTTCTAGAGCAAGTTTTTTTTCCCATTATTTTAGGATTAGGCATAAACAGAGTCGTTAATTTACACCAAATGACTTTTACTACTTGTTGCTCACCAAAGAAAATAATTCCACTAAGAGATCCTTCAAGCAAAAATTTTACAAAATTATGCATTATAATAATAATCATTATACAATTATGTTGGTTATTTCAGCCTATGTAGGAAAAGTAATGAAAAAATTGAATTGTGGTTATAGCCATTATTTCCTACAAGGACACAATGTGAATAGATACTGTATTTTCCCCAATAGTTTTATTCAAATGGCACAGGAATGGAATTTGTAACAATGCAGTTCTTTCTGGGTAAAGTTAAAAAAAATACATGTTTTTGCACTAAGTTTTAGACTCTATTATGTTAGTAAAGTTAGATGAAGGAATGAATGAATAAGCCAGGGGTTCAAAGGAACAACGGTCCCAAACAAAATCACCAGAGCCTCAAAGTGCCTGCAGCCACTGGCGACGCTGGAACCCGGCTTTTGTGGTTCATGCCCCTTTCTCTTCCAGGAACATAATCTGCACCATCTACCTCCCTGTCCACCAGGCCCTCTGCTCCTGGGGCATGCAGGTACTTCCTCTGAAGCCCTCCTCCGGAAAGCCTAGGCACTGCGCAGTGAACCCCAGACCCAGGGCATCCCCTGTCACCAAAGTGCCTCTACCGGCCAGGCATCTGCTTTTTGTCTTTCTCTAGCACAATTGTGAGCTGCGTGGAGGCTGGGCCTGTGTCCGTCTCACTTACTGCTATGTCTTCAGTGTCTGGTTTAATGCTTAGCACAAAGCAGGTGCTCAAAAAAGACCTTCTTTGATATCTCTCAGACACCTTAGAAAATATTTCCCTTACTTACCTTAGATGCTCACATGGCACTTACTATGTACCTGCCACTTCTTGTTCTAATTTTTCCAAATATCAACTCAAAATTATCAGCCCCATTACGAGGGAAGCAGGTGGGGCAGGCACAGAGGGGTAAATTTGCCCACAGTTGCAAAGTTAATAAGTATTAATAGTAAAAGTAAGATTTGAAGCCAGGCATGGTGGGCTCAGTCTCCACTAACGCTGGCTCCCATGCCACTGTACTGCTCTCTTGGAAAGATAGGGACCAGACTGCCTCCAGCGACAGAGAGTTACCTCCAAGAGGTCACCTCCAGGAGGTAAGCGACTCCACCAAGCAGGGGCCCCAATACTTGCTGGGTTCTCCTTAGACTGAAGTAAAACTGTCTCCTTCAACTTCTATCATTTTGTCCCAGTTCTGCTCTCAGGAATACCCTTGAAATTGTAAATTTTCTCTTCCACATAAAAACCATAATCTTGTAGATTTAGATGTCACACATTTATATGCCTTTACAAATGTTCTACAATTATTCAGGGTGTTTTATCCCCTCTACACTGAGATAAGCCTCCCTTTTGTTCATCATTCTGATTTAGTGAGACTTTATAATTACTAGAAGAGGATGCATACAGAAATGTGACTTTTCCAAAGTATATTGAAAGCTAATTTTCAAAATGGTTGGAAAACAGACACACTCATAGCGCCAGCTAGAGAAACATGTGCGTCCAGGAGGGCTACGTGTTTGATGCATGGGTCTGACAATCACCATCTGTGCTTTCCACAGCGGCGACCACGCCATGCAGGGATACTGCAAGGTAAAGATGCAATCAAGGACTTACGAAATAACATGGCAGTGGGCTCCTGGGTTGATTAAATCTGAACATTCTCGCCATTGTGTGTCCCTGCATGGTGACGGTGACAGTGACGCTGGGCTCCACGTTTACTGCCCTGTGAAGCCATGCCGGGGGCCAAAGCCTGAACCATTTTTTTTTCTTATTCAACATACTACAGACTAGCTATTTTTGAAGAGTTATTTACAAGGTAGTCTTTCTGATTTATGACAATTTCATTTGTGAAAATAAGAAAATGGGAACTCTGAATCCAGCCAAGGTTATCGTGAAGGAGATGCTTTCAAGTAAGCTAGATGTGTACCTAGCTTTGCTCTTTTCTTTCTGTTTTCAGGGAAGTTTGGATGATTATTTCACCCATGCGACCAAGAATGAGCCTTCGCACTTCTGGAGAGACAGAACTCTGCAAATAGAGCTGAGGGAATACTCAAAAGACAGATTTGGGAGTTCTAAGAACTCGTGCAGTAAAATGACAGCAGAGGAGAAGGGGCAGGAAAATGTTACCCTAAGAGCATGGCTGGCAGGAAGGAGTGAGGCTGGGTCCACTGATCCCCACTACTTAGCAGGAAAATGCCACCCTACAGGGCATGGCTGGTAGGGAGAAGCCAAGCTGGGTCCATTGATCCCCGCTACTTAGCAACGCTGTCTTTGTTATTTTGAGTTTTCAATTTCCATGAAAAAAGGGCAGGAGATTTTTGTTTATTAACCCTTTTCCAGTTTGCCCTGAGAATACTCACCAGCTGGAGGCGTGTGTGGCTGCAGTATTGATAACTTTACTGCAAATATTTTGCTTTTATTATTATTTTTGCATCACTCTAGCATATCGACTTTGGAAACAAAAGACATCATTCTATTTATAGCATTCTAACTAGTGATATTTCCATTTACAAAATATAGTAATTCTCGACAGCTAAAAATGTCAAATCCTAGAAAATGTAGCATTCCTACACATGATGTTAACATCGTTCTGGAACAGTGGTTGGCCAAAGATTCACTTGATGAATCTGATTTTTTCCGAAATAGATGATTCTGATGATTCAGACGATCTTGATGTTAGTTCTGTTTAGCAATAACTCCAAGAACAGTTTTTATATTTCATCTCCACACTGAAAATCAGTAAGATTTGCTTCAGCCTCAAAGAGCATGTTTATGTAAAATGGAGCGCTGGCAGTGAGCTGTACGTTTTTGTTTTTGTTTTTGTTTTCCAAACAAGAGAAGGGTTAAAAGGGGGTCTGGGCTAAGAAACACCGATCTGGGCCAGACGCCGGGACCAGCATGCAGCACTCTAGCAGCTGTGGCTATGGTAGGTGCGCTCTGGGGTTCTACTCAGTGTGCTTGCTCTCTCCATCATCATCCCTAACATGAAGCTCAGAGAAGCTTTTCCGTGGGAAAAGACTGGGCCTGACCACACCATCAGTGCAGGTTATGAAGTATGTAGAAGATGCCAAGAGTGAGCACATCAAGACAATGATGTGAATCCAGAAAGCAGCAGAAAGTCAGCTGTGGACCAGTGGAGCATTGAAGGGCAGGGGACTGAGGGGCAGCAGGAGTTTCTTTATAAGGGGCAGGACTTAAGCCCTATTTAGATACTAAATTAATGAATTCCTTACATGGATCAAAGGAAATGAAGCTAAAACCACCAATATCAAAAGTAGCTCTTAATAGTTTTATTTTCCCTCCCGATCCAGTTCATTTGGGGATTTAAAAGAGAGGTGGGGAGACTAACTCAGGAGGGGTGCATTTTAGAAGCACAATTGATCCTCAGTATCCATGTCATGGATTCAACCAATTGCAGGTTGAAAATACTTGGGAAAAAACTAAACAATAAAAAACATTACAATAGTAAAAACACTACAAGTAAAAAAGCAATTAAGTATTAATATAATAACTGTGTACTTTGCATTTACGCTGTGTTAGGTATAAGTAATCTAGAGATGATTTTAAGTATGTGAAAGGAAAATAAATCTCAGGTCCCCAAAATCACTAAATCAAGGGAAAAGTAAAGCTGGGAACACTCAAGCTGTGAACTATGTCAGGCAAACTCGCCTCCCATCTTATTCCTAAACAAAATAGTGACAGAGATTCAAAAGCTACACACCTTCCTCACAATTTGCCCATCAGGAAATTCCTTGTGGACAAAGGACAGACAGAACTCAAAGTCATCCCAGTGGGCCTCACTGACAAATGCATGAGACAAATGCATATCTGATTGCTTCCTCAGCCCTGTGGTTTCACTGAACCAGAACAAGGCATAAGTGACTATCCCTCTACCTTCCTCTCACATGTAAATTGTGTATTTCAAGAAAAGCTAATCAGAGACTCAAAAGAATGCAACCATTTGTCTCTTATCTAGCTGGAAGCCCCCTCCCCCACCTTGAGTTGTCCCACCTTTCCAGACGGAACCAATGTAAATCTTACACATACTGATTGATGTCTCATGTCTCCTAAAATGTATAAAGCCAAGCTGTGCCCTGATCACCTTGGGCACATGTCCTCAGGACCTCCTGAGGCTGTGTCACCAACGCGTCCTTAACCTTGGCAAAATAAACTTTCTAAATTGGTTGAGACCTGTCTCAGATATTTTGAGTTCACAAGTATAATGGTGGATGTTTGTGGGTTATATGTAAGTATTACTCCACCTTATATCAGGGACTCGAGTAGCTGCTTTTGGTATCCATGGGGGTCCTGGAACCAATCCCCCAGGGATATCAGGGGATATAAGAGCCACAGAGATTTTTCCTTAGTTGTGTTTTCTTTCCAAAAGTTAAAATAAAGAATTTAGCCTCTACCTACAACAAACCAAACTAAAACCATAGATACAAAACAGCAGCAGCGTGGTTTTTCATGGTGCTTCCTCCCTCAGGGACACCCTGGCTCCAAATCTCAGCCCTGCCTGATCCTTCCTGCCCCAAACTCTCATCCATTAGGTGGCCAGGTATGGCCGATGCTGCATCCTAAATACTTGCTACTGTCAAATGAAAGGCAAGAAAAGAGGCACTTCATCTGAAAGAATTACTGCAAAGGTGTAACAAACTGCTGCCATAGCGGGAGGGGGACTAGGAACAGGGAGAAGCCCCCTCCCCTGCGCTGCGTCTGCAGAGGCTCTGTGGCTAGATGGGAGAAAACAAGGCTATAAAGGAGAGGCCTGGTGGAAGAAGCCTGGTCTGTTAGCCTCAGAGAATGTTTCGCCTGAGGACAACCTATTTTCCTGGAGGGGCCCTTCAGGAAGGCTGTCTGCTTGCTCAGGCTGAGGGTGGGCCTGGGGGAAGGAAAGTCACTTAACCAAAGGGTGGTTAACAAGTACTTTGTCCCCATTTGGCAAAAGAGGTCAGCTAATCATTTATGAGGCAAAGAAAGGGCATTTGGAAGGACTGTGTCTGGCCTTGTCTGAGGCAGTCAAGGGGTGATCCACCAGACTTCTCTAAGTCACGTGGGGAAGGGGCGTTCTTTGCAATCAGTCATTTTCCAGGACACAAAGGTTGGGGTGATTACTCAACCTTTGCTGTTTTCCAGGATCCCTAAGGGTCAGGTAAAAGTCAACATTGTCTGTTCCTGTCCCCTCCTTTCTGTCCTCACTGTCAGCAGCCTGGCCAGCTGCCACTTGCAGTCACCTGGGATAGTCTCTGCCTTCAGGCTCCTCTATTCCAAGTCTCCTCCAACCTGCCCTCAGAATTTTTCTCTGCCATAAATCTAACTAAGTTATTCTCCTCAAAATCAAGACAAAATGAAATGACAAACAAACCAGATACTCAGTTAAGATGATTCCTGAACTTTCTCTCATTAAGCAGAGGATGAAGGAACACTCTTTAGCATGGTGTCCAAGACACCTGACTCACAGTCCCACCTACTGCCTCACCACAAGTTTCTTTCTGTCTCAGATGTGTCTCTGGTGTAGTGCAGCCAGATAGCCACAGAGCCTTGAGGATGCTGTCCTAGTTCTCTGCTTTTGATTATCAAATCTGCCTAGCAGAAACATTTTTCTCATATTTATATTTATTGAAATTCCACCCACTATTTATGGCCTAGTTCAGATGCTATCTTCTCCTGAAAATGTCTGATTCCCACAAAGAGAATCAATTGGTTTCCCTCTTCCAAATGTCTTGGTTTGAGGTTGCAAAGCAGCACTTACCCTATGCTACCCTGTAACTGTAATAGCTGTTTCCACCTTTATGCCCCCACCAAGGAAGGGCTCACTCTTTCTTCTGAGCACGCCCTACCTTCCTCAGAGTGTGCTGTGCTTCATAAAAATGTGTTGAATGGAATGAAAGAAAAGAACATGTTTTTCTATTAAAGTCATTTTAAACATGCTAATCAGCAAGGAATATGGCTGTGAGCATTTCTCCTCATCCTCCTAGAATCATACAAAAACAAACAACGAAGAAAATAAAGGAAACACCATAAATTCCATTTTCAGTGAAACTAGAAGGCAGATAAATTCCCTAGATTCAATATATCTGTAAAAAGGGCCAGAAGCAACTGTGATTGGCTAGAAGATATGCAGGGGAAGGGAAGAAAAGAAGGGCTGAGTGGTGGCCGATCTCCTGGGTGGCCACTGCCAGAATGCAAAGGCACATTCCTTGCTTGTACAAATGGGGACAGGACCTTGGGTGAGCAGGGTTGGTATAAAAGAAGCCCTACTGGACTTAGTTTTGTTCAAGGAGTTAGAGTTTTCAGGGCTACACAGAGAATAGTCCAGAGGAGCCATGTTTGCAGGAAGCACTCTGTCTCAGTGTCAGGCAAGAGAGAGAAACCTTTTAGTTGGAAAGCCTAGCCCTCATTTCCTGTCAATATAGATGTGTGTGAATAGTTAGTTCAGGAAAATTGAACTCATTAAGTAATGAGTGAGCTCAGAAAAAAGAAAGAAGAAAAAGAAAAAAAAATGATATGGTGTTGTTATAAAGATGCCATGAGAAAAATGTGAATGAGACCAGTAAAATCTATTAAATTTTTAAAATGTATCCATAAAAATATTGCCACTGAGGAGATGAAAGAGTGATCAGACATTCTGACATGTTTGGAAACACAAAATAAAGCTTAGTGAGGCAATTATCTCTAGGAAGGAAGAAAATAAAGTAGAAATGTGACAATTCGAGGAAGAGACAGCAAGTCAATAAAAGGCAATGCAGAACTCCAGAAAGAAGTAGAGGAGAAAAATAAAACCATTACAGGAATAGAGATGGAACTCGAAGGAGCAGAAAGGGAGAATGGACCTTGCATAACCCGGAGTCAGGATTATACTCATAAAAGATAAAAATGAGAAAGTCAAGCAAAATGAAATTTAAATTTAAAAAGAACTTAAAAAACATTAGAGAAGGTGATTCAACACATACATAATTAGTGTGTCTGAGGAAAAATCAAAACAATGAAACAGAGCAAATATTTAAATATATAATAAAAACAACCCTTTCCTAAATCTATATATGTGAATGTACTTGAATCTATATATCATAAGGGCATACCATGTGCCACATTCAGTGAATTGGAATGCAATAACAAGACCTATCTTAGTAAAGTTTTTGGAGCTTAAAGATAAACACTCATTACAGCATCCAGTCAAGCATCACATATTGTCTCAAAACTTTCAAAAACAAAGGACAGGAGTGATGTTAGGGAAGATGGTGGGTAGGAAGTGCCAGGAATCTGTCTCTCTGCCTAGACAACAATTGCACTGGCAGAATCTGACTGATAGAACTATTTTGGATCTCTGGAGTCTTGCAGCTTCCGGAGGTCAGCTTAGATGGTGGTAAATCATGGCTAATTTTGGTCAATTTCAGCTCTTAGAACAGTAGCAACTACTCACTTCCCATCCTCCAGCCCTGTGGCAGGCAGCTGTGCCAACAATCTGGGTGCAACTTGCATGTGGCTTTCAAGAACCAGGGTGGGCAATAAGTACCTTGTCCTCCAAATATTGAGGATCTGTGTCCTCATAACTGACTATGAAGGTGCAGGCCAGAGGCCTTTATAGCAATCCCCATTGCCTAAAGTGGCTTCCAGGGTATGTGAAGATAATTGCCTTAAAAAAATTTCCGTCCAGTTTTCCCCTTCTGGGGAGCCAAACATTTAAGGATTAGCACATTTAAAAGCAATAACATATACAAGGGAATTTAGTAAGTCACCATGCACGACCAAGGAAAGCAGTGGGCTCAGAAATGACCTGAGAAGACCTTAAGTTTACACCTCATGCTGATGTCTGGCATGGAGCTACCATAAAACAATTAAAAAACCCCAAACAAACAAAAACCAAAATCAGAAGCAGCAAACCCTGGGGAAGGCGGGGAATCTGATTAATAGAGATACTATATTATGAGATTCAAATGGTCAGTTTCAACAACAAAAAAATACGTGGTATATGAAAACAGGAAAGTATGACCCACTCAAAGGAAAAAAATCAACAGAAAAATAACTAGAATGAAAAATTCACTAGAGGGATACTAAAGCAGATTTGAGTAGAAGTAAGAATTAGTGAATTTGAAGATAAGACAATTGAAATTGAGTATGAGGAATATAAAGCAGTAAGATTAAAGAAAAGTGAAGAGTCTAAGGGATCTGTAGGACAGCATAAGCAGACCAATATACACATTGCAGGAGTTTCTGAAGGAAAAAAGAGAGGGAGCAAAGAGCACAGAGACAATTTGGAGAAACAATGGCTAAAAGCTTCCCAAATTTAAGGAAAGTCACAGATTTACAAATCTAAGATGCTCAACAAACTCCAAGTAAAGTAAACCTCAAGAAGACCCACAATGAGACATACTATAATCGAACTTTCAAAAGCCAAATACAAAGAAGGAATCCTGAAAGCACCAGAACAAAAGTGACTCATCATTACAGGAATCTTCAAGAAAGTTATCGAAGAATTTCTTAGCCAAAACTTTGCTGGCCAGAATGCAGTAGAATGATATACTTAAAGTGCTGAAAGAAAAAAATAAAATCATCAACCTAGAATTCTATATAAGCCAAACTCTCTTGCAAAATTTGAGAGAAACTTAGTAATTTCCAGACAAACAAAAGTTGAAGGCATTCATTTTCAGTAGACCTGCCTTGTAAGAAATGCTAAAGGGAGTCCTTCAAGTTGAAATGAAGGACTCTAGACACTAATTTGAAGGCATATGAGAATATAAAGTTCTCTGGTAAACAAAAATACATAGACAAATATTTAAAAAACAGTATTACTGTAATTTTGGTTCGTCACTTTGCTTCTTATTTTCTACATCATTTAAAAGACTAATGCATAAAAACAATTATTAGCCTATGTTTTTGGACACGTAAAACATAAAGATGTAATTTGTGATACAAGTAACTGAAAAGTAGTGAGAATGGAGCTATATAGGAGCGGAATTTTTGTATGCTATTGAAATTAAACGGGTAGAAATTCAAATTAAAGAGCTACAATTTTAGGGTGTTAAGTGTATAATGTACATGGTCATCACAAAGAAAATAAGTACAGAGTATATACAAAAAGAACTGAAAAAGGAATTTCAAATTGTCACAACAAAAATTCACTAAACACAAAAGAATACAATAATGTAGAAAATGAAGGCTAGAAATCCTATATGGTATATAGAAAACAAACAGTAAAATGGAGGCAGTAAGTCCCTCCTTCTTAGCAATTACTTTAAATGTAAATGAACTAAACTCTCTAATCAAAAAACAAAGATTGGCAGAGTGGATAAAAACCATAAGCCACTTATATTCTATCTATAAGATACTCATACTCATCTTAGATCCAAAGACACAAACAGTTTGAAAGGGAAAAGATGTAAAAGGATATTCCATGCAAAAAGTATCTCTATTTATAGAGATACTATATAAAATATAGTATCTCTATTTATAGAGATACTATATAAAATATAGTATCTCTATTTATAGAGATACTATATAAAATATAGTATCTCTATTTATAGAGATACTATATAAAATATAGTATCTCTATTTATAGAGATACTATATAAAATATAGTATCTCTATAAAAAAGGATATTCCATACACAAACAGTAACCAAAGAAGAATGGGGCACTTATATTACTATCAGACAAAATAAGCTTTAAATAAAAAAGGTTACAAGAGAAACAGAAGGGTGTGATATATTAATAAAAGGTAAAATACAACAGGAAGATATAACAATTATAAACATACATCTAATAAAGGACTCTCAGAATACAGGACACAAAAATGAACATAACTGAAAAGATAAATAGACTATTCTCAAATAATGACTTGTGACTTCAATACTTCACTCTCAATAATGGATAGATCAACCAAATAGAAGATAAGTAAATAAACAGAGGACTTGTATGACACAATAAACCAATGAGAGCTAACAGGCATAAACAGGACACTTTAACCAGCAGGATATATATTATTCTCAATTGCACATGAGGCATTCTCCAGGATAGACTATATATTAAGCCACAAATCATGTTTCAATAGATTGAAAAAGATGGATATCATATAATGTATCTCCTCTGACCACAATTAGGTGAAATTAAAAGTCAATAACAGAAGAAAAACTGGAGATTAAACAACACATTTTTAAATAATCAATGGGTCAAAGAGGAAATCACAAAGGAAATCAGAAATATTGAGAGACAAATTTACATAAAAACACCTCATAACTTATGTGATGAAGCATAAACAATGATAAGAGGCAGATTTATAGCTGTAAATGCTTACATTAGAAAAGAAGAAAGATTTTAAGCCAACAACCTGACTTTATACCTGAAGGACCCAGAAAAAGAAAAACAAATTAAACCCAAAGCTTCCAGAATGAAGAGAATTAAAGATTATAGTGGAGAAAATAAAATAAAATAAGAGGAGAAAAATAAAAGAGAAAATTAATGAAACCAAGAGTTGATTTTTCAAAAACAATTAGCAAAGTTGGCAAAACTTTAGCTAGATTGACTAAGAAAAAAAACGAATACTCAAATTACTAAAATCACAAATGAAAGTGAGGATATTCATACTGATTCTATAGAAATGAAAAGGATTATAAGAGAGTAGTGTGAACGACTGTCTGCCAACAAGTTGGATAACACAGATGATATGGACAAATTCTCAGAAACACAAAACCCACCATGACTTACTCATAAAGAAACAGAAAATCTGAATGGACCTATAGCTAGTTAGGAGATTGAGTCAGTAATCAACACCCCCTTGTTAAAGATAAGCCCTGGACGAGACTGCTTCACTGGTGAATTTTACCAAATATTTAAAGAACTATCATCAATTTTTCTCAAACTTTTACAGAAAACTGAAGAGGGGGAACACTTTCTAACTCATAGAAAGGCATTCAAATAGAAAAGGAAGAAGGAGAATTATCTCTCTTCACAGATGACATGATCTTACATGTAGAAAACCGAAGAAATCCTAACATGTCCACTGATAGATGAACAGATAAATTATGTCATATATATCCAACGGGATATTATTTACCTTTAAAAAGGAATGAAATTCCAATATGTACTTCAACATGGGTGAACCTTGAAGACATGACATTAAGTGAACACAAAAGGACAAATATTGTATGATTCTGTTTATATGAGATAGTGAGAGTAGTCAAATTCATAGAGACAGAGAGTAGAACAGTGGTTACCAGGGCCTGCAGGGAGCGGCAATGGGGAATTATTGTTTAACGGGTGAAGAGTTTCAGTTTCAGGTGATGACTAACTTCTGGAGATGGATGGTGATGCTGGTCTCACAACAACAAAAATATTCTTAATGCCACCAAAGTGTACACATAAAAATGGTTAAGATGATAATTTTTTTTTTTTTTTTTTTTTTTTTTTTTTACTTTTAGTTCAGGAGTACGTGTGTGGGTTTGTCAGCTGGGCACAATGGCTCACACCCGTAATCCTAGCACTTTGGAAGGCTGAGGTGGGTGGATAACTTGAAGTCAGGGGTTTGACACCAGCCTGGCCAACATGGTGAAACCCCATCTCTACTAAAAATACAAAAATTAGCCAGGTATTGTGGCTTGTGCCTGTGTAGTCCCAGCTACTCAGGAAGCTGAAGCAGGAGAATTGCTTGAACCCGGGAGGCAGAGGTTGCAGTGAGCTGAGATCACACCACTGTACTCCAGCCTGGGCGACACAGTGAGACACTGTCTCACAAACACAACAAAAAGGAGCACATGTACGGGTTTGTTATATAGGTAAATTGCATGTCATGAGGGTTTGGGGTACAGATTATTTCACCACCCAGATAATAAACATAGTACCTGATAAGTAGTTTTTAGATCTTCTCTCTCCTCCTATCTCCACCCTTAAGTAGGCCCTGCTGTCTGTGGTTCTCTTCCTTGTGTCCATATGAACTCGATGTTTAGCTCCCACTAATAAGTGAGAACATGTGGTATTTGGTTTTCTGTTCCTGTGTTAGTTCACTTAAGATAATGGTGTCCCGCTTCATCTATGTTTCTGCAAAGGACGTGACTTCATTTTTTTTACGGCCATGTAGTATTCCATGGTGTATATGTACCACATCGTCTTTATCCAGTCTACTGTTGATGGGCATTTAGGTTGATTCCACATTTTCGTTATTGTGAATAGTGCTGTGATGAACATATGCATGCATGTATCTTGATGGTAGAAAAATTTATGTTCCTTTGGGTATGTACCTGAAAATGGGATTGCTGGGTTGAAAAGTAATTATGTTTTAAGCTCTTTCAGAAATCGCCACACTGCTTTCCACAATGGCTGAACTAATTTACATTCCCACTAGCAGTGTATAAGCATTTGAAATGGTAAATTTTATATTGTGTATATTTTACCATAATTTAAAAAAAAAAACAGAAGACACTGAAGCCACATCTATAACATATGCAAGGAAAGAAAGCATAAGAATGAATTTTATGTCTAAGTTGTCCTTCAAATATACAGGTTACGGACTGTTTTAAACATGCACAAACTCAAGAAATATGGTTCCCATTAGTGCTTCTGGAGGATATCTCTAGAGGGGAAGCCCTGCAGCAAGAAGGCTGATGCCGAACACTGAGTATGTATAAGTCTAAAACACAAAGAAGACAAAGGGGACAGAACAGTTCAAGAACATGAGTTCCGACAATGGAGAACACTGGAGAAAAAAGGGAGGCATGAGGTCAAAGACAGAATATGCTCCTTGACTGCTTGATATATAAGAACTATGAGTCAAAGAATATCATACAAAGCCAACAAATCAAATAACAGAAGTACACAGAAATTTAATAGTATAAAGACAAACATCCGTTAAGGCAATATTATTGAGTAAAATCTGGTGTGAAGGGGAGGAGAAGAAAACATCATTTTTCTCACTAATATAAAAAAACTGGCATACAAATTTAGTAACGTACATAAGCATGAAGGAATTGCAGGCAAATGACTACCCCATAACCCAATGAGGGCCAGATGTTTTATAGGCTCAAATTATCAAACCTTCAGAAAGGAGAGTAAGGAAAATTCTCTTCACTCCTACAACTGATCTAGCAGATATTAAAGCATGTTAAGAAACTTCAATAGTTAAATAATGTGGCACAAGTACATAGACAGACCAACAGAGCAGAATAGGAAGTTCACAAATAGACCAAGTATTTATGGAAATTTAGTACATGCTAAGGAGGCATCTCAAGTTAGTAAGGAAATGATGTAAACAGTGTTGAATCAGGGTATCTTTCTGAACAAAAAACAAATAAAATTAAGTTGGGTTCATAGCTGACATGATATTACAGGATAAATTCCAAATGGCTAAAAGATTTCAGGTAAACAATACAACCCATAAAAAAAGTTGAAGAAAATATAGCAGAATTCTATCATAGCATGGAAAAGATCTCTCTATGTTATTAAATCCAAGAGTAAATAAAAAAATGGTAAACAAGGGCAACTGAAGCCTAAATCAGCCAACCAACTAAATAAACAAACATAACGCTCACAAAAAAGTAAAGTCAAAAGCCAGACAACAAAATGGGGTTTTAAAAAAAACCATTTGCGACTCATATCACGGAGAAAAATCTAGTGTCCTAAAGCATAAAGATAAAGAGCTCTTAGAAACTGCTAAGAAAAAAACTAACGTGGCAACAGAAAGATTGCCCAATCAAACACAAATGACCCTTAAACATATGAAAAAAATGCTCATAATACAAAAACTTACTTGTAATTAAAAAAAAACTCACGATAAGAAAATGCAAATTAAATTTATACCAAGATAAAATTTTTCAATTTACCTTGTTGGAAAAAAATTCAAATGTTTGATAACATGTTTTATTGGTACTCAGAAAAAAGCATTCTCAATAATTACAGGAAAGAATGTAAATCAATATATTATGTATGTTGGGTGATTGGTTATTAAAGTAACAAATGTATATTCTGTTTCATTCTGCCATTCCACTTTTGGGAATTTATCCTGTAGGCCTACTAGCACATGTGCAAAATAACACATGTACATGGTTATTCACCATAGCATTGTTTGTAATAACAGAAGACTGGAAATACCCAAACGTCCACAGTGGAGGAGTGGTAATATAATGATATATCCATCCAGTGGAACACTACCATGGAGCTATAAAACTACCCTCTAGGCACTAAGAAGAGGCTCCCTTTTTTATGAGTGGGTTGAAATTCACAGGATATACTGTTATGTGAAAAAAATTCCAGGGAGCACAGTACATACAGCATGCTACTTATTGTGTTAAAAAACGGTGAGGGTAAGAAAATCTACTAAGTTTGCTTGCTTATGCCTAAAGAAACTCAAGGATACATGAGACTTTTGTACCATGTGAACTGGCTACCTATTCAAAAATCAAATTAAAAAGGCAAAACAAAATGCTAAGATAGTTGTGTTTTATGTTTTGCTTTACCAGAGGATCTGTAAGATGTGGTTTCTTTTGTTATCTCATTGCTTGATCTGGAGAAATCATAAGGAAATATGACCTTTCTTTGATCCCAATGGTAAGTGGCCACGGGGATCTATCCTTGCAGAGTGAGAATGGGAGACCTCCTCCCCAGCACACTGAGCCCTCCTCCACACTCCGCTCTGTAACTACAGACCCCACTCTTCCTCTGCAGGAAGGCTGTGACCTCGGCCTTGGCTTGGTTTTTGCTGTTCTAGAGGCACGTGACAGCTCAAGGAAGGTCGATCTGTATCTGACAAGAGATGTCTGTGGGCTCCTCAACAATATGAGATGTTACAACTTTCTATCCAGGTGTCTTAATTTGGGCTACAACAAAATACTATAGATTGGTGGCTTCAACACCACCTGAGGAAGCCCTGTGAGGAGAGGCTGTGATGATGGGAGGGAAGTTCTTGCATCCTCACGTGGCCTTTCCTAGGTGTGTGTGTGGAAGGAGAAAGAGCTCTTATGTTTCTTCCTTTTCTTACAAGGGCATAATCGTGTCTGGGGGCTTCACCCTCATGGCCACATCTGAACCTAAATGCCTCCTGAAGGCCCCACTTCCTACTACCCTCATTGGGGATTAGGGCTTCAACACATGAATTTGGGAAAACAGAAACATTCAGTCCAGAGTATCACGGGTTTGGATTTTGTATAAATTCCTAAACTGCATACTGTTTATTACAATGTGGCTCTTTTCTTTTGCCAATGCCTTTATACAACCTGATGTTTGCTAAGTCTAGGAATGAGGCAACAGTCTGTGTGTTGTCTGACGGATTGACATAAACCATTTCAGACAAATGGAGAGCCTCTCCTACTTCAATAGACCTCCTTTAGGAACCCATTTCAGGGTTTAACACTCTCAGTGGGATGGGAATTACTTATTGTCCAGCTATAAATACCAGTGATTCTTGTTCGGCACAAGTGGCTCAGAGGTGTGGTGAGGAACCACACAGACCTCGGGAGGGGTGAGCTATAAGGCGGGTTCAGACCTCAGACAGAATGACCTTGGCTAGGGGTGGCAAGAAAGGTGAGCATCTGGCAGGCAAAGATTCTTAGTTACAGAAAGGCAGATGGGCAGGCAGGACAAGAGGTCTATGGCAACCTAAACGTAAGGGCCAGAGAGTGAGTCCAGGAGTTGGGGCCTCAGGCTGACAGTACAGGTAGGTGTTAGTAGCACCATGTGCCTTGGAGGAGCAATGACCAGTCAGGATGAGGCCAGTCTCTGGTCCTCAGGCAGCAGAGGACAGACTGGGTGAAGACCTGAGGGTCTGGGTCCAGGCTGCCCAGGAGCCTTGAATTTCCCTGTTTCCACCAGGAACTCAAGGCTCTCTAACTCGACACATTACAATGCTTATGCTTCCAAAGTCCACGGAGAAGTCAAGGTCCTAAAGGCCAGTTTTAGTACCACTGCCCCTTGGTATTCATGGGGAAATTGGTTCCAGGACCCCTTTGGATACCATTGACAGGATGCTTGAGTCCCTTATATAAAATGGTGTGTATCTGCACACAACCTATGCACACCCTCCCGTATACCTGTAATCATCTCTAGATTACTAATAATACCTAACATAATGCAAATATTGTACTGTATAGTTTTTTACTTGTGTTATTTTTATTGTTGTATGTTACTTTTATTTATTTACTTGTTTTGAATGTTTTCAGTCAGCAGTTGGTTGAATCTGTGGTTGCAGGTAAGGACACAAACGGCTTCCTGTAAATGTGTGTGAGAATTCTTAGCACAACTTCCATCTTTGATATTTAAATCAATCTAATTTGGTTCTATTCTATTTAGCCTTAAATGAGACTACAAACAAAGCTGCCCATTATCTCTTATGAGTCAGCTATGCACTTAAGAATCATATTTCATTAGTTCCTTAGTCATCTTATCTAGACTTTAAGAAACATACTTTAACCCTCCATCACCAGTCTTTTTTGGCTCTTTAAAATCGATGTTTCCCTTCTGTATCCTTGTCGTGTTTTCCATGATGCTTTTAAATTCTAGTTTTGACTGGATGTTCAACAAGGTGCGAAGTGTTTTTTTTTTAAGGTGGTAAACTGAAAGTAATACATTTCTGATTAAGAAGCCTCTATTCTCTCTTTCTTGATAAGACAGGCATTAAAATATAAAAGCCAGAACATGAAATAAGAAATGCTAATGAAAATCTCACCAAGTTGGAGTTTAGAGTTTAAAATGTTGCTAATCTAATAAGAAACCCAGGATGAATGTGAAGGATCAGGCAGCTCAGAGAGGAACTGTGCTGTGCCTTCAAAATGTCCTCCAAATTTCACATGAAAAATGGTTTGTGATTCCTTTTAATCAGTGATGACTCAACTTATTAAAAAAAATGAAGCCTCAACAAGTACAACTGGAAAGGAGCCTCCCCACCACCTGCATAAATGATCGCTGTAGTCAGCGCCACTTGCATGTGCGGTATTAATACTGCACATTTCTCCTGTATGACAGATCTGGTTTCAATCTGTGTTTCTTCAATTTTTATCAGTGTTGGCCTAGATTTCCAAAGCTGAGCTAAAATGGAAATATCCTCCCCGCAACCCGCTTTAACCCATCTGTCTCCTTTTATTTACATAATATAACATCTTTTTCCTTGAAGAAGTCTAATTTATTTATTTATTTTTTTAAAAAAAGCAAAATGGAAGTAAAATAAATAGAAAGTCTTTCCTCACAAAATAAAACATAGGATCTTCCCTGTGGGTTTATACCTAACCAGCCCTCACTACGACAGCAAATTTAATAAAATATCAGTATGAGGCAAGGCTAAACATCAAGAAGAACATTTCTTTAATATGCCCATGACTTTAGAATCACCCTTCACTTGTCAAATGATTCAGTGACACCTTCCAAAATACAGAATGCAAGAATATTTCTGATAATCTGCTAATGTTGGTCTCCTTATTCCAAAGTGGGGAAGTCAACCTGGATAATGACTTTGCTAAGTGCCGGCATGGGAAGGGTTTATAATTATGCAGACTCTGTTGTTGTTACTGCTGTCAACAGAATAATTTATCAACTTATGGTGTCTCATCAAGGGACCAAAAGCACATCACCAGTAAGAAATGATTTCTAAAGAAGACTTAATTACCACTCTATGTGTTTTTAATGCTGGCTGAAAATACACAAGAAGACAAGCTAAAGTGACATGTGACAAGTTCTCATTTAGTCTGTCAGCCATGATAGCATATTCAGAAAGATAAACAATAAAAAAAAAGGATCAAGAGATAAAGGTAGATCCTCCCATGACCTCAAAATAATTATAGTATTTGCTGGTGAGGCCAAAGTTTCTGTACACAGATACCTGACATAGACAGCTCTATGGAATTCAAGGGAAAATTAGGGGAGGGGACAGGTGACAAGCTCAGTCTGTGGTATTAATCGAGTAGTATTCTGACTGAGCCCCATCTGAATTTTTATTTACCCATTCTAATATTTCCTGGAAACTAAGGCTTTTTACTTCTCTCTCAGTCTACTCAAAATGAACTACTCCCCACCCCAAGGTGTTGCCAGCATTTATTTACCCTTGTGAAGGCAGCGACATATCATACCCTTCGGTGCCTCTCCACTCCTTCTCCATCCTCAACAAGCAAGTAGTCACTAGCAATTAATCAGACCAGCTCAAAGGAAACACGGTGGCTTTTAGGCATACAACAGACCCATTAGACATGGAGGACAGAGGCCTGTTTCCCCTATGTTCCTGGTTTCTTGTAATAACACAAATATATAGTAAAAAGTGACAGGAGTTTTGGCTGAAGTTGAATTGTTAAAGGGATATTTTTAAGTAAAGGAAAAGTCATCACTGTTTATTGAAACAATGGCCTGGGCTGCTTTTCCGATTCCCATTAGTAGTAAACTTTGCTTCTGGACAGAAACCTTTTCTTTTGTTCTTTGGCTTGAAGCACATTAAATTCAAGTTTTCCTTAAAAATAAAATCTGAAATAACTCCTTAAACCTGCGGGCTGCTGGACTACGAAGATGGGAGGAGAGACATTTCAGGAGTCAGCTCAGGTACCTGTGCTGTAAAGCCTGGCACAGCTAACATCTAGAAACTGGACACAGATTAGAGGAAAAGCAGAAAACACGGAGTGAAGATCACAAAACAATCAAGATGAAGAATGGAGGAAAGGTTATCCTAAGAGCTGTCAGGGAGGGCCACAGCAAATGCACTGAGGGATGTATAGTTATGTTTGCCAACTGATGAAATAAATATCAACGAGGAGAAAAATCTCTTAGGAAACAAGCAAATCGACAAAAAGGAGATAAAGAAGAACTGCAGGTTTCAAATCTCTGGTGTAGATAATTTTAAAAGCATACACAAACATCAGATTTTAATGTCAGTTTTGTCAGAAATCAACAGGATTAACCATGTTTCTCTTTTGATTAGTGGTGATGGCATGCCCTGGCATTTTCTGTATTAAGTTCTCTGTAAGAGTCTGGGCGCAGTGGCTCATGCCTATAATCCCAGCACTTTGGGAGGACAAGGTTGGAGGACTACCTGAGGCTGGGAGTTCAAGACCAGCCTGGGCAACATAGTGAGACCTTGTCTCTACAAAATTAAAAAAAAAAAAAATTAGCCGATTGAGCCCAGGAGTTTGGGGCTGCAGTGAGCTATGACTGCGCCATTGCACTCCAGCCTACACCACAGAGCAAGACCCTGTCTCTAAGAAACAAACAAATAAACGAACAAAAACTCTGTAAGAATCCATGGGAACACGTGCAGTTTCTTGTGGGTCTGTGCACTTTTATAAACATGCTGTGCCTTTACTCTCTGTGCAAGCTTGTCTCTCGTTCCATCTCTAATTTGCTTCTGGCACCTCTCCTCTCTTCTCCTTTCTGCTTCTCCCATTTTTCTTCTCCAAGGGGCAGCCAGAGGTCCCCATCGCAGCACAGTTCCTCAGGTCTTGGCTTTGTTTTCCTCGCCTGATGGAGCAGTGTGACCAAGTGGTTCCCTCAAACACAGGCTCACTCTTTTAAGGGGAAACAAATAATCAAACCTTCCAGTCACTCACTGCAGGGTCCCTGTAGGTCCAATTCTGATGCCAGAAGGAATGTCTCAGTGTGGACTGACTTGCAATGAGGACCTAGAGGCAGGCACTGGCAGGTGAACCCCAGCCCCGCTGGCAATGGGAGGCAGCTTTTTAAAGTTAGAACATCATAGTGAAGGGAAGACTCACCCGCTCCTTCTCCGTGCCAGCTCTCTCTCCTTCCAGCTTCCTGCATTGTCTTGCTCTTCCCCTCACTTGTCAGCTACAATTGGCTGGAACACAGTCTTTGGCTGACTCAGAACGCAATGTGTAAAAAACTTTCAGTTAAATACTTCCTTCACTTTTCTATGATGATGAGGAGCTGTGCTCTTCTTCTCATCCTTCCACTTCCAAGACACTCATAGATTCCTGCTCACCGTCTCTCCCCATCTTCTCACTCTGCTCATACCCTTGGCAGCCCTAGCCCCACCCTTGCCCAGTGAACGCCTAAGTTCCTTAGCGCGTCCTCGGCCCTCTGTGACTGGTCCAACGTCCCTGCCATCTGCTCTTGAAGTACTGCATATGCCTGCCTTTCAGGGGTCTTGCAATTCGAATTTTGCATGATTTGCCATGTTTTTGATTAGTCTGGCTTTCCTACTGTACATATGAGGCAGACATAGCTTCCAGTTTTGTCTATGATGATCCTCAAATCTGGCACATATTAGGCAACCAGAAATATTTGCTGAATGAGTGAGTGATAAAAGGGATTGATCTGATATTTGTTCTATTCTTGTGATATGCTTTCTCAACTATTTTCTCCTTCTCTTGGTACCAGGTCTTTCCTGGTAGAGAGAAGAAAGTCACTCCGTTTTCTCATAGCCACTCTGAGGGCAGGCAGCCTGGGAAGTGGTCTGTGGAGGCTTGTGGCTGGCAATGAGAAGACTTCTCTTCTAGTTCAAGGTCAAGAGCCCAGTATGACCTTTGGCCAGAGACTTCATTACTCTGGGCCTCGATTTTCTCTTTGGTAAATGAAAATCAATTCTTTCTGCTTCTTCTGCCTCCTATGGGGCTGTTGTTGGGACAAAACTGAGTTTTAAAGGTGCTGTATAAAGATAATGGTTACACAAACATAATGCATCCTTAAAGTAAAATACTTTGTGGCACTTCTCTACCGTCTCTTAAAATTTCACCTACCACTGATGAATTCTCTATAATGTGGGCCTTCTTCTTTGAAGAAGCCTGATTTTCACAGAAGCTACCTTTTCAGTAAACAGATCATCCATCCATCCATCCTGTAGGCAAATTGTTACTGAGCACACAATTATGCAAGCAACTACAATACAGAATGGTAAGGTCCTGGAGAGGAGAAGTAGAGGCTGCTCAGGCAGAAAAGCAAAGCGTGCCCCATCCAGACCATGAGGTTAGAGATGGCTGCAGGGTAAGTGAAGTCTGCACTGGCATCCAAATCTCGATTAGCAGGGGATGGCAAAGTGAGGGGCGTGTGTGCATGTGATCAGAAGCCAGAGGTGAGAGGAGCCTGGAGGACTAGAATAACAGAACAGAGAGTCCACATGGCTGGAGCTCAGAGTGGGGCAGGAAGCAGAGGAGATGGTGAATAGGGGAAGAGGAGCTAGAAGGGAATAGAGGACAAAGGGTTTTGTTAAGAAAACTTGACCTTACCCCAAGAATATTGGGGAAACTTTGGCGAGCTTCAAGCAGAAACATTACTTGATTACATCTGACTTTCAAAAATGTCACTTTGGTGGGCAGTGTGAAGAAAGGATTAGTTACACAGGGCAATGGTGGAAACAGGAAGAGCGGGAGGACTGGCCCTTGTAGAAATCAAGTGAGAAATCCTGGTGGCTTAGATTCAGGCAGTCACAGTAGGAGTGGACTGAAGTGGGGTGGATATAAGGGGATGCCTTTACCGACCCAGAGATCAGGGAGGAAGGGGAGGTTTGCGGGGAGGAAAGATGATGAGGGAAGTGCTTGGGGTCATACAAATGGAGTATTTAGCAAGCAGCTGAATTTGTGAGTTAGGAGCTCAGGATAGAGATGAGGGCTGAAGACACAGGTAGATTTCAAAGTATTCTGCACAAACACTGCTAACTGAGGCCATGGAGTAGATGATGTGCCCCAGGGGGACTGTGTAGAGAAGACATAAGGTCTGGAGAAAGGAAAGGGTGCCTAGTAATCAAATTTTGAGTTACGGAGTCCAAGAAGAAGAAGGGGCGGTTATGTGGGAGGGAAGCCAGAAGGACATGGTGTTTGAGAAGATTGCAGAAGGTGGGGGTGGATGGCAAGCCATGGTCAACACTCAGTGCCACCCAGAGATAAGACCTAAACCCAGAGACTCTTCTCATCACAATACCAAAAATGTGGAACTTGGAGTTTTAGGTCCCAGGAGCCTTTGGGGGATCTAGAACAACACTTCCTTTATGTTACATCCTCTAGGAATCTTTGTTGACTTCTCCAGCCAGAAGTGACTACCATCTCCAAATATTTGTTGAGCCAGTACTCTTTGCACCGAGCACTGGGAATTGTAAAAGAAATAAACTATGGTGCTTGAGGGGAGAAAGCACTTACAAAAAAATTAATCATGGCTGGGTGCGGTGGCTCACGCCTGTAACCCCAGCACTTTGGGAGGCCGAGGTAGGAGAATCATGAGGTCAGGAGATCGAGACCATCCTGGCTAACACAGTGAAACCCCGTCTCTATTAAAAATACAAAAAAAGTTAGCTGGGCATGATGGCATGCACCTGTAGTCCCAGCTACTCAGGAGGCTGAGGCAGGAGAATCGCTTGAATCCGGGACGCGGAGGTTGCAGTGAGCCAAGATCGCACCACTGCACTCCAGCCTGCATGGCAGAGCAAGACTCTGTCTCAAAAATAAAAAAGAAAAATAAAAATTCACAACTCGGTGCAGTCTCTACTGAGTGTCCTGTGACCACTGCGGAAGATGAACGCTTGGCTGGATGGTCAGGGCAGGCCTCCACTACAGGACAGGGCATGTCAGGAGACAGAGCAAGGGAAATACTCCAGGTGGAGCTTCACTGCTTGGAAGGTGTGGAAGTGGGGTTGGCATGGTTTATCTGGAGGGCAAGGAACAGACCATGTGTTTAGAGAGGAGGACTCTTCCGGGGGAGCAGCAGGGGCACGGATGGAGCCTTTGGAAGGGGTCAGATGGAGGTGGACTTTGAGAGACGGCTGGAATTTCGAACTACATGCTGCAGATACTGGGACGCCAACTACAATGGTCACTCCTTAGGCACCATTTGGCTCTGATCTGTGTAATCTTACCTGTGTGATTATGGCTTTAATTTCTCTGAAAGCAATCTGCAGGTAAGGGGCATGTGTTTTTATCCTTTGATTGTTCCACAGGGACTAGCTCAGTATCTCTAACTCAAATATTCTTCATAGGAATGAAACTGCAAAGACACCTTTGTGGCCCATGAAGGCCAGGAATGGAAGCACAAAGCTCAGTCTCTGTGCAAAGAGACACACCGAGTAGTGTACATTGTACCCAATATGTAGCTTTTTATCCTTTATCCCCTTCCTGCTCCCGTTCTGAGTCTCCAAAGTCTATTATACCACTCTGCATGCTTGGCAAACAGGTGATTTAACTAATAGCATGATTTGCTAAGTCTACAAAACCTATGATAAACAAATAGGAGAACATGGGAGCCCCTGACTTCGTTTTAGGAGGATTGGGAAGTTTTCCTGGTGAGGATGATAGCTGAACGGAGACCTGAAGGGTGAAGAGCCAAGTGGTGGGCAGAGGGCAGGGGTGCAGCAGGCAGAGAAAAGACGCTGTGGAGAGAGAGCCTGTGGGGAAGGGGCATGGAGAAGCAGCCAGGCCAGGGGTACCACCGCCTCCTGACCATCCGCCTCTCAGGGCAGAGCTGAGCAGAGGGAGTGGTAAATGGCCCAGAGCAGAGGGGGTGGTAAATGGCCCACCTGAGCTGAGGGATGAAGCCCACCATCTCCCTGGAGCCCGTGGTCATGAGGTGAACACAACACCCTTCACGGGATGCTGGTCCTGCCCATTACAGAAATCTGGCAAAAAGAAAGAAGAAAATGGCCACAAGCATTCAGCATCTCCAGCAGAGATTGTTTTCTTCTTGGAAAATGATTTCAAAAGCTGATGTTGAAAGAAACATGCAAAATGGATTTAAATGCAGTTGAAATGAGAGTGGACAGTCTGGGCCTGCTGCTGATTGGAGACACTTCTCAAGCAGTGACAGCGTGAGAGATGCTGGCGCGCCACAGCCGCCCCAAATCTAGAAGAAAACAGTCTCCTCTTGACACTGACGCTGAGTCACAGAGCAGCAGCTGTGGAATTTTATTTACTTTTTCTAGAGTTTTACACTGTAATTTTAAATTATAAATACATATTATGTCACAAAACACTACTGTCTATTTGACATACATTTTCTGAATTGTGCCAGACACTGAATTAAGGGCAGGAACACAAAATTGAGGATAGCATGGCCCCTGCCCTTGACGACTGCCCGTTAAATGAGGAGGCAGACTCTTGGGTAACAGCCCATAATATCATGCAGAGAGTGCACACCAGTGGGATGAGTGAAGCGCTCTGATCAGAGGAAAGAGCAATTAATTCTTTTATTTTTTTTTAAACTTTTCATTTAGCCCTGCCTAAGCAAGGCCTTAAAAAGTTTGGTTATGAACTCACAACTGTCCCTCTCCATGGGAATCTTTAGTAAAAGGTGAAAGATGTAGTCGTTCTGACAAGAAACCAGAGCTTGAGAGCAATTAATTCTGAGAGCTGGATTTGGGGAAGGTTGTGCAGAGAAAAGCGGAAAGCAGTCGTTTTCAGACCAGAGCCATGATTGTCTTGGAGTTGACTGGACAGCTTACAAAAAAATGTCCTGTGCACATCCTATCCCAGCCCCAGTGAAGCAGAACCTCTAGGGCAGGGAGAGCTGGAAACAGAACTCTTTCAGATGCTCCAGGGTTTTTCTTATGCATAGTAAGGTATAAGAGCCACTATTTCAAGAAATGTTTGGGATTTCAGTAGAGAGGAAGAGGAGACTCACGGTAGAGGTGACACCATGAAGATGGAGATGTGCAAGTGATTGATCGGGCAGAGTCCTGAGTGCAGCAGGAGAGGAAGCTGGAAAGTCGAACCGAGGCTGCCCACCCCAAGGACAGTGACTCCCAACCATACCTGTTTATCCAAATCACCCCTAAAAGTGAAAAATATACCAACACTTGGCTCCGTTTCCAGAACTGGTCTCAGGTGGGGCTTGAGCATGTGCACGTGAGCAAAGGCTGCACGGGTGATTCTGATGAACAGCAGGGCTGAGCCCCCACTGCAAAGGCTAGAACCATGGGAAATTCTGAAGTAAAGGATGACACCAACCCCTTTTCCTACCCACGGAAAGCCTGGTAGATTCTAGAATGGCCATTACCACTGACCATGTACTAAAGACTTAGTGGCATCAGCTACATCCAGAAGTGAAAGACGTTCCGTGTGCTGTGGGCATACTGTGTGATTCCTTAAATGTTCTAAAACAGGGAAAGACCTACCATTTCCGCTCTACTCTGAATTCTGAGGGCCAGTTGGAATTTGTTCTTCTTGTAAACAAATGACTTCTGAATATCTAAACAGTAGCATGAATTATTAGACAACTGGATAATTTTTAGGAACTGTCAAACCAATGACATGTCTGTGCTCTGAAAGAGTTAAGGTCTGGAAGCAATCAGAGCAAAGATTCTGATTAGCACAGGAAGAGACAGCAGCAAGGATTCCAGCAAAGATGCCTGAGGCTACGCAAGTTAATTAATGACTTAACAACATCTCAGGGACCCCAAACTAACTGAAATCAACTTGTTGGCATCCTGAAAGTGAGGTGAAAGTGGTTGATAGAAATGTCATAATATTATCTCTTAGGATTAATCATCAACATCAAAAAGATAGGCTTATAGTGCATTAGTCTTCCCCCAAGGAAACAAAGGGAGATGCATGGATATTACCTACAGCTTTTAATCAGAATTATATTCATTGCAAATGTCTTCAAATGCATTTCTGCTGCTTCACGGACAGTCACAGATTTTATACCATTAAAGTATACCTCCCTAAGTATACTAGGCTGATGAGGCGAGAGCTTATTATGTGATATTATGTAGAATCAATATCTGGATGAATAAAGATGACCCAGAGCTAGTAAGTTACTCTAAGCATGAAGGCAATAGTGCAAATAATTCCCTAAGTTGTGGTAAAATAAGACTTTTTGTGTAAGGACTGTCCCCTTGGTTCTCAATAGTTCATTAGAGTTTAATGGAGGCAAATGATAAATTATACATTAGACTGTAGTTTAGAAACCCCCTCATGTTGACCCAGCTGAAGTTGTAATTTTAGTCACATTCAAGAAATGTATTCTTTTTTCTTCGTTCGTCTTCAGGTGCATTAATTAGTTCAAGAAGCATTGTGTAAATGAAATTCAATCAAATGATAAAATAGCTACTATCTACTGAGCATCTACTAGGTGCCAGGTTTCATATATGTCACTTAAATTAGTCTATTTAATCCTCCCTACAGTTTTGTAAAGTGAGGTATTATCTCCACTTTTGTAGAGAATGAAATTACAATTCAGAGAAGTCAGGTTAATTCACCCAAGATGAAAAGCTAATTAGTAGCAGAGCTAAGTCCAAAGATGGATCTTATATTGGCTCCTCACACTTTTAAAGATCAACTCATGTCTTCCAGACAAAGTTAGCCACTCCCTTTTCTGTGCAAATTTAGATCATGTGTGTTTCTATTACAGTACTTGTGATGTGATAATTATTCATGTTTCTTTCTTTAAAAGTTTGTGTCCTTGAAAACAGGAGGCATGTCCTCTTGTCCATCTCTGCGTTCCCAGGGTGCATCATTTATTCGGAAGTGTCTTGAGTACCTACTGTGTGCCAGACCCTAAGTTGGGCAATGCAGATATAGGGAGGAACAAGACACACATGCTCCCTGCCCTCATGGAGCTCACATTCTACAGGAGAGACAGTTAAATAATTAAAATAGAGTATAATAAATGCTATGACGGGAGAAGTATAGGGATTATAGGATTTATGAGATTAACCAGCAAAGCTCCTTTTCATATTGTAGGGAAGGATGGAGGGAGGGGGAGCTAGGAATGATTCAGACTAAAGAGGGAAGAGACGTCCAGGCTGAGGTGAGAGGGCTGGCTGTGATATAGTCAGGTATTGGGTGGAGGTGAGAAGAAGGGGGAAAGCAGGTTCTGGAAAGAGGAAACAGTATGTGCAAAGGCAAGAGGTGAGAGGGCAGGCAGAGGAGACAGATGGGGATAGAGACGTGAGCAAGGACCAGGTCATGAAGGTCCCAGAAAGCTGGTTATTCTGAGGCAGCTGGAGAGGCTGCTGAAGGGATTTCAGCATTCAGTGCCATGATTAGATTTGAAAGATCACTTTAACTGCAACAAGGAGAATAAGATGTAGGGAAGTAAGCAGAGAGACAGGAAGACCAGATAAGGAGACACCATCCTGTAGTCAAAGTGAGGGAGACTCTTCGGGCCTGCACTAGGTTGCAAAAGCAGAGAGGGAGAGAAGACTTTGGAGGCAAAATCAATAGGTTTGGTTTCTAATTGGTTATAGGTGATTTGTGAAGGAGAGGAGTCAAGGACGCTCCTAGGTTACTGGCTTGAGCAATTGGTTAGATGGTGGAGCCATTTTCTGATCTAGGCTTGGAAGATAGGATAATAAATTTGGTTTGGACTAGTTTCATATGTCTGGGGTGGACGTGCTCACTAAGCAGAGGAAGGTCAAGGTGGGGATAGGAGCTGGAGACAGAACTTTGGAAGCCATTAGCCATAAGACTGAGTGAAATTACTCAGAGACTGGGAGAGAAGAGAGCTCCATGAAATAATATTTGAAGTCGGATAGAGAAAGAGGAGGCAGCAAAGGAATCTGAGAAAGAAGGAAAGGCCAGATGGGAGAAAATTGAGTCTAGGATGATGTCTGGGAAGCCAAAGTAGATTTCAAGAAGGTGGGAATGGTCTCACCGGGCCCAACGCTTTTCCACGGTCAAGTAAGTGAAGCCCTGGACACAGTCCTCGAGTTTTGCAATGAGGTGCTCAGTGGGCACCTTGACAGCAGGGCCAGGCTGTGAGGATAGAGGAGCTAGCCTGCTGTAGGCTGAGGGCGGGGAGGAGCTCTGCAGAGGCAAAGGAATATCTTGAACCCAAGTCTCCTCATTGAAATGCAGAGGATGGTGAAACTTTTTTTCCCTTTTTCAGGGTATTTCCATGTAGCTGTGGGAGGCACTGCCAATAAATATATCTGAAGGGTAGCATAAAGCTTGGTGAAGAAATTCAGAAAAAGGACAATGGAAAAATAGACTGAAGGTGACAAAGAGCTAAGACCATGAGTCACTCATTTTCAGACACAATCTGTTGGAAGCACCGCGGCGTGCCATCCTGTTCCCCTTTGTAACCTGCAACAGGAACTGCTCCCCAGTGGGGCAACTGCCTTTTGCGGCCCTCCCTGCATGGAATTGACTAAATAGCAGCATTCAGACTATTCGTGAGGAGTGCGCAAAAGGGAAGACACTGATCCTTGGGGTTTCTGTGAAATCTTCTTCAATATAGACAAACGGAGGTAAGTTGAGAATCGAAGCCATTGCATGGCGCACCTCTGGTCCCAGTTCTCCTGGTGCAGCGGGGTGGGGGGGTGGCGGGTTTATCAGCCTCCCTGCCAGCTCTTCCTGCCTCCCCTGCCTCTCTCCTCTCCAAGGCACTTTCTCTTCAGGCATTACACACACTCTCTAGTCCTTCCCTTCTACCTCCTCCTCCTGCCACAAAGATGTGCTGAGCGCTGCTGGGACACCCAGTGTGGTAGTGGTGATGCTGCTGATAGTCATTTACTACCAGGCATCTTCTGCCACTCTCTCTATTAATCCCAAATGTTGGTCTGTGTCTCAGATGTAACTTCTGTACCCTGGGCCAATTTCTAATAAACATTTTCTCTGTGATTTTTGGTAGGAAATCTAAAATTCAGCCTTTCTCAAATTAGCCTCATGATCTTCACTGTACAATCTATTTCTCCACAAGTATTTCTTTTTTGTGGTTAATAGCATCACCATATTCACCATATGCTCAGCTGCTATTACAAGGCCATGTGTAACCACTTCCTTTTCTTACCTCCAAATGGCAGCTCAATCCCTTTAGTTGCTTCTCTGCAGTATTCATGGAGCTGTGCTTCTGTGTCTATGACCACCGTTCTGCTCAAACCTTCACCTCCTTTTGCCCAGACCTCAGGGAAGCCTCTGACCACGTGCCTTATCTCTGATTCTGCTCCCACTCACTACAGCCTCCACAATGCTTTTAAAGTCATTTTTTCAACAACACAAATCTGATCATGTACCTCTGGGACAAGTTTATAGACATCCAATGATTTCTTACTGCCAACAGATTATAGCTGATGCTCTAATTTAGCACTGCTCAAAAGGTCTTTAAAAATGAGTCTTACAGTAGCTTCATCATCCACCTGTGTGCCAAGCATAGTGCTACTTACTTGCTTTATAAGGATTATCACATCGAATCCCAACAACATCTCTGTAAGGTGTATATTTTAATTTGTTGTTGATTTGAGAAAATTAAGGCACAAAGTCTACGTGATTTGGCTTAGGGTCACCCGGCCATAAGTAAGGCAGGAGTGAAATCCAAAGTTTATGCATTTCAAAATGTTTTCTCTTTTTTACTTTTATGTATCAAGAAGTATCACTGAGCACATATTTGTGCCTTCTGTACAAAGGCAGAGGTGCTGCTGTTAGTCCTCAGGCAGTGGTTAAGATTCCTGCCTTGGAGTCACACTGCTCGGGTTTGACTCTTCCCACCCTCACTTTTGAGCCTCCTGACCTTGCGTAAATTTCTTAATCCCATTAGGCCTCTGGTTACTCACTGGTAAAACAAGGGCCTGTGGGATGCTGTGAGGATAAGTGAGGTTACAGATGCAAAGCCCTGAGGAAGGCATGCCTGGTAGGAGGCCAGAGCTCAATACAGTGAGGTCGCTCCCTGGGCGCTGTTTCCTGCTCCTTTCCAGTAAAGGCGTGGCTATACTAAGAGTTTAAAAGAAATCATTTATGTGGCTAGACATACTGACTTCTGTAGCAGAGAATAGATAGGGAGCAGTGGCTCTCATTAGCTTTGGAGATGATAATAAAACTGGAAAAGATCAGAAAAGTGGAAAATGATCTTTGCATCTGAGTGCACTGATTCATGATGTGGAAAGATAAAAGAAAGTCCTATTTTTTTTAATAGTCCTTAAAACGCAAATGGAAAAGTAAAAAATCTGCAGAAAGTGAGCCAGCTTTTCTTTCCTTTTGATAGAACGAAGAACATTCCAGTGGAAGGTGTAGAAATACATGGCTAATTTCCTGTGGACTAATTTAGCTTTCTATGAAATGAGAAAGTAAATAAATCAGGATCAAATAATTCAACATGCTACAAGCATTTACCAAGTACCCCGTTTTGATAAGCACCATGCTGGACATTGTGGGAAATATGTAAAAAGAAGGGGAGAGTTTAATAGTTTACAACTATTGAAGTTGCCTGGAAGAGGTATTTAAAGTAATTGTAACTGAAAACCTAGTCATATACCGTGATAATAAACTGTGTGCCTGTGTGGGGCTGTACCTTTCACACCTCACCTGTCTTCAGCCACGCGGGGAAGAGTACAATTATCCTGTATGTTCCAAGTGGGATCTGAAGTTTAAAACTTAGGTAATTTGCCCAAGTTCGTGCAGTGTTTCAGTGGTAGATTTATTATTTGAACCCAATGCAGTTCAGCTGCAACAAAATGCCTGTGCGAATACATAGCTATTACGCTTTTTACAAGTCTGTCAGTCTCCTTTAAAAAACCTACCTGTGTGACTTATTTGATCACTTTTCCCACACTGGAAGAAGTCCCACCAAGATTAAAAATAAAGATACCCAGCTAATTTTTGTATTTTTAGTAGACACCGGGTTTCACCATGTTGGCCAGGCTGGTCTTGAACTCCTGACCTCAGGTGATCCGCCCGCCTCAGCCTCCCAAAGTGCTGGGATTACAGGTGTGAGCCACCACGTCCGGCCTTATTACTTCTTTGACAGCATTCTTTTGCAATGTTCACAACTACCCTCACTTACGCATTTTGAAGTTTGGATGGTCATCGATTGGAATTTCTTAAAATGAGAGCATATCCATGCATGTTTTATATGGAGTTGATAATCACAACACAGGTGGTGGTCTCCTGGTTTTCCCTGTTTTACTGTCATCTCAAAAACAGTGACTAAGGAGCCCATCTTTTGCAGCTATCTTTGTACTACAATACAAATACAACATTTACACTTACATAAATAGCTTTTCAGGGCAGAAAATACAGCAAGATGAATCTGTCATTTTTATTTCCTAATACATTCCAGGATATTGTTTTGCTAAATTATAGTCACTAAAGCCCACAAAATATGCAAACTTCCTACTTTCCCCCCTCAAGGTACACTATCTGAAGGAAACCATTACATAAATAGTGCCTCTGCTAATTAATTACTGCTGGTCATACTCATTTTTCCAAACTAAGAAATGAAACCAAATAGTATAATTTACATTTTTTTCTCCAACTCTAGTTAAAAGTAAAAAGACAGGGATAAATTCAGCTGCAGAATGCTGCTTACAATGCTTCCTTTTTTTTCTAATTACTCAAATCAATGAGTATTAAAAAAGACCCTCATATTCAGTTTGGTTTTTGGTTTCACACAACAGGGTGGTTAATTAAAACCACTGCACATTCTGGTATGCAGTTTATGACTGTGAAAAGGTCACACACTTGAAAATAAAGTTCACTACGCCTCCTGCATTTAGCTAAATAATCACAGAGGGGGTTTAAAAATAATTTATAGCCCTCCCTTCCAAGAGGCTTTTCTTTTCCCTGTTTACTCATGACTTCCCATCAGCACCTCCTCTCAGCACCTCAGGGAGATCATACTGATAGGATCTCTCCAAATTCCTCAGTAAAGTTACAATTTTGCAGAGAGCATGAGAAAACAAGCATCCTGGTTCTGGTAAAAACAAAACAAGACATCATCCTGGAAAAATGACATTCCAGAACTGGAACACATAGCTAAGCATCCATTGGATAGCTGCAGCACTGATCGCCCAGGTAAATGTCACAAAAATATCTACTTTAAAGACACTATCTTTTTGGTTAAGAAGAGTCACCTCTGCCTCTCCTTTGAGAGGTCTCTAAATTCAGACAGGGCATCCACTGGCCCCAAACCCCACAGACCTCACCGCATCGAATGAAAACCAAGGTTCATCTCATCTTTTCAAAACAAATCATAAACTTCAGACATGCCTACGCCTTTTCATGCTATCAGTGTCTGATTAATGCATTTGTGTGTGAATATATTTCAGTTTTTCTCCATTTCTAAAAACATTCACTCTGTTTAACTCTTCCAGACCTTTACTATGTGTAGTTTTGTATTGCTGATTAGTTTCAGGACTGCTGCTCTATATTCTAAAACAGTGGTTCCCAATCTTTTTGGCACCAGGGACCAGATTCGTGGAAGACATTTTTTCCACAGACAGGGGCTTGGGCGAGGGGTGGTTTTGGGATAAAACTGTTGCATCGCAGGTCATTAGGCATTAGAGTCCCATATGGAGTGTGCAACCTAGATCCCTCGCATGTGCAGTTCACAATAGGGTTCACGCTCCTATGAGAATCTAATGCCATCGCTGATCTGACAGGAGGTGGAGCTCAGGCAGTAATGCTCACCAGCCTGCCGCTCACTTCCTGCTGCGCAGCCTGGTTCCTAAAAGGCCTTGGGCCAGTACCTGTCCATGGCCTGTAGGTTGGGGACCCCTGTTCTAAAATTTTAGTGAATATTTTGCTTCTATCTATCTGATGGCTGTTAGGGTAAAAAATGTTGGTCATACATTATCACTTAAACTACGTCAGCTGCAGATGAACAAAAACTCAGTAAATTGGCAGATTCATCATGATACGACTGACTTCTCTCATGTGTCTTTTCCTCCCATTGATTCTTTCTACAATGAACATTCTTTTAGCCTTAGAAATATAAAAATAGGACATCATAACAAAGTATGGTTAGAACAAAAGACAAATTCTGGTGTCCTAGATTAGAAGAAAGGAAAAGGCTTGGTATATAGAATTTAAAGAAAATTAGGTGGGTGCCCCTTTGACCATTATTTCAAGTGGGGTTATTTTCCTTAGTTAAAATATTTTACAATATCATCACTGTGTTTTACAATGCCAGTGTCTTATCTCCAGGAGGTCAACTTGTATTTGTATTATTCAACATTTCCAATTTGTAATGACTTTAGCAAGAAGTAAGAGTTAATCTTTACCAACTTCCTGAGAAAGTGGTAGACAATAAGCTGTGGGAGACAGTCTGATGAACTTACGGTGAGCTAAAGACAGCAGGTGATTAAAAACATATGACTGTGGGTTTTAATCCCAGCCACTCCCTCAATCTGCTGAAGAGCTAAGGAAGAAGTCATGAACACCTATTCAATTTCAACATCTAAAATGTCACGTGAGGATCAGAATAACCACACTGAGTAACACTATCAACACCATGGGCTGTTTAGTGAGGACTTATAATAGTGACTGAGAGTATGATTACAAACATAAGGGGTTGAATATTGAATATTAATTAACATTTACTTTAATATTGAATGTTTAATAACAGTCACATTCATAAGTTGAAAATATCTAAGTAGAGAGGTTAAATGGCTTACCAAAGGTCACATAACGAATTGGTTTCTAAGCTAAGATCAAATCTATAATTTATTGCCTTAATTTTCCTCATGTTATGTTAAATTTAACAACAATAAAACCTAGATTATTAATATTCTTGCAACCAGGAATCTTAATTAACTTGCACATCCACTCACCAGTAAAACAGCTGGTGTTTTGTTTGTTTGTTTGTTTTTTACTTTAAGTTCTGGGATACATGTGCAGAACGTGCAGGTTTTTACACAGGTATACATGTGCCATGGTGGTTTGCTGCACCAATCAATTCATTATCTAGGTTTTAAGCCCCACATGCATTAGGTATTTGTCCTAATGCTCTCCCTCCCTTGACCCCACCCCCGCAACAGGTGCTACTGTATGATGTTCCCCTCCCTGTGTCCATGTGTTCTCATTGTTCAACTCCCACCTATGAGTGAGAACATGCCATGTTTGGTTTTCTGTTCCCGTGTTAGTTTGCTAAGAATAATGGCTTCCAGCTTCATGCATGGTCCCTGCAAAGGACATGAACTCACTCATGTTTATGGGTGCATAGTATTCCATGGTCCATATGTGCCACATTTTCTTTGTCCAGTCTATCATTGATGGACATTTGGGTTGGTTCTAAGTCTTTGCTACTGTAAATAGTGCTGCAATAAACATATGTGTGCATGTGTCTTTATGGTAGAATGATTTATAATTCTTTGGGTGTAAACCCAGTAATGGGATTGCTGGGTCAAATGGTATTTCTGGTTCTTGATCCTTGAGGAATTGCCACACTGTCTTCCACAACGGTTGAACTAATTCACGCTCCCACCAACAGTGTAAAAACATTCCTATTTCTCCACAGCCTCTTCAGCATCTGTTGTTTCCTGACTTTTTAATGATCACCATTCTAACTGGCGTGAGATGGTATCTCACTGTGGTTTTTATTTGCATTTCTCTAATGACCAGTGATGATAAGCTTTTTTCATATGTTTGTTGTCCGCAGAAATGTCTTCTTTAGAGAAGTGTCTGTTCATATCCTTTGCCCACTTTTTGATGGGGTTGTTTGATTTTTTCTCATAAATTTGTTTAAGTTCCTTGTAAATTCTGGATATTAGACCTTTGTTAGATGGGTAGTTTGCAAAAATTTTCTCCCATTCTGTAGGTTGCCTACTCACTCTGATGATAATTTCTTGCATTGTGCAGAAGCTCTTTTGTTTGACTAGATCCCATTTGTCAATTTTGGCTTTTGTTGCAATTGCTGTTGATGTTTTAGTCATGAAGTCTTTGCCCATGTATATGTCGTGAATGGTATTGCCCAGGTTTTCTTCTAGGGTTTTTATGGTTTTGGGTTTTACGTTTAAGTCTTAATTAATCCATCTTGAGTTAATTTTTGTATAAGGTGTAAGGAAGGGGTCCAGTTTCTGTTTTTTGCATACAGTTAGCCAGTTTCCCAGCACCATTTATTAAATAGGGAATCCTTTCCCATTGTTGTTTTGTCAGGTTTGTTGAAGATCAAATGGTTGTAGATGTGTGGTGTTATTTCTGAGGTCTCTGCTCTGTTCCATCAGACCTTATATCTGTTTTGGTAACAGTACCATGCTGTTTCAGTTACTGTAGCCTTGCAGTATAGTTTGAAGTCAGGTAGCGTGATGCCTCCAGCTTAGTTCTTTCTGCTTAGGATTGTCTTGGATATATGGGCTCTTTTCTGGTTCCATATGAAATTTAAAGTAGTTTTATCTAATTCTGTGAAGAAAGTCAATGGTAGCTTAATGGGAATAGCATTGAATCCATAAATTACTTTGGGCAGTATGGCCATTTTCATGATATTGATTCTTCCTATCCATAAGCATGGAATGTTTTTCCATTTGTTTGTGTCCTCTCTTATTTCCTTGAGCAGTGGTTTGTAGTTCTTCTTGAAGAGGTCCTTCACAACTTGTATTCCCAGGTATTTTATTCTCATTGTAGCAATTGTGAATGGGAGTTCACAGCTAGTGTTTATACTAATGAGACTTAACAGCATTGTGATACTGGAGTCACCACTGAATTAAGTTATAGAAGAAAGAAAAGAATTAATTCGGTTCCCCACAAGATTATCAGTTTTCAGATAATAAGACCAGAGTAAAATAGACTCAATATTAAAATAATACTCCATACCTTTTAAACTGGATAATTTTAAACTGCTGTGACTTATTTTGCTTTCTCTGAATGTTAAACAGAATTTGTAAAGAAACCTAAAAAGTGAAAGTTTAAATCACCGAAACCATGACTACTTCTCACCCACTGTTCTTTAACACTAAACAAATATGAGGATTGAATTACTGTAATTTCTATCAGCAAATAAAAGAACAGCCAACAGAACTAAAATTAAAGCAAAAGTAGAATTAAGTGAAGGCATTAGAGGGTTCTTGCTGGCCACACAGGAGACACAGTCACCTACAATCGCAGAGGGCCCTGACCCTGTCTGCCCAGGAGTATGCTTAAATACACTATTATAAAGTAATTAAGATATTTCAGTTCAAGGGGAAAATTAGAATAAAGAACTTTCAATAGGTAAAATGACAATTATTTGTAGGTGACATGTTTATTTACCTAGAAACCCAAAATAATTACATGAAAAAAATTACAAATTAGAAGAGATTACAGTGGCAGGATTAAATGTAATACACAGAAATATACAATCTTTCCATACAGACAATCTTAGGTGGAGGACATCAAGGAAGAAATACGTCCATTTATTGCAGCAACAAAAACGATAAACTGCTTAGGAATAAACTTCGTAAGAAGGACGCAAGTTCTACATAAAGGAAAACTTAAAATGCAATTACAGGACAGGAAATATTTGAGTATGGGAACAGCTTACTATGGTCAAGTTCACAAAGGGTAAAATTAAAAGTTAAATCATAAATTTATTGCAATCCAAAAATTAACCAACTGGAATGGAAAAAAGTTGTACCAGAAAAACTGATATTAAAGTTCATTTGGAAAAATGAACGAGTAAGGGTAGCTGAGGAAATGCCGAAAAGGATTAGAATAGGATAGATTCACACACAGAATCTATCCTGTAGATTCTCACAAGCATGAGTGATGAGTACAGAAGACACTTTTTATTTTCCAGTCAAGCTGACACCTACAGAAGACACTTTGAAGCCTCCTTTACACAGCAACATGAAAACCATCCAGATGGCCATGGGCAGGGACTGGTCACTTATAGTGTGCCGCTCCATGTGTTAAGAACTGCTCGTCAGATTTTATTGCTAAAGGACACGAGGAAACTGTTTAACAATGTATGTGGTATGCCATCACTTGTGTAAATACACATACACACATATATTTAAATAAACAGAACATATTTTTAGAAAGACACACAAGAGAAGTATACAGTGATTATTCCAAGGGAGGAAACTGAAGGCTGAGGATCAGGTTCAGGGAGAGATACCCCCTTATACCTGTTGAATTTTGCACCAAATGCACAAATCAATAATATGCTTTTAAGCCTTCTCAAAATTCTGGGTGATAGAACAAATAGCTAGCAAAAATCCTAGTCTGGGAGAATTAGACTGTGAAATGAAAGAAAGCAGGAACACAAACATATATACATCTTCTGACTTTATCATCAGGTATTAATTTGCATTGCTTTACTAAACAAGTGAAGTATTAGGTTTATTTTAATGAAGAGACTCTTTTTTTTTTTTTTGGAGAAGGAGTCTCACTCTGTCGCCCAGGCTGGTGATGTACAGTGGCACGATCTCAGCTCACTGCCTCCACCTCCCAGGTTCAAGCGATTCTCTCGCCTCAGCTTCCTGAGTAGCTGGGATTACAGGTGCCTGCCACCACACCCGGCTAATTTTTGTCAAATAAAAAAATTTGTTTCAATTTTTTCTTTGTATTTAGTTTAATGCTATCTCCATTTCTCTCTACTCCCTATTTCGTTAATTTTCTAAGATTTTTCTGGCTTGAAGTTTCATTGCATTAAAAACGTCTTACGATAATGAAGTAAAACATTTTAAAACAGGCACACTAACATGAAACATACTGAAACTGCACTGTAGGATATAAACAACCAGGCAGCCAAATTACACCCAGAGGTTTTTCCCTTTATAAATACAATAAGTTTATTGTTATGAAATACTCAATGAACGAACAAACAAATTAATTCTACAATTTCATCTTTCCCTTTACCAAGCTGGTCCATGTTTCCATTTTATAGTTGCTCTCTGGCTGGACTGCTCCATAAAACACTTAATACATCCAATTATTAATTATAGGAAGCTGGGGTTTGTGATCATGGAGAAAAGCCACACGTGATCCAAGTTCTAAACCCAGCTCTTGTCCTGATTTATGCTCCTCTCCCTCCTCCCCCGTGGGAGTAGAATGATCATTGAGCATTATTTTAGTTTCTGTTTCAAAGGGGATTTTGTGAGCTGATATATCTTCTGCTAATAAGCACAGCAGAATGGTGAACAGTGTTCTTGTGTTCCTGGGCATTTGGGTTATAGGTTTTCTGGTTGCAGAGAAGATAAATGCCTTCCTTCACCTTATTGTAGATAGCAAGAGAATGTATATGAGGTGCTACTTCTTTGTGGCCGTCTAACTTCTGAACATTTATAAGTTGCGAGGTGGGACCATTCTTTGCCTCTTGAGAAATTCAGGGACCATCAGCATCTCATTTTTTTAAGTATTTACTTAGTTCACACATCTGTTTGTCAGGAATTTAGGCTCAGGTGGGCCGGTCAGTTCTGATTTCAGCAGGGCTCATTCACATGTTTGTTGGACAGTTGTTGGCTGAGCAGAGAGGACATGGCCTTGGCTGGGATGACCAGGGCAGCTGACTCAGCTTCACAGGTCTCATCCTCCAGCAGGTCAGCCCCAGCACGGCTTCATGGGGAATGGCAGAGGAACAAGAGATGAAGGGCAAATGGAAAGTGCTGTCTCACACCTCTGTGTGCCTATCTGCAGTCATCTGGTGACTAAAGGCAAATCAGATTCATGGTTTTTTTTTTTTTTTAATTTCACAGATTTAGCAGGCACAAGTACAGTTTTGTTACACAGATATATTGCATAGTGATGAAGCCTGGGCTTTTAGAGTAATGGTCACCTGCATTGTGTGGTTTGTACCCATTAAAAGGAATTTCTCCACCCTTTCCACCATTTTTTCTTTCTTTCTTTTTTTTTTTGAGACGGAGTCTTGCTCTGTTGCCCAGGCTGGAGTGCAGTGGTGCAATCTCAGGTCAGTGTAATCTCTGCCTCCCAGGTTCAAGCAATTCTCCTGCCTCAGCTTCCCCAGTAGGTGGGACTATAGGCACCCGCCACCACGCCTGGCTAATTTTTTGTATTTTTGGTAGAGACGGGGTTTCACTGCGTTGGCCAGGATGGTCTTGATCTCCTGATCTCGTGATCTGCCTGCCTCGGCCTCCCAAAGTGCTGGGATTACAGGCATGAGCCACCGCACTCGGCCTTAAATTAAAAAAAAAAAAAAAAGAACTAACAACAAGTTACGTGCAAAAAAGCTTATGATGTGCTGTTTTATATCACTGAATGGAATCTGCGTTTTCATGAAATATGTTACACACACACACACACACACACACACACACAATCTGCATCAAAATAATACAGGTCGAGGGGGGCAGAACTGACCACGGGTTGTGATTGTGGGGGCTGGTAATCAGCACATGGGGTCCTTTGTACTGTACTGTTGAATTGTTTTTTATCCTGTTTTTTTTTTATTGTGGTAAAATACACACAATATTTACCGTCTTAACCATTTTAAGTATATAGTTCAGTGGTATTAAATACATCCCTAATGTTATGCAACCATCACTGCCATCCATCTCTAGAACTCTTCAACATGTTAAACTCAAACTCTGACCCAGTAAACAATTCTCCATTCTCCCCTCCTCCCAGCCCTGGCAAGCCCCACTCTACTTTCTGTCTCTATGATTTTGACTATTATAAGTACCTCATATGAGTGGAATCATAAAGTATTTGTCTTTTTGTTACTGGCTTATTTCATCTCACAGTTCATCCGTTTTGTAGCATATGTGCAAATTGCCTTCCTTTGTTAGGCTGAATAATATTCCGTTGTATGTATATGCCTCATTTTGACTTAATTTGTGACCTAACCTATGTTTTGTCCTGGAGAATGTTTCTTGTGCACTTAAGAAGACTGTATGCCGCTGTTGGGTAGTGTCCTGTATGTATCGGTTAGATAGCTGCTTCATTGTGTTAAGTCCTCTATTTCCTTATGTATGTGTGATTTTTCCATCCATTATTACCATATAACTGTCTACTTCTCCCTTCCATTCTTTCAGTTTTTGTTTTATATGTTTTGATGGTCTGTTATTAGGTGCACAAATGTTTATAATTGTTATATCCTTTTGTGGTATTAAATATTTTATTAATATATAATGTCTTTGCCTATTGTAACATTTTATGATCTATTTTCTTCTGGTATTAGCATAGCTACCTCTGCTCTCTTTTGGTAACTATTTGCATGAAATGCCTTTTCCATCTTTTTATTTTTAATCTCTTGTGTCTTTGGATCTAAAGTGAGTCTTTTGAAGACAGCATATAGTTGGATCTCGTTTTTCTTTTAAACCTATTCTGCCAACCTCTGTCTTTTGATTGGAGAGTTTAATCTGTTTACATCTAAAATAATTAGTGATAGAGACTTACGTCATCTTGCTACTAGTTTTTCATGTGCCTTACAATTGCATTACAATTATATTACATGTAATTACGATTACATTACTTGTAATTACGATTACATTTCTTGTAATTACAATTACATTAGTTTTGTTTTCCTACTTCCTATATTACTCTCATTAACGTTTAGTTGAGTTTTTGTAATGAAATGTTGCAAAAAATCCTTTTCCACTTTCTTTTGTGTATATTCTATAGCTGTTTTCTTTGTGGTTGCTATAGGATTACTAAAGTTACAGCACTTTAAATTTATATCAGCTTAAGTCCGATGACACACAAAAACTCTGCTCTCACCCTTTTTGGTTGTTGATGTTCCAAAATTATATCTTTATACACTGTATGCCCCAAACCATAAACTAATTATTTTAAATGCATAGTCTGTTAAGTTGTGAAAAAATATGGAGTTACAAACCATTGTTATACTAAGACTACCTATTATAGTTGTTTAAGGTATTTACCTTTATTGAGATCTTTATTTCTTCACATGGCTTTGAATCACTCTCTAGTGTCTTTTCATTTCAATGTGCAGGACTTCTTTGAGCATTTCTTGCAGGGCACGTCTGGTGGTTATGAACTCCCTCAGTTTTGTTTATAAGGGAATGTCTTAATTTCTCCCTCGCTTTTTTTTTTAATTATTATTATACTTTAAGTTTTAGGTACATGTGCACAATGTGCAGGTTAGTTACATATGTATACATGTGCCATGCTGGTGCGCTGCACCCACTAACTCGTCATCTAGCATTAGGTATATCTCCCAATGTTATCCCTCCCCGCTCCCCCCACCCCACAACAGTCCCCAGAGTGTGAAGTTCCCTTTCCTGTGTCCATGTGTTCTCATTGTTCAATTCCCACCTATGAGTAAGAATATGCGGTGTTTGGTTTTTTGTTCTTGTGATAGTTTACTGAGAATGATGATTTGCAATTTCATCCCTGTCCCTACAAACGACATGAACTCATCATTTTTTATGGCTGCATAGTATTCCATGGTGTATATGTGCCACATTTTCTTAATCCAGTCTATCATTGTTGGACATTTGGGTTGGTTCCAAGTCTTTGCTATTGTAAATAGTGCCACAATAAACATACGTGTGCATGTGTCTTTATAGCAGCATGATTTATAGTCCTTTGGGTATATACCCAGTAATGGGATGGCTGGGTCAAATGGTATTTCTAGTCTTAGATCCCTGAGGACTCGCCACACTGACTTCCACAAGGGTTGAACTAGTTTACAGTCCCACCAACAGTGTAAAAGTGTTCCTATTTCTCCACATCCTCTCCAGCACCTGTTGTTTCCTGACTTTTTAATGATTGCCATTCTAACTGGTGTGAGATGGTATCTCATTGTGGTTTTGATTTGCATTTCTCTGATGGCCAGTGATGATGAGCATTTTTTCATGTGTTTTTTGGCTGCATAAATGTCTTCTTTTGAGAAGTGTCTGTTCATGTCCTTTGCCCACTTTTTGATGGGGTTGTTTGTTTTTTTCTTGTAAATTTGTTTGAATTCATTGTAGATTCTGGATATTAGCCCTTTGTCAGATGAGTAGGTTGCGAAAATTTTCTCCCATTTTGTGGGTTGCCTGTTCACTCTGATGGTAGTTTCTTTTGCTGTGCAGAAGCTCTTTAGTTTAATTAGATCCCATTTGTCAATTTTGGCTTTTGTTGCCATTGCTTTTGCTGTTTTAGACATGAAGTCCTTGCCCATGCCTATGTCCTGAATGGTAATGCCTAGGTTTTCTTCTAGGGTTTTTATGGTTTTAGGTCTAACGTTTAAGTCTTTAGTCCATCTTGAATTGAATTTTGTATAAGGTGTAAGGAAGGGATCCAGTTTCAGCTTTGTACATATGGCTAGCCAGTTTTCCCAGCACCATTTATTAAATAGGGAATCCTTTCCCCATTGCTTGTTTTTCTCAGGTTTGTCAAAGATCAGATAGTTGTAGATATGCGGCGTTATTTCTGAGGGCTCTGTTCTGTTCCATTGATCTATATCTCTGTTTTGGTACCAGTACCATGCTGTTTTGGTTACTGTAGCCTTGTAGTATAGTTTGAAGTCAGGTAGTGTGATGCCTCTGGCTTTGTTCTTTTGGCTTAGGATTGACTTGGTGATGCAGGCTCTTTTTTGGTTCCATATGAACTTTAAAGTAGTTTTTTCCAATTCTGTGAAGAAAGTCATTGGTAGCTTGATGGGGATGGCATTGAATCTGTAAATTACCTTGAGCAGTATGGCCATTTTCACGATATTGATTCTTCCTACCCATGAGCATGCAAAACAGTGTGTAGAGGGAAATTTATAGCACTAAATGCCCACAAGAGAAAGCAGGAAAGATCCAAAATTGACACCCTAACATCACAATTAAAAGAACTAGAAAAGCAAGAGCAAACACATTCAAAAGCTAGCAGAAGGCAAGAAATAACTAAAACCTCCCTTGCTTTTAAAGGATGGTATTTCTGGATGAAAAATTCTTGGTTGACAGTATCTTTGTGTTTTTTAGTACTGAATATTGGCCCATTATCTCTGGCCACCAAGGTTTCTGACGAGAAATTTGAGGATAAGCTTAAGGATCCCTTGTATGTGATGCCTCTTTCTTGCTGCTTTCAACATTCTCTGTCTTTTGAAAGTACGATTAGTGTTTCGGTTTGGATCTTTGAGTTTCTCTTAGAGTTCATTGAGCTTCTTGGATGTTTATATTCATGTCTTCTACTAATTTTGGAAATTCTCAGCAATTATTTCTTTAAACATTCTCTATACCCCTTTCTCTCTTTCATCCTCTGAAATTCTCACAATGCATAAGCTGAATCTCAGACTCAATAATTTCTACTATCCTAACTTCAAGTTTGCTGATTCTGTTTTTTTTTCCTGCTCAAATCTCCCTTTGAAGCCCTCTAGTAAAATTTTCACTTCAGCTATTGTGCTTTTCAGCTTCAAAATTTCTTTTTGGTTTCTTTTTAGGTTTTCTATTTCTCTATTGATATTTCCATTTTGTTAATACATTGTTCTCTTGAGTTTCTCTACATCTTCCCCTACTTTGAACATCTTGAAGACAGTTGCTTTAAAGTCTTTGGTGGAAATCTCATCAGGCTCTTTTTCAGGCACATTTTCTTATTGACTTATTTTTATTCATTTGAATGAGCCAAACTTTCCTGTTTCTTGTAAGTTTTGTGATTACTTATTGAAAACTGAGCATTTAAATCTAAAATGTGGTGACTCTGGAAATCAGATTCTTTCCCCAGAGTTTGCTAATTTTTTATATTTAAAATTGTTGTTGTTTGATTGTTGTAGGCTGTCTCTGTGCCAAGGATTAGCCTGAGGTATAAACATAAGGTCTCCTTAGGTCTTTCCTGGGCCTGTACCTTTCCCGGGCCATACATAGTCATTTTCTAACTTCTCCATACACATGGTTGCTTTTGGATGTTTTAGTCTTTAATGTCTGGTCCCAAAAGAAGAAAAGAGAAAAATGACGGGAAGGGGGTAAAAAATAAAAGTGCACTGGCTTTTTATATTCCCTGAGTCACTTCAGTTGGTGGGGCTTGCAACAATGCGGGGAGATGTGACAACAATGCTCACCACCTCTTTGCACTTCTGTGATCGGAAGCAGCAATCAGCAGTCAGAGCACAGATCCCTGACCTTTGGAAGACAAGACCCTTTTTGCCCACCCTTGCTCCCACGAGCAGTGTGTAAGCTGCTCCAGGAACGCATGCATACCTGCCTGCCACAGGGGTGGGAGTGTGAAATGGGTAACTACTACTGTGCTAAGATAAGAGGTGGAACGACTGAACGTAACTGCAGTTTACCATGTTAACCACTATTTATTGTCCAAGCAAGCCTTTCTCTGGAAGTTGCAAGGCTTTGATAGACTCCAAGACTCTGGAGTTCCAAAACAATTGCATCAGACAGATTCTGCCAGTGCAGTTATTGTCTACAAAGGGAGGATTCCTAGTGATTCCTACTCCAGTATCTTCCAGAATCTTCTCCCAAGAAGCATCTCATTCTTGCAGTGGAGAAATTCATTAAAAAAGGCCACCACGCTCTACATGGAAATTTGTGCAGGGCACTTCCCTTGGAAGTATAATGCAAGACTAGAAACTTGATTTCTGTAAATCTCGGGTTAAATTAGCTTCACATCTACTAACAGGTGAAGTATTCTGCTTGCAGTATGCAAACAGATAACTGGTAGAACACAAATGTGTAACTATAGCCAACATAACTGCAACCAACTGTAGCCTCTGTTAACACAGGCTTAAAGGATTGTGGTTTAGAAAATTTTACTCTGTCCTTCTGCATAATGACATTTGAAATCATATAGGAGAGGCTTAATAATAAATATTAGGGAATATTTAGATGTTTGGCTAATGTATTAAAGTGCTGGTTGCTCTGAACAGGGAAATAAAAGGAGGAGTAGGCTCCTGATGAGTAATTGGCACTGGGAAGAAAGAAGTTGATAGGATAACTTGGAGAGAGGATAACGGGGTGAAATAACTCTTGCACCCACAGACAGGAGAATACGTACTTTGGAACAGGTTAAGATAAGTGGATAAAAAAGGAGTGGGAAGTATCTGTGTAATGTTCTAGTTCAATGACAGAGAGAGAAGGGCAGGGATACTGATTGAATATTTATGTCACAATGAGATTTAATCAATATTGATGCAGATAAAATAACTTACTTAGACATATTTTTAACAGAGATACCAGAAAAAAATTCTAGAGGATACTAGAAATCCATTTCTGGATCTTTTTTTTTTTTTTTTTTTTGAGACAGAGTCTTGCTCTGTCGCCCAAGCTGGAGTGCAGTGATGCAATCTCGGCTCACTGCAAGCTCCGCCTCTCGGGTTCACGCCATTCTCCTGCCTCAGCCTCCGGAGTAGTTGGGACTATAGGCGTCCGCCACCGCGACCGGTTAACTTTTTTGTATTTTTAGTAGAGACGGGGTTTCACTGTGTTAGCCAGGATGGTCTCGATCTCCTGACCTCATGATCCTCCTGCCTCGGCCTCCCAAAGTGCTGGGATTACAGGCATAAGCCACTGCACCTGGCCTCTGGATCATTTTTTGACTGGTAACCTGACTTGGTGATCCTAGTAAAAGACAGCAACATTGATGGGGGAGAGCGGCACTTCTGTTAAGAAGTATAGTGCAGCAATGTGAGGAGGCATCTAAGAGAAATAAAAAACAACAACAACAAAAATGCCTACATTCCACTGAACTACAAATATTATTCAAGAGAAAACTTGACAGTCTTTGCCTCATAAATAATTAGCAATTTTGTCACCCATTTTTGCATGTTATCATTAATTAGGTATTGTGGATTGAATGTCTGTGTTCCCCCAAAATTCATATGGTGAAATCTTAACCCCCTACGGTTTTTGGAGATGAGGATTTGGGAAGGAAATTAGGGGTTATATGGGGTCATAAGGGTGGATCCCTCATGATGGGATTAGTGCCCTATAAGAAAAGACACCAGAGAGCACCTACTCTCTCTCTTTCTTTCTCTCTCCCCCAACCTCCCTTCCTCCCTCTTCCCCAACCCTCTCTCCCCCAGCCCCATGCATACACATACAAAGAAGAGGTCACAGGAGCACACAGACAGATGGTAGTAGTCTACAAGCCAAGAGAAGAGGCCCCAGAATCAAACCTACCCTCCCCAAACTGTGATCTTGACCTTCTAGCCTCCACAACTGTGAAAAGTAAATTTCTGTTGATAAAGCCACCCAGACTGTGGTATTCTGTCTTGGCAGCCTGAGCTGACTAATACAGTTGCTATCTAGGATTGCCTGTGATTAAAACACTGAAGGAAAAATAAGAAAATTTTCTCTGCTTTTAAAAAGAAAATACGCTGCTCCACCCACATTTTAATGCTAGAGTCGGCTCTTTATCTTCCCACATATTCTCTAAGGACTATTCACCCCAATCCCTTTCTGAATGTCTGTGCTAAAGAAAAGAGCCTTCACTTTTTGAGTTTCCCCCAATTTAAACCAATGCAAATGAAAGGGTAAGGAAAGAGTGCCCTAGATCCTTTCTTTTGGATATTTCTCTTATTTGGAGTTGTGCAGATTCTCTTAGTTGACTGATATTTTAAAAATTAAGTATGCCAGTGGATTTATGCACACACATACACGCATACCCTCTTCCATCCTGTTTCCTGGGCCCTAAGCCTCTCACAGTGACACTTGACCAGCGTGGTTATCTCAAAGTCCCTTCATGCTGGGTAAGCTTCCGCCTTTCTAGAAAAGGGTCAAGTGTCTTTGAAACTAAACTCCAGTGCCTGGCTAACCAATGACTTTGTACCAATATCTAGAACTAGAATTAATAGTTGATTATGATACTGCTGATTGAAATAAATAAGTAAAAGTATCTGAAAAATTAGACGATGAAACAAAACTTACAATAATAAAAATAACACAATGTTCATTAGCTTAAGTAATATGATTATCGAGAATGTCAGGATAGCAGGAAAAATTATGTATTTTCAAAAACTCGTTTTCAAATATTAAACTTTTTTCATTCTCTCCCTTTCAACTTATAAGAGTAATGCATGTACAGTAGGAAACATGAGAAATTTCAAAAGGCCAGAAGAATATAGAAAGAAATTAAAAATACTTGGAATCTTACTTCTCAGAAATATACCCTGCAAGGTATTTTGAATTGTAGTTCATTTTTTTTTCCTGTGCAAATAAATAAATAAACTTTTAAAAATTCAACACAAGAGATCACATTAAAGATTTCCTCTAAACCAGTGGTCTTTCAACCAGAAGCAATTTTGTCCCCTTCATCCTGGAGATATTCAGCAATATCCAGAAGCACTTTTGGTTGTCACATCTTGGGGTGGGAGGGTTGCCTCTGGCATCTAGCGGGTAGAAACCAGGGATGCTGCTATATATCCTGTTCCAATAATTAAGAATTATCTGACCCAAAATGTCTATAGCATTGAGATAGAGATATCCTGCACCAATCCATTACAGAACCAAAAACTTTACTAATTACAGTCTACTCCATACTGCAAACAATTACTGAGTACCTGCCGTGGGTCTGTATATACAAAGATAAATATAATTCAGTCCCATCTCTGTTGAGTGTGGGTGATAGACAAGTACATAAACCTAAATGAGTAAACTTTTTACTCACATCTCTTTTGAGACAAGGAGTCCTTTGAGTGGCTTAAGTCACTCAGTGCTTGAAACCTTCATTTCAAGGTTTATGAAAAGAACCTACATTAGTCCTAGTCTGAGAAAGAGAGACACCTGAAGGTGGCAAGCCCCTAAACCATCCTATTCTTGGCTCCACTCGACCCTTATCCTGCCATTCCCATGGCTGGCCTTCTGCTCTCCACTCTCAGTTGTAGGGTCACAGGGGAGGAGATTAAGTCAACATAATAATATATTTACAAATCACATAATTTCTATAAAATTTGAGTTGTTTTTTGCCTTGATTCCTAGAATTTAAAAAAGTAAAACAAGAACAACAGCAAAACTTGTGATCTGTTCAGAAAATGTGTCACAACAAAGAAATAGCAGTGGCTGACACTTTTGACAGATTCCCAATCAGGAGTCAGGGGTTGTGCTGTTTCACCTCTATCACATTATTCAATCCTCCCAACCTGAAAAGATGGCATAGCTGGCCCCAAATCTCAGCAAGGACACTAAGGTCTGGAGATGGGGGCGGACTGCCCAGTACATGCAGTCTATCAGTGGTGGAACCAGGAGATCCCTGCCATTGGGCCTGCAGCTGTGGAGCCAGCCGCTTCTGGATCTACCTTACTGCCCAGGTGAGCATGCTGCAGAGTGAATCTCAGGCCATGCCCACCACATCTGCCATCTCGTCTTCACCAACTTGCTTCCAACAGGTGAGCACCCATTGGGGTCTTCAATGGACTGGCCCCCCCTAATTTCTCCAACCTATTAATCTTCTTTCTTCATTGTCCTTTTCTTCAGCTTAGGCTGAAATTGACTTTTTTTTTTTTTTTTTTGTCTTGCAAATGCTCCACATCCCCTTATTTCTCTGTCTTTTCTTTGTGATCATTTGGCAAAAATGGCAGTCGGGAAGAGCCTCACTACCTGCTCTTCCTGTGCGTGCATAGGCTGTCATGAAGGCAGAACGTGTCCACAAATGGTTCCTGCTTACCAAGCACAGAGAGGTCCAGCACTCGCAGCCACACTATATACCCTTGCTTTGGTTTACCTGCTTTTCTATGCGCCCAGTGGACTGTTTCATTCTTCTTTTATTTTTTTTAGATGGGGTCTCACCCTGTTGCCTAGGCGGGAGTTCAATGGCACAACTGTGGCTTACTACAGCCTGAACCTCCCAGGCTCAAGTGATCTTCCCATCTCAACCTCCTGAGTAGCTGGGACTATAGGTGTGTGCCACCATGCCTGGCTAATTTTTTTTTTGGTATGGATGGGGGTCTCACTACGTTGCCCAGGCTGGTCTTGAACTCTTGGCTTCAAGTGATCCTCCTGCCTTGGCCTCCCAAAGTAGTGGGATTATGGGCATGAACTACCACCCGGCCATCTGTGAACCATTTCGAACTTCCGCTTCCTTCAATATTCCCATACAGGTTTCCCCAACTGCCATACCTCCCCAAGCCCTCCCCACAGAGGATGTGGCCTCATGCTTTACAGAGAAAATAGAAGCCACCAAAGTGAGATACCTCACTAATTCAAAGTTTACAGAAGCCGTTCCTCCTCCCACCCAAGGTTAATCCCATCTCTTGAGTTGTCTCAGAAACCTTATGACCTCAATGACCCTTCTGTCTTGGGTAAGTTCAACCTCTCCTTCTCACCAGGATCCTTCCCATTGACACTGGAACACTAAGTGCCCTCACTTACAAAACATACACACACACATACGTGCACACACACAGACACATACACACACACCAAGCACGTAAATCCACACCTGCCTCCAGTCCTCACCCTCTCTCCCCTGAACTTCTCAGCCACTTCCATACCTCCCACCTACCCCACCCTCAATCACTCAATCTGACCCATGACTCTGCCACAGCTTTCACCAGTGTCCCCAAAGACCTCAATGTTATTCAATCCAACACAATGGGTTTTCCGTCCTACATGAGCCCTCAGCATTGTCCAGTACTGAGACCTCTTTTTCCTCTAGCTTTTTCTCTCCGTACTTGGGAAACAGTGGCCTTTGCCTCTCCTCCTGCCTTTCCAGTCAAACCCTTCTTCCTTTGGCCAAGCCTTTGAGTGTTAGTCTCTCAGGTCTTAGGTCTAGGCCTTTCTGGAACACCCTTTTGCTAAGCAATCACATCCAGATGCAGGAGTTCAACTGCCACCTCTGTGCACACTATCTGCAAATGTTAATCTCCCGCTCAAACCTCACTTCAGAGGTTCTGACCCATATCCTTGCTACTTGACATTTCCTCTTGGCTTTCTCAAAGGCCTCTCAAAATGGTACACATTAAGACGTAACTCAATATTCTCATCCCTTCTCCTGCTATCTCCAAATCCCAAACCTAATCCTTTTCAAGCTTCCTTATCTTAGTGAAAAGCACCCCCATCTATTCAGTTGTCCAAGCCATCCTTAATACTTCCTGTCTCACACCCCCATTATCCAAGTCCTGTTGATGCTCACCTCTGAAATACATCTTGAATGTATCCTCTTCATCTTTTCTATACCACTGCACAAGTCTGAGCATCATTACCTCCATCCTAGGACACTTCAGTGGGTTTCCAGCTGATCAATGTGTATCTGTTCTGTCCACTCCCTGATCATTTACTCTCCCTGCTTTAAACTTGTGGATGCCTCACCACTGTATTCAGAACAAAGGCCAGACTCTCCCTGTCTCGGTTCAATTTGAGACTTGCTTTCCTCAGAGCCACTCACTCTCTCCCCACAGGCAGTATTCCAGGCCTGGGATTCTACTGTTCACCTTGACAGGCCATGCATGCTGCTCTCCGTGCTAGGCTCTTTCTTCCCTCCCCAGGCCTCATCACCTGCTGCTCATCCCTTATATATTAGATCAGATATCACTTCCTCCAGCAATTTCATCTCAATTCCTCAATTATATTAAATATCTTTGGAATAAATAGGCTCTTAAGAGCCTCCTATGCAATCTTCATTATAGCACTGCCACAGGTGCAGGTTGATGTCTTTCAATACGGTCAATCGATTAATCTATCTGCCCCACTACAATGTAAGATTCAGTGAAGACAGGTTCGATACCTGGTTTGGGTAAGCAATGTACCCCAATGCCTAACACAGTACTTACTAAGTAGTAGATTATCTATAAATGTTTATTAAATAAATGAATGAATGAGCTCCAATACTTGTGCTCTTAACCACAATGCAAATACAGATCTATGTTTTTGAGTTAAATTATAGGAAAATGACTTTTTAAATCTCACTTCTCATGACCAGGATTTTCCAAAGCTTTTCCCCTAAAAAATCATGCACTTCTGTATTTCTTTCCTTTGACCTCACTACAGTTTGGTTGACTGTCTGAAATTCAGTTTTGCACACAGGGTACTTGCTCCATAAAATATATGTTGAATGGCTGAGCAAAAGACTTGAGTAAAAGGATCCTTTAGCAGGTTCATTATTTTATAATGTATATTCATTGAATCAAAGTTTAAATATGAATGTCTTCTCAAGAGCATTAGTAAGGGATAGCTACTTTTGTTTTTAGGGGACCTTGGGAGTAGGCAAGATTCGGAATTGTGTTTGGAATATAAGTGCTCAGATGACTGCTTTAAGAATAATCTGTATAAAAATGTGCTAAAAGAACATTAATATTGATATACAGCACTAGTTCTCTGAAGCAAAGTGAAAACACGTCGATGATTCCTTACCCTCTGATGAAAATACACATCTTTCATTTGAGTCTGTGTTCATGCCATGGTCACAAATGGATGTGGTGGGGAACTGCCCTATCTATCTCTTTTTTTGTCTCAAACTGGCATGTAAGAAGGTGTTTCTCAAGTGGAGTTAACTAACGTTGGAGACTCCAGCCTCTGCTGCCAAACAGGACACTAGCCAACATGCTGGCTTCCATGGTGAATAAGAAGTAGAGGTGTTGGTGCCAGTAGCCAGCCATGAGTTGTGTGGGACTATGAAGGTTATCTACACTCTCTGCACTGCAGTTTCTCCATGGTTAAAAGAAAAGAAAAAGAAAGGGGAAAACAGGGAGGGAACAAGGAAGAAAAAGAGGAAGAAGAGGAGGGGAAGAAAAAAATATGAGTCATCTTGGAGAGCTGTGGGAATAAGCACCATGAAGCCTAGCACAGAAGAGGTCTGCCCTGCCTTCACCATGTCTTCTTCCCATCCTTAAGTGGTTTATTAGAAGAGTAACTTTTGTACCTAAAGACCATAGAATTTTGCTTTCAAATAACTAAGCTATTTTTTCCAGTTCAACTCTCCACAATCTATTTTCCTGTGCATTTACTTTACATCTCCCCAGAAGACTTACTAAGTGTCTTAATAAGCCCTCAGGCCACCTGCTGGTGGACAACAGTTCTAGCTGACAACCACCACTATAGCTCATAAGCCTTGCATCCTTTTTTCCTTCCTTTCTCCATTTTTCTGACTAGTGCTTGGAAAAGAAGAAAGCAAAAACAATAGTGGCTTTGCAGTTTGTATTATTAAAGTACAGTTTCAGAAAAGTAACTTTGCACCAGATCATATACAGAGGGAACCCCATCAGGCTAACAGCAGACCGTTCAGCAGAAACCTTATGAGCCAAAAGGGATTGGGGGCCTACTTTCAGCACTCTTAAGTAAAAGATATTTCAACCAAGAATTTCGTATCTCACCAAATTAAACTTCAAAGGCAAAGAAGAAATAAAATCTTTTCCATATAAGCAACTGCTAAGGAATTTGTTGCATCTAGACCAGCCTTACAAGAGATCCTTAAGGAAGGTGTATTAATCTGTTTTCACGTGGCTGATAAGGACATACCTGAGACTGGGCAATTTACAAAAGAAAGAAGTTTATTGGACTTACAGTTCCACGTGGCTGGGGAGGCCTCATAATTACGGTGGAAGGCAAGGAGGAGCAAGTCACATCTTATGTGGATGGCAGCAGGCAAAGACGGTTTGTGCAGGGAATCTCCCATTTTTAAAATCATCAGACCTCATGAGACTCACCATCATGAGAACAGCATAGGAAAGACCTGCCTCCATGACTCAGTCACCTCCCACTGGGTCCCTCCCACAACATGTGGGAATTCAAGATGAGATTTGGGTAAGGACACAGCCAAACTACATCAGAAGCCTACACATGGAAATTAAAGAACAATATCTTCTACCACAAAAACACAGTTATGTACATAGCCCATAGACCCTAAAAAGCAACCACACAATAGGAACTACAAAGCAACCAGCTAACAACTTCGCAGTAGGATCAAAATCTCATATATCAACATTAACCCTGAATGCAAATAGTCTAAAACTCTCCACTTAGAAGGCACAGAGTTGCAAATTGGACAAAGAAACATGATAATTCCATCTGCTCTCTTCAAGAGGCCCATCTGACACATAATGACACCCACAGAATCAAAGTAAAGAGGTGGAGAAAGATCTATCATGCAAGCAGGAAACAAAAATAATATAAGAATAGCAGAGGTTGTTATTCCCATATTAGATAAAACAGACTTTAAACCAACAACAGTTAAAAAAAAAGTGGATGGCAAAGTAGGGTATTACATAATGATAAAGAGTTCAAGTCAACTAGAAGACTTAGCTATCCTAAACACATATGCACCCAACACTGGGGCACCCAGATTCATGAAACAACTACTTCTAGACCTACAGAAAGACTTACACCATCCCACAATAGTACTGGAGGACTTTAACATGCCACTGACAGTGTTAGACAGATCATCAAGGCAGAAAACTAACAAATAAATTCTGGACTTGAATTTGATAGTTGACCAAGTAGACCTAATAGGCATCTACAGAATACTCCACCAATCAAAACAGAATATGCATTATTCTCATTTGCACACAGAACACATTCCAAGATAAACTACATGATTGGCCATAAAGCAAGTCTCAATAAATTAAAAAAAATTAGTAATCATACCAACAGTACTCTCAGACCACGGTGGAATTAAAATAGAAATCAATACCAAGATCTCCCAAAACCACACATTACATGGAAATTAGAAAACTTGCACCTGAATGACTTTTAGGTAAATAACAAAACTAAGGCAGAAGTAAAAAAAAGTCTTTGAAATAAATGAAAACAGAGATACAACTTACCCAAACCTCTGGGATGCAGCACAAGCACTGTGAAGAGAAAAGTTTATGACATAAACACTTACCTCAAAAAGTTAGCAAGATCTCAAACTAACAATCTAATATCACATCTAGAGGAACTAGAAAAACAAGTATAAACTAACCCCAAAACTAGCAGAAGAAAAGAATTGACTAAAATCAGAGCAGAACTGAACAAAATTTAGACCCAAACATACATACAAAGAATCAACAAACCAAAAGTTAGTTATTTGAACAGATAAACAAGATTGATAGACAGCTAGCTAAATTAACAAAGAAACAGAAAATCCAAATAAGCACAATCAGAAATGACATAGATGACACTACAACCAATCCCACGGAAATAAAAAAAAATCCTCAGAGACTATTATGAACATCTCTATGCACACAATCTGGAAAATCTAGAGGAAACTGATGTATTCCTGGAAACACATAACCTCCCCAGATTGAATCAGGAAGAAATTGAAACCTTGAGCAGACCAACATCTAGTCCCAAAATTGAACTGGTAATAAAAATCTTACCAACCAAAAAAAGCCCTGGAGCAGATGGATTCACAGCCAAATTCTACCAGATGTACAAAGAAGAGCTAGTACCAATCCTACAGAAGCAATTCCAAAAAATTGAGGAGGAGAGACTGACTCCTCCCTAACTGATTCTACATAGCCAGCATCACCCTGATACCAAAATCTGGCAAAAACACAATGAAAAAAAAGATTTCAGGCCAATATACCTGATAAATATAGACACAAAAATCCTCAGCAAAATACTAGCAAACTGAATCCAGCAATACATCAAAAAGTTAATTCACCAGAATCAAGTAGGCTTCATTCCTGGGATGCAAGGTTGGTTCAACAAATGCAAATCAATAAATGTGATTCACAGCATAAACAGAATTAAAAACAAAAATCATATGATCACCTCAATAAATGCAGAAAAAGCCTTTGATAAAATCCAACATCCTTTCATGTTAAAAACCCTCAACAGACTAGTCATCAAAGGAAAATACCTCAAAATAATAAAAGCCATCTGTGACAAACCCACAGCCAACATCTGAATGGGCGAAAGCTGGAAGCTGGAAGCATTCCTCTTGAGAACTGGAACAAGGCAAAGATGCCCACTCTCACCACTCCTATTTAACATAGTACTGGAAGTCCTAGCCAGAGCAATCAGGCAAGAGAAAGAAATAAAAGGCATCCAAATAGGAAAAGAATAAGTCAAATTATCTCTCTTTGCTGACAGTACGATTCTACACCTAGAAAACCCTAAAGACTCTACCAAAAGCCTCCTAGAACAGGTAAACAACTTCAGTAAAATTTCAGGATGCAAAAACCAATGTAGAAAAATCAGTAGCATTTGTACACACCAATAACATTCAAGCTGAGAGCCAAATCATTTCAAATAGCTACAATAAAAATAAAATAGCTAGGAGTACCTAGGAGGTGAAAGATCTCTATAAAGAACTACAAAACACTGCTGAAGGAAATCATACATGATATAAACAAATGGAAAAACATTCCATGTTCATGGATTGGAAAAATTAGTATCATTAAAATGGCCATACTGCCCCAGGCAATTTACAGATTCAATGCTATCCCTATCAAACTACCAATGTTATTTTTCACAGAATTAAAAAATATAATTCTGAAATGTATTTGGAACCAAAAATAGCCCAAATAGCCAGAGTACCCTTAAGCAAAAAGAACAAAACTGGAGGCATCACATTACCCAACTTCAAATTATACTGTAAGGCAACAGTAATCAGAATAGCATTGGCTGGGCATGGTGGCTCACATCTGTCATCCCAGCACTGTGGGAGGTCAAGGCAGGTGGCTCACTTAAGGTCAGGAGTTCAAGACCAGCCTGGCCAACATGATGAAACCCCGTCTCTACTAAAAATTAGCCGGGTGTGGTGGCGGGCACCTATAATTCCAGCTACTAGGGACACTAAGGTGGGAGAATCGCTTGAACCCGGGAGGCGGAGGCTGCAGTGAGCCAAGATCACACCACTGCACTCCAGCCTGGGCAACCGAGTAAGACTCCATCTCAAAAAAAAAAAAAATCCCAAACAGCATGGTACTGGTACAGTGTATACCTCCAGCCATGTGATCTTCAACAAAGTCAACAGAAACAAGCAATGGGGAAAAGACTTTATTCAGTAAAGCTGGGATAGCTGACTAGCCATATGCAGAATGAAACTAGACCACTACATTTCACTATATGCAAAAATTAACTCAAGATGGATTAAAGATTTAAATGTAAAACCTCAGCATGGTGGTTCACACATGTAATTCCAGCACTCAGGGAGGCAGAGGTGAGGGGAGAGCTTGAGCCCAGGCGTTTGAGACTTGCCTGGGCAACAGAGGAAGACCCCGTTCTCCAAACAAAAGAAAAAAAAAGGCAAAATAGAAAAGAATCTTAGAAGAAGACCTAGGAAACACCATTTTCTGAATATTGGCCTTGAATTTGACTAAAAAGCAATTGCAACGAAAACAAAATCTGACAAGTGGGACCTAATTAAACTAAGAAGTTTCTGCACAGCAAAAGAAATTATCAATAAACAGACAACCTACAAAATGGGAGAAAATATTCTCATACTGTGCATCCAACAAAGGTTTAATGTCCAGAATCTATAAGGAACTTAAACAAATCAACAAGCAAAAATCAAATAACCCCATTAAAAAGTAGGCAAAATGCATGAACAGACATTCCTCAATAGAAAACATACAAGTACCCATCAACAGTGGATTGGATAAAGAATATCTGGTACATATATATCATGGAATACTATGCAGCCATAAAAAATGAAATCATATCTTTTGCAACAACGTGGATGCAGCTGGAGGCCATTATCTTAAGTGAATTAACACCAGAACAGAAGATCAAATACTGCATGTACGTGGTTATAAGTGGGAGTTAAATATCACGTACTCATGGACATAAAGGTGGCAAAAATAGATACTGGAAACTAATAGAGGGAGGAGGGAGGAAAGGGGGCAAAGGTTGAAAAACTAACTATTGGGTGTTATGTTCAGTACTTGGGTGATGGGATTATTCACGCCCCAAACCTCAGCATCATGTAATATATCCGTATAACAAACCTGTACATGTAACCCTTGAATTGAAAATAAAAGTTGAAATTATTTTGAAAAAGGAAAGTAACTGCACACAAAGCTCAATTTGTAATTGCACAGAGCACACCTCTGCAATTCTCTCATGTTCTTTATTTGTTAATACAAATTTTTAACTGATCAGGATGTGAGCTAGCAAAATTCTATCGCAAAACATAGGTGAGAGTTCAGGAAGGCAGTAAATACAGGATACTGAGTATTATAAGTAAGAAATTACCCACAATACTCATGCTACTCAATTGGGCATAATAAGAGGCCAAACTTTTTTTAAAAAAATTATAAAGTGACATAGTGACAATGCGACATGGGAGGGTACTGGGTCAAAAGATGGATGCAAAGTTAATTATCTGTATCCCTTTCCTCTGGATAAAGAACTTGCGTAATCTGACTTCTCACCAAATCCTGTTCTCCCCTCATACTCTCCCACACGATGTCAGGGAAACGCTTTAGGACCATATAAAATCCTGGCTGATTTAGCTTTAGCATTTTCCTTTGAATAGAAACTGTAAAAACTAGTTACATTCACCATTCTGAAAAGCAATTAACCTTGTAGACTTTATAATGATAAAAATATTAATAAATTCACTGTGTAATTTTTACAATTTAAGAGCAAAGTTCCATAGTCTTTATAAATGGTTATACCCTCTATTATTACCTGTGCACAATAATTTCTAAAGTATATAGCTTAGGGCAACTCAACAAAATCAATGCCTAATATTTTCCAAAATGCAAATATAATCTGATGCCAGTGTGCTCTCATATTTTCTATTTGAATAAAATTCAGTAGCTCCATGGGCTGCTGCTGTGAAGTGTATGACTTCCGTTTTTTAATGAAATTTTTTCTCTTCTTCTCTTAGGGAAATAGCATGGGTCTGAAATGAGTTCTGGAGAGAGGGAGACAAAGCTAAGGGGGGGAATTTTTTATTCCTCCCAGCTCATAATGGGAAAAATAGAATAAGAAGCAAATTTTGTTGTAGAATGTGTATTGATCTGTTCTTAATGTGCTACATATTGAAGAATTCTGGACATGTGATATCAACACAGTTTGTGATCCTGTTTTTCTCTGGCCTCAGGTCTCTGGGGAAGCCGATGTGAGAGGTGCTGGTGGCAGCTGCCGCCAGGTCAGTGCTAGGCTGCAAGAGCCTGTGATGTTGATGCATGGACACCTTCTCAGCCTGAGGGAGGCACATCCCGCAGAACTCCTTTTGCTAGTATTCCACACTGTGTCTTTAGTGTATGCTAGTCAACAGAACACAGAGCACCAAGCTAATTTGGTTGCCAGTCCAGAAGGATCCTGACTAAAATTCTGCCGACTCTGGGGCAATGAGATGCCGCTGAGGTCATGACAGTCTGCATGAATATCTCCATTCAAGAATAAGGCAGCAGGCCGGGCGCAGTGGCTCACGCCTGTAATCCCAGCACTTTCGGAGGCTGTGGTGGATGGATCACCCGAGGTCAGGAGTTCGAGACCAGCCTGGCCAACATGGTGAAACCCCGTCTCTACTAAAAATACAAAAACTAGCCAGGCATGATGGCGCATGCCTGTAATCCCAGCTACTCAGGAGGCTGAGGCAGGAGAATCGCTTGAACTTGCGGGGCGGAGGTTGCAGTGAGCTGAGATCATGCCATTGCATTCCAGCCTGGGCGGCGCAGCAAGGCTCTGTCTCAAAAAAAAAAAAAGGAAGAAACGAATAGGGCAGCAAGCTTGATTTGCTTTCCTTGGTAGGACAGATTCAGTGGATGATTGCGGCCCTTTCTTCAAAATGTCGGCAGTGGATTGGGCGTGTTCTGTGACTGTGGTGGAGACAATGACTGTGGCCCTGGGTGGAGCCACCACCTTCCTGTATTTGTGGGACTGTCTGAGGAGGTGGTGCCTGTGCTAAGGGAAGGTTTCCTCCTCGGAGTGGTGAGCTGTGTTCACGGACCCCGGCACCGTAAGAGCCTATTTTTCAGCATGGCGTTCACTACACTACCTTAAGAATTCTTGGCTTGGCAGGATGAGTGTTAATAGTGGGGGAGAACTGAAAGTGGCCACTGTGGGGCTGGAACAGATATCACAGAAAACACCAGAGGAGTCTTGTAGAATTTCCCATCAGTAGAGACTCTGTCTCATTCAACATTGATGGTGCGTCTTTGGCTATTGAGCTCTGAGGTGTTTCCCTTGCAGTTTCCCTAATACCAATTGTTCAGTGAGAACATTTCTACTTTAGAAATGGGTTTTTTGAAAAGCAACTGGAGGCAGCTCCAAAGGCTTTGTAAGAACTTAGAGAAATATTTAGTAATGACTAAAAATTTCCTTTAAGTCGACTTCATAAGCATTTTCTCTTTGATGTTTTGATTTTTAAATTATGAATATACATAGCTACTGATAGCATGCTACCAACTGGAAATTCCTATTAACTGGCATGGTCGCATGGATAAATACAATTTAAAGTGATGTTAAAACAATGGCTCTGAAGTTAAGTCTACAGAGTGCTTTCTGAATCACAAAGCAATACAAATATGTTCAGCATTTTTCAGTATCAAATTAATTACACATTTTCAGAATATGGCAGTTTATATATAGCTAACTTTTAATAAAGAAATATATTGGATTGTAATAACTATGAATCAGTACTTACTCCCTGCCAGTTGCTGGCTACAGTGAACAGTGGGGCTTACTGCACTTCTACGCCTCTTGTGGAATAACAAATATCAGTCTTCAAACATTTAAGCAAATGAAAATAAAGGTCAAATATCCTTGTTTGCCCTTTGCAGCTGAAAGGGCAAGTTACACAATTCTTATGTATTTTTCCATCTAATCTTCTGAGGAAAGAAAGAGAATCTGAATTTACGTTTTGCAAATGGCTCACTTTTTCTTACTTTGCCAATAGTGGAGAATTTTCTGTTTCAAGACTCAGTGCGTTAGTAGGCTAATGGACATAAAGAATTCCAACACTGCTAGTTCTCAGGGAAAGAACAGGCCAACAAAATGGAAAATGTACTGCAGTGGACGAAATCGTGCTATACAAATGGAGTGCTGTAAATCCCTAAACTACAGTGCACACTTGTTGGCAAGGCAGAAACATTCACAATTCAGAGGATTCCAGCAGGACGTCCCGTTAATTTGTATTTCCCAGAACAAATTTATCATTCGGAAGAACAAGTCCAATAAACAAACGTTGATTATCAACCAGTCCTTGTTCATTGTGTCTTTCTATTTTTAAATGGTAGAAGGAGTGTCATGCATTTCCAGCTAGTGTTGGCTCTTCACAATACACTATGCTAAGACAGTAAAATAATTTCTAATCTAGTTAGGTGTGTTAGTAAAGCATCTGCTTGCATAGCTAAAATACTAATTTGTGATGGCAATAAACATAGAGAAAGAGGCAAGGGACTTATTTTCAGAAATGCTACAAAATTCACTCAGTACTGAGTTTCCACTGCAGGACTGGAACTGGGTTAGACTAAGAGGATGCGAAAATAAGTGAAGATTTCCTGCTTATAAGAATGTGAAAGTTGCTGGTACCAAAATGGAGTCACTTATGTCCAATCCTAACGAAATGGATACAGGAGGCCATGAAGGGAAGGCCCTCATGCACATTTGTCTGATAACTGGTACTATCACAAAAGGCTGCCAACACCACAACCTTCACAAAGGCCATCGCAACCTTGCACAAAGATTACTTCTGTGAGGATGCCTGCTCATTAATGGCCTGTTCACTAATAGACTGACTCACCCTTGTTATTAATACTTGTAGCCAAGGATAGTTGCTTCAAAACAACGAATGCAACTGCCCTCCTTTCCCCTTTAAAAACCTTGCCTTCCTTTGCTTCTCTGGTTGCGCCTATGGTCCACTGCAGCATGCGTATCCTAATGACAATTTCTTGCTATTCCCCAGTAAACTCTTTCTTTGGAGAGCTTGTCTCCCTCTGTTGTTATTTTAAGTTGATGGGAAGTTCACAGTCTAGTGGGCACATAAATGATATGTTCAATAAAGGCAGATGACCTAAATATGTGAAAAGTGACTGAAAAAAATCATGGCGTGCAAATGCTTTTGCAAAGTCTAATTGACATGCTTAGGTTAAGTTCTATACTTCAGAATGTATAAAAGACATTTTTTGCCTGTTTTTGCCAGGTGCTAGCAAACACAACACCTCTCTTCTGATGTTGCTCTTCAAGTCCCTCTGCTTCTTTCCTACCTGGGAGATAGAGGCTCTCAATGCTTTTGTGTGTTTGTCCATTCTTAGTGATAACATCTTCCCCACTAAAGACTCTCTAAACTCCATCTTTACAGCACTGTAGATCTTAGTATGCGAAACTGATGGACTGAGACACCTGACTCAGCCTGCATCGTCACAATTTTTTTTTCTTGGCAAACAGATTGTCTCATACATTGCTGTCACTTAAGTCCCCCAGAGTGCCCACCGGCTCGCATTAGGAGGCAGTGCAGGATGGCAGTCCAGTACAGGCTCTGTAGTAAGACCTGGATTCAGTCCCTGGCTCCATCCCTGAGGTGTGGAGTCAGGGGTATGAAAGTCAATTCCTGTACCTTAGTTTCCTCTCTCTGTGAGAATATCAAATCAGATACTCCCTCCAGGGGTTTACCACACTCAGTACTCTTACTGCCAGTGAATGGAACCACTTAGCAAACATCCTTCTTTTCCTCCGAGGCCCTCTGCCCTCGCCCCCGCCCCTTCCCTGACACTTCATTCCCCTCATCCTTTGGATCTGGGCCATGTCACTTTCCCAGAGACAGGCCCTGATCTCCCAGCCCTGTGCTGCCCTTGCCTGGCACTTATCTCAGCTGTAACCTCAAACAGATTAACGCTTCGCCACAGAGCTCCACAACAGCTCAGACCAGCGCTGCTCTTATTTACTGTGGTATGGCCTGTGCCTAGAATAATGCTGGGTATGTAAAGAATATGTCCTGGATGAACCCATGAATGATGCTGGGACCACAGACATGGTTCTGTGGAAATGCCGCAAGGCCCCTGCATGGCCAGGGAGGTGGCACCACACAACTGGGCTTCGGGCTCTTTTTCCCTTTCCCTGAAGCTCAGCTTCCCTCTGCTTCACTTACAGGTTATTCCACATGAATCCACTGGAAGACACTAAAATACAGTTGAAAACACCTGGTTTTAAGCCTCGTTCAGAGGAATTGCACCTTTAACCTCAGGAATCTGTGAGACAGTATGACTAGATACCTTAGCGCTGTCCATTTGGAGAAGCAAGTCAAATTTCATCTCATGCCTATTTTCAGTGACTAGTTATATCATCCTGAGTTACATATGAAAGAGAAACCATTTTAGTCATCCCAACTTCTCTTATGAATTTCCTAGATGTTCATGATGTTTAAAGATATTTTAACCTTTGGCACAATGAAGCCCCCCAAAGAAAATTTCTGACATTTTGGACATTCATTCTCTGATTAATTTATATTGTTAATGACATCTGATATTATGACCATGTTCACTTTGCTCAGACCTCATTATCTTTCAAATCACTAGGCTTAAAAGTTGTCAAGGCTGGGATAGAGGTGTAGGGTTCTATGCCCCAACCGTTAAGAGGAAGAACCATTCACCTGACCAGATATATTTGAAAGTAAGTTTTCTTCGATAGTATGTTAAAGGCACAGATTGATTGATTGATTGACTGATTGATTTTTTTGCTGGGGCAATCTAGACAGCTTGGTCAGCAAAGGTTTTTTATATTAAGGCTAAATAGAAAACAATGCTCAAACAAGAGTTACAACTTTGAAAACTTGTTATTCTCCAACCCTCATGTTAACAGAAGTGATTTTAAAAACCATCTTTTGATACAAAATATAATAAGGAAACAATTAAAAACCTCTGCAATTTAGCCAAGCACAAAGCATCATCTCACAGTGGTCCGGGGGAGGGGTGCCCAGTGCCAGAGAAACAGTGACTGAGTTGGAACCCAGATTCTCAGACCCCCAGGGAAGGATCCTTCCACTATTATACTTCATGATATGTATGTGAATCACAGATGACTAAGCTTTTGTCCTCAGCCTCTTCTCTGTATAAGGGACTTTGTGTTTATTTTTAAAGCATACTAATATCAACTGTGAACCATAATCTAATCACTATGCAAGTGGCTATAAGGCGATGACCTCAGAGTTGCACTGGTCAGCCAGGCGGAAAACGCCTCAGTGTTTCGGGGGGAGTGGTAGTTTCCTCTACTTTGTTTTAAAGCATGGATTTGGGTTGATATGTCCATATTTCATTAAACTAAAAGGAATCTGGGCTGTAAAATTCATTAACAGTGAGACAGCGATTCTGTCATTTCCAAGAAGAAATTTCTGGCCAAGCAGAAAGGCATTCTTCTTAAGAAAAAAGAGACTGTCATTAAACAAACAAGCATGTCAGAGACACTGAAATGGCTTTTGCCTTCGGACTTCAGCGCCAATCTATTCAGCACAAAGCAAAATTCTCAAAGTTTCAGCAGAAGTTTGCTTTTGTGTTTGAGCAAGAACTCAGCAGTAGTCAGACAGGAAGCAAAAGTCACTGCATCCTGAGCACACACACCACATGGGCCCCTGCTAGGCAGGAGGCACTGGGCAGGAGGCTCCCTCTGAAGTGTTATTAGCCTACTTCCAATGAATTTATGGAGAAATGTCTGAGTGCTGGTCAGACCTTTATATATAGTGTGCCTTATTTTTAATGCCCTTTCTTATGCACTCAGCTGCTTTGAGAGGTAGAGAAAGGCTCTCTATGCGACAGGCAAGGAGACTCAGGCCCACCCCCAGGGCTCAGCCACAAAGCGAGTTTGTGGCTGGGCTTAAAGTCAGGTCTCCAACCCCACTTCTAATGGCACTTTCCGTGAAACCACACAGTCAGTTAACTCCGTGGGTGTCCTGATGAAATGGTAGGCCATGGGGGAAAAGCTCTGGATTTGCAGAGGTCACTCTAAGCTGCAACTCTGTCATTATTGAGCTGTGTGACGTTGGGTAAATCACCTGCTCTGCAGATCAAGTGCCTCAACAGTAAAACAGAAACCACAATCTTTCAGAGGAAAAATGGGACAGACATGAAAGTAATTTATAAATGAAAACTGCTAGATGAACATATTGTTATTATCAGTATTACTATCATAGTGAACATATTAAGAAAACAGTTATTTGATGCCACTGCTAATTTTTCTTTTCTTTCTTTCTTTCTTTTTCTTTTTTTTTTTAAGATGGAATCTCGCTCTCTCATCCAGGCTGGAGTGCAGTGGCACAATATTGGTTCACTGCAACCTCTGCCTCCCAGGCTCAAGCGATTCTCCTGCCTCAGCCTCTCGAGTATCTGGGATTACAGGCATGCCACCACGCCCAGCTAATTTTTGTATTTTTAGTAGAGATGGGTTTTTGCCACGTTGGCCAGGCTGGTCTCAAACTCCTGACCTAAGGTGATCGTGATCTGCCTGCCTTGGGCTCCCAAAGTGCTAGGATTACAGGCATGGGCCATTGCGCCTGGCCAAAAGTATGTTTTTCATAATAACAGAATAAAAACTAGGCAAGAGTGTATAACAATCTATCACCACTGGGGAAAATTGGTTTTTATTTTTTAATTATCTCTTTCTAAAGGCAAATAAAAGAGAAAAATGTCATCAAAATACCTATATCTAAAAAACTCAGGAAACTTCTCTCTCTGTTTAGTTTCTACTTTCTTTAAATACTTCTTGTTTACTTTATTAATTTTTTTGTGATTATTTTATAATCTGACTTTTTCTGAACCTCAAAATCACTGAAAACTTGGCAGTCAAAATGTGAAGAAAAAAATGCATCAACTAAAAAGTATTCAAAAAAAGAAAACAAATCAACAATGAAAAACATTAAAAAATAATGAACGAGGGAGAACCACGTAAATAATAGAAGAAAGAGTTGTCTGTGCTAATAAATAAAGTCCATGACAAAAATGATACACGGTGTACCCCCACAAGGCAGCAGTAACCATAGCAACAAGACAAGCAGTGTACTCAGAGTGACTCAACCAAATACTTAACATATATCAGGTATAGTTCCTAAGCCTATTTTCATATGGTATTGAAATATTTTATGCCCCTTCCTTATCTAAAATTGCTCATAATAGCTATTCCTTTAATTTATAAAGAGATAAAAATTTCTTGTGTCTTAACTTTTGTAATAATCAACATGACTTAACTCAAGTATGCTGGAACCAGCAACAACTCTCATTTTCTAGTTCTCAGTAATGAATTTCAGTTGAACTGAAACAGATTGTCCAATGATACGTGTGGGAATCAAGACATCAAATCCTGATTCTTCTCCTTAGACATAAGGTGCTTGGCATTACTATTTATAAGTTTTATCTCTTAGAAATTTAATGAAATGTCAAAATAGCAGTGCTGTCTGGGTAGAGAATCCCAGGGCAATCTTTGTCTGAAGGTTTTTAAGAAAAGGAATTCCACGGCCTCATTCTCTACATTGCTCCAGTACCCTGAACCTTCTACCTAACACTTTTGCTGCATCCTTTAGAACAAGCCTTGAATTGTTCCTCATTGTCTGTGTCTTTATGGAGTATAAATCTCAGGTTTAGAAAACTTTTTCGTACAAAACAGGCCTGTCTCCCCAAGGAGACTATGAATCAGGGAAGTTTTTGTTTGTTTTTGTTGTTTTTTTTCAAGTCCACGGTACCCATAATCAAGAGAAAAAGTGTCTCACACTATCAATCTGATGGAGGGATGCAGGGGCTTTCTCTCTTTGATCCAAGGTATATTTGAAGGTAAAGGTTCTTTGCTCTGGCCTGGGGACATTTCCCTTTAGCACTGCAATTAGAGACAAAGAAGACAAAGCCTGGCAGTGCTGTGGGAGGAATGATGAATAAAGGAGAGAACTGCTTTACTTTGGGGGGCATCCTCTACACCCATAAATAATCCGTACATGTTCATAGACTCTAAGGATGGAAATGCCACATCTTTCAAAGCCAACATGCATGTTAATCTGATACCGGGAATAAGGTGAAGTTATTACAATTCCCTATCACCTTGCCTGGAATGGTGAGCCTGGAATCCAAGAATCTTAGAAGCCAGTTTTGGCTCCTGAGAAAAATACTGTGCAGTGTTGGAACACAAAGGTGCAATTATTCCAGTAATAAGATCTGCTTCTCCGGTTGTCTCTGGGCTGTCCACTCTCCCACAGCTCTGCACAGTCAATAGCCAAGGACCCTCAGCTGACGGCAGGTGTCAGATTACTATTCCAGCAGCAGTGTCAGAGGGACTGATTACGCATCTAGTCTGGAGTGATGTGGAAAGGTGAAGCTGCATTCTATTATAACCAGAGACAGTGTCAGTATGGAGAAGAGGATGTGTCAGAGACAGACTCCAGTTCGAGAGGGTTATTTCTGGAATACTCCAAGGAAGCCTCTGGCGTGGCTGCCCACATGCACCAGACTTGTTGCTGTGGAATGTGGTGTTCAGAGTTGTCACTCCCTCAAGCCTTGTACCTAAAAATAAGTATCTACGTATTAAAGCAGGTTTATTTTTACTCAGACTTTCTTATTCTTGCAGTATAACTTTTCTTCACATTTACAATTTCAAAATATTTTGTCAATAATGTTTATAATTCTTAAAAATCCATAAATCATAATCCATAAACCTTAAACCAAAGTCTTGTATTCCAGCAAGAAAACTGGCTTTCTCATTTTCATGTATTTCTGGAATTTGATAAGAAAAAATTTTGTATGAAAAGAAGGGCAAATGGATTTTTTTGAAGGATAATACAGAATATATTAAAAACCAAGCTAAAAAAAAAGCCTGATATCCTAGAAAGGAGACTAAGAGGGCACCCAGACCCCTCCACTCAGTTCCAAGAATCTTCTTCTCACTTAAAGCCTCATTGGCTGCTGTGATGACGCTTCTAGCAGAGCTGTGAGTGGAGGTGTTTCAGAAGATCTGTCAGGGAAACAAATTAATCATTTCAATCTTAGCACCTCCAAGCCTAGAGGCCATTAGAATGCCTAGAGGCCATTAGAATGGCAGCTGGTGTCTAACCTGGGATAAAGTTCTCTAGTATTTATTTTTTCTAAGTGAAGTAAGGCTAAAAGCTATCCATTGTAATGAGAAACTGACTACATTCTATTCTATCTTGTAAGCTTTTGTTATTAATATTTTAATTGACATCTAAAGAAAGTAGTAGAGTGCTGCAGGAGAGTATTATCAATAACAGATGCAATATCTGTGTTCCATAAGAACCAGTATCTTGTTTATGTTGTCTTACAACTCTATTGTCATTTATAATAGATATTTAATTTTTTCTAGGCTAAAATGGAGAATATTCATTACATACTCTCATTATGCCATCAGTTTCTTTTTCTTAATTGTCAGAATAGCATCCTTGAGCTATGTGGTTATCCAGCTCCTTCCCTTAGAATGATCTTTCAGTCCACTGCAAATAATTCCTTTCCTCTCCCCGCTACTCCAGTTTGTCCTATTCCTCTATGCCTAAAACATTAAAACGCATTCAGGTACACCAAATACTGCTGAGTCATTATGAAGATACGAAGTACTCGCAATCAGCTTTTTTTTTTTTCTTTTTAAAATTGATCTTTTATTTTTCAGGGCAGTTTTAGGTTTATAAAAAAAAAATTTAACAGACAGTACAGAGATTTCCCATATGCCCCCTTTACCCCTAATCCCATGTCTTCCCCTATTATTATCTTACATTAGTGTGGTACATTTCTCACAATTAATGTACCAATATTGATATATTATTAATATTATCAACTAAAAGTCCTTAGTTTACATTAGGGCTTTATATTGTACATTTCTATGGGTTCTGACAAATGCATAATGACATGTATCCACTATTGTCTTTTTGCTATCTCTGTAGCTTTGTCTTTTACAAAATATCCATATTCAAGTATATTGCATAGGCTTGGAATTATGTATGTAGCCCTTTCAGGCTGGCTTCTTTCACTTAGCAATATGCAATTAAGGCTCCTTCATGTCTTTTTGGTGCTAATTTCTTTTTATCACTGAATAATATTCCTTTGTATGAATATATCCACAGACTCACCTATTATCCATTCACCTATTGAAGGACATCTTGGTTGCTTCCGGTTTTGACAATTATAAATAAAGCTGCTGTAAACATTCATGTGGAGGTTTTTGTACAAATATAAGTTTTAAATTCATTTGCATAAATGCCTAGAAATGTGATTGCTGGATCATATGTTAAGTCTGTTTTACTTTCGTAAGAAACTTTGCAAGAAACTACCAAACTATCTTTCAAAGCGGCTGTACCATTTTGCTTCCCTACCAGCAATGGATGACAGAGTCCCTGTTGCTTCACATTAGTATGTCAGTGTTTTGATTTTAGCCCTTCTAGCAGGTTTTGTAGTGGTATCTCATTTTAATTTACAATTCCCAAGTGATATATGATGTTGATCTTTTAATATGCTTATTTATCATTTGTGTCTGCTGATATGTCTGTTCAGATCTTTGGCCTTTGAAAAATTGGATTGCTTTCTTACTGTTGAATATTAGCAGTTCTTTGTACATTTTGCGTACAATTCCTTTCTTAGATATATGTTTTGCAAATCTTTTGTTCCATTCTGGGACTCATTTTTTTCATTTGCTTAATGATTCTTTCATATAACAGAAATGTTTAGTTTTAATAAAGTCCAACTTATCTAGTTTCTTTTTCATGGTTTGTGCTTTCGGTGTTTATTCTAATAATCACCAAACTGAAGGCCACCTAGATTTTCTCCTTTGTTATCTTCTAGAAATTTTATTGTTTTGCATTTTACATTTAGATCCATGATCCATCCTGAGTTTGTTTCATTTTGAATTTGTTGCACTTGTTCTTTCTTTTCTAGTCTTCCTCTCTTTTTCTCCCTTCTCTGATTTTAATTGAGCACTTTATACGATTCAATTTTCTCTTCTCTCTTATCATATCAATTATACTTCTAAATTAAAAAACGTTTTTAGTGATTGCCCTGAAGTTTGCACTATACACTTACAACTTACCTAAGTCCTCTTTCTACTAGCGCTATACCATGCAAGCACCTTATAGCAGAATATTCCCCAATTCTCCCTCTCATCCCTTATGTTATTGCCGGCATTCATTTCACCTCTCCATAAGCTATACTCACCTAATTAATTTTTGCTATTGTTATTAAAAAATAGTTGAACAAACTGTTATCAATTAAGACTATAAAAAGTAAAATATTTTATGTTACCTTTATTTTTCCTTCTCTAATGCTCTTCCTTTAAGTAGTTCCGGGTTTCTGACCCATATAATTTTCCTTCTCTCTGGAAAACTTATTTTAAAATTTCTTGCAAGGCAGTTCTACTGGAGACAAATTTCCCCAGTTTTTGTTTGTCTGAGAAAGTCTTTATTCTTCCTTCACTTTTGAAGAATAGTTTTACCGCATACAGAATTATAGGTTGTGGGAAATTTCAATGCTTTAAACATTTCGCTCTACTCTCTTCTGGCTCACATAGTTTCTGAAGAGAAGTCCAGTGTAATTCTTATCACTGCTCCTCTATGGGTAAGGTGATTATTTTCCTCTGGCTTCTTTCAAGATTTTCTCTTCATCTTTGATTTTGTATAGTGTGAATATGACATATGTAGGTTCAGATGTTTTGATATTTATCCTTCTTGGTATTCTTTGTGCTTACTGGATATGTGTTTTAGTGTCTGCCATTAATTTTGAAAAATTCTCAGCCATTATCATTTCAAATATTTCTTCTGCTCCTTTTCTTCTTTCTTCTCTTTCTGGTATTCCCATTGCACGTTTACCCTTTGTAATTATCCCACAGTTCTCACAGTTCACGGATATTCTGTAATGTCTTTTTCATCTTTTTTTTCTCTTTGCTTTTTAGATTGGGAAGTTCTACGGACACAGCTTAAAGCCCACTGATGCTTTCTTCAGTCATGTTGACTCTGTTAACGAGCCCGTCAAAGGCATTCTTCATTTCTGTTATTTTGTTTTTGAATACTAGCATTTCCAATTTTTTTTTTTTTAATTTCAATAGTTTTGGGGATACAGGTGGTTTTTGGTTACATGGATGTTTTTTAGTGGTGATTCCTGAGATTTTAGTGCACCCGTCATCTAAGCAGTGTAAACTGTACCTAATATGCAGTCAATCTTTTATCCCTTACTCCCCTCTCAACCTTCCTCCCTGAGTCCCCAGAGTCCATTATATCACTCTTGTGTCTTTGCATCCTCATAGCTTAGCTCCCTCTTTTAAGTGAGAACATATGATATTTGGTTTTCCATTACTCAGTTAGTTCACTTAGAATAATGGCCTCCAGCTCTGCACAAGTTGCTACAAAAGGCATTATTTCATTTCTTTCTTTTTATGGCTGAGTAGTATTCCGTGGTGTATATATACCACATTTCCTTTATCCAGTCATTGGTCAATGGCACTTAGGTTAGTACTATATCTTTGCAACTGAGACTTGCGCTACTATAAATATCTGTGTGTGTGTGTGTGTGTGTGTGTGTGTGTGTGTGTGTATCTTTTTAATATAATGACTTATTTGCCTTTGGGTAGATACCCAGTAGTGGAATTGCTGGATCAAATGGTAGTTCTACTTTTAGTTCTTTAAAGAATCTCCATACTGTTTTTCCTAGTGGTTGCACTAGTTTACACTCCCACCAGCAGTGTAAAAGTGTTCCCTTTTCACCACATCCATGCCAACATCTATTGTTTTTTTGACTTTTTAATTAGGGCCATTCTTGCAGGAGTAAGGTGGTATCTCATTGCATTTCCCTGATGATTAGTGATATTGAGCATTTTTTCATATGTCTGTTGGCAGTTTGTATGTCTTCTTTTGAGAAATGTCTATTCATGTCCTTTGCCCACTTTTTGATGAGATTATTATTTTTTTTTCTTGCTGATTTGTTTGAGTACCCTGTAAATTCTGGATACTAGTCCTTTGTTAAATGCATAGTTTGCAAATATTTTCTCCCACTCTGTAGGTTGTCTGTTTACTCTGCTGATTATTTCTTTTGTTGCACAGACACTTTTTAGTTTAATTAGGTCCCATTTATTTATTTTTGTTTTTGCTGTATTTGCTTCTGGGGTCTTAGTCTTGAATTCTTTGCCTAAGCTAATGTCCAGAAGAGTTTTTCCAAAGTTATCTTCTATAATTTTTATGGTTTCAGGTCTTAGATTTAAGTTTTTGATCTATCTTGAGTTGATTTTTGTATAAGGTGAAAGATGGGGATCCAGTTTCATTCTTCTACATGTGGTTTGCCAGTTTTCCCAGCACCGTTTATTGAATAGGGTGCCCTTTCCCCAATTTATGTTTTTGTATGCTTTGTTGAAGATTACTTGGCTGTAAGTATTTGACTTTATTTCTGGGTTCTCTATTCAGTTCCATTGTTCTACATGCCTATTTTTTATACCAGTACCATGCCGCTTTGATAATTACAGCCTTGTAGTATAATTTGAAGTTGGGTAATGTGATGCCTCCATATTTGTTCTTTTTGCTTAGTATTGCTTTGGCTATGCAGGCTCTCTTTTCATTCCATATGAATTTTAGAATGGGTTTTTCTAGTTCTGTAAAGAATGATGATGGTATTTTGATGGGAATTGCATTGAATCTGTAGATTGCTTTTGGCAGTATAGTCATTTTCACAATATTGATTCTTCCCATCCATGAGCATGGGATGTGTTTCCACATGTTTGTGCCATCTATGATTTCTCTCAGCAGTGCTTTGTCATTTTCCTTGCAGAAGTCTTTCACCTCCTTGATTAAGTATATTCCTAGGTTTTTTTTTTTTTTCAGCAGCAGTTGAAAAGGGATTGAGTTCTTGATTTTATTTTTGGCTTAGTCATTGTTGGTGCCTACTGATTTGTGTACATTGATTTTGTAGCCTGAGACCTTACTGAATTTGTTTATGAGATCTAGGAGCTTTTTGGATGAGTCTTTAGGGTTTTCTAAGCATATTATCATATCATTGATGAATCGTGACAATCTGAGTTATTCTTTTCCACTTCAGATGCTTTTTATTTCTTTCCCTTGTTTGATTGCTCTGGTTAGGACTTCCAGTATTATGTTGAATAGAAGCGGTAAAAGTGGGCATCCTTGTCTTGTTCCAGTTCTCAGGGGGAATGCTTTAAACTCTTCGCCATTCAGCGTAATGTTGCCTGTGGGTTTACCTTATATGGCTTTTGTTATTTTGAGGTAAGCCCCTTCTATGTGTATTTTTTTGAGGGTTTTAGAATAAAGGGATGTTGAATTTTATAGAATGCTTTTTCTGTGTCTATTGAGATGATCATATGGTTTTTGTTTTTAATTCTATCTATATGATGTATCACATCTATTGACTTGCATATGTTAAACCATACCTGCAACCCTGGGATGAAATCTACTTGATCATAATGTATTATTATTATTTTTTGATGTGCTGTTGGATTTGGTCAGTTAGTATTTTGTTGAGGATTTTTGCATCTATGTTCATCAAGGATATTGTAGTTTTCTTTTTTTTGTTATGTCCTTTCCTGGTTTCGGTATTAGGGTGATACTGGCTTCATAGAATGATTTAGGAAGGATTCCTTCTTTATCTTTTGGAACTGTTTCAGTAGAATTGGTACCAATTCTTCTTCGAATGTTTGGTAGACTTCAGCTGTAAATCCATCTGGTCCTGGACTTTTTTGTTGTTGACGGCAATTTTTGTATTACTGATTAAATCTTGATGCCTGTTGTTGGTCTGTTCAGGGCTTCTATTTCTTCCTGATTTAATCTAGGATGGTTTTATGTCTCAGGACTTTATCCATTTCCTCTAGGGTTTCTAGTTTGTGTGCATAAAAGTGTTCATAGTAGCCTTGAATGATATTTTGTGTTTCTGTGGTATCAATTATAATATATCCAGTTTCATTTCCACTGAATAATTGAGCATATATGGATATTCTCTTTTTTTCTTGGTTAATCTTACTAATGGTCTATCAAATTTGTTTATCTTTTCAAAGAACCAGCTCTTAGTTTCATTTATCTTTTGTAATGTTCTTTTTGTTTCAATTTCATTTAGTTCTGCTCTGATCTTTAATATTTCTTTTCTTCTCTTGGGTTTGGGTTTAATTTGTTCTTTTACTCTAGTTTCTTGAGAAGTGATATTAGGTTGTCATTTTGTGCTGTTTCAGACTTTTTGATGTACACATTTAATACTATGAACTTTCCTGTTTGGGCTGCTTTTGCTGTATCCCAGAGGCTTTGATAAGTTCTGTCATTATTATCATTCATTTTCAAGAATTTTCTAATTTAGACCTTGATTTCATTGTTAAACCAAAAATTATTCAAGAGCAAATTATTTAACTTCCATGTATTCGTATAGTTTTGAGAATTCCTTTTGGAGTTGATTTCCAGTTTTATTCCACAGTGGTTTCAGAAGACCCTTGTTATGATTTCGATTTTTAAAAATTTATTGAGACTTGTTTTATGGTCTATCATATGGTCTATCTTGGAGAATGCTCCATGTGCTGATGAATAGAATGTATATTCTGTATTTGGGAAGACTGTTCTGTAAACACCTGTTAAGTCCATTTGTTCTAGGGTATAGTTTAAGTCTGGTGTTTCTTTGTTGAGTTTCTGTCTTGATGATCTTCTAGTACTGTTGGTGAAGTATTAAAGTGCCCCACTATTAGTGTGTTGCTGTCTACCTTATTTCTTGGGTCTAGTAGTAATTATTTTATAAATCTGAGAGCTCTAGGGTTAGGTGCATATAAATTTAGGATTGTAATATCTTCTTGTTGGACTAATCCTCTTATCATTACATAATGTCATTCTTTAACTGTCTTTTTTTAACTGTTGTTGCTTTAAAGTCTGTTTTGTGTGATATAAGAATAGCTACTTCTGCTCACTTTTGTTTCCAGTTGCATAGCATATTTTTTTCCACCCCTTTACCTTAAGTTTATGTGACTCCTTATGTGTTAGGTGGGTCTCTTGAACATAGCAGATATTTGGTTGATTTTTTTATGCATTCTGCCATTCTGTATCTTTTAAGTAGAACACTTAGGCCGTTTACGTTCAGCATTATTATTGAGATGTGAGGTACTGTTCTAGTGATCATATTAGATGTTGCCTAGATACTTTGTTTTTTTTTTTTTCATTGTGTTATTGTTTTATAGGACTTGTGAGATTTGTGCTTTAAGGAAGTTCTGTTTTGGTGCATATTTGTTTGTCAGCATTTGTTTGTCTGAGAAAGACTTTATCTCTCCTTCATTTATGAAGCTTAGTTTTTCTGGATACAAAATTCTTGGCTTACAATTATTTTGCTTAAGGAAGCCAAAGATAGGACCCCAGTCCCTTCTGGCTTGTAGGGTTTCTGCTGAGAAATCTGCTGTTAGTTGGATAGGTTTTCCTTTATAGGTCACCTTATGCTTTTGTCTCACAGCTCTTAAAACTCATTCCTTCATGTAGACTTTAGATAGCCTGATGACTATGTGCCTTGGTGATGATCTTTTTGCAATGAATTTCCCAGGAGTTCCTTGAGTTTTCTGTATTTGGATATATAGAGCTCTACCAAGGCCAAGGAAGTTTTCCTCAATTATTCCCTCAAATAAGTTGTCTAAACATTTAGACTTCTCTTTTCCCTCAGGAACACCAATTATTCTTAGATTTGGCCATTTTACATGATCCCATATTTCTTGTACACTTTATTCATTTCTTGAGATTCTTTTTTCTTCATCTTTGACTGGGTTAATTCTAGAGCCTGATCTTTGAGCTCCAAGATTCTTTCTAGTCTATTGAAGAAACTTTTCCACTGTATTTTGCATTTCCCTAAGTGTGACTTTCATTTCCAGAAGTTCTGACTGGTTTTACTTCATGACATCAATCTCTCTGGAAAATTTTCATTCATATCCTAAATTTAAAAAAAAAATTTCTTTATGTTGTTTTTTACCTTTCTCTAGTATCTCCTTGAGTAATTTAATAAGCAACCTTCTGAATTCTTTATCTGGTATTTCAAAGATTTAATCTTGGTTTGGATCCATTGCTGAAAGCTAGTGTGATTTCTTGCGGATGCTGTAGAACCCCATTTTGTCATATTACCAGAATTACTTTTCTGGTTTCTTCTTATTTTGGGTGGACCATTTCTTCAAATTGTTCTTAAATTTATTTTTGATTTGACTGTGTTTTTTTCTTTAATTTCTTCTTTTCCCTCTTAAGGATCTGACTTTAATGTTTATCATTTATTATAGCCTAATTTGATTCTTAATGCTTTTAGTGGGGAAGACTCTGTAGGAGTTCCTTAAAGAGAGTTTTTGTGCGCTGGCTTTCCCAGACGCTGGTTGCAGTAACCATGCATTTGGCCTGTGGGTAAGTTCACTGTCTCCTGTAGGGTTGGAATGGCTAGGATCTCTTGAAGCTTATCTCATTCTCCCATGGTGTACACCTTTTTATTTATTTAATTTTTTCCCAGTATTTTATTTACTAAGCTGATGATTCAGCCTTCAGGCCAATAGGAGAGGTATCCCTGGGGTAGGTATTGGTGGTAGCTAAAGAGATGCATAGATATATCTAATGGTGGGCAGAGGTCCCAGCCTTGATGAAGGTGCCTGGGGGAGCTCTAAATTAAATGTGCTGAGGTTTTATCAGAGTGAAGGGTGGAAGCCACCTCAGCTCCCCTGCCAGGCAAGCAGGAAAGCTATCCACCTTCCTGTCCCAGTATTCCAGCTATTCAGATCAGACAGGTAACTCTTTGCATCTGTAGGAATGTTGATGTTCCAAGTAGAGAGGAGTTGTGACTCTGCAAGCCTGAATTTGAGAAGTGCTCCTCCTGTGGGGATGCAATCACCCTAAATTGTTCCTGGAAGGCCATCTATATGTGCATCTACACTGCATTCCTCTGGGAGAAGCCCCAGCTGTGTGTGCAGTGGTGTACCAGTGGGAAAAGGACCCCCTTTCCAAGCCCCTTTATGATCAGAGATGCTGCCTGATTGTTGGGGTAGAGGTGTAGACTTTCTTTACTGCACCCAGCACTGCAATTGTGTCTCTGCTATAAGAAACGTCCCACTAGTGGAAAGATCTGGGACTCAAGGCCTGCCATTCAGATTCTTTTTCCCATGGGATGTTCCCTTGATGTGATGCTCTCCCCCTTCCCCTAGGAATGAGACTTCCTGAGACCCAGACCACAGTGATTGTTAGTGCTCTTCTGGGTCTAGATACCCAGTGGGACTACCACACTTTGAGCTGATGCTGGGGAATGTCTGCAAGGGATCCAGAAATGTGAACTAATTTCAAGTCTCCCAGCAGTGTACACCAGCACCATCTTTGATGGAGATGGCAGGGCAGTTACATACACTCTGTGAGATTTCTTGGTTGGAGATAAGGCTTAGTGTGCTGGATTTCTCAAATGAGAGTTACAATTGCAGTGAACTTGCCACATGGACAGGCTCAGGACCTCTGGTTAGTCAGGGTGTTGTACGCAGTGGTGATATCTGAGGTCACATAGTCATTTTCTCCTTCCTGGGCGCATTCTACCTAGAGGTGCTTAATGGACTGTGTTGGATGGCCTCCAGCCACGAGGTGGCATTTGCAAAAGAGCAACCAGCTGCAGTAGTAGCAGTGGGATTTAAGCTTGCCATAAGTTGCTGCAGGAAAGTGTTGTTTTTTTTTTTCCTCAGGTGACAGGCAGGGCTATAAAGTTCCCCAAAGTTTATGTCCTTTGTGTTAAGCTACCAGGGTGGGTGAAGGGGCACAACCAAGTGAGGGCAGGGTTAGGCGGGTCTGTGCTCTGACTCTTCTTGAGCTGGGCTAGCTGCGGCCACTGTGAGGATTGGGAGGTGGTTCTCAGGCCACTGGGCTAATGTTCCAGAAGGGAGTATAACTGCCTCTTCTGCACAGAAGAGTTCACAAAGGTAGTGGGGAGGAGCAGGCAGCAGTAAGCCTCACCCAGCTCCCATGCAGTTGGCGAGGCTGATATCACTCACTCAGTGCTCCAATAACAAAGGCAAAAGATGACTCAGATAAATAACGGTGACTAATGTGTTTACAAAATTAGATGGCAAGATAGAGAATTTTACTCAAGAACTAAGGTCTATTAAAATCATACATAGGTAAATTGCTAAACTAAGAAATAAACAATAATTTAATTAAAAATTAATTACATGAGTGTAATAGCAGTTTGGAGACAGCTGAAGAGAGAATCACTGATCTTGAAAATAGGCCACTAGAAAAATATCCAGGCTGAAGCATGTACTAAAAACGGAGGGGAAATAATGAAAAGAGCTCTTAAGACATAACTAAGAAAGTCTAATATATTCGCAGATGGAGTCTCAATAGGGGAAATGAGAGAGAATGGAGCATAAACAATATTTGAGGAGATAATGGTCAAATTTTTCAAAGTGGTAAAAAGCCATACACCCACAGATTTAAGCACTATGAATCCTAAAGAGACAAATATAAGGCACTTCATAGTAAAACTGCTAAAAATGAAAGACAACAGAAAAATCTTATAAGTAATCAGATAAAATGTGACACACTCCAAGACATACTCCTTTCAAACAGACACAATAAAGCTACAGCTGACTTCTTGAGAGAAACAATAGAAGTCAGAAGCCAACGGATTACCATATTTAAAGCCTGAAAAAAAATTAACTGCCAATCTAGAATTCTATAACCTGTAAAAATATTCTTCAAAAGTTTGGGTGAAAAAAGGATATTTCTGGACAAAGAAAAACTTACTCAAAAAAAAAAAAAAAATCAGCTAGGCCAAGCGCAGTGGCTCATGTGTGTAATCCCACACTTTGGGAGGTCAAAGTGGGCAGATTGTTTGAACCCAGGAGTTTGAGAAAAGCCTGAGCAACATAGTGAGATCCCATCTTTACAAAAAACAAAAAACAAAAAACAAAAAAAACAAAAATTAGCCGGGCATGGTGGCACACACCTGTAGGCCCAGCTACTCCAGAGGCTGAGGTGGGAGGATCACTTGAGCCCCGCAGGTTGAGGCTGCATTGAGCTGTGATCGCACCACTGCACTCCAGCCTGGGTGACAGAGTGAAACCCTGTCTAAAAAAATAATAATAACTAGAAGACACTATGAATGAAGTACAAAAGATAATTTTTCAGATAGAGGAAAAATGATTCTATATAAAGATAAAGATGCATTTTGTAGTAGCTGGGATATCTACTAACAGAATATTAAAAATAAATAAACAACAAGCTAATAGAGGGAGAATGGTATACTCACATGAATTTTGGTTTAAAAAGATACAGCAAAAATATAAAATTGAATACAAACTACTGAGAAAAATAGAAAACAATTATAGAGATGGTAGCAATAGGCTGGACACAGTGGCTTATACCTGTTATCCCAGCACTTTGGGAGGCCAAGGTGGGGAGATCACTTGAGGCTAGGAGTTTGAGACCAGCCTGGCCAACATGGTGAAACCCTGTCTCTACTAAAAACACAAAAATTAGCTGGGCATGGTGGTACACATCTGTAATCCCAGCTACTTGTGAGGCTGAGGCATCAGAATCACTTGAACCCAGGAGGTGGAGGTTGCAGGAAGCCAGGATTACACCACTGCACTTCAGCTGGGAGACAGAGTGAGACTCTTTCAATTAAAAAAAAAAAAAAAAAGATAGTAGCCCTAAGTCCAACTTAACACTAATAACATTAGATAGAAATGTATTAAATCCTTCAATTAAGAGACTCCTGTTGACTGGGTGCAGTGACTCACACCTGTAATCCCAGCACTTTGAGAGGCTGAGGTAAGAGGATTGCTTGAGTCTGGGAGGCCAAGGTTGCAGTAAGCCATAATCACGCCACTGCTCTCCAGTCTGGGGTGACAGAGATAGATCCCATAAAAAAGAAAGAAAGAAAAAGAAGAAAGAAAGAAGGAAAAAAAGAAAGAGAGAAAGAAAGAAAGAAAGAAAGAAAGAAAGAAGGAAAGAAAGAAGGAAAGAAAGAAGGAAGGAAAGAAAGAAAGAAAAAAAGAAAGAAAGAAAGAAAGAAAGAAAGAAAGAAAGAAAGAAAAAGAAAGAAAGGAAAGAAAGAAAGAAAGAAAGAGAAAGAGAGAGAGGGAGGGAGGGAGGAAGGAAGAAAGGAAGGAAGGAAGAAAGATTGTTATTAGATTGGATTTACACATAAAAATCACACGCCACTTGGAAGTGTCACATTAAATATAAGGACAATGATGGAGCATATAAAAGGACGGAAATAAATATAACAAACAAATACTAATCAAAATAATACTGCTAATATCAGACAAAGGAAACAAAGGTAAGAAGCAATTGGAGAAATAAAATACATATTTCAAAATGTTGAAGGGTCAATTGATTACTAATATTCTAATGTTCTAATTTTCATGAGCCTAGTAATATAGCCTAAAAATGTGTATAATAAAAGGAAAACCAGGTAATATCACAACCATAGTAGAGGACTTTAACACATTTTTTCAGGAATCAAATGAATAAGCAGGAAGAAATGTATCAGTAAAGATAATAAAGATCTAACGGTATGATTAACAATTGCTCAGAGTATACTCTCTGACCACAGTGGAATAAAATTCAAAATCAATAACAAAAAGTTAATAAAATCCCCAAATATCTGGAAATGAATCAGTATATTTCTTCATACCACATATAAAAGAAAAACAATGTAAATGAGAAAATATTTTGAATTAAATTATTATGAAATCTGACAAATCAAAACTCATGGAATGCAGGAAAAGCCATGCTTAAATTAACGCTAATATAGTTTTAGGTGCATATATTAAAATATATTTAAAGGCCGGGAGCGGTGGCTCACGCTTGTAATCCCAGCACTCTGGGAGGCCGAGGCGGGTGAATCATGAGGTCAGGAGATCCAGACCATCCTGGCTAACACAGTGAAACCCTGTCTCTACTAAAAAACACACACACACACACAAAAAAAAATTAGCTGGGCGTAGTGGCGGGCCCCTGTAGTCCCAGCTACTCGGGAGGCTGAAGCAGGAGTATGGCATGAACCCGGGAGGTGGAGCTTGCAATGAGCCCAGATCGTGCCACTGCACTCCAGCACTCTAGCCTGGGTGACAGAGAGAGAGACTCCGTCTCAAAAAAAAAAAAAAAAATATATATATATATATATATATATATATATATATATATATATATACACACATACATATTTAAAAACAAAATATCTAAGTAATAATTTAAAGAAGTTAGAAAAATGACGGTAAATTAAAGCCAAAGAGAGTGGAAGGCAGGAAGGCAGAAATATAATAGCAGAAATTAATAACAGAGAAAACAAATGCACACTAGAGAAAATCAACACAGCCAAAAATTGGTCCATTGTAAAGATAAGTAAACCTTTAGCAGGATTAATTGAAACAGACAGAGGCAAAAACAGAGAGAGAGAGAGTGAGAGAGACAGAGGGGGAGAGAAAACGCACAAGCACATAAACATCAATTTCAGGAATGAAAAAGGAACATAACTATAGAATCTGCAGACACTGAAAAGCTAATCAGAGGGTATTATAAACAACTCAATAGCAACAGACTTGAAAATTTAAATGAAATATACAAATTCCTAGAAAAACTAATACAAGAAGAAATTTTAAAAATCTAAAGTCCTCAATCTATTAAAGAAATTGAATCTACAATTAAAATTCTTTCAATAAAAAAAACTTCAGTTTTTTTCCTGTCTGTGAATTCATCTAAACAGTTAAAAAAGAAATGTTGTGAATCTTACATAAACTCTTGGTGATAATGGAGAAAGAGGGAATATCAAAACGAGATGAAGAAGACATTACAAGAAGGAAAACTACAGATCAGCTTCTCCTGTGAACATATTTGAAACAGTCCTTAATAAAACACAGGGAGTTCTCACTTAGCATGGTAGTCAGGGGGTATAAAATTGACGATGCAAGCTGAAGCCATGCAAACTGAGCTTAATAATCAATGGGGAAAATTGTAATTCTTTTTTCACGAACTTCACAAATTTTGGTCAAAATATTAACAACTCTTTTAACTAGTAAAAGTAATATTTAATTAGTATGCTGTGGTTTATAACATTTAATACATTGAGATAAGGTGTTTTGTTTCTTTGTTAAAAAAAAACTTATCACGAGTTTTCTGAGGAGTGTTTGCTTTCTTTTTGTCATATAGCTGTGAATGAAGACAGCATCTTTTCCATTCCTTGGTAAACTGTCATATTCCTAAGTTAGATTCACTTCTAACATTTTATCCTTTGCACTTACAATGTTGTGAAATATCTCTGAGAGTTCCTTTAATGTGAAGTGTTTTTTTGTTTGTTTGTTTTGTTTTTTTGTTTGTTTTTTGCCAGCATCACTTTCTGTGGGACATCTTCATGCTGTTCGTCATAACCCCTTTCTTCATTTATGTCAATGAGCTTACCGTCACTAAGTTCCCTGGCCGCACGTCTAGAATCTTGAATGGAGGTAGGGTCAGCATTTCTATGGTTGGCTATTTTTCCTTTGAATATGTTTACATTCGATTAGAATTTCACTTCCAGTGTTATCCCTTCCTTTCTTCTTTACTGTACTTTCATATTTGTTGGCCAATGCCCTCTCTGGAGTGTCCAGTTTTGTAAAATGTTATGTGGGTTTATCACTGGGTGACAAGCAGGCTACACAACTATATACTTGGCTGTCATGTTGTCCGTGTGTGAACTGAACAACACTGATTGGTCAATGCTGTGACCAATCACCAACAGACTTTGAAAGAGGTAATGTTATTGGTCACTGATGATGATGAGAGCTGTTATTTATGTAATGATTTGTAAACTAAAGAGCCAGTGCTTTGTGCAATCAATCACTCGCAGTTAACATATCTTGGTAAATGAAGCCTGACTATGTTGTTGGGGGACTGGTGTTATTTAACTAAATGGTGGTAACTGAAATTCATTCATATTAGAAGCATGCAAAGTGAGGTCTACCTATACAAGTAAAGACATTGGTTCTTTCTTGATCTGGGTGCTGGTACATAGATGTTTGTTTTGTTCAGATTCATTCAGCAATACAGTATCATTTTTACATTTTCCCAACTTATGACATATTCCAGCTAAAAATTTCCTTGGAAATTATTTTAATATAATTCAGCACATTAAAAGAATAAAGGAGAAAATTCACATGATCATCTCTATACAAGCAGAAAAAGCATTTGATAAAATTCAGGAACATATATAAAAAGAAAAACTAGAAATGGAGGCAATTTCCTCAATCCACTATGCAGCATTATAAAAAACTACATCAAGCATCAATTAGGTATTAAAGAATACCTAATCAAACAGAAGGATGATCATGTTCATGAATTGGAAGATGCCAATTCACCTGAAATAAAACTATACATTCAATGCAATTCTAATTAAAATCAGAGTAGTTTGTATGATGTGTGTGTGTAAGTGAACAAGCTGATAAGAAATGTAAAGGAACAAGAATAGTTAGGGCAATCTCAAAGAAAAAGAACAAAAATGGAGGAGCGGCATTCTTAGCTATCAGAATTTATCATATAAAGTTATGTAATCAAGACACCATAGTATTGGCACAAGAATAGCCAAGTAAACCAATGGAATAGAACGGAGTCCAGAAACAGACCCACACATAAATGGTTACTCGATTTATGACAAGTATGAACTACTTGTGTTACTACTGAGCAATAGGGAAATGACTTTTTAATAAATGGTGCTGGGTCAACTGAATATTCAAAGAAAAAGTAAATCTTCGCCTCTATGTTACACCATGCATAAAATCACTTATAGGTACACTGTAGATCTAAATGTGAAAGATAAAAAAATAAAGATTCTAGAATAAAAATCAGCAAAATGAACATGTGGTTGACAAAAACTATAAATGGCACACTAAAAGCATTAATCAAAATAGAACTGATAGACTATATTAAAATCTGGAATTTGCATTCATCACAAGGCATCATTAAGAGTGTGAAAAGGCAAATGGTAGACTGGAGAAGATATCTGTAATACAATTATAAAACAATGAACTCATATATTGATCCAAAGAACTCCTACATATCAATAAAAAAAGACAATGTAAAAGACAAATGAGAAAGATACTTCATAAAAGAAGATATTCAAATAGCCAATAAACATGAAAATATGTTCAAGCTCATTAGGCCTCAGAAGGAAACCAAAATTAAAGCAAAATTAAATACCACTGTAAGCCCAAAAGAATGGCTACAATGAAAGAGACTGACAAATAGTAACTACTGGGAAAGATGCAGAGTACCTGCAATTTCCATACTGTGCTGGTAGGAACATCCTGGTACAACCACTTTGTAAAAATATTTGACACTAACTGCTGAAATTGAATTTCTGCAAACCCAATTGCCCAGAAATTCCACTCATAGATATTTATCCTACAAAAATGCATACACATATCTACCAAATCACATACTAGAATGTTCCTAGTGGAAACAGTGCAAAACTGAAAACAATCAACCTAAAAATGGATAAATTGTGGTATCTTCACAAAACTGAATAATATGTAGCAATGAGAATAAGCAAACTATGATTTGAATGGATCTTATAAACAATGTTAGCAAAAGAAGTCAGACATAAAAGTGTACATAACATCTGATTCCATTTATAAAATTTTGCAAACAGGGCAAAAGTAACTGAGAGTGAGCAAAATCAGAATAGTTACCCTGGCAGGAGGAATGATAGGGGTCAGAAGCTTGAGGTGAGCTTCTGGTCATATGTTTCTTGATCTTAGTGATGATTAAATGGGTATGATCTCTGTGCACTTGGCTAAAATTTTTACTTATAACAGAAATAACCCGGAAGATGTATATGTACTGACTTAGAAAGGTAACCACAATATATCAATAAGTGAGGGAGGAAAAGCTGATTGTAGATCACCAAATATAATATGATTCTGCACTGGTAAAAAAAAATGTGAATTATTATATCCAAAATAAATCCATTAAGGATTTATCAACAATGCTTATCTCTTTCAATTTTTATTTTTCATTTTATGAAATTTGGGGATTTTTAGAAAATGAGCATTAATTAAAGGTTTGGGACCAAAAGAATAAATATTAAAAAGAAACAACTTTCTAGCTGAACTTTCCACAATTCCAAAGGTATCTCACAGGTGGTGCAATGCAGTGGCCGTGAGAGTGACATCTCTTTGAGGGACCAAGGAGCGTCTAACGGCGACAGGACAGAGCACCTGGATGAGCAGATCCTTCCTCATGAATGCAAATGCACTTTAATTCACCTCCCTCAGCTTGTGCTCAGGGAGCAGGTTCTGTCCCATTCTCTGTGGAACACTCATTGAGCAAAGGAACAACTCAAAAGGCACAGAGGCCCAGCTCCGTCCTGGAGAAGGGGCTCGCGGTGTTGCCAAACACATAAACTCTATGTTCATGCATTATTTTACTTCGCAAAAGGCCCAAAGAATAATTATCACTTGTCATGTCTTAGGAGTAACACTCAATAAGCTTACCTGTAAACCTTGGATTAGTAAGACAAATTTCAACTTGCCCCTGTTATGCACAACCAACATCCTTTTAACATAATCATGGTTTCCTCTACAGACTTTTATCATTACAAAGTAATTAAAATTTTTATCATCCAATCTTATGTTTATATATTGTTGTTGTTATATATGTTTATCCAATCTTACGTTTATATATTATTGCGATATATGTTTACGTATTGAAAAAAGTGTGTTCAGTAGCTAAGAATTACACTTGAAAATGATGGGTAGTCTTTAAAATATTTTTATTATATATGCCAAGCATACATATGGTGAATAAAATGATTTTTAAAAGAAGTTTTCCAGTGAAAATGGAAAACATGCCCAAGATATAAAAAACAGAATCTGCGTGTGCATCTATACATGTGTGTATACAATTTCCAAAAATCCAGTGTATATAACCTCCCCTCATAGAAGAAATAGAGCACAAATTTTAGCCCATTTTCCTTAAAAAAAAAAAAAAAATGGAAGACTCCTGGCTGGGCGCAGTGGCTCACGCCTGTAATCCCAGCACTTTGGGAGGCCGAGGTCAGTGGATCACGAGGTCAGGAGTTCGAGACCAGCCTGGCCAACATAGTGAAACCCCGTCTCTACTAAAAATACAAAAATTAGCTGGGCATGGTGGCGTGCACCTGTAGTTCCAGCTACTCGGGAGGCTGAGGCAGAAGAATTGCTTGAACCCTGAAGCAGAGGTTACAGTGAGCCAAGATCGCGCCACTGCACTCCAGCTTGTGTGACAGAGCAAGACTTCGTCTCAATAAATAAATGAACAATAAATAAATAATAAATAAAAGACTCCTGATGAATGAAGAAGGCACTCATTCAAATCTATGCCCAGACCAAAAAAAAAAAAAAAAAGCTGGCAGGGGAAAAGGCTGGGTGCAGTGGCTCACACCTGTAATCCCAGCACTTTGGGAGGCTGAGGAGGATGGATCACCTGAGCTCAAGAGTTCAAAAACAGCCTGGGCAACATGGTGAAACCCCATCTCTGCTAAACTACAAAAAGTTAGCCGGATGTGGCGGTGTGAGCCTGTAATCCCAGTTACTTGAGAGGCTGAGACAGGAGAATCACTTGAACCCAGGAAGTGGAGATTGCAGTGAGCCAAGGTCGCGCCACTGCACTCCAGCCTGGGCAACAGAGGGAGAGTCCACCTCAAAAAAAAAAAACAAAAAAAAAAAAAAAAGGGGAAAAAAAGGAAGGACATGGGTACTGGATATTATGATCAGATTTGCAGGCTTAAGAAAAATGAAATAAAATATTAAATAATCGTTTAATATCACCATAAGAACATATTTATTTTCATTATTTTGTCTCAGCCACGTTAGAACGAAAGCAAATATGCTTTATAATAATGGGGATTAGTCCCAAAGTACAGCGGTCCCCAACCTTTAGTGGCACCAGGAACTGGTTTCATGGAAGACAATTTTTCCACAGACCAGGGGTGGGGGGATGGTTTCAGGATGATTCAAGTGCATTACATTTATTGTGCACTTTATTTCTATTATTATTACATTGTAATAGATAATGAAATAATTATGTAACTCACCATAATGTAGAATCAGTGGGAGCCCTGAGCTTGTTTTTCTGCAACTAGACAGTCCCATCTGGGGGTGATGGGAGACAGTGACAGATCGTCAGGTATTAGATTCTCATAAGGAACACGCAATCTAGATCCCTCACATGTGCAGGTCGCAATACTGTTCGTGCTCCTATGAGGATCTAATGCTGCAGCTGATCTGACAGGAGGCCGAGCTCAGGTGGTAATGTGAGCAATGGAGAGCAGCTGTGAATGCAGATAAAGCTTTGCTCCCTCGCCTGCCCTCTGCTCACCTCCTGCTATGCAGCCCAGTTCCTAACAGGCTACAGACCGGTCTGTAGCCTAGGTGTTGGGGACTCCGGACATACAAGGAAGAGCCACTTTGATTGACAAAAGGCTAGACTAGAAAGCAGGCGTTAACCACAGCCTGCCAATTTTCATGGGATGGAATGAACCCCACCTGCACTTCCCCAACACACAGTGGTCTGGGTCCACAGGCAGCCGTGTGCTCCACCTAAGGCCGACTGCTCCTCCCACCTCACACTCTTCTGACATAAATGCCATATCTGATAGCACAGACCTCTGCTGTGAGGAAACGGATATGTTTAAATTAAAGAGCACAGTAAATGCATGAATAAATAAAAGCATATGGGTGTAAACTCCTTATACATGATGCAGAAAAGAACAAGTGCATTCTGAGCATCTTGGAAGAGATTTCATCTTTCACAGTATGCAAATGCATTTTGCTATGACATTTTCTATTTTTGTAAGGATGATCCTCATTACTACATTTATGATATGAACTACAAAATTGTGTATCTGTTTGAACAAGAACATATACATAATTACTCTGTGGAGATATTTTCAAAAGTGTCAAACTATGAATTACAACACTGGCACTTTTTTTTTAAGGCTTCTTACATGGTTCCAAAACATGTCGTTTACAGAATGAAGGCTTGGTAAGATGGATGAGAACATTTGTATGGAACAGTTTCTAAAATATCAGTGATTTATTTTATTTAAAGCAGACTTGAGCTCTGGTTATATTACATAGAAATTCTTCTTATGAGGGAGAAACATGTAGCTGCACAATGAATCCAAAGTAATTCAACTGCCCTCTCTTTTCTGAGGAAAAGGCCTCGTGTGGCTGAGATGAAATCCACAATTCCTCCAACACAAGCAAGAGCTCCATCTCTGCCTGAAGTGAGCAGTTCAGCACTGCTCCCTGGCCTCCCGGCCCTTTTGTTCAATGACTGCCAAGCACCCTCTCCTTCTCTTAAGAAAAGTCCAATGGGTAACGAGATGGCACAGTCCAGCACAGTGTGCTAATTCACTGGACTTCTACCAGGTCAGTAGAAAGCTCAGCAATGTTCCTTCCCTCTAGAAGGCAGACAGATCTCCTACATCTTCCGGGAGACACAAATGTACAGAGCTGCCAAGGCTGCAGGTGGGCTAATAGAAATTATCAATGTTTGCATCTGACTAAATCAAAACGGAACCTGGAGAAAACTGATTCCTTAGCTTGGTACAATATAATCCAACCTCAAAATTCTGTCTATATGGAGCCTTCATTGGAAAGAAACGTAACTAAAAGAACACATGCAATTCTTCTTCCTAGACTCCAACAGATTCCTCAGCTCTGATGGTTTAATTTTTTGCCTAATACTCTTCTAGCCTTTCTTACTAATGAGGTGCATCTCACAGTCTCCCACCTTCACAAGTTCAGTGAGACACTCCTGGTTTCCCTCCATGGCCTCTGCAGATGGCAGAGTGGGATTCAACCATTGAACCTCTAACTTCTGTTGGTTTACACTTTTCCTATCATGAGTGGGGACCATAGAGATCATAGAGTCCAGTCCTTTTACTTTTAAAATGAGAAAATGAAGGTTTGAGTAGTGAAGTGAAGGGACTCATTCACAGGGCGGGAACTAGAACACAAGTCTCTTTTGACTTCTAGTTAGGCTCTTTCTACCATTCCCTGTTGGAATGATAAAACCAAACAGTCAAACAAATAAGACATTCTGCACAACAAAAAGTATATTCTGTGTTTTGCTAGTGTTTTTGTTTTTACCTCTGAAGAGATTATCCAAGTCAATATCTTCTTTTCCTTTGATTTTCAAACACTTTGCCTGCTGTACAAGTCTGGGCAAAGAACAGAAATAAAATCTAGATTCATTATCCTGTGAGGTAGGAAGAAATCATGATAGCAGCACAAATTTAAATAGAAACTGCAGGGTAAACAATAGTGAATTGGCAGGTATTTTGCTGCACAGAGCCTTGTTAGAATTTTAAGTTTAAGATTTTAAAAACACACTTCTGTTCAGAAACTCTGACTTTGAACCCTGAAATTTAAAAGGCCTTTCCCCCCTCATTCTATTACAGTAAAAAGTTTCCAAAACTCTCTGGAGAATAATCTCTTCAGATTCTAAGGAGGAGCTAGCAGGATGGTGGGTGATGGGATGGTAGGTAAGTAAATAATAATTGCTACTGATGATTTTAAGGCTCATTATTTTAATCAGAAGATTATAGACACTGTGCTCAAACAACTGTATAAAGTAATTTAGTTACATTGCTGAATGTCAGGGAATTAATTAACTTTTAAAATGCTGCAGTATGTAGTACGGCCTAATTCTGTTATTCTTTTATCATGGAACTTCATTAAAACTTGAGGCTCATACTTTATAATGAATATGGAAGTTTCTACAATAAAACTTTTCCAGGATTGCTAATTAGTCAGTAATTAATTTTAGGTAGATAGGCCTGTGAGATAATCAAGTAATTTATTTGTATATATTTTAATGAAATTTATATCTTGCTTTGCACATGTATTTTCTTACTGTATTTGAACAGCAAGTCTCTCATTTCATTTTCACTAACAAGCCTTTGAGTTGGTCATGGAAGTACTGTTTTAATTTCTGTGCTAGATGAGGAAACCGATTCAGTTACCAAAATCCTACATAGAAACCTAAATGACTTACAGAATTTGAGATAATTGTATCTATATGTTTATTTGTATGTTTACACAAGTATATCATGGCAGAAATGTTCTATCAGTTAGAGATCTCTTAATCATCAAGACTTTTTATCAAAAAAGCAAGAAACCGAGAAAATTTCTATTGAACTCCAACTTTGGACTTTACCATAGGTCCTACAAGGCTACTGTGGAGCATACTAACCACATGTACTTAATCACCTGGGGGGCAATGCAGAGACAGTACATTCAGTGTGCGAAAACTTGAGTTCACGCCTAGGATGCAGCCCCTAGGTTTGTGATCCAGAGTGAATATTTAAATGCTCAATCTTAGCTTCCAATCTGTTAAATGGACACAGTACCTGCCTCACTGGGTTGTTCAGAGCAACTAGTGAAATAGTATGTTAAAAACCAGTGTAAAAACGCTTATGCATCATGGACGTGCATAAGAATATGTGTAATATTCTCATCGATTCAATATATATAATTTTAATTATATTCAACATATGTATCATCAGGATTTGTTTACATTCTTTTTTTTTGCTTATATCATGCTTTGATATTTACATTCTTGTAGGAGAAAATATAAACTATAGAAAAGTGGCTTAAATGTAAGCAGTGAGTATCTGGTAGAGAGCATGGGTCAAACAGGATGCTGGGACACAGCACATAAGGTAAGTAGTGCAGCCTAGCCATTTTCCAAAGAATAATTTGGGGCGGGGGAAAGAACAATTTTAGCTGTGTTTACATGATTTTTGGCAAATCTTTAGGTATTTCCCCCTCAATTTTACAAATTTTATGAAACTTCAAGTTGATTTTCAAGCCATCTTAAAGCCCCCTTCTGCAATATATGCTAATCAAGATCTTGCTTCTGTCTTACAAAGTTAAAAAATAGAAGCCAGTCTGCCACATATAAAACTTTTATGGGTATTTTAAAAAACATTTTAAAATAAATCAAATAAATTTGTTGGGTGCTTTTTAAAAATAATGCGGAGTTCTTCAATTGATCATGGGTATATTTCAGTATAGTCTTGCTTTCAAATGATTACATCAGTAGAGAGATATGCCAAGCCAAATCCTGTGAGTAGTTCAGATTCAGGTAGCATTTCCTGGGAACTCCCAGGAGGTAGGTACATACTAAGGACTCCTAGCCTTTTCATTTCCCATTTCATTCTCACAAAAACTCTACAAGGTTGGGATAGTACTCTTGTTTTACACATTGAGAGACTGGGCTCAGAGACATTCAACAACCTGCCCCATCTTGGGCACAAAGTGGGTCGATAATGGAGCCAAAATCAGGTCTTAATGGAGCCAAAATGAAGTCCAATCTCAAGTCTTTGGACTCCAAATCCAGGTTTCTTTCTGCTTTACACATCACCTTCCAATAGCGTACAGTTTACTGATTATTTATGGAAGGCACGGATAAAGGGAAGTCACAGGCAGAGACTTGACTGTTGCTGGGCCAGTGGGGTCTTCAGAGAATGGAGATGGGTTTCCAAAAGTCTCGAGAATTAGGGTGGAACAGAACGAGCATAAGTAACGTGGGACGGGGAAGTGTTTTGAGGACCTGAATAAGCTAATCGACTTGTTTGGCTGAAGCACCATGCAACGAAAGGCAGCTTGACAGAACAAACTGAAGCCAGCCATGGAGGGCCTTGCATGGGTTCTCGAGGATGTGGACTTCATCTTGTGGGCAGTGGGAAAAGTCACAGAGGAATTTGTATTTCAAAAGAATCCACTGCATACAGCCAGTAGACATGTTTGGAAATGACTAGGCCAGTCATGAGCCAAAGATTAATATTTCATTTGTGTTTTAGCTAAAATAGTCTCAATCTCTGTCTAAATCTCCAGGGATGTACTACTGTTGCACCAATTATTCCTCCTGAAGCCTGGCCCATAGCTTTTATATAGTCATAATAGCTCCGGGCATCCTAAACAATCTTCAGTGTATTTTATTAATAGCGTTGCTGTTGCTGTCGCAAGTGTCAAGAGACCTGTGTATCTGTTTATACCTGATTTATTCCATAAAGAGGTGCATATGACCTAAAGGCAAAAGCTGTAGCTGTCACTGTCACCCAAGAGTCTCTGCTATCCATTGTTTTTCAATGTGTTCTTTCCCTAGGATTTCCTACTTCCAGTTGGAAGAAAGGGCCTGCATCCTCTCTGACCCTCTTTCTAGGCTTCCATTCCCCTTCACAAGACAATACTAGTGGCTATCATTTCTGTGCTCATTAAGTGCTAGGCCCTGAACTGGATGCTTAACATGAAGTAGGAAATATTAATCTTCTATTTATGTGTTCAAAAGGCAAGTTAAGGAGTCTTAAAAAGTCACATAATAAGTAGAAGAACTAGGATTTGAATTTAATTCAGGTTAGTCTAACTGTACCTAGACACCTTCTAGAACAAGAGTTAGCAAACTATGCCCCGTAAGTCGAATCCTGCCCATTGCTTGTTTTTGTAAACAAAGTTTCACTAGAACACAGCCACGGTCACTTCTCTACTTACTGTCTAGGGCTGCTTTCACTACGATGGCTGAACTGAGTAGTTGTAGCAGAGACCTTTATAGCTGGCCACACCTAAAATATTTACCATCCGGCTCTTTACAAAAAATAAGCTATCTGACCCTTGTTCTAGAAGTTAAAAAAAAAATGGTCCATAAGTTCAAAAAACACACGGAATGTGATTGTCTTATCTGGGAAGCTGCTCCCCAAACTGCCACAATAACTGTGTTTAGTTATAACTTAAGGCTTAACAGGCAGACACTGGGCTCTGACTCTTCTATTTTTAGGCAAATTCTCCAAACTCAATCAACATTTCTCTGAGATTTTCCTGCCTGCAGCTGTTGCATTCTGCAGAGATGGTTTCTGCCACCAAAAGACTCATGATCTATTAGGGGATGCAGACTTGTGCAAGGGCAGATTCTACACAAAGCAGACCAAGAAAGGGCTACATCAGAGAGACAGAGGATGTGCTATTGGATCATACAACAGGAGGACATTTTCTGCATACAAGGTGAGAGATGGTAGAAAAAGCCTTCAGGAGATGAGTTTGAACTGGGCCTCAATACAAATTTTATCACAGGAAACACAGAGAGGGCCACTGCAGGTGGAGGGCGAGTGTGGGTGAGGAGAATTAGCAATGGGGTGTGGTGTGCAATGAGGTAAGACGTGGAGCTAGGACAAATTATGGGGCCTGCACAAGCTTTCTATGTTCCCACGCATGTGTGTAGGTTTGGATATGCGAATTTATTTATTCTCAGTCAAGCAAAATGGACCAATGACCTGTGAGATTCTATCAATTTGAGGATTCATACAGTATGTTTAGTTTGCAAATAAAAAGTAATGAACCCTTTTAAAATATAGCAGTAAAAAGCATCAGCAAATAATAAGTTCCATAATATTCATATGAAAATGTTTACTGCAGCATTATTTACAAGAGGAGAAATACTGGAAACCATGGTCATTAGGGGAATGGTTGAATGAGTTCGGTATGCCTACACCATGGAATACAATGCAGTTGTTAAAAATAATGCATTGGGTCTGTTTGTGTTGATATGACAATTTACCCATGACATATTGTTAAATGAAATAAAACACATTGCAGATTAACAAAATGTTAATATAAATTATTTTAAAAGAGTGAATGTACATTGATATGGTTAGGCTGTGGTTTCCCACCCAAATCTCATTTTGAATTGTAATCCTTATAATCCCCATGTGTCAAGGTAGAGACGAGGTGCAGGTAACTAAATCATGGGGGCAGTTTCCCCATGCTGTTCTCATGATAGTGAGTACTCATAAGATCTGATGGTTTTATTAGTGTTTGGTAGTTCCTCCTGTGTTCATTCTCCTTCCTGACACCCTGTGAAGAAGGTGCCTTGCTTCCCCTTTGCCTTCCACCATGATTGTAAGTTTCCTGAGGCCTCTCCAGCCATGCTGGACTGTAAGTCAGTTAAACCTCTTTCCTTTATAAAGCACCCAGTCTCAGGCAGTTTTTTATAACAACATGAAAATGGACTAATACATACATCTACATACACATGTGCATACATGAACATCAAAAAGGTACAGAGAACAGGTGGCAATCTGTTAACCCTAGTGACCTAAGCATGCAGCATCAGAGTTAGGAGTGGAGAATGAGAAATTCTTAATTTCTTAAAACTTCTACATTACTGGAATTATTAAGGTGGACATTTTCTTATATTTTTCCAAACATCTATATGTTATGCTGTTTGATAGAAAAAGGTGTGGATATTGTTAATGTTTTTAGTTTTTATTTTCTTCTTTCTACTCAACTGTATTTTTTCTTTTCCCATAATAAGCAAGTACTGCTGTAATAATGAGAAAAAGATCATGTTAAAGTCCCACTTTACTCTTTACAATGAGTAAGAAATAATTATTTTCAAACCAGGTTAAGTATACAGATGATAAAATGCTTGCTGGTGCTCAGGCTGCAAGGTTTTATTTTTCTGGGGTGCGGGAACACTAATATTTCCTCTACACAAGTTGCTGTGGACATTGTAGGACACACTGTTCTGTGGCATTTAGTCACTGAAAGCCTGAGCCAAGGCAGGATTCCAGAAATCCAGAGATTAAGAATAAATTTTAAAATTCTTTACGAGAATCAGCTCGGAAAAATATTTTGAAGACATGGCATGGCATCCATGGGTTATTTCATAACGTTTCAGCATAACTGTACATTCATTTAGGAAATACAAGACTCTAGAGACTCCAGTGAGGTGCCTAAAAAGTGAGGCAGGTGGAGACTGGCAAGAGCTGGGCCCTTCCATCTCATCCCAGATCCTCTCCATGCCCCTGAGCTGATCCGGGCACAACTCATTTCGTTTTCCATATGCACAATATTCAACAGAACCTTTTTTCCCTTAGTGGCTGGGCCCTTTATGATAGGTGATTACTGAAAACATTTTGAGCATCACCCTTTCTACTCCGCATTACTTCCCTATGGCACCTGTCAACCAACTGTGATTTTCTCTTCATTTATGGTTTGCTTTCTTTATTCCTCTTCCATCTCCCCTACCTGAAAATTGGCTCCACACAAAGATGGAACTGGTTTGCTCACCTCCACATCCCTAGCACCTAACACACCACTTGGCAACAGCAGCAGCTCCACACATACTTGTGGAGTGAATGAATATCGATGTCATGAGCGAATCAGCATGCCTACTGCCAAGTCTGCACAGACAGGAGCCATCCCACCTAAGTTCAAATCCTTGTCCTGACACTTACTAGTTTGGGTGATTTTCTTATCACCAAGGAAAAGCTTGATAAGAACAAGGATTTTTGTCTGTTTTGTTCCCTGCTCTATCACTAGAGTTTGGAACAGTATTTTCTAAATATTTATTCAACAGACAAAGGTTGAATGAATGAATATGTCTAATTTCGGGACCTGGCTATGGTCACGGTGCTGAATTCAGCAAGATAAGTGTTAGTCAGCTAACTACATACCAAAACCAAATTCCATTCTGACTGCATCTTAATTCTAGGGCAGGTGGTGGTATGGAACAGTGAGGAGAGCAATGAGCTGGGAGTCAGAGGGCTCAAAGGGGCCACCATCAACAGTGCTGATGAAATAGCAAAATTCTTTGGCATTGGTGTCCTTGTCTCCACATTGCAGAAGTTGAATTAATCTCTTGAGTCCTTTCCCTCCGTAGAGCTCCTAGGTTGTCATGCCTGGCTAGTGGCTCCTCAGAGTCTGAGTGGAGGTGGGGAGCTGGAGGGGGGCTGCTCTGAAAGGCCTTGGGATTTCCTGTCCAGCCAAAACCCCCTATAGGGCAAGAAGAACTCTGGTTTGTCATGGTGTTTTGATCACTACTTTCTTGATTAAGGGGCTTAATTTAGTTATAGATACTGAGTATTATCTTAGACCAAATAAATAAAGGTCTAAATTCCTGTGGTTGGTGTTGAGGTGTGTGATATACACACCGCTAGAACTGGTCCAACTGCAAGACTTTAAAATCAATGGTTTTCATAAAAATGGAGAAAAGACATGGAACTATTATTTCAATAGTCTCTTCTATGTGCCAGGCCCATTCATATATCTATAGCAATATCAATGTCTATATCTACCTACATCTATATTCCTATACTCTAAATCTTATATAAGCCTCACATTTATGACCATTTTACAGGTGAAGGAATGGAGACTCTAAGAGAAAAACAGATGTATATGATGAAATCAATCAACTTAGGTACACTAAAGATCTATAATGTGAAACATAAAGAAGAAAAAGCAAAAGCATAAATTGTTTCTTCCCTTTAGCAGCCTATAGTCTTTTTGAGAAGACATGGCATATGCACAACAAACTATTAAAAAGGTACATGCAGACACACAAATAAGCTGCTGATATGTGGTGTGGACCAAAAGGAGAGAGGGATGCTGAGAGCAAGGATAGGACTGGCTCTGAGAAAGGATAGGACTGGCCTTAGCAAGGATAGGACTGGACTGGACTTAGCAAGGATAGGACTGGCCTCTCAGGGCTGGCCACCATCCTTGGCACCTAGTAGGTTGCTCAAAATCTATTTAACTTGTTGAGTGTCTAGTATGTGTCAGGTATTGCAATAAGTGTTAGAAATAGAGAGACACATAAAACACAAACTCCAACTTCAAGAAGCTCTTACAGATTGGAACTGCCACAGAACTCCAAGAGAGAGGTGAGCCGTGGGAAAGGGAGGAGATGCAGGCAGGAGTAAATGAGGTACCAAGAAAGGAAACAAAGGCACAGTGCAGGAATGAAAACAACACTGCAGGCGATGATGGGGAGTGAGTGGGGCCAGTAAGTAGACTCTACCTCCCAAAGCAGAGAATTGAGAGAAAGTGAAATTGAGGAGTGAGAAAGTGAAAGTAAGAAGTGAGAAAAAGGCTGGTGGATTAAAGAACCTATTTACTCACTTGGAAGGTGAATGTGTGGGACAACCAACTAACATTGTTATAATTCTGAGGGTGGAGATCATAGAAGGTACTTATGTTGCAGCCAAAATAAACTAGTTGGCTCATGGCAGTGCAGTTTATCACCAAGATCATTAAGGAACTATTCCACTACATGCCATCCTTTCTGATTACCACAATTTTCCCCAGGCATTTTTATTACTAATATTAGCTTTCAAAAAGTGCGTGAAATTTATAATATGGCAGGCATCAGGAAAAACAAAGTGAGCTTTATTAGGCATTTTCTTAGATTTTCTTAATAGCAATGATAGAATATGACAGGTATTTTAACGAATGGTGGTGCTATCAATTGTGTGAATTAGAATATATTAAACAATGCTTCTGGGAGGCAAAGGAAGTTATTAAAGAACACTTAGGCAGGTAAAAAAATGCCTGAAAAAAAAGTCCCCCTCAGGCCTGGGGAAACCAGCTAATAGACAATATGGGGAGTAGAGGGGAGCTGCATTCCAAAGTAATTTTCTTTATGATGAAAATGTTTTAATGACTCATTATATTCTCTTGTTGCAGGTAGAAGCCTTTAGTATACTATAATAAAACGTGCTCAAGACGGACATTTTGTATTATATATAGTATAAATAAGAAACATCAGTTTGGGGAAAACATGGTAAGATTCTTCCCTTCAGTAGTTCTATTATTATTATTAAACTTTAAGTTCTGGAGTATATGTGCAGAACGTGCAGGTTCTATTTTCACAAAATAAGAAACAGACGCATCATAAGGTGACTCTGAGAATCCTAGACATCAGTAGAAAGTAAGACTAAATATGAACCTAGCTGGGCTTTTTCAAAGCCTTAAGCTGTCATTCTTTCACTAGTCTAACGTAGTTGAATTGCACGTGGGATTTTTTTCTACTTATCATCTGCATGACCTCAGACACTACCTAACCTCTCTGAACTTTTAGATGCCTATGTTATAAAATCTGAATAAGAAAACTTACCACATACAGGGTTGTTGGGAGGATGAAATAAAATTAACACTATGATGTACACAAATTGTTTAGCATAACGCTTTGCAGCCCCAAGTAAGTATGTGCTATTAATAGTAGATAGTTATTATCATTGATATTTCTGGCAATATGATTGCTAATGTACTGTACTGAAAATATGCTGTATTTAATCAGACGACCTATGTTTCAGTCCCAGATAAGCTTACCAGCTTACTATTTCCTCACCTATAAATGGCAATATTATGATGAGAATAATGTCTGCTTTGCCTAAATTACAAAATTATGGGAAGCTCCAAAGGTTATGTATGTGCAAACTATAAATGGTTAAATGGATTAAGGTATTTTCTACTCTACTATATGTACCCAAATGAAAGAAACTCAAGTGTAAGCTATTCACCTCCATTTAATGCACCACGAATGTAATACTACCCACTCTATTAGCACAAATAAAAAAGGAATATATATGGGTTTTCAGTAAATGGTGACTTACTGTGATATTGTGAGTATGACTCTTTACAGTTAATATAACATCTGTATCTTACTGTTATAAAGATAACTCTTGCAAACGTCTAGCAGTACATATATAAATCTCTCAAAATAAAAACATGACTCTCTACTAAAAAATGTGAACATAAATAGACTATTTCTACCACTAAATCATGCAGTGGAGTCATATATTTACTAATTATAACCCTGATACAAAGATTAATATAAGAGCAAACATGTTTTTTAAAAATAATCAAAAAATTGGGTTGCAGTTAAGGAAAAGAAAAAATTATCCAAATTGTTGGGCAATATCTAACCAAATTTGGAAGCTTATCAAAGTTAATTTTATATTTTTCACTTGAATTACAAGAAGTCTGGATATATATAAATATATGTGTATATATATTATATATATACACACACACACACACACACACACACACACATATATTTCTTTTTTTTTTTTTGAGACAGGGTCTCACTCTGTCACCTAAGCTAGAATGCAATGGTGTGATAGCTCACTGCAGCCTCTGCTTCCCAGGCTCAAGTGATCCTCCCACCTCAGCCTCCTGAGTAGCTGGGACTACAGGCACATGCCACCACACCCACCTATTTTTTTTTTTTTTTTGTATTTTTTGTAGAGATGGGGTTTCATGATGTTGCCCAGACTGGAACTCTGGATATTCTAATGTGACAAATGTTGCTTGTATAAAAAAATTACAGAAGGCCTGTCCAGAGCTCAATGGTGGATGGCTTGACTGGAGGCCAGTGGAAATTATAGCTCTGATTTTCACCAATTTAACCCCCATCACTATTTTTGGACAGCAGCCAAGTAAAAGTTATTTCTGCTCAACATGCAAAAGAGGAAAGATAGAATTTAAATATTCTCCATCACCTGTATCTAATAGCTAGTGATTTCAAGAGCAAAGATTTGGGTTAGAGAAAAGGCAGCCTCGGGACAGTACTACAAGTAAGCTGTGGAGAGAGTTAAAATATGTTTTATCTGTACATAATTAACCTACATATCATTCCTTGTCGATTCCTTTGTTCTCTTTTGTTCCCTTGCCCTGGAATTTAAGACTATGAACAGGATGCCATGGAGATGAGGGTAGACTCGAAAAGGGAATGACTGCTAATACGATTTATCCAAACATTATTAGGATGATTGGTTAGGAAAAAAAGTGGACAGATATTGGAATGCAAGGATGGCTTTGGTCTTGAGATGTAAAAGCAAAAGTAGGCTTGAGGATTCATGATGTGTAACATACACCTCCTGCCCCCACAGCTAATTACAGGCAACATAGGATTTGGCAGAACAGGACAACCGGTGATTTGTCTGCTTGATTATCAACTAACATTCTCGACTCCTTCTATCTGTAGTAATTATTCCTATTTGGCATATTTCAGTGCAAAGCTCCTTCATAAATAATAAAGCACGTAACAATTAGTTTAAAAGGCTAAACTCCTAAGAGGAGTTCAAGATAGGGAGGCAACATATCTGTGTTTGCTAGAAAGAAAAGCTTAGCTAACCTCTGAGAGCAATCATTTTTTTTAAGGCAGTTCAAAGATCTGTTTCATTTCTGTGATTTTTGACATTGAGGATGAATGTCTAAAATATTTACAAGTGAAACTGACTAGGTTTTTATTTGAAAAAATACAACAGATTATAGCAAAAAGATTAAGGGCGAACGGATGTACTGGTCTCTATGATTCTGGAATAAATAAGCACTGTTCCTTGGAAATAGTTAAAAAAGAAAAAATTCTCTCTCAATTAGGAAATGGAAAGACATTCAAGCTCTCAACTACGTAAAGTTGTAAACAGTGTGGGTGTGAAACAGCAGTAAAGAACAACGAGACCCTGTGAAGTTGCAACAACAGGAGTAGGTGTATAGCAAATAATAAAAATGCAAGATACAGCTATAAAAATAGAGAAGCATGTGTATCCATAGGAAATAGATCATGCAATAGAGAGAAGCACTAATCTACAGTCATGTGCACAGAGATCAAGTCAAAATATTCAAAATTTAACAAAAAATGAAATGTCACCCAAATGCTCTAAAATAACATGTGCATGAATAAAAATAAAAATCCACAGTCCAGGATGTAAAACCCATGTGAAAAGTGTATCCTATGAGCCAAATTCTCCGAATAAACTGGCGCCCCCTTGAAGAGAAGGAGCACCTCCCCACCTGGGATGGAGGTGCAAATGCTGGCAGTGATTTCAGTGGAAACTCTGCACACACAGAGAGGCCTATGTGTCTTTATTTTACACCTGCTGAATGCAAAGAGCAAGGCTCTGAGGCTTAGGAGAAGCAGTCGTCCCTTCAAATCTTGCACAGTCAGGGTCTAGGGTGCTCAAGGTCTTGAACATGATTGCCTTTTGCCTGTGGCAGGGTCAGGAAAACACCCATTTCTCATCTCTCTGTCTAGCCTTTCTTGGCTCAGTCTCTGTCTGGTCTCCAGTTATTTACTTAGTGTTAGACTTTTCTGTATTTATAATTCCCAGCATGGAGAATAGAGCTTTTTGGAGAAAAGATGTTATTTAAATTATTTTACTCATTTAGGTTAAAAAATATCACACAAGGCTGTACTTGCAGCTCCTTAGAATATAGTTATATATAAACAAAAATGAGAACTGGTATTTAGAATCACGAGTTTACATTTAGGAACAGAGGGAAGATGTGTTGTCAATAAATTAAAATGGAAACTATTCTGTGTAAGAAGAAATTATATCTGAGGTACATTTGTATTAAAGATGACAAAGACAAGTAAGAGATAAGAGACGAAATCTTGATATGACTAAGAAGATACAGATACTTGTCCATGTGCCAAAAGAGGTAATATCTATGAAACGATTCAAAAGAATAAAGACTTTTTAAGATAAAAGGGAATCTTTTGGAATGGTACAAATGAGATATACTTTCTACTGCTTACATACAATATGTACATTTAGAAAAAGGTAAATTCAAATATTTAAGGATGAAGCAAAATAAAATATTTTTTAAATGAAGATCAAGGCTTAGATGAATTTTATCAGCCCAGCGAACCTAATAATATCCAGAAATAAAAATAATTCTTTTGAAGAAAGAAATAGAAACTATTACTATTAACAAAATTGTTCTTTTACTATTCTACATGGTTTACTTTCTGGCTCACATTTTTAAGAAGTTTCTTACCTGGGCTGACTGTTCACCTTTTCATGTTTTCCATTGAAGTTCAAACTACAGAGGCTTTTTGATTTTGAATGTGAAGAGTCTGATTCCAAATTTGCCTGTGTTTGTTCTCTCAAACGATCGTGAAGTGTTGCCTCCTTTTTCAAGTTCATGTCTGAATACGGGCAGCCAAAAGCACTGGTTTGTATAAAAATGAGAGCACAGTCATCAGTATACAGTGATAAATCAGGGATCCATTGTCATTAGAGCAGACTTACACCTAATATTTAAAAATTGCATAGAAACATTCTTCTTTCCCTGAGCACACTCAAATAATAGTTTCTTTTCATATTGCCTTTTGAGAAAATCTCAGGTTCTAGAACCACAGACACTGGTCAACAAAGAATTATAGATAGATTCATCAACACATACGGCATTTATAATTTTAGAAACTTAAAAATCTAAGAATAGCATACAGATGTACTTCCAATGGAACAATGCAAATGTCACATAACACTTAACTCAGTTTGTATCCTCAATATGCATTCCCTGGTTTGACTGTATCAGAAAAGACTATGGGTAACTAAGCATATTTACTGGTATCAGAGAATATTGCGTTTTCATTTCTTAATATTCATGTATGCAGAAACACTCTATCTGCAGATCTGCTTAATCCTCCAGAGCTTTGCTGGGAAGTTTTGGGCTGGGGTGTGAAAGGATACATTGTAGGTGAGAGAGGAGAGGCCCAAGCCCAGGTCTGCTGAGTCTATTATCTCCCCTCACAAGTCAAAGCTGAGTCCTGAGTCCTGGATGTTATCAGAACCCAATAGCAGGCTATGGGCAGAAGGATCTGCCAGGGCCAATGACCTGGTTCCTTCTGCAGGCTGATGGGCTGTCTCCATTAGATCCCTGTGCCCACGTCCCTGTCTCCAAAGAGGCCCCAAAACTCTGCCGCTGCTAGAAATGAGGTTGCTATACCAGGGAAGACACACCCAAGACAGGTCACTTGTACATTACCCTGGGGAAGGTACTTCCTGCCAGAGCTTCAGAGATTCTCCCCAGTGAAATGAGCAAAGGAGATCCAACTCATAAGGGTTAGTGTGACCCTAAGAATTCACAAACACATGCCACACACAAACACACACACATCATGAAATGGTAGCTGTTATTGCCATCATAGTGTTATCACCGGCTACACCTAGAGGAGCACGTGGCCAAATACATCAATATCGAGGCAGTTGATTCTTTTCTGAGCATTCACTTCCTACTCACTATGAATTTGCTGATACATAGTACAAAGTAAATCCATTCTGAATACATGAAAGCTTTCTTTTATTTTAAGGTCATGATAAAATTGTGGACTAGAACAGATTTCTGGTCCACAATTTTATCATGAGTCCAGCGAACATAATAAAAATAAACTGGATCTTCTGGAGAAGGCCATATGCATTCTAACCCCAAAAGGACTTTAGTACCAATATCTAGAATGGACTCTGGAACTGGGGACAGGATGGCTAAGATGATATCAGCCTGGCCCAGCATGATCTATACCTGTATCAGCAACCTTTGCTACAGAGAGAAGGGCGCCTTTACATGCATGTTCTGTAATTTGTAATAATCAGTATTGATCTATTGGTTTATTAATCTATTCAGGTATTGATTCAACAATCCATAAGCATCTGCTACATGCTAGGTACTATAGAGAATATAAATTCAGTGAAGACGTTAAGACATACGTACCAAAAAGTACAATTTATAATAAGAATTAAAAAGCTACCCCTATTGAATGTATGCTATAGGCCCACTATTATACAGGGTGTTTTACATGTATTATTTCTAATGAATATATATTTTTGACTGAATACCCAAAGGTATTAGCGTATTTATTTTACTGGTAAGACAACAGGCTCACACAGTGTAAGCAACTTTACCAAGGCCTTGTGGCACTTTCTTGGGAAGTCCCAAAACAAATCACTTAACTATTGGCACTAATCAGGCTGAAGAAGGGGAACATGGTTTTTTTTTTTTTTTTTTTGAGATGGAGTCTCGCTCCGTCGCCCAGGCTGGAGTGCAGTGGTGCGATGATCTCGGCTCACTGCAAGCTCCGCCTCCCGGGTTCACGCCATTCTCCTGCCTCAGCCTCCCAAGTAGCTGGGACTACAGGTGCCCACAACCACACCCGGCTAATTTTTTGTATTTTTAGTAGAGACGGGGTTTCAACGTGTTAGCCAGGACGGTCTCGATCTCCTGACCTCATGATCCGCCCACCTCGGCCTCCCGAAGTGCTGGGATTACAAGCGTGAGCCACCGCACCCGGCCGGGGACATGGTTTTTAACACCATCAAAAAAAGAAAATATGAAGGAAACCATAGCACAGTCCTTGTGCAGAGAGACCCAGAGGCAAGTATTTACAGGCTAATGCAGGCTTGGTTTGTCCTGGTTGCTGGTGGGGAAGAGCAGGCCAGCATACGCTTGAGTCCTGGGATGAAGCACTATTCCCAACAGCAGCAGAGCAAGAGCGATCTGGTTAAGCTGCACCGTATGGGATTTAAGGAAAATTTCAGAAAGAACTTTCTGTAGGCAAAAGTTGGAAGGCATTAGGCTAACTTAAGAGAGACTGAGAAATATCTTTTTCAAAGACAGCCGAGTTTTCATTAAGATACTATGACTCAGAAGTTTTGCTATCCATCTAGCACACACTCCCAATTTGAGTTTTTTAAATGATCATTATAACCATGAATTTTTTTTTTTGTAATTTCGTGTCACTACCCCTATGTGGTTCATGCTACATGGCACTAATGCTGCCTCTTCCTAAGGCTTACTTATCTGTCCAGCATCTGTAGACAGCTACCACAGACCCCTCCACAGTGAGCTGTTATAGTCATCAGTATTTGCTGATGTCGAGAGATGTTCTGTTTCCCTCAGTCTTCATTCATGAATCAGTCTCTCTGGTCATTCAATCATTCACCTATTTCTAATTTCCTCCTAGTTCCTTTTTTGTCTCTCTGGTAGTAAGGAAGGCAAAATCAAATGGAACCCCAGAGCATTGCTAGAATGGAACAATTCCTGATTCTATGAGGCAAATCATGTGACTTATCTGCACCATTTTGAACCTTAGAATCTGGGTTCTGAGAATCTACTGTGACCAAGTTGCAACACTGTGCTCACTTGGTTCTTTGCAGAGAAATAGCTACATTAAGGAGATGGCATCCCCAACTTTTGCCTGCCTTCTTGCACACTCAGACTCTTACTGGTGCTTATGTGCATGCACGTACGCATGCATGTGTGTGTGTGTTTAAGAGATGCATGATTCTGTATAAATCTATTCACATTGAAAAAAAGAAGACTGAAGTGGACAGGCTAGGTATGATAAAACCACTTTTGAAAGCTTTGGATTTAGCCAAATATTGGGGAAGTACTGTTCTGACATAGTCTCTTCAGAAAGTATTTGAGCTAAGCTGAAGTTTCTATGACTTAAAGTTCTGTTGGTCAAAGTAAACTGTCAGTGTCTGATTGGTAGGGAGTAATATATTCAAATTCCAGTTGGTTGATTATGCATGGAGACAAGCAAGCTTAGAAACTGCAGGCTGAGAGGGGAGTGCTGAGCCACAGTGTCTCTGCTGGAGTCCTGGCTCTTTTGATTCAGAAGAGCATTTCTCCATTCCTCCTTAATTCACAGAAGAATCTGTCATTTGCAGGAAAGGAAGAGACAGCAGCAGCTATTAGCTTGACCCACACAAAATTGCAGTTTTTAAATGTCAAAGACAGTTGAGTATCAGAAATTTTGCATGGTTCTACCAAATAATTTACCAAAAATGTCAGCCCCAACCTCATCAACAGTGAAGCAGTTGAAGAGAGGATATACGCTAAATAAACAAAAAGTTGCCAGACCATTGCAGACAAAGTTTTAAAAGAAAAATGTTTTGACAGATACAAGTAGTCCTCTTTCTTTATAATGGAAGGAAACAGAGTGATTACAATTTAAAAGAATATGGAAGCATAATTTTTAATATCTGATGACAAATGAAAAAGTAAATTTTATTCATTCTAAGAGCAGCATTCCTGAACATGTTTCTGTCTCTGAGTTTTAATGACGTTAGGGTTTGCAAAGCAGCAACACTGAGCCCCTGAGGCTGGACCCCTGCATTTTGGGTGTGGTCCAGGAGGCTCCTCAGACTGAATCTTCTCTCCTTCTTTCCACGGCAGGGGTACCTGATTCCACCAGTTGGGACAGTTTCCCTGTATTCCCAGGACTTATCCTGATGTGAGGTCACAGGTAATCCATTAAGCTCAGTCCTCCATCTTAAAGTCCAGCAGTTCCAGCTGAAGCAGTGCCCCGGTCTGATGTCTGTGCAAATGCCATGCTCAGAAGCCCTAGTCAGCCTTGTGGGCTCCGGTTCCTCTAACTCAGCATCCACTTTGATCCCTGTTTCTAAATGTCTTGCCCTCTGCTTTGACTAGACTCAGGTGCCTTCCTGGTATGGACACCCTAAGTTCCTACTTTGTTTTTGCCATCCCCTTCCCATGACACGACTTCTGCCTCTTACTCTTAAACCTAGGATGTGAGGCTCCACTTCCCAGATGCCACCTGGCCAGTCTTCTATGTGCTTCTCACCCCGAATTATTCCCTGCCAGGTGCTGTGCCCGCCAATTGGGATCCCTCCCTTCCTCTTGAACTCTTCCTATGTGGCTCTGATTCCAAGAGTCTAGATGGTGATTACTGTTGCCAAACCCCTTGGATACCAGATTCTGCTCCTCAGCTATACTCTCCTCTTGCATCAACAATGTTTCATTTTCTCCTACCCAGGCAGGAGACTTGATTCCCACTTCTCTCTGAGAGCCCTGTTCTGCTAAAAGGGTGGGTGGTGCTCTGTGACATCCTGGAGGTGGACAGTTCACAGCAGGAGGTTATAACCAAGTTGTCACGACTTACCTAAGGGTAGCTTCCCAGCCTGTGTGCGGCTACACCCTCAGGTGACCAGGGGGCCCTGGGGCACCAGAGTCCCAGACCAGTCCTTCCAGCCTCCAGCAACCTCTAGGCTCTAAGCCCCCTCTTGTTCCCAAACGCCAATGGTCATTTTTTCTCTGTGACGTGACATTTAAAAAGTTGGGAAGCATGACAAATTTAAGCAAAATGGCAAAGATGTAATAGCCTCTTGAGTGCTGCAGTTCAAAACATAAATAAATAACCCAGAAGTCAGCAGTATTTCGGGAAGAGTGTCAAGTTGTTGACAACCTTTCTTGTGATCCTGAAAAGTAAAGTCGCCCAAAATAGGCAAGTATCTCCCAAGAGGGGCTCAGATGTGGAAACGTGGCTTCCTATAGCCCAGGAATTAGACACACAGACTGTAAAGGGTTCTCTAAATGCAACTAACTCACCCCTCATGAAGCCTAGAGTATTTTATAGTTTAGTCTCAATTATTTTGCTAACCAATTATATTATTTTCCTTCAAGAGGCAGATAAGACAAGACTGAAGAGTCCTCTCTTAACTGAGAGGTCAGATTCTAACAGGTACTGTGTCTGGGTGGGCCGGGGGCATCTCCATGTGGAAGCCTTTATGAAGGAGTAGGTAGGAGGCCTCCCAGAACCAAAGGACAGGAGGAAGCATGAATAGTCATACCTATCAGATAAGGAGAGAGGGCACTGAGACTTGGCAGAGAAAGGGGCTCAGCGATGGAAATGAGAAGGAAGAGGTATATGCTGCCTGCCTCACCATGTGGCCTCAGGTCCTGATGGCAGCAGCAGGCAGCTCTTTCGGAGGATTCTGGGAAGCTGCACGCAGCATGACCACCTCCCGCCCCGGGAAAGCAATGCCTTCCCCACACGCTGTTTCCCTCCCTGCCCTTTCACTTCATAAAAATAACCCGCCCCATTTCAGAACTGTATTGTCTTTAGTATGCAGTAGTCTACTCTCACACAGTATAAGGATGTTAAGTGAATATCTTTTATTCTTAGAAAATACTGATTGGCCAAATGGCACCAAAAGACATAATAAATACCAAAATGCAGATTATTGAAGTTATTGAACAGTGATAGTACTTTTCATCTGACTGAAATTGTTGCTAATTTTACCTCTATGAAGAGTAACAGCAAGTACAGATAATACATGTTGGGATATGGACTGGGAAGTAAGAGCCATCATGAGTTTTTAACATCTGCTGAGGATGTGACATGATTTTTATTACATTGTCCTCAAACACAGACATAGGCAAAACCTAAATTTTTATATATCTATAGATAGATAGATAATGTAAATATATATATATATATATATATGGAGAGAGAGAGAGGAGATTTTCAGGTCTCAAGGTCAATTTTCTTCAAATTCCTGTGGCTGTAAAATCAGTTCACCTAAGATATTTTTCTCTTATTGCAACTAACTTTTGTCCATAAAATAGCTGACACTGTCACTTAATTGTCACTTTATGTACTCAAAAATTTAGTACACACAGAGTAAGAAAAAAGTATAAATGCTTTTTAAAGTTTCATAAGAGTCAAAATAAATCTATATATCTATATCTATCTACCTAACTATCTATCTATGACTCAATGAGTTCAAAGAGTTGGATGAAATGCATTTGATTCTAAAAATACATTTCCCTGGGTTAACACAGCTTGTGAAATCCTGGATATTATAATCTTCTGTATGTGGCCACTTAGGAAGCTGGAAGATAATTACTACCTAAATTAAGCATTGTAATCCGTTTAGTATAGTGGTGAAAAGTGTGGAGTTGAGAATTAGAGAAAATTGGAAGAAAGCTACTCGCTCTATAACCTTGGGCAAGTCATTCAACTCCTCTGTTTTTCATTTCCTCATCTATAACATGGTGATAATAATATCTTACAGGGTTTTTTTGTGAAAACTAAATGAGATAATCCATGCAAGGCCTCACATAGTGACCAGCACAAATTAAATGCTCATAAGTTTTTAATTTTAAAAAGGCCTATTCTGATACAAAATACTAATTATCCCATTTATTGTGGTTATTGTATTTTTCAATTCTAAAATTTCCATTTGGTTCTTCTTTTATTTTCCATTTCTTTGGTAAGACTTTCTATTCTGTCATTTGTTTCATATTTATTAAAATTGCTTGTTGAATCATCTTTATAAGAGCTGCTTTAATTCTTGTGAGATGATTCTCACATCTGTGTCATCTGTTCATGGCCTTTTCTCACTCAAGTTGAAATTTTCCTGGTTCTTGGTATAATGAGTGATTTGGGGTTGACACCTGGACATTTTGGGGATTATATTGTGGGACTCTAGCTCCTATTCAACTTTCTGATTGGCAGGCCTCCTTTCACACTGCTTCAGTAGGGGAAGGGGGGCACTTCCTCGTAGTTGCCATGTGGAGGTAAACATCCTCCCTAGGCACCCCTGGATGCCACCCTGGCTGAGAGGACACAGATCCATGTGGCTTCCATTGGCACCAGGTGGGGAGTGGGGGAGCAGTGGCCCTGTTAATGTTGGGCTGCAGGGAAAGTCCTGACTCCACTGGCCTCCTGCGACACCACCCTAGCAGAGCTGGGAGGGGACACTGCACTACCACTGGATGAGGGCGTAGGCCCAGGCTCCCCATGTGATCTCCACTGATGCTGGGGGCAGGCTGTAACCACCCAGCATGGATGAAAGCCCCATTTCCCACTCAGCCTTTGCCTTTCATTGGGGGAGATGAGTTGGGGCCCCTTGTTCCGGATCCACACTCAGTCTTCTGTGGGGATGAAGGTGTTTCCTGGGGTGTTTGGTCAGAGAAAGGTGGTTATTGTCTAAAGTTTCCATCTTGCTACACTGCCCCTTTGCTGGTCCTTTAACTAGAGAGATAAGCCTCTTCTCGGGGCTATTTTTGCCTGTTCCATTGGCTTTTCCAGGTTTTCCGCTTCTCCAACAACCAGTCCAGGATATATGAGGAGAAAGAAAACACAGGGATCTCACTACTGTGCTGTTCCCTGGGTCTCCAGGTCCCCAGCTGGTCTGCGTCCTTCTCTCCACCTTTCAAAGTCTTCCTCTGTTTGCTTGATGTATAATGTCCAGGTTTGCGTGGGAGGAATAGAGAAAAATATGTCTATTCCCCTTTTCTGGAAGCAGAGGTCCCCTAATGATCCTTTTAATGTTAAGGATTTTATTGGAGACTCCTCCTAAACAAGCACCCTCTCCCTACTTCTCTTTCTAAATGAAGAACTTGTTCTACTTAACTAAAGCACCCACGAAGGACTGTGGTAACAAAAGAGGCTTTCAGTACAGGCCAGACTGAGTTTCAATCCTGCTTCTAAGCCCAATCCTTACCCTCTCCAGCTCACAGTTTCCTCTGCTGCAACCTGCAGACTCGAATCCACTCATGTGTCAGTCTAAGAGGTGCTCTGAATGGAGAGGACTAAGTACATTTCATGGCATATGTGCATTCAATAAATGCGATTTCTCTCCAACTCTAATTTATCTTTCTATAATTCATGTTCCTGTTGATTACAGGTATTCAATTTTCACATTGCAGAAGCATTCCAGAAGAAGGAGCCATTATTTCTTTCTTCCTTTCCTTCCACTTGTTATAAATATGTGCCCTTAGACCGAAGTCGAAATTCTTTTGCATGGCATTGAAAGACCCCTTCCATCTGACCCCAGGCCACCTTTTCAAGACATTCCCATCTTCACTCCCTATAAAACCTAAGCTCTGGTCACATCAAAATAATCACTGCCCTCCAGTTTTAACGCACACCTCCCAACTTTTATTATAGTTTCCTCATTATAGTATTGTTTGTATATATCCATCTTCTCTACTATAACTAAATTTCTTAAAATCAGAGGCTGTAATTGTTTATCAGCTTGAACTGAGTAAAATTGGGCTATTTCATGCTTCAGCAGCTCAGCAGCACATCAGTGTCTAAAGAAATACCAGTCATGTATCTGGTATATGGCAAGTTATCTATTTATTGATGTCACTCAAATTGATGCCAAGCAAGATTTTAAGCTTAGACATCTAGCGAAAAGCTTTCCCATATCTCAATCAGTGCAGAACTTGTTCTCAGTCTCTCATCTCACTCCCTTAATCAGTGTCTCCAAACTCAGGCCATGTTTGTTCCTCTCTTTCCAGTCCCCCTATTTAGCCATCCCAGGTCAACTTCTTCCTCTGAGGAGCTACCTTTGTCCTTCTAGAAAGATTAATCAAGCCTTTCTCACATTCTGACTCCTGTATCCATTTTCTAGAAGAAACAACAAAAGCCCAACTGCAAAACTGGAGAACTATCCCCATCCTGGAGCACATTTATCTTCTATCACAATTTAGCCCACTGGGCTCCTGGTATGGTTGTGAAAATATTCACAAATTTGAAAGTGTAAAGACTAGAGCACATGGCAAGAAGATGAACTCTGCAGCTGGTGCACACAGAAATAGATGAACATGAAGGGCAACCTCCACTGGAGCTATGAGCTTAATCATTTCATTAATGTCTGCTCAAGTACCAAAAAGTCAAACCCAAGATGTGATATTTAATTGGTATGCATTAAGAGATACCCTTTAATTGGGCTGGCACATTATCTATGCTGTTTGTTATAGGTAATAGTTTCAGCAAACTAGACAGGAAGGAAAAAATGCATTAAGAGTGAAGGTGAAAGAGAGAGCGAGAGTGTGTGTGTGTATACTACCCTTCCTCTAGAATATCTTAGTGTATGATTACTAGAAACTTCCAAGGTATAAAGTACACTCAAGGAATGTAATAGCGTGCTATGTAGCAACACTAATGGCCTTTACAAAATTTATGCTGAAACCAGTTTAATGTACTGTAAGTAATTTGTCTAATTTATGCATGGAGAAGATCTGATGAATAGAATCTGCAGTTTAAAATTTTTTACCAAAACTCTAACTACACAGTTAACATTAAGCACTAAATTAAACAAATGAAGTTATTAAAATGCTACATTACTAACTCAATTGAAACAATTATAGTGATAAGTTTGTGTCTGTTATTAAAATGAACTTTTTTCTTAGTATATACAAATTGTTTTCACCTTTTTAATTGTAACATTTTGGTTAAGTGGTATGAACATGTCAAGATTAGTTTTAATTGAAATATTCTAGTTTTAAAAATATTTTCTGCAAAAACCTTTACAGTATGTTTTTCCTCTTTTTTAAAAAAATGCATTGTTTTTAAACAAAATGTCACAGGAGTGAAAGCATTTATCTTGGAAGTTGTTCAAAGGACACCTGGAAAATAACTCAAAATGCCTTCAAGCACAATTTCAAAAATTATTCATGAATTAAAAGTATGCATTTTGGCAATGAATCATAATTCCATCTTTTGGAAGGCCCTAAGTTCAATATACTGAATTTAAATGAAATTGTTAACAGTTTCCTGAATATGCATGAGAATATGTTTACATAGGTATATATTTATGTATACCCGCAAGCATCTAACCTGTGTGTTAAACATTAATATTGAACCAATGCCAACAGCACCCTGAAATGTTTTGAAAGTTCTTTCTCAAAGTGATAAATTCACAGTTATCTTGACAAACCTATGCACTGAGATTAGAAGTGCAGTCTGTGTGGCAGAAAAAGAAAAGCCAGACTAGCCCATCTTTCAACTGCCTGGGCCGAGTGTTCCCAAACACTAACAGCTACAAGAAGATTTGCAGAGGTCCTGCTGCCCTCCCCACAACAAGCCATGCTCTGCGGAGTCCTGTGGGGCACTGCAAAAGCATGCATTTCGGATCTCAATTCAAAAGGTGGCCCAGCTCCTCCTTGGGTCAGAGTTAAAACAAGAGATAACAAGTATTGGTGAGGATGTGAAAAAACTGGAACCCTTCTGGTGAGGATGTAAAATAATTCAGCCTCTTTAGAAAACAGTATAGAGGTTCCTAAAAAAATTAAAAATTACATATGATCCAGCAATCCCACTTCTGGATATTTATCCAAAAGAACTGAAATGAGCACGTCAAAGAGATATTTGTACACCTGCATTCATTGCAGAATTATTCATAATAGACAAGAGGTGGAAAGAATCTAAATGGCCATTGATGCACAAAAGGATAAAGAAGATATGGTATATACATACAATGGTATATTATTAAGCCTTAATAAAAAGGGAATCCTGCCACATGTGACAACATAGTTGAACCATGAGGACTTTATGCTAAATAAAATAAGCCAGTCACTGAAGAACAAATACTGCATGGTTCCACATATATGAGGTATCTTATGTAGATAAAGACTTAAGAAGCAGAAAGTAGAATGGTGGTTGCCAGAGGCTGCAGGGAGGGAAAATGGGGAGTTGCTGTTCAACAGGTATAAAGTTTTAGTTACCCAGATGATTAAGTTCTAGAGATCTGCTGTATAACATTGTGCCTATAGTAAGCAATACTGTATTTGTACATTAAAATATTGTTACGAAGATAGATCTCATATTGTTTTTACCACAATTGAGAAAAAGAAAAAGTTGACCTTTTATCATTCCATAGTCTTCAGATAAACACTGATTTGTAGATTCATATATGTATAGATATATTCCATATTAAAGAAGTTGGTTGCCAATTATATTCTTTCCAAATTAATTAACACATCGAAGGCAAATGTATTTTGTAATTTAGAGTTTGTAAAGCAATATTGTCCTTGATAGAAATAAGAACCCAAATTAGAAATCTTCATGAAATCTTAAAGGGAGCTCTTTAAAAACAGCTGTTTTAAAAAGACAAAACGACCCTGAGATATTAAAAGATTGGGGGCATTAATATAATTGGTGATAAGGATGAACGTCTATTTCTTTCAAGAGAATATGATCAATATTACTTTTTCTGCCATACACTATTCTAAATTATTATTCAAATAATTGGTTTTTCAAGTATATGTTGTTGAGAACACCACCAATTTTTTTTTTTTTTTTTTTTTTTTTGAGACAGAATCTCGCTCTGTCTCCCAGGCTAGAGTGCAGTGGCATGATCTCAGCTCACGGCAACCTCCGCCTCCAGGGTTCAAGCGATTCTTCTGCCTCAGCCTCCCAAGTAGCAGGATTACAGGCACATGCCACCATGCCTGGCTAATTTTTGAATTTTTAGTAGAGATGGGGTTTCACCATGTTGGCCAGGCTGGTCTCGAACTCCTGATCTCAGGTGATTCTCCTGCCTCGATCTCCCGAAGTGCTGGGATTACAGGCTTGAGCCACTGCACCCAGCCAATATTTTATAAAAGACTATCAGTCTAGGCAGGGCGCAGTGGCTCACGCCTGTAATCTCAGCACTTTGGGAGGCCAAGGCAGGCAGATCTCCTGAGGTCAGGAGTTTGAGAACAGCCTGGCCAACATGATGAAACCCCGTCTCTACTAAAAATACAAAAAATTAGCCAGGAGTGATGGCGGGTGCCTGTAATCCCAGCTACTCTGGAGGCTAAGCCTGGAGAATCACTTGAACCTGGGAGGTGGAAGTTGCAGTGAGCTAATATAGTGCCATTGCACTCCAGCATGGGCAACAAGAGTGAAACTCTGTCTCAAAAAAAAAAAAAAAAATGAAAAAAGACTCTCAGTCTAACCTAAAATATATGAATAGATATTTTCATTTCTATTAAATTTAGGTAGTAAAATTATAGAAAAATCAAAGAAAGATACCATCAAAACACAACTTGATTAGTCTAATATTAAGAGCAACAACAGGTCATAGTGCCATAGTTTTTACTATACATGATACCCTGAATTAAGTTTCCTTTATATATTAGCTCATGCAATTCTCAAAATACCCCTGTGAAGTAGGGACTGTTATTATCTGCATTTTATGGATGAAGGAACTGGGGTACAGAGGTTAAAGAAGTCATTGTAGGCCAAACAGCTAAGAAGTTATACAGATAGGACTGAATCCCCAGGCAGCTTGATGCCAGGGTCTAGTCTTTTAACTACTCTGCCAAACTGCTTCTGGGGCTAGATTTTTCTCTGAAGACATTACAGAAAATAAAAATTATGAAACACCTGGCACAATGCCTTGTACATACTAGGTACTTTGCCAAATGGATACTGATGATATTAACATATTTATATAACACCCTTGGTATTGGTGGTTGTATATGGAGAAGAATGAGTAGGGAACATAGAATACTTTGAGGGAATTTGAGCTGTTTAGTGTTTTTAAAATTTCATTCCCGAATGTACTGAGTTGCTGCAAGAATAAAACATGGTGAAAAAGGAATTCTTTAGAACAAAGGCACATTCTCTGCATGGGATGAACTGTAATGTGGAGAACTGGCCATCTGGATAATTTCTTATGGGGACAAGCTGTAATTTATAAAACCCTGAGAAAAGAGAAGAAAATAGAGAAGAGAGAGCCTTGACTTTCTGCCAGAAAAAGGCTTTAAAGCTCTATCCTAGCAAGTTTTAAATGGAAATTTAAATATTTCATACCCACATATACACATACTAAAGCTGCACCTACCCAGTCAAATACAACATTTTACCTTACACAGCTTTACAAGCATCCAAATAGTATCCTATTTTGGTTAAAGTCAGGATTAGGAAGCAAAAGCCTCTGCCATTTAAATCCATCCACAAATCTCTGTAGAATGTCCCTGTATGCACAGCCCTGGACTAGGGATGTGGTGCCCCAAATATGGCAAGGGTCCCACCTCAAGGGGCTTTGACCTGGGGACTACAAAAAATGTGAATTACAAACCTGAAAGGCAAATGTAGGCAAATATTGCTGTTTATTATAATTATGTATATGTTTAAAAATGATATATCATAACAATAGGCATATATACTTATTAAGCATTTAATATAAAACCAGGCATTAGAATAGTGCTTATGATTTCATTAATAGTGCACATTATTTCATTAAATAAATATAATATAAAGAAGTTAAGTTTTCATAAAATTGCTCCTGTTGCCGCCCTTGTTGTTTCCTAGTTTGCTGCAGAGGAGGCAGAGGCAGGTTCTTGAAATAGGACTAGCCTCAATCAGTTCAAGAGAGGAGACAGAGCCAATGGGCTGAGGGGTGGGCCTGGGAAGGACCCTTCCTTGTGATGGGGACCAGAGGACAATGTCTGGCTAGGAGCTCAACTGATCACAGATTCAGTTGGCTCTCGAATTGGGAAAGTGTCTAGACAACGGTCTGGAAGATCATCCTCACTGCGCGGGCTGTGAGGAGCAGCCTGAGGGATGGGGACAGGACCTGGACAGCATGCAGGCGGTCTGGGTAAGTGGCTGCAACAGAAGGAGTTGTTGGATCTGAACACACTCTACAAAAATAGTGGTACTTGGAAGCTTAATAAATTTGGGAGTTGTTAAAGAAAACAATGGAATGGAAACTCATGAGTGTGATGATAAAGATGGGAGGGCAGAGATGCTGATGTGGAGCTAAGATAATAAACGTTGTTACTAACATTTTAAGTGACAGGACTGCCATATAATTCTGGATTCATTCTGCAGGTGAGCAGAGGTAGAAAACTCGGACATGAAGATGACTTTTGGGGCACCACCAGCAGATGCCTGTGGCTGAAGCAGAAGATAGATGCATTCTCAAAGTTTCAGCCTGCTCACAGATTGGCCACTGCACATTTCGTGTATCTATTTAATATTGCCTGGAAATCTCCAAAGGTTTTACCGAACACCACTTGTTTACTTTGTACCTTGTTTACTTTGCCCAAGTGACAAGTGAGAAACAGGATTAACCACTTGAGCTCCCCCAAAAATCGCGTGCCATGCCAACAGGAAGGAGCTGGTCTGAAGAGGCTTCCTCCCCCATCTACGTCACTTGCAACACACTCCTGGAGTGGGGTTCTCATCTAATTTGAGCAAGGAGACTCTCAGCCCTTGCTACACTAACTAAAACAGGAGTGTCACGCATGGTCCCTGGTCTCCAACTGCAGTCCAGGTTGTGGATAGTTAATGACAGCCATAAATGGTCGAGCACATATGCCTTAGTCTAAAGATACTTTCAGACATGAACAACATCACTGCAGCCAGGGGAAGACTCCAGGAGGATGTGGGACTTGTGCCTGGCACTGAGGGGAAATAATATTCAAAACAGCAGAAAAAGTTTTCTTTTGTCTTTAAATTCGTCAATTTAAAAAACTGTCTATAAAAAAACAGTTACAATAGAAATTTTCCAGTTGCATGTGTTGTTGGCAAATCTGTGTGGATAAGCTGGTATATTAAGCTCTCTAGATGTGTTAGTTATACAATCTATGAAGACTGGAACTAGGTCCAATTTGCAATAATATATATTATTCAGGACCATGAACTGCTCTCATCATGATTTTATAGAATGGGATTTCACAGCTAGAGTCACTGACTAGGAGTCCATCCATTAAAAAAAAATTAATTGAAACAGTCAATCTCAGGGCATTTCTAGAGCTCAGAAGCACTAGCTCAATGCCTGTCCCATTTCTCCTCCTCTGGGCCTTCTGAGGGCCCCCTCTTTTGCTTTTTGGGGTACATGTGGCTCTCCACATCCTCAGATTCAACCAACCACAGATAAAAAATCTTTGAAAAAGAAACTCAAACAATTAAAAATAACACAAAAAAACAAATATAGTATAACAACTATTTACTTAGCATTTACTTTATAGTAGGTATTACAAGGAATCTAGAGATGATTTAAAGTGTACAGAAGAATATGTATATGTTATAGGCAAATACTACACCACTTTATATAAGGGACTGAGCATCTTCAAATATTGGTATTCTCCAGGGTCCTGGAACCAATGTCCTATGGGTACCAAGGAATGGCTGAATTGAGACTTTCAAGGGACTATGAGTCTATGCAGATGTGTACTTTTAGAGGGAGTTTAAGGTAGGGATGGTCTGGAGGAAGAAAACTAGTGAAGGTACATCAGGATTTCTTTTTGGTTTTATAACATGCAGTCTCTTTCTCAATAGATCACATGATCTTTTCTCTGAAAAATGGCCAATATCTTTTAGATCAATAGTGGACCAATTTTTAACCATGAATTTAGATCAAGACTGGACCACTTTTTAAGAAACGTTTTTCTGTTTCCTTCTGATTTTATTTTTTTATACCATGTGCGCAGGCATTATGTGTGTGCATGTATGTAGACAGATTTAGTCATTGTCATAACCATTGTTATGAGGCTTGCATTTCTCGTTTCTAGGATAATCAACTCCAAGTTCCTGGGCACCAGTGACAGCCCTGTGGGTGACACAGTAGCTGTCCAGGACGTCCCTGCCCCTTTGCTGGCCTGAGCACCCCTCTAATAGGCTACATGCTCTTCTTGGAGGCCCTTTCTGAATGATTCATTAATACCATTCCAGAGCCTGTTTGGGGTCAAAATCCTTGTGAGAATCTGCTGAACATTGTGGAGCCCCTGGCTAAACAAATGCCCACGTGCAAACCTACACAAAACCAGCAGATCTGTCAGTGAGCTCACAGCCCCCTTGGAAGCTGCCCGTGCACCCCAGAAGATGCCAGGAGGCCAGGGAGAGTCTCAACATGCAGAGGATCCCTAACAACTATGGGTCCCCGATCCTCTCTTTATTTAAAAATGAGAGAGATTTTCATTACTTCTTCAAACTTTCATTTGGTCTTTTTCTAATATTTCCTTTTTCCCTTAAATAAAAGAGAAGTGGAAGGTCAGTGCACCCTCCAGGCACTGAGTCATCTGTCAGCCCACGTGCACTGGGGCTGATAGACTCTGGATCTGGACCAGGGCAGGCCGAGGTGGACTCGCACACGGGGTGAAGGAGGAGTGGATGGCATCAGTCTGTAGAGCCAAGGACGTGCCTTAACACAGTTATTTACTAATGGCCCACAGATATGATTTAAAACAACTTTGTGGTGAAGTATAATAACTCAGTCTACATACTCCCTCCCAGGCTGGGAGTGTCTCTGCTTCTAACGGGAAACTCTAATGCCATTTACATCTCAGACCCCTATTGAGTTTCAAAATTTAATCCACTGGTAGTAGAGTGAAAATATGTTGCACTTACCATTATTTTGGAAATGTCATCTGTACATTTATGAGAGTCAGTTTTTACACACACATACACATACCTGGTCTGCTTTTGTATCTCTCTCTCTCGTGTGTGGTGTCTGTATGCGTGTGTGCGTGCATGTCAGTGGACACATGTATGTGTGGGGGCTGCATGTGTGTGTGCATGTGAATATGTGTGTGTATCCACATGTATACATGTGTATGTGGGGGGTTGTATGTGTGGCATGGGTGGGTGGGTGTGTACATGTGGTTGTACACGTGTGCGGGGTGTGTGGCTGTGTGCACATGGGTGTACATGTATATGTGTGGTGTGTGTATGTGGGTGTACATGTGTACGTGGGGGGTTGTATGTGTGGCATGGGGGGGTGGGTGTGTACATGTGGGTGCACATGTGTATGTGTGTGGTGTGTTTGCAGGTGGTTGTACATGTGTATTGTGCAGGATGTGAGTGTGTGCATGTGGGTGTACACATGTATGTGTGGTTTCTGTATGCATCAGAGAGGACATGGTCAATGACAGCTATACATGAGCATCACTTGTCTGCCTACAGTTACTATTTTGTAGAGTAATAAAAGAACAAGGGTAAGAGAGGAGGAAAGTGCTGGATAGACGCATTCTCATTTTCTAATTTTCTGTGTGTTCGTGGAATTTTGTTCATGCCCATTTCCAGCTGGTCTCAGACCTGTGTATAAATGGTTCCTTTCCTCCTTATACCCCTTTGTTCCCCTTCCTCCCACCCCCCAGGTCCTATCTCTCCTCTGCCCTCCTTTTCTTCCTTAGCAATGAACAATGCCTAGACCAAGAGTTGCATTCACCATTTGCAAGGAAAAGAAAGAACCTAAGAAGAGAAGCAAGCAGGAAGAGAAGGATCAGAAAAAGAGAATAAGATGGAGCCGGAGAGGTGAGAAAGAGAAATGAGATAAATAGTGCTGCAAAGGAGTGAAAATGAAAGGAAGATGCAAATGGATAAGGGTTTTCTTTGGGGCTGATGAGAGTGTTCTAAAATCGTGGTGATGGTTGTACAACTCTGTGAATTCATTAAAAACCATTGAATGGGTGTAAATAACCACTTTAAATGAGTGAACTGCATTATATTTGAATTATAATGTAATAAAGTTGTTATTTTAATAAAAGTGACTTAGGATTTTTTAAAACAATTATTATTATTTTTTAAGCACACTAGTCCCTGGGCCAACTTTATGCAGAGCAATGCTGCTCTGCTAAGAGCCCCACTTCAGCCCATGATATCACTTGCATATTGAGGTTCCATGGCACATGGCCTTTCCTTGTCACTAGAGATGGAGAATCCAAGAGGAAGCTGAAAATGCGAAAGGGAGAGACAGAAGAGAAGAAACAGCCCGCTGCAAAGGGTGTCTGCTCAGTCTCTCCAGCGTGTGAACGACTGAGCATCTGCCCTTCTCTTCTGAGTGCTGGAACACATTTTATTTATTTATAATTGACAAAATTATATAGATGTATATACATATATATATATTTACTGTGCACAGTATGATGTCTTCAAATATGGATACATTGGAGAATGATTCAATCTAGCTAATTAACATATGTATTACCTCTCATACTTATTTTTTATGGTGATAACAATTAAAATCTACTCTCTTAGCAATTTTCAAGAATACAACACATTGTTATTAACTAGAGTCGACATGTTGTGCAATATATCTCCTTGACTTATTCTTGTAACTGAAATTTTGTGCCAACATCTCCGTAACCCCACCCAGTCCCTGGTAATCACCTTTCTACCCTCTGCTTCTATGAGTTCAGCGTTTTTAGATCCCATAAAGTGAGCTCATTCAGTATTTATCTTTGCTAAATAAATTTTATTAGGTGAAAACAATTAACTAGTAGAGATGCCCACTTGCTTAACAAGGCTAAACAACTTCCTGACTACTGCAAACGCACACACACACGCACACACATCAATGTGAACTGAACTAATGACCTCAAGTCACTGTCAAGACAGTCCTGTTCTGTCTCTAAAATTATAGACTTTTAAACCTATTTTTAAAAGGAATTGATCCTAACATTACATTCTTTGACAACCGAGGATCGCATCTTTTCTCCATAGTTAGTCTACCTTCCAGTGAAATCTCTCCCTTTGCTGCACTGGCACGTCACACTGACTGACTGGGAAAGCGGATAAGCATGTCTTTAGGTATTAAAATTGAGTGCATCACAACTATAGCCTGTAAGGAAGGCACAAAGATGCTGTGCATGTTCTCTGGCTGCACAGAGGCCTCTTCCAGCTTACTCCCTGTGTCTCAGCTTTGCTCTACATACACAAATCTGCAAATAACTAATCTCTGGATAAGCGCAGGATGTCCCTATTTTAAAATCTCTGCTCCGTATTCAGATTCTGAACCTGAAATTGAGAATACCCAATTTTTGTCTGAATCTCCAGCAATACTTAAAATACAATAAAAGTATAAGTTACATTTAAAATATGGCAGGTATATACTACTCATTATTTGGAAGTTTAAAGAATATAGTGTTTAGGATGTCATAGTTATATTTATAAAAAAAGAAATTGGCTTTTGGAGAGGAAGTCTCTTCTCAATTTCTCAATGGGATTCAAATTTAAATTAATGAAAGGTAATCTTTAAGATGCATGATTGATACAATAGCTTCCTTTCAGTTCTTAGTACATTTAGAATTAATCAAATTATATAGCTAATTAGGGGGAGAAATTGCCTCTATAGTGTCCGGGAATGCACATGGTAAGTGATGAATTTTTTCATTAGTGTTAATGAGCTGTGCCTGGTTAACTCCCCGGCACATCGCAGAACAGAGCCCATATCATCTGTCTTCCATATTTAATCCAATTTGTTTGTATACTGCATCTTTCACTCAGTGTTTCCCAAAAAGCAATTTCAGGGATGATAACATTATAAGAAAATATGAAACTGGATATATTGATAACAAAAACAAAGAAGATGGACTGGAGTCTTGGGAAAAACAAAGATTAGTCTTCATGTTTTGTAGGCAACTAACTCATATCTGATTAGTATTAAAGACTAACACATTCATTCATGGAAACGGGAATTGTATCTTCTGTTTTTAGAAACTGTGATATAGAGGATAACAAAGACTGTAAAAGAAGGCTTATTCAAAATAGTTTGAAAATGCTACATTATATAACAAACCTGATAAAGCTCTGTAAACTGTGACAGTGTATTAATTGGAGGCAAGTGTGGGCAAAAAAAAAAAAAAAAAAAGCAAATAAAAAACAAAAAGTAGCAACTTGTATTAATATAACACTTCACTTCCAAAATGCTGAAAGATTACATAGAATGATGTGACAGTGGCTCCTGTAGGCTCCTTTGAACCCTCTAAGTGTTTATTTTGCTTTATTTGGTAAAAATGGAAAAAGTTTTCTGAAACATATTTACCAATTCACTTGATTCAAGATCACTAACCTGCTACCTTCCTCTACTCCACTCCTAGGGTGCTTTTCTTTTCACATCCTACTAATAATGAACAACTCAAAGATAACTTGAGTTCATGGCTATACTTACTTTTTCAAACACTGGATATTGAACGCCCAGTAACACCAATAATGAAACAAGGTGTTTTAAGTTGTTCCAATGTACACTTGCACAATGTTTGGAATTGTCCTGCATCTGGAATACAATGTCATCACTGATGTTTGTCCACAGTCTACCTACTTGGAGATTAAGACCTAATCCAAATGAAATCCTTCCCTCTCGTCCTTCCTCCTTTTGCTTTCTTCCAATATTAATTGAGCACCTACTTGATGCCAAGAACTGTTGTAGGCATTGGAGATACTGTGGTGAGCTACACACAAACACACACAGACACACACACAGACATCTACATAAAATAAGATTAACATGTAAACATACAGATTCAGATGACAGTGAGTAAAGCAGGGAGCAGCATGCCCATGCTCCTGTGTGTGCCAATGGCCTCACTGAAGGAACTTGAAGGAGATAAGAGCAGGGCTGGGCCTCCCCTCTGCTAATAAACAGCCCTTCCCTGCCACCTTCTTATTTAATGCAGTTGGCTGACTCCACTAATATGCCACAGTGACCATCACTTCCTCTAGGAAGCTTCCTGTCACGACTCCACTTGAAATTTATCTCTCCCTCTTTAGTACTAAAACCCTGGGTATCTTTTTCTGTGCTTCTTTTAAAATACTCATAATTTGTTCTTTTGTATTAAGTTATCTGTATTCATATATTTTGTATACTTTCAACATTATTATACAAGCTCCTTGATAGTATGTATACTCCCTTTATCATTTCTTGTAGATTCTGTCATAGTGCCTTGGACACAGCAATATTTCAACCAATGTTTCCAGAATAAATAATCAGTCAAGAATATCAATGAAGCAAAATTGCATTTCCAGAATTGCATCACTCCTTGCTCAATATCTGCCATTTGATTTATCTGAAACCTTTTTTCCATTATTTGCTTCTTAATATTAGGATTCTCAAATCTATTTTTCAAAAAAGCTTACAAAAGCTATCTTATTGGTTTCCATCCACTGGTGTGCCAGGCACTCTGTGAGGATGCAGGACCCAGTGATGGTCACTACATACTGCTGCCTTCAGTGCTGAGGGAGGATGAGTCAAAGGATACCTGCAACGGTGGTGCAGGTTCACTTAGGGGTGGAGACACAGTGCTTTGGGAGACACAGAGGAGGTCACACAGCGGAGAGGAGAACACAGCGGAAGGGCAGCCATGGAAACCTGGTAAGTGATGTGTACATTGTATTATAATGGTTGGGGGTTCACCAAGTGAAGTGTCGGTGAGATTGGGACAGTGACAGGCTCTTCAGCAGCCAGAGAAGCAAGCTCATTTTGAAGGAGATGGCGTGTAGCACATTCCAGAGCTTGAGTGCAGCTACAGTGTTGATGGGCCTTATAAGCTGTTTGAATGGTTTTTGAGAAATGGGCAGCCATTGGGAGGTGCTTAAAGCAGAGTGGTGGGACAGTGAGATTCACATTTGGGAATGATTGGTCTGACTGCAGTGAGGAAAACAACCTGGTGGCCCAGTAAGGAGGGTGCTGAGTGATTCAGTAGAATGGGCATGAACTAAAGCACAGGTGAATATGGCGATGAAGAGGCAAATCTGGAAGAATTTAGTCATAATCAGAATCTATTGACAAGACTGGATGATTCACCATCGGGGTAAGAGAGGGAATGGGTTAATAATGACATCTCACTTTACAGGTTTCATAACTGGACACATGATTCTACCCATCCCACCCATTTGGGTGGAGGGAATGAGGTCAGCTTTGAATATGAGAAGCCAGCAACTACCTACAAGGCGATGCTCATTGGACAGTTGAATATATGGGTCTCTGTTCAAGGGAGCCTGTGCCAGAGGTGTCTATCAGAAGCCGAGCACATTTAAATGTGTCTGAAGCCGTGGTCAAAATGAAACCATGGGAAGACTCAAGGAGGGTTTACAGAGTAAGCATGGCATGAAGTAATCTTCATCCTTCATGTGCATTAGAATCACTCAGAGGACTTCAGAGTAAGCATGGCCACGAAGTCGTCTTCAGACCTGTGTACATCAGAGCCACCCAGAGAATTTTAAAGCAACCTCAGTATCTGGGCTCCACCTCAAGTCAATACAGATGCCCTGGGAGGTGGGGCCCAGGCCTCTGTTTGCTCGGCGCAGTCCTTGTGATCCATGCACAGCCAGTGTGAGGAATTTCTGCATGGGTTGGGCAGAGAGGAGGACCAGAAAGAACCCTGAGCAACAGCATCTTGGGAGTGGGTCAAGTGGGACAAGGCAGACTAAGGAGCAAGAGAGAACAACAAGAGAAGGCAAGATCATAGAAAGCTGGACAGAGATGCTCTAATAGCTAAAGTGGTAGTGAAACTGGAGCAAAATCAACACCAATAGTGCCGCAGAAGAGCAGGACATAAAGGGGTTTTAAAAGGACCACAGGGTTCAGCAACAAGGAGGCTTAAGGTGACCTGGCCAGAGCTGGGAGTGGCACTGTAACCAGAGTCATGTGACAGGGCTCCAAGAAGTGCTGGGGGCATGGGAACGGGAGGACAGGCCATCCCTCTGTCCCTCTAGGATGCGTTACATTGTTGTTGTGGTTGTTGCTGGTTTTTTTTTTTTTTTTTTTGAGATGGAGTCTTACTCTGTAGCTCAGGCTGAAGTGCAAGTGGCACACGATCTCAGTTCACAGCAACCTCCGCCTCCCGGGTTCAAGCGATGCTCCTGCTTCAGCCTCCCAATTATCTAGGATTACCGGCATGCACCACCCTGCCCAGCTAATTTTTGTATTTTTAGCAGAGACAGGGTTTTGCCCTGTTGGTCAGGCTGGTCTCAAACTCCTGACCTTAGGTGATCCACCTGCCTCGGCTTCCCAAAGTGCTAGGATTACAGGCATGAGTCACCATGCCCAGGCACAAAAGTTATCTTGAAGTAGAGAAAAGTTGTTTGTTTTTAGAGAGATTTGGACATGATTAAGTTTTTTTGTTGAATATATCCCAAATAAAAAGGCATAATACATACGCATGCTGTTTATAACATAATTATAAAGCAAATACCTGTGTAGCCAGCATCATGGTCAAGAAACTAAATACTTCCAGCCTTACAAAAGCCCCATGTGCCTTCCAAACCCTGTGTTGACCTTTGCTCGGTCACTTCTTTGCTTTCATTCGTACTGTTACCATCTATGCATGTATCCCTATGCAACACTGCTTAGTTTTGTGGGTTCCAGAACTTCCTATCCTTTGCATTACACCATATGCATTGCTTTGGTGTTGCAGTAGTTTTCACACAACGTGATGTTTGTGAGATCCACGCATATTGTTGTGTCTGGCTGCAGCTTATTCCTTTGCATGGCTGCATAGTTTTCCTTTGTACAAATATAGTCAGAGATCTTGTGGAAAAATCCCTTAGAATGGAAGAGACTGAGGGTCAATAAGCGGGACTAATTTATAGACAGGTGACTGACAAAGGTGGGGTGAGGTCAGAGACTGGCATGAAACAGAAGGAAGGACTTGGTTTTGTCCTGCCAGGATGAGGGAGTCATGATTGGGTGGCAATTATTTTTTCAGCAAAGTAGGAGCTGAGGTCTGTCTCATGAAGTGGGAAAGGGAAATAACCCAGAAATTCTACAAAATAGCTACTGTAAGGGAAGTTAAGAGACCTCCCAGAGAGAGCTGAGGTCTGAGCAGAGCCACAGAACACGGCTCTAAGCTGCCAACAGCAACTGATTTGAGTGGATAATTCCCTCAGGCTGCCATCAGCATCCCATCTTTGGTAGGAGGGCAGGAGGATGGGAAAAGCTGTGAAACTGGTGGAGTTAAAGGATGTAAGTTCAAATGCTGAATCTGCTACTTACTAGGAATCAGCAAGATAGCTGATCCTTCTGAACCTGTTTCCTCATCTAAAAAATTGGAGATAAGATTTGTCGTAAAACATTTGTGTGATAAGTACAGCGTCCTATGTTAAAATCTTGGCACACAACAGAAACCCAATATTTGAAGTATCAAAAAAAGACATTCTTAATAGATTATTAACAATAAAACTGCAATGTCATTGTTAGTAATGACATATTCTTAATATTCACATATTGGACTAATGCTGAATAAACTCACAGAAAGAATTTCCAATTCTCTGTATTAATAACACAAGACAGAAATGCCAGCCCTTATGTTTACTGCATCAAATGTGCCATGAAGGCCACCTGTCAACCACAGGCTCAGGTGCCTGAGAACACAGCCAGGCTGAACACACTCAGGCCACACTCCCAACCTCTGATCTCTGAGGGTAAAAGCTTACAAAGTCTCAGAACCAAGTTGTAGAGGCTCCTGTCACCTCCTCTGCCCCATCTGTGGCCTCTTCCCCATGCCCCACTATCACCACCTAACCCCAAGCTTCAGGTATTTGAAACTGCATGCAAACTCACTCTCTCTCTCTCTCTCTGTCTCTTAAACACACACAAACACACACACACACACACACGAGCACTTGCTCTGTGTCAGCTACTCCCTCTTGCTGGAATATCCCTCCTATCCCCCTTTGTTTGGTTAACTCTTACTCATCCTTCAGGACTCATCAAAGATACCACCTTTCCCCGGAAACTTTTCTGGAAATTCCTCAACTGGATCCAGAGATGTTCACAGGACCACCTATGGCACTCAAAACATACCTTTCTGCACCACTGAATTAACTTTCTAGGTATCATTCATCTCCTTCCCTGACTGAGCTTCTGGAAACAGAGATAGATCTTATACCTAGCACAGTGCTGGATGCTTAAGGGCATTCAATACATGCTTGTTCAGTGAAAGAAAAAAAACTCAGAGAAAAGAAAGGAACATAAACCATTTCCAGGTGATATAGTTTTGTTGAAGACTTAAGTAATTATTTTTATTGAAGATATTAATGCAAACTCTTTTACTTTTTCACAAATCTTAAGTTTCTACAGTGTTTTTCTCTAAAGTACCTAGCTAGCTCTTCTACTCAGAAGAAACCCTTAAAAACATAACATAAAAATTTCATTAACTACTTACATGACCTTGTTTTAAAATACTGGTAAGTAACACCAAAAGTGGTTAACTAAAGGAACATCAAGTGTTTTATTCTTTTAGGGGTTTGCAATGTGTTTGCATATATTACAGAAGAACAGTACTTTGATCATTTGGCCCAAATGTTCACATCAAGGTAAAATTACATATTTCAATTTTACCAGAACTTTCTAATAGATTTGGCACAGTTTTTTTTGGTTTCTTTTTTTTTTTTTTTTTTTTTTTTTGACTAGAACAGTATCCCTCCCTTCAAAGAGCTTCCTTTGCAAGGCTGAGTCCACCTCTGCTGGGTGGCTCACAGCCAGCTTATCCCTGTATTTTCACCAGTTATTAACAATTACAATCATACCAAGTTACAGGTAGTGAAAGAGAGAGCACTGGTTTATTTGCCACCAGCTGCTGACTTGATTTTTTTAGAAATATGACAGCCAGGAGCACTGTACTAAAATCCTTAGCACTTATCTCTGTGAACAAAAATTAGGAGCTGTTTGGAACTACTGTCAAAAGGAACCATGAAAATGCAAACAGCCGAACAATTGCAGATGGCACCTAAATGCTAGGCACAGTCTAACACACAGATTTTCCTCGTGCCCAGGATGTAACATCAGTTTGCTGCTTAACACAACATGGTTTTTAATCCTTTTCAAAAAGTCTTTTTTAGTGTTTGTGAATTAGCAGCAAAGAATTCTTAGATAAACGTGTGGGTGGTAGGGGTGAGAGAAAGAGGCAGGGTGTTAGGCTTGAATGCGTATGGATCGCTGTTCAGGAAATACTCAAAATAGGGATATCTGCTATTTTATTCCTCCTAAGATTTTTATGATCTATTTTGTAATCTAGTTTAAACAGTACAGAAGCCAGGCCTAAGGAATATTATTTGATAGAAGACCATGGCTCTCTCATGTATGTGGAGGTGTATGTGTCCCAGGTTTAATTCAAGGTAAAAGACCAGGATTTTTTCTGATATGTCTGATATGTCTCTCTGCAAGACCTGTTGTCTCATAGAAAGAAAAAACATTTCTCTACCCTAGTTCTGCATATATGTCTGGGAATAGGAGAAAGAGTATCAGATGAGTAGTTAGAAGACTAAAAGCTAAGCATAAAGGAAGCAAAAACAGACCACCAACTGGGTAATTGTCTCCAGAACACAAGGCTGAAAAGCGAGGTCTCCTAATTCCTAATTCAGGGAAATTTAAACATTTCACTCTGTTCTGTTCACTCATTTTCAATTCATGACAGAGACTTGCAAAGCAGACTAAAGCCCAAGCTGAGTCTTATGGACTGTGAAACACCACTGAGGGCCTGAAACAGCACAGATGTGTTTTCAACCTCACTAAACTGTGCAACACACTGAGGGCCTGAAACAGTACAGATGTGTTTTTAACCTCACTCAACTGTGCAACACTCGGTCCTCCCAGGTCAGTCTCGGAACCGACCACGTGCCTCCTAAGGTGGTCTACAAGCCCAGGGGCCCGGGGCCTGCTTGCTAATGGCCTTTACACCAGTCATTACTGTTTCCTCTGGAGTGTCATGAGGTGGCTATGGAGAGGGAAGGAAGACAGGATGCCACCTCCCAGCTTGGCGTTACTAACCTAATATATCAGACTGTTGCCTGTGTTGCAAGGGCCAGCTTGTGGAGAAACTTGTGAGTAACGTTAGGAAGGCTACTCTGATTTTCTTGAGGTCATTTTTGTTTGAAAAACTTTTTAAAATTGAAGTAGAACTTTATATAGAGTGCCCAGATTATAAGTTGTCTTCTTCACAACTGACCATGCTCCTAGAACAACCACTAAGTCAGAAAACAGAACATAAACCCAGAGGCCCCTCCATTCCTCCTCTTCCAGTCACTCCCTGTAGGGGTAATTACCAGGCTGAATCTTAATCCTTAAGAGACTCATGTTTCCTGCTTTTGTACCTTATATGAATGGGGTCATTCAGTAATTACTATTGGTGTTTGGCTTCTTTCAATGAGCTTTACACCTGTGAGCTTCATCCAGGTTATGTGTAGTTAGAGCCACTCATTCTCAATGCAGTACAGCATCCCACTGTGTGAACAGGACACAATTTATCTATGCACTGTTGATGGGTGTTTGGGTAGATTCAAGTAGGAGCTATTATAAATAGCGCTGCTACAAACATTCTGGTGCATGTCTTTTGGTGAGCTGACGCACGTACTTCTTGGACATATGACTAGGAATAGGATTGCCATATTTCTTGAAGTTATTTTTGGCATCTACTAGATAAGTGATGTTTACAACATTCTATAAAAAAGCCCCAAGGTCAAGTCTCCATTAATTACACAAAGAATTATCTGTTGTCCATTCATTCTTGAACTTTCTGCAGCATGTACTATTATAACTGAGGTCAATGCCACTGTATCTATTTTAGTAAGCAGCATGTTCATTTACAGATGCACAGCACCACATTATTTACTTTGGATTATTGCCCTGGCATTTCTAACGCAATCCTAAATCACCCTCCACCTCAGCCACTGCTATCAAGAAGAAATTAAGAAAATTCAGTAATAACAACTAGTTCTTATAAATAGGCGATGCACCTCTTCCATCTGGCCCCACATAAAGATAGGCAAATGAATATTAAATCTGACATATGCAGGCACTGAATTATAACAACAGAAATTGGAATATGATGCTATAATTATCATATCATCAAAATGAGAATGAGATGAAGGGATAATTAAAATCATCATGCCCAGCTTAATATTTTCATAACTAAAGCTTTTATTCCAGATTGCTGATTTGCAAGTTTCTTATTGATATTTCATGTCTTACAAGGAGCACTTTCACAGCCCTACACACCAAAGGGGAAGCAGACATTCAAGTAGATTCTTTTTCTTTATTTTTTAAATAAATCATAACAACTAGCATTGTTTCCCCGTGTGTGTGTGTGTGTGTGTGTGTGTGTGTGTGTATGTGTGTGTGCATGTTTGTATTTTGGAGTTGGGAATCAAAAGTTCATGGTTTGAAAAGAATTCTGAGGATCATTTCGTCTTGGCCTTGTCTCAAGTGAGAAAACTGTTCTTAACAGTCTCCTTAACAACTGATTATCCAGATGTAGCAGGTTTGTGCGTCATTTAGGATCAATTTCCCTTTCTGATCTAAAATCTTCCTAATCTACAAGTGAGAGGCATAATTTCAACTACCACTCCAGTTCTGCATATACATCCGGGAATAGGAGAAAGAGTATCAGATGAGTAGTTAGAAGACATTTAATTTAAAATCAGCTCTACCACTTATGAGTTGTGCAGTGATGGGAAGACACTATCTGTCCAAGGCTCGCTTTTTTAATTCATAAAATAGAAATAATAAAACTTACATCACAGGGCTGCTCTGTGTATTAAATAATATATGTGAAAACATTCTGTTAGTGGTTAAATTATACACAAATATAACATATTATTATGATTGTTATTATTAACTTGTACAATAGACACTTTCCAAAGGAAAAAACATCAACATTCAAACTTTGAATCAAATTTTGCCCAATTGTCTGCACTACAAGTAACTTCCAAAAATAAGTTGTACTATCAACTTGATATGATTTGGCTGTGTCCCCACCCAAATCTCATCTTGAATTCCCACATGTTGTGGGAGGGACCCAGTTGGAGGTAACTGAATCCTGGGAGCAGGTCTTTGCCATGATGTTCTCATGAGAGTGAATAAGTCTCACAATATCTGATGGTAATATAAGAGGGAGTTTCTCTGCACAAGCTCTCTTTTTGCCTGCCACCATCCATGTAAGACATGACTTGCTCTTCCTTGCCTTCCACCATGATTGTGAGGCCTCCCCAGCCATGTGGAACTGTAAGTCAAATTAAACCCTCCTTCTTTTGTAAATTGCGCAGTCTTGGGTATGTCTTTATCAGCAGCATGAAAATGGACTAATACACAACCTTACCCTCATTCATAAAAGGAAGATTGGCCAAGGCCGTATTATCTCTTTGAATTATAGCCATTATCTTTAAAGAATGGTGTTTATCCAAAAATTTAAGAAAACAGAATCTCCATGAGAATTATATATTTAAATCTAACTCATATATAAGGAAGAAACTATAGAAAGTGACAAACTTCCTAAACTTAGGAATGTTATTTCTTAGAAAAAATAATCCATTTTAATGCACATTACAGAGTTTTCCATGAATTCATTTTAACTAGGATAAATCTTCAACAATTTGAGTAATTCCAGGAAATCACAGCATGTTAATTAAAAGATTATATTTTCTTTTTTCCTGTGCCTAGTAGATAATGGAAGGGTCATTAATCTTGATTCTTGAGGCATCTTTAGGAAAGGGGGTTATTCTAACCCAGTTCTTGCTGCTAGCAATAGTTTTGCAATTATGGGCCTTACATTTGGAATATAGATCCTGGACTCATGATATTTACATTTTATTAAACAGTGAAATGCACATAGAATAAGTTTCTTGCAACTGGAAAAAGTCATGTCCAGGCAGTATGCTGTTGATCTTAGAGAATTATGTTGTGATGTATCTCTTAAACAATATTGAGATGGTTTGGCTGTTTACCCACTCAATCTAATCTTGAATTGTAGCTCCCACAATCCCCACGTATCATGGGAGGGACCCAGTGGGAGGTAATTGAATCATGGGGGCAGGTCCTTTCTGTGCTGTTCTCATGATAGTGAATAATTCTCATGAGATCTGATGGTTTTATACAGGGCTGTTCCCCTGCATAGGCTCTCTTGCCAGCCACCATGTAAGATGTGCCTTTGCTACTCCTTCGCCTTCCACCATGATTGTGAGGCCTCCCCAGCCATGTGAAACTGTGAGTCCATTAAACCTCCTTTTCTTTATAAATTATCCAGTCTTTGGTATGTCTTTATTAGCAGCGTGAGAACAGATTAATATGAATATCACAGATATTTTAACTAAAAACGAAGTGAGAAATCACCTAATCCAATCATCTTGTTTTGCAGATAAAGAAACCAAGGCCTAGAGATTATGTGAATTTGTCCTTTGTCCTACTACCTGGCATTACAACAGTTATTCTTAAATTACTTTTAGTTAAGGGCTAGGCCCACCTGAAACTGTTTTTACTTTGAAAAAATAAGTGACGAAATGACAGTTTCCATTCCAGTGATGTTTATGTGTTGGGATCAACGAGTGTGTGAACTCCTTGGGGTAAAGACTTTGTAGCTGCCATGTATTCCATCATACCAGGTGTAAGGAAGGCCCACATCAGGCTGGTAAATGGTGATGAAGATGGTAAGAACAGAGGCCAGAAAAGCTGCCCAGGAGGCATAAGGCAGTCACCACATGAAAACATCTCAGTGGAGGGATGAGAGATCAAACTAGCAATTTAGAACATTCATTCAAGTGATTTTCCTAGTATTCAGAGGGACAGGACGAAGAATGGAAAATGATGAGAGAAAAGATGGAGTCACGAGGGATAGATGTAGAGGTTCCAATGTCATTTAATAGAAATTCTAGAGAGAATATATCTGGAATAGAAATAGAACTTGAAAAAATACTCAGAGGAAAAAATGGTCTCGTACAAAGGAGGACATTAGTCTCAAACTGAGAAAAGAGTATTAGAGGTAAATTTAATGAAAAAAACTATATATAGACATATATAGGGGGATTTTAAATTATATATACAGTTATATTATTATATATATGTATATATAAAAATTATATATACAATTATATATACACACCAATACATGCAGTACACTATCAATACATGGTAGCAGGAGACTTTGTTATCATGGTAAAAACTAGAAGATGATAGCAAGCAACAGGACAGAGAGAGCTCTGAAAGAAAAAGGTCTGGGCTTAAACACCTGTCTCCCATCAAATTGCTTTCAAGGGTGAAATGCATTTTCTAATATGCAAAGATTTTAAATGTAATATGCAGGCACCTAGACAAATCAAAACAACTCTTGAAGTGTGCTGGAACAAGGAATAAAGGAAATTAAGTAAAGAAATAAGGAGGAAATTGAGGCTGGAAAGGATGAGAGATTACCACTGGAATCAGTAAAGGTGCATGGTAGTTTTAAATATGATTGAAAAAATTGTTTGTGTTCCTTTTTTTCTTTCCACGAATTGATCTCTATTGCTTTAAAAATGGAAGGAAAAAAAGAGTAAGGTATGTATTCTCAAATCTAATTAACACAATAGATATACTGAATTAGGAAAAGAAAAGATAAATATTTAGCATTGCCTCTTTCCCAAAAGAAAGCCAAAGATTAATATTCTCTAATGACTTTGATAAGTAAGTAAATGTAGGTTTAGAAACGCATCTGAAAAAAACATTAGAATAACCAATAGAATAATAAAAAACATTTGGGTGGATAGATGCTCTTACTCCTAAACTAGAAATTATTAACTAACAAAATGCGGAAGGAAGGAGGAAAGGAAGGAAGGAAGGGAGGGGAGGGAGGGGAAAGGAAGGTCCCCTCCTTTGTCCTACCACTAGTAGCAAGAACACAACAAAAGAAACAAAATATTTAAGGCATAAAGCAAATTGGCATATGTACAAGTTATGTTATAATTTTAACAATAACTGCAAATAGGTTAAACTCTCTTATCAACAGGAAAAGGCTCTTGGATGGGATTTTCTTTCTTTTTAAAAAAATAGTTTTGTTAATTAAATAATTTTTGTTTTGTTTTGTTCTTTTGGAAACAGGTTCTCATTCTGTCACCCAGGCTGGAGTGTAGTGGCGTGATCTTGGCTCACTGCAGCGTCAACCTCCTGGGCTCAGGCGATCCTCCCACCTCAGCCTGCTGAGTAGCTAGGACTACAGGCACACACCACCACACCCCACTAATGTCATGTATTTTTTGTAGAGATGAGGTCTTACTATGTTGTCCAGGCTGGTCTCGAACTGCTGGGCTCAAGCAATCCTCCTGCCTTGGCCTCCCAAAGTGTTGGAATTACACATGTGAGCCACTGTGCCTGACCTTCTTTTTAAGACAGTTATATATGCTTTTCATAAAAAGCATACCTGAATAAAATACCATGAAAAGCTAAAAATAATAGAACAGACAACTAATTTTTGAACATTCACATGCACACACATGAATTTTGTTTGGCACTATTAATATGAGACAAAGAAGTAGTCAAGGGAAAACACAGGACTAAGAGTCATTTCTAACTAACATAGAATCCAGACCAAAGACACGAATTTATGGACAAAATAATATGTGGACCAATCATTTATGGACCAAATATGTGATCAATGTAACTCAGGAATTTTTAACAACATGGGAGACTATTTTATATTTTATTGAAGGACAAATGACAAAAAAAATCTGTATATTCTGTCTGATTCTACCCATGAAAAACTATATATGTATATATGTGGAAAAAAACAAAAAAGACACAGATTAAAGGCATATAACTTAGTACTTGGATTATGGGACTATAAGTGGTTTTTATTTATTTTTAAATGCTTCTTTATATTGTCTAAATTTTCGGTATTGACCATAGACTAATCTTGTAATAAAATGGTATCATTTTAAAATAATGTATAATTGCAATATTTCTAACTTTTTAAAGAGAATGAATTTTCTTTGTTTATATTTACTCTGATTTTGGTTCTCAAGGTGACTTAAAATTACCAGATTTCATCATTTCAGCTTCTCCTTAATCAATGTACTGCTCTTTCTCACACAGAAATAAACCAAAGCCATATCTGCTTTCCTCATAAGGATACAGTTCCTACAACCTTGGCAATTTATGTAATTTAGAATGTTGCACTTAATAAAATCCTTAGAATGTATCAAATAATATAGTACCTTTGGAAATCAGTGCCATAGTTGCTACAAAATTAAGCATTTCATGTGCAATTTTTTCTTAAAGAATTTAGAAAAAAAAATCATTGAATTCTCACATAATTATTTCCCAGTTCAGTAAAATCAGACCTATACATTAACCTTGAAGAATTTTATAGTAATGGGTAGAACTGATTTAAAGATCCATGACTGATCTTTTGTTACATTATCAATGCTTTTACTAAATTGGGTAATTAATCATGTCACTTTGAGAATTAAAAGGTTCTTTAAAATCAGATACTCTTTTTCCTTTTGCTTATTAAAGTAAAAATACATCTGCAAGTTTATTTTTAAATTTCCACCCAGTTCAATTTCACTGTGTGGTAACAGGATGTCAAGGAAAATGACAGACCAAGTGACAAAGGAATCAGATAAATGTAAGCACGTGTCACTGAGGTGCTTTCCTGGCATGATAAAAGTTTTAACTGAAGGTGACACCAAATTAAGAAGTACTGTGCATAAAAATTAAAGCCGTGCCTTTGGGAACCCTTTTGAACACAGTGTTTCAATCAGCCACTGTAAATTCACAAAATTTACGGAGCCAAACTAAACACAAAGTAAATTTATGAGAGCTTTTACTTTCTATATCAAGCTTGTCCAACTTGCGGCCCATGGGCTGCATGTGGCCTAGGATGGCTCTGAATGCAGCCCTAGACAAATCTGTAAGCTTTCTTAAAACATTATAAATTATGAATTTTTTTAGCTCGTCAGCTGTCGTTAGTGGTAGTATATTTTGTGTGTGGCCCAAGACGATGCTTCTTCTTCCAGAGTGGCCCAGGGAAGCCAAAAAATTGGACACCCCAGTTCTACATGATGAACATGTTATTGTGATGACTTAGAACAACTAGAGAGAATACGAAATAAAACCATAAACTATTAGGTGAATTATTATTTGGTAGGTAAATGAAGTTTTAAGAATAAGTTAGAGAATACATAGCAGATTGGAAAATTGAATTCATCCTTTGTCCTTGCGAATAAATCCTTTCTCTCTCTACTAAAATAGCAATAAATGAATAAAAGACAAAGCACGATGCTGGCAGATGAGAGAAGTGAACACATTTTTGAAGATAGAAAACAGATAAGCTGAGAGCCAAGAGTCTGCAGATAGAGGATGCTATAAAAACACACCAGGAAAAGTTTGGAACCGTCTTCTTTTTTGGAAGTAACTTTCTTACTCAAAGGACAAGATCTCCTGATGGTGGTGGAGGGGAGGCTCTTCTGCAGTGTGCCTGGGCCCTGCCAGCCACCCTCCCAGAAGTTCACCATTGATGGGCTCCAGCAGTGCACACAAAGCCTCACGCCAGCTTTTTTTGGTGCCTCACTCTAAAAAGTGAACAAAACAAAGACTACCAGAATTTGAGAAATGCCTTTAGTATAATGGGAAGAAGCCAACCAACCTAACCAAAAACGAATCAAAACAAAAATATTGGGTGGGGCGGGGGAAGAGTCAATGCAGGGAGCAGAAAAAACAACTCCAAACATTATCAGAGAGGTAAGAAAAGCTACACAATCTATCCAGCAAGAACAGGATACAATAAAAACAAATCAGAGAATAAGAATGTGTTCTCAGAAACTGAAAAAAAAAAACACAGTATAATCAAAAACTTCAACTGAAGGATTAGAAGACAAACTTGAGGAGATATTTCATAAAAGAGAATAAAAGACAAGGAGTGAAAAAGTTCTGAGCATCAGTTGAGGAAAGCAAACAGAGCAAATAGAAAAGAGAGTATTATTGACAAATAAAATGAGAACACCTCCCATAAATAAAAGAGGTGAGTCTCCAGATTGAAACAATGAATGGACAAAAGGCCAATTTCAAGTCACCAGGGATAAATTAAAAAAAGCCCTAAAAATGCCCAGGGAGGTGCAGTTCTTGCAGAGGGGAGGGGAGTGACATGATAGAGCGTGGGAAGAGGAACAGTCCCATGGGTGGATTTAAATTTGAACGAAAGCAGACTCCTCAACAACAAAACGGTAAACATAACATGGAATGATGCCTTCAATATTCTGAAGGAAAAGGACTTCCAACTGGAATTGTACCCATGGCTGAGGAGACACACAAGCTATTTTAGTTAGAAAAGTAACTCCCTCGCACAAACTCTGTCCCAAAAAGTCAGGAAATGAAGAACATAAATTGGTGAAAAGAGCTCTCCAAGCCAGGAATAGAAGCTCCAAGGAAAGGGAGATAAAGGGAATTCCAAGATGGAGGAAAGACCTGGAAGGCAGCTGTGCAGCAGGTCTGGAGAGAAAGCAGTTCAGACGGAGGAAGGGCAGAGGGCTATCTTTGAGGTGAGAGGCGGATTAATGGACCCCCTGATGTGTCTGGCTGTAGCTGAGTCAAAAGCCAAATGGAGAAGTTTGTATTTTTAGGTCACATTGTGATACAACCAGAGGGTGTTCAGTCAAAGCCAACCCAACAAGCAGGAGGATGGCTGAGGAAATGGGAAAGGCTACTTCCAAGGATAACAAGAGATACATGCCTAAGAGATCAGGGGCCCAAAGTGTTCCCACAGGCCTCAATTAAAAGGAAGGTCAATGATGCAAAACAAACGATTACATGTAAAGTCAGACCAACCGAACAAGAATTCCAAGAGCTGCACCTCTAGTTCCTTCCAGAAGGGGTGTCTTAAGTCTCAGAATAATGCATGGACCATCCAAAACAGTTTATCAGCTATACGTGTACCTATTGCTTTATTGTTGTAGTATTATTATTTTGCTTCAAAATATCAATGCATGGATACTCTTAACAATTTACTGGAATTCTCTCTGTGTGTGTGTGTGTGTGTGTGTGTGTGTGTGTGTGTGTGTTCCAATTCACTCATTTCATCATTAAGTTTGGTATTTCTTCCCTTTGGTAATCATTTTTAAAAATTTGTATAACTTTTTGAGTTGAAAGTTGAATTAGTTCACTTTCATTATTTCTTACTGAGTAAGGTATAGATTTCTCTCTGAACATATGTACTATGATATCCTAAAAGTTTATCTCTTCAGTGTTCTCATTATACTAAGTCTAGATTTTCTGAGATTCAGGTCTGGGTTCTCCTCTGATCCCATGATTGCTTAAGTGCTAGAGTGATAGTTATAAACGTTTTTGCATTTGTTCTAGGTGACTGGACTTTTTCTCAACAATTTCTTATTTCATTGCATTTTGATCAAAGAGTAGGTCTGATGTTTTGTTTTGAGAATTTACTGAGTTGTGTGTGGCCTAACGGTAGAGTTTTGAAAAGTGCTTTTAGGCAGATTTATTCTGTTTTCAACTTGATGTATATCTTTAGTCACTCTTCCTCCTTTTCTTAAATCATGTTATTCAGATTCTGTATATTCTTATGTCTGTTTTGCCTGTTTACTCCATCACTCTCTGAAATGGGTGAATTAAAGTCTCCTTATATTATTTTATTTCTCCTTATATTTTCTGCCATTGTACTTCCCAAAACATGATATTATACTCTTTAGTGAATAAAGACTATGTCTGTTTGAATCTCATCATAAAATTGAATCTTTTGTAGTGTAAAGAGCTCTCATTTACAGATGAAGAAATGAAGTTAGGAATAGTGGGGCGATTTGCCTCATACTGCAGAGTGAGCGGTCAGTCTGGATGTCCAGTTCAGGTGAGTTCCAGGCCTTAAACCTGACTAGTGAGACTGACACCCCCCACCCGCCACACACACACATTCACTCACAAAGGGGAACAGACGTGAAAAGAAGAAAACATCTAAAATAATTTCCATCATTATTTTTGGGCTGACCGAACAATTCCAGGTAAATCCTGAATAGAGGGTGAGTTGTCCTATAAGTTTCCACTAAGAGCACCCAAAAATATATTAGATTTATCTGATACCCGCCCCCCCAACTTCTGAGCAGTAAATGCTCCTCTTCTATTTGTATTGTTTCAGGTTTGACACTTCAGTCATGTATGCTGTGCCCTGTGTCCCACACAGGAGTTCTAGGGCAAGAGGCCTTCACATTGTAACAATATCTGGCTCTCAATGTAAATAATATAATTATTGGTTCTTCAATAAATTACCTGTGTATGTTTTATGACACAGAGGTAGATCAAGTCTTCTGGAGTCTGTGTTCTACTCATTTGGAAAAAAAAATTTCGTATCTAATCCTGGACCTTGACTCAAAAGTAAATTTACATCTTGTAGTCCCAATATTGTCATCTTTAAATATTCCTATGTTAACAAATACACCTACTTCACTTTATTCTCTATGTAAATTCATGCAAATAAAATGTAAATTGTGTGCCAAAAGTCCTATTTTCATACAGATAAGAACTGATGCAATTTATTTCAAATAATAATTTATCCATATTCTACATGAATTCCATACAAGTTTGAGTATTATTGCTAACCCCCTATTTTAACAAAAACTAAAATAAACTTGTCTGACATCCATCTAAAAAGGACACCCAGGGTCCACCTCACCTATCAAAGTGAGGTAGTATTTTCAAATGTCCTTAGCAATATTTTGATGTCATCGTTCTCTTTGTCAGCTGTACAAAATAAGATGCTGACAACTTATATTAAGAATACTGTTTACTTCCTTTCAAAACACCAAGGCTTCAATATCAGAATCAGAAATTCTGATTTGAAATGGTAAAAACAACATTCTGCTTGCAAGCACTCCACTGCCTGGGAGCATTTTCTAGAAAAGCAGCTGAAATTGCCACCTTCTTAAAGTGGAGCACTACATTTTCACGCTTTCCCCAGGGTTTGGAAGCAGAAGTCAACTAAGTTGTTTTATACCAGTCCCAGCCAAACCGGAGGGGCTTGGTCTTTTGTTCTGTTGTTTTCTTTTATTCTTCTTTTTCTTAAATATAAGAATATTTGTCTGAGAATCTTCTGGACTAGAGACTGCAAGAAGTGTCTTGTAAAATGATGCCTCTCTGGTAAAGGTACATATCTATGACAAGAGGAAAAAACCTTTTATTTTGGAATACACAAGTTTTACTCATTTAAATTCATTAGGAAACTCAAGCTAGAAATGATGATTATATTAATAGTACACCTAGGAATCTGGGAGAATACAGCAAAGATTTAAAAATTTTATCTCTTCCTCACCATCTCTGACATAAAAGAACAAAATGTATAATGATAACCTCAGGTGTTTTATGGAAAATTTCTAGCAGGCATGCATGTGTGTGTGCGCAAGTGCATGTATATAATATTCTCAAAAGATACTATCCAAGGTTGGTACTGAAGAACAACACTTTTAATCTTTTAGAGCTATATAAATTTAGACTATGACAGCAGTAAAAATATAAGAAAAATGCAGGGATTATGAATGATATCAATTTTTTACAGTTAATTGCAAGAGAATTTTAGTAAATTCTTAAGTTGTACCACAGTTACATTTGTAAATTGATTAACTGGGTAAAAAACAGTGATTATATGATTAAAACAAGAGAGACATCCCCAGCATTTCCTAGAGCTAACCTACATTACTCATGATCCACACTCTCCAATGATACCCTTTCAGCCAACAGTAACTCCATCAAGGATTTATCCTCATTCCTTGAATACAAGGAATTTTGAATTCCTTGTATTAAGACAAAATAGTGTTTAATATAATAAAATTTGTTTGCATTTCCTTTCACAGATAAGTTAAAATGTATTTACCTGATGGTTTACATGTTTCATAACTCCCCTTTATAAAACGCAAGGTCGAGAAACATCCAGTTCTCTAATTTTTGTCTTCTCCATTCTAGATAGATGCTAGCTGCAGGTACTCATTGCCTTTCATTTTCATTTCTGAGACCCTGGAATCATGAAGCTTTTGGAGACCTTGCTCTTACTTGAGTTCGCTCTCTAATAATGAGGTCTGGAACTGGAGAAGAGCTGATAGAATTCATCACCCCAGCAGCCCTGAGCATGTGTGAGGCCTGGAGACAGGATCGCTTCTCAGGCCTGCTGTCTCCCTAAAAATGCCCCATTCTTCTCACTATCACACCTTCAGTATTTCATTTTTTTCTCTAAGCTTCATATAATGCTTTTCTTTAAACCTTTCTTTTTTATATTCTTCTCATTCATTCAGAAATTCTGAGGCCAACCTTTAAAGGCTACTTAGTAGATAAACTTAAGTCAAATATTCTCTTGATAATTAGATAATACAAAGAAGAACATCAATTAGACCCCATTTACATTATGTCAGATGAGAGAAAGTTCAGAGAAGCTGCTGGAACAAAGTGCAGCATGCCCATTGTGTCTGTGTCCACAGCCTTCTCAGAATCTAGTAGGGAGAGGTCAGTCAGAAACACACACGCCCAGCGCAGGAGGCAAGCTGGCTTTGCTGAAGTGGAAAGAGAGGCTTGTGTGAGATGCTCTGCTACCTTAAAAAGCAGTCCAAGAATGGTCGGTGTTATTTTAGCACCAGTTCCACGGGAGGGGTATCAGCAGAGAGCTCTAAGGGACAGACAAATTGCAATACCATGGTGTGACGAACTTTGACGATAATGATTCAAGTTTTGAAGGAGGCATTAAGATGGCCAGTCACTTCACAGAAGTACCTGTCGCTCAAAATACTACAATGAGAGGGCACAGTGTGCCAGGCTCTCTGAGGGCTGTCTGACAGAACTCTCAGGGATGATGGAACCGTTCCATATCTTTGCTGTCCAATACAGTAGCCACTAGTCACAAGGGCTGCTGAGCATGTGAAATATGGCCAAGCGTGTGTGAGGAACACAGAGGCAGGGGACTAACGAGTACCATAGTGGGTGTTACAGCTCTAGATCACACACACACACACACACACACACTCCCCCCACACACAAACAGAAGGCCTGAGGAAGATGATCTCCATGGCTATATACTCCTAGTGCTTGTCTAGGAAGTGGCTCCATCAACTCCAGCAGAGTCCTCGCTAATACAGGGCACCCTCCTAATCATGGGCTTCTCCCCTCCTCTCCCCTTCCCTCCCTCATCTTTCCTTTTTCCTGGTTTCCTCCTCCCCTCACAGAGCACTAATGTTACAGCAGGTATAAGACATTGAACAGATTGTGAAAAAAAATGTGGGTAGCTAGGCAGACATGAGCAGGGCGGGAAAGGCCCCCTACCCCAGGAATGTCAGGCAACCATCAGGTGATGGTCAGGTGGTTGTTCGACTGTCTCTCTAAAATAATAATTGGTCACAGCTGGGAGGTGCCAGGGAAAGGCAGCCTCCCAGTAGATGGGAAACACCTGAAACTGGTACCAGCCGCTTCCTGATAAGATCTCAGGAGTTGGGTGAGTGGGCCCCAGCCTGTTCACTAAGAGGCAAAATGGTGGAGTTTAACTGGCACATGACCTTCCTCTAGGAACATTCAACTGGTAAGGGAAAAATGCCTCAAATGAGCACGTACACAATCTTCAGTAAACACATTGTGCATATGGCCTGTATTAGTCCATTTTCACTCTGCTGATAAAGACATACCCGAGACTGGGAAGGAAAAAGAGGTTCAGTTGGACATGCAGTTCCACATGGCTGGGGAGGCCTCATATTCATGGCAGAGGGTGAAAGGCACTTCTTACATGGTGGGAGCAAGAGAAAGTGAGGGAGAAACCAAAGCAGAAACCCCTGATAAACCCATCAGATATCGTGAGACTTGTTCACTATCACAAGAATAGCATGGGAAAGACCTGCCCCCATGATTCAATTACTTCCCCCTGGGTCCTTCCCACAACACTCGGGAATTCTGAGAGATACAATTCAAGTTGAGATTTCAGAGGGGACACAGCCAAACCATATCATTCCACCCCGGCCCCTCCAAATCTCAGGTCCTCACATTTCAAAACCCATCATGCCTTCCCAACAGTTCCCCAAAGTCTTAACTCATTTCAGCATTAACCCAAAAGTCCACAGTCCAAAGTCTCATCTGAAACATAGCAAGTCCCTTCTGCCTATGAGCCTGTAAAATCAAAAGCAAGCTAGTTACTTCCTAGATACAATGGGGGTACAGGTACTGGGTAAATACAGCTGTTCCAAATGGGAGAAATTGGCCAAAACAAAGGGGTTACAGGGCCCATGCAAGTCTGATATCCAGCAGGGCAGTCAAATTTTAAAGCTCTCAAATGATCTCCTTTGACTCCAGGTCTCACATCCAAGCCACGCTGATGCAACAGGTGGGTTCCTATGGTCTTGGGCAGCTCCACCCCTGTGGCTTTGCAGGGTACAGCCTCCCTCCTGGCTGCTTTCATAGGCTGGTGTTGAGTGCCTGCAGCCTTTCCAGGTGCATGGTACAAGCTGTCAGCGGATCTACCATTCTGGGGTCTGGAGGACAGAGGCCCTCTTCTCACAGCTCCACTAGGCAGTGCCCCAGTAGGGACTCGGTGTGGGGGCTCTGACCCCACATTTCCCTTCCACACTGCCCTAGCAGAGGTTCTCCATGAGATCCCTGCCCCTGCAGCAAACTTTTGCTTGGGCATCCAGGCATTTCCATACATCTTCTTAAATCTAGGCGGAGGTTCCCAAACCTCAATCTTGACTTCCATACACCCACAGGCTCAACACCATGTGGAAGCTGCCAAGGCTTGGGACTTCCACCCTCTGAAGCCATAGCCCAAGCCTTATGTTGGCCCCTTTCAGCCACAGCTGGAGCAGCTGGGAAACAGGGTACCAAGACTCTAGGCTGCACACAACTGGGCCCAACCCACAAAACCACTTTTTCCTCCTGGGCCTCCAGGCCTGTGATGGGAGAGGGTGCCGTAAAGGTCCCTGACATGGCCTGGAGACATTTTCCCCATGGTCTTGGGGATTATCATTAGGCTCCTTGCTACTTATGCAAATTTCTGCAGCCAGCTTGAATTTCTCCTCAAAAAATGGGTTTTTCTTTTCTACTGCATCATCAGGCTGCAAATTTTCTGAACTTTTATGCTCTGTTTTCCTTTTAAAATGGGATGCTTTTAACAGCACCCAAGTCAACTTTTGAATGCTTTGCTGCTTAGAAATTTCTTCCACCAGATACCCTAAATCATCTTTCTCAAGTTCAAAGTTCCACAAATCTCTAGGGCAAGGGCAAGATGCTGCCAGTCTCTTTGCTAAAACATAACAAGAGTCACCTTTGCTCCAGTTCCCAACAAGTTCCTCATCTCCATCTGAGACCACCTCAGCCTTATTGTTCATATCACTATCAGCATTTTTGTCAAAGCCACTCGACAAGTCTCTGGGAGGTTCCAAACTTTACCACATTTTCCTGTCTTCTTCTGAGCCCTCCAAACTGTTCCAACCTCTGCCCTTTACACAGTTCCAAAGTTGTTTCCACATTTGCTTGTACCTTTTCAGCAGTGTCCCACTCTAATGGTACCAATTGTACTGTATTATTCTGTTTTCACACTGCTGATAAAGACATACAGGGGACTGGGAAAGAAAAAGAGGTTTAATTGGACTTACAGTTCCACATGGCTGGGGAAGCCTCAGAATCATGGTGGGAGGTGAAAGGCACATCTTACATGGTGGCAGCAAGGGAAAATGAGGAAGAAAGCAAAAGTGGAAACCCCTGATAAACCCATCAGATCTTGTGAGACTTATTCACTATCACAAGAATAGCACGGGAAATACTGGGCCCCATGATTCAATTACCTCTCCCTGGGTCCCTCCCACAACATGTGGGAATTTTGGGAGATACAATTCAAGTTGAGATTTGAGTGAGGATACAGCCAAACCATATCACAGCCCCTCCCAAGTGCTGGCAGGCCACTGCACATGTGGACAGTCCACTCCAAGGAAGAATCAGGGTGACTCAGGAGAATAGGGTCTGGAGGCAGGGAACCTAAGGCCAATTCACGCTGACTTCCTAGAACTAAACGAAAAGAAAACCCCCAACTTTCCACACTAAAGTAACAAAAGGACCAGAGGCTACTCCCTTTGCACCCCTCACCCCCTGCTTTTCTGCATGAAAGATGGAAAATTGAAAGTATCTCTGATTGGTTGTAGACAGCAACCAGATGTGGAGAGCAACCAATCAGATGTTTGCATAGGAGTGTAACTTTGCAACTTCACTTCAGCCTCTGATTGGTTGCTTTCCACAACCGATCAGACTGACTGTGGCCCACTACTTCACCTACATAGAGTGTACCAAGTAACCAATGGGAAACCTTTAGAGGGTATTTAACCCCCCTAAAAATTCTGTAATGGGGATCTTGAGGCCCTGTGCTTGGGTGTGCTCCCACTCTATGGAGTGTACTTTCACTTTCAATACATCTCTGCTTTCATTGCTTCATTCTTTCCTTGCTTTGTTTGTGTGTTTTGTCCATTTCTTTGTGCCAGACACCAAGAACTTGGACACCCTCCACCAGTAACGAGGACAGAAGAAATGCAGCGCCTAGAATTATGCCAATGTATAAAAACCCCAAGGCAAGGCCTAAATGGCTCACTTGACTTTCTCAAGTTGCCCTCCTGGCCTTCTTCCAAGTGCACTTTACTTCCTTTTGCTCCTGCTCTAAAACTTTTTAATAACATTTCACTCTTGCTCAAAAACTTGCTTTGGTCTCTCACTCTGCCTTATGCCCCTGGGACAAACTCTTTCCTCTGAGGAGGCAAGAATTGAGTTACTGCAGACTCCTTACAGACTTGACACTGCTGGGACTAAGACATCTCCTCCGGGTCCAGCTCCACATTCACAGTCTGAGTCCCACAGATTTTCACAAGTCGCCAAGCAGTCTTCATGTCTTTCTTTTTTTATGAATGCTATATTTTTTTCTTTTAAGTGTTAATAGATTTACACATATCACATTTATATTCATGTATGTGATTTGGGAGTGCTTATCACTATTACAGTGGCATTTCCTTTTATTCAGTTAAAAATGTTTTAGGCACTAGTTTCCAGGATTGCCTGATAAAGCATGGACTTCCTGTATTATGCTTAGATCCTTTATTCAAACAAATGTTTTCTTGCTTCATGTATTATATGACTTATTCTTTTCTCTTTACAGTAAACTTTTCTATGTTTGTTTACATATTTGTGTATTTGAACAAATTTGATATTAATTCTTTCAGTCTTAATTTATATATGTTTCTAGATCACCAATATAAATAATTTATCTATACATTATTTACCAATTGATGAGGATAGACAAAGAAGCAAAGGCTTACATATTTATTCGTATTATTTTTCTTCAAAAGCAACATCTGTTCATATGGATATTGTCAAATAATTAAAACATGGGCATATTCTGCAACATAACTTCACACTAGTTTTCTATTCTTTTATAGAATTAACTCCAAATGAATAAGAAAGACAGAAAAAGAAATAGAGGCAAGAAATAGAAAATGAGTAGAAAAGGCAAGAGGCTCTGGAATTTCTCTAGAAGAAAGCAAGTCTCAGGACAGGGTGGTGGGTGTGTATGACAGTGTGCATTTGGTAGGAAAATTATTAGAAAACAGAGATTCTGGGACATGAAGTGGGTCTGGGAAATGCCTCATAATTCCAAGAAGGTTCTAGAAGGGCAGAGTTGGCAGGCAGAGGAAAATGTCAAGGAAAGGCCTCAGCAACACAGAGGTGGGAGTGTCACAGGGGCAGCTGGCTCCATGAGACTCATTTATGATGCTCCATGTAGCTGCTAATCTGCAGAATGTTTCCATTCATCCAGGAAATAACTTAAATAAGAAAAATGTTACCTGTGATGTCCCGAATAACGTGGACCACGGATATGGCCTATTCCTCGGCACCCGGGAGTAGGACAGACAGCTTGACCTGGAAGGATCTTCAGGTCATTCGTTCCTTCAGGAAGTAAAAGAACATGCCTTGAAAACACCCTCATTAAAGAAGACTGCAAATCTGAAATATGTAAATGATGCTAATTAAGACTTTACAAATTAAAAACAAACCATCACCAAAAACCACTTACAGGTGACTTACGATGTATTATTAATATTAAATTATTTAGCAGAAAATACCAGTGCTGTGATAAATAACACCAACAGCACAACCCATATCAGAGAGAGAGGAAAATGAATAAATGAATAGGCATTGAAGAATTTCTTTTTTTATTTTTGAGACTAAGTCTCACTCTGTTGCCCAGGCTGGAATGCAGTGGCGCATCTCGGCTCACTGCAACCTCTGCCTCCCGAGTTCAAGCAATTCTCCTGCCTCAGCCTCCTGAGTAGCTGGAATTGCAGGCAAGCACCACCACGCCCAGCTAATTTTTGTATTTTTAGTAGAGACAGGGTTTCACCACGTTGGCCAGGCTGGTCTCGAACTCCTGACCTCAGGCAATCTGCCCACCTCAGCCTCCCAAAGTACTGGGATTACAGGTGTGAGAAATTTTTAAAAATAGATATGAGAACATTCACTTATTTCTTTCAGAGATTAATAATGGCAAAGACAATACAGCCACGAGCTGAGAATGCGAATACGTAAGGTCTGCTTTCTGGTCCTCAGTGAAGCCTCCACTCAACCACAGCAAGGATCTTAGAATACTGGACAGAAACTGGGCCAGCAAATGGGGCGTGCTGAAGATGGCAAACATGGCCCCACAGCACACTTACTCAAGTGGCTTTCAAAGCTAGGCAAAGAAAGAACTGACATTATGCTACTCTATACTACTGCTCTACTGTACCATATGCTATGCAGTACTATACGCTACACTGTACTATATGCTACATCATACACTATACTGTACCATACACTACACCATACTATATGCTACACTGTACTATATACTATGCTATATACTACACTGTACTATAAGCTACAGTGTACTATATACTATACTCTATGCTACACCATACTATATGCTACACTGTGCTATATTGTACTATATACCGTACTGTACTGCATTGCAATGCACTGTACTCTAACCATGCCAAGCATTCTGTCAAGCCCAAGAGGCAGTCTACATCTCAATATTATCAGTAGCAAAACCTCCATGCCCTGTTCTGTGATCTTCCTCAGTATTCTCCGCCCCCTAAACACACATGCACACACACACACACATACACATGTGCACACACACACACGCACACTCACACATATCAGTTCCTGGAACGTCCCATCCCATACCTCCTGCTGTTCTGGGCCTTACTTCTCTGACAATCCCACACTTTCCTTCTCCCCTCCCAGCTCTCAGACTTCCATTTCCTGTTCAACAAATTCCCTACTTCCTCCTCCTCATCTCAATATTCCCCATTTCCCAGCCCTGGTTTCATGGGGCTGAAGACATGGCTTCCCACAGCCCTCCACAGGGGTCACATGCCTCCAGAGAGGCAGGGAAGTCAGGGACCGTCTTCCTCTCTGTGCCTCCTCAGGGCCACACCTCTGAGGCTCCTCTTCTGAGTCTGATGCCTTGGGCTTCCACTATCTGCCCACTGTTTCCACATCACTCAGGGAAGACTTTGGCACTGGCTCTCCATGTTCTGCTCTGTCCCAACTCTGGCAAATGCTCAGGCACACTCAGGCCCCATGTGCTCACCCTGCCACTCTGCCACCCCAGCACGTCAGTCACTTCCTCGAGCTAGTGGCCCCCAACCCATCTGGGCCACACAAACAAAACCCTCTGGGTCTTGTCATCACCCAAAATGGCTTTGCTTCTAAAGCCCCACCTGACCACAAAATCGTATCCTCCCATACTGCGTGATCAGGTGCCCAACTGCTGCTGATGTTTTCAACATCAGTGGAGGTTCCAGGCCACTAATTTCCCTTCTTCTCTTCCTCAGCCCCTTCTGAGGGGCCATAACCCACTTCCCTTGTCTAACTTAGATTCTATCAACTGTTATTTGACCCTCTGCTGCTAGGAACTTAAACTCCCTTGCTCTCTGACTTTTCAATCATGTCTGGCTGTGGCGCGAAGGTGGGAAAGAGCCAACCATGGATGGCCCGAAACAACCTGCTGCTCTATGTTTTGCATAACTAAGTTCTCCTGGGAAAAAAATGCACATTGTGCAGACGAGGTGTTATCAAAACACCGGTGTCCCACACTGCCACTGGCCTGCACCCTCAGCCCTGCTGAGGACCAGGAGCCCATGGACAGAGCAGAGCGCCTCCTCACCGCCTGCCCAGCACTTCCCCTCCTTCCTTTCCACTGCAGTGTGGGACGCACTTTCCCCTCTCCAAAGCAAATCCCTCACCATCTGTGCTTGATCTCATCACCTCCCATTCTCCAGGATCTGTAAGCTATGAGGTATTTTAATCACTCCTTGACTATTGACCAACATTTAAACATACTCCAGTTTCTCCATCATAAAAACAAAGACAAAAGAGAAAACAAAAGCTTACAACTCTACTTAGATCCCACATCCCCTCTTAGCTGCTGTTCCCTGCTTCTTGTTCAGAGCAAACCTCTCAAAGTAATTATCTCCTTCTCCTCAGGGCTCCTTTCCTGAGGCACATTTGTTTTAATATCACCACACACTGGGACCTAGACTCAGTCAGTATTTTCATGAAATCTAATTACACTGTAACACAAATTTATGGTTTATATATAAGCTTCTTTTCTAGACTATGAGTGCCTCTGAAAGGAAGAACTATGGAATACTCACCTATTCCGCAAGCACTTACTGAGCACTAACTGTGTGCTCAGTAAGTGCTTGCGGAATAAGTATTTACTGAAACTACATACTGTACTATGTGCTACAGGATGTAGTTCAATATATAGTTTGCAGTCTCCTTCTGGAATTGCTGTTGTCCACTGGCTTTGGCAACATCACACTCTGACAGTTTTCCTTCTGCATATGAGGATTCTTTTGTAATCTCCTTTGCCAGCATTTCCTCCTCTAGTCAACCTGAAATTTCAGGCAACATCCTCAAGGTTTGCTCCTGGGCCATTCATTTCCACGGCTTCATTTACCAACTGCATGCTACAGATGCTCACAGTCTACAGCCCAGGCATTCTTGAAGTTCCAGACCAATGTATCCACCTTTCCACTTGATGTCTCTGTAGTTATTTCTTAAAGTCATTTCAAAGTCAACATGTTCAGACTGAACCTATCGTCTTGTCCCCCTAGCCTTCTTCTCCCGTAGAGCAGCTCATCTCCGTGACTGCATTACCCTCCATCCAGGAGCCTGGATCCTTGACATCATTTCTCGCTGGATCCTTCACATCACCTCTCCCTCATTTCATGCCACCCTATCAATCGGTCCTCAATTTTTCAAATATTTCTTTTACCTACCAACTTATCTTCATCACTACTATGACTGGCCTAATCCAAAGCCATCTTCCTTCTTGAAGAATTGCGATAGCCATTCTTCACTCTTCCTAATCTATTTTCCATCTTGCAACCAGAGCAATCTTTTCAAATCACAGATACAATCATATCACTTCTCTCTTAGCACATTTCAATGGCTTCTCATTGCTGTTAGGATGAAAACTCGAATTTTTACCCTGGCCTACATGATTTATGATTGGACTTGATTTTTCTCCTCATTCAGGATTCTGCATCCATGCTGGCCTTCTCCTATTCCTTGAACCTGCCAGTTCTTTCCTACATCAGGGCATTTGCATGCTGGCAAGAACATTCCACTGTGTCCCCTTGGATAACTTCTTATTATCTTTCACATCTTGGCTTATATTTCACTTCCTCATGCTAACTTCTGAGAGGAGGTTACGTCCTCATTTTATATAGCACCTACCTCAATTACAAAGTAAATAATTATTTGTTTAATGTCTATCTCTCTTATTAGACCATAAGCTACAGGCATGAGTCTAGTTCACCACTGTGTCACCAGTATCTAGCCCAACACATAGTTAGTGCTCAGTGTTTGTGGAACAGGTGAGTGTTCCACAGTTCTTCCTTTGAGAGACACTCATAGTCCAGAAAAGCAGCTTATATATAAACAGCAAATTTGAATTACAGTGAAATTAGGTTGCATGGAAATACTGACTGAGTTTAGGTCCCAATGTGTCATGATATTAAAACAAATATTTAAGCCTCAAATATATTTTCATTACATTTACTGAAAGTATGTCTTAAGCACATCTTATGTTCTTATGACTTTGTGAAACACATTGAAGCATAAATAAAGAAAAATAGAGCTACCCTATTCAAAGCCAGCTTTGGAAACAGCTTTTTTTAAAAAAACAACTTTTAAACGAATCAGAGGAAGTGATGTTTGAAAACTGTAAACAGGATAGGCATGGTGGCCCACGCATGTAATCCCAGAACTTTGGGAGTTTGAGGTGGGAGGATCGCTTGAGGTCAGGAATTTGAAACCTGCCTGGGTAACATAGACCTTATTTCTACAAAAAAATAATCTTAAAAGTTATTTGGGCATGGTGGCATGTACCGATAGTCCTAGCTACTCTGAAGGCTAAAATGGGAGGATCTCTTGAGCCCAGGAGTTCAACCAGTCTGGGAGACAGTGAGACTGTATCTCAAAAAAAAAATTGTAAACAAATCCTTCATTAAGAAATATGCTTGTGTCATTCAGTAAATAAAAGGATCTACCAGAAAAGAAACATATAGTATATAAACAGTTTTCTCTAAACTGCATCTCACAATACATTATGCAAGCTATCATTACAAAGGTCTGTAATATTAAACCCACAAATTAAAAAAACAAAAAATACTCTCCATCAGCTAACCCAGATGTAACTCTGTGTGGACAACATCCTACACACAGAGTGATCTTTCAATGAATGCTACTTAATATTGTTTTCAGTACTATTTTAATGTACTTTATTAAATTAAGGTTTAAACTGATGTTTTTAATATTTATCAATGCATATTTATCTCCATATCCCTGATAGGTACCATCATTCTCTCCCAGGTAGAGCTGGAAGGAAAGGCATGACCTCAACTATGGGAGAAGAGCCATTGCATTAAGAACTGCAGCAAAAGACATAACAAAGAAAGAGTCAAGAAAAACAGGAAATAAAAATGCATGGGACCTAGCAATTTCCTCATTAAATTTTGTATGATGAAGTATAATAGGTTGAATCAATGGCAAATGAGACAAGAAGCCATCCACTAGGGAAAAGAAACCTGCAAATTCTGCAACAGTTCACATTATTACTCTAAGATAAAGGAAACCTACCATCAAACGAATGTTTTTGTTCAGAAAATAATCGTATTTTTGCCAAGAATAGCTTACTATAATTTGGATATTTAGACAATTAGGTCTCAAGAAGAAATGTCCTCAGCTCTAAATCACTTTTTCAGAAAGAGCATCTCTGACCATATGACCCATTCTTGTCTTATTTTTACCACTTTTCCTGAAATTAGTTTTGTAGTTTATCTGCTTCTATCACCTGTCTCCCTTCACTAGAGTGAGGACATTTACCTTATCTAACTTGTCTACCACTGTATCCCCAGCACCTATTATCTGCCAGAACAGCGACTGGCAGATAATAGATACTCAACAAGTATGTTTTATGAGTGGGAAAATGATAATAAAGACAGCAACGGCTGGGCGCGGTGGCTCACGCCTGTAATCCCAGCATTTTGGGAGGCCAAGGGTGGCGGATCACAAGGTCAGGAGATCGAGACTATCCTGGCTAACACGGTGAAACCCCGTCTCTACTAAAAATACAAAGAATTGGCTGGGCATGGTGGCAGGCCCTGTAGTCCCAGCTACTGGAGAGGCTGAGGCAAGAGAATGGCGTGAACCTGGAAGGTGGAGCTTGCAGTGAGCTGAGATCACACCACTGCACTCCAGCCTGGGCGACAGAGTGAGACTCCATCTCCAAAAAAAAAAAAAAAAAAAAAAAAGACAGCAACAATTAATACCTGGAAGCACTATTTTATCACAATGCTGTGAGATCATCACTATTTTATTCTCATTTCAGAGCTCAGCTTGTCTGAAATCCCTCTCTGATCTTCTGTTTCTAAATACCATGAGCTACTTGCTATATCAAGCAGCATGAATAACTCCTAGTTCATTGCAAGTCTTCTAAGAAATCTTTTACTCAGGCAGGAGTAAATCTAATGGCAAGGTTCTTTAGGAAAGGACAAAAAGGAAAGAAAATATGCTTGTAAACTAAGAATTATCTGAATAATGAATAATGCTTTACCCTAACATGATACTATTGTAAGATGTCCTCATGGGATTCCCCATTCACATACAATGCATGGTTACTACACACAGCCCTCTTTCCTTGCCAACCAAACTCTGATTTTGCTCAGGGCAACAATGTGCCCAGCTACACACACCCTCATTCCCAGCCTCTCTTAAATCTGGTCATGGTCACTTGAAACTGTCCTGGATAACAGGACCGAAGGGAAAGGCACCGTAAAGACAAATGCTTTTCTTTCCTGTTAAAAGGGCGAAGATGAGACTGGTGCTGCTTTGCTCATTTCCCCCATCTTTGGACTCCCTGGAATGCAGATGTAAACACTCATGAGATGATAAGCACAGAGACAAATGCAAAGGTGTTGAGGGAAGAAGAGAAAAAAGGAAGAAAGAGCCTGGGCCCACAACACTGCCATCCTTGGACCTGTTACACCAGTGATCTGTCATGCAAGAATGATATCCCTCTCTTTGATTAAACTCTATGGTTTAATTTTTGTGTTACTTGCTGATAAAAATTTCTAGGATAAAACAGCAATTTTATTTTGATTTTTCTTTTGTGAAATCAAGCAATTGTCCTTAAAAGAAAACACTCAAGTTGCGTATGTATTTCAGACATATTGTCATGTAAAGATGATGTAAAAGATCAAGGCAAAAATCGAGAAATAAAAGAGATTGTACTTATCTCTAGAAAATGAAAAAGGGAACTGTCTTTTCTTATTCCAAAATGGCCCAAATTGGTGACTCTGGGTGATGTAAATGAAAATGCTTATTATTATACCTAAAATGGGTTACAGACTGAGAACATCCTCCTCCTTCTAAGAATGTACTCTCTTCTCAGAACTGTAATTTTATTTGGTATACAGACGCCCATAGCACAGTGATAATGCTGACCCTGAAGCAAATTAAGATGGTCTACTCATTTAAATATATAGATGAGTTATGGATTGATGTTGGCCAGCATCAAAAAAAAAGAAGAAGAAGAATCAGGAGCATTCCTATCTTTATTTCAATACTAATTACTCACTGCTGAAACAGTACTCGATTCAACCTGATTCATTTAGCAAGTTTTTTTTTTTTTTGTAATAGAGAAATGACATTAGCATTGGGTGATAATATCCACTAGAAGATGTACAAACACTGCTTCTTTGAAAAGGGAAATAGATTTAAATGTCACAGATAACAGTCAAGATTTTATTTTTTCTTATTTTTAACATAAAATTAATTACTGAGGGTTATCCATTCAATTAAAGGGATACTGCAGGTTTATTAGACGCTGCTGTTCCCTTTGCTAGGGATATGGCGGCAAACCAGAGAAAGGCCCTGCCCCGGGAGCTTACCTTCTGGTGCCAAAGATGGAATAAGCCATCAGGTAAGAAGCATGACAGCAAGTCAGAGTGATGATGTTAGGCAGATACATGAAGTGGGGTAAGGAAGAGACAGTGAGTGGGGGACGTGGGGAGATTTTTAAGACGGGGAGGCAGAGAAGGAGTGCTGATATTTGAGCAGAATCCTACTTGAAGTGAGAGCACGGGACACGCTGGGACAACAGCCAGAAGGCCTGGGTGAGGGGAAGGGTGGCGGGAGATGAGACGGCGTGGGCCAAAGAGTCTCTTGTTTATTCTGGGTTGGCTGGGAGACACTGGCAAGCACTGCGTGGAGAGGGGATCGGTGAGAACACACCTACCTCGCTGCTCGGGACCTGCTGTGCGCTCTGCATCGTGGCTGCGACTGGAGTCAGCCCTTCAGAGCCCACACAGGCAGCATCCACACCGCTATTTACAGCTGGGGCTAGGTGAGCCCCATGGCGAGTTCGTGTCCATGAAGAAGAGAAGTCTGAGGACTGAACTCTGGGAACACCGAGATGTAGAGAGCAGAAAGAAAGAGTGAGCGAGGCGGCTGAGAGCGAGGAACTCAGCGAGTAGAGGAAGCGCTACGAGGAAGCTGCGGAGAAGGCGCTCAGTCCATGCAACGGTTGAACCTGCACCTGGCCGCTGGGTTTCGCAAAGTGCCAGGCTGCCAGGCCTGCGGCAAGAATGCTTTCAGTGAAAAGGTGTGAGCAAGCCTGATGGAGGTTCACGGGAAAGTGGAAGAGGAAAAAGGGAGAAGCTATAGTTTAAACAACTTATTAAGAAGTTTTTATATAAAAGGTTGTATAAAGTGGTTATAAAAAAGTGGATTTATGCCCCAAATGGTATTTCTATTATTGTTTTTGTTTGAGTGATGATGAGAATATTTCAGTACAGGGAAAATTTGATAATGTAGGGAGGGGTTTAAATGTGGGAAAAAGTCATTGAGTGAGGACGGGGTGATAGGCCAGTATCCCAGTGAGGATGAGCAGTGGGGCGATCAGGGACTGTCAGTAGTCCCAGTCCTGGCGAAGGCAAAACCTATGTGTGCAGATGATGGGGCGCTAGTGGGCTCGATGGCAGAAGGAAGACAAATTTCTCCACTGACAGCTTTTATGTTCTCGGTGAAACAGGCAGTAAGCTCGACAGCTGAGCTTGAGAATGCAGCAGTGGAGCAAGGTATGAAATGTGAACTAAAAATCAATAAAGCAAACTGTTCAATTATGCACTCTTTCCCATTTCAAATAATTAAGATTTTACTATCTTTACTTTGGACTGGAAATGTTTAGGTTAGTATCTTGGTTTTTTCCCTGCCACCCCACAGGAAATTTGTATTATAGTTTGCTAAGAAGATTTAATGAAATAATTACCCTTGAACATTGGAGAATGCAAATAATAAGCATTATCTTTCAAACTAAAATTATAGGTTAATCATACCTATTCTCCTCCTCCTAATGAAATTAGGGAAAATAAATATCCATTGTGCTATAATAATTAGTGTCTCAAATAGAAGAAGAAAATAATATAACCAAACACCATGTTTGCTTGTACCTGGGTTTCAGGACATCATATTTCATAATACATAAATAAAATAGAACAACAATTTTGTGAAATGAAAATGCAAAAAAAAGAATTTTAAAAGGTTCCTAAAAATGTCAATTTTATACTTACTTGACAATCTAGAAAAATCTTTAAAGTACCACGATGGCAATATTAGTAGAGAAAGGCAATCTAACCATCTGCCTGACATAGGGATATGTTTAGAAATGTGGTAAATTCCTGAAAGAGATGAATCGATATAATAATAATACTTATCTTCCACTCAGAAACAATCACACAGTAAGAAAAGAATGCAGACTCCAAAAGTCTCTTTCACAGATCTGACATAGCTTCAGAGCAGTTAAGGCAAAAATATCATGTGGTACTGGCCTTTGCTTATTATTTTGAAATGAGACAGAAGACCACTTCCTTAATAAAGAACTGGCAAATATTTTCTTAACAAAATATAGTAAAATGCATTTATCATATGTTCAGCTTTAATTAAGAGTTAATAAGATAATGGGTAATTGGCTAATTAAATGAGGATCCCAGAAAAGGATGACCTCATATTTAAATATGAGTACAGTATCAGGGAGATCAGAGGTTTGATGGAAAATGGAATGATTTGACCTGTAGACTCCAGTCGAAGCATCTGAGATCTGGTGTGTATTGGTATGAGCCATTGTAAGGATTAGGAACAAGAAAGTGAAGAAGTTACACATATAGTTTTACTGATATATGGATAAAATGACAATAAAGAAGAGAAAATTGTAGATTCAATTTTAGATATCTCCCCATTCAAAAATGTCACATTAGTATTTTAAAGTATTTATACCACAACCACTTAAATACAACAAAACTAAGCTCTTTTTATATTACAGAATAGGCCTTTGTAAAATGTTGGATTGTTTTATTACTCAGTTTTTAACCTTTCAAAAATCAGGAGAATGACCTTTTTGTTGATCTACAGAAGGGATAAAATTGTGAGAGGTCCACATAGACAATGTAGAAGCATAAGATTTTGTTTTTTCTTTTTATGAGACTTGTTGGCTGGTATCACCCAGGCTGGACTGCGGTGCTGCTATCACGGTTCACTGCAGCATCAACTTCCTGGGCTCAAATGATCCTTCTGCCTCAGCCTGCTGGGTAGCTGGGACCACAGTTGCACACCACCATGCCCAGCTAATTTTTCTATGTTTATTTTGTAGTGAGGGGGGTCATGCTATGTTGCCTAGGACAGTCTTGACCTCCTGGGCTCAAGTGATTCTCCCACTTCAGCTTCCAAGAGTGCTGGGATTACAGGCATGAGCTACCATGCCCAACCATAAAGCACAGAATTTTAAGAATAGAAAAAATGTTAAGAGTTATTGGCATACACAAAAAAATGTTTTACATATAAATAAACTGTATTAAGCCTACCCTTAACTAACATTAGACTTACTGTGAGGAACTAAAGAGTTAAATGGCACCTAAGGGTTTTTAATGTGAATACTATTTCACTAGATAGCCCTGTTCCATTTTTTTCATTATTTTTAAGAAATAAATAAGACAGTGATTAAAATATATTTATCTTTTAAACTTTACCCTTATGAAAATTGTCTCTCAAAGAAATTATAAAGAAATAAGAGGAGTTTTTAAAAATTTTTTTATTATTATTATACTTTAAGTTTTAGGGTACATGTGCACAACATGCAGGCTTGTTACATATGTATACACGTGCCATGTTGGTGTGCCGCACCTATCAACTCGTCATTTAGCATTAGGTATATCTCCCAATGCTATCCCTCCCCCCTCCCCCCACCCCACAACAGTCCCCAGTGTGTGATGTTCCCCTTCCTGTGTCCATGTGTTTTCATTGTTCAATTCCCACCTATGAGTGAGAACATATGGTGTTTGGTTTTTTGTCCTTGCGATAGTTTGCTGAGAATGATGGTTTCCAGTTTCATACATGTCCCTACAAAGGACATGAACTCATCATTTTTTATGGCTGCATAGTATTCCATGGTGTATATGTGCCACATTTTCTTAATCCAGTCTATCATTGTTGGACATTTGGGTTGGTTCCAAGTCTTTGCTATTGTGAATAGTGCCGCAATAAACATACGTGTGCATGTGTCTTTATAGCAGCATGATTTATAATCCTTTGGGTATATACCCAGTAATGGGATGACTGGGTCAAATGGTATTTCTAGTTCTAGATCCCTGAGGAATCGCCACACTGACTTCCACAATGGTTGAACTAGTTTACGGACCCACCAACAGTGCAAAAATGTTCCTATTTCTCCACATCCTAAGGACTTTTTAACTTTATTTTGCCCTAAACCTCCTTTAGCCTTTTATGAGAAATCAGCCTTTAAGAAAACCCACCTAATTTGGTACTTGGTTTATGTAATTGAATTATTCCCATTTTACTCAAGTGAAAATGCTGCAAAACCATCCCCCTTCTCTCTTTCTCTCTCTCATTCATTCACTCATTCTCTCTCTCTCCCCATTCCTCCACATTGCCTTAAGCAAATTGACACTAAACTGGGATGATAACGTGTATACTCCTAAGTCCTAGGATTGTACTTATTCATGTAAGGGGAGATAAGAGACAGGTCAAAAGCTATAAGCATATCCAGGTAGCTTATGAATTGGTTTTGAGCATCCCCAGCTCTTGAACTGTTTTTCCTCTCTTTTACTAAAAGAGAAATTTAGTACATCTAGTTTCATTGATGGTGTCACATACAATTTTCGGACTAAAAATGTCAAGCTGGTTAGTTGCTGATAGAAATGTCATATATGTTCTCATAACCAAATATGTATAAATATGAAAGTTACCCATAAGATTGAAACATACTCCCAAGTGGAGTGACTATATCATTTTTCCAATAACCTGAAAAGTACATCTAAAGCGGGAACTATGGTGTCCATAATCCCTTCTCAAACTAGCCTAACAGGGCCACATTAAAAGTTCTCATGACCAGTAAGCTGCTTTTGGGCATTCTTAACAGAAAATGTTATGAGTTGTTTGAGAATACACACACACACACACACACACGCACATACACACACACAATTACACAATGTATAATTCTAATTACATTTCTCTCCATGGCTTCTTCCTGAAATCTAACTCTACAATTAATGACATTTCATTATTGACATTCAGAAACTTGGCAGAACTGCCAAGTTTCTAAATGGAAGGAAAATTCTCCACCTGATGTCTGTAACAGATGCTTCGATAACGTAAAAGGAGCAAATTGCCTTCCCTCCAACTCCCCTGTACTAGTTGATTCACTGGTGGCTTTGAATTTGTCCAGACTGTAGAACTGAGAGAGAACAAGCCCTAACTGAGTCTCAGTGTTAGTGCTGCCCCAAGGGAGCTTCTTGCAAGGAGATGTAAGAAACCAGACTTCCTACCTTCTGCCTGGTCAAATCAGCAAATAAAAATGTTCGCTGGCACCTTGGGTATAAAGGCACTCCATTCAGAGAAGGAGAGAAAGCTCCCATGATACAGTCTAACCATTCAAATTCTAACTTTCCAATGCCTTAGTGAGTGTCTCAGTGCCAGGGACCGCACGGAGTGCCATCCCAGTACAGACTACAGCAGCGCCAGGCTCCACAAGGTCAGAGGCCACAGACACAGCAGGACCAGGAGAGCCTGGGAGTCTACTAGAAGAAAACGGATCCCCTTACTGGCATACAAAACTGGAAGGGACTTAAAGATTGAAGCTTCCAGATCCCACAAAATCAGAATTCCAGTGGCAAGCTTGTGAATCATTTATGTGTTCCCCATTCAGGTTGTGAACCACTGACCCAGTCCACCCACTTATTTTTGTAAATAACAAAATAAAGGTTTATGTGGTCACATAATTTGTGCCAACTCATAAGTCATATTATGGTATTTGGGACAAAAATTCAAGGTTTGTAACTTGCAGATCTGTACTTTTTTGACTCTGCTATGATACACAATAAGCAACTGCTACAATTAATTTTTTTAATTTTCATATATATATATTTGAGATGGAGTTTTCACTCTTGTTGCCCAGGCTGAAGTGCAGTGGCACGATCTCGACTCACTGCAACCTCTGCCTCCCAGATTCAAGCACTTCTCCTGTCTCAGCCTCTCAAGTAGCTGGGATTACAGGCACGCGCCACCAGGCACGGCTAATTTTTTTGTATTTTTAGTAGAGACGGGGTTTCACCATGTTGTCCAGGCAGGTCTCCAACTCCTGACCTCAGGTGATCCACCCGCCTCGACCTCCCAAAGTGCTGGGATTACAGATGTGAGCCACCGTGCCCAGACTAATTTTAAAATATGTAATTGACAAAGATAATATATATTCAAGATGTATGACATGGTGATGTGATAAACATATATATTGTGTGATGATTACCACAATCAAATTAACACATCACCACCCATGCTGTACATAATATTCCTGGAACTTGTTCATTTTGTAACTGCAAGTTTGTACATTTGGCCAACATTTCTCCATTTCTGTTACCCCTCAGCCCCTGGTAAACATCATTCTGCTCTCCACTTCTATTAGTTAGACTTTTTTAGATTTCATATAGGTAGGATCATACAGTATTTGTTTTTATGTGCATGGCTTATTTCACTTAGCATAAAGCACTCCAGTTTATCCATGATATTGGAAATGACAGGATTTCTTTCTTTTTATGGATGAAAAATATTCCATTGTATGTACAATACCGTATGTTCTTTATCCATTCATCCACTGATGGGCAATTAGGTAGATTCCCTATCTTTGCTATTGTGAATAATGACGCAATGAACATAGGGGTACAGGTATCTCTTAGAGATACTTATTTCATTTCATTTGGATACATACCCAAAAGAGGGATTGCTGGATCTCATGGTAGTTCTATTTGCAATTTTTAAAGGAACCTCCATTTTTTTTTTCCATAACAGCTATACCAATTTATATTCCTATTAACAGTGTACAAGGGTTCTCTCTTTTCTCCACATCCTGGCCAATTCTTGTTATCTTTTGTCTTTTTGATAACAATCATCCTAACAGGTGTTAGGTGATATCTCACTGTAGTTTTGATTTGCATTTCTCTGACAATTAGTGATGCTGAGCACCTTTTCATACAGCTATGGCCCTGCTGTCCATCTGTATGGCTTCTTCAGAAAAAAAAGTCCATCCAAGTCCTTTGCCCATTTTTAATTATTTAATCAGATTTTTGGTTTTTTGCTATTGAGTTAGATGAATTCCTTATATACATGGAGATAACCCTTTATCAGATGTCGGGTTTGTATCTATTTTCTCCCATTCCATAGGTTGTTTCTTCATTCTATTGACTGTTTCCTTTGCTGTGCAGAAGCTTTATAATTTGATGTAGTCTTTGTTTATTTTTGCTTTTGTTGTCATATTTAAAAACTCACTATCAAAACCAATGTCTTGATAAAGCTTTTCCTTATGTTCTCTTCTAAGAGTTTTATGGTTTCAGATCTTAGATTTAAGTCTTTAATCCATTTCAAGTTAATTTTTGTATGTGGTGCAAGACAAGGGTCCAATTTCATTCTTCTGCATGTGGATATGTAGTTTTCCCAGAACCACTTATTAAAGAGATTTCCTTTCCCTATTATATATTCTTGGTGCCTTTGTCAAAGATTACTTGACCATATACATGGGTTTATTTCTGGGCTTTCTTCTGTTTCATTGGTCTATGTGTCTCTTTTTATGCTACTAACATACTATTTTGATTACTATAGCTTTGTGCTGTACTTTGAAATCAGGGAATGTAATGTCTCCAGCTTTGTTCTTCTTTCTTAAAACTGCTCAAGCTACTTGGGGTCTTTTGTAGCTCCATGAGACAGTTATTTCTATTTCTGTGAAAAATGCCATTGGAATTTTGATACAGATTGCACTGAATCTGTAAACTGTTTTGAGTAGTATGAATTTTAACATTAAGTCTTCCAGTCCACGAATATGGGATATCTTCCCATTTATTTTTGTCTTCTACAATTTTTTTCAATTTCTTAAAAGTTTTCAGCAGGCAGATATTTCACCTCCTTGGTTAAATTTATTCCTAAGCATTATGTTCTTTTTGATGCTATTGTAAATGGAATTTGGATAGCTCATTGTTAGTGTATAAAGACCCAACTGATTTTTGTATATTGATTTTGTATCCTGCAACTTTACTGAATTTATTTATTAAGTCTAAGAGTTTCTTTGTAGACTCTTTAGGGATTTTGATATGGTTTGGCTCGGTGTCCCCACCCAAATCTCATCTCAAATTGCAATCCCCATGTGTTGAGGGAGGAAGGTGATTGGATCATAAGGGTGGTTTTCCCCATGCTGTTCTCATGATAGTGAGTGAGTTCTCATGAGATCTGGTGGTTTTATAAATGACAGTTTTCACTGTGCTTTCACTGTTCTCTCTCCTGCCACCTTGTGAAGAAGATGCCTGCTTCCCCTTCTGCCATGATTGTAAGTTTCCTGAGACCTCCTCAGCCATGCAGAACTGTGAGTCAATTAAACCCCTTCCTTTATAAATTACCCAGTCTCAGAGAAGCTCTTTATAGCAGTGTGAAAACAGACTAATACAGTTTTCTATATGCACAAAAGATTACAGTATCAGCAAACAGAGACAATGTAACTTGTTCCTTTCTAATGTGAATGCCTTTCATTTCTTTTTCTTCTCTAATTACTATGGCTTGGATTTCCAATACTATGTTGAATAGATGTGAGCTAAAGTAGGCACCCGTGTCTTGTTTCTGATTTTCTATCTGGATGATCTATCCACTGTTGAGAGTGGATACTGAAGTCCAATACTATTAGTGTATTGCTGTCTATTTCTCTATTCACATCTCTTAATATTTGCTTTACATAATAATCAAAATTTTTATATGTTTATGTACACCAACTTCTTGTTGCAACTATTCCTAGCTTTAAAAGATAGCAAGGGTAGTCATGCACATCAAGACAGTCAAATATCTGAAATGAATAGAATGGAGTTCTACCATATGTCCAAATTCAAATATATATGAAAAAGGGGGAAAGAAATGTACTCTAGTAGCTACAAGTATAGGTGATCCTACTACAGTACTCAAGAATGGAATCTGGGTATGAGCACGAGATAGAAGTCAGAGACTACTACTCTTCTCCTCAGTCTCAATATGTTCCTCCAGTGTGAGCAGTCTTCTGAATGTGCAAACAACCTGGTATTTAAAAGTGCAGTGTGATTATCGTACAGCATGACCCTCAATTCACACCAATGACTTCACCTAATGCTCAACAACGCCAACTGTACAGTTCAGTGATGGAGGTAATCCACTCTGGTGGGCTTACTGAGACACACTTTTCAGTAATTGTGATTAAACATGATTTTTTGCATTACTCGCTGAATTTAGACCCTAATCCTAGAATAAAATGTGACTCCACTGTGTGAAAGAATTTTCCTTGGCTGTCTGGCATTATATACAATTTGATGAGAGGGATTACATAAAAGATTCCTCTCCTTTTCTAATGACCTCCATTACAAAATAGGTCCATTGACATGAAAAGAATAACGATGACTTCAAAGAAAATTACGGAAAATGTTCTTGTCAATCTAAAAAATATAAACTGCTCATTAAAGTATAAAAACTTCCATAACCATATTTCTTTTACTCTGTTTTATAATTCTTTGGAACAATAAAAGCTTTTAATGTTCAAGAAAAGAGTCAAGTCAAATAGCAACAAGGAGAATGTGGATTAGTCAAGGAGAATAATGCCTTGGAGAAGAGGTTTGGTAATGCAGGAGAAAAAGGACTATGTGGTCAGCAGCTGTATCCTCCTCTACATGGCTTTCAGCTCATTGGTGGTTATAGAAATAACACTACATACAGAAAATTTTTATGAAGCACTGAACGCAAATAAAATTAGGAGTATTCTAAAGAATGCTATAGAGTGAGTGAGATGTAGCAGAAGACTGCACTGCCAGAAATCTAGAGGGTCACTTCAAACATAGTAGGGCGAGGCTACTGGCTGCTCAGAGAAGGTCTGACTTTGTATCTGCAACACCTAGGATGAGAAGCTCCCAAATATGCCATCCTGTGAGTGGGCCATAGAAGAAAAGATCTATGGTTCTCATGGCTGGATGCACAGGTGCACAGAGCTGTTATCCCAAAGACTTGGGTATAGTATTCTGCCATCCCCTCTAATTATGGTAAACTTATGTGCTGAAGTGAAACTTACTGCTTTGCTAAGGAAAACAAATTCCAATTTTTACTCTCTGATTTGAAATGAATACCAAAGCATAAACGAAAAGTAACATAAAAGCCAAAGTCTCTTACTTCTTAAATATGATGAAAAATTTTCAGTTCTCTAAGTCTGTCATTTAGCGCTCATTGAATTTTAGGTTTGTGTATATTTGCAACTTCTTGATTCTTGGTTGCTTAGAATGCAGAGTGAAATGAAAAAAATCATAATCTTTATACAGCTCTCTTTCAGAATGCAAATACATAATGTTTACATTAAAAATACTTGACTCTGTGTTCATTCCTAGGAGTCATTTAAGGATACCTCTACTTGTAAAATAAAACTATGACGTATTTTTAAATGTTTCTAATACCATGAAAGACAAAAAAAATGAAAGATTTTCCAAGATGCTAATACCATTAAGCTTGTCCTTAAAGCAACACAGATAGCTGCCCTTGCCCACTTCTCATTCTCCTTGACCCCCAATTTTGAAAGAATAATTGCTATAAATAAGAAAAAGCATCTTTAAGAGGAGGAATTTTAATCTTTTAACACTAAATACTAGTGCATGAAGTAGCCAAAATAGCCAGACATTGACTTCTCTGTGAATATCTTCACTATGGCACTACCACGCCATGAGTGTTCACAGGACTATCTCTCCTTCTGGTGCCTTTATCATCATGGCCATAAGTGTAGAACTATTTCCCATAGGACTTTGCAAACCCTAGAACAGCAGTTAGTACATTAGAGATACCAAATAAATCTCTATTCAATTACCACAACAACAATGAGATGATAAAACTCTTCCTCATGTAATATTTTCAGACAGTCAGTTGATTGCTCAACTGCTCAAGGTTTCCATTAACCAGGTATTGTAGGGTGACGTAGGGCAGGGATATAGATACATAACAATTGCATCCAGTTCCCTTCCCCTGCCATGGAAGGCATCATTGTCTTCTGAAAGGGTTAAATCTCTCTGAGAAAAAGCTGAAAAGTCTCTGCGTGAACTCAGGATCTCTACTCAACGTCCATATGCTGACTTGCATAAATCTATAGCCAGATATGAGTCATAAATTGGGATAGGGTGAGAATCTGGCGAGCCTTACTGTCAAACCACTGAGTTGTTTCATCCATTTTAGAAGGGACGGGCTATTGTACCTATTTTAAAGGTCTGTAAATTCGCACAGAGCTGTGCTTTATTTAATACAATCTATGATGGTCTGTACATGTGATGACAGAAACTGCTATGCCACACTGCATCGCAACTGTGAACAAAGTCTTCAAGCTAGAATGAGAAAATAATCTGCAGAATTGTTCTGAGCTAGCCACTAGGCATCCAACAACTAAGTTATAGAATCAAGTAAATGGATTCTGCCCTCACACCTCCAGAAGGTAGAGACGCAGGATAAGCACTTCAACAAGGAACATTTAAAACAGACAATATCATTATGACTGTAAGTACATTTTGAAACGTATTATTTTTTTCTCGATAAGTCTATCATGTAGATCTGTAATTAGGGACTTTGAAAATAGCTACCTTTTTAAAAAACACAATATGCTGTAATTGTCTATTAAGTCAATGAGTACTTAGGGACTCTTAAAACTGCTGATTACTTGCTTGCTGTAATTTGGAAGAACAAGTACTAAAGATTCCTTGTGAAATTCTCTTTAAAACAGAATGAAATTGAAAATGTGCTATTACCTGGTTAGGCTAACAATATTTTTTCCTCGGAATGACATCCATCCATCATCATATTAATTGCTTCACATCTGGCCAAAAAATTGCATTAACTTTTATTTTATAATCTAAGTGAATTTCCATCTCTGAATAAAATTTTTCTAATTCCACAGAGTTTCAATGCTCATAAAAGATGGCATTATTAATCATTCATTGCTTAGTGTAGATTAAGAATTTTATCTCACTCATCAGGATAAACAATGTACCAGCCATATGGTGTATTTACAAGTCATTCTGTTGTATTTATATACGTGCAGTATATTAAATGAAATTGGATAAAAATGAACTATACCTTTTATCAAGTTATGTGCTATTATGCCTGTTTATGTTTAACTGTTAAATAAATTAGCAATGTTCTCAAAGTCATTAATATAAATTACAAAGGATATATATATTTTAGTTTGTATTATTACTCTATTAATATACACTTTAACTTCATAATGATAATTTAATTTACTTTGTAATCAAGCATTATAATTACTTCCAAATAAAAATCAAACAGAAGCTAAAGAAAGAACAATGACACAATTATTTAGACATGGAAGCTAGCTAAGAAATCTCATTTTTCTGCCTATCAACTTCCTATTTAGGAAAGTTTCCTTGGTCACTTAGGGAGGGTTATTCTTGGCCTGTGTCTCTCCTACTAGGCTTGACTAGACCAATTCCATAGCTACTACTCAAGAACTCACTCACTCCATTAAGGTGGCAGGCGAGAGCCCAAGGTGGCCTCTACAGATGCATGTTGGTTTTGCATTATGTGACTAACCAACACATTATAGAGAGAAGAATATATAGACAAATGTTTTTTGGAAGTCAGACCATGGAAAAACACTAAGAGATACCACCGTCCTTCCATTCATGAAGCTTATGGTTTCATAAGAACTAATGACAACTGAGATGATTACATATTGTATTTTGCACTGCGGAGATAAGGAAGTGGTCAAATGAAAAATAATAGTGATTGCTATTCTTTAGATAATATGGCCCATGGAGGCCTTTCTAAGAAGGGACCATTCAAGATGTATTCTAAAGGGTGAGAAAGAGCCATCTGGTAGAAGAGCAGATAGACCATTCTGAACAGAGAAGACAGCATATATATACAAAGGCCTTAGGGTGGAAAGAGTTTGTGTTCACCAATTGAGAGAAAGGAATAAGCGTAGTGAATGAGAGGCTTAAGGAAGACAAGGAGGCAAGAGGTGTGTATGTGCACACTCCTCTCTTCTGTTTTCATTTACTCCCCCTCTGTTTTCATTTACCCTTCCTTCATGCTGGCATTGGAGTGGGCATCTATTTATAAATAGGAGGTCTTAAAACAAGGCTGTGGCAATACTAAGGGACAGCTGTACATCTGTAGAAAGAGATCCCACATGGCTACTTACACATGGTAGAAGGTCAGTGGCCAAGTTAATGAGCCCAAGGCTGTACTTCCATTTCAGCACAGCCTGTGTGGTACATGGAGGGGACCCAGAAGTTCTTACGTGCCTCAGTAAGGAAGCACGGGGTCTCTAAAAGGGCTGGTAGGTGAGCAGAAATCTGGTGTCAAGATATAAAAGCCACATACAGAGTGGCTTGGGGATTAGAGCAAACAGCTCTTCCTCCTTGGAGGAAGGATCTTGAGCAAGACCCATCAGGGATGTCTCTTTATGAAAAGGTAAGGCTCCATCTTCCTGGGAAGAGTGTGCCCTGTGAGCTGCTGATGATCAGGAATGATGTGAAGTCACTGCAGGCGACCCAGGTATGAGGCTATGCTGCAATGTCATCTATTTTTGGGCTTTGCTGCCCTCTTCCCCTCATGCCTCATGCAGCATTGCTGATGCTGCAAAACAGAGGATACCATCCCTTGCTGGAAACCCAACCTCAGCACTTCCATAGGCCTCGCCCCAGGTTGGGACCTCTCACTGGCTGGGTTACCCACTTTTCTGTTCAGAGACGGGATAACCAGAGGGCAACACATCTGATTATAAAAGTGCATATTGCAGGGTTTAGGCAAGTAAGAATACATTCTGACCAGGACCAGAGACCCCACTCTGGCTCTAACAAGCTGTGTGAATCATTGAGTTGCCTCACCTCTGGATGAGAGGTTTGGATCTGATAAGTCCTAGGATTCCATCAGTTTCATATTCCACACCCCTATCTTTGGTGACTAGGATAAGAGAAGATGAATCGAAACACCTCTCCTGCATCTATTTATATCTATACCCAAGCTGAGCGAGCAGCTTTGTTCTTCTTAAGTTGGAGATGCAAAGTGTTCCCATCATAAACAAGAGCCCAGCTTAATCTGACGCGATGGTCCCTGCACGGGAGGCTCCAGGGCATGCCACATGGCTCTCCCTGAAGGGCCAGCACCACCAGGCCACTCCATACCCCACCAGCCCTTGTCGCGGCACCTCAGTTTTTTGTCATTTCATAACAAACACTTTATATATACCCTGGTGAGAAAAGTCTGTTAGTTACTAAGTGGTGCAGCCAAATCTGCATTTAATTAAAAAATGAATATTTTGTCTCAAGCTATATCTATCTTATTAGAAGCACTGGGACATGTCACATTTTTATTTTGTTGTTTTTATTCCTACTTTAAAACATTTAAAAGCATTTCTACATAATCAAATATTTTATTCTGCATTGTTTAGCTCTGATTTCTGAAAGAGTGTTTAAAACAAGGGCTGAAGGGGCAGGAAGGGTGACGTAAGTACAGCCGTTCTCATCCACAGCATGGAGAGTCATGCAGTCCTGGGGGGCTGCCCTGCTGGTGGACTGGCACATTCCATCCTGGAGCCTTCACCAAGTGTTTCCGGACATGAGCTAAGCACCTGCAAGAGCTACAGAGGTTCCACAGAGTGAGGAGCAAGGGTGAAAATACAAAGACCCCACCCTAGGGGATCTCCTGGATTAAAAGAGGAGCCGGCGTTCATTCCCTTACTCAGTGACTACCTTTTGTGTTGCAAGTCAGCAGTGTTTGGAGTCAGGAGTGTTCGGAGTCAGTGTTGCAAGTCAACAGTGTTGCAAGTCAGCAGTGTTACAAGTCAGGAGTGTTCGGAGCCAAAACCTTGTTTAATCTCACAGGCCTGCAGATTCCAGAGGTCATGGAACTCATCCAAACGCACAGAGTTGGCCAGGGGCGGTGGCTCACGCCTGTAATCCCAACACTTTGGGAGGCCAAGGTGGGCGGATCACCTGAGGTCAGGAGTTCAAGACCAGCCTGGCCAACATGGTGAAACCCAGTCTCTACTAAAAATACAAAAATTAGCCGGGCTTGGTGGCGGGGTCTGTAATCCCAGCTACCCAAGAGTATGAGACAGGAGAATCACTTGAACTTGGGAGGCGGAGGTTGCAGTGAGCTGAAATCGCACCATTACACCCCAGCTTGGGTGACGAGAATAAAGATCCGTCTCAAAAAAAAAAAAAAAAAAAGCACGGAGTTAATCAGAGCAGAAAGGAAATGGACATCCAAGTCTTCCTAACTCCAGAGTCTATCATCTAGCTTCTCAAACTTGGTTAATTTCCCACGCAAGAAAAACTGGACATCCCATTGTCCAATGGAGTAGGTAATCTGTGTGTGAATAATTACCAATATAGTAAAAGAAATGAGCTCCATTTAAAGAAAATTTACATCAAGTGTGACTGGGATTACAGTTTCCAAATGATGTGACTAAAAAGATTGCCAAAATATGACCCAGTTAGATGACCAGAGCAGGCATGGTTTTTAGGTTCTGATATTTTCATATTTTTAAAGGACATTCCAGAAACACAAAGCATGATAGAAAGATCTTGACAATTCAACAGTGCTAAGACATCAGTATTTAGTTTCAATTCTAACTGTAGGAAAAGCCCACCATGAGGGACTCTATGTCAAATAAAGCAGACAAATCGCGTCCTCATGGATGAGAAAAGGAGAGCTTAATCTGGCAGCAGGGTACCAGGGTGAATTGCAGGTGATCATCTGTAGTTAGGAACAGCAGCTAAGAGGAAGCTGTCATCACCTGGTCATACAAAATTGGACTCTTTTCAGTTGAATGGGAACATTTAAGTTTTCATTCTCAAGAGGCTTTTCCCTGTTAACTTTTCAAGAACTTACACTGGGCCTTAGGGCTTGAATATTATGGTCTTGGCTCAAATTTACTGCACAAGTATTTCTGCAGAAGCTGAGATCCACGGTGTGCACTCTACCTTGGCTCAATGTCTGCAATGAGATTAAATGGCACTAGAAAAATAGAAACAAACTAAAGGGATTATCACTTGTTTAGAAAGACCTAAAATTTTAATAAGTTCTAATAAAATGTGTATAGAGAACCAGCAAGTTCTAGTGTTGCCTACACTTGTGCCATTTTCACCTCTAGAGAGGCTGCCACTAACTATTTCAGGCCCGGCGTGCTCATCTGAGCCCGGCTCAACACTGCCCCGAGGTTCCTTCCTGGGCTCACCCCACTGCATTCTGCTCACTCTGTAAAACAACAGTAGCAATCTAGATTTCATTTTTACTCATCCATGGGCAGCTGTGTGATTTTATTCTATTTCATACATTTGTAAACCACAGTCCCTTCAGACACAAATTGGAAGCTCACTGAAAAAATACATATAATTCTTATATATAAAATATATATATATATCTAAGAAAGCTAAGAGAGAATATACCTGTGTGTGTGTGTGTATGTACGCATTTTTCTTCCTTTGTTTCCAAGGTTTTTATTACAATAACAGCTACTAATTTGTTGAAAAAAGGGAAAATATTCATAAAGAAAAACAGATGAGAATAATAGATTAAAAAACTCTCTACCTCATATTTTCTTTTGATCATTCTTTTTTCATATAATATCACTGGTAGACAACCTACTGTGATATCTTTTGTAAAAATCCACTAAAGTAAATCAATAAAATAACATTCAAGTCAGATTCCACCTCTATAAAATATAGAGTAGATTCCATGATCTCTAAGATCATTTTCCCAAGCCCTCAACTTTTAGTAGTCTTTGTAGTATTTGACCAATAAAGTTATCATAGATAAGTACCTAACACAATTGTTGAGTCACATAAATACAACAAAAATAAAACAAAAGAGTTCAAAAAAAAATCCGAAAGTTAAACTATCTTAAAATACTTCTAAAATATCTGGAAATTAATGTTGGCCAGCTGACTTTATTCATATATGATAAAATACTGCGTGTGGTTGTATAGATCTACTTACAAACTCTATTTTGATCTGATTTTAAAAGATACTGGACATTATAGTGAGAAAAGTTTAGTTTGAATTATATGAGTAAATAAGATTAACCCATTGACTCAACTGGCACTCAGAATAAAAGATGATTGGATGTGATTGTTTGTACACATATCATAGATAAAAGACACAGTAAAAGGGTGGTACATGTGACTCCTCTGTAGAGCAAATGCCCTGAAGCCTCCATGCCACACAGGCATTTGACAACAACTGAGCGGTGTGATTTTCCCGTAAGAAAAGTGAAGATACAGAGGACAGCTATAGAAAGGTAAGATATTGTCTTCAGATTCTTAGGAGGCCAGTGTTCAAGGTGCTGTGAGTAAATGTGAGGTGTAAATGAAAGGTTTTGAGAGGAAAATGGTGGACGATAGGTGAGTAATGCATTGACTGTGAAGGGCTTTGTGTGCATGCAAAGGAGTCTCAGGTTGATAGGATACTCCATGCCAAAGAAGAGTTTTAATAACGTGGAAAACGAGGTGAGTTTGGGGTTTTATATGGACTATTCCAGGAAAGAAGAGAGAAAAGACAATCATAACACCACTGCAACGGTCAATGACAGGCCCTCAAATGTTGTTTTGTTAGAGTGCCTGGAGCAACCATTTGTTTCTACTTCCCAGTGGAAAAAGAATTCAGTGATAAATAAAAAAATAAGTAACAGAATCGGTTTTGGAGTAGGGGTGTGTTTGTCTACGGGTGTGTGTGTGTGGGGGGGGGGTGGGTGTGTGTGTGTGTGTGTGTGTGTGTGTGTGTGTGGGTGGGTGTGTATTTTTGCTTTCACAATAGGGGCAGGGATGACATATATTGAACCACATCACAAGCATGTCTTAAAGTATAGGTATTTCAAAATCAATAAAACATAAATATTTATGGTGCAGATAAAGATAATTAAAACCATAAGATTAACCAAACAACCTATAATAAGCTATATTAATCTTGATTAATCTAAACAAACAAGTTTATAACAAAAAAGTCAAACAGCAAAAACTGAAAATCATAACCAACCAAAGACAGCCAATTACAAGTTGTCTTTCCCCCAAATTCTAGGGACTGTAATTACCTGTCTGTGAATACACAAAATACACATCTTGTAATACTGCCAACAACACATGGAACTCAAACTTCTTAAGAAAAAGTGAATTAGAGGGTGAAGCCAAGATGGCCAAATAGGAACAGCTCCAGTCTACAGCTCCCAGCATGAGTGACGCAGAAGACAGGAAATTTCTGCATTTCCAACTGAGGTACCGGGTTCATCACACTGGGGAACGCTGGACAGTGGGTGCAGGACAGTGGGTGCAGTGCACTGTGTGTGAGCTGAAGCAGGGCGAGGCATCAACTCACCCGGGAAGCACAAGGGGTCAGGGAATTCCCTTTCCTAGTCAAAGAAAAGGGTGACAGATGGCACCTGGAAAATCGGGTCACTCCCACACTAATACTGCACTTTTCCAACAGGCTTAACAAACGGCACACCAGGAGATTATATCCTGCACCTGGCTTGGAAGGTCCTATGCCCACGGAGCCTCGCTCATTGCTAGCACAGCAGTCTGAGATCAAACTGCAAGGCAGCAGTGAGGCTGGGGTAGGGGCGCCCACCATTGCAGAGGCTTGAGTAGGTAAACAAAGAGGCCAGGAAGCTGGAACTGGGTGGAGCCCACCACAGCTCAAGGAGGCCTGCCTGCCTCTGTAGGCTCCACCTCTGGGGGCAGGGCACAGACAAACAAAAGGCAGCAGTAACCTCTGCAGACTTAAACGTCCCTGTCTGACAGCTTTGAAGAGAGTAGTGGTTCTCCCAGCACGCAGCTTGAGATCTGAGAATGGGCAGACTGCATCCTCAAGTGGGTCCCTGACCCCCGAGTAGCCTAACTGGGAGGCACCCCCCGCTAGGGGCAGACTGACACCTCACACGGCTGGGTACTCCTCTAAGACAAAACTTCCAGAGGAACGATCAGGCAGCAGCATTTGCAGTTCACCAATGTACGCTGTTCTGCAGCCACCGCTGCTGATACCCAGGCAAACAGGGTCTGGAGTGGACCTCCAACAAACTCCAACAGACTTGCAGCTGAGGGTCCTGACCATTAGAAGGAAAACTAACAAAAAGAAAGGACATCCACACCAAAAACCCATCTGTACGTCACCATCATCAAAGACCAAAGGTAGATGAAACCACAAAGATGGGTAAAAAACAGAGCAGAAAAACCGGAAACCCTAAAAAATCAGAGTGCCTCTCCTCCTCCAAAGGAACGCAGCTCCTCACCAGCAACGGAACAAAGCTGGACAGAGAATGACTTTGACAAGTTGAGAGAAGAAGGCTTCAGAAGATCAAACTACTCTGAGCTAAAGGAAGAAGTTTGAACCAATGGCAAAGAAGTTAAAAACCTTGAAAAAAGATTAGACGAATGGCTAACTAGAATAATCAACGTGGAGAAGTCCTTAAAGGACCTGATGGAGCTGAAAACCATGGCACAAGAACTACGTGACGAATGCACAAGCCTCAGTAGCTGATGCGATCAACTGGAAGAAAGGGTATCAGCAATGGAAGGCAAAATGAATGACATGAACTAAGAAGAGAAGTTTAGAGAAAAAAGAATAAAAAGAAATGAACAAAGCCTCCAAGAAATATGGGACTATGTGAAAAGACCAAATCTACATCTGATTGGTGTACCTGAAAGTGACGGGGAGAATGGAACCAAGTTGGAAAACACTCTGCAGGATATTATCCAGGAGAACTTCCCCAATCTAGCAAGGCAGGCCAACATTCAAATTCAGGAAATACAGAGAATGCCACAAAGATACTCCTCGAGAAGAGCAATTCCAAGACACATAATTGTCAGATTCACCAAAGTTGAAATGAAGAAAAAAATGGTAAGGGCAGCCAGAGAGAAAGGTCGGGTTACCCACAAAGGGAAGCCCGTCAGACTAACAACTGATCTCTCGGCAGAAATTCTACAAGCCAGAAGAGAGTGGGGGCCAATATTCAACATTCTTAAAAAAAGAATTTTCAACCCAAAATTTCATATCCAGCCAAACTAAGCTTCATAACTGAAGGAGAAATAAAATACTTTACAGACAAGCAAACACTGAGAGATTTTGTCACCACCAGGCCTGCCCTAAAAGAGCTCCTGAAGGAAGCACTAAACATGGAAAGGAACGACTGGTACCAACCACTGCAAAAACATGCCAAATTGTAAAGACCATCAAGGCTAGGAAGAAACTGCATCAACTAATGAGCAAAATAACCAGCTAACATCATAATGACAGGATCAAATTCACATATAACAATATTAACCTTAAATGTAAATCGGCTAAATGCTCCAATTAAAAGACACAGACTGGCAAATTGGATAAACAGTCAAGACCCATCAGTGTGCTGTATTCAGGAAACCCATCTCACGTGCAGAGACACACATAGGCTCAAAATAAAGGGATGGAGGAAGATCTACCAAGCAAATGGAAAACAAAAAAAGGCAGGGGTTGCAATCCTAGTCTCAGATAAAACAGACTTCAAACCAACAAAGATCAAGAGACAAAGAAGGTCATTACATAATGGTAAAGGGATCAATTCAACAAGAAGAGCTAACTATCCTAAATATATATGCACCCAATACAGGAGCACCCAGATTCATAAAGCAAGTCCTTAGTGACCTACAAAGAGACTTAGACTCCCAAACAATAATAATGGGAGACTTTAACACCCCGCTGTCAACATTAGACAGATCAATGAGACAGAAAGTTAACAAGGATATCCAGGAATTGAACTCAGCTCTGCACCAAGCGGACCTAATAGACATCTACAGAACTCTCCACCCCAAACAACAGAATATACATTTTTTTCAGCACCACATCACACCTATTCCAAAATTGACCACATAGTTGGAAGTAAAGCACTCCTCAGCAAATGTAAAAGAACAGAAATTATAACAAACTGTCTCTCAGACCACAGTGCAATCAAACTAGAACTCAGAATTAAGAAACTCACTCAAAACTGCTCAACTACATGGAAACTGAACAACCTGCTCCTGAATGACTACTGGGTACATAACAAAATGAAGGCAGAGATAAAGATGTTCTTTGAAACCAACGAGAACAAAGACACAACATACCAGAATCTCTGGGACACATTCAAAGCAGTGTGTAGAGGGAAACTTATAGCACTAAATGCCCACAAGAGAAAGCAGGAAAGATCAAAAATTGACACCCTAACATAACAATTAAAAGAACTAGAGAAGCAAGAGCAAACACATTCAAAAGCTAGCAGAAGGAAAGAAATAACTAAGATCAGAGCAGAACACAAGGAAATAGACATAAAAAACCCTTCAAAAAATCAATGAATCCAGGAGCTGGATTTTTGAAAAGATCAACAAAATTGATAGACCGCTAGCAAGACTAATAAAGAAGAAAAGAGAGAAGAATCAAATAGACGCAATAAAAAATGACAAAGGGGATATCACCACCGATCCCACAGAAATACAAACTACCATCAGAAAATACTATAAATACCTCTACACAAATAAACTAGAAAATCTAGAAGAAATGGATAAATTCCTGTACACATACACCCTCCCAAGACTAAACCAGGAAGAAGTTGAATCTCTGAATAGATCAATAACAGGCTCTGAAATTGAGGCAATAATTAATAGCTTACCAACCAAAAAGAGTCCAGGACAAGATGGATTCACAGCTGAATTCTACCAGAGGTACAAGGAGGAGCTGGTAGCATTCTTCCTGAAACTATTCCAATCAATAGAAAAAGAGGGAATCCTCCCTAACTCATTTTATGAGGCCAGCATCATCCTGATACCAAAGCCTGGCAGAGACACGACAAAAAAATAGAATTTTAGACCAATATCCTTGATGAACATTCATGCAAAAATCCTCAATAGAATACTGGCAAAGTGAATCCAGCAGCACATCAAAAAGCTTATCCACCATGATCAAATGGGCTTCATCCCTGGGATGCAAGGCTGGTTCAACATACGCAAATCAATAAATGTAATCCAACATATAAACAGAACCAAAGACAAAAACCACATGATTATCTCAATAGAGACAGAAAAGGCATGTGACAAAATTCAACAACCCTTCATGCTAAAAGCTCTCAATAAATTAGGTATTGATGGGACATATCTCAAAATAATAAGAGCTATCTATGACAAACCCACAGCCAATATCATACTGAATGGACAAAAACTGGAAGCATTCCCTTTGAAAACTGGCACAAGACAGGGATGCCCTCTCTCACCACTCCTATTCAACATAGTATTGGAAGTTCTGGCCAGGGCAATCAGGCAGAAGAAGGAAATAAAGGGCATTCAATTAGGAAAACAGGAAGTCAAATTTCCTGTTTGCAGATGACATGATTGCATATCTAGAAAACCACATCATCTCAGCCCAAAATCTCCTTAAGCTGATAAGCAACTTCAGCAAAGTCTCAGGATACAAAATCAATGTGCAAAAATCACAAGCATTCTTATACACCAATAACAGACAAACAGAGAGCCAAATCATGAGTGAACTCCCATTCACAATTGCTTCAAAGAGAATAAAATAAATAGGAATCCAACTTACAAGGGATGTGAAGGACCTCTTCAAGGAGAACTACAAACCACTGCTCAATGAAATAAAAGAGGATACAAACAAATGGAAGAACATTCCATGCTCATGGGTAGGAAGAATCAATATCGTGAAAATGGCCATACTGCCCAAGGTAATTTACAGATTCAATGCCATCCCCATCAAGCTACCAATGACCTTCTTCACAAAATTGGAAAAAAGCTACTTTAAAGTTCATATGGAACCAAAAAAGAGCCCGCATTGCCAAGTCAATCCTAAGCCAAAAGAACAAAGCTGGAGGCATCACACTACCTGACTTCAAACTATACTACAAGGCTACAGTAACCAAAACAGCATGGTACTGGTACCAAAACAGAGATACAGACCAATGGAACAGAACAGAGCCCTCAGAAATAATGCTGCATATCTACAACTATCTGATCTTTGACAAACCTGAGAAAAAAAGCAATGGGGAAAGGATTCCCTATTTAATAAATGGTGCTGGGAAAACTGGCTAGCCATATGTAGAAAGCTGAAACTGGATCCCTTCCTTACACCTTATACAAAAATTAATTCAAGATGGATTAAAGACTTACATGTTAGACCTAAAACCATAAAAACCCTAGAAGAAAACCTAGGCATTACCATTCAGGACATAGGCATGGGCAAGGACTTCATGTCTAAAACACCAAAAGCAATGGCAACAGAAGCCAAAATTGACAAATGGGATCTAACTAAACTAAAGAGCTTTCTGCACAGCAAAAGAAACCACCATCAGAGTGAACAGGCAACCTACAGAATGGGAGAAAATTTTTGCAACCTACTCATCTGACAAAGGGCTAATATCCAGAATCTACAATGAACTCCAACAAATTTACAAGAAAAAAACAAACAACCCCATCAAAAAGTGGGCAAAGAATATGAACAGACACTTCTCAAAAGAAGACATTTATGCAGCCAAAAAACACATGAAAAACTGCTTATCGTCACTGGTCATCAGAGAAATGCAAATCAAAACCACAATGAGATACCATCTCACACCAGTTAGAATGGCGATCATTAAAAAGTCAGGAAAAAACAGGTGCTGGAGAGGATGTGGAGAAATGGGAACACTTTTACACTGTTGGTGGGACTGTAAACTAGTTCAACCATTGTGGAAGACAGGGTGGCAATTCCTCAGGGATCTGGAACTAGAAATACCATTTGACCCAGCCATCCCATTACTGGGTATATACTCAAAGAATTACAAAACATGCTGCTATAAAGACACATGCACATGTATGTTTATTGCGGCACTATTCACAATAGCAAAGACTTGGAACCAACCCAAATGTCCAACAATGATAGACTGCATTAAGAAAATGTGGCACATATACACCATGGAATACTATGCAGCCATATAAAACGATGAGTTCATGTCCTTTGTAGGAACATGGATGAAGCTGGAAACCATCATTCTCAGCCACCCATCACAAGGACAAAAAACCAAACACCGCATGTTCTCACTCATAGGTGGGAATTGAACAATGAGAACACATGGACACAGGAAGGGGAACATCACACACTGGGGACTGTTGTGGGGTGGGGGGAGGGGGAGGGATAGCATTAGGAGATATACCTAATGCTAAATGGCGAGTTAATGGGTGCAGCACACCAACATGGCACATGTACACATATGTAACAAACCTGCACGTTGTGCACATCTACCCTAAAACTTAAAGTATAATAATAATAATAATAATAAAAGAAAAATTTAATTAAAGTATTTGGAAAACCCTAATCACATTAATTTTAGCTCAATTTCAAATCTGGAACTCTTAGTAACTCCCACTTAATAACTTACATAAGAATGAAAATCTAGAGAATGTCACATTATTTCCTGAGAGAAGATTTAATTGAGCACATGCTACGGGGCAGGCAGTTTCTGAATTCTATCCATTCATTTATCTCATTTAATAATTATAAATTCATGCGATAGATATTAATATTATCTTTATTTTATAGATGAGGAAACTGAGGCATAGAGAGGCACACACTAAGCAAGCTTTAAACTGAGATTCAAAGCCCAGCATTCTGACTCCAGTTTTCTCATTTTTAACCACTAGTCTATACTGCTCTAGATTTTAGATTTATCCTAGGCTCATCAGGAGAACCTGTGCAACTCACTAGCAGACTACAGGCCACATTCTGAGAAGCATCCGTAACTATGATGACACCTCAAAATAATGCAATAGCATTGAGAAGATGCACTGGGGGTCAAAGCATTGGGGGTCAAAGATAGATTCTGTATAATTAAGAAAGAACCAGCAGGACACTTGGTGACTGTTTATATGTGTGGGTTGAGGAAGGGGTCAAGAGGGAGCAGAGTCTGGAATGGCAACTTAGGAAGCAAACGGTAGAAAGAGCAAGTTTTTGGCTTGGGATGGAGGTTTGGTTTGATGCATAGACTCTGGGATGCTTCTGAGACATTCAGGTAGAAAAGCCAGGTGGGTAGAGTGACAAAGGAGCAGACAATGCTTGGAGTGGAGTGAAGAGAGCTGTCCCTGTATCTGCAATGCTGGTCCACGCCTACCCCAGCGGAAATCGTTCGTACTTGAGAAAGTTACTGGCTGAGGCATGGATGTACAGGGGTGTATTGGGGGGGGTTCACATAAAGTGAGAACCATCTCCGTGACATGCTGGGGTGTGAAACCAGGGAGGATAAAAAGCGAGACCAGAGGAAACCACAAAGCACAAATGCTGGCGCCCTTCCCTACTTGGAGTCCCCCATATGGTGCTGACCATGGTCCTCTTCATTCTACACTCTTAGGGTACTGGTCCTATGTGTGCCAATACACTGTAGGCTCCAGAAGGGCCTTCATCTCTTTGATTTTGTAGTTTTTGAAGAACCTAGCACAATGTAGAACTGTTTGTCCAATTATTTAGTCAGGGATTCTTCTCATTTTTACAAGAAGTCCTTTGGGGTCTAAGGTTCAAGCATCATTAGGCTGGCTCCATGTAAGATATCCTCATTAATAGAAAAGCATTCTAGCTTCATGCTAAGAAACCAATGGGAGGGAAAGTGAAGCAGTGAGGGAACAAAACAAACATGAGAATGGAGAACACTTGCACTTGTGTCTGGAACTGGTTATTAGTCATGTCAGCCTAATCAGATCAGAGGACTCCTTCAGACAAAAAAATAAGGTATTTTGGGTTGAGGCTCATTAAAATTTAGAGAGGTTAATTTCCTCCTTAACTTTAAGTAGCTAGAAAGTCAGAAATAATAAAGATGCGAGTAAAGTAGAGGATTTTAAATTTTTTTATAAGTAAAATCTGAAAATTGTTGGAAGTTAAAATATTTTAATTTTCCAAAAGACTTTGTGTAGTCTATTCTATAAAATAAAGATCAGATGTTTAAAAAAATAAGATGAACTTGTTAAAACCAATGACCAAAATTAGATGGATTTAGATGTGCTAGCTCAGTTTTCCAAACTCAAATGTAGAAAATAAAGATTCCTTTGGAAAACACTATCAAAATAATTTTTTAAAGATTATCACTTTTCATTAACATAACGCATGCCCTTTGAGGCTTAATTGTAAATAATCGGCTTTCAGTGTAGCTGTAGTGATTAATTCGCCTATGTGATGTTTAGCTTTCAAATGCCTGTAATGGCATGAATAAGCAACATTACGGCTGGAAATCAGGCCAAGTATTTAAAAAGCAACAACAAAGAGCAAAGTACTCACGCTGTGGCACTTCCAGTGGATGCCCTGTGACATCACACCATCCGATCGGGTGGATATCAGGGCTGTCTGCCTCCACCCAGTAGTCATACTTATGGTCCCAACCATCAAAATGAACCTGTTAAAACGAGTTTTGAATGATTAGCATTTAGTAATTAGGATTTCACTATTCCTGTATCAAAATATTTGAATACAGATGTCTGAAGCTGAGATTGAAATTTTATTGATCACACCTTGCAGTTGAAATAATATTTAATATGTGCCATTCTATAGCCTTCTAATCCAGCCAACAAAGGCAATTGTACCAAATTTTCAAAGAAATTAAAGTGGTTGGTAAACGAAAACTTTGTCAGGGATTGACCAGAATCTGAAGAAGTAAGGCCAATCCATTTTCTCAACTAAGACACGTACTGGAATGCTGTTGAGGGGATACTCTTTGTCCTGAGCGACTGTCCTATTAACCACTTCAAGAACCATGTCAGCATCATCAACAGTAAGAGTCACCAACTTGACATTAGTACAAGTGCTATACTGATGGGAAATACACAGATTAGAGTATAAAGAAACAATCAATCCCTAAAACCTCACAAATGAGAGACGGGCCCATTGGAACCATGGAGGCAAAAACAGTAGACAAAATATGCTAGGGGGTAGGTAGATAGATTTTAATAGCTGCCATAAGAGCTATTTAAAGGCCAAGGGTAAGCTATTAAGAAATCTTCTGAAGAAGATCCAGCCATCCCCAGGTCCAGCCATCCTACTGGTATAGGCTCCAACAAGGCTAATTATTGCAAGGATAATTTATCTTGCATCTTATCTGCAAAACACACACACACATACCATGCACACATATAAGAATAATTAAATAAATCCCAATTTCTGAAACAAAAATCAAATAATTATTTCTTAAAAATAATTATTTCTTTTAAAAAATCTATATCCTTTCTAATGCAAAGAAGCCCACTTAAGTTTTTGAAAATCATATTTGAATAAAAAGAGCAAGATGCCTAGTGCTGTAATAAGCCAATCTGAAATATAAATCCATTATGCAGAACTTAAGACCAAAAAAGCAAAATTCTATATATTCAGTCCCAAATAAACTCCCAATATTTTTTCTCAAGAGTCGTCTTTCTAAGCAAGTGGTTTTCAAAGTGTGATTCTTAGACTATCAGCATCACCGACCTAGGCACTTGTTAAAAATGCAAATTCTTGGCTCCACCTCAACCCTACTGAATCAGAAACTCTAAAGGTAGAGCCTAACACTGTGTGTTAACAAGTGTTCTACATGAATCTGTTATATGCTAAAGTCTGAGAACCAGAGATTACAGTAATAACTTTCAAAAGTACATTTCTACTGAACTTAGGTTCCTGACCATGACAGAGTGCCCTTTCATAGTAATAACCATAAAACTGGACATATGCAGGGAATATTTTCGGACATCGGACAATAGGCAGCACAGAAATGCAATCCCTAAGTAAAGGAAAACATCCCAGATGAGCCCTTAACATCAGCCTGGAGACAATTTCCTGATTGCAGCACACAGAGAAGAAACATAAAGAAAGCAGTTATGCAGTCAGAGAGACAGAGATTGCAGATCAGAGTGCATGATGCAGCTGGAAGTTAAAAGACAAAGTATTGGAAAAGACAGAACTACAAAAAAGGGGGAACCAAAGGCAGGGTGCAGTAGCTCATGCCTGTCATCCCAGCACTTTGGGAGGCCAAGGAAGGAGGATCTCTTGAGCCCAGGAGTTCCAGACCAGCCTGGACAACATGGTGAAACCTCATCTCTACAAAAAATACAAAAACTAGCCAGGTGTGTGGTGTGCACCTGTGGTCCCAGCTACTCAGGAGGCTGAAATAGAAGAATCACCTCAGCCTGGGGAGGTTGAGGCTGCAGTGAACCATGATCATGCCACTGCACTGCAGCCTGGACGGCACAGCAAGACCCTGTCTCAATAAAGTGGGGGACCAAAAAGTCCATGGGAGGTTATTCACAAGACCTTGACCAAGGGCTGGACTGCCCATGTACCAGGTAAGACTTTCTGAAGCCAAGCAGAGAGTAGCTGATACGGGGCTGAGAATGAAACAAAGATACTAGAGGTCACAAGTTCCGGGGAGAGGGGAGAGACTAATGTGGAGAAACCTCAATTAACACTTTGACAATTTGACTGAGACACCACAAAGTTCACATTTTGGGGAAAGAAAGATGCTCTAGATTAATAATTACTCATGAACAACCCTAAAAAAGGGGTAAAATCAAGCCTTAGCCAGATGAAGAATTACCAGTAATGAACTCCCTGATAGAACGAACTCTACTCTTAAAAAAAAAAAAAAACTCCCACTATATGCTGTATCATTCATTACATATAACATACAAAAGTTTATTAAACATGTAAATAAGCAGATGATTGTGAGCCATACTCAATTTGTGAAGAAGTGGTCAACAGAAATAGAACCTAAGATAACCTAGATGTTGTAATTAGCAGAAAAGGATTGCAAAGTAGTTAGGAAAATATGTTCAAAAACTTAATTGAAATGGTCTAAATGAGTGAACAGAGAATTTCAGGAGAGAAATGGAAACTATAAAAGAGAAGCACATAGAAATTCTAGAAGTCAATAGCAAAATATCTTAAATATTGCTGGATGACAATATTATTGCTGGATGGCAATAATAGGAGATTGGAGATGGCAGAAAAACAGATGAGTGAATATAAAATATAAAAACAGATTCATAGAAGTTATTAACCTAAAGAACAGATGATGTTCCGGTGTGATGGCTCACACCTATAATCCCAGCACTTTGGGAGGCTAAGGCAGGCAGATCACTTAGAGCCAGGGGGTTAAGACTAGCCTGGCCAACACGGTGAAGCCCCATCTCTACTAAAATGCAAAAATCAGCTGGTGTGGTGATGCATGCCTGTATTCCCAGCTACTTGGGAGGCTGAAGCACAAGGATGGCTTGAACATGGGAAGCGGAGTTTGCAGTGAGCCGAAATTGCGGCACTGCACTCAGCCTGGGTGACAGAGCGAAACTCTGTCAAAAAAAAAAAAAAAAAAGATGATACAAGATTTAAATAATAAATAGAGCCTGATAATATCAACTCATCTAACATACGCATATTTGGATTCTAGAAGGAGAGGACACAGAGAGAATGGAGCAGGAATAGTGGTCAAACAAAACCAACGCAGAAAGGATAATGGTTAAAACAAAAAATCTCCCTAATTTGGCCAAAAATACCAATTTGCAAGCTTAAGAATGACAAAACCTGAGCATAATAAATACAAAGGAAATGAAAACTAGGCAAATCATAGACCACTGAAAATGAAAGCTAAAGGGAAACCCTGAAAGCAACCGGACACAATGCAACACATTGCAAAGAGCAGAGCCACGATGGGAAAGTGGGCCACCTTCTCACCAGAAACAGTGCAGGCAAGAAGATAATAAAATGACATCTTTAAAACGCTAACAGGAAACATAAAAAACTGTCAACACAGAATTTCAATTCCTACAAAAAATATCCTTCAAAAAAGACTAAAACAGAGAAATTTTCAGATAAACAAAAAAAAAGAATACGCACTTATAGATTTATACTGTAAGAAATATTACAGGGAGTATTTCAGGCTGATGCTAAGTGATGCCAGATGAAAACTACGATCTACATGAAGAGTACTAGCAACAGCAAATATGCGGGGAAATATGCAAGGCTAGTTCCGTGTTCTGTAATTGATTAATTCATTACACCACAGAAGAAGAAGAAAAGTAATGTGGTCATCTCAGTGGATACAGAAAAAGTATTTGACAAAGTTCAATACACAATGACAAATACTTCAGTAAACTAGAAATAGAAGGGAACTCCCTCAGTTTGATAAAAGGCATCTATGAAACACAGGTAATATCAGACTAAGTAATACTTTATTGAATGCTTCATCCCCAAAATCAAGAATAAGGCAAGTTTATTCATTCTTACTGTTTCTAGTCAACATTGTAATGTAGTGCAATTAGGCAAGAGAAAGAAATATTAATAAAAGGCATGAAACTTGCAAAATAAGTCAACATAAAACAATCAATTCTATTAATATATACTGGCAACAAAAAAATTTAAAAAATATTAATTTTTTAAAAATTTCCTTTAGAATAACATTAAAAATGAAGAACTTAGCAAAACATCTGAGAAAATAAGAAAATGTGAAAGCTAGAAAACATTCCTAAGAGAAATTAAAAGATGATCCCACACAAGTGAAGAGAACTATCATGCCCACAGGCTGGAAGACTCAATATTATTATTGATATGTCATCTCTTCCCAGATTGTTCCATAAATTCAATTTAATCCTACTCAAAAAGGTAGGCCTTTTGTTTTGTATCATTTGACAAGCAGATTCTAACATTATAAAGGAATGAAAAATGACCTAGCTTACCCAAAACAATTTTGTAAAAAAAATTAACAAAGTTGGAGAACTGATACTATCTGAATTTTAGAATTACTACAAAGGCACAGTTATTAGGACCATGTTGTACTGGCTTAGGATAGACAAATATATTAATAAAACAAAATACTGCATATAAATTGATCCATATATATGCAGTCAATTGATTTTCAAAAACATGACAAGAGTATTGAATGAAGAAAGTACAGTCTTTTCAACAAATGGCACCAGAATGCTTGAACATCAACATGTGAAAAAAAATGAGCCAGCTGACTTCTACCTCACATCACACATACACAAGTATTTGAAATGAAACATAAACAAAACATAAAAGCTAAAACTACAAAACCCAAGAAGAAAACTTTAAGATAAAGTCTTCATGATATTGGAATATTCAAGGATTTATTAGCACACAGAAGGCACTACCCATATAATAATAAATTAATAAATTCATTTTTTACCTGACTCAAAAACTTTTGTTTTTCAAAATCACCAAGAAAAATATGAAGTGAGCCACAGGCATTTGCAATACATTTATCTGACAAGAGACTTGACAAAAAATTCAATGTAAAAAATGAGCAAAAGACTCAATGAACATTTTGGAAAAAAAATTCATGAATGATCAATAAACAAACTTTTAACATCTCAATATCACTCTTCACCAGAGAAACCAAAATGAATTACTACCGCATACCCACTCGAGTGATTTAAATGACAGACAAAATTTCCCAACATCAGTTACTGCCGAGGCTGTGGAGCTCCTGAAGCATTCATACCAATGTCGGCAGGGGTGTAAAATTGCACAACCACTTTCAATAATGTTATACTACTTTTTAAAGAAGCTTAAACCGTGTGCCTACCCTGTGACTCCTAGTAATTCCAACAAAAGTGATGAAAATATAAAGTTGTGTAAACAAATGCCCCTTGCAGTTTTATTCATAATAGCCCAAACCTGAAAACAACCCAAATGCCCAACAGGTGAACATTCATTCACAAACAAGTGTGCAATGTCCATAAAACGAATGCTAGTTCAGCAATAAAAAGGGATAAACTGTTTACACATGCATGAACATGGGAACAACAGACTTCATGTTGAGCAATGAGGCAGACACAACAGTGCATGCTGCATGACCCCACTGATAGGAAATCTGACAACAGGCAATAGAAACCAGGTCCATGGTTGTCTGGGAGAAGGATGGGAGCAGGACTGGCTGAGAAGGAGCACAAAGGAAGCTTCTGTGTTGTTGGAAGTGTTCTACATCTCGACTGGGATGGTGGCTATGCAGGATATATTATACATTTTTCAACACTCATCAAAATGCGTGCATGAAATCTGTACATCTTATCATTTGCAAATTACATCTCAATATAGTTACTTTATTTAAAACATTTCTACATTCAGCTGCTGTCACATGTGGCTGCTCTGTCTCCTACTATCTTCTACTGATGGCGATGTTGCAGTGCTCAAGACATAGCCAGGCACCCTAGGACTGTCAGTACCAGGCCACTGAATATTCAAGGTGTGAACAGGCAACACTGGTGTTCCTTTTTGGAATGATGCCTCCTGCTCTGGAATTACCAATAGGAAGAAGTTTGTGTAAGTCCATATAATGGAGTGAAGAAGAAATAAATTTCCCAAGCTTCAACTAATTTCAATGCCCTTCCCCTTTTAAGTCTGGGGTGCAATTTTTTTATGTTTCAAAAGCAAGGAAGTTGTGTCAAAGCACAAACAGGACAGGACAAATACCCCAGCAAGGTCCTGCTTTGAGGAGTTAGGTCTTTCTATTTTAACTATTGTGGTGGACCTGGGAATCCGACTGCAGAATTAGGTCTCAACTGAAGAAGTGAAAAAAAAAATCTTTTTCAATTTTTTTTGACAGCAGGTACAATATTTTTACATACCCTATTCAACATTTTCCTCTTATGTTCATTAATAAATATTAAATTATCATTTCCAGGATTGTCTATAACTGCTTACAATGAAACCATGGAAATTAAAAATAGCCTCCCAATCCAATGATGTGATTCTCCCCTCCCCAACAAGGGCTGTCTAAACTCTGAATTTATAATCAAAATCTGTGCCTATGTAGAATACATCCTTATGAAAGATATTTTCATATCTTTGGATCATATCTTTGGATCTGTGGAATAAAAATCCGATTTAAAAAATTCTAACCAGATGGTCAAGTTAATAGAGGAGACTGGCATTTTAAGTCTATTTACCAAGAGTCCTTTTGTAAAGCAAAGCCTCATTTTGAAAACCAAATCATCTCAACATTATATTTCATACATTTATTATTTTTCACATATCTGGGTTTGCATAAAATAAACATGTAGACCCTTCTTGCTCAAGCTTTGATAAACTAGAAAACAAAGGTCAGATCACTGAATCAACCACTGTCTCAAGTTCTTATCCTTCAACAGACAGGAATGTGTCCTAATGGTATTAACGTTACACATTAGCTATTAAAGAGCGGTAAGAAATAACTTGGAAATTTAAAAGTTAGATCAGCATATTAAAAACAACAACAACAAGGAAAAACTCCTTGGCATAAATCCCACACTTCCAGCCGTCTGCACCAACACAGTCTCTGCTTTTCCTTATCTTTACTTCCCAATGCCCACAGTAGGACTTGCCCTGAGCCCCTTAAATGTACCCCAACGCCTCAGTCATGTTCGCTGCTCCCATGGCACTTAGCCCTGTGTCTCACAGATTTTAAAGGCTCAAAGCCCATTGTCTGAATAAGATGCAAGACAGTAATCACATCTTCTCATTGTTCTTTTGGGCAATTGGAAGACGAGGAAGTTATTATAATACCTAGGAACATTGGGGCTAAATTGAATGCTCAGTCACAATAATTTTATTAGCCTAAGTGACTATTACATTGTTTTATTTTGCTATAAACCTTTTTTAAATTTTTAATTTCCACTTTAATAGGCTTATTGGATACGTTTGTTTTACTGTCAGAGTCCTCAAATCTATTTTACATGCTTATGGCAAACAAATTGTAAGCGCAGACATGATGTTAACTTCTTCAGAAACAGCCTGTATTGTGCCTGAACTCTTCTAGCTTTAATTTAATACATTTTGAGTTAACTAGGCTTAAGTTTCATTCTAGAGAGGAGAACTGGGTTTTAATATGTTTTCCTGATACCTATTGCTCATAACTATTGGTGCTAATAAGATTATAGTTCATCTTACTTCCTGTGATGCCAGGCTCTGGGCTCTGTTGAGGGATGGCAAAGGTGGGTTCAGGGATAGTACTGAGGCAAGACATCTGCCCTGCTGTGGGGCAAGAATGCTTGCACCGTGCCTTTACAGAATACTATCATAATCCAAGAGCAAGAGTGTTGGGTATGGCAGGGGACACACTTTTATTGTACACATATATTCCAGGGATAGTTGTAATGTGTGTGTGTGGACACACATACACAGACATGGCACAGCCACAGCTCACTGCAGCCTCAAACTCCTGGGCTCAAGTGATCCTCCTGCCTCCCAAATAGCTGGAACTACAGGCGCATGCCACCACACCACACCACTCAATTATTTTATTTTGTTTTTTTGTAGAGTCAAGGTCTTGCTATGTTGCTCAGGTTGGTCTCAAACTCCTGTTCTCAAGTGATCCTCCTGCCTCAGCCTCCCAAAGCTCTGGGATTACAGGCATGAGGCACTGAGTGCGGCCCTATATAGCGCCTCATTTAATGTTCACAGTACTATTTTAATAGATGATTAATAGGGGCCTCACAGATGTTAAGAGGTTTGCCAAGATCATAAGCCAGTAAATGGCAAAAACAGACTTAACCTGAGAACAGTTTACTGAGAGAACCATGCAAGAAAATAAATCAGGAAAACAATATAACTGACTAAATGAGGGATATAGTCCAGAGCTACCCATACTTTTCCACAGTAAACATTAACTCCACATTCAGTCCATCTGCTTGCAGACAAGGGTAATGAAGGAGAGAGCATGAAGGAAAGGAAAAATATATATATACCTTCAAAACACCTTACTCTCATGTTATTATCCCCATTTTACATATAAGGCTACTGAGACAGGGATTATGAAATATGCCCCCAATTTCCAGATGACTGTGACTCCTAAACCCTCCCTCTCCCCCAGGCCACATGCCTGAAGTGCTGTTCTGTGGTTTTGGAACCGGCTGCCCCTAGGTTTGTTCCTTACCACTGCTTCCACACTCACTTATGGTCAATTAACTCAACTCCTTGTCCCTGCTAACCTCCCTCAAACTCATCTGCTTTTCCACAAATATAGTTGCTTCCATCTTCCATTTAATCCTTTCCCATAACAAATATCATAGAAAAACTTTTAATCACTAAGTTGGAAAATTAATAGTTTTCACTATAGGTATTCTAAACCTATTTTTATTTGTAAGGCCACTGCCCAAATTCATCAGGTTTCTTAAAGCAGTGTTTTTCAAAATTTATTAAGCAAAATATGAACCATCCTCTCCTCCAACCAAGATCTAATTCAGTGGGAGTCAAGAATGAAGGTCAAAATCTGTATTTTTTAACCACAAACCCTAGATTATTTGCTGTTTTTCCATGCTTGTATGCCAATGTTCATGGCAACAGCATTCACAATGGCCAAAAAGTGGTAACAATCCAAGTGTCCGTCAACTGATGAATGGGTATGTGGTATGTACACGCAATGGAATATTATTCAGCCACCAAAAGGAACGACGTTCTGACATGCTACAACACAGATGAACATCATGATAAGCAAAGTAAGCCAGGCACAAAAGGACAAATATCTACTTATATCTAGAATAGGCAAATTCATAGGGACCAAAAGTAGATTAGAGGTTAATAGGGTCTGCAGGGAGGTAGGACTGGGGAATTACTGGTTTTTGGGTACGGACTTTCTGTTTGAGGTGAGGACAATTTTTTTTTTTTTGCATTTTACATTCTTTTTTAAAAACTTTTATATTAGGTTCAAGGGTACAAATACAGGTTTTTTATACAGGTCAATTACATGTCACAGGGGTTTGGTATGCAGATTATTTTGCCGTCCAGGTAATAGGCATAGTACCTGATAGGTAGTTTTTCTTCTTTTTTTTTGTTTTTTTTGAGACAGAGTCTCACCTTGTCACCCAGGCTGGAGTGCAGTGGCACTGTCTCAGCTCACTGCAACCTCTGTTTCCTGGGTTCAAGCAATTCTCCTGCCTCAGCCTCCTGTGTAGCTGGGATTACAGGTGCGTGCCACCATGCCCAGCTAATTTTTCTTTGTATTTTTAGTAGAGTGGGGGTTTCAACATGTTGGCCAGCCTGGTCTCGAACTCCTGACCTCAAGTTATCCGCCCACCTTGGCCTCTCAAAGTGCTGGGATTACAGGTGTGAGCCACCACACCCGGCCATGCTGGGTAGTTTTTCAATGCTCTGCCTCCTCCCACCCTCCACCTTCAAGTAGGCCCCAGCATCTCTTGTTCTCTTTGTATCCACACATACTCAATGTTTAGCTTTCACTTATAAGTGAGAATACGTGGTATTTGTTTTTCGGTTTCTATATTAGTTCACTTAGGATAACGGTCTCCAGCTCCATCTCTGTTGCTATAAAGGACATGATCTCCTTCTTTTTTATGGTTGTCTAGCATTCCATGGTGTATATGTACTACATTTTCTTTATCCAGTCTACCACTGTTAGGCATTTGGGTTGATTCTGTGTCTTTGCTACTGTAAGTAGTGCCGTGATGAACATGCACTTGCATGTGTCTTTATGGTAGAACGATTTATATTCCCCCAATAATGGGACTGCTGGGTTGAATGGCAATTCTGCTTCGAGTTCTTTGAGAAATTGCTACACTGCTTTCTACAATAATTGAACTAATTTACATTCCCACCAGCAGTGTATAAGCATTCCCTTTTCTCCACAATCTTGCCAGTATCTGTTATTTTTTGACTTTTTAATAATAGCCATTCTGACTGGTGTGAGATGGTCTCTCACTGTGGTTTTGATTAGCATTTCTCTAATAATTAGTGATGTTGAGCATTTTTCATATGCATGTTGACTGTGTGTGTGTCTCTTTTTGAAAAGTGTCTGTTCATATACTTTGCCCACTTTTTAATGGGGTCATTTGTTGCCTACTTGTTGATTTGTTTAAAATCATTTGCCCACTTTTTAATGGGGTTGTTTGATTGTTTGCTTGTTGATGCGTTTCTGGATATCACCTTTGTTGGATGCATAGTTTGCAAATATTTTCTCCCATTCTGTAGGCTGTCCATTTACTCTGTTAATAGTTTCTTTTGCAGTGCAGAAGCCCTTTAGCTTAATTAGGTCCAATTTGTCAATTTTTATTTTTGTTGCAATTGCTTTTGGTGTCTTCATCATGAAATCTTTGCCAGGTTCTATATACGGAATAGTATTTCCTAGGTTGTCTTCCAGGACTTTTGTAGTTTTAGATTTCACATTTAAGTTTTTAATCCATCTTGAGTTTATTTTTGTACATGGTGTAAGGAAGAGGTCTAGTTTCAATCTTCTGCATATGGCTAGCCAGTTATCTCAGCACCAGTTATTGAATAGGGGAGTCCTTTAGATAAAATCTTTTCAAATGCTTTTTTAGGGTTATCAACTGACTTTGCCATTAAACCCACAGTTCTATCTAATGCCACTGAAAATAACTTATTTAAATAGTCAGAAACCATTCTTAATTTTATAATGCAATGAACCAAGAGAAATCTGATTGAAGGCCTGATGCAGAGGACCACTCAACTCTAAAGGTTTCCATTTGTGATAAATATATCTACATAAGTTTCCATTTTTCTATTTCTATGGTTACAGTTATAAGAAATAGAATTAGTTTTTCCCATAAGATGTGTTTTTCAGATAAGATTTGCACAAGAAATAAAAATGCCAAATTTCTAATAGAATCCCCAGGGTTTTAATTCTTGTTAAGAAATCTTTAAATATTTCATCAGAGTTAGGCATACCAGCCCTACTTGGGGCTCTGCGACTACATGTCTGTGGGTGATATCTTTGCAAGAAAAACCTCCTTCATAACCAGTGTAAAGACAAATGATCTCCAAATCAGTTTACGGCTATGACTAACATAAATATTTCCATAATCTCTGCCCAAAAGCTTAAACAATTTGAAGCACTGAGGTGGTGAACTGGACCACCGTGGCCGACGCTGCGCCTTCACTGCTGATGTAAAGGTCGTTGCCTTTGTAACTGTTCACCAGGCCTCTACCCTCTGTCTTCTCTTCAGGACAAAGGCCTTTTCAGGCGACATTGTTTCAATATGCACTCTTGATTTGTCCTGAGATTCTGAATTTCCACCTTGGATCCTATAGCAAATCATCACAGTTTTTCTACTAAATCACATGAAGAAGGACTTACACTGTTTACAATAAAGAAGACATAGGATTTCTAAATAAGAACAGTAAGATGTGAAGAATGTCAAACTAAGAAAAGTTGGTTATACAGAGAGAGGATATTGTCCAAAAGGGATATTTTTGAGAGTAAAAGGGAACACTATTAATCATTAGACAATTACAGTAGGCGGACTCCAGGACTAACCATGTAATCCAGGATATTCAATAACTCTAAGTATTCTAAGGATGAGACTGCTATAAACATTCAATTCCCAGTAAGCCAATAGCAAAGGGGAAATATTATACAATTCTCATTATAACATTAAAAAAATACACGTTAGTCTAACGTTGCAAAATTTCCCCTAATAGAAATTTATTGCACAGTTATATAAGGAACCTTGAACAACATGATGGACAATATGATATAGTGCCTGCACAATAATTTATGTAATTACATAATATCTACATGGGTAGTATAAGCAAAATGGAAGTATACACACACAGAGATGTACTTACAAAATGAATGCATCATGTACACTATTCAAAGTCATGGGTAGGTTACATATTTTCCCTATCCATTCTAATAATTTATGTATTAGTACAACATTAATCTTATTAGTAATTTCTAAATTGGTCATATAAATAATTTCCTGTTCACTTCCGATCATTTAGACTCTGATTTTACATCCGTCACGGTAATTCGACTATTATTTGAGGACAGAAACCGTATTTTCTATTTTTTTTGTTTCCAATACCAGATAATATCCAGAGCATATTTGTTGAAGCATTAACACTCATTGGACAAATGAATGAATAAATGAATGTATAAATCCAAATATGTCCATTCAAATTATATAAACACTACCAAACAAATACGTCTAAAGGATTTATTTAAGATTAACCCAAACCAGCTGATTTATCCATTTCTTTTACAGACTTATCTATCTTTTCAATTACCAACATTGTTATTCAAGAAATATGACATTCTATAACATGAAAGTTCCTGAGATTCTTTTAAGCCATTTCTTCTTTTAGAATACAAAAACAGGCACATGTTCCTCTTGGCTATAATGACTAAGATGTAGTGGGTAAACAAGGATTTTGATCTAACTACAATTATGATCCAGCCATATTGAGGATGGGTGAAGAGAAGAGTGCATACGTGGAAGGGGCCAGGGGAGAAACGAGAGCTCCACCCACATCTCATACAGTCAGAACCCCGCGTAAAAGTGAAGAAGTTGCAAACCAAACCCATGTTTAGAGTCTCAAGGATAAACAACACAGAAATCAGCTAAGGAAAAAAATGTGAAAGAGGTCTTGGGACAAGGGTTTCCCAAACAAAACTTGCAGCATTATTTTTTGCACTTTGTGCCAGTATAACTTGGGCAACCTAGTTAATGGCTATGTCATCGCCAGATGAGAAATACAGGAAAAGAAGCAGGGTTTTGATTTTTCTTTGGTTTGGTTAATTTTGTTGTTGAAGGGTAAATTTGATGAATTCCATTTTGATCATATTAAATTCCAAGTGCTTACAGGATATGCAGGTCAAAACGTCCAGCAGACAAATGAAAAGTCATTCCTGGATCTTGACTGAAAAATCTAAGGCATTGATTTAGGAGTCATAAACAAACAGAGGGAAGGCGGAGCCAGGGCCATACACATGCTGACACGTGCTGACAAAGAAAGGGAGTGAGGACTCAAGTGGGAAATACCGCAGTGCTGGACCCAATATGCTCCCTTCTCCCCTCCAGATCCATACGGTGCCAAGGACACAGCCCTTTATGGATGGTATCAGTAGCCTTTGGTTTTGGCCAATGAGAAGTAGCCAAAGGACTCATGAAGACAGGAGGAGAGGGAGGCTGGGGAAGGCATGCTCAGACCTCCCTCACTGCAGGCTGCAGGCTGGCAGTGGCTGAAGTCCCACCGGAGGGTGGTGCTCCTGCTTGTGGTTGGCTCCTGTACTGAGCTATCCTGGGTTCTCCCAGTCCCACCCCTCACCCTCTCAACCCTGCCCAAACGTCATAAACAGGCCTCTACTAAAGTCTGTATGATGTGCCTGCTGGTTCCTGCAGGACCCTGACTGATACACAAGTCTACAAGAAATCCTGAGGAATTTTATTTAAAAAGTGGAGCAATAAGAAGCAATAAAGAACTCTAAGACAAGAACTCTAATCAAGACCGAGTGGTAAAGAGGCCACCGAAGGAGGGCAATTTCAACAGGGGCTGGGGTCAACTGTGCTGAGGCTGCCAAATAGACATGTGAGAAATGACTATGCCAAGTTCAGCAAGGCAGCCACTGCAAGGGGCCCGGATCTGGGCTGACTCAGCCAGAAGACTGAATAGGTGGCAGAAGTGAAAACCAAAAAGGGCACTTTCTTTATTTTATTTTATTTTATTTTATTTTATTTTATTATTTTATATTTTATTTTATTTTATTTTATTTTAGAAATGGAGTTCAGCTCTTGTTAACCAGGCTGGAGTGCAGTGGTGCAGTCTCAGCTCACTGCAAACTCTGTCTCCCAGGCTCAAGCAATTCTCCTGCCTCAGCCTCCCAAGTAGCCGGGACTACAGGTGCCCACCACCATGCCTGGCTGATTTTTGTATTTAGTATTTTGTATTTAGTAGATTTTTGTATTTAGTAGAGACGAGGTTTCACCATGTTGGCCAGGCTGGTCTCGAACTCCTGACCTCAGGTGATCTGCCCACCTTGGCCTCCCAAAGTGCTGGGATTACAGGCATGAGCCACCATGCCTGGCCAAAAAGGGCATTTTTAATAACTGTGGTGGCCATGAGGAAGTGAGCAAAGAAGCTCCCCTAGGAAGGACGCATGGAGCCATGGAGACTTGATCTTACACTAATGGAAGGCCCTGCCGAGAGACTGAAAATGGGACCGAAGAAATGGGGAGGACATGGGATAAACAAGAGAAAGAGTTTCGGAAATGAGAAGCCTCAGCTCTCTCAGATGCAAGGAAGACACAGTAAGCATGGGAAAGCAGGAGGGAGGAGAACCGCAAGGCAACTTCTAGTTTCTCAGGCAAACAGGAGGCAAGGCCACTGGTGGAGGTGGAGGGCAGTCCAAGGGCAGAAAGGCAAGTTGTGGCAGTAAATCATAAACCAGCAAACGCACCTTCCTTCCGGTTGGTGGATAAAGATCTGAAGAAGGTCAGGGTACGCAGAGAGCCGCACTGAGGGTGTTTGCCCAGTGATGGCTTCCCAAGTGCTCTAGGCAGGGAAGCCGTGGGAGGCCAGCAGATGTGGGGGCTGTGAGGGGTGGCTTGGGGGCCTGCAAGAGGCTGAAGAGCAAGACAAGCAATCGAGAGGGCTACAGAGACAGAAGGCTCTGCTCAGAAACCAAGATTCAGAGCTCGAAATCTTAGAGAAGGTGCTGTCCTGTGTGATGCTAAGGCCTCAAACATGGAGACGGGGCAGGTGGAGGGACAGGACGATGCCCAAGGTCTAGGCTTCAACAATTCTATGCTTTCTGTATCCAATCTCAGTTATAGATGATATGGGTAAAAACAGAGGTCCACTTAGAAAACTGATATGACCTTCTGTTCCTACTCAGAGTAGATGCTTGTTTTTAGCATATATATTTGAGTTTTAAACTCAAGGTAGATGCTGTTTTTAGCATATATGAGTTTTAAACTTGGAGTAGATGCTTTTTTTTAGCATATATTTTTGAGTTTTGACTTTTTTTGGTGGCTGTGGTTTCTTCTACAAAAGAAGTTATAATTTCAAGTGCCTACAGGATATCTAACATTACTCGAATTCCAAAGTTTTCATTTAAAATATCACATCATAGTAGATGAAAATCTTGGCTCTATTTCAACAATAAAATCTATGTTTCTATTTACATACTGATTATATTCACCTCCTATGAAGTGTGCTGGGTCATTAAAATAAATGCATGTTGCTTCTGAGGAATAAGAAGATTTTGCTTAAAACTGTGTTGTAAATTTAAAATTCTGCACAAATGGCTCATGTTTACATGTACTGCACCCTCTGAAACAGGTAATTTATCCAGCTGACTGCAGAGCCTTCCCCTCTTTTTCATGTATAACTGAGTAATTACCTCAGCCAGAACGAGGTGTTCTGAAAATGGATTGACTTTCTAAAGAAAATAATGTTCAAGCCAGTGAATGACTTTCAAGCAATGGAGGAGAATGAATGTTTGCAATTAACATGTTTGTTCATACTTTTAATTTTTTTCTATAATTCAATGTCAGAAGTCTAAATTATTCCCATTGAAATTATACTTATTGTCCACAAGGCTCTTGGTACCAAAAAAAAAAAAAAAAAGTGGTGTCTGCTCTCTACAATTTTGTGTGTAGTGAGAGCTAAACATAACCTAAATTAAAATAATCAAAGATCTAATTATCTAGGGCTAGTTTTCTACTTAATTTATTTTAGATCAAAACAAAAAAAAAAATCATTGTTGTCCAGCTGAATGCTATGTCCAGTATTTCAGCACTTATGTTCCTGATGTTCCTGAGTATTTCAAGTCTATCCATTAATTCCCCGCCTCCCTCACTTTTCTACCTTGGAATCCTGGGGTCTGGAATCTGAAATGAGAAACTATTGGCCTTCACAAAGATCACACACCAACCCCACCAACCTCCACACAGATCATGTAGGATGGTACTGACAATTAATTAGTTATATTTCCAATTAACCACATATTTTTACAAGTATAATTTAATGTAATTATATAAAAATTTATATATACTCTATAATATAATTAATATTAAAAGTGTAATTATTAATAAATTAATAAATACACTGATATTTTAGGGAGTTCTGCTTCTAGTTAGGATGTTGAACTTCAGAACAGGACAATTAGAAGTATTAGAACTAGAAAATGTCTAGAAACTAAAAATATATAAAACCATAATTTCTGAACTCACTGTGGATACTAAGAAGTCTAAATGAAGTCTAAATTATCTGACTGATGGAAAAGGAGGGCCCTTTCCTAAGTGAGCAGAGAGATCAGCCACTTCCTCCAGCTCAGGGGCCTGTGCTGAGTTTGTACCTGGAGGAGCTGAAGATCAAACCTGACACAGGGGGATGGACTTTGACAGAGGAAGACACAGCCAGTGCAGTTTTCAGAAGCCATAGGGGCTGGCTGGCTGTGTTGAGATCTGCCGAAACCCCAGACCCTGAGCTGGCTGTCATTGAGTGCTTACCAGCACAGAGGCTGTGGGGAGGGCCTGGAAGGCCCAGGGAGACCCCTGTAATCTCCTGGTCCTGGGATCACTAGAGGGAGTACAGGGAAGTCCTTTCTATCAACACATTTGAAACCAGAGATGAACTAAAGCTAAAACTGCAACCTGCTTCATTCTTAACTGGATCAAAGGGATCCATCTCTGCATTTGCTTCCTAGGTCCACCATAACAAAATTACCACAAACTTGGTGTCTTCAAAAGACAGAAATTTATTCTCTCACAGTTCTGGGGGCCAGAATCTGAAATCAAAGCATGGTAGGGCCACACTCCATCTGGGAACATCACTCCTTGCCTTTTCCAGTACCCTGTGGCTGCAGGTGGTTTCCTGGCTTCACATTGCATCACTCCAATCTCTGCCTCCATTTTTCACATTGCCTTCTCCTCTTCTTTTGTGCCTTTTCCTCTTTTGTCTCTTATAAGGATACTTGTCATTGGATTTATGACCCACTCATGAAACCCAGGATGAGCTCATCTCAAGATCCTTAACTTAATTAAATCTTCAAATATCATTTTCTCAAATAAAGTCACAATCACAGGTTCTGGAGGTCAAGAGGTGGACGAATCTTTTGTGGACCACCATGCAACCCACTATAGGCCCTCACACTAGCCACCTAACAGAAGAAAAGGCACGGCCCTTTCTGAGGGAAAACAATGCCTACTGCAGTCTCTTTGGCTCTTTTATTCACAACATCCAGCATACATGAAAAAAGAAACAAGACAATGTAACTTGTAATCAAGAGAAAATACAGCCAATAGAAGCAAATACACAGATGATCCAGATGTTAAAACTAGCAAAAAAGAACATTAATTACTATAAATGTAAAATTTTTTTAAGTAAAGAAAATGGATATAAAGTTGGAGAAATTTAACAGAAAAATGATCTAAAAAGGAACAAAATGGATATTCCAGAATTTAAAATTCCATATCTGAAATTAAGAATTCATTAAATGTGTTTTAGCAGACTGAAAATAGCAGAAAAAAAGGCAAGTGGCATAAAAGACAGATCAATAGAAATTATCTGAAGCACAAAAAGAAAAAAGAATAGGTAAAAGTAGAAGAGTTCATGAGAGACGTGTGAGAACCCCTCAAATACTCTAACAGATATGCAACGATTATCCCATAAGGAGAGGAGATAGAAAATGGGCAGAATCAATGTCTGAAGAGATGATGGCTGAGAATTTTCCAAAATGTGTAATGAATATCAACCCACATGTTCAAGAAACGTAGTCAATCCCAAACATGGGGGCAAAAAAAAGAAAAGGAAAAAGAAAAACTCACCTCAGCACATTAAGGCAAAAACAAAAGATATAGAGATTGCCAGACTAAATAAAAAGCACGAAAAGAAACATGACATGAAAGAGTACATACTGTATGACCGCATTCATAAGAAATACATGACTCCATTAATAAGAACAGGCAAAATTAATCTATAATAAAACAGGATGTGGTTACCTCTGGAAAGGTATGGGAAAGGGCTGTAGTGTTGGCTGACGAGGCTTTGAGAGAAGTTTTTGAATGATAGAAATGTTCTCTGTTTTGACCTGGATGATAGTTACGGGTAGATACATATGTAAAAATTCACTGAGCTGTACACTTAAATTGTGTATGTAACTATACGTAAATTATCCCTTCCTTTATAAAACAACAGGAATGGGTCTGCAAATATTTGCCCCATTATGACATGCTTGCCAGTCATAATGAGATCGATTCAGAATTTATCAGTAGAGTTCTAAATAATTATTCATGTATTCATTTAAGCCACAAATATTAATTGCATACTTACTACATGTCTGGGACTATTTTAGGCACCAGGGATATATCAGTGAACAAAACAGGGGAAAAAATTCCTTGCCTTTTGAAGCTTAAATTCTAGTAGGGATAATCAAATAATATCAAATAAGTGAATGTTTTGCATATTAAAAGTTGGTAAAAGCTGGAAAGGTGAGAGCCGAGTTAGGGGGAGTAGGAGTGTGCCAGGAGAGTCTTGCTGAAATTGAAAATGAAGTGGAAAAGATAGGCTTAAAAGAGGTGTGGGGGTTAGAGATTTGGGCGTATGGGGAAGAATATTACAGCCAAAGGGAACAGCCAGAGTAGAGATCCTGAGGTAGCAGTCCAACATGTGTAGGAAAAGCAAGAAGTCTAGTTTGGCTGGAGTAGACAGCACATGGGAAAAGGCGGTAAGAGTTAAGGTCAGAGGGGGAACACAGGTACAGTATGAGGTAGGGTCTTATGGGATTTGGCTTTTATTCTTGGGGAGACAGGAAGAGAGACTAGAGGATTTTGCGTAAAGGCACAAAGATGATATGATGACATGGTCACATGACATGATCTGACTTGTGTTTTACAAGAACCAGCCTGGCTGCTTCTTTGAGAGAGAACTGGGGCAGAGGGAGGTGGCTGGAGTGGAAGCTAGAAGAGCAGGTGGGTAGCTGCTATAATAATCCAGGCAAGAGGTGATGTATTCTGGACTATAGCAGTATCAACAGAAGTGGGGAAAGAGGCCTGCTTCTGTACACATCTCAAAGCTGTAGTCAACAGTTTGCTGGTGAATTAGAATATTAGCTGTGATAGGAAGCCAGCAGTCAAAGATGACTCCACATTTTTGACTTGAGCGATGGGAAAGACGGAATGGCCATTGCTTGAGATGGAGGAGGTAGCAGTGGGAAAGGGTTAGAGAGGAAGATCAGTCAAACTTTGGACATGTTGAGATTGAGATATCTATTCGACATAAAACGGACAAGTCGAGTAGGTAGACTGATATAGGAGTTTGCAGTTCATCAACATATAGGTGATATTTAAAGCAGTGCCATTTGAGGAAACCACAAAGAGAATAAATACAGTTAGGGAAGAGCAGAGGTCCAGTGACGAGCCCCAGTGCACACTGATATGACTCGGCATTGGGCTAGGTGCAGTGGTTCACACTTATAATCCCAACACTTTGGAGGCTGTGGCAGGATGATTGCTTGAGTCCAGGAGTTCAAGACCAGCCTGCACACCATAATGGGACCTTTGTCACTACAAAAAATTTTTTAAATTAGCTGGGTGTGGTGGCACGCACCTATAGTCCCAGCTCCTCAGGAAGCAGAGGTGGGAAGATCACTTGAGCCCAGGAGTTTGGGGCTGCAGTGAGCTAGGTTTGCACTACTGCACTGCAGCCTGGGTGATAGAGCGAGTATCCCTGTCCCCTCCTCCCCCCCCTCAAAAAAAAAAAGAAAGAAAGAAAGAAAAAGAGAAAAGAAAAAAAATATTCAAGAGAGAAGGGGGAATCAATAGAAGGTGTGTGAGAAGGAGCTGCTGGTGAGGCAGGAAACAACGAAGAGAATGCGGTGCCCTGGAAGCCACGTGAAGAAACTGTTAGCAGAGGTATAGACAGCTCTTTCAAAGAGGTCTCCTTTAAATGGCAGCAGAAAAATGAATGAAGAAGTGGAGTCAGAAAATGATGTTTTCAAGATGGCAGACATAATACCATATTTGTTGATGGAAATTGTCTTACGGAAAGGGAAAAACGAAGGATAAGGAAGAGCAGTGAGTTGCTGAAAGGTGGCAGAGCAGGCAGGAGAGGATGGGCATGTAGATAAGGGGGTGCTTCATTAGAAATGTGGAAGGTTCATCCATAGCAACAGGAAGGCAGTGGCAGGGAGATGTGTGGCAACAGGAGCAGGCAGGTGCAGCGGGTGGTGCTGGCAATATGTGTGAGTCCTAGAGTTCCATTCTGATGGCTTCTGCTTTCTAGGTGGGATAGGAGGTAATAGGCATCATCGGCTGAGAACGAGAGTGAGGCAAGAGGAATGGGAAATTTTAGGAGAGGGAAAAAAAGATGTGAAATCGTTATCTAGGAGAATGGGAGAGTCAAAGAATTAGGGAAACTCAATGACTGCCAGTCAGCACCAAGGTTCAGGTAACACTACGTTTTGCAGTTATGCAGGAGGACCAGTCAGGGGACTGTGTCTCTCTAGCCATGCCTCACTCCGGGAGGCAGGTACAGAGCAGGCAGAGAGCAAACTTCTCCAGGGCCATGGTTTTGACAAGAAAGGGAGAGGAGTGGAAGGACAGAAGAGCTAAAGGTTTATGCAATGATCCAATTATATCTATTGTACATGGAGTTCATGCCGTGTAAAGAGAAAAAAAGAAAACAAGAAAGTGAGGGGCAGTGAAGATGAAAATGCAGTACAATCAACGGATTAGAGGCCCTGAGGGCTGCAGATTGACGGAGTTGGGATATTCAAAGAAATTATCTAGAAAAAAGATGGCGGTGGTCAGAAAGGATGTGAGAAACTGCAATCACAAAAAGGGTTACATTATTGTTAATGGCCCACAACAGGGGTCAGTGGCTGAAGTCAAGTGGAGGGCAAGGACATCCAAGAGAGAAGGGCAAGGGACTGAGAAAGCAGGGTGCTTGAAGGATCGCCTGCATGTGTACTAAAACCACCAAGAATGAAAATCAGAGTCATGTTGGTGAGAGTGACCAGAAGCCAACAGCTAAAATAACCAAGCAGGGGCATGTGTAGTAGCCTATAAATACGAGGAATAGTGGCAAATACAGTTTGAAGACACGAGAGTCAAACCCAGAGGGCTTTAGGGAGGGAAAGGGAAAAGGTCTGGAAATAACCACGAGGAGCAAAGAGTACAAATCTCTCACCTCCAGCCCCCAAAGGGCCCATGTGCAAGGGCTGCAGAGCAGCAATATCCTCAGTGAGAAACAGGCAGAGCAGAAAGTGAAGAGAACCTTCAGAAAAGAGGGTCCAGAGGCACAAGGCAAAGCGTGGAGAGCCGGGACGGGGCAGAGTTGAACGGTGACCTTGCAGTCTGGGCTTCTTGATCAAACTGACATCACTGCGGATAAAGGGCGAGATACAGTTGGGCTGGTGGGATCAAAGGAGCAGGTGGTGCCAGGCTGTGAGTTTGATGGGTCAGTGGGGAGTGAGTGCCTGCATCTTCCCTGTGGCTTTTGTGGATGAAAGTGAGGCCGACTGGAGAGATTGAGTCATAGTCCAGGCATATGGGCCACTCTCTTGAACATGCTTAAATGCCCTTTTACCAGCACAAATTCACTGCACACCTCCTAACTTGAGCTATTTGACCAAAAAGCACACCAGGGAATAGCAGGACAAATGAGTCTTCCAACTTGCTAATATATAATAAAACCCAGCAGGAGCTTGCTGCATTCATGGCAGTACTTTGTGGGGTCGAAGAAGGAAGAAGTACACCCCATTAAATGTCCTCCAGTCAAGCTTTCCAAAATGAATTCAAGGAGGGGAACAAAGATTGGAGCCTATTTAAATCCTTCCTCATTGGAAAAACAAAATAAAAAAAACTGCAATTTTAACTTTGGAAAATTTTAGGTGCCAGTGAAAGTTAAACTCCCACCGTACAGTGATCAGCTTCCTGCATTATTGAAATTCAGTAGCACACCTTCCCACATCGCCACTGAAATAAGTAAATATCCCAGAATTCAAATGAGGACAGTGACTCAGCGAGGGAGTCTGAATGAGCCCACTCTCCCACAGGGCGTGGCGATGGTCACGGCAGCCTTCCCGCCTCTGTAAACCGGCCTGACGTGAAGCTACATTTGGAATGAACACAACATGTAGGCTGCTAAATGCCACCATCACAGCCGTCGTTACCATTTATTTTTAAAATATTTTTTCAGTAAAGCATCAACTAAGGCATCACAGTTATTACCAATTTAAAAGAAAGCACCGTGGGAAGTGGCCCATTTAATTAATTATAGCCCATGTGTGGTGCAGTCCAAACAATGGCACACTTCACTATTATCCCAGCAGAAGCAGAACATCGAACAGAAAGTTCCCCTTCTCCCTTCCATGTGCTGTGGTCCCTAACTTTGAACTGCAAGTCACAGTCAGACAGAATGCCAAAGGATCAGAAGAGAAGCCAGCCCCCAGCACTCCTTCCTCACTGGAGTACAGACAAGAAACCAGCAACGAAGACACAGGTGACAGGAAAGGCATGGCAGCATCCCCGATGAATTGCCATCCAGCATTGAGGGGCCCTGCCCAGGTCCTTGGGGTGGAGAAGAGCTCTCAGTGCCAAAGCAGAAGGAATGCCATTGCCAAGGACTAGCTTCTCCCAGCACAGGGCAGGAGGAGTCTGCTCAAAACAGACAGACCTACATGAAATTGAAGTTCTGCCTCTTGCTAGCTAAGTGACCTTGAGCAACAGACTTATACAAGCTGATCTTCCTTTTTCCTCACCTGTAGAATGAAGGGAATGATACCAAATTTGCCCATAAGTGTAAAGTTTCTAACTAATGGGTGTAATGTACAAAAGTGTAGAGTAGGTACTCAGGAGGTAATGATCATGGATGATGATATTATCACATAAAGGCAGGAAAAGAAATCTTCTGATGTTGGGTTGAGAGCAACACAGTTCAAGAGACCATGATCTGAGCTGCCAGTCCATCAGTAACCAGGGTCTGTCCTGGCAAACCTACATGAGCCATGTTCTGGAGGAGAGAAGGGGGCAGGTTTGCATTCAGCCACGGAATTCCCCATCAATTGCACATGTGGATGTCCGCTACCCTGTGCCCCTGCACTCTGAAGATGGGCTAATATCCCACTACTAGGTACTTGATTACTTGCCTGTAACTGCTGAGAGCTCCCTGATTTGCAAGGCTTTCTGTTCAGTGGTAGAGTTGTGTGTGGCTCGCGGAAGCTGCAGGATATTTTCTGACATGAATTCCATGTGGGGCAGATAGACTGGCATAAGTTATTCCCCTACAAGCCTCAGACTGTTGGAGGAACATGCACACAAATGTCTGCAAACAGCACACTCAGAGAAAGCCTCACCACAATTTTTGCAGTTGAAAAAGGCAGAAATTTGTTTTTATTACAAAAACATTATTTTAAGGATAAAATATTTTGTGGCTGAGCGGAAAACATTTTTAGAATCCCATGCAATCACTACCCATGTTCAGATTAATTTCTGCAGCTGTCTGTTGCTTATCTGATTGGCCTTATTGGTTGCCCCATAAAGCTTGGCTTCCCTGTACCAGAATAAGAGAGCAGGGTTTTTCACAACTCTTTGCAAACCACCCCAGAGCAGACAATGTAATATTTTGGTGGACACTTGAGCAGACGAGAAGCTGTGTCGGCTTAGTTCCACTCCTCTCAGTCTTCTTCATTCAACAGCTCCCTTCGCCCTAGCCCTCTTCATTCCTCATCCCCTCTCCCTGTCTCACCCACACTCTCCTCCTATTCCACATTCACACAGTAACCAGCCAGAGCGCCTGCCACACACCCAGGAGAACATCTACATCACCAACAGCTCCACTGATATCTGCTTCCCCACAACTCCAAGAAACAGCCTCATTTGTGCCTATCTAGAGTTCCTCTTTTTTTTTTTTTTTTTTGAGACTGAGTCTCGCTCTGTTGCCCAGGCTGTACTGCAGTGGCATGATCTCAGCTCACTGCAAGCTCCACCTCCCGGGTTCACGCCATTCTCCTGCCTCAGCCTCCCAAGTAGCTGGGACTACAGGCGCCCGCCACCACGCCCGTCTAATTTTTTGTATTTTTAGTAAAGACGCGGTTTCACCGTGTTGGCCAGGATGGTCTTGATCTCCTGACCTCATGATCTGCCCACCCTGGCCTCCCAAAATGCTGGGATTACAGGCATGAGCCACCGTGCCCGGCCTAGAGTTCCTCTTAAATACAACCCTATGATCTTAACTTGACTCTGAATGCACATAATTCTTCCTCTTAAAATTTGGGGCTTTGGTTCAAATTCTGAATTGAATATTCACTAGAAAAGTCACATCATTTATGAAACCTACTTGCTCCCATGGGGCTATCTATCCAAAAGAAAATGTCCAAAGCCTTTTAACTATAAAACTCTGATCCCCTTCTCAGTGTGAAAAATGCTCAAAGAGGGGCTGAGAGACCTAAATGCAGAGCCTGAATATTCTGAACATCTTACTATCTCAGTAATAAGCCTAAGGGTGTTCCAATGAGGCTGGAGAAGCAGGAGGAAGCCACAACCATGTTGTTTGAGACCCTGGATTCAGCTATGCCTGTAGCCAGACCCATGTCCTCCTATTCAGGGAGCCAACAAACTAGGGTCCTTTCCTTTTCAGGCTAGGTCAGCCCCGGCTTTCTCTCACTTGCAACAGAAGAACCTTGACAGATATTCCTTAAACAATTCCTCCATAATCTGAAGTTCCATCCAAAAGGCAAGGCCAAGCAGGGCCCTGAACAGCTTACAGATAAAACTAGAAAAGTGGGTCTAAGCCAGATAGCTATGGTAGTTGGTGTTAAAAGCTCTCAGGCTTCAACTATTCTTTTTTTAAAAACTTTTATTTTATGTTCTGGGGTAGATGTGCAGGATGTGCAGGTTTATTACATAAGTAAACGTGTGCCATGGTGGTTTGCTGCACCTGCCAACCCATCACCTAGGTATTAAGCATAGCATGCATTAGCTATTTTTCCCAAAGCTTTCCCTCCCCACATCCAACCCCTGACAGGCCCCAGTGTGTGTTGTTCCCCTCCCTGTGTCCACGTGTTCTCATTGTTCAGCTCCCACGTATAAGTGAGAACACGCAGTGTTTGGTTTTCTGTTCCTGCATTAGTTTGCTGAGGATAATGGCTTCCAGCTCCATCCATGTCCCTGTAAAGGACATGATTTTGTTCCTCTTTATGGCTGCATAGTATTCCATGGTGTATATGTACCACATTTTCTTTTTCCAGTCTATCATTGATGGGCATTTGGGTTGATTCCACGTCTTTGCTATTGTGAATAGTGCTGCAATGAACATACGTGTGCGTGTGTCTTTGTGATAGAATAATTTGTATTCCTTTGGGTATATATCCCAGTCTTGACTGTGCTAACCAGGTCCCTACTTGGTTCTAGGTACAGCTTGCCTTTTGCCAACACTGGCCTTCCTGGGGCAGCCTTCGTCTGTGTAGCTGCAGACTGTCTGTGATTCTGTCATCCACCTCGTCCTGGTGACCCAGACTTCCACTTAGCCAAGGTTCCTGCCAGACCCAGATTTCTATAGGTACAAACTCATTTGCTATCACTGCTGCCCTCGCAAGTATTTGAAGGAAGTAATGCGAAGCTTTGACACTGTTGAGCCCGCAGCCCAGAAGCGTCTGTTAGGTTAAGTGGTGCAGGTCAGACAGAACTGGGGCTGGGGTGGCGCACCTTCTCTCCCTTCTCTACTCATCCACTTTCAGTGCGTCTTAATTCAGCCTGTTTCTTTGACCACCCCTCTCCCTTTCTTGATGCCACTGTGATTGCCTAAGCTAATCTAAATATTGCTTTCATCTTTCTTCAGTCTCTCCTTGTGGGTATTTTACTGCTGATGAAAAATTATCTTATTTGTGGCCAACATATCTTCACAATGAAAAGGTGAAAAACACAACTTGAACACAGAATAATCCCTGCACCAAGCTTATCTCAGGGTTGCAACCACTCACTCTCAACAGTAGTGAAGCACTATTTTGGCTCCATTTGTCTGTTTCATTTCCCCACATGCTAATCTGATTTATTCCCTGTTTATAGTAAGATTTCTGATATTTACCAGAGAAAGAGAGAACACTACATCGAAACCCAGAAATTCTGTACCACTCTCAATATACTTCATTTATCCTAATTTTTAGTGGGATTTCATGTCTAAGGAAGTCTTTTGTCTTATTTCTGTATCTTGCACCATAGTCCGATGCTGGCTGTATAATGCATATTTTTCAAGAATAACCATGGATCTAAAGACGTTAATTTCTAGTGTGTATTTTTCTTCACGTTCCTTTGTCTGTTTCTCCATTCCAAGCCACCTGCTTTAAGCTTCATCAAAATCAATCCCCCAAAAAACATAAATTCTAAAATTCCATAAATCAGTCTGAAATGATGAGAGGAAATGACCATGTGTCATAAGAAGTATTAAATGAAGATATCTCAGCCTATTCAAAGGGGACAGTGTAATCACTGTCTAACTGACAAGGAATTTAAGTGTTGACAGTGATAGGCTGGTCACATGTAATACTAGAGAATAGTTACTAAACTACTGAACTCAGACATGTTCTCTTAGTCTGATGAGGTAGCATCTATTTATTATGATGTTCACAATCCTGAAAATATATTTTAGGGTAGAAATAGAAAGGCCAATTTAAATATTTAGATAATTTTCAAGCTCGGAAATTAATCATTATGTAATTACTGATTTTTCCAAATGTTTAACCAATTTCTCCCCACTCATTTAAATTACATTTTTGATTTCTAAAGAGGGAAAAATCTGTTAAACTTTTTAAGCTTATGATGTTCACTAGTGATGTTAAAGAGACAGCAAATAGTTGACCTAAAGAGACAAGTTGACAGAGAAGACAAATGAATAAACTATGGCTAACCCCAAATCCAACACAGCATCAGCTTCCTAGGAGCAGGTAATCAGCCCCCTCATGCCTACATGGGGCTTCTTAAGGTGGATGTGCACTGGCCACTATTTCTACTTGCAACTGGACACCCTAAAGCTACACCATCCAACGTAACAGCCACTGCCCATATGTGGCTATTTCCACTTAAATTCATTAAACTCAACTGAAATGAAGACTCCAGGTCCTCAGCCTCACTAGCCACACTTCAAGTGCCCAACAGCCACATGCAGCGAGTGGCCAATGTACTGGAGAGAACAGAGAGATGCCATGTCCGTCACTGCAGGAAGTTCTGCTGGACAGCACTGGCCTAGGCAATGGGATTACTGTATAGAGACCACCAGTAGTACATATAAGTAGAATTTACTGCCTGGACAAGTGGGTGAAAAGCTAAAAGCTAAGATCCTAAGCCCTATTGCCATGAGACGGGAAGAAAGGCAGGATCCAGGGCAGGAAGCAGCTATGCTATCCACAGCTCCGGGCAGAAGGGGAAATCTGAAGGGTAAGGGAGAAAGATAGCTTTGGGGGTCAGAAAGAGACCTCTATGACCTTGTTCTTGAATAAATGTAGTTTACGGAGGCAGCTGAAATGAAAAAACTCAAATGAGCTTAAACACAAAGAAGTAATGTTGTAGCACAAAATTTGCTTACGGGTGATAGCAGAGAATTATAAAAAATGATCAGAGCAGAGTATAAATCTCTGGGCTCTCACTGCAATACCCAGGGCCCAAGGGCAGTGAAAGAGCTCTGGAAGTGTCCTACAGAAAGCTGTCAGGCAGGACAGGCAGGAATGCCAGCCCAGTGATGGACAACACCCCTGGAAGGAGGAAGCTGCCAGCAGAAGCCACTGATGGAAGCTCAGTGACAACAAGGAGTGGTAAAGAAGAGGGGTTAAGGGATATATTCACAGAGGCCACTACTGCAAATTTCCTGAAGGCAGCAGCAAAGCACAGGGGTGCAAACCTGTTTCTTCATTTTGGAATCTTAGGTGCAAATGAGAAATAATCACTGTGGGACACAGTGAATAAGAAGATGCAATTATATTTTGTATATCAATTTGGGGCTTTGGGATTTTTCATGTATTAAAATACACCATGCTCGTACACTGATAAGCACACACTAGAGTCATTGTGGGCACACGCTGTAGGAGGAACTCTCCTAGCTGGCCAGGAAGCAGAGAGATTAACTTGGTTCTCCAGGTGCCTTAAGCCAAGTGAAGTAGGCCACACTCAAAAAACAATCTGAATCCTTCATGCTACCGGCAGTTTTTGCCATTAGAATTACATTTATTTTAAGAGAAGGAGGTTATTATTACCGGAAAATCACTAGCAAACATTACTGTTCAGAATTCCAGCCATTTATTATCCATTATCTATCCATTACTACTCCACAGTCCCACTGTTTGTCATATGTTATTAGTATAATGGCCTCATAATGGGCTATGCTTCTTTGACACTATTACAATTCTGCCATGGTTCACTCTGTCAATATTTCAAGGGAGGAAGCATCATATAAAATAATACATGATTTAAATTATTCAAATATTATGTAATTCTCACCCATGCTTAAAGTAAGCATATTGCTTCTTAAAGGTATATTCATAATAGAGAAACACCAATGAATTCAATTTTCTATGTGATGTTAGAAATAGCTCCTCTTTTAAGAAATATGTAGGGAGTGTTTAGTTAATGCCAAAGGCTAGTGCACATTTGTTTTGCATAAGGAATAAATAATCCTTAATAAACAGTAATTTGCACCAATAAATAACCTATCAGTACACTCTTATTTACAACTCACATTCATTCCTTTCTCCATTCATTTGGCAAATATTTATTGAGTACCCATGAAATGCCAGGTGCTATTCCATAGGCACTAGGGATATCAAGAGTACTCGGGTAATCAAGGGATAAAAATGCTCCTTCCACTAACTTACATTCTAGAGGCAAAACAAAGTATAAATAAATAAAACAAATATATAATCTAATGTCAGATAACCATAAATACCTATGATGAAAACTAAATTCATGTAAGAAGACAGTGAATTGCTTCAATATTAGCAGGAATAATTCTCCCACTGCAACAAGTAGAAACTCCAAGTGTACACGTTCAGACACGGATTAAGAGGTGGGTTTGGTCATGGGAATATCGGCAATTTTACCATGAGTTTCTCCTTTCCCAGTGAACGAGAGGGAAGATCATGAGAAGAGAATGAGGAGAAGGCTGTGAGGAGCGAGGGTGTGTGAAACAGTTCTCTTGGAGAACAAGAACATGAAATGATCAGAATGCCAGGAATGGGCTTAGGGCTGTCTTGGACATTTGTAGAGAAAAATTTGAAGGCAAATCTCTCAGAATGGCTCTCTGTGTTTCTCTAGCCACAAGATTAAATTTTGGCTCACTCGGAAATTTATAATCAGGCAATTATGTGAGAATAGACAAAAATTACATTCCCAATGAAGTAAGGGATTACAGAGAGACTCAAAGAGAAGGAAAAGACAACCAATTTGGAAAGAAAAATGCAAATTTATATTCAACATGATAGAGTGTGCAACAACCTGACTTAATCATTACACATTCTATGCTTGAGACAAAATTTCACATAAAATTGCACCCCATAAATATGTACAAATATTGCATAAATATAAATACCCCATAAATATGTACAAAATTGCACCCCATAAATATGTACAAATATAATGTATCCCAAAAAAGTGTGGAATAAGATAGTGTTAAGTTAGGTTGAGTCTAAAGCTGCCTCCTTACATATTTTATGTCCAGCCTAAAGGTTTCTCTGTACACAGTGAAGTGCAACTAATTGGATATGTAAACAGACTGTAACCTACTCTTGTGCCAGTCACCAACTTTCAGCCAGTCAAAGGCAGACAACTGTTCACACCACATTCAAATAAGGCAAACACAGAGCTGCAACCAATCCAGCTGTTTCTGTACCTCCCTTCCCTTTTCTGCACATCACTTTCCATCTTCTGTCCGTAAATCATCTCTGACCATGTGGCAGCACAGAGTCACCCTGAACTTCTTCTGGTTCTAGGGCTACCCGATTTGTGAATCATTCTTCATTCAAGCAAACTCTGTTAAATTTGTTTAAAGTTTGTCTTTGAACAACAGGTTGGAGGAGTAAGTCAGGACTTGATTATGCAGGATCTAGTAGGACACACTGAAGAGCTGATTCTTTTTTACCTAAATGCAATGAGATGTCATGGAAGAATGTATGCAAGGGAGTCATGTGGTCCAGTCCATATGTTTAAGATCACTTTGGCATCTTTGGGTAGCGAAGATTGAGAGGGTCTGCAGCAGGTGCAGAGAAACAAGCTAGGAGGTGTCTTCAGTGGTCCAGGTGAGATATGCTGCTGGCTTTTATTAGGGTGGCAATCAAGGGGACTGCAGTCATAGGAATGGAGAGAGGTAAGGAGACTAGGAATATATTGTCTGGAGTTAGTGTCCATTGACTACGGCGGTTGACCATGTGTGGTAACTCTGAGATGGGTAGACTGTAAGAATGACTCCCAGGTTTCTGTTTTAAGCAATTTGGTAGATCAGGCTACCGTTTACTAAGCTGAGGATGCCTAGGGAAGAAAAAGGTTTGTGTATTGAGGAGTTCAGTCCAGGAAAAATTAACGTAGACATACAAAAGATGTCAAAAGTACCAGTTACATACCTAACCCTGGAGCTCTGGGAGAGGTCACAGCAGTAGATACAATTTTTAAAGTTATTGGAAAATATAAAGTGCTGAAAACCAAGGGAATGGATGACCTCACTTAAGAGAGAGAACTGAGCAGACATTCTCAGCCCAGGCATGTATTAAAATCACCTGGGAGAGCTGTACCAAATGCTGATGCCTGCTGGGCACTTCATGCAGTCAGGCTTGAGCACACAGCATAGAGAAGAAACAACAAAAGGCCCAGGACCAATGCCTTGGCCAGTGCCAGTCTTCAGAGGTTAAGAAAAGCAGAGAAGCCAACAACAGGACTCAAAAGGAACAATGAGGTCGAAGAAAACAAGTAAACATAATGGCACAGAATGTATGATAATAATTACTACCCCAGTTCCCTCCACAAAAAAACAGGCTAGATAGGGAAACGCTGATTGAGGTAGGATAGCCGACTCCTCCCACATCATCCAGCCCAGCTCTCTAACATAGAGCCTCACATTCCAGCCCAAAGCAGGGAGTATACATTTCAAGCTTACCTGAAGTTTATTCCAAAATTAGGGTGTAATTGGCTCATAAAGTTGACTAGACTTCCTTTACTTACAACACTGTTGAGGTGGAAGGACTTTCCAGAGAACCTTATAACAGTATTGAGTTGGGAGAGCCTGATGTCTGCTGAATTCAGAGCCAAAAGAAGCCACTCATACCTGACTCACTGTGGAGGGCAGCAAAACCTACCACCCTCCTTGGTTAACGTGGAGAAAGGTATTACAAACCAGGGAAAAGAACAGCCAGTCCCTCCTGCCCTAGGAGCAAACAGGTATTCCTTGCTCCTGTTTAAGAACAGGCATTGCAAACTTCAGTGCACATACAAACCAGGTGGGATCTCGTTAAAACACAGATTCTGATTCTGGGAATCTGGGGTGCTGACCCAGATTCTACGTTTCTAACCAGCTCCCAGGTGATGCAGACACTACATTCTGCTGCTCTTGACTGGGAAGTCTCTAGAGAGCCCTACCTGTACCAAGCCTTTCCAAGGCCACATTCAGCTCTGGAATGAAGCCTCAGCTGCCACATGGCTGCCCTAAGCCTGGGCATGAAATCTGCCTGAACACCTTCTGCCGTGCCCGTTTAGGGTGTGTGCCCAGCCTGCCTCATGTCACCACCTGTTCCTGGGACTGGCATGCTGCCCAGCCTGCTCCTCGGGGCCCCAGCTTTGGTTCAGCTTTGATCCATCCCCTCAGTTTGGTCCAACAACCCTGAAACACCACTCCATCCTCTGTGTTTACAGGATCTACACACCTCCTTTTTTCTATTGCCACACCCCTTGGGGTTGGAGGAAGACACTTCCCCATGAATATGGCCTGGTCCTATTGTTTCCATGGCCTAGCACTGGCCGTGCCAAGAACTCAAGGACACACACAGGACTCTAGATGGAGTCCTGGGCTGGAGAAGTTGGGAATGAGTCTTTACCAAGTAGCAGGAGGAAAAGAAAAAGCTCTGTGGCTACTGCTTGGGCTGGGGCCCCCACCCCTTCTCCCACAGCTGAGCCCTGATGGCTCCAGCAGCCGTGTAACTCCCCATGATTCCTCTGGTCACAATCCAAATAAAGATCTTGCATATACCACCTGACAAAGGGGCTTTCCATAGTTTTAAAAGAAAAAAACATATATGTGCATCCATATATACATGCATGTATACATAGATACACATTAAAACAAATTAAACCCAAAGTCTCTTTTGTCTCTACATGATAGTAAATAAAAGCATTTGGTGTTTGGAAATGCAAATAAAACAAGGCATGTTATATACTTTTTCTAAGAGGAGAAAAACTGTTCTTGAGAAGCCATCTGCCCCTCAGCATCTTTGAGCACAATGCTCCCTGCATTTGCAATGGCTTTTACAGTACTTGAGGGTTTGTGCCCTGCACTATTACACTGAACTGTCACACTATCCTTGCTCTCCAGCTAGATGGTCAGGGCAGGTTCCAGGTATGCATCATATCCATAGGGCCCACAGCTCCTGGGATGGTCTCTTTCTTCTACCTTAGCAGTGTTCAGTAAAGGAAAGCTGTTGATTACACAGTAGACCTCATCTCTTCTACTCCTTTTTACTGAATATTTTACTTTTATGTAAAACAATTGCATAAGGCAGAATAATAGGCTCCCAAAGATGTCGAAATTCTAATCCCTGAAAGCTGTGAATAGGTCCCGTAACATGGCAAGGCAGATTTTTGCAAGAGTGGTCAAGTTAAGGATCTTGAGACGAGGGATCGTCCTGGATTATTCAGCGAGCTCAAAGAAATTACTACAGTGCTGAGAAGAGGAAAATAGGAGTGTCAGAGGCAGAGGTTTGAAGGTGCTACGCTGCTGGCTTTGAATATGGATGGAGAAAGGGGCCAGAAGCCAAGGAGTAAAGGTGGCCTCTAGAAGACAGAAAAGACAAGGAAACAGATTCTTCTCCAGAGCTTCCAGAAGGAACCAGCCTTGCGGACACCTTCATTTTAGACCAGTGACACTTCTGACCTAGAGAAATGTAACATAGTAAATTTGTGGTGTTTTTATTTTTGTTTTTTATTTTATTTAAGTTCTGGGATACATGTATATAACATGAATGTTTGTTGCATAGGTATACATGTGCCATGGTGGTTTGTTGCACCTATCAACCTGTCACCACCACATTTGTAGTAACTTGTTAAAGTAGTAATAGGAAAGTAAAACAACTACATTCTGGAAATATATTAATCTTGTATAAAAATCTACTCATCCTCTTCTCAAAGACAACTCTCCTTCCCCTGAGTCCATCATCCTTTCTTATATCACAAGAAATGGCATAGATTTTGGAAGAAGGAATGGGGGAGAATGTGGTCACCATCTTGCTTCGTTAGTCCATTATTCACTTATTTATTTTTGAAAGATATTCTTCCAGTGGTTAAAAATAGAGTGCCTACAAAGCAGGATGTGAGCAAAAGAGACGATGTTTGGCATAATTAGCTAAGTATCAGTATTAGTAAGGGCATTTGGAATGTCAGAACTGCAGCTGGTCAGAAATAGTACACTTCTGTTCAGGAAAATGGCAGAGAATGTGTATGTCTCCTCCAAAGCTAAGACAAATTCCACAGACTCTTGTTTTCTCTGAAGGAATAGAGTGAGTACATATTGCACATTCTGACTGAAGGTCTGGGAAATGAGGAGGCTTCATTATCACAGCAGGTCAGAGGTCTTATACTTTTTGAGCAAATATAAAGCTTTGAATGAAGGGCCAAGAGTATGCAGAACGAAGAATCTGCTTTATCAAGAACTGTTAGTCTAAAATAAGGTCCTTACTCAAAGGTCCATTAACCCTTGAAACACAAATATAATCCTGTATTGGTGTACACTTATATGTGCATTTTGCATTGGAGCTATCTGTAGCATCCCTCAGACACTCAAAGAAATGTATATCCCTAAAAAAGAAGAGTTAAGAACAACTAGTGCTACATCATCATCTTTTATTTAAGAAGTTTCTACACAGTGTTGTGCATAGAAAACTGTGAAACATTCTATTTCTATTCTATCTGGCTCATGACTGAGCTGATGTCTCTAGCCAAATAATCATGTCAGGATCTCACTAGATCTCGCAGGTCAGGCTGGTAAGATGGGTACAGGGTGGGGGAGTTATCCAGGGAGTTCTAGAGTAGGCGCCAATTCATCACCAAGGCCACATGTTTCCGTAGTGCTGCTCGGCCCGTGTTTCCGTTATTGGTATGCTGACTTTAATAAAAATGTGAAAGGTAAGTCCCTACTACAGTTCTTGGAGAATACAAATACAGTGAGAGACTATACATCCTTTCAGGGGCTTGGCTACTTTCACACTGAAAACCAAATAAAAAGAGGGTTATCAACTGATAGGAGAAAAAAATATGTATTTCTTTTAAATCTAGAAGCTGTTGATTACATGGTAGCCCGCATTTCTTCTACCTTTTTTTACTTAATAGCTAAAATTGATCTAAAACTAGATTGAAAAGTAAATATAGATGTGATTTGGTCCAAAAATCAGATATTGGAAAAAATAAGACAAGGATACAAAACTATTTATACTAAAGGTAACAACTAATAAATTCATCTAATAGTCTAACCAGTACAGTATCTCTTAAGACAGGGGTTGGCAGATTACAGCCCACAGGCCAAAAAGACCCTTATTACCACCTGTTTCTGTGAGTCCCATGAGCTAAAAATGTTTTTTACATTTCTGAATGGCTGGGGAGAAAGTCAAGAGAAGATTGTTTCATGACATGTGAAAAGTATGTGTGATGCAAATTTCAGAGTCATTTATTTGTTTATATATTGTCTCTGGCTGTTTTTGTGATGAACAGCAGAGTCGAGCAGTTACTGCAGAGACCACATGGCCCACAAAGCCTGAAATATTTACTCTCTGGCTCCTTACAAAAAAGGCACTGCCACCTGGTTTAAGAGCTCAGGCTGAAGAACCAGGCCAACTGGTTCCCACCTGGCTCTACCACTTATAAGCTGTGCAACCTTGGCCAAGTCTTTTAAGCTTTCTGCGCCTATTTCCTTACATATGCTACTTTATTGGGTTGCTGTGAAGAATAAGAGTAAGAAAATGGGAAGCAAGGACACAGCAGCATGGGGGTTTGAGTGAGCCAGCTCTAGTACTGTCACTGCTCTTCTTCATTTTACCTGGAATTAACTGAGGCACGTTCACCTGGTTGAGCACTCTCTCTGCTTCAACTTTTCTGGAATTCATGGCTGACACTAATTTATAGTTTTACCTACTCAAAAAATCATCTTTTCATTGATGGGTCATAACACTTCTGAAAATTGTCCCAGTCTCCTTCCCAAATGAAGACAGCCATCAATCACTGTGACACTGTGATGACCATTAATTACAAGCTTAGCTCAAAGGACATATATTTTTAATGTTGGTATCTTGCTCTATCCTCGTATTTCAAAGCCCTTTTCAAAAATGCATCCCAGGCCAGGTGCGACGTCTCACACCTATAATCCCAGAACTTTGGGAGCCGAGGCAGGTGGATCACTTCAGCTCAGGAGTTCAAGACCAGCCTGGGCAACACTGCAAACCCCCATCTCCGCAAAGAAAAAAAAAATTAACAAAAATTAGCTAGGTGTGGTGGCGCACACTGTAGTCTCAGCTACTCAGGAGGCTGAGGTGTGAGAATTGTGTGAGCCCATGGAGGTCAAGGCTGCGGCAGGCCATGATTGTGCCACTGCACTTTAGCCTAGGCGACAAAACAAGACCCTGTCTAAAAAATAAATAAATAAATAAATAAATAAATAAATAAATAAATAAATAATGCATTCCAGTTAGATAGAGGTCAGGTGGCTTTCTGGAAGCACAGGCAACCCTTAGTAAAGTGAACATCACTAACTCATATCTGGACTTTTGTTTTGCATTAATACTCCTGCAGGTTTTTCTCAAACAAGAGCTTTTGAACTTATTGGTCTGACATAAAACCCAAAATAGTTTCTAGTTACATAACTAGACAGCCATAACAATTTCTCTTGGTCATGATGCTCTAATTTCATTGTGAAATGCCACAAATATGTCCAGTTAATGCATTAAATAGGAAAAGACTTGTTGAAGAGACTCAATTTATTAATGATTCAGTAGAACTTATTAAAGCATCTATTTGAAATTCATTTATAATTCATTTCACAGCTTAGCTGCATTTCCCACAGGGCAAATATTTATCAAATGTTACTCTGTTTTAAGTCCTTCCTTTATCTTTATTTGTAGAATACTTTTTCCCACAAATAATGGCTAAACTTCCTAAAAGCATCCACCCATCTACTGTAATTTAATGTGCATTTTCTGATAAGGCAACAGTAATGGGCTTTCAGATATAACAGCACACACTGTACAACCAAACAAAAGAATAATTATTAAACATAATAGCTGGCTATAAATTGAACAAGATACACTGAGTACATCATAAACGCTTATTAGAGAGCAACCATCATAATTAATAAACCTAGCATCTTAAAACCCTGCCATGGCATGAAAAACTTCACCACTCAACTGCCAATGAACCACATATCACCAAATGAATATTTTCAGTATAAAAATCAGAAAATCTGACCTGACTAGTTTAAGTGGATTTATGAGGGTGAGCGAGTAGAGGATCTTGGATGAGGCTGCTCATGGTCCTATCCCCCAGCACTGACCATGTATGATCTCCAATTCCAATGGCTTATCACAGCTACAGGGCAATTGCGAAAACATAGAGAATACTGGCTTCTGAATAGAAACATGGATATCTTTGAAATCTTCATCAAATTACTTAAGTTCTCCATCCCAACTGCACAGCAAAAATAACATCTACCTAAAAGAGTTGATGTGAAGCCAAAAATGTGATATATAACATACTTGCTAAGTGTCCACTCTACTATTACTACTTCTATTACTTCTGATACTTGCACTGCTACATCCACTACTGTTACTACTTCTACTATTACAAACACTGGGCAAGGTATTTCATCCCAATTCTCTTAGCCGGGATATTATTACTGAGCACATATAAATAATGATAATCCTGATTTCTTTAGACCCGAAGCCCATAAGGCCCACTAAACTGGCAAAAAAAAAAAAAAAGCCAAAACAAAACAAAACAAAAACCAGACAATAACAGGTGGCAGTGAAGATGTGGAGAAATTGGAGTCCTCATATACCGCTAATGGGAAAGTAAAACAGTGCAGCCACTTCAGAAAACATTTTGGCTTTTCCTCAAAATCTGAAATATAGAGTTATCATATGACCCAGCAATTCCACTCGTAGTTATATATCCAAAAGAAATGAAAACATACGTCCACACAAAAACATATGTAAATGTTTATCCCAGCAATAATCAAAATAGCCCAAAATAAACAACCCAAATGTCCATCAACTGATAAGGAGATAAATAAAATGTGGTATATCCATACAATGGCTATTATTCAGAAATAAAAAGGAATGAAGTACTGATATTTACTACAGTATGGATGAACCTTGAAAACATTATGCCAGGTGAAAGAAGCCAATCAAAAGATCACATATTATAGGATTCTGTTTATATTAATTGCCCAGACTAGACAAATCCATAGACACTATGGAAAGTAGATTAGTGACTACCAGGGGCTTGGTTGGGTAGAAGGAGGGTAGAATGAGGTGGCTGCTAATGGGTACAAGGTTGCTTTCTAGGGTGATGAAAATGTTTAAATTTAGTGGTGATGGTTGCACAACTTTGTGAATATACTCAAGACCACTGAATTTTAAGGTACGTGAATTGTATCTCAAAAAAGGTATAATAAAAATAGAACTAATAAAATACATAAGGCCAACTACATATTTGGGGAGTGGCAGAAGGAAATGAAGTTGTCTTTAGTGGATCTGCTGCGCTCTGTCAAGAACTGCCAGTACCACACAGGACCCTCCAGGTAGGACAGACAATGTGGGCTTGGGCACAAGCGACAAAGTGAGTGGGGTCATGGGCAGTCACAACTCCTCATCCTACACATCTGCTCTCCCACTAGGAAGTGAGTTATTTAGGATAAAAATTAGAACACAGAGTAGGAAGAGTAGGAATGCTATAAGCTCTAGAGTTGAAAACATCTGTTTGGAAGCTGGGGTTTAAAACCCTGTTCCCATATATACTATCTTGTGACCTTGGACCAATTACTTAATCTCTGTGGTTTCAGTTTCTTCATCTACATAACGGGTATAACAACAGTACCTTATTTCACATGGTTGCAGGAAGATATGTTAACTCATGTAAAGCCCTTAGAACAGTGTGTGACAAAGACTAAGTGCCATGACCACCATAGGCATTGTTGAAAATGTAGTTCTCATTGTTAGAACAGGCTGACTCTGCTCTCACAAACACAGGCATGCAGCACAGTAACATCTGTTCCTGTTAACATTCCCCATGTAATTCCAATCAAACTTCCTGCTTTTTGAACCAAGGAGTGTAGGCTTGTTCTTTGTCCATCTACTGATGACAATTGCTTCCTTGAGGTCCCTTCATTAATACAGAAAATAAATACACCCAGGGAGGGCAGCACAGGGTACTTGTATCAACTAATTACAGCAGCAGCTACTGCTGAAGTACCTATAATATAAAGAGCCAGGTAGAGTTTCAGGAATTTTCCATACATGACCTCATTGAATTTTCACAACAAGCCTGTGAGGCAGGTATTGTTGACGCCATCACTTTACAGATAAGGAAAGTTCAAATATGTTGAGTAACTTCACCAAGTTACCACACAGTCAAATAAGTCAGTGCTGGAATTTGAACCCAGATCAGTCTTGTCCGAGGGCATTTTCCAATAATTATTACTCCAGATGTCCAAGAGAAGAGTAATTATGAAAATATTTGAAAATAAGAGAAGAGTGCCTGTTGACCAACACAATTATTTCTACATATTCAGACAACAGTCAGAGTGCCAAGGTACATTCAGTGCCATTCACTCCTCCACACCCTCCTTAATTCACTCATGCATACAGTAAGCATCTATTATGTGCTGGGATAAAGATTTCCTTTGAAAAATACTGACTTTAAAAAGAAAATTAGAGAATAACAGAACAATATGAACAATATGATCAACACGTTAATTGAAGAATAGAGGAATGTACTGGGCAAAGCTGAGAGAAGAAAAACTTCAATTGCTTGCTCATAAACTGGCAACAAATGATCAATCGATGCTACAGTAAATATCTTATGAATAATAAGAAAACAGTCTGTCAACTAAAAATCTAAGTCAGATTTGATGTGCTATTATGACTGAGCTTATCTTAGAAATGAAATACTTTTTTTTTTTTTTTTGAGACAGAGTCCAGCTCTGTCGCCCAGGCTGGAGTGCAGTGGCATGATCTCGGCTCACTGCAACCTCTGCCTCCCAGGCTCAAGCGATTCTTCTGCCTCAGTCTCCCAAGTAGCTGGGATTACAGGCACGTGACACCACACCCAGCTAATTTTTGTATTTTTAGTAGAGATGGAGTTTCACTATGTTGGCCAGGCTGGTCTCAAACTCCTGACCTCAGGTGATACGCCCGCCTCAGCCTCCCAAAATGCTGGGATTGCAGGCGTGAACCACTGTGCCCGGCCTACTTTTAAAATGAAAGTTAATAATAAAATGTCACTGAATTAACAAAGCAATTATGATATGCAAAAGTCATTTCCATTGAAAATGCCATAAGAGTAAACAGTAAAATTCCAGAAATAAATAAGAGTTAAAGCAATATGTTTAAAATTAAACTTAAAACATTAATAAGAAGGTATATGGTAAAATACCTATGTTATTCCTGAATATTATTTAACATAGTTTTTGTTTTCATTCATCAGAAGAATAATGGACATTGCCAGTGTACATTCTTTTGATAATCTATTGCCAAGCTGGACACTCATCTCTAAATTTTACTAAAATGTATGTACTGACTATTCTCTATAAATTGAATCAGATATTATTTTCAAATTAGGGATACGGCAAATAAGATTTCTTTTAAATTATATCGAACCTAAATCTATCTTTTAAGTTAGTGCCTATTAAAATTAGTTGACTTCAATCTTTATTATTATGAAAAGAAACTATACTTGCATGGAAAATAACTTTTGAGCTGTAATATGTTGTAGAAAATTTAATAAATTCTACAGATGCTTTCAGCTCTCTGAGAAAAATACAGTATAGAAATCTTTTAATCAAATCTTTAATTCAAAATCTAACCTTTTGTTTTTAGCCACAGTGAATAAAGTGTTTTTAATTTTTTTATTTGACAAAGAAAAGCAGGAAACAAAGTTTTAATTGTTCTTGGTAAGCTGTTTAATAACAATGATTTCAAGCGAAATAGAATAATGCCAATAAAAAGAAGCTTAATAAAAAGAACTGACAGTAAAAGTCAAAACAGCAAATCCAAACAGAAAAGTATTAGAATATCTCTCAAAGTCAGTCATGTCTCATCTACAGATTTCCCCCTGCACATACACATAAGCTGGGAATCACTCCATCCAAAGACATGTGACTAGAAATTAAGCCAGGGGCAGTTTTATTCTTCTGCTGCACCAAAAGAATCAGAGCCTCTGTGGCCAGTTTAAGGTGTGAGTTATACACTCTCCTTTTTTAGGGATCCTCTAGTCCCATCTTGGCCAGGGTCAATCTTCAAGGTCAAATCCAGAACGCTTTTCCCCCCAGAAAATTATTGTGCAGATGAATTAAAAAACGAGAAAGGTTCAGAGAATGGGAGGGTAGAGGAAACAAAAGTAATGTAGGAAAAATATTGATATAATAACATAATAATTTAAAATATGTACCTTTACTCTTTGGTCATCAACATCTACAATCGTAGCAACACGAATTAACCTGGGGTTCCGTTTATCCACAACTTCAAGTTTCATATTTGGCAGAAAACCATGAGGCAACCTCTGTAAATGTTATTATAAGTACAACAAATCATGCAAAATTCAGTAATTCAGATATCCTACTAATTTTTTCTAAAATACTACTGTTTTAGTTTTAATATGCAGATCTTCAATACAACTGGAATTTAGTGTTTTTTGTTTTGCTTTTTTGTTTTTGTTTTTGTTTGTTTTTTGAGATGGAGTTTCACTCTTGTTGCCCAGGCTGGAGTGCAATGGTACGATCTCAGCTCACTGCAACCTCCACCTTCCGGGTTCAAGCGATTCTCCTGCCTCAGCCTCCCAAGTAGCTGGGATTACAGGCATGCACCACCATGCCCAGCTAATTTTGTGTTATAAGTAGAGACAGGGTTTCACCATGTTGGCCAGGCTGGTCTTGAACCCTTGACCTCAGGTGATCTGCCCACCTCGGCATCCCAAAGTGCTGGGATTACAGGCGTGAGCCATCATGCCCAGCCAGAACTTAGTTTTAAGAGCACATAGGACTGTATGCATATTATTTCATCCGATTCACAAAAACCTGTGAGAGAAAAAATAATTTTTTGGCCATTTTAAAGATAACTAAAAAGACAAAGACAGATTATATCATAAATTTGTTAATGATTACACTAAAGTTCAAAAAGCATCTTATTACAGTTCCTATATTAGTTTAGTTTTTTTCCTTCTTTCTGATATTGACCTTATAATTTCAGAAACTATTGACTATTCTCATTGCCCAGTTTCAAACTGTATGGCACAGAAGGCAAAATTCTTTAATAAAAACTCAGAAAGGAGAAACACGATCCTTTATAAATCTAAAATATGCTTAGATAAAAGCTGTGTAATTTCAGCTGTTAAACTGTTTTAAAAGCATACTATGATGTACTTTAAAGCCATAGCCTATGCTTTTGTCATTTCATCTGTAACAAGAGACAGGTGATCTGTGTTATGGTTTCTTTCACTTGAAAGGAAGAAACCACAGGCTCATGCCTGTAATCCCAGCACTTTGGGAGGCCGAGGTGGGCAGATCACCTGAGGTGATCTTGCTAGGAACCAAGAGTCTATAACCACAGACACACAGGGATTCATAATCACGGAGTAAGAAAAAAGACACTGGACTTAACCAAATCACAGAAACTAAGGAAATTCAACTCTCAAAAATCAAAATCAAAAGCAACTCTGATAGTTTCTATAGGTTGGCAAAAAGTTTCACTTTGAAAGCTATTACACATAAAAGTGTTCAATTGGTTTTATTGGAAACAAAAGTGTTTTGAATTTTTCAAGTTCAGAAATGGCAAAAGGAAAATAAAACCCAACTAATATGTCAGTAATAAACAGTCAAATCTTTCTGCAATATCTGGTGTGTTTCTCTCCAGCTTTTGTAGAAACACATTTTCTTTGTAAGATGCATTATCACATCTACTAAATGGAGTATACTGACTGTAATTAGGTCTTTCATCCCGGAGAATCTTTCTGTTCTCCCCAACATCACTGTCCTGAACAACAGAGGTAGAAGAGTTTAGTATTGTACACGCCTAAGGTACATCCCTGAGCTGAATCCACAATAACCCAGGACAGAGCTTGGAAGTTGCCTTCTTAGCTACTTTTCAGAATTTTATTTTCTTGTCATTTTCCTCTTGGAAAAGTCAAGTACAATAAGCATTTTTGCTTGCTGAACCTTTGCTCTTTTTAAACCCTTCCTAGTACTCCAACACTTCTACTTTCCTGATTTTATTATATGGACATTTCCCCCCAAATACTGTTAATTATAATCAATTTTTTCAAAAAATGAAATATCATTTTGTTTCAAGCCGCTCTTGATCTCTAGACAATTTTCAGTAAATGAAATTATATGCAGAAGCCCAATATATAAAATTCTGATTAAAGACAAGTTGGGGAACATGAAACACACAGAGAACTGAAAGGGAATAGAGTTTGAAAACCGCTGGTTTAGGTTTAGGATATAAATATCTTTAACTGTACTACCTATGTACTTTATTTTAGAAATTAATTTATACTTAGTTCAATCCTGGAATAAATATATAAGTACAAATTTAAAAATCAGTATTCTAACAAATGCTGAAAGAAAGGTTTACCTCAAAATATATAACATTATCCACACAAAGGCTATGCATTCAACAATTTTGTTATGGCATCATGGACAGTCAAACAGTCCCTGAGAGAGTGGTACTGTGAAAATTCAGAGTTCTCACTCAGCAGACTAATAGAACCAGAAATGTAAGGAATGGATCATCAGCAGTTGATGAGGTGTTTTCAATTGTACCTCTGATTTGCCATTTTTCAAGGAAGGAAACCATCATCTACATTTCTATATGGGAACAATAGCAGATGAGTCACCTACTTTGTATTTTTAACTAAAAGAAAAGCATATTGGTTATGAAATTACTACTTGAATTTAGAAAGAAAAAACTAGAATAATTTTAAACTGCCAAATGTAGGCATGACTCAATACAAACGTTGTTTAAAGGTGAGAGTTTGTACCCACATAGAACTTACCATTTTAAAAACTTTGGCAGGAACTGCATTGGTTTGAGTAGCTTCCAGGTATTCTGTCCAGGAAAAATTTTCTGGATTGGGATAACCTGAAAATATATATATATAAATAGCAAAAGATTACTCATAGATATTCTGATTCCCGTATACTACAAAACGTTGGATGATATGACACCTAATGTTAATTGAATGCTCACCATTAAACAGACCTGATGCTAAGAACTTCAGATATATTAATTCACTTAACCATAACCTCTGAGAAGGCAAAGGCATGCCTGCACTCAAGCACTTACTCCATGGTACTCTCATTCACTCAACAAGGTTAAGTGAGTTGGCCAAGGTCAAAGGCCATGTGAGTACTTCACAGAGCCAGGTGAGACCCAGGTTTCTGACTCCCAAGCTCCAACAGAAGGCTCCTTAGCAGTTTGAAAACACTTACAAGCAACCATCTGACCTCATACCATGAATTGGAAAAAAAAGACTCTGAAAATCTTTCAAATTTCTCTAATCATTCTATATCTATTAAAGCTTTAGTCTCATTATTAAATCTTTGTAATTACAATTTCCTAAAATTGCAGTTAAAACTATATATTGAACATGATATAAAGAACTCTATTTCAAATTTCCTTCTTGTTTCTCTTTATGTTTGTGTTCTTTCATTCCTAATTAAATTTGCTAGAGATCTATATAGTATAGTTTTATTTATCTTTCCACGCAATAAGTATTTAGATTTATTCATCAGCTCTATTTTTTCTTCTTTTTTCTTTTCTAATTATATTGTTTACTGCTTTTACTCTTATTACTTCCTCCCTCCTACATCTCTTCAGTTTATTTTATATTTGTTTTGTCAAATTGAATTATAAACATAACTTATTTTCATTTAAAATGAAATAGACAATGAACCTGCCATTGTTGCCACTAAATTCAGGTTTAGACAGCTGGACACATTTTTTAAAAATATGTATTCTTCTCACTTTTTATTTTCTAGAAACCAATTATAATTGTAATCTGTGTTGTCTTGATTTAATCCTTAAATATTTATTTGAGATACTCCAAGTAATTTTCATATTTGTTTAAAATAGTAACACTAATATCTAGTTTACTACATAATAGTTTCAGAATGTCATGTGACATATAGAATTCCTGCTTTTGAGGTTTGAGGATTTCTTTTTAGTATAAAATAGAGTCAACAATTTTTAAAAAACAGAGTATATATGTATTTTAAAGTATGTTAGCATTTTCAGTAATACAATCTAGCTATATTATGCAAAAATCTGTCCTTTAAGCAGAAAGTCTGAAGCAATATGCTCAATTCTCTAAAATAAGTATTTTTTTACAATTCCCCCATATTTCTGATCATTTTTCCTTCATTTTTATGCTTTTTAATAAAAATATATTTAAAGGAAAGTACACAAATCAAGTGGATAGACTGAACATTTTTCAAAAAACTAGCATACCAGCATAACCAGACACAGATCTAAACCAGGACATTTCCAGAGCTCCAGGATCCCCTCCCCATCATCGTCCCTTCTAGGCACCATACCACCCTCCTCAAAGAGAAATCCCTACCCTCGCTTCCAACCACAGAGATTTGTTTTCTTCTGTTTTTCCCTTTACGTAAATGCAATCACACAGCATGTGCTCCTTTGTGGTGAACATCTTTTGCTCTGCATTCCGAATGTGAGGGTCAGGTGGATTATTGCCTTCAGAACATTCATTTTCATTGTTGTATAATATTCCATTATGTGAGTATTTCACAATTTATCTATCTATTCTACTGATTGTGGTCATTTGGGTGGTTTCCATTTGGGAGCTATTATTAAAAATGCTGCTATGAACATTCTGGTATATTCTTTTTAGTGATAAGAAGTATACATTTATGTTGGAATGCATCCAGGAGTAACACTGCTAGATCATGGAGTACTTTGCTTCATATTTTGATGTTACATCATTCTGTACATAAAATGTTTGGCATGAGTTGTGCTTTCTATTTATTCTTGATATAGAGAAAATTTCCCTTTCCCTTTTGGATACATTTATGTATTTTGTCTCAAATTATTTTTACTAAAAATTATATTGCCACCCTATTATTTTCTGTTTGTGTTTGCTGATAATATTTTACCCATCGTTTTTACTTTTATATTATTTTGTTCCAGACATATCTATTTTAATCACTTTCTAAATGGACTTTTAAATTAATTTACATTTGTTTTCACCACTAGTTTTTTAATCTAATTTCTGTAAACATGTTTTAAGCTGAATTTTTTTTAAGCTCTCTTGAGGTTTCCTTTGCTTTCTATCCTTTCCTTTATGAGTTATACTATATATTTTATGTTTCAATAAGTATTTCTGCAGTTGCATTTACTTTTTCTTTTTCAAGAGATGAGGTTTCTCTAGGCTGCCCGGGCTGGAATGCGGTGGCTCTTCTGACACAGTCATAGAGGACTGCAGCCTCAAACTCCTGGGCTCATGTTGTTCTCTCACCTCCGCCTTCTGAGTAGCTGGGACTACAGGCACATGATACCACACCCAACTCTGCATTTACTTTTATAGCTGATACTTTTTAAAATCATCCAAATCCATTTATCACATTTTGGATCTCCACATTTCTGTGTAGATTTTGAACCATGCCCACACCTGGCCCCTTCCATGCTGGGCTTCTTCACCCAGGCACCTGACCAGTACATATGGTTGGATAGAGCGAAAGGAAACCTGAGTGTAGGGGACTAAGGACTGGATGTGAGGTAAGTAAGAGAGACAGTACCTGGTCCTGTCCCAGCCTGGTAAAGAGACTTGGCATGCTACTGTGAGAGTCACTATCCTTCTTCCCCTTTTTGTGAAAAACAGGTGAAAATTAAAGGCTGTGACCGTTTTAAATGGCTCTTAAGCAGCAATTGCGTCTATGCCACTCTCAGAAATGAGCTATGTACATGCAAAAAAGGGAAAATATTGTACCTGTATATTCCCTGTTCAATGAACCCAAAGAGAGAAGAATGTCATATGGCCCAGGGAGAGTTGCAAAAGCCACGTACTCCAACTTTCTTCCTTCCGACCCCAGCCCTGAGTCCTGGTAGACCTTGGGAAGCAAGAAGTAGGGCTGCAGGGGGAGTGGGAGGGGCCAGGTCCATGCACACAGCAGTGCAGCAATACCGTGGAAGAAGCTTTCCAACGATTTAAATTCCTACTTGAGACAAGAATGAAATACAGGAGACCGCCCCATGGAACAAGAACAGCCTTTAACCTCTTCACCCCTCTCAATGAAAACCCACCTCTAACTGGCTTCCATTTATAGGTAAGCACTGTACTCACTTACATGAAGTCAGTTATTCCTCATCTATCCCTGTGAGGTACACTTTTATCTACATTTTTTAGGTGAGAACTTGAGCCTTGAGCAGCCTGCCAAGTGCTATACAGTTAGAAAGTGGAAGAAATGGTATCTGAACAATGACGCGTGGCTCCATCAACCTCATACTTATCACTTCGTCCTGCTGAGACTGAAAACCCAGCGCATCCATGATCCAAGGCAGCCCCTTTCAGGCCTCAGGACTGAGATGCTGAGCTCCCTCTGGAGGCCAAGGCATAGAACTGCGACAGCGAGAGGGCGGGACTGTAAACTGCTGGACTGGAGACTGGGCTATATTGTTTAAATTATTTATTCATGTCCCACCTCATTCCATGCCATTTTGAGTTAAAAACTTGCATGCTTTGGTTCAGCCACCCATGCCCACAGCCACAGCTTGGACCTCATTCTTTAGGTCCAAGCTGTGGCTGTGGGCATGGGTGGCTGAACCAAAGCGTGGAAAAAGTGTCACAGAAATTAGGATCAAGGAAGTACTGAGCTAGGGCGTCGGCCACTCAGCCCTGGATTTCCTCATGGTGCCAGCAATTCTTCCGGTAAAACGGTAGATCTGGGTGACAAATATCTTCAGTTAATGATGAAGAATAATTAAAAATCATCTGGATGGTGGCAAAATTAGGGGTGAGATGGAGTGAAGCAGAACAGCCTGAACGCTCAGGAAGAAGGGGATTTTCCAAACAGCTGAGAACTGTTTTAGAAGACGAGGAGAACTACTTGGGATGTGGCAAAATAAGCCGTCTCCTTTACAGGCTGCAGGGAAGTGGTGGCCTCGAGAGGGACAAAGGAGGAGGCCCTGTGTGAAAAAGCTGGGATCAGCTGGACATGGCGGCACACACCTGTAGTCCCAGCTACTCAGGAAGCTGGAGTGGGAGGATCACTTGAGCCGCTGAGTTCAAGACCAGCCTAGGAACATAACGAGACCTCACCTCTATTTTAAAACACAATTTAAAAAATAAAAATAAAAAGAAGAAACTGAGATCTAGGGAGATTACTTCCAGAACCTGGAGTGGAACGCATTCAGGGTCAAGAAAAAGCCCTTCTGGAGGATGCAAATATGGAAGCAAAAAAGGAAACATGTAAGGGTTAAACAATGGTAAATATAAGTTAAAACCTTCTCTACCATGTCATTCCAATGGCTTCCTCGATTACACAGGGGAAAAGCAAGTGCTTACCATGACCTACAGGGCCCTACAGAACTTGGCCCCACTACCGCTCTGACCTCATCTCCTGTTCACTACACTCCTGCTGTAACTAGAACACTGCAGACATCCTCCCTCTTCAAGTTCTTGTACTTGTTGTTCCTTTACCTGGAGAGTTATCTGTAGATATCCTCCAGACTTGTCACCTTATCTCAAATGCCACTCAACTGTCACCTTCTCGCTCAGTCCCACCCTGACTCTCTATATAATAGGGAGCCCCCCTCCCAAATGTATGTGCCCTTCCTAACCCCATTACTTGCCTTATTCTTCTCCACAGCACTTATTGACACCTAACACAGTGTGTGTTGTGAATATTTCATTTCTCTTGCTCCATTAGAACATAGGCTGCCTTATGATAGGAATATGTTCACTTCACTGTTATTTCCTCACAACATACAGCTGGTATTCAGTAAGTATTTGGTAAATATTTGTTGAATGAATAAAATATATTTCCTGAAACATTTACATTTTACATTTTGGTGGCCAAGAATGATAGAGATACAAGCCAAAATGATACCAGTCTAGCCCCAAAATTCTGAATGAAACTCTGATACAAAGTTTTTTGCCTGCTGGTACTGGTGGCATCAGAGGTACCATTTGAACAAAATGGTGCTGGTGTGTCAATACTGGCTAATGTTCCAACAGCACTGTAAACTGGATGATGCCAAGAAAAAGCCGTCTGATCTGTGGCATCTATACAATGCAAATGTAATACTCCTCAGTTTTTTTTTCCATATTAGAAGGCCATGTAAGAAGGTGTAATACTGGTTTCAGATTTTTTTTTAAAGGCACCCTCGATTATTTTTCCTCTAGGAACAACAGCCTAAGCAGCAACCTATTTTTTCCACTGGAACATTCTTTCTAAAGAATTGAGCTCATGAATCAATAGCACAAGTCCTTAAGTTCCTGACTAGTCTGGGTGACCTGTCCCTTAGGAACTAGAGAAGCAGAACAACCACAATTATACTGGTGGCCAATTCAGGAAACAAAATCATTGCTGTATGACAAGCAGGTTTTAAGTAATGGCCAATAGTCCTATTTAATAAGCAGCAATAAAAGGGATCTGCCAAGGGTCTATCACAATAGACAAATCTATCTGTCTATTGGATCTGCCAAGGGTCTATCACAATAGACAGAATGTTCAGCATGAACACACATGCTGGATGGACACTTCATCAAACTCAATTCTACTGATGAGGAAAGTGAGACCTGGCATTTTAAGTGACTCATACAAGGCAAGGCAACTAACAACGAAGTCAAAGCTAGAGCCTGTGTCTCCTGACTTGCAATTTGTAGAAATCAAAACTTCTAAAGAGCTACTTTGAGGTTTACTGAGTGCTCTAGGCTGCTGGGCCTGAAGTCTCAGAGAAAGCATCAATAGAATAATTAGGATTATGTGACTAGTACCAGTGCGGCCCTGGCTAGCTTTCACTATCATTTTAAGAACCTGAATTATATAAGAAAGCCCCTCAGAGGCCACTTATTCATTTGTTTCAAGTGTCTCTCACAAGGCAGGGCAGTGAGTCATCCAAATATCCGGGCCTCCAATGATAGAGATTGAGGAAAGTTACACTACCTGAAAGCTGTCATTCTGCTAGTAGGTTCTGCACATACAGAAGGGCCCTTCATGGAAACAATCATAGGACCAAGTGGTCACTAATTGTCTTGTATGAAATAGTGGCATGCTGTTCAGTACATGACTCAGAAATACAAGATTTGAAGAAAATCAGATGCTTCAATCGTGGCCAAGCCTAATTCAGGTTCACCCTTTATTGTTTCAAAACACATGTTGAAAATGACCTCACATTTACGGTGCCTTAGATATTAGAAGTCTTACATTCATATTCAGCTCATAACAATTAAAGTTAAAATATCTTTCTGGCAAAAGAACATAAGTTAGACTCTCTAACATTTACAGCAGTACGTCAGATTTTTTACTTGATCATTAATTAGTTTCTAAAGCATAGGGAGAATTCTTTGATCTACAGTATGAAATATCAGCACCTCAGGAGCTTGTCAAAGAGCTCATTTTATAATTGATTGTTTTGCTCAAAGTATGGCTGAGCTGTACTATATCCAGAATACACTATGTAAAGAAATAAACTCTCTTTTGTGTCTGGCGAGATCACCAGAAAACAACCTATCTGTGTTGCACTGGCTGAGCGCCCAGCAGAACTGTCTTCAATACCATGGCTCATGCGGGATCTAATCTAACCCAATGTTTTGGCAGGCATTTGAGACAGAGTAATGAGTTCTATTTCTCTCTGTCTCTCAATACTTAAGATTTTAAAATAAAAAGCTAGGGTTGTTTTTCTCTTAGTTTCTCTAACCGTATCATATTCCACTGAGTGACACTCTATTACAGACCTAGCAATCCTCACGTTATATCTTTATTGTTCTTTATTACATCCTCAGCTCCTAGCTGTGCCTCACATTTGGTAGGCACTCAATTCATATCGTTCAATTCATTAATTAATAATTTATATTATCCTCTGAACTCTTACCTTCCTTATGCCAACAGAATCTATCTATAGAAACTAGCACAGTTCCATTTAAAATACAGTAATCTTTTGTTTGGCTAAAAAAAAGTTAATGGCTAAGGTTGCAACTAAAGGAAGGATTTCTTTGGACTGTAAATTTTTCTATTATAATATAATATAATATAATATAATATAATATAAGCTTTGCAAGGAAATTATGAGGTAAAGTGGTCATTGGGTATCAAAATATTAATTTGCAAAGCTAAATATTTCTATGTGTTCATGAAACATCTAGAATATCTACTAAGTAGGTCCAGCCAATTGGTGATTCTAGAGAATCTAAAAAAACCAACTGTGTTATTTCTACAAAGTACATTTCATTACCTCCCAAAATACCAATTATTATAGCTTTATTCCCTAATAATAAATGTTCATTCAGCCAACAGGTTTGAATGCTCAATTTCCAGTTTAAAAATGCGGAAATAAACACATACTTTTAGCTGTGTTCCCTTCTAAATGCCAACAGGTATCAATAAAGGCATTTTTAAATGAATGTTTAACACAAAAATGCTGAGTTAATTTTGATATAACACATTATGAAATATTATGCAGTTATTATAAAGAAAGAATTTGAACTATACAGATGAGTTGGAAGGAATTTGCCATGAGACATAGTTGAGCAAAGTTAAAAATGATGTAAAGTAAGTACCTAATATAATCCAATTTTTACAGCACAAACAATGACAAAAAAAACATGGGCTTATGAACACATGGATATGAGCATGTATGTGCACATGGATATGCAATCATGAGAATCCACAAAATACGTACAGTATAAGATGATGGCTTTTCCTCTTGGTAAGAAGGCTGAACTGCATTTCCTAGACTCCTATGTAGCTACATGTAGTCCTGTGACTGAATTCAGGCCAACCCATGTGAGTAGAAATGATGTAATAAGCTACCTCCAAGTTTGGCCCTCCCATGTACAACCATCAGCTTCTTTCTATTCTCCGGCTGAAATGGAAAGATTACCAAGAAATTGGAGGATAATCCCAGAATAATTGCATGGAACAGAACTAGCCCCTATCAGCCATGATTATACTGTGACAGGAGCAAGAAACAAAATCTTAAATGTGCTAAAAGCACTAACATTTTGGAGCGGTTCGATATACTAGTTAGCTCAAGGTGACTAATATTAAGGGATTAGCATCAGTTACCATTTGCTCGGTGGGAGTAATTAACCTGGGTGGAAGGAGAAACCAAGGGGCACTAAGTGAGAAAACTCTGCAATTATAAAATAGTACGAATATAATGTTATTTATGCAAAAAATAAAAATAAAAACAAAACTAATATGAAGACATAAAGCCCCAAGGCGAACAGGTAAAAAGCCAAATGCAAATGAGAAATGTCAACAAAAATCCCTGGAAGTGTAAAAAAGAAACCAACAAATGAAAACTGACTTAACAAAACTTTACAAAGCTAAAACATAAATCTGTTAAAGAAGAACACATAAATCTGTTAACATAAGAAGTAGCTAGTTTATGTTATAGAATCCAGGAAAGCTTGGGAATTGCAGGCACCAAATATTTCTAATGGCAGCAGTGTGGGGCTAAACACAGACACTGGTCTTAAAGTCTGGTAGACCCCACGAAGTCATCTACCTTGCCCAACACAACGGGGGAACCATCCCTCATGCATTAAGGCAAAAGGCTGGAGGTTTTAATCTCTAGATAGATTGAAACAGAGAAGTTACAGATGTGGAAATCTTAGGCGCTAATGAAACCCACTCACAGAACAATGACCTCTCTACCCACTCCCATGGCCAGGATCTCAGAGAGCTAGCAGCACCCTCCCAAGTCATCCATTCTCACCATACACACCAGTCAGAGGAATGGAGGAACCTTGCCTGTGGAAACTGACCCAAGAGTCCTAGTTATGTTATTTGGGGGTGTAGAAACAAAACACGTGGTTTCCATCTGAACACCCTACAGGAAGGCTCACAAGCTGACAAGCTCCATCAGGGCACCCAGAGATTTTACCCAGCTTGTCAGGAGCTTATTCTTAAACATCAAAGTATAACTAAGATGAACTAGATATTTGAGGACCACAATAAATAGATACAAAAACAAATAAAAAAGGAAATTCGAAAAAAAAAACAAGGAAAACATAAAGTGAGGAAGATTTAAACCAAAAAGTTTTAAAAATAAACCTTTATTGAATATCCTTAGAGAGATCACAGAGGATCCATAAGATAAGAGTGCTATTGGAAAGTAGGGGGGAGCGTTCCCATTTCTGTGTAGAATGTAGAAAGCCACTGAAGACTGTTACTCGCTCCCTAACAATGATCATAAACTTTCTTGAGCCCACAGGAGATCTAAAGTTCCAAAGCAACAAAGTAAAGAGAAATCCAAAGAGGGACAGATAGAGAAACTCAAAGTATTTTGCCTGTAGCAGAGCATACGAGGAAGCAGTGATTCTATACAAGTGGGTAAAAAGAAATCAGCTTACATTTTAGTAAAGACTTAAAGGCCAAGTGGGGCTAGCCTGTCAGTCTGGAATAATGGGCCTGCCCAAGTGCTCAAGGGAAAGGTTAGGAGTGAAGCACAAAACTGGAGAAAGCTCCCTTCCAGAGCACCAAAGGTAAAGAAAAAATGTTAAGGCAGCACAAGGAAAATAAAAAATACATTAAGGGTGGCCAGGCACAGTGGCTTACACCTATAATCCCAGCACTTTGGGAGGCCAAGGCAGGTGGATAGGTTGAGCTCAGGTGTTCAAGATAAGCCTGGGAAACATGGCAAAACACCATCTTTACCAAAAATACAAACATTAACTGGGTGTGGTCGTACACACCTGTAGTCCCAGCTACTCAGGAGGCTGAGGTGGGAGAAGTGCCTGAGCCTGGGAGGCAGAAATTGCAGTGAGCCAAGGTCGTGCCACTGCACTCCAGCCTATCTAAAAAAAAAAAAAAAAAATTAAGGGGAACATAGGAACTACAGTAGACTTCTACTCAGAAACTATGCAAGTCAGAAGATAAGACAGTGACACCTTAAAAAAAAAATGAACAGGAAACCTTTCAACCCAGAATTATATACCCAGCAAAAATGTCTGTACAATGTTAAGGCAAAATAAAGGCTTTTCCAGGCAAATAAAAACTGACATAATGCATTTCCACCAAATTTAAGCTACAGGAAATTATAAAGAAAGTTCTTCAGAGAGAAGGAACATAACACCAGATGGAAATTTGGATACATACAAAGACATAAAAAGTGCTGAAAATGGTGAACATAAAGGTAAAAATAAAATACACCTGCTTAATATAAATCACTGTAAAAGATAATGTCCGCCAGATGTGGTGGCCCATGCTGTAATCCCAACACTTTCGGAGGCAGAGGCAGGTGGATTACTTGACGTCAGGAGTTTGAGACCAGCCTGGCCAACATGGCGAAACCCCATCTCTACTAAAAGTACAAAAATAGCTGAGTGTCATGGTGCACACCTGTAATCCCAGCTACTCAGGAGGCTGAGGCACAAGAATCACTTGCAACTGGGAGGCAGAGGTTGCAGTGAGCCTAGATCGCACCATTGCACTCCAGACTGAGGAACAGAGTGAGATTCTGCCTCCAAATAATAATAATAAAATAAAAAATAAACAAACAAAAGATAATGTCATAATCTAAAACAAATACGGTAACAGCCTTTACGAGATATAGAACATATAGAAGGTAAAATTGCTTTTACTTCATGTTTTCCTTATTTGCTCATTTTATAAGAAAAATAGTCATCTAGAACTAAAGACAACAAGAGGAGAAATGGCAGGAAAGAAAATGGAAATAAACTGTTGTACTATGGGAACAGCTATACTATTTCTCACACTGTGGGAAAAGTGATATAATAAAGTAGACTGCGATAATAGGTATATCATAAACTGTAGAGCAACTGATAAATATTTTTAAGAGGCATAATTAAAAAGTCAATACTGAAGGTAAAATGGAAGCATTAAATAATACCCAATAAAATCTTTAAAAAGTCAGGAAAATATTTAAAAAAACCAAAACCATAATGGATAAATAGAACACTAACACCAAGATGAGGGATTTAAATTCAGTCATACACATAAATATGTTACATATTTTTGGAAACCCACTTTAAATATAAATATACAAATAGGTAAATTGTAGGTTAAAAAGTATGGAAAAAGATATGCAATACAAGCATTAATCAAAAGAAAGTTAAAATGGCTAAAGAAATGTTACCAGGGATGAAAAAGAAAAATACATAAAAATAAAGGGGACAATTCTTTAAGAGAACAAAATCATTCTATAAGTGTGTGCACCTAATAAGAGTGCTTCAAAATATACAAAGCAAAAAACTATAGAATAAAAAGGGGAAATACACAAATCCACACTTACAGATGACTTAATCCTCTCTCAGTAATCAATGGAAAAAGTAAACAGAAAATTGGTAAGAACACAGAAGACATGAACAACACTCAACCGACTTGAACTAATTGATTATTGATGGAACACTCCACCCAACAACAGCAAAATACACATTGTTTTCATGGATGTGTAACATTCACAAGAAAAAACACATTCTGAGCCATGGAGGGGAAAATTATGTTTTAAAGAACTGAAATAATACAAAGTACATTGTTTGATAACAAAATTAAATTAGCAAAATTGAATTCATAGCTAAAACCTTCCCAGAAACAAAACCTCAAGCCCAGATGGCTTCACTTATGACTTTTACCAAATACTTCAAGAATAAATAATACTAATTTTAAACCTGCTGTTCCAGAAAATGTACACCAAGAGAGGAATATTTCCAATTCATTTGTGAGATCACCATTTTCTGATACAAAAACCAGTTTTAAAAATTAAGAAAAGAAAACTCCAGACAAATATCCTTCACAAATATGGGTGTTAAAATCAATAAACTGCAAGGAAATCAAATCATAACTCACTCCAGCCTAGAACTCCTGGGCTCAAGCGATCCTCCCACCTCAGTTTCTGAGTAGCTGGGACTGCAGGTGCATGCCGCCACACCTAGCTAATTTTTTTTTAATAGAGATATAGTCTTGCCATGTTGCCCAGTCTGGTCTTAAACTCCTGGCCTCAAGCGATCTTCCTGCCTTGGCCTCCCAAGATGCTGGGATTATAAGCATGAGCCATCATGCCAGGACAAGAACAGCTTTTTCAAAACTGACACATAATAGTTGTACACTATCTGATACAGGCCACCGTAAAGCTATATAAGCTTGACAACGTGGTATTAATGTAAAGTTACAGGCATAAATCAATAGAACAGAATACAAAGTCCAAACGTAGACCTAGACATACATTGTCAATTAATTTTCCATAAAGATGCCAAGGTAATTCAAAGGAGAACAAATAGCGTTTTCCACAAATGTTCCTGAAACAACTTGAAATCCATATTCCAAACAAAAATCAAACCTTGGCCCCTACAGTGCACCATATATAAAAAGATCTCATTGTAAAACTCACAAATATAAAACTTCACTAGAATAAAAGAAAATATTGTGAACTTCTGATAGGAAAAGATTTCTTAGTACACAAAAAAGCTGAGACTCATTTAAAAATTAATTAATTGGGCATCATCAAAATTTTTAAAATCTGCTTTTTGAACAATATTGTTCAGAAAATGAAAAGATGAACCACAGACTGAGAGAAAATATTTGCAAAATACATATCTGGTAAATAAACTGTCTCCAGAATATATTAAGAACTCTCAAAACTCAATAATAAGAAAAATAATTCTTAAAAAATGGACAAAAGATTTGAATACATATTTAACTCAAGGAGAGCATATAAGTACATGAAATGTTACTTAAGATCATTAATTATTAGGGAAATGGCAAAACAAAACCACAGTGAAACACCACCACACACTTACAGAAAAGCTGTATTTTCTCCTGCCGCAGGAGAGCCTGTGAAATGTCCCATCATGGAGATGCGGGGAGAGAAGACCCTGAGTGCCTCCAGGAGCAGGGCACATGGGGGTCATTGTCATGGACAAAGGATCAGAAGTGACATCAAATGCCTAACTTGAAGTTAGAAAGCAACAAAGCAATATCTTCAAAGCTCTGAGGGGAAAATATTTTTAATCTGAATTTTCTTCTGATGGAGAATGTGAGAGTGACTTAATACCAGAAACAGAAAACTACACAAGGCAAATAGGTAACTATTAACTCCAGGGAAAATAAAAGTGGTAGAAGAAAGAAAATGGAATCACAGGAAACTCTAAGCTAAAAAAATTTTCATACTTATAATAGATGCACTAAATATTTTTAAAATTAAATATTAATGTTGGAAGTTAGTGTTCGTGTGAATAGTAGAAATTAAGAGACAGTACTGGAAAATGGAGCTGTATGAACACATACTTGAGGAACACAGTGATAAACATCAAAAGTAACAGGCTTGCCCCTGTTGGGAAGAAGAATGCTGTTTTTTATCTATAAGACTTGTAATACAACTAAGTATGTGGGTAATTGTTTTCAAGTTTTTTTAAATTGTGGTTGTTTGGGTTTTTATTGTTGAGTTTTAGAAACTCTATATATACCCTGGATATTAATCCCTTATCAGATATATGATATGCAAATTTTTTCCACTCTGTAGGCTGCCTTTTCACACTGTTGATACTCATTGTCCTTCGATGTATGGAAGTTTTTAATTTTCATGAAGTCCAATTTGTCTATTTTTTCTTTTGTTACCTGTGCCCTTGCTGTCATATTCAAGAAATCATTGCCAAATCCAATGTCATGAAGCTTTTTCTCTACGTTTTCTTTTAAGAACTTCAATAGTTTTAGTTCTTAGGTTTTCTTATGTTTAGGTCTTTGATTCATTTTGAGTCAGTTTTTGTATAAGAGTCCAATTTCATTCTTTTCCATGTGAATATCCAGTTTTCCCAGCACCACTTGTTGAAGACTCTCTTTTCCCCACTGAATAGTCTTGGCTCCCTTGTTGAAAATCATTTCACCATAACTGCAAGGGTGTATTTGTGAGCTCTCTATTCTACTCCACTCTCTATTCCATCTCTATCCCCATGTGAGGACCACACTGTTTTGATTGCTGTAGCTTTTCGGTAAGTTCTGAAATCAGGAAGTGTGAGTCCTCCAACTTTGTTCTTTTTCATGATTGTATAGACTATTCAGGGTCCCTTGAGAGTCAATATAAATTTTAGGATGGATTTTTCTTTTTATTCTCAAAATGTCTTTGGAATTTTGATAAAGATTAAGTTGAATCTGCTTATATCGCTTAGGGTAGGTTGACTTTTTTTAAACTTTTATTTTAGGTTCAGGCATACATGTGCAGGTTTGTTATACAGGTAAATTACATGTCACAGGGGCCTGGTGTAAACATCATTTCATCACTCAGGTAATAAGAGAGGTAAAAACTATCCCAGGTAGATTTTCGATCTCTCTCCTCCCACTCTCCACCCTCAAGAATCCCCCCAGTGTCTCTTGTTGTTTTATTTCTGTCCATGTATACTCAATGTTTAGCTCCCACTTGCAAGTGAGAACATGGGATATTCTGTTTTCTGCTCCTCTGGTAGTTCACTTAGGATAATGGTCTCCAGCTCCATCCACATTGCTATAAAGGACATGATCTCATTCTTTTGGATGACTGTGTAGTATTCCATGGTGAATATGCACCACAGTTTATTTATCCAATCTACCATTGACAGGCATTTGAGTTGACTCCATGTCTTTGAGATTGTGAATAGCGCTGAGATGAGCATACACATGCATGTGTCTTTATGGAAGAACAATTTATATTCCTTTGGGTATATACTCAATATCAGGACTGCTAGATTGAATGGTAATACTACTAACACTACTTTGAGTTCTTTGAGAAATCACTACACTGCTTTCCACAATGGCTGAACTAATTTACATTCCCACCCGCAATGTATAAGTGTTCACTTTTCTCTGCAACCTCACCAGCATCTGTTATTTTTTTGACTTTTTAATAATAGCCATTCTGACTGGTGTGAGATAGTCTCTCATTGTGGTTTTTGATTTGCATTTCTCTAATGAGTGAGCATATTTTCATATGCTTGTCAGCTACATATATGTCTTTTGAAAAAATGTCTGTTCATGTCCTTTGTCCACTTTTTTAATGGGGTTGTTTGTTTTTTGCTTGTTAGTTTAAGTTCCTTATGGATTCCAGATATTAGACTTTTGTCAATGCATAGTTTGCAAATATTTTCTCTCATTCTGTAGGTTGTCTGTTTACTCTTTATAATTTCTTTTGCTATGCAGAAGCTTTTTAGTTTAATTAGGTCCCATTTGTCAATTTTTGGTTTTGCTGAAGTTGCTTTTGGTGTCTCTGTCATCAAATCTTTGCCAGGGCCTATATCCAGGATGGTATTTCATAGGTTATCTTCCATAGTTTTTATACTTGTAGGTTTTACTTTTAAGTGTTTAAACCATCTTGAGTTGATTTTTGTACATGGTATAATGAAGGGGTCCAGCTTCAATCTTCTGTATATGGCTAGCCATCTATCACTGCACCTTTTATTGAAGAGGGAGTCCTTCCATCCATTGCTTGTTTTTGCCTACTTATCAAAGATCAGATAGTTGTAGGTGTATGGCTTTATTTCTGGGCTCTCTATTCTGTTACATTGGTCTATGTGTCTGTTTTTGTACCAGTACCATGCTGTTTTGGTTACAGTAGACTTGTATAGTTTGAAGTCTGGCAATGGGATGCCTTAACAATATCACATTTTCTAATACACGAACATGGCTTTCCACTCATTTGTGTCACCCTGAAGTTCTTTCAGCAATGTTGTATACTTTTCAGTGTACAAATCTTTTACTTCTTGGTTAATTCCTAAGTATTTTATTATTTCTGATGCTACTGCAAATTGAGGTGTTTTCTTAATTTCCCTTTCTGATTGTTTATTGTTACAGTAAAGAAATGCAACTGATTTTTGTGTGTTGATTTTGTATCCTGCCATTTTGTTGAATTGGTTTATTAGTTCTACCAGATTTTTTTATGTTAGGGTTATCTACACACATAATAATTTTGGCTTCTAACAGATATGATTTTACCTCTCCCTTTCCGTTAGGATGCCTTTTATTTCACTTTCTTACCAAATTAGTCAGGCTAGATCTATGCTGAAACAAAATGATGAAAGTGGGTATCTTTACCTTGTTCCTGATCTTACAGGAAAAGCTTTCAGACATTCACCATTGAGTATGATATTCCCTGTGGGTTTTCATATATATCCTTTATTATGCTGAGGTAGTTCCCTTCTGTCTCTACCTTGTTGAATGTTTTTGTCATGAAAGGGTGTTGAATCTTGTCAAATGCTTTTCTGCCTTAATTGCAATAGCATGTGGTTTTTTCTCTACATTTTGTTGCCGTGGTATATTACACTGATTAATTTTCATATGTTGAGCCATCCTTGCATTTCAGTAATAAATCCCACTTGGTTATGGTGTATGTAATCTTTTTCATATACTGTTGATTTTGGGTTTTCTAGTATTTTATTGAGGATTTTTGCATCAGTGTTCCTGAAGAATATTGGTCTACAGTTTTCTTTTTGTTTCTTTGTTTGGCTTTGGTATTATGGTAATTATGTTGGCCTCATAAAATAAGTTAGGAAGTGTTCCCTCATCTTCTGTTTTTTGGAAAAGTTTGAGAGGGAGTGGTACTGGTTCTTAAAATGTTTGCTAGAATTCACTAGTCAAGCCTAGGGCTTTTCTTTGTCAGGAGGTTTTTGTATTACTGATTCAATCTATGAATCATTTTAGTTAGAATATTTTAATAAAATAAATATGATTTATTGCATATTTTATGAAGCAGGAGTCATGAATAAAATGTGAGCAAAACATAGTCCTTGCTCACACAAGGTTCACAGAAAATTGTGCCTACCTTAGAAAAATCCAGTTTTATTCATTTTATTTTCTTTGTTATGTCTGAATTTTCTAATATTGTTATCAGAAGAAAAAAAAGTTTATGGAGGATACTCTGAAAATATTTATGAAATACTTAAAATTTTTTTCCATACTCAGTAATCTAGTAATTCTACTTACAACAGTCATAAAAAATAACTAACATATATAATTTTTTGAAAGGATTTCCTCCCGATCATTATTTATAAGAACTCAATAAAATACTGGCAAACCAAATTCAGCAGCACATCAAAAAGCTAATCCACCATGATCAAGTGGGCTTCATCCCTGGGATGCAAGGCTGGTTCAAGATACGCAAATCAATAAACGTAATCCAGCATATAAACAGAACCAAAGACAAAAACCACATGATTATCTCAATAGATGCAGAAAAGGCCTTTGACAAAATTCAACAACCCTTCACGCTAAAAACTCTCAATAAATTAGGTATTGATGGGACGTACCTAAAAATAATAAGAGCTATTTATAACAAACCCACAGCCAATATCATACTGAATGGGCAAAAACTGGAAGCATTCCCTCTGAAAACTGGCACAAGGCAGGGATGCCCTCTCTCACCACTCCTATTCAACATAGTGTTGGAAGTTCTGGCCAAGGCAATCAGGCAGGAGAAAGAAATAAAGGATATTCAATTAGGAAAAGAGGAAGGCAAATTGTCCCTGTTTGCAGATGACGTGATTGTATATTTAGAAAACCCTATCATCTCAGCCCAAAATCTCCTTAAGCTGACAAGCAACTTCAGCAAAGTCTCAGAATACAAAATAAATGTGCAAAAATCACAAGCATTCTTATACACCAATAACAGACAGAGAGCCAAATCATGAGTGAACTCCCATTCACAATTGCTTCCAAGAGAATAAAATACCTAGGAATCCAACTTACAAGGGATGTGAAGGACTTCTTCAAGGAGAACTACAAACCACTGCTCAATGAAATAAAAGAGGAAACAAACAAATGGAAGAACATTCCATGCTCATGGGTAGGAAGAATCAATATCGTGAAAATGGCCATACTGCCCCAGGTAATTTACAGATTCAATGCCATCCCCATCAAGCTACCAATGACTTTCTTCACAGAATTGGGAAAAACTACTTTAAGGTTCATATGGAACCAAAAAAGGGCCTGCATTGTCAAGACAATCCTAAGCCAAAAGAACAAAGCTGGAGGCATCACACTACCTGACTTCAAACTATACTACAAGACTACAGTAACCATAACAGCATGGTACTGGTACCAAAACAGAGATATAGACCAGTGGAACAGAACAGAGCCCTCAGAAATAATACCACACATCTACAACCATCTGATCTTTGACAAACCTGACAAAAACAAGAAATGGGGAAAGGATTCCCATTTAATAAATGGTGCTGGGAAAACTGGCTAGCGACATGTAGAAAGCTGAAACTGGATCCCTTCCTTACCCCTTACACAAAAATTAATCCAAGATGGATTAAAGACTTACATGTTAGACCTAAAACCATAAAAACCCTACAAGAAAACCTAGGCAGTACCATTCAGGACATAGGCATGGGCAAGGACTTCATGTCTAAAACACCAAAAGCAATGGCAACAAAAGCCAAAATTGACAAATGGGATTTAATTAAACTAAAGAGCTTCTGCACAGCAAAAGTAACTACCATTAGAGTGAACAGGCAACCTACAGAATGGGAGAAAATGTTTGCAATCTACTCATCTGACAAAGGGCTAATATCCAGAATCTACAATGAACTCAAACAAATTTACAAGAAAAAAACAAACAACCCCATCAAAAAGTGGGCAAAGAATATGAACAGACACTTCTCAAAAGAAGATATTTATGCAGCCAATGGACACACAAAAAAATGCTCATCATCACTGACCATCAGAGAAATGCAAATCAAAACCGCAATGAGATGCCATCTCATGCCAGTTAGAATGGCGATCATTAAAAAGTCAGGAAACATCAAGTGCTGGAGAGGATGTGGAGAAATAGGAACACTTTTACACTGTTGGTGGGACTGTAAACTAGTTCAACCATTGTGGAAGACAGTGTGGCGATTCCTCAAGGATCTAGAACTAGAAATACCATTTGACCCAGCGATCCCATCACTGGGTATATACCCAAAGGATTATAAATCATGCTACTGTAAAGACACATGCACATGTATGTTTATTACGGCACTATTCACAACAGCAAAGACTTGGAACCAGCCCAAATGACCATCAGTCATAGACTGAATTAAGAAAATGTGGCACATATACACCATGAAATACTATGCAGCCATAAAAAAAGATGAGATCATGTCATTTTTTAGGAACATGGATGAAGCTGGAAACCATCATTCTGAGCAAACTATCCCAAGGACAGAAAGCCAAACACCACATTTTCTCACTCATAGGTGGGAATTGAACAATGAGAACACTTGGACACAGGGTGGGGAACATCACACACCGGGGCCTGTTGTGGGGTTGGGAGCATGGGGGAGGGATAGCATTAGGAGAAATACCTAATGTAAATGACGAGTTAATGGGTGCAGCAAATCAACATGGCACATGTATACATACGTAACAAACCCGCACATTGTGCACATGTACCCTAGAACTTAAAGTAACATAATAAATACAAATTTTAAAAAAGAAATAAAGACGTATGTCCACAGAGAAAATTGTACATGAATGCTTACAGTGGCATTTCTAATAATAACCAAAAGGTACAACTAAACCAAATGTTCATCCACAAATCGATGGGTAAACAAACTGTGGTATGTACATACAATGGAATGTTATTCAGCCATAAAAAGGAATGAAGTACTGAGACATGCCACAACTTGGATGAACCTTGAAAATACGATGTCAAGTGAAAGAAGCTAGATACAAAAGGTCACATATTGTATGATTCCTTTCATGTAATATATCAAGAATAGGCAAAGTCATAGAGGTGGAAAGCTGATTAAAGGTGCCAGGGAAATAGGGGTATGGACGGGTATAGGGAATGTCTACTTAATAATCACAGAAGTTTTTACAGGGAATAAAAAAGTTTTGAAACTAGAGAGAGCTGGTGGTTGCATAACATTGTGAATACATTAAATACCACCAAATTGCACACTTTAAAATGGTTAACTGTATGCTGTGTGAATTTTACATCAATAAAAGAAGAATAAAATAGTAGCAAATTTAATAAAGTAAGTACTAGATTTGTAAACTGAAAACTACAAATTATAATTGAAAGAAAATTTTAAAAGGCCTTTATAAATGGAAAGAAGTCCTGTGTTCATGGGAAGAGAAACTTAATATTGTGAAGATGACAATACTCCACCAATTGATCTACAGATTCAGTGCACCACTATCAAAACCCCAGCTGGCTTTTTTGCAGAAATTCACAAGTTAATTCTAAAATTCAGATAGAAATGCAAGGGACTGAGAAGAGCAAAAACAATTGTGAAAAAGAACGGTGCTGGAGGACTCATGTGTTCCAATTTGGAAATTTACTACAAAGCTACAGTAATCAAAGCATGATACTGGTATAAATTGGACATACGAACCAATGAAAAAGAACTGAGGGACCTGAAATAAACTCACACTCTATGAGCAATGGATTTTCAATAAGGGTGACAATAGGGAAATAATAGTCTTTTGTAACAAATCTTTATGACCTTAGATTAGGCAATGCTTTTGCAGACAGAACTAGCATGTTAATGATGGCATAATCCTGGAACTCTAATTCCAAATGTGCTGCGCAGAATTTTTCTAGGCTCACACAACGCCAAGAGACTTACACACTGAGCCTATTCATGAAGTGTAGTGAAAATAAGCTGGAAGCAGAGAAGAAGATATTTCACCAGATGAAAATGGGAAGAAGCATTCCATGTCTCTAGGCACACCAACTCAAACCACACACTCAGATCTGACAAGCATTTCATCTCATCTTAAGGAACATCATTCTAAAGTTAGTTTTAGCCACTTTTACAGAAAAATAAAACAAATGACTCCAAATCTCTCTATATATCAAAATCAAAATTTAAGGTGTTAAATATTTCATAAACCTTTCTAGACCAAACAGGCATTTTTGAATAATTTGTGATTTTGATTTGGCTTCTTTATTGTTTTTAATTCTTGAAATTATCTTCACTAAATTCAAGAATTTGATGAGAAGTCCTAATATTTTTCTATATTTAAGGCGAAAACATTAAAAAACAGCAAAAGTATGAATCATTTGAATCAAAACAACATTTGTTCCATTCTGGAATGGCACATCCCTTACTCTACATTTCTTTCTGTACATTTTTTATTGAAAGAAAATATCTGTCTGCTTGAACACTTGTGTTAAAAATACTAAGATTATACAGCCTGTATTTCTAATTCATTTTAAATTAAAAACAAAGGGATTTGACAGAGCAAGTCTCTAAACATTTCATAACATTTCTGTAATGAAAAAAATAACTAACTAGATAGAGTCCTTATTTAAATGTTTAGCTAAGATGTTAATTTGGTTTGGGGAAGGAAGTCTGGCAAGTTTGGAGACCCATTGTTAAGTTAGTCTTACTGCTTTAGATTTCTGTACTTCTACATTGAACTCCAAAGTTAATTATATTTAATAATCATAGCATTCAATTAATGAATTGTTATTAGATAAATTATGTAAGTAGAAATAGCTAGTTTTAAGTATCAGTATTCAACAATGGTACTCATTTAGTTGGATAAAAATTTTTAGCAACTTTGTTTCAATGGCTGCCTAGTACATCTTTTTTTTTTTTTTTTTTTTTTTTTTTTGAGACAGAGTCTCACTCTGTCACCCAGGCTGGTGTGCAGTGACACGATCTCGGCTCACTGCAACCTCCGCCTCCCAGGTTCAAGCAATTCTCCTGCCTCAGCCTCCCAAGTAGCTGGGATTACAGGTGCCCACCACCACACCCAGCTAATTTTTGTATTTTTAGTAGAGATGGGGTTTCACCATATTGGCCAGGCTGGTCTTGAACTCCTGACCTCAGGTGATCCGCCCACCTTGGCCTCCCAAAGTGCTAGGATTACAGGGATGAGCCACCACACCCAGCACCTAATGCATCTTTATAAACACAGTTCGTCTTCATTATGGGTAAGGAAATGCAGGTTTCAGACACTTGGTGGTCAACAGAATCTCACATAGTGTTTTTATCATATTAAATAGATATGTATTAAAATCTGGTCTTCATAAACAAAATAAAAATGAGGACTGCCACTCACACAGAGATGACTTCAAAGAAAACCCAGGCAGTCCACTCACCTTGGGGTGCTATCAGAGTTCTTCCATTCTCCTGACACCAACCAACTGGCTGGACATAAGGGCTATTAACATCGCACCTGCAAAAACAGAGCTCTATATTACGTTCCGTTTTACTTCATGCCAGAGAAAGAATTCAAGAGTAACAATCATTCTGGATATCAACAGATACCACAGAAAACAGTACTTCATAGCTGGAGAGAATTAGAAGGAATTTTCAGTACTGCATTAGTAGGCTGTTACCAAGCTTCTCTTTCACATAAGCTTCTTGAAATTTAAAAGTATAAAATTGGCTGGGCGCGGTGGCTCACGCCTGTAATCCCAGCATTTCGGGAGGCCGAGACAGGCGGATCATGAGGTCAGGAGATCGAGACCATCCTGGCTAACATGGTGAAACCCCGTCTCCACTAAAAATACAAAAAATTAGCCAGGTGTGGTGGCGGGCGCCTGTAGTCCCAGCTACTCGGGAGGCTGAGGCTGGAGAATGGCGTGAACCCGGGAGGCGGAGCTCACAGTGAGCCAAGATCGCGCCACTGCACTCCAGCCTGGGCAACAGAGCGAGATTCCATCTCAAAAAAAAAAAGTATAAAATTAACAGAGGATTGCCAAGGGCCTGAATGAGCTGCCAGTGATGTTCCCAAAAAAGTGAGTGAGCATTTTAATAAACTTCTACCACTTCTTGCTGGCAGCAAGAGAAAATATTAATAGGACAGTCCAATCAGACTCCAGATGACATCTTTCCTCCTTGTCCTTTTCAAAGAACCCAGAATATTCTGCCTAAGACACATATACAACAATACCTCTCTGCTTTGCCTCTGAGTTCAAAGGAGAAGACAGGGCCCATCAGGCACATAAAGAACCACTGCCTCAGGCAGGGACATATGTGGAGGGACATATGTGGAGAAATGCTATAAAAATTATTTTTGCCATGACCTCTTGCATATTTCAGGTTTTTAATCAAAAAAAAAAACCCTTTCAACTCATGTCATGTTATTTTAATGGCATGCATGGTAGCATACATTTTCTCTGCTCCCCATAGGCTTTCGAAGAATTCACTCCCATTGTCCCAGAATCTTTCCTTTTAAAAATGTGATAAGGTGGCCAGGCGCGGTGGCTCACGCCTGTAATCCCAGCACTTTGGGAGGCCGAGGCGGGCGGATCACGAGGTCAGGAGATCGAGACCATCCCGGCTAAAACGGTGAAACCCTGTCTCTACTAAAAATACAAAAAATTAGCCGGGCGTAGTGGCGGGCGCCTGTAGTCCCAGCTACTTGGGAGGCTGAGGCAGGAGAATGGCGTGAACCCGGGAGGCGAAGCTTGCAGTGAGCCGAGATCCCGCCACTGCACTCCAGCCTGGGCGACAGAGCGAGACTCCGTCTCAAAAAAAAAAAAAAAAAAAATGTGATAAGGTACATTTAAGATTTTTTAGACAAAAAAAAAAAAATGCTGAAAGTTTTTAGCTTCCTCTTCACAGAAATGCTGTCCTCACAAATTAGACAAAATACAGCAAAGTGTCCTGAACAGGTTATATTATTTCAGATGAGGCTTCACTGGGTAACCTCTACAGATGGAGAAGTTTCTAGGGCTCTTTAATTCAGTAATTCACATGGAAGAGAAGGTAATGAACAGTCAACCACCAAATTCCTAATGCTCATCACTATTAGAAGAGCAAAAACAGCAACAGTGCTAGAATGAAAACAAATTCTTAACATCAAACATATGAATACACAAAAATAAAACACACATTCATATCTCACCAGTAATCGTAACTATCATCCCAGTTGTCAAAATGCACTAGTAAGCGATCTTCAACAATATCTGCTATGGTCGCCACACACACCAAGGAAGGGTTCTTCCTGTCCACGGCCTCCAGCTTCATTCCAACCTGAAATTCTTTAGACATTGGCCCATTCTAACGCAGCACCAGCAGGGGAAGAAGCACAAAAAGAAACAGGACACCAAATAGGACTGAGCCACTGTCAAAACTTCTATGTTTAGCAACAGCAAAGTCTACAGGTGTCAGCACTTAGCCTCTGGACAAAGCCATCAAATGCCTGTAAAAATATCCGGCAACTGTCACACAGTTTATATTCATAACAAAGGCCCAGGAAACTAGCTTTCCTTTGTGCTTTTGCCTTTTGTTGTGCAGGGAGGTTTTCTTTCCCTTATCATCTTCATATTTCCCTCTTTTTTCTTAGAATAATTTGTATTAATTTTAAAATATGATGTTTACTGAACACAATAGTATCAAATAACCTTCTCTGCTTCCCATAGGCTTTTGAAGTTTCCAAATGCCACTATTTGAAAAAGTGGTGAAGATATGCTCTAATTAGCACCAAAGTATCCTGTTAATTTGATTACTCAATCTGAAAATAAGTGGCTTTTTCAATATTTAAGAAATACATGCTTAAATAAAATTATAATTTAAAATGTGTATTTATATATAATTTATATATATTTAACATATAATTTAAATTTATAATTTTAAAATGTGAGTGCTTTTTTACTATCTGTGCTTTTCTTAGTATAAAAATACTATGAACTATGATTTACAATAACATAACAATTACAAACCCACCCTTCATATATCTATAATTAGCCAATCCTGGGATTTAGGGAGTACATACAGTATCCGGGAACTGAAAGAGGGTGTTTTTCTCTACTTCTCTTTCATCAAACCCTGATTTTTATTCTCCTTCAGCACATTCTATTTTTACAGCAACTTCACGTTTTAATAGCTCCTTTTCTTGATACAAATCTAGGAAACATATTTAACGATTGTATAACACTGCTTTCAAGATCACAGAAGTGATGTCTGGAGAAATTCAGTGAGTGGCCTGCACAGTGACACCGCCTGCCAGTGGCAGAGCCGACTTCTGGAGTTGCAATTTATTCTCCTCCACTGAAGGTTCACTAGATTTCTGGGGACACGGATGGCATAAGAAGTGTGATCTACCCAGATCCGCAGAACACCCCTTCAATTAGTACAAAATGTTACTCTCATTTTCATTACACTTAAATATATCTAGGCTGGGTACATTCAAAGCCTACTTAGAGTATCTGCTGGTTTCAAAACACCAAAAGCAAGATTAAAGGATTAACTCCCTGTAAGGGAAAACATTTTTAAAAGACACTTTCAATTTTAGTAGGCTTTAAACATAAAGTTTTTAAGTTTTCCCAACTTTTTCTCATCTAATTGAAGTATTTAATTATACTTTTAAAGGAAGAAAACCAAGATATGCCCACAAGAAACTGACGAATTAGGTGAGAAAAGTGACAGGAAGTTAACAGTTTCCATAACTTCTTAAAGGATTAAAATAAAACAGAATATATAGTGAATTTTAAGAAATTTAAGCTTGGGGGAAATTTGATTTATGCTGGGAAAGAAAATACTTACAGGACTTCTGTTTCTGAATAATTTCTTTGGAGCATTTTGCAATTTGCAGGCCTTCAAGTAATCCATCCAAACAAATTTATCTTTTCTATAACCTAAAAAAAGCACAGATTACTCAAAATACCCAAAAGATGTAATCACATGCATATTAAATATATTAGGTTGGTGCAAAAGTAAGTGCGGTTTTGGCCATTACTTTTAATGGAAAAAAAACGCAATTACTTTTGCACCAACCTCATATGGTTATTATTAGTGTCCTGCCATAAATTCAACGTCCTTAGCACCCACAAAAGATTTAAATTAAAATCTCCAAATTGTTTCACCTTTTTAAAATGTATTATGTGCAAAACTGTTGATAGTGCTTCCCCATCACGCGCATCATTCCCGATACAATTTCACATGCTCTGATACGGAGTCAGTACTCTGGTGGCCTGATGGGAGTCTCATCGCCCATTAAGGCTTTCCTGAATGGGCAAAGGGATGAGACCAGAGTTCCCGTACCTGTCCCCACTCCTGAGGAAGAGACTTTACAGAGACCATCAGAGGTCCTGAGGGTGCAGCCATCCAGGATGCCAGGCACAGAAACGCCTTCTCAATCCAATGCCCACTCCACAGCTCCAGCTTTCTGCGCCGCATCTTTACTAGTCTCCCATTAAAAACTGCTGCATCCTCCCATTCGCATGCCCTGGCGTGGCTCTCACACAGTGCTGGCCAAACAGTACAGGCTCAAAATATGGTTCTGAGCACCAGCCTTGGAACAGAAGTCAAACTCCCTGCACAGCCTTCCAGGCCTGGGAACACCACCCTCTTCGTCCCCGACCTTCCCACCTGGGCGCTTCTCTGCTGTCTCCCTGAGATGACTCATCCTCGCAAAGCGCACTCCTGCCCCGGCGCCTGCTCCTGTTCTTCCCTTGGAGGGCTTACCCAGACACCACACTGCTTCCTCTGTCATTTCACCCACGTCTCTTTGGAACATTATGTCCACAGAGAGGCCTTTCTCCCCCATGCTTTCTGAAAGAGTGTCCCTGCAGCCACCGCCATTATCCTTCTCCTCTGAAATGAAGCCCCGTGGAGATAGAGACATTGCTTTACTTGCTACTGGCCCTCAGTGCCTCACGTGGTAAGGGCTCCATAAATACCTACTGAATGAATGAGCCTGTAGCCTGTCACCAGCTTCCTCCAAACCAGCAACCTCAAGGACTCTGCCATCAGCCTCAGGGGAGGATCCCAAGGGACACCCTGAGTGGATAACTAGGAATAAAGGACTGTATACTGACTCCAGAAGTTGCCACAGACATCGAACAGTCTGACATCCAAGCCAGAGACAATGTACAGAAGTTTGCTGTGCAAAGATATGAGCCCGTCAGCATCATCCTTGACCACATCCCCACCTCACTTGCACACAGCAAATCGAAAAGGTTTTGGTCACATCTGCCTGGCCCAGACTCCTCTAGCACATAACAAAACCATGATATTTTTCATTCCCATCGAAAGAAAATAGTGATTTTTTTCATAGTTCTTTGTTTTCCGTGATTCCTAAGTCTGAAACAAATTACTTACAGTGAATCAAGTTTCCTCACCTTGCTGTATCATTGATTAGATATTTTGTTTCAACCATGATTTAAATATTAGTCTGCACTGCTTATAAGGTTTAATAAACTTTATATAAAATAAAATAAAATGCTTTCATAATATTTTATTTCTGCCTTCTGTACATTATCAGAATATTTGACCTAAATAGTCATTTATGCTTTTCTTTAAAGACATTTACTTCTAAAAATGGTACCATTATAGTCTTACTACTCTTTATGGAACACAATTTCATTTTGGAAATCAATCCACACCAGGATCTCTTCTTCGAATTTCATAAAGTATTGTTAAAATATAAGTGAAATACCAATTGATTCTCTTTCCAGTTGGTAAATGTATCCTGGCTTACCCTTAGGGATGTGCAGTTCATGTTTGGTCTTTTCACACCATCCTACTGGATGAATGTCAGGGGAACCAGCATTGGTCCAAAAATCATAGCAACTTAAATAACCATCAAAATGAAGTCTTAGACGGTAACCACAAACCTGCAAGATAGAAAGTTTACAATCATTCGTTAAGTGTCATATATTTGGAGTAGACACAAAATTCACAAAATATTCATATATTTTGTCAGTACTATCAACATATAAGAGCCAACCCTTCTATCCAAATGTTTCCATTAAAGAAGAAATTTATGGATGACCTCTGATTAAGCTCTAATGAAATTAGACCCTGTCTTACAGGTATCTAGTGCATTCTGCAAAATAGTGACCCTTTTACCCAATCTAGGAATCTGAGGGTCAGTTTATGTATTCATTAATTAACTGGTTTATTTATTAATTCAATACCTGTCAAATATTCCCTTCAGCAACCCTATCTTCTGCCCTCTGGCCTGGATTCACATTCCAAGACAGTGTAAGCTAAAGTACAAAGCACAACTAAAATAAGCATGGCCTTGTTTCAACTCTAACATATGTATCCAGCACACTCAATAAAGAGAATAATAAAATGGTCTGAGAAATACATCCTCTAGACATGTGGTACAACTTTAATAGCTATAATCAATCAGTAAAGTAAATAAATGTGACTGTTATGTTCAATGCTATCAGAAATATAAAGATCTTTTATGGATTTAATAATATATTTAGTAAGTATTACATTTTATAAGCCATTCATCAAGAGCTCTCCACTCTAAATAATTTTCATAAAGTGAATGTATTTATATAAATATATAATTCATATGCATTAATATTATTCATACACATTTCTCATTAGTTCAGCTAAAATGTGAATAAGTACATCTCTGTTAATAGGTTAAAATACCACTGGGATTCACAGATTGTTAGCAACCTCAAGTGAAAATTATTTACCAATTAAGTCAAGAATAAATGCTAGTTGATGAAGGACTTTTTAGAAAATTCATCTTCAGAGAAGGAAAAAAATTCACTAAGAAACATAGTTTCACCCATCGCTGACTAAAATAAATCCATAATGCACTGGAACTTCTTCATAATAAATATCAAACAAATTTGTTATTTTCTAGAAAATTATCTTTCTGTCACTAGGCAATTAGCCCAAGACAGTAACACCACCTCTTACCTCCGCTACAGAAAGCACACAGAATACCGATGGATGTCGGGGATCAATGCCTTCTAATCTCATTCCAATCTGAAAACCATTTTCATGCTCTGGAAAGGACTGATCCTACAAAATTTCACGACATAACATTAGCCACTGAGATTTCATCACAGTTTTATATTAAGATATTTGGTGTCACCTCTAGGTGAAGTCTAAAACAATTGAACTCATAGAAACAGAGAGTAGAATGGTGTCTACCAGAGGCTGGAAGTTGAGGGAATGGGGAGATGCTGGTCAAAGGGTATAAAGTGGCAGTTAGAAAGGAGGAATAAATGGTAAGTATTTAAGGTGATGGATGTGTGAGTATGCTTGATTCAATCATTCCACACTGTGTACATACAGCATAACATCACTGTCTACCCCAGGGTTATATATGATTATAATTTGTCAAAAACATAAATCAAATAAGAATTTTTTTTGAGATGGACTCTTGCTGGAGTGTATTGGCACGATCTTGGCTCACTGCAACCTCCACCTCCCGGGTTCAAGTGATTCTCCTGTCTCAGCCTCCCGAATAGCTAGGATTACATACTGCGCCCAGCTAATTTTTGCAGTTTTAGTAGAGACGGGGTTTCACCATCTTGGCTAGGCTGGTCTTGAACTCCTGACCTTGTGATCTACCCGCCTTGGCCTCCCAAAGTGCTGGGATTACAGGCCACCACGCCCAGCCCAAATAAGAATTTTTTGAAAGAATTCACTGTATAGTTTAGAAGCTCAGTGATGTGGCTAAAGATGGAAGACTGTTCTTATATGTAGTTAGTGCTCAAGGATGGTTTCATTATGTTAATATGCTTTGAAATAGTACCTCCATGAAGTTGTGTGTCCTATGAACTTCCCATTTATTCCTTTTGCCCATTTTTCCTTCCTGTACCCTGGATAGCATCACTTTATTATATGGATTACCTACTCTCAGTCTGTGACTTGGCTCTTCACTGTGTTTACAGTGACTTTGTTGCAGATAAACTTATAATTTTAAGGTAGTAAAATATATCAATTATTTTCTATACATTCTACATACCCAGCCTATGAAATCCTTCTTAACTCTGAAGCTACATAGGTATTTTCCTTTTTTTTTTTTTTTTTCTGAGACAAGGTCTCACTCTGTCACCCAGACTGCAGTGCAGTGACATGATCTCAGCTCACTGCAACCTCCGCCTCCCAGGTTCAAGCAATTCTCCTGCCTCAGCCTCCCAAGTAGCTGGGATTACAAGTGTGCACCACTACGGCCTGGCTAATTTTTGTATTTTTAGTAGTGACGGGGTTTCACCATGTAGGCCAGGCTGGTCTTGAACTCCTGACCTCAAATGATCCACCCTCCTGAGCCTCCCAAAGGGCTAGGAATATAGGTGTGAGCCACTGCACCTGTCCCTAGTATTTTTTAAGAACTGTTGAAGTTTCTTTCTTCATATTTAAATTTGTAGTACAATTGAAATTGAGTTTTCTATGGTGTCAGGTAGAGGCCTACTTTTTTCACATGGAAAACAAATCATTCAAGAAAAGCGTTTTGAATAGTCCATACTTGAATTGATTGGCAAAGTCAGCTCTGTCATATATGGTTTCTACATACTTGTAGGTCTTATTTCTGACCCCTCTCTTATGTTTCATTGACTTATTTGCCTATATCACACAGTTTTATTTGCTTATAATGAGCCTTTCTATTTAGAAAGCAATCATTTCCATATTAAGTTTTTTAAATTCAGAAACTTGTTCTCTCTCCCATTTGATCTAATCATTTTTATCTGTCAAAAGTGTTTTTCAATTTTCACATAAAACTGCCAATATACTTTGCTATATTTATTTCTAGATACCTTTGAATGTTTATAGCTATTTTTACTGTAATATTTTCACAGCAGACTTCCTAATTTGCTCCAATTCATCATTATTTTCTTTAAGCACACAGTTTTGAACAGATTCACCATTACTAGTCACTTTATTGTTAATTGCAAATAATCATATACTAATGGAAAATGATGAGTAGAACCTAGATCTATTAGATCTAGAGCTGCATTTAATCACTAATTGTATTATTATTTAATATTGCTTAACATCTGAATGCCTATTTTGGGGTTAAAATTTATTCTTTTCAAAAATTATTCCAGGGGCTGGGCACGTGGCTCATGCCTGTAATCCCAGCACTTTGGGAGGCCAAGGCAGGTGGATCGTCTGAGGTCAGGAGTTCGAGACCAGCCTGGCCAACATGGCGAAACCCCATCTCTACTAAAAATACAAGAATTAGCCAGGTGTGATGGTGTGTGCCTGTAATCCCAGCTACTCTGGAGGCTGAGGCAGGAGAATCGCTTGAACCCAAGAGACGGAGGTTGCGGTGAGCCAAGATTGGGCCACTGCACTCCAGCCTGGATGACAGAGTGAAACTCCAACTAAAAAAAAAAAAATTATTCCACTGGGAAATTTAAAAGTTGCAACAACAAGACAGTGTAGAGAGCACATGCATAGATAGACTTTGCCTAGATTCACTCATTGCTACATTTCACCTGCTTTGCTTTACCATTTGTACTTACTCTATCTCTCATATGTCTCTGTGAGCATATACATAGATAGAGAAACATGTGGATATAAATTTTTTTCTTAACATTTTGAAGGCCCTTTACCCCAAAATAATTTTCCCTAAGAGTAGTGTATTTTCCCTAAGAATAGAACATTCTCTTGCAAAACCATAACTCAGTTATTAACTGTAAATTTAACATTTATACAATACTTTTTCTAATCTTCCATTCATATTCCAATTTTGTCCATTTATCCAACAATATGCTTTCCAACACTCACCCCCATACACCGCCTGCAAAGCAGGAGCCAGTCTAGGGTCGGATGTTACGAGTTGACGAGCCTCTTCAGTCTTCCTTAATCAGAAAATTTTCCCATACTGTGTCATTGTCTTGTATAGCACTGACATGTTTTTAAGAATGCAGACTTCCCCCTCCTCTGATTTTTTTTTTTTTTTTTTTTTTTTTTTTTTTAGATGGAGTCTCGCTGTGTCACCCAGGCTGGAGCGCAATGGTGCCATCTCAGCTCACTGCAACCTCCGGCTCCCAGGTTCAAGCGATTCTCCTGCCTCAGCATCCCGAGTAGCTGGGATTATAGGTGTAAGCCACCATGCCCGGCTAATTTTTTTTTTTTTTTTTTTGTATTTTTTCAGTAGAGCCAGGGTCTCACCATGTTGGCCAGGCTAGTCTAGAACTCCTGTCCTCTGGTGATCCACCTGCCTCGGTCTCCCAAAGTGCTGGGATTACAGGCCCTTCCTCTGATTTTTTGACTAGAACATTCCTGGTTTTGGGTCTGTCTGATGCTTCCTCAAGATTTGATTCAGGTGGTATATTTTTTTGCCAGAATACTACATGGATGTGTTGTGTCCTTCTCAGGGTATCGCATTCAGAGGCACATGATGTCCTTCTGTCCCTCACTGGTGATGGTAGTTTTGATCATTCAATCACAGTGTTGTCCAATTTCTTCACTAGTTACATACAAAATGCACATATATGTACATTAACACATAGACATGTACACATGTATACCCATACAAACATACACATATATTTTATAAATCATAAGTTCAAACAGATATGTCTAAGACTAATCCCCCCCCAAAAGGTTTGTTCTGCCCTCCTGCATCCACTTTGTGTTTCTCCTTGAGCAAAGTCGACACATTTACTCATTTAACAAATCCTACAGGGCCTCTTACAGTTTCAGAACTGTTTTACCCATACTGTCATAATAAGAAAACCTATTTTAAAAGTTCAAGATTTCTTTGCAACTTTCCCTCCCTCCTGTGTCATCCAAGAATGGAGTATATTGTTAAAAACTGTGCTCGTGAACTACTTGGGTTCCTATTTGTTCTCTCTTCAGTAAAGTTACAATATCCATTTGAAATACAATTGAGTTCAAATTTGTTCAATTTGCTTTCAGTTCTTAATGATTTTTTAAATATGTAGAATATTAACATGCTTCCAAAAGTTAAAATTAGCAAAAGTTACTCAAAAATGTATCTCTTCCTCCCATATTCTATCCACCGCATTCCCTCACACCACCTCGTGGAGGTCACCAACTTCACTGTTTTCTGGTTTATGCTTCCGAAGCTTCTTTTTGTAAAGATAAGCAGTTATATGTAGGTTTTTCTTATTTCCCCTTCTTTCTCACACAAAAGGCAGCATACTATACATGCTCTTTTGCACGTGGCTTTTTGCATTACTAATGTCTCTTGGAAACCACTCCATGTCCATTCCCAACTATTACACGTACTCTTTTTCACAGCTGCATTGTACTCCTCTGTGTATAGGTACCCCAGCTCATTCAACCTTCTTCTATACTTGGATGCAAGCCTTTTTTATATAAGCATGGAATAATTGTAAAACCTATGAATTGGCTTGTAAAATATCGTTAAATTTTTCTTACATTCTGAGGTCATTTTAGAAGCTTCTAAGGAAAAACTTAAAAGATGACAAACCCCAAAATGAAATGGCAAGAATGAATGATTTCTCAGGAATATTTTATTTCTATAAAAATAAATGTCATGTGTGTGTTTAACTCTCCCAGCCTTCTTCTCACATCTACTATGTTTTCCAGCAGATTGTATTTAACAAGTTTTGTGTGACTACCTCCTGTTCACTGCTTTGAAATTTCTCGGTTAACTTCAAAAGTGCCATACACATATACAAATACACATGCACACAACGCTGACAAAATGCAATGAAAAAGGTAGACCACAGGGAGAGAATGTTACTAATGCTGAGAGGAAACTTAAGAAGCCATAGAAACTGAAAGAACATTGTTCATGTTTTAACAAAACTGAAACACTGCAAAATTAGGGGTGGGGAGGAAACAGTGTTATGTTGAGCAAACTATACTGTCTTATCACACGTGATTGATAAATTTGAGACATTGACAATACTTCCCAGCCAGAAGTTAAGATGATCAATGTTACTCTTGTCAGCCTTTCAAATTGGTTTCCCAATGGAACATTTGGGAGCTTTCCATAATGTTGCAAGTAACATTACATAGCTAAAACAGACTCAGCATTTCTTGGAGGGTTTCAAAATAAAAAATAAAACGTTCATTTTAACAATCTGAAAGGCAACATTTAGTGAGAAATATCACTGCCTTTCATCAGTCTCTCTTCTCTGTTAAATGGTTTATTCATGAACTGACAGGTTTTAAAAATTTTTTCCTTTTTAAAAATCTTATGTTTCATTAATATAATTGATACTGTGCTTATAAGATTATATTTTATGGTAAGAAAAGATAACTAGAGTTACATACTTAAAGCAAACAATAGGCCCATTAAATTCAGTCATAAAAAATTATAAGGTTCAGAGACCTGGAAAAAATTACAGATCGACTCGAGCCCAGAAGGGTGAATAAACTTTCTCTAGGTCACACAGCTAGTTTAGTAGCCTAGTACAACTAAGGGCCTGTGTCTTGTGAAAACCTGCCAGCTGTGTGTTCCACATAAAGGGACAGAAGTGGCAACTAAACAGGCAAAACGAAACCTGGCTAGAGGCCATGGAAGGCCCCAAGGACATTTCCAAAGAAGCGCCAGTGCTCTTGAGTACAAAAGTTAAGGTGTTTTGCTTTGTCATTTTCTTTTCCCAAAAAGCCACAAAATAACATTTTCTCATATGAAATTGATTTTGTCACTAATAAAGGAAAAGAAACATTATTCAAAGTTCCACACCTCTTGACAAAAGCAGGTACAAATTATATACTATTATTTAAAATGCTTGTAAAATGGGCCATAACATGAGGAAAAAACAAAACAAACACACAAACAAAACACCGTCACCATGCCTAGAGAAACTGAAGACAAGCTACTGGTGAAATTCCTAAAAGCAATAATTATTATATGTGTGTGCCATCCACTCCACATTATGAGATCGAATAGATGATGCTTTGTCATGATTATTTTGTGAACCACAGTAGAATGGGGAAGGTCTGTGGCCATCAGTGCTGGCAGAGCATCAGCTAGGGGTGTATCACGGAAGAGCGCTCAAGTGATATAGCTGCAAGATTCCAACTGAATGCCCCTCAATAGTCTATGTTATTCAAAGGCACGGGTAGGCAGTCAAAAATATTTTCCTCATTTTAATTCAGCATTGAGAGAGGTGGGGGAAATTGGGCCTGCAATCAAATCCTGGCCACCGAGGCACACATTTTAACATGTTATACAAAGAACTGGGCAAGGACCTCAGGCCACTGATTTCTAAACCTTCACACGATAGCTCTCAAAGGGAAAGATGTTCACAGGAGGAATTTTATATGCAGATGACAAAAACAAAATTTCTTACTACACAAAGGCCTTTGCCATGAATTCAGCAGCCTGCTCAAATGGTTTATCTCAGCAACATCTTCCACATATAAAATTGTTCCAATGTGTCCCTTGGGGGACAAAATGTCACTATTTTAAATGTAAAGGGTGAAATATGAGGAAGTCTTACATAGGCGAACTGTGATATAAACAGCTTGACCACAGAGAATTTAACTCTTTGACAAAATTTGATGACTTTCTTCACTCAATGGAAAAAAAAATCAATCATGCTATCAGTAATGTCAAAAATAATTCAAATGCTACAGAAGAGAACATGAAGAAGTATTTTCCAGGATGAATACAACCAAAGAGAAAGTTAGGAAGGCCCTTGCAGGCTTCGCTAAAATAGGGAGCATCAACTTGCAAGGTTTTGAGTGTGAGAGTCTTGTCAGCTCTGCCTTTGATGAAGCAAAAGGAAAAGATTTTATGTTTGGTCTGAATAAACAGCATGATTGAGAACTGTGCGAGAAACCGCCAAACACTTGCTGTTGTAGCCAGAAACCTAGAATGGTTAGATACAATTTTCTCAGTAAGAGAAAGGAAGAATATAAGATAGAGAAGGAATAGTTATAGAGCCTAAGCTGTCCTTTATCAAGCCATACATAGATGCCTTTTAACATTGCGCCAGATACTGTTTTAAGTACTTACAAATATTAACACATTAAATCATCATAAAAACCCTATGCAGTGTTATTATGCACATTTTACAGATGATATGCCCAAGGCCACAGTGTAAGTGTATCTGGCTTTCCTGTTTGAGTGATTGGTCTGGATGCTAGAATATTACCAAAAGTTATAAGCATCACCATCCCCCTTGCTAATTAAAGACTTCATAATTTTTAACTTTTTATTTCATAATTATAAATATAATAAATGTTTCAAATATCTAAAATTGGTGGTCTAATATGTACCACCTATGGCCATTAAGTAATCCCCAGCTGCCAAAAGTGTGAAAACAGTGCCAAGGGGAGTCTATAAAAGGCATTCCTAAATGTGGGAATTTAATATAAATAAAGGTAGCACTGCACACTGCAGAGCAAAGAAGATGGCATCAGAACACACGACTACCAATTTGGAAAGAACAATTCAGGTAGATTCCCACCACAATATCATATACAAAAATACTTTTAGATGGAGAAGTAATAGACATGACCATGGAATACAATGCGGCTGCTCAAAAAAAGCAAGACAGGCCGGGCACGGTGGCTCACGCCTGCAATCCCAGCACTTTGGGAGGCCAAGGTGGGTGGATCACCTGAGGTCAGGAGTTCAAGAAGAGCCTGGCCAACATGGCTAAACCCCGTCTCTACTAAAAATACAAAAAATTAGCCGGGTGTGGTGGTGGGCACCTGTAATCCCAGCTACTTGGGAGGCTGAGGCAGGAGAATTGCTTGAACCTGGGAGGCAGAGGTTGCAGTGAGCCAAGATTGCACCACTGCACTCCAGCCTCGGTGACAGAGCAAGACTCTGTCTCAGAAAAAAGAAAAAAGCAAGACACATCACTGCATCTGCCGAGGCAGAATGACAGCCATAATCAATATCAAGCAAGTGTTAGATAAGCATATGGTGTGTTTTCATTTTTTATCAAAAAAAACACAGCTATTTACATAAACATGATTTACATATCTACATAGCTACATATATACAGATCTGGAAAGATTTACATCAAATTATTTTGAGTGGTTCATCTAGAGAGGAGAACAGACAGAGAGAGACCCTTTTATTTTTATACCCTTCTGTCTTGTTAAAAATGTTAAATGACATAGTAATTCTTAAAAAATCAACACATACACATAATCAAGTGATGGTGATACTAAATGAGCAGGCAGGACGCAGGCCATGATAAGACTCATATGTCCTGCTAAGAAAATTTTATTTCATTCTTAATTGATAAAGCACCAGCAAAAGATGCAAAAAATATTCTTGCATCTTATTAGCAGCGGTGTGGGAAACTGATTAGAAAGGTGGCAAGACTAGAAGTAGAAGACGTTAAAAAGGCTTTAAGTATCTGTCAATTATTAAGAATCTGCCATATGCCATGTACAGTGTCTAAGTCAACTACTTAAGCCTTAAAACCCCCTGGGGCCGGGTGCGGTGGCTCACGCCTGTAATCCCAGCACTTTGGGAGGCCGAGGCGAGCAGATCATGAGGTCAAGAGATCAAGACCATCCTGGCCAACGTGGTGAAACCCCGTCTCTACTAAAAATACAAAAATTAGCTGGGTGTGGAGGTGTGCACCTGTGGTCCCAGCTACTCGGGAGGCTGAGGCAGAAGAATCGCTTGAGCCTGGGAGGTGGAGGTTGCAATGAGCCAAGATCACACCACTGCACTCCAGCCTGGCAACAGAGCAAGACTCCGTCTCAAAACAAACAAACAAACAAACAAAAAACCCTATATTGGAACTATGACAATCCCCATTTCACACATGAAGAACTAAGGCTCACAGTTGTTCACAAATTGCTCTGTTTGCACACTGGTCAATACAAAACCTGGAATTCAAATTCAGGCCTTGGCCTGTGCACTTAACTCCCAAGTTCTATTACATTTAGAAAGTTGCAACAGCCTTGACAACTGATAATGAGGACCTCAGCCAGTGCAAGTAGGACTGGGAATGGGGGAAGTGGCCAGATTCAGTACATACTTAGGGGGTAAAATGGGCAGTGCCTGATGCCTGGCTGGAGGCAGAGGACAAGGGAGGCAGAGGATTTTAAGGTGGTGCCCACATTTCAGGCTTGAAATAAATTGTCAAATTTTCCATAATGCTAATTTTCACCTTGATAATGGGAATGATATCTACCAACACTTTCAAAGACTTCATGGGAAGCTCATGGACAACCACAGGCTGCATCCTTCCAACCTTCTGTTGCATTATTACAGCTCCAATGTTCTTCCAGGAATCTTGCAATAAATCTTTTCATCATAAAAGTCTATTTACTGCAAGACAATGGAAGACTATGAGAGGTTATGAAGCTCCTTCCTTGCTTTTTCCTTGAGAAACTTTATGATCTTTACCTGAGTTAACAGTGGCACTTAGCAGGAATGTTAGATTTTCTTCTGGCTTTCTCTTGTTTTAATCACAGAAAACAGAGAACTTAAAATATTATATACACTAATACACGCACACACTCACCACATGTACACATTTGCTCTTTTTCTATTCTTGTTCAGACTACACCTTAATATAGCTGTTTTTAATAGTGGAGTCAGAGTGGGGTTCATGATGTCTTCGGGCGTTCTAGAATCCTCTTGAATTTTATACAAAATTTTGGGTGCAAATGGATATAAGCATTTCCCCAAGGATATTATTATTCCCTAAGGATACCCTAATTCCCTGAGGATATTATCAATAGCTTTCATTAGATATTCAAAGAGGTCTAAGACCCAAAAACAGATTAAGAGCCACATGGCTACCCTTCAAGGGGATTTGTCATTAATCAACCCACTGACTAAATAATAATACACATTTGGAAGCCTTCAGTAAGCAGAACACAGCAGTTCACTGCAGTTGTTCATCATGGGGATACAGGCCAAGCAGCAAGGCATGCTTCAAATTCCGCTTTTTCAAAGTGACACCTTTTTTTTTTTTTTTTTTTTTTTGCCATCTATTTGTTTGGCTGATGGGGAAAATCATCACCTACATAATTAAACAGAACTTGCTACAAAGCTGCAGTTAAGATGGCAGTGAAGGATGGCTGATTGTGTATTTTTAAACTTTCATTTTAGAGACTACTTCCTTGTTATTTTGAACATTTTTCATAGATTAATTCTGAACTTAGAATCCTAAACTGCTGCCAAGATTGTAGCAAGAGGCATTCTTCAAATAGAGAAACAGAACTCAGGGCTCAACAAAAATATACTTTAATAAGTTAAGTGAATGCAGTTCTTATTGGCTTTCTGTGAATCCATTCTGCTAGAATTTCAATTGCAAAATCCTCATTTCCCCAGAAGCTACTAATAGTAAGAAATTTGGCTGCACAATAAACATTTTAATGTGCATCCTAACCACTGACTGAATTACGGTCTCAGAAACAAAAACAAAGCACGTACCGGAGCAGATAAAACACTACTAGGTCTAGGCAACCTTAGACCAGCAAAGATCATTTATGAACAAAGAAAAAGAACCCACACCATTCATAATACAGGACTGCACAGAAAGAACTTTTTAAAATAACTTCTCAAATTGTTTGATAATTCACTGGCCATCACCGAACTGATTCCACAAATCCTGAGTCTAGTGTCTAAAACAATAAACTCACATATTTTTCCCCCAATGACTAAACTCTTCCCAGAGAAAATAGACAAGGATACTTCTAATACATATTTCCTTTAACTAAACAAGAAGTCGTGTCTACCCTTGATTCCAAATGCCACCATTTTCCTCTTTAATTCCTCCTCCTTCTGAAGAGCTCTGAACTTGACATTCAGCTTCCAGCTGGAACTGCAGATAAGCAGCCTGTTACAAGTGCTTCATACCCCTACCAGGAACTAAAAAGCAGTCCTGATCTGACTGTCTGGTTCCAGACTTCAGATCTGCTCAACTATTTCCCAGCAACCCTGGTACTTTCAATCACCATTTCAGAGACACAGATTCTAAATGTAGGAAAAGCATCTGAACCACATCAGGATGTATCTTCAATTCTGCCCCAGAACTTAGACCTTTAGAAACTACGGGAAATGAGCATGAATGGGAATTCTTTCTGCCCTTCAGAGCCCCAGCAATTAATCATCTTAAATGACTTCATGTCACAAGGCCACACTCTATTTTTAAAATACAGTTCCTTCTTTCGTCTCGATATGCCTTGTGATTTAAACTCCAACCAAACATCTCAATATAATGCACACAGTATTCTTTCAAAAAATGCTTTTTTTCCCCCTGGGAGTACTGTTAAATACCAGTGAAGTTACCTTAAAACTGAAGGCAACAAAATACATATAAAAGGCAAAAAAAAAAAAAAAAGAATAGGTAGACAAGCAAACAGTTTAGGCAATTGAAAAGAGGACACAGACTCAGGCTATAATTTGGTTCCAAGCATATCAGAATGCATAAAGTATTTCACTGCATTTTATAAAAGTACTAAAAAGCCAGACATGGTCATCATTTGGCTTATGATTAATATTTAAAGTACTAAGAAGCATCTATATTAAAACAGTGATAGTATTCTCAGTGACTGTCAAGTAATTTGGAACCATGTTCACAGCACAAACACTTGGTATCTGACTAAACTCTTCTGGCTGGAAAGCTTCTGGGTATCTCAAAGTTTCACAAGGAGTTTTAACAAATAGGAATTTCCACAGAACAATCTTCCTGCACCTGCAGGGCTAAATACAAATTCAGACTATCAAAAACAAAATGCACCTATCAAAAACAAAATGCACATGTGCACGTCTTTCAGATTCTATTTAATGTATAGGCATAGATAGAAAAATTCCATTTTTAAAATATAATTCAGGCATAGGTGAAGAACTTAAATTTGGGGTAGGGTGAATTCCCTTTACTCAGATTTCAAGTAAGGAAGACAAAGAGAGAATAGGAATGTGTTCAAATAAGGCTGTCTTGTTTCTAGGACAATTAGGAGGTTAAACCAGGAAGGTGCCTCTGTTCCTCCAACAACCCCCAGCCCCTCCCAAAAATAAATGCAACCTTATCATCCTGCAGAAGGCTGGAATTTCCTTTTCAGGACATAAAGTCTTTCTTTCTGAAATCATACTAGATTATAATAATAGCTATGAAGAGGGGAAGGAGGTAGAGCAGGACAAGAAAGTGGGGGGAGGTGGGAACGCCACGATTGTGCCTTGTTTAGAGAGAAAGGGGATGAAATGAGGAACCACTTCTGTTTTCATCGTGAATAAAGTTGGTGAGTCATCAGGCAGGAGAGAGGAGGCTGGGAACAACGTGACCCACTAAGGATTCTGCTCCAAGGACAGTGGGTTTCCCGCTGGGCACCCACTCTTAAGTGCAGATCGGGAGACTAAGACAGGAACACCCGCCGTGGGCAGGCCAGGCTGGAAGGATAGAGGACTGTGGTCGAACCAAGGCAAGTTGTGGCAAGGACAAGGTCTGCCGAGGCCAGGCTGGGCTAGTGTTCTGAATAAACAGGGGGTCGGTGGTCAGAGCACACAGGGCTACCAAGAGGGGCTGAGAAAAGGCAGTGGGAAAAGCAAGGGACGAGAGAAAGAGTGATTTTGAGAACCGCTTGTATTTAAGCAAGTCATCTATATGCCAGGCACTGTAGTACGCTGGACACTTGATATACACGATGTGGAATTCTTCAGGAAAATCCCTGAGAAGTAGGTGATATTATCTGCTGTTTTCAGTTAAATCAACTAAGAGTCAGGGAGGTGCCTCCACACAGTGAGGGGAAGCAGTGGAGGGCTTACTGAGGCAGCGCAGGTAAAAGCACAGCAAACAATACGAACCTCTCCCGGGAACCAGAGGGCAGAGAGGAACTAAAACAAGAAGAAAGAAACCCAAGTCAGGCTTCCAGGAGATCACAATTTCACCGAGAGACAAAATACACCCACACGTAACCACACAGAATGGCACAGGTTAAGGCAGTTAAGGAGCTGGATGAACTGACCCAAAGGTCAGGTTGCGGAGGCTGGAGGTGGGAAAGAAGGTTGGAAAAATCCAGAAAGAGAAAATGCAGTCTAAAATTTCAAGAAGCCAGTCTGGACTAAGGAGATGAGTTAGGGAGGAAAATGCAGAACCAAGGGACATTATTTTTTCATAAAGATGGAACAGACTTAAGCATATTTGCATTCTAAAAGGAAATGTTCTTTTCTTTTTTCTTTTTCTTTTTCTTTTTCTTTTTTTTTTTTTTTTTTTAAATGGAGTTTCGCTCTTGTTGCCCAGGCTGGAGTGCAATGGCGCAATCTTGGCTCACCGCAACCTCCGCTTCCCGGGTTCAAGCGATTCTCCTGCCTCAGCCTCCGGAGCAGCTGGGATTACAGGCATGCACCACTACACCCAGCTAATTTTGTATTTTTAGTAGAGACGGGGTTTCTCCATGTTGGTCAGGCTGGTCTCTAACTCCCAACCTCAGGTGATCCACCCACCTCGGCCTCCCAAAGTGCTGGGATTAGAGGCATGAGCCACATCGCCGGGCTCTAAAAGGAAATGTTCAAAAGAGAAGAAACGTCAGCTTACAGGCAGGCCCTGAGATAACTGATGGAGTAAGATCTCTAGAAAGGCAGGAATGGAAAGGATGCAGAGCACAGGTGCAGGAGGCTGGAGAGAAGGGACACTTCTTCCAGGACCACAGGGGAAAGAGGCAGGAAGAGGTGTGCTGAGTGATGGTCTGCAGGGGGCAGTGGAAGGTCTCACCACATGCAGTAAGGGACTGAAAGCTTCAGGTGGGAGGAAAGATGCCTGCCAGCATAGACCTGCTTTCCTAGGGAGCAGGGAGAGCCCAGACTAACAACACAGAAGGACGGCCAGACAATGCCTGCACGCTGAGGCTGTGCATCTGCAGGGCCACAGCTATCTGCAAGGCCTCATGGTTCCTACTCAGCAGTGCTTGGCACCTGGGGTAGAGAAGGTAGGCAGTGAATACGCATTAGTCAGGAGCTGGGATTGCGGTGGGCATGGATGGGGAGAGGATAGCAGGGAGGCAACGGACTGAAGATCCTGGCAAGAGAATGGCTGACATGAGGGAACTGGGCTGAGCTGGCCAGGGAAAATGTGAAGCCAGGAGGGAGACAACAAAGGAACTACAAGTCTTAAAAGAAAAAGTGGTGCTGTAAGAATAAGGGACAGAAAAGTCTGGAAAGACAGTGGACAAAATCAGATGGTGAGATTAAAGTTTACCATTGCAGAGGAGGTTCAACTGTGACTTATGCCAGTGTGGTCACGAAGGCAGATGGGTTGAACTGAAAAGGGGGCACCGGTTCCTGGCATGGAGGCACCCAAGGTCTTAGGAGGTGGATGGACTGTCACATGGGCAAAGAAATGTCCCAGGGTGAGAACGGGACTGGGTGGGAGAGGGTGGAGGAGGGGAGAGAGCAGAGGGAGGTGAACAGTGTGAGCAGACACACATGCACACACACCCTATTGAGGCAGCAAGAGTGGAAATAGCAGTGTTACGACTGCATAAATCACCAAGAAGGGAGGGTTGGGCATGCAAGTAGAAATAGGGTAAGAAAGGAGTGGTTGGGAGCTGGAGTAGGCTAGGCCTGCCTGCACCCAGAGGGAGAAGTGGACGTGGCACAGGGGCACCCAGGAGGCAGAGTGCCCGGGGGGAAGCAGGTGTGCACCTGGCCACAGGGAGGAGGGAATGACGTGTTGAGCTCTTGGGAAAATTGCATAATTTGTTTTACCACAGGCAGGACTGCAAAGGCCACAGAAGAATAATTTGGGAGAGAGACAACCCATGAGAAGTCACTCAGACCAGGGTCAGAAACAGAACAGGAACAACAATGGAAAGAGGATGACACCATTGATGGGCACCTAGGTCAATTCAATGTCTTTGCTATAGTGAATAGTGCTGCAATGAACATGCAACTCCATGTGCCTTTCTTTCTCTGCAGCCTTGCAAGTATCTGTTGTTTTTTGACTTTATAATAATAAGCATTCTGGCTTGTGTGAGATGGTATCTCGTTGTGGTTTTAATTTGCATTTCTCTGATGATTAGTGATGTTGAGCATTTTTTTATGTTTGTTGGCCACTTGTATGTCTTCTTTTGAGAAGTGTCTGTTCATGTCTTTTGCCCATTTTTTATTTTTTACTTTTTCTTCTTTTTTCTTCTCCTTTCTCCTTCTCCATCTCCTTCATTCTTCTTTTGCCCATTTTTAATGGGTTAATTGGTTTTTGCTTATTGAATCTAGTTCCTTATAGATTCTGGATATATTAGATCTTTGTCATCTGCATAGTTTGTGAATATTTTCTCCCATTCTGTAGGTTGTCTCTTTACTCTGTTGATGGTTTCTTTTGCTGTGCAGAAGCCCTTTAGTTTAATTAGGTCTCAGTTGTCAAATTTTGTTTTTGCTGTAATTGCTTTTGAGGATTTAGTCATAAATTCTTTCTCAAGACCAATGCTGAGAATGGTGTCTCCTAGGTTTTCTTTTAGAACTCTTATAGTTTGAGGTCTTACATTTAAATTATTAATTCATCTTGATTTAGTTTTTGTATATGGTGAAAGGTAGGGGGTCTAGTTTTAATCTTCT